>NC_000004.12:32839016-35339016 GCF_000001405.40 Homo sapiens
AATATAATATATATTTATATCATTATATATTATATATTATACATTATATATTTATATATAATTTTTAATGTATAAAAATATATTATATATAATGTATAAAAATATTTTATGTATAATATATAAATATATATTATATCTATAATAGATAAATATATATTATATCTATAATAGATAAATATATATTATAGATATAATATGAATATATATTATATATAAATATATATAACATATAAATGTACATTATATATGAATATATATAAAATAAATATATATTATATATAAATATATATAATATAAATATATATTACATATAAATATATAATATATAACTATATATAATATAAAATATATATTATATATAAATATATATTATTTATGAATATATATTATATATAAATATATATTATTTATAATATATATTATTTATAAATATATATTATACATAAATATATATGATATAAATATATATTATATATAAATATATATGATATAAATATATATTATATATAAATATATATGATATAAATATATATTTATATATAATATATATACACCATAAATATATATTATATATAAATATATATACTATAAATATATATTATATATAAATATATATACTATAAATATATATTATATATAAATATATAGTATATATAAATATATATAATATAAATATATATGATATATAAGTATATATATAATATAAATATATGATATATAAATATATATATAATATAAATGTATAGGATATAAATATATATATAATATAAATAGATAGGATATAAAAATATATATATAATATAAATATATAGGATATATAAATATATATATAATTTAAATATATAGGATATATAAATATATATATAATATAAATATATAGGATATATAAATATATATAATATAAATATATAGGATATATAAATATATATATAATATAAATATAGGATATATAAATATATATATAATATAAATATATGATATATAAATATATATATATAAATATATAATATAAATATATATAGTATGTAATATATATAATATAAATATATATTATATATATATTATATATATATTATATATATAATATATATATTATATATATTATATATATATAATATATATATATTATATATAAATATATAATATAAATATATATAATATAAATATATATTATATATAAATATATATAATATAAATATATAATATTAATATATAATATATATAAATATGTATTATATATAAATATATATAATATAAATAAATATATATAATAAGTATAATTATATAATATATAAATATAAAATGTATATAATTATATAATATATAAATATATAATAAATATAATGATATATATAAATATATAATATATATAATTATATATGATATATAAATATATAATACGTATATAATTATATAATATATATAAATGTATAATATATAAATATATATATATAAATACATACACACACACACACTCACACGTATAATTGCTGCAGGTAATGTCAGTCTTTTTGCTCCATTTCTTCAATTGATTTAATGAAGCCTACCCACGTTATGAAGGACAATTTGCTTTGCCTAAAATGTTAATCCCATCCAAAACACCCTAGCAAAAACACCTAGAGTAATGTTTGACCAAATTCCTGGGCACTCCCCGGCCAAATCAGGTTGACAACTTAAAATTAACCATCACAGAGGTCATGGGTTTAGAAATTAAAAAAAAATCAATAAAACAGAGTTGAATGAGCATACATGGAATGTAATATTAGAAAGAATTAATAGTACTCCAGCATAAAGTTTATACCTGAAACAATAGAGTGACGTTGAATAATTCTTAACTGCAAAGGTGTAAGTTGAAAAACATTGTGTTACCCTTATAAAATCCAAACTGGAAGTTGCCACTGATAATTGCAATAATTGCAAAATCTGGACATAGCCTAACTGGGTAGCAAACCCAGACTTCCCACTGTTAGTGAAGTGATTTGGAGCAAGTTGAACAGCTGTTCTGTGCCTCTGTTCCTCATTTGTAAGAAGGGAATAATAGCACTTCATAAGGTCTCTGTAAAAGATTAAACTACTTAAGCTTGAAATAAGCTTAAAACATATTTAGCACATAGTAAACCTTTGATAAATAGTCATAGTTCTATTGTTATTATTATTACATTCTTTAGTAGTACCTATCTCTCCTAATCTCCTGTACTTATCATCTGCACTTATTACCTCAAAGTAGAATTCTTCAGATGGTATTAAAAGTATTTTTACTGTTAAAAACCAAACCAAACCAAACAGAAAACTTTGTGTACTGCAGTGAGGCAGAGTTGTTTCTATCGTGGACTTCACAGATCTGAAATTGCTTCTGAGAGACACTGAGCTTTGACCTATGAATCAAAGTATGAAGTCAGCCTGTTTATTCAGTCTTTTGTCTGAATGACATGAAAGGATCAATCAGCTAGAGAAGTAATTAAAGCTGAGTTTCTTTCTGTATATTTACCTAGAGGCAAAATCAATGAGCATCCCCAGTTAATAATAAAAAGTGATAAATAAATAAATAATCACATACATTTTCAAAAGACACTGTGTCTCAGCCTTGAGGTAGTTGTCAGTCAATTGGTGAAAGTCTGATTCTGGCTCTTGAAATTTTTGAAGCGTATCTTTAATGCCCATTGTATAATGCAGCTTATTTCATTTTCTTTTGAACGAATAAATGACTGCCTTTTTGTCCCAATATTATTAGTGTAAAAAATGTTTTCAGAAGGGCAAGGAGACCAGAGCTTATCAAACTTATAAAACAAAATATCCCAGAATGTTACCATTAAAAAAGCCTCATTACCATGCCAGCAATGTAAATAAATCTACTTTCTTTCTTTTCTTTTCTTTTCTTTTCTTTTTTTTTTTTTTTTTTCTGAGACAGAGTCTCGCTCTGTTGCCCAGGCTGGAATGCAGTGGCACAATCTCTGGTCACTGCAACCTCTACCTCCTGGGCTCAAGTGATTCTCCTGCTTCTGCCTTCATCTTCCTGAGTAGCTGGGATTCCAGGTGTCCGCCACCACGCCTGGCTAATTTTTGTATTTTTTCAGTAGATACCGGGTTTCACCATGTTGGCCAGGCTGGTCTTGAACTCCTGACCTCAGGTGATCCTCCTGCCTTGGTCTCCCAAAATGGTGGGATTACAGGCATGAGACACCACACCAGGCCTGGACTCTACTTTCAAAATACCTCTCTTCCCTGGTGTATGGCTGATTTTTAATATGTCAAATTTATACTATAATCAAAATTTGTACTATAATCAAAAGCAAATGTGAGTCATCTGCGCAGGAAAACAAGGTATATTAAGAAACTGTGGAAAAGTTGAAAGTGTGTGGCAAGAGTCATAAAGGATTATTATTCTCTTATCCAGATTCATCCATTGTAAATTGAACCATTAACATAAGTTTTGTGTATTATCCTAATGAAGAGTAACATACTATGGTGTAGAAAAGATTTTTCACATATTACATGTGAAAGTAATATAAAATCAGAAGGATTGCTGATCATGATTCAGAATCCAAGAGAATGCTTTGAGATCTTGATTTCATTAATAATTTAGGCCTGAAATATATTTCCATGGAAATCGTTAAGAAAACTCTATCATTATATCAATGTGAATATCAATTTTGTATAACATCAAATCATGTCCCATTGTTTCTGGTCTAGATCATTAAAGGCTTCTATTGATATTACCTTTAGGCCAGAAGATTCTAAAATAGTTAAGTCATTTAGAATTTAAGGACCTCATT
Source organism: Homo sapiens (assembly GCF_000001405.40). NCBI lineage: Eukaryota > Metazoa > Chordata > Mammalia > Primates > Hominidae > Homo > Homo sapiens. Next base: position 32,842,790 of record NC_000004.12, read on the forward strand.
GTGGTAAAATTTAGTGAGTATTAAGAATGTAGCTGAAATAATTAGGCTTGTTCTACTTCAGAAAACTCACTCCCTGGTGGCTTTTGGAAAGAAATGATGTTGGAAACTAATTGGGGTTTAAATAAAGTGTTTAGTGTCTGCAAACTTCTTACAGGCTTCTCAGTCATGGGTATGATTAAAGCTTAAGTCATATATAATTTGCAATTAGAGATTATGATGAAATTTTATTCAATATAGCTTTTTTTTCTGAGAAAGTAAATATTAAGTTCTTTTGAAAATCTCTTAGAGAAAAATAGATATTTTTAAAGGGGTATTACAGAAAAATTGAAGATGACATTTTGAATACCTATTCTTATCTTTATCCATTCAAGAAGATGCATCTGCCAGGTGTTTGGAAGTTTGTTTACACAGTGTCCTAGTGAGGTAGGAAACACAAATTTACAGTTTGGAGTTCAAGCCTGTGGACATTAGCTTTAGCCATGAAAGTTGATGTCATATTAACTTAGAAAAGAAGAGGCAAGAGAATAAATATATTAGGAGGTCCCCACAATATGCAGAGACAGCAAGAAAGAGCCATAAAGGATGCTAATTTGGTCAGAAAAAGTGGTAATAGTAAAACTAGTATAGCACGATGCCAAAGAGAGAAAAGAATTTAAAAAACCCAGTAGGTGAAGAGGCTATATGTGACAAGAGAGAAATTAAATTAACGGTGTTGAATATTGCAGCATTAGACATAAGGTGGCCACAAAGAAAACACTGAATTTCACAAAGAAATAATTGGAACTTCGGCAGACATGTAATATTAAAGAGATTTTGAGTAAATGAGGACTGTCAACTATGAAAATGGAAATATTTTATAAATATTTTCTTCAGGAAGCTTAGTGAAGAAGAGCAAGAAAAAGGATGGAGGGTGTATTCAAGAAGGCAGATTGTTATTCTATTTATAATATGAGACTGATTTCTGAAATATTTGTACACAGAAGGAAGAATTGAAAGAACAGAGAAAATGTTGAGACAGAAAAAAACTAACCGATTAACAATATGAAGCCTAGTAAGAGGGAGAAAGAGAAGCAATTCAGCTTACAGGGCTATATATGGTGAAGCAGACAGCATTCGAGGAGGAAAATAGTATTTATACAGCAACCATTTTTCCAAGAACTTGTCTTGGATACTTAAAAAGTCCAACGTTATTTAAACACATGTTTACTCATTATTCTCTAAGATAGTAAAATATTACTGCTAAATGTTTTCATAATAAATGCTTGGTGTAGAAATAATTGTTTTCAAAAAGGAAGTTTCTCAAACTCAAACATTTTCAAAAATTTCTCACCTCTAAAATTTATTGCCTACTCTTTTTTTCTTAGTCAACAAATATTTATCAAGCACCTGTTATGTGTCAGGCACTGGTCCTGGCACAGTGAATTAAAAGGTGAAGAAGACAGGTTGAATCCCTGCCTTCTCACTGCTGCTAAATCAAATAAATACTATATATGTTAAAAAATTAAAATAACTAATGTTGTGGCTTTCAGAAGTATTAAGCAGTATAAAATATGTAACATGGCTTGAGAAATGTACAAGCTAAGGTAATCTGAATGCATTTTCCCTGGGAAGACATTCAATTGAAAATATGAATATAAAAAATGAAACTATAGTATTTTACAGACAGTATTTCTGGAAGAAAGAATCATTAAGTGTAAATGACCAGAGAATAAACAAAAAATATGCTTAGAATATTTTGAAAAAAGAAAAAAAATGGTTACTGGATTACATACAAGAGGAGAGTGATGTTAGAGGGAGTTGCATTTGGATGTTAGGCTGGCACAAATATTAACATTGAGGAACAGACAGATTGGATATTTGTTTTGAAGTTAGAGAAGATACAGAAGGTATAGAGGAATCATAGATGATGCCGTTTTTTAACCATACAAACGACTGGATAGTGATTATATTTAATAAGTTGGAGATGACATGAATAGACTGCATCTTGAGAGAATTTTTTTGGTAAAAACCAATAGTACTCTTTTAGACATGGTAATCTGAAGGTACCTTCTAGTGATATCTACATACAAAGAGAAGATGTATCCAGACTATTGGTGACTGCTGAAGGAATGAATGCAAGTAAGGAAGACTGAGAAGAGATAGTGAGACAAGAAAAAAAATCAAGCTATATAGTGTTGTAGAAGACAGAGAAAACTGTGTTTTTCTGAAGGCAGGGTGAGGCAGTGGGAATCCCAAGAGTAGAGGTTGCAGTGAGCCCAGATCGCACCACTGCACTCCAGCCTGGGCAACAAAGTAAGACTCTGTCTCAACAACGACAATAGAATGAATAGAGATTTAATTATCAGTGATTAGAAGGAAACATATTGTAGATAGAGAAAGCATCCCTAGTACCTCATAAACCCATTTATTCATCTATTAATTCATTCCTGCAACATATATTTGCTGACCTAATATGTGCATAGCACTTTTAAAGTATTGTAAACTAGAGTGTGGAAAAATGATTGCAAAAGCAGCATTACTGGCTGGTGTTACATGAAAGTCAATGCATAAATGACAGTTATCTAAATGATTATTTCAAACTTAAAAATCACATTTTAGAAAAGTTGATGCAATAAAGTATATCGCATAATTTACCCTAACACAGAGCATGATATACATATGTTAAAATAAGTATTCTATTATATTCAATATGTCCAATATATGTGCATATATTAACATATATCTAATGTATTCAGTTTTCTGAAAAAGTATTTATATCTTACCTATCTTATGCTTCTATATTTAAAAAACATAACATAATCTGTAGCATGATTCAGAACTGTGATTTTAAAATGCCATTACTTACATAGTAATCATTTTCTATAAATGCATGTCATTTTATGAGGATATAGATATTCATTCTACTTACCGCATCCTCCCCACAACATTTGAATTAATTTCAGCAGCAGTTTAGAAACAAGTTTACTCAATTATTTTCATTTCATCCAGTGCTTAAGGACTCCAATTTTTTAAATAGATTGTTTAATACTCCACAAACAAGACTCATACTGCATTGCAGATTTATTTAAATTTTCTTTCACTTTACTTAACAAGATGTTTTAACAATTATTCTTTTTAATCATATATGTGATTACTGGTGTTTTGTCTTATGCTTAGGCATATACATTGCATGGTCTAATTTTTCTTCATTGATGAAAGGATTATAAGTTACAATGATAAAACCTGGTTTAATTTTTAACTAGTTGGGATCATTTAACTCCTTGCTTTTAGTAAAAATATCAGTATTTATATTTAACTATTGCAAATTGATTTTGTATATGTATCTTTTTCATGAAAAATGATTCATTTCAAAAAATAAATTATGTGGCTAACTGTTTTCGCACACCTTCGATTTTCTCACTTACAGCAACTGCACTTCCAACTGTTAAATTCTGTCCACTATTTATGGATTCAAATTGTTCAAAATTGTTGCATTTCTATTTTATCTAATCCCTTAATTCTAGCAACTAGACATGAGCCATTATTGAGCTACAGTCCCCAAATTTGCACTATGTTTGAAATAACATTCTCTATCCTGTTGCCATATGCCTAAACACTTGACCTGACACTCTGATTATGACCTAGTTCCTTCAGCAGGGGATCTTTCTTCTGGTCATCAAATCTGTTACATCCTCTGGTTCTGCACCTGCCCCCTACCTGGGACGTGATGTACTGTTGATCTTTGTTATTTCACAACGTCTGTGAACTGTTTTTATTTTCTCTTTGCACTATACATAAAATAGGGGTAATAGCAGTACCTCCTTTGTTGTGAAGAATATTACCAAATTACTGATAAATATACTTATGTCTTACAAGTGCTTGTTCAATGAAAGCAATTATTATCATAAATAATGTGTATCTATATTTTATCCCACATAAACTATCCATAATATTATTAACATAACTTTAGACTTGTAGAAAAGAAGCAGGCATAGAGGTATTTGGGATCTAATTAAATGCATTTAAACTACTTTTATAAAAAAATAGCACATTTAAATTTAATGTTAACATTTATGGCTAGAGAAAAAAATTTAAATGATGAGGAACTCCAACAGACTTCGAAATTATTAGTTGAAGAGTTGGTAAGTGTAGGAATATGAATGCAGATGGCATTCTAAGTAAGGTTTAAGGATATCTCTTAAACCAGGAGACAGAAATTACAATGGTGAAAGTTTATCTACAAGAAGAAATGGACCTCCAGCATCTCTACAATGCCTTAAAAAAACTTCAACGTGAATACTTTTGTAGCTTATCAAGAATCATTGTAGAAATATGTAACCTAATTTCTTGAGCCCTTGTTTCCAGGTTTGATGTATATAAACCCATAGCATGGTTTTCACTTTTGTCTTGTCATGAATAATTAACATGACATAGGAAGCTCAATTAGTCTGGAATAAGATTCTCATCTTGCCTGAGATGGTAAGTTTTCTTAGAGATTAGTTATCTTCTAATTACTTACAAATTTAAATATAAATGCAAAAATTAAGGAGGAAATCAAATCCATACTTTATTACTCTTAAATTTAGAACAGTGTGCATATGTCTGTTAATGAAACTGGTTTTAATGTTTAAAAACTGTGCCATATTGGATGATTGACTAGATTAGCATGTGAACCTAATTTAATATTATTTCAATTTTTTGAAAGTTTTAAAACTTGTTTGTGGCCTAAGATATGGTCTATAATTAAGAATTATACATATGCTGGGAAAATAATGTGTCTTCTGCAGCTGATGGATGAAGTGTTCTGTAAATATCTATTAGCTCCATTTGATCTGTAGTGCAGATTTAGTCCAATGTTTCTTTGTTGATTTTCTGCCTCGAAGAGCTGTCCAGTGCTGAAAGTGGAGTATTGAGGACTCCAGCTACTATTGTGTTGGAGTCTATCTCTGTCTTTCGCTCTAATAACATTTGCTTTGTATATCTGGGTGCTTCGGGGCTGGGTGCATATATATAGACATATATTTAAAATTGTTAAGCCCTCTTGCTGAATTGACCACTTTATCATTGTATAGTGACCTTCTTTGTCTCTTCTTACAGTTTTTTGTCTTGAAATTTATTTTTCTTTATATAATATAGCTACATCTGCTTTATTTTAGTTTCCATTGGCATGGAATATCTTTTTCCATCCCTTTATTTTCAGTCTATGAAATGTGTTTCTTGTAGGTAACAGATCTTTTGGTCTTGTTTTTTTTTTCCTTAATCCATTCAGCCACCCTGTCTTTTGATTGGGAAGTTTAGTCCATTTACATTCAATGTTTGTATTAGTCCATTTTCATGCTGCTCATAAGACATACCCAAGACTGCGTAATTTATAAAGAACAAGAATTTAATGGACTCTCAGCTACACATGGCTAGGGAGGCCTCATAATTATGGCAGAAGGTGAGAGGCACATCTTACATGTGGCAGACAAGAGAGAATGAGAACCAAGTGAAAGGGGTTTCCCCTTATGAAACCATCAGCTCTCATGAGACTTATCCACTGCCATGAGAACAGATGGGAGAAACTGCCCCCATGATTCCATTATCTCCCAGTGGGTCCTTCCCACAACATGTGGGAATTATGGGAGCTACAATTCAAGTTGAGATTCTGGGGGACACAGCCAAACCATGTCAATGTTATTATTGATAAGCAAAGCCTTAAACTGGTCATTTTGCTATTTGTTTTCTGATTGTGTTGTGGTCTTTTCCTCCTTTTTCTTTCTTCCAATCTTCCTTTTACTGCAGTTGATTATCTCTGGTAGTATGTTCTAATGTCTGGCTTTTTATTTTTTGTATATCTGTTGTATTATTTTGATTTGAGGTTACCATGAGGCTTGTGAATTCTATCTCATAACCCACTATTTTAAGCTGATAACAGCTTAACACTGGATGCATAAACAAACAAGCAAGCAAATAGAAAACCAATAAAAATTCTACAACTTAACTTTGTCCCTCCACTTTTTAACCTTTTGCTATTTCTATTTATATCTTCTTGTACTTTGTCTTGAAAAGTTATTGTAGTTATTATTTTTTATTGGTTCATCATTTAGTTTTTTTACTTAAGGTAAGACGTAGTTTATACAACACAGTCACAATGTTATACTACTCTGTGTTTTTCTGTGTACTTAATATTACCAGTAAATTTTCTACCTTCAGGTGATTTCTTATTGCTCATTAACACCCTTTTATTTCTGAGTGAACTTTCTGAGTCAAGAACTCCCTTTAGCATTTCTTGTAGGGCAGAAACTGTTTTGATTAAATCCCTCAAGTTTTGTTTGTCTGAGGAAGTCTATTTCTCCTTCATGCTTGAAGAATATTTTCACCAGATATATTATTCTATGGTGCCACTTTTTTTTTCTTCAACACTTTAGATATATCATGCCACTCTCCCCGGCTTATAAGGTTTCCACTGAAAAGTCTGCTGCCAGACATATTGAATCTCCATTGTCAATATGTTAAGTGTTTCTTTTTTCTTATCACTTTTAGGATCTTGTCTTTACTCTTGGCCTTTGGGAGTTGGATTATTAAATGCCTTGAAGTAGTCTTCTTTGGGTTAAATCTGATTGGTGTTCTATAATCTTCTTTTACTTGGATGTTGATATCTTTCTCTAGGTTTGGGAAACTCTGTGTTATTATCCCTTTGAATAAACTTTCTATCCATATCTGTTTTCTACTTCCTCTTTAAAACCAGTAAGTCTTATATTTGACCTTTTTATTTTCTAGATCTAGGCATGCTTCATTCTTTTTCATTCTTTTTTTTTTGTCTCCTCTGACTGTGTATTGTTAAGTAACCTATCTTCAAGCTCACTAATTCTTTCTTCTGCTTAATCATTTCTGCTATTAAAAGACAATGCATTCTTCAATATGCCAATTGCATTTTTCAACTCTTGAATTTATGCTTGTTTCTTTGAAATTATTTCAATCACTTTGTTAAATTTGTCTGACAGAATCCTGAATTCCTTCTCTGTAATATTTTGAATTTCTTTGAGTTTCCTTAAAACAGCTATTTTGAATTCTCTGTCTGAAAGGTGACATATCTTTGTTTCTCCAGGATTGGTTTCCGGTGCCTTATTATTTTATGAGGTTATGTTTTCCTGGATTGTCTCGATGCTTAAGGATATTTCTCTGTGTCTGGGCATTGAAGAGTTTTTGTAGTCTGTGCTTCTTTGTACCCGTCTTTCTCAGGAAGGTTTTCTAGGTATTTAAAAGGACTTAGGTGTTGTGATCTAAGCCATATATGCATTAGAGGACACCCCAAGCCCAGTAACATTTTGGTTCTTGTAGACTGGTAGAGGTACGGCCTTGATATCCTTGGATAGGATCCAGAACAATTCTCTTAATTACCAGGCAGAGACTCTTGTTCTCTTTCCTAACTTTCTCTGAAACAAATGGAGTTTTTCTCTCTGTTCTGAGCTGCGTGAAGCCAGAGGTGGAATGATGCAGCACCCCTGTGGCCACCATCACTTGAACTACACTGGGTCAGATCTGAAGCCAGCACAGCACTAGATCTCACTCAAGGCCTGCTGTAACCACTACCTGGATAATGCCTATCTGCACTCAAGCCTCTGGGGCTCTACAATCAGCAGGTAGACAAGCCAGTCAGGCCGTTGTTCTTTCCTTCAGCACAGCAAGTGTCCGCAAGCCCCAATTAGGTCCAGACGTGCCATCCAGGAGCCAAAAATTGGAGTAAAAAACCTGAGAAGCCTACTGGTGTTCTATTGTAGGATGGCTGAGCTGGCACTCAAACCATGAGATGCAGTTCTTTGTACTCTTCCCTCCCCTTTCCACAGTCAGAGGAGCTTCTCCCCATGGCCACCACAGCTACATGCCCATGGGGAGTACTTCCAGGCTCCCACCAGGGTTCACTTAAAGGCCCAAGGGCTCTTCAGTCAGATCGTGGTGAATGCTGCCTAACCTGGGACTCACCCATCAGGGCAGTGGACTCCCTTCTGGTCCAGGGCAGGTTCAGAAATGCCATCCAAGAGCCAATGCCTGGAAATGGGGGCCCCAAAAGCCCATTTTGGGCTCTACCCCCTGTGGCTGAGCTGATACCTAAGGTATAAGACAAAGTCCCCTTTCTTTTTCTCTCCATTTTTCTCAAGTTAAAGGAGTCTCTATCTGTCACCACCACACCTGGGAACGTGCTAAGTCTCACCTGAAGCCAGCAAGTGTCAGAGTCTCTCCTATATTAATCCATTTTCACACTGCTATAAAGATACTACCTGAGACTGAGTAATTTATAAACAAAAGAGGTTTAATTGACTCACAGTTCAGTTCTGCATGAATGGGGAAGACTCAGAAAACTTATAATCGTGGCAAAAGGGAAGCAAACAACTTTTTCACAAGACAGCAAAAGAGAGCATGCATGAGGAAGTGCCACATTTTAAAACCATCAGTAGTTGTGAGAACTCACTCACCAACATGATAACAGCATGAGGGGAACCGCCCCCATGATCCAATCACCTCACACCAGGTCCGTTCATCAACACATGGGGATTGCAATTTGAGATGAAATTTGGGTGGTGACACAGGGCCAAACAATATCATCAACCAAGGCCATGGCATACTATCTGGGTATCACTGCTGGTTATTTAGGGCCCAAGAGCTCTTCAGTTAGCAGGTGATGGATCTTGCCAGGACTGGGTCCTTCTCTTCAAGCCAGTAGGTTTCCTTCTTGCTCAGGGTGTGTCTAGAAAAGTCATCTGAGAGCTAGGGCCTGGAAACGGGCCTTCTGACTGATGCCCTATTCTACTATGGCTGAGCTGGTATTGAAGATACAAGACAAAGTCTTCTCACTCTTCCTTCTCTTCTCCTTAAGTGGAAGGAAGTTGTCGTTTTTGAAGCCAGGAACTGTGCAGCCTAGGATTTGGGGAGGGGTGGCACAAACACTCCCTTAGCCACCCTGGCTGGTGTCAGTAGGTTGCATGCCCCCAAGTTCACTGGCTCTGAGCTTAATTCATCCTTTGGACTCAGCTAGCAGTTGCAGTTCTTGTATCCTAGATTGCCTTTCAAGTTAATTGTGAGCCCCAGAGCCCTTTAGCCTGTGCTGGTGGAACTTACCAGAAATCATGTCTCAAATCCTGGGATGAATGATTCCCCTCTAGGTAGGGCTGGTTTAAATACTCCTTCCACAGGAGCTGAGTTCAGCCCAGTTTTGCTTTCTACTATGGTGGGGAAGCACTGAGATTAATGCAGTGCCTCACAATTGCTGCACTCACTCTCTCCCAAGAGTTCAAATTCTCTCTCTGTGCCATGTGGCCATTGCTGGGGGATTGGAGAGGGGTGGCCTTGGTGATTCAAGAATCTTTTTTACCATCTTCAACGGTTCTTTCAGTGATATGTAGTTAAAACCATGTACTGTGAGTGCTCATATGATTTTTGATTTGTTGAGCTGTTTTTTGTGCGTGTTTGTAGAGAGTTGTTAAATTGGTGTCTTTGAAGTACGGGGCAATCAATGAAGCCTTCTATTTGGCCATTACACTGCTCCTCCTTTCCTATGAACCTAATTCAAAATGTCACTGAGTTCACATTACTGGTAATGATGAAGTAGCTTTATAAGAAATTATTTTGCCTGTGGCGGTTATACATTTTAGATAAGAAAAGTAAAAAAAAGAATTTATTGAAGAAAAAAAGCAGTAAAAGAACTATACAAGATTTGATTCTTGAAAAATAATTGAGCTCTGTAAGACTTGAACTTAAATGGCTTCTTAATGGAGTAGGCACTTCCTAGTCCGTCTTGTGTAGGGTGGCTACAACTGAAGCAGAGCGACATATACAATCTTATTAGATTACAGTCAACGAATGGAATATGAGACTAATAGAGTATCTAAAGTGAATGGGAAAATCCGAAAAGTAGAAGCTTAAAGAAAGGTGAACCCTTAAAACTGCATAAAAACTCCATCCCTAAAGTGTGCATGCTTTGAGGCTTTGAGGAGACTCCAATATTCCTAGCCAGAAGGAATAGCTGAAAGCCTGAATGAATGGGGCTGTCACATGTGTTAACCTCTGCAGCGGTAATTGAATTCAGAGTTTGAGTACACTTAAATTACTTCCTGTTAGAACAATAAAAAATTAAGAGTCTTCAGAAAAAAAACAGTGAAACCCAGAAACTTTAAAATAAATCACCTGGAATGTATAGTATGCAATAAAATACTACCAGACAAAAAACATCAACCATTATTAAAAAAAAAAAGTCAAGGGAAATGGACTCCATGATGACCAAGATGACAGAATTAGCAGACAATCGCTTTTAAGTAGCATTTGTAAATTTGTTCATGTTAAAAGAAAACTATGGTCATTGTAAAAGAAGTGATACAGAATCTCAACAATGAAATAAATACTATATTTAAAACAATGGAAATTCTAGAACTAATATGAGGAATGAATATAATAAAAATTGAAATAAAAAATTGAGCATCAATGTGCTCTGAAAAGATATCAAATGCTACAATAAAGGTGGTGTTTAAGTATTTACTAAAAAGTTGGACAGAAGTTGCCACATATTTTGAGAAACGCGTATATCTCCAAATGAATCCCAAGCAAGATATTTGTAAAGTAAATCAAACCTAAGTAATTACTAATCACTCTGCTAAAAGCCAAATATAAAAAGATTTTAAAGTATTCAGAAAAAAGAGATGAGGGAACAATGATATAAATTATCTGGCTGATTATTGGAATCAGTGAGAACCAAAAGACAAAGAACAACACCTTCAATGGACTAAAAGAAAAAAACAATAAAACTGTCATCCCAGAATTGTATATTCAGAAAAATACTCTTCAGATGTGAAGACCAATATTACAATTTTGGATAAATATACACCGATAGAATCAATCACTAGCAGATCTATGCCCTACACTGTGAGAAATGATAAGAACTTTCTTTTTTCAAGATAAATGGAAATGACACAAGGTTATGTAATTTGAATTTATGAATTTATAGGAAATAATAAATATGTTATCATGTATATATTTTTACTCAATTATAATTAATCACAGTTAATATTAGTACAATATTAACTCTAATAAGAATAGGATTGGAAAAACATACATATTATAATCTTAAAGTAATGACTAAATACTAATGCATAAAATATAGCTAATTAATAAATAAAAATAAAATACTAAGCATATTTGATTGACAAAAACAGATCAAGGAAATAAAGGAAGAGTAGAGTAAAACAAAACAGATGATGACATGGCAAAATGGTAGACATAATACTAACCATAGCAAATAGTATGCTAAATGTAAATGAAATCAAAGCAAATAGTACTTTAAAATGTAAATGAAGTAAAAACTCCAATGTAAAAAAAGGCATTGTCAATAAAAATTAAGACATAATTAGATGCTACTTACAAGAGATTAATTCTAAACATAATGACATAGTAGTATAAAAGTAAAATAAGGTAAACATTAAAGGATTAATCATAAAACCAGCCAAGATGGCTAAAATAATAACCATATAAATACATTTCAAGGCAGAGAGCATATATACAGATAGATACATTTAATAGCAATAAACATGTATAGTTCAGGAGGGAGTTACTAATAATATACATGTACTTAATAATAGAGGTTAAAATATATAAAGCCAAAACTGATAGAACTGATAGAACTTGAAAATGTCAAGATGAAAAAACAGAAGAAAGACTTCATAATTTTAGAATAAAATATGTTAAATATATAAAATAAAGAAATGTGATATGTGATCCTGAGCTGGAATTTGTAATAAAATATAAAGGAAGACATTATTAAAATGATTAATGGGTTTTTAATATGGACAATGAATTAGATAATATTATTGTATCAATGTTAAATTTTCTGACTTTAATCTTTCTAATATGGTTATGTCAGAGAATGTCCTTCTTGGGAAATGCAAATTGAAATGTTTAGGTGCAAAGGACCATGATATCTCCAATGTAGTCTCAAATAGTTCAGAAAAAATAATTATATAGAGCAAGAGAGAGAGAGAATATAAACACATAGTGAGAAAACATGTAGATAGCTGGTTAATCTGGATAAAGGGTGTTCAGGAGTCTCCTGTAGCATGCTGATAATTTTTCTGCATTTTAGAAATTATATTAAAATAAGACAAAAGTACTCAAAAAGTTGTGTTCTCTTGGAATATTTTGAATATAAAATTTGATAATTTGACAGACTGAAAACAATAGTTTTAGAGAACTTAATTTATGTTTTTAATGATTTTATTTAGTTAAATTTATAAGAATCATTTAGGTATTTTGCATAATTTTTCTCATTATTTTAAGCTTGTTTGTTCAGGCATTTTGGTGCTTGAAAAGATAACTGAGCATTTTTAATATATGTAAAATTTCATACATTTTTCGTGTGGCTAATGATTAAAATATTTATTTGACTTGTTCTAACTATAATCGGAGCCTCCCCAGAAAGTAATATTTCTTTGGAAATTAAAATTTAATAGACTTATGAATAAAATAACAAGATATAGGGGTATCACTTAAGAACATAACTAACTTTTCTAGTTAGTTAACAGATCCTGACTTTTTAAAACAAAATCTGACTTCTACCAATTAAAAAAAAAGAAAGATAAAAGACGAAAGCCCACATTAATTCATTTTAGTACTTGGACCATATTCTTTGCATTGTAATTCACCTACCAGGGTGTTATCACTCCAGTGATTTGCAAAGTATTCACTATTTACTTATCTAATTCAGCCCTTTATTGCCAGTAAGACTGTCTCTGATAGGACTAGCAAAATTCCTGTTGTTTCAAAATTAAAATTGAGTGTTTATAACATAATTTCTTGAAGGAGTATAGAATCATTTAGAGTAGATAATTCAATGTATATTACTAAGAATTGCAAAAGTATGTGCCAATAGTGGAAACCACTTTCTTTTTGGAAAAGCTGAGGTTACTTGGCAGCTCACATTCCTCTGGGGAGGTTAATCTTGCCTGTGTCTGAAACATGTTACCATAATTTTTGACACATTTTTTTACTTGATCGTATTTGACAGCACTTAACAATTAAAGACACCATATTTTGACCTTGAATTCTTAGGGCATTTCTATAGTGACACTTGTGTTGGTTTTTGTTGAAAGGAAGGATTTGTCTTGATTGCTGATTTGCCTTTTGTATCATTTGATGTTTTAGAGTCTTGACATATCTGTAAATTCAAGCTAAGAAATGTGCTGATGTGGAGAAATACACAAGCATCGGGCTTCCTTTTCAACTTTGATTCCACATCTGAGGCAAAGTGAAAAGGAGACTGTTGTTTAATAGGATAAACCCATAGCCCCGAGAAGTGCTTATTATAAAACCAAAGTAGAAAAGTTGTTAATTTTCTATTGGTTCAGTATAACAAGTCCTTCCCAAGATAGTTTCATTGATGAAATTTTTAAAAAGTATCTGAAAAATAATAGTTAGAAAAGGACAACTTCATACCCAATTGATGAACTTTAATTTTTAAATAAACTTTTTTAAATAAACTTTAATTTTAGAATAGTTTTTTTTATTTACAGAAAAATTGATAAGTTCATGCAGAGTTCCCAGATACCCTTCACTTAGTCTTCCCCATTGTTAACATGTTACATTATTATGGTACACTTGTTATAGTTAATGAAAACATATTGACACATAATTGTTAACTAAGGTACCTAGTTTATTCTAATTAATTTAGTTTGTATCTTTTTTTTATTTTAGAATCCTATCTTGGATACCACATTACTTTTAGTAGTGATGTTTCCTTGGGATCCTCTTGGCTGTGACGATTACTCAGACTATATTAGTCTGATTTCATACTACTATAAAGAACTGCCTGAGACTGGGTAATTTATAAAGGAAAGAGGTTTGATTGACTCTTAGTTCATCATGGCTCCAGAGGTCTCAGGAAACTTACAATCATGACAGAATGTGATGGGAAACCAAGGCACCTTCTTCACCAGGCAACAGGAAGGAGAAGTACCCAGTGAGGGAGGAAGAGCCCCTTATAAAACCATCAGATCTCATGAGAACTCACTCACTATCACAAGAACAGCAAAGGGGAAACCACTCTTGTGACTCAATTACCTCCACTTGGTTTCTCCCTTGGATTATGGGGATTATAATTCAAGATGAGATTTGGGTGGGGACACAAAGCCTAACCATGTCAAAAAGCTTCCTTATTTTTGACATTTCTTGTTTCCTTGTTTTGGACCAGGACTTCTCAAAAACTGTAAGAAAGACAGTGATGACTTCTAAGCTCTTCAAATATCAGAACTGAAATGGGAAGTCTAGATGATATTTTCAATTTTTCACTAGTTAATGCCTTCAATGACACTTCTCTGTATATGCTTGAAAAAAACAAATTATGATTAGCCACATTGTCTTAGCAGTAATTTTTTAATTGAATAGTTAATGAGCAAAGCTGAAAATTTCCCAAGGGCCTTCAAAACATGTAACAGCAGGTGAATTTGTTTTTAATTTTTTAAAAAATTTGTTTTTAACATAAGGTTAAGTCAACTGTGATGCTTACCATATGCTTGTGTAGGAACATGTTCATGCATCTGTTAGTTCATTCAGTGATTAGGAATATGTTGTGAGAAATGTGGATTTGCAACTTCTGTGATTGCCAGCATCTACCACAACCTTAGTTCTAAAGAGATGGTCATGAACCAGGAACAATGAAAAGTCACTTTAGGAAATAAATAAATAAATAAATAAATAAATGATAAAAATTCTCTCCTGAAGCAGAGAATAAAATCCTACTAAAATAAGGTTTCTTTTCAACTGAACTAAATCTGAGAATAAAAAGCTTTATAAAAATTGAAGTATATTTCCTGGGTAAAAAGACCTAAAAATTTAATAAACACAAGTTGAAGAAATAGATTAAAAATATGTTAAATTAATATAATCCCTGGTAAACCAAAATAATAGAGAAGCCAAACTTTTAGGTGCCAACAATCCTTTCTATGTGGAACATGATTAATTACATTTCTAGAACAATGGGAACCAATGCATATCAAAATAATGTTAATATTTATTAATATAATAATTTGTCACCAAATATTTGTTTAGCACCTACCACATACTAAATACCATTAGAGAATAAATGAAGAATGATACAGATCTTTCTCTGAAGGTATTGATGCTCCCAATGCCATAGAACAGATACATCTGAGGTTGATCTAATACAGCACTGAGTCTGACAACTATATTAAAAGTCGAGGAAATGAAAGACCAGAGAGTGAGATGATTTGACTAAATTCATATAAATTGAATCTCAGGATCTCCAAATGCTAGTCCTTTGCTATAGTTAGAAGAACAAAAAGAACATGCATTAAAAGAAAAGATAACAAAAAATTGTGATACAAAGGATAGCGTTTAGTTCCATCAGAAAGTGCTAATAAAATATTTGTGAATAAAAATATTTTATGGATAATAAATCAAATGCCACATCTATATTATTTTGAACTTACCACTTCAGTATTCAAAGTGATATAATAGAGTTTTATTGTTATTGGGGATAATAAAGTTCAAGGATCTCACCAGGACTTGAAAATATATTCAGATTATCTGTTTGTTTAAAGTAATGAGTCAGCTTGGTTTACCATATAAGCTTCCCTCTTGAAAAAAATCCTGACTTTTATCTCAATAGCTTTCTCCCCACACATAGCTTATGTCAAAATATTTCACATGTAATCATAAAATCTTGGCTAAGCATCTCATACCTGTCTTCAGTGTTTCTGTTCCAAATAAGCACCAGTAACACTTATCAAATATTGAGTAAACAATATGCTAGAAAAATCTCAACACCTTTGGTAATCATCTGTTTCAAATAATATGGTCCCAAAATAGCAGTTAGTAGAATGTGTGTAATTTTACAACTAGTGTTTTTGGCAATACTACTAAAAATAACATTTGGTGATGAAGTCATTTCTGGCAGTATGTGTGTGTGTTTTTTAATTATCAAAGACAATACATTTGTTACCTTCGCACTGGTATTTGAAGAAATTCTCATAAAGTATAAATGGAGATGAAAAATATGCTAGACTATTTGTAGTAGGCAGATTTTTATATAGCTCCTAATAGTTCTCTTCCTGGTATTAATAGTCTTGTTATTGTGGACTGGACCTAGTGACCTGCTTCTAATAAAGAGTATATGGCAAATGTGACATGATGTCACCTCCAGAATTAGGTTACAAACGACTGTGGCATCCACTTGCTACCTTGCTCTGTCTGGTGGTACTCTCTTCCTCTCTCGCTTGCGTACTCTGATGAAGCAAGGTGTCATGTTGCAAATTGACCTATAGAAAAGCTCATGTGTCAAAGAACTAAAAAAAGCCTCCTATGTGTAGTTTGTGAGGAACTGAGGTCTGATTCAGAAATATGAGAGGAGCTGAATCATGCCAAACATTAGCTGAGTAAGCTTGGAAGTGGAACCAATCAGAACTTGTGATGACTGCAGCTAAGCTATGAGTCAGAAATTCTTGACTCACAGAAACTGTGAGGTAATAAATGCATGTTGTTTTATGACTACAACATTTGGAGTAATTTATTTCACAAAAATGAATACATAATTCATTGTTCTAATGAAAAATGCATGTCATTGACAATGTTCATCATGATGTACCATGATAAAACTTTTTCTCCCAATTGTTACTACCACAGAGTAAATTGTATTGCCCCGTGTCACCATTTTAAGACTCAGGAAAGATACAAAGGCAGAAAAAAAACTGAGTTTACCAATACCTTTCTTCCAAGGGGTATTTTTATTTAAAAGAATAAGCTGCATAAATGTCTTCTTTTGAGAAGTGTCTGTTCATGTCCTTCGCCCACTTTTTGATGGGGTTGTTTGTTTTTTCATGGAATACTATGCAGCCATAAAAAATGATGAGTTCATGTCCTTTGTAGGGACATGGATGAAATTGGAAATTATCATTCTCAGTAAACTATCGCAAGAACAAAAAACCAAACACCGCATATTCTCACTCATAGGTGGGAATTGAACAATGAGAACACATGGACACAGGAAGGGGAACATCACACTCTGGGGACTGTTGTGGGGTGGGGGGAGGTGGGAGTGATAGCATTGGGAGATATACCTAATGCTAGATGACGAGTTAGTGGGTGCAGCGCACCAGCATGGCACATGTATACATATGTAACTAACCTGCACAATGTGCACATGTACCCTAAAACTTAAAGTATAATAATAAAAAAAATAAAAAATAAATTTAATACAAAAAAAAAAAAGAACAAGCTGATGGGGAATACAATTGAAGTTCAACAAATGTCATTGAAATCAAATCAAATTGGAACCCACTCATACTTCCTTCCAAGAACTAGCCTCCCAGCCCTGATTGTGAGGCATAAACGTACCCTGAATTTTTACTAGAGGGTAAAATGATTCTTGGAAGATGGCACAAAGGTTCTCTTAACTAGCACAATGGCCATCTGCAAGTTATTGCAAGGTTTGGAATTCTCATCTCAGTGGAAAATTAATTATAAGAATATCTCAGCTTTTAAGGGATTTTAAATGATCTAAAAACGCTCTCGGTACTTTAATGTATAATTCTTTTATATTAAAAGCAGAAAAGATATGAGAAATAAACTTTATGAAGCATACAGCACATCAATAACTATGTATTTGAAGTTCTTATGCTTCCTTTTTTTAATGTATGCTCTGAATAAGATTAATTTTCTCATAAAAAGCATTTGCGATCTAGCTGAAAACACTTAATAGATATTTGTGTTATTTCTTTAGAATGAATGCTGACTGCTTTTCTTTCTTGCTTGTTTAGCATAACTCTTTTTTGTTAAAAATTTATTTGAAAGTCATTTTCATAACTGTAACACAAATATTTTAAAGCATAAGAAAATGTTTTGTTTTCTAATATAAATAGTGAAACTGTTTTAATCAGTGGTAGTATTCCATTCAAAAATTTCGAATAAGCTCTAGAGCCCAAAGGATCATTGTGAGGTATTTACAGTTAATAAAGATTTGGTAAAAATGTGTTTATTTTAGATGTCGCAAAACTGCAGCATTATATGAAGCATTACAGAGTTCACGAAGAGTAGATCAAACTGTCATTCAAAAAGTAGATCAAAATGTTCAAAAACATTATCAACTATGAAATTTCACCTTGGGCCATCTGGACCTCAGTTTTCCCATTCATTAAAATGGGGAAACATGGTACCTGATGTGTTCCAGGAAATCTTAATAAAATGCTTTACATCAATATCTTATATAAGATGATCACAAAACTTCTAATAACTTAAGACAATTTTAAATTTTGTATTAATCTCAAACACCTAGTTCTTTAAAATTTTAAACATAGGCTGGGTTCAGTGTTATCCCAGCACTTTGGGAGGCCAAGGTGGGTGGATCATGAGGTCAGAAGTTCCAGACCAGCCTGACCAACACAGTGAAGCCCCGTCTCTACTAAAAATACAAAAATTAGCAGGGCGTGGTGGTGCACACCTGTAATCCCAGCTACTCGGGAGGCTGAGGCAGGATAATTGCTTGAACCTGGGAGGCAGAGGTTGCAATGAGCCAAGATGGCACCACTGCACTCCAGCCTGGGCAACAGAGGGAGACTCAGTCTCAAAATAAGTAAATAAATAAATAAATAATAAAATAAAGTAAATTAAACATAATGTTTATATAAAAAGTTGAGTGAATTCAACAAATCAGAAAAAATTACAATACATTTATAATACATTTTTCATTCATTGTTTTATTTAGTGGTTTCAGAAGCCTTGTATTCTCTTTACAAGAAGAGACTATTATGAGGTTCAGATAGTTTATGTAATTTGATCAGTTACCTAGGATAGTAAAGAAAAATTATGACTATAACCCACATCAGCAACTAAATTTCCAGTATTTTTCTTATTTTACAATCACTTCCAAATTATCAGAAGCACTCAAAGAATGAAATGTTTGATATTCATTGCATTTCAAATGTCTTCATATTGACCTTTTGAAGTATGTTCACACTTAAACCTCGATTCTAAAATTTGTAACATTATGTCATTTCATTGCCCAAACTTATATCACAGAAAGAAAAAATTTGGAAAAAAATACTTACAGATCTAAATATATATATGTGTGTGTATATATATATATATATATACACATATATATACACATATATACACACATATATATACACATATATATACACATATATACACATATATATACACATATATACACATATATATACACACACATATATATATATTTATATATATATATTTTTTTTTTCAGACGGAGTTTTGCTCTGTCACCCAGGCTAGAGTGCAGTGGCACAATCTCGGCTCACTGAAACCCTGCAACCTCTGCCTCCCAGGTTCAAGCAATTCTCCTACCTCAGCTTCCCAAGTAGCTGGGACTACAGGTGGATACAACCAAGCCCTGCTAATTTTTGTGTTTTTAGTAGAGACGAGGTTTCACCATGTTGGCCAGGCTGGTTGACAACTCCTGACCTCAGGTGATCCACCTGCCTCGGCCTCCCAAAATGCTGGGATTACAGGCATGTGCCACAGTATCTGGCCCTAAATATTTTTTTAAAAATAATTGTAATATCTGTTTTCCTTTCTCTGGTAGTATAACATTTAATGATCTAGTGGAAAAAGGAGCAGTATATCACAACAGGGAATAATTGGATAATTGCACATATATATATGCATAGACACACAGACACAAACTCACACATGCACATACAGCATGTTTGTTCTGACTATATTAGATATATTTCACCCACCACTTTTCATTTTTTTAAAGTGAATAAAACGTTTGCCTATAAAAATAGAGCTAGGAAATTTAAAGCTAATACAGAATGTTGCAGCTATGTCGATTTTACACTTGCCATAGTTGAAAATTGATTGACTCTGAAAATAAAGTAGTAAAAACTGCCATTGTGTGAAATTTCAAGTTATACAGATACGTAGATACTGTTAAAACTATATATTATAATATGATATATTAGTTAGCTGTGATGCTGTCTCTATGAGAACATTTTAAATTTATTAGGAATCCTAGATTTTTGTATTATCAATCATAAATGACAGAAAATATTTATTATTTAAGTAATTTTAATAGCTATATTGGGAAAAATAAAATCTGTCATTAGTTTGTCAGAAGTACATTATTGGGCTCTGTACATTTCATAATTGCTTTAGTAATCATATTGTCTTATAAAAAAATAACAATATCAATAAATGTCGGTACTGAGTAGAACACAAGAAATTATCACATATCTGTTTTACAATTTCTTTTCAAAGAGAAAAATTACACTAAATTATAACCTGTATGAAATATCCCATTCCAGTTTGAGGAAAGCTTTTAAAAGCATTCATAAATACTCCTAAAAGAAAGATTTTCTTAGCAGCAACTCAGATCTATTGCTATCATATTACTATATATATGTATACTCTGAATTTAAAATATGAGTGTGAATATCTACTGATTTAAACATTGTAAATGAACTGTGCTATTAAATAATGCCTACAAATTTAGCTTTCTACCTTTAGTTGCATTCTTTCTTTTGTAGCAGATTTATTTACTTGAAAATAACCATTTATCTTATTCCATATGTATGGGCTCACAATTGTAGTAGACATCTGTTACCTTTTGCTAACCACAGTGCTGGACATAAGTTTTATTTTGTCTGCTCGGCACACATTCACCTATTTACTCTATTGGGAATATTCCCAATTTCTTTTCCAGAACTACCATACCTCTAGTCCACCTGGTTCAAGGATAGGCAGGTGGCCCATTTCTGAACAAGAAGATGTAATTTAAAAATATTTTCTAAAATTTGGGGAAAGAGAAATGTTTCTATGTTTCCACTTGAAGTTACTGATCTAATAGGACAAAGTTTTGGATATAGAAAGATCATCTTGCCAACTTGATATAGAGGAAGCTTCTCTGCCTTGTCTAGATTTAAACCATTATAGGAAAAAATAGGAGTAATATTTGACAAAACACAGAATCCTGAGGAGAAATCTGAGACTCTGGAACTTATCATTCCTGAAGCTATAATTCGCACTTTTACTTGCAAAGGACCTATCAATTTGCAGTTTGAGTTTAGTTTTTATCACCACAAAGGATGCTAAATAGTTCAGAAATATTACTTACAAAACATCTTTTAAAAGGAAACAGTTTATAAAAAGAAAAAAATCCAAGCTCTCTTCAATATGAATTCTTTAGACAGAAACTGGATCAAACAAGTCATTATGTATTATAAGCTTTCTAATTCTATGCTATGATAGATACAAGTGAACTCGGTTTTTCAATTTGTAGATCACAGTGTGGTTATATTTTTAACCACAATACCTTTGAAAATCTAATTGGCTTCAATTAAGATAAGTTAATATAAATCATTTCCACCATTTAGATGAAAACAGAAAAACTGACAAGTTTCTTCAATCATAACGTATAAAAACCATCCATAAAACACATCAGGCCCAGCTGTTTCTAGTCATCTGATTTGCGTTTTGTTTCACTTTTTCATAGGAATATTAATGCGGTGATGAAAAAAACCCAGGTCATGCAATCAGAAGGCTTAAAGGCAAATCTTACAAACACTGTTAATTTGAACAACTCTCTCTTCACACTTAGAAATCTGTTTCTTTCTGTATTCTGACAATATTTAACATCTAGAGTGGTGGCTATGACTGATGAGACCATGCTTGGGAGAATATTTTGGGAATTCTTAAATGCTATACAAATACTGCAGATGTGTATGTGTGTGTGTGTGTGTATATATATGTACATATAAATGTATTCTATGTGCTATGTTTATGTTAATGTACACAGTTAGAGTCCACACAACCTGAGAAACTTTTGTGTAATAAAATACTGTGTGAGGTACTCCCATTTCTTGGAATCAAGACCCCTGTCTACAACAAGACATACTAACTTTAGGTCAAGTATCTGCTACTGTCCAGCTATGTGCCCTTAGGCAAGTCTATTTGACTTATCGGTGACTTAGTTTCCTTATTTATAAATAATAATTATTATTAATTTGGCTAATACACACAAAGAGCTTACAACAGTAAGACCTACAGCCAGCACATGATAGGCATTCTACTACTATTAGCTTTTAGTTTGAACAGTCATTAGGTAATTCTATTTTGTGGCTTACTCAACCTGTGACTCAGGTTAAGTTCTCTCAGATAAGGTCCTGTTAGGTTTTTCCATTCTCGGTAACCTGAACAGCATTTGTATACTTCTTCTATTTCCCAGAATGCTGAAAAATGTCAGGCAGGACACTGAGGAAGAGAGCCCAGAGAAAACAAGTTGTCACATTCTAGCCTCTGGAAACAATCAGGATTCCTGGAGAGGTGACAATTTCCCCTTTGGGTGTTAGCAATGGGCAACACATGTTATGTTTGCTTGTTTGTCAGTGAATCTTCTCTGGTGGATGATGAGATCATCAAGGCCATGGGTCATTTTAAATTTATAGGAACAAGTCCAGAGAATTTTCAGCTACAGAAGAGAAATCAGAAGATAAAAGATGGGAGGCATGCAGGCATAAGAAGGAAAGGGACGCAGAAGGGGAAGTAGTAATTGCACACAGTTGCATTAGTCTGCAAAGAAATGGACTTAGAGTGCAAAAAACAGACATGTTGCTGACGATGATAACTCTCCACAGGGATTAGGCAAAGAGTACATAAAATGACAATGATAATTCAAAGTTGTAGTAACTGTGAAATCAATAGTGTCAGTGGAAACAGTTGGTGTCAAGTAAAAAGGATCAACTGTTTTCTAATCTCTGGGGTCACTGGTGGTCTTGCTAACACTCAGATATTTTTGAAGCCATTGGAGTTTCCTCCCAGTGCTCTAGAAACCAACAGAGATATTTGAGATAGTAAAAGATGAATGGAAATTGATTTATCTGAGGGATACTTCCTCTGTGATGTCAGCAAAAGAAAAGAATATTCTAGGACACATTTATATTAAGCTATTTGAGATGTCTCTCTGTCTATTTATGTGTGTACATCCCTGCCCCCAGGTCCCAAGAGAGAGCACCTAAAAACGCTTCTAGAGTTGCTAGGAGAATCTTTTATTCTATTTAATGTTTCACTCTGGTTCCTAACACAGAGATCCTAAGGCTTCTTCAATTTCCTGAGTGACAAGCACATCCTTTGTTTTGATGAGACAATTTCTAATGGGCTTTTGGACAGCCCAGTGAGCAGGTAGGGAATCAAGGTTGAATTGACCGCCAAAGATTCAAATAACCATGCCTATGTAATGCAGCCTCCATGAAACCCCAATAGACCAGGGTGCAGAGGGCTTCTGAATTGCTGACTAAGTGGAGGTTCCTGGAGGGTCATACACTCAGAGAACATAGAATCTCCATGCCTCTGCCTTCCCATAGCTTACCCTATGTATCTTTCCTATCTGACTATTCATCTATATCTTCTGTAATATCTTTTATCATAAATGGGTAATCATTAGCAAAGTGTTTCCTTGAGTTCCTTAAGCTGCTCTAGCAAATTAATTCAACCCAAAGGGGAGCTCTTGAAAGACCTGATTTCTAGGCAGTAGGTCAGAAGTAAAGGTGACAACCTGATACCTGCGACTGGCATCTGAAGTGGGGAGTGGTTTTGTGGGAATAAGCCCTTAACCTGTGGGGTTTGATGCTATCTCCAGGTAGACAGTGTTAGAATTAAGTTAAATTATAAAACACCCAGTTGGTGTCCACCAGAGAACTGGTTGATAGTGGTGAGAGACACCCACACATTTTGGTGACGGAAGGTGAAGTGCTTTGTGTTGTATTGAGCATAAAATTAGGAAAAGTAGTTTTAGTTTTCCAGTTGCTTGTGTTTCCCTACCCACGTGTATGGCTAAAAACTCACACACAGGCTGGGCAAGGTGGCTTATGTCTGTAATCCCAGCACTTTGAGAGGCCGAGGCGGGCAGATCACGAGGTCAGGAGATCGAGACCATCCTGGAGAACACGGTGAAACCCTGTCTCTACTAAAAATACAAAAAAAAAAAAAAAAAAAATCAGCCAGGCGTGGTGGTGGGCACCTGCAGTCCCAGCTACTCGGGAGGCTGAGGCAGGAGAATGGCGTGAACCCAGGGGGCGGAGCTTGCAGTGAGCCGAAATCGCGCCACTGCACTCCAGCCTGGGAGACAGCGAGACTCCGTCTCAAAAAAAAACAAAACAAACAAACAAACAAAAAAAACCTCATGCACATTTTGGTGAGCACAGGCAAAATGCTCTGTGTTCACTGTGTGAGAATAGGAAAAACACATTTTGCTTTTTCCTATCTCTTATAATATGTATTTCCCTATATCTATCTTCTATCTAAAATTCTTCTAAATATAGGTCAATATATGGTTAATATTTCACCCTATGCACCAACGGATATATAGACTACAAAGAAGTTTTATGAATGCTGCCGAAAAGCCCATCAGACATAGAACAACCCGTAATTTTGATTACTCAACTTCAGCTACTCTTTTGCTCATACTTGTGCTTTATAACAATAATGATAGTAGCAACAACAAAATTATGCCAAACATAACTATATCTTACATAAATGAAAATTTCCAAAAGATTTAGAGGATACATTGAAAACAACTTTAAAGTATTTAATCGGATGAAATGGAAGGAACAAGTTAACATATACACGAAGATGTGAACAATTGTAGGAGAAACCAGTTTAAGGTGAAAGACTAGGAGTTCAATTTTGGACATGAGTTAACACATTACCCACTTATTAATGTAGTAGGAGACAGATCTTGTACAAATTCTCCCTCCCTCCCTCCCTCCCTTCCTTCCTTCTTTCCTTCCTTTTTTTTTTTTTTTCCCCAGATAGAGTCTTGCTTTGTCACCCAGGCTGGAGTACAGTGGCACAATCTCGGCTCACTGCAACCACCTCCTGGGTTCAAGCAATTCTCCTGCTTCAGCCTCCAAGTAGATGACATTACAGGCATATGCCACCACACTTGGCTAATTTTGTATACTTTTAGTAGAGACAGGGTTTCACCATGTTAGTCAAGATGGTCTCGAACTCCTGACCTTGTGATCTGCCTGCCTCAGCCTCCCAAAGTGCTGGGATTACAGGCGGGAGCCACTGTGCCTGGCCCACAAGGAAAATATATATTCTAAGTGAACAAAATAGTCTGATAAGTTTTGGATAAGACATAGTTCTTTCAAAAGAGTGTCTTGATGTGTTAGTTTCTTAATTGTAAATTAATCCTAGAACTATGGTTATAATTAACAATGAAAAGATTAACAGAAGAAAAGAAGGGAGAGATGGTGGGAAGAGGAGGACAAAAGAGAAAGGGGGAGAGAAAGAAAGAAAAAAGTAAGAAAGAAGAAAGAAAGGAAAGAAAGAAAGAGAGAGAGGGAAAGAAGAAAGAGAGGGAAAGAAGAAAGAGAGGGAGGGAAAAAACAAAGAAAAAAGAAAGAAAGGAAGAAGGAAGGAAGAAAGGAAGGAAGGAGAGAGAGAGAGAAAGAAAGAAAAAAGAAAAAGAGAGAAAGAAAAAGAAGGAAGGAAGGAAGGGAGGAAGGGACGAAGGGAGGAAGGGAGGGGAAAGCAAGCAGGCCGACCAGGCGAAGTGGCTCAATCCCAGCACTTTGGGAGGCCGAGGCAGGTGGATAACGAGGTCAAGAGTTTGAGACAAACATGGCTAACATGGTAAAACCCCGTCTCTACTAAGAATACAAAAATTAGCGGGGCCTGGTGGTGCTTGCCTGTAATCCCAGCTACTCAGGAGGCTGAGGCAGGAGAATGGCTTGAACCTGAGAGGCGGAGGTTGCAATGAGCCAAGATCATGCCACTGCACTCCAGGTTGGGTGAAAGAGTGAGACTCTGTCTCAAAAAAAAAAAAAAAAAAAATATATATATATATATATATATATTCCCTGTGAAAAATGTATCAAACCTTGAAAATGTTTAGTAGCATAGAGAATGTGTTTTACAGATGAGTTTTTGTCACATATAATTTCAAATTGAAACAGGGTCTCACTCCGTGGCTTAGGCTGGAGTGCAGTGGTGTAATCACAGCTCACTACAGCCTTGACCACCCTGGCTCAAGCAATCCTTCCACCTCAGCCTCCCAAGTAGCTAGGACTACAGGAACACTCCATCACATCCAACTAGTTTTTAAATTTTTTGTAAAGAAGGAGTCCCCCTGTGTTGCGCAGGCTGATCTCAAACTCCTCAGCTCAGGCGATCATCCTGCCTCAGCCTCTCAAAGTGCTGGGATTATAAGCATGAGCCACTGCTCCAGCCTATCTGCACTTTTAGATAAAAGATACATGCATTAGGTATTTTTGATTAACTGCTTTCTCTAAACATAAAAATTGGGTCTCAACATATTCTACTTTGTTTTGTTTTTTCTGGCTTTTCTTACTCTGTTCTTTCTGTATAAAACCTTATTATAAACCATATTTGCCTGGGAATCTACAACTTCACCTCTAGGAATGTCATCATTTTGGAACCATTTCCTGATCAACTCATTCCTCTGGATGTAGGCTAAGTTAGGTATCTTTTCTTTGTGCTCCTAAACAACATTTCTGCAACTTTGCAGTAGCATTTTCACATAACATTGTCATTATTAACTTGGGATACCTGCCTCGTTAGATGCTAACCTCTTTGGGTACAAGGAACATAAGCTCATTTCTATCTTCAGCACCTCTTTCAGTTAAGTTTAACATTTTTTTTTTATCAAAGCCTACTAGCCTCCAGGTACAATACAAATGGAAACAAATTCTGTCCCCTAAAAGATTTTACAATCCAGTGGAAAACATTCAGTACAGTGCAAAAATTATAATAATAAAGATAGGCCATACCTATTGAGGTAATTGTTGAAGGAATAATAGAAAAATTAAGAATTTCTGATCAGGTTAATAGAATCAATGACAAAGTAAAAGCTTTTATAACTGTGCCTGGAGCAGTGACCTAAATTTCCCACTTGTTTTTTGTACTTTGACTCAAAGATAATAAAAAATTGTCATGGGCTTTTTTTAGTTTTTAAGGATGCCTAGTTTATTCAATAAGCATGCAGTTCTAAAACTCAAAACCGGCCAGGTGCCATGGCTCTCGCCTGTAATCCCAGTTCTTTGGGAGACTGAGGCGAGTGGATCACCTGAGTTTAGGAGTTCGAGACCAGCCTAATCAACATGGTCAAACACTGTTTCTACTAAAAATAAAAAAAAGTAGCAGGGCATGGTGGCAGGCACCTGTAATCAAAGCTACTTGGGAGACTGAGGTATGAGAATCACTTGAACCCTGGAGGCTGAGGTTGCAGTGAGCTGAGATGGCGCTACTGCACTCCAGCCTGAGCAACAAGAGCGAAACTCCTTCTCAAAACAAAAACAACAAAAAATAATCTAAAAACCAATCTATTTGCTTGTCCTGTGAAAGAATACCCAAATATTCCTTTTAAATTTTCATAAATATAATCTTCATGCAAAGTATAATACTTTTTATGAAAAGCAAGTGATCCCACTATTTTTCTTTAAAGCATAAATTCATATATATATTCCCGATACCTTATAGAGTCTTCAAATTAATGCCAAACAATGCCTTACACATGAAATATAGCCATTCTTTCTTACGATCAGCTCATCACATATATATTCTATAATACATATAACAATTTATTTATTTATGGAAACATGGTCTCACTCTGTGGCTCAGGCTGGAATGCGAGGATGCAATCTCGGCTCACCACAGCCTTGACCTTCCTGGCTCAAGCAATCCTTCCACCTCAGCCTCCCAAGTAGCTGGGACTACAGGCACACACCATCACATCCAACTAGATTTTTAATTTTTTGTAGAGGAGTCTCCCTATGTTGCCAAGGCTGATCATATAACAAATATGTTTTATATATTTGTTATTTAAATGCATATACAGTGTTATTTATATTAAAATTATTTATATTATCTTATTTCTACAGGATTATTTTCTCACAGAAAACATTTTCCATTAGCAGCAAATGATAACATGCTAGCCCCATTCTATTGTGCACGACTTCCGTTGTATTCTTGCTCAAAATTTTTAAATAACAATAGTCAGTAGAGAGTTAAAGAGTTGAAATTATTCATTCTGTGGCACATAAATATATAGATTTAATTATACCAAATATATTGGCAATTTCTTATATACAAAACGGTCATATATTTAAAAATATAGTATCTAGTCCTTTTTAAAACAATTTGATTTCATTTTTAGAAAAGGAAGTGACTGTCATATTGGTTGAAGTTAGAAACATATTTAGCAGCCACACACTCGAGTAGCACAAAATGGAAAAATAAATTAAAATTTTAAAATAACTACCATTTAGTTTGCTCATATTATACCCCAAGGATTTCAGCAACATGGGAGCTAGTATCATATAA
This sequence comes from Homo sapiens, assembly GCF_000001405.40. NCBI lineage: Eukaryota > Metazoa > Chordata > Mammalia > Primates > Hominidae > Homo > Homo sapiens. The sequence goes on from NC_000004.12 coordinate 32,871,134, forward strand.
TGACTTCTGTCTCCATCCCAGGCTTGATTTCCCTCCATGTTAATTGAGTGCCTTCTATGTTCCAAGTACTGTTCTAAGTGCTTGGAATATATCATGGAACAGAAGATACAAAAACTGCCACCCTGGTGGAACTTCCAGTTGGGAGAAATATGCCATGAATAGCAAACATAATGAGGAAACTGTATAGCGTACCTAAAGACGATAATGTAAAGTCAAGTAGAAGACGAAAGCTAACCTGAGAGTGTTGGGAGGAGAGTAGGTTGCAGAATTAAATGGAGTAACAAGGTTTCAGCATGGGCTTATTGGAAAGCAGAAGCTTGAGCAAAGATTTGAAGGGCTAAAATGAGTTATTTAGAGGAAGAGAATTGCAGGCTTAGAAAATGTCTTATGTGTTCACAGGTAAACCAGAAGGCCAGAATGGCTGCAGGAAAGGGAATGGGGGCAGCAAGGAGGAGATTAGAATACACAGGTCATGGGGAGCCATCTCACAGAGGGCTGTGAAGCCAGTGTGGGCACTTTGGATTTTATTCTGAGTAAAATAAAGAATAATTGGAGGGTTTTTGCCAGATAAATGATGCCATCTGGCGTATTTTACAGAAATACATTATATAAGTGATATCTCCTTTATTCCTGATAAAATTGATGTTGGAGACTATGGCTCATATATAAAGATTTACCTAACATGGCTCTGGTCAAACTGGAGGACAGAGGCCTTTCCACAGGAGGTTTGTCCCTCATACCTGTGCCATGGAGACTGGATTCCTATACTATAAAGAAAAACAAACCAAAAAGAGTGTGGAAATAAGGGTGTTTTTTTTTTTTATTTACGAACTCTCTAATTAGATTAAAGAAGTGAGTGAGGGGTATAGAGCAGTCATTCAGGAGTATTTTATGAAGAGCTTCCAAGTGGAATAGAACCTCAGGAGTGGGGAAGGAATGATTTCTTCCAACAGGTCCATTCTTGCCTGCTCATCTGCAATGCAGATTCTGCCCCTGTAGAGAAGATGTGAAATTATCTAGTTTATAGGATGAATTTGTCATTTTTATTCAGGTGAGGGCTACAAGGCCATTTGGCCCTCCTCCTGAGTCTTATCTTTGAATCCAGTTTTAATCAATATAGTAGTTTAATCTACATTAATCTGATTTCTCATCTATCAGTTGCTTGTAAATTGGGAAAGGTGTTATCCATTAATCACTTAAATACAATCAGAATTAAAACATGAATGACAAAAGTAGTGGGCAGGGGAGGAGGGTCGCCAGAAAGTGTTATGTGGCAGAGAAAAGAGAGAAGTGCTTTTCCTCTGATAAGAAAACTCTCCAGACAAGAGCATTATCGCCAACTCCATCATTAATTAGAAGCATTTGAGTTCTACAGATACAGTATTTGCATTGAGTTTCTCCTTCAAGGCAGAGGCATCTGAATCCCCAACATCAGCAGTGACTTACGGGTTAATGGGAAGCAGCACTTGCACCCAAGTGCCCAGATACATGAAGACATACCTTGAAAGTACAGCAGACATGAAGTAAAAGTAGAGAGGAAAGTCAATACAGGGATCCCTACCATATATTCAAAAGTATAATGGAACTGGGGTGGTACAAGCCATGAAATAGCTATCATTTATATTTGGGATATCTAATAAAATTATTGGCTCTTGACACTTGAAAGATCACCACAGACTAATTATAAAGGTGTCATTTGAGGTGAGCCTGGAAGTTTGTCAGTTGAAGCATTTGTTGGAGCAAGTATGTTTTAGATAAAGAAAATAGCAAGCTGACATCACAAAGGTGTAAACATGCTAAACTATTTCAAAGTAAAATTTCAAAAATATGTCTTACAGTTTGAGTTTATGACAACTAAAAGGAATATATGTAGGACAGTAAATTCAAACCGCATATTAGAATTAAAATGTTCCCAGTAAAGCTTTACATGTATTCTTAATGTTTTTTTTTAAACCTGCAATGGAATTTCAGAAATTAACTGAATTTCTGTTTGGGGACCTTATTACTGGAATAATTCCTTGCAAAATCAATGCAAAAGGAGCATCTATGTTTAATTGAAGCAAGAAAGGATGGGAACTGGAGTAATGCTAGGAAAGTTATTTCAGTTGCATGATTCTCAAAGTTCAGTGGATAGGGTGATAATGTGGGAACCTGTTAAAACACAGATCCTAAGATTTCAGCCTCAGATATTTGAACTCATTTGCTCTGAAAAAAAAGCACAATTGTCAACATTTTAATAAGCTCTGTGCATGAAGTTAAAGTGTGTTGTCCAACACATGTTGAGCAATGCTGTAGTAGTTTAAATTAGAAGTGATGAGTGCTTGAACCTGGGAATGGCAATGGAAATGAAAAGAAGACGATAGACTAAGAGACATTTTGAGCATTCATCCACCAGGGTTAAAAGACTAGGTGAACACACTGGTGAAAAAAGACTCATAAGTAATTCTTTTTATTATTATTATTATACTTTAAGTTCAGGGGTATATGTGCAGAATGTGCAGTTTTGTTACATAGGTATACATGTGCCATGGTGGTTTGCTGCACCCATCAACCCGTCACCTACATTAGGTATTTCTCCTAATCCTATCCCTCCGCTAGCCCCCCCACCTCCTGACAGGCCCCAGTGTGTAATATTTCCTTCTCTGTGTCCATGTGTTCTCACTGTTCAGCTCCCACTTATGAGTGAGAATGTGCAGTGTTTGGTTTTCTGTTCTTGTGTTAGTTGGCGGAGAATGATGGTTTCCAGCTTCATCCATGTCCCTGCAAAGGACATGAACTCATCCTTTTTTATGGCTGCATAGTATTCCATGGTGTATATGTGCCACATTTTCTTTATCCAGTCTATCATTGATGGGCATTTGGGTTGGTTCCAAGTCTTCGCTATCATGAATAGTGCCACAATAAACATAATGTACATGTGTCTTTATAGTAGAATGATTTATAATCCTTTGGGTATATATGGGATTGCTGGGTCAAATGATATTTCTGGTTCTAGATCCTTGAGGAATCACCACACTGTCTTCCACAACAGTTGAACTAATTTACACTCCCAACAGTGTAAAAGCGTTCCTAGTTCTCCACACACTCTCCAGCATCTGTTGTTTCCTGACTTTTTAATGATCACCTTTCTAACTGGCTTGAGATGATATCTCATTGTGGTTTTGATTTGCATTTTTCTAATGAACAGTGATGATGAGCTTTTTTTCATATGTTTTTTGGCTGCATAAATGTCTTCTTTTGAGAAGTGTCTGTTCATATCTTTTGCCCACTTTCTGATGGGCTTGTTTGTTTTTGTCTTGTAAATTTGCTTAGGTTCTTTGTAGATTCTGGATATTAGCCCTTTGTCTGATGGGTAGATTGCAAAAATTTTCTCCCATTCTGTAGGTTGCCTGTTCACTCTGATGATAGTTTCTTTTGCTGTATAGAAGGTATTTAGTTTAATTAGGTCCCATTTGTCAATTTTGGCTTTTGTTGCCATTGCTTTTGGTGTTTTAGACATGAAGTCTTTGCCCATACCTATGTCCTGAATGGTATTGCCTGGGTTTTCTTCTACGGTTTCTATGATTTTACGTCTTACATTTAAGTCTTTAATCCATCTTGAGTCAGTTTTTGTATAAGGTGTAAGGAAGGGGACCAGTTTCAGTTTTCTGCATATGGCTAGCCAGTTTTCCCAACACCATTTATTAACAATTCAAGCCCTGACAGTGAAGAGAACATTGATGTTTTTAGTAAAATTTAAAAAAAAAACAAACTTCAGAGGACTTACATTTTAGAGAAGGAAAATAAATTTTTCAAGAAGACAGCTTGAGTTTAAGGTGGCATAAGGAAAGTGAAATGGAGATGCTCACTAGGTACTTTGTTGAGGGTCACGGAGAGTGAAGAAAGTTAAAGGCTTAGACTCAGCAGTCACCTATCTATAGTTAACAAATAAGACGATAAAAGTGGAAGAAAGAAATGTGAAGCTCTGAGAATCCATATGGCTAGGGGAGCGGAGGTTTGGAACTAGTAATAAAAATGTTTTTCCTCCCAGGTGCAGTGGCTCACACCTGTAATCCCAGCACTTTGGAGGTCTGGGCAGGTGGATCACCTAAAGTCAGGAGTTCAAGACCAGCCTGACCAACATGGTGAAACCCCGTCTCTATTAAAAATACAAAAAGTAGCTGAGCATGGTTGCAGGCACCTGTAATCCCAGCTACTCAGGAGGCTGAGTCAGGAGAATCACCAGAACCTGGGAGGTGGAGGCTGCAGTGAGCCGAGATCACATCACTGCATTCCAGCCTGGGCGACAAGAGCAAAAGTCCATCTCAAAAAAAAAAAAAGAAAGAAAGAAAAATCGTGTTTTTCCTGAGACTTAACCATTAAAACAAAATTCGAACTTAAAGCAAATGCTAATGTGGGGAAGAGGAAAGACAGCATAATCCAGGCAGAGGCCACAACCACTGAGGAAACCAAGACTAGAGACACAGCAGAAGGGAAAAGTCAATGCCTGAATTGCCTCTTGTGACTGAAGGGTTAGGGAGAGGCCAGCTTCTGAGGATCTTTGTCTTTGTAGACCAAGTGAAAATTTTTAATCTTTACAGTAAGAGCAGTGAGAAGTCACATGTTTCTTAAAACAAAACAAAACAAAAAAAACAGGAATATTTCTAGCACAGTGTGCTGATACATACCATATAAGATGCTGTTCTAATTCTAGAGCATGGCTGAGCTGCAGCATTGACTCAAGCCTGTTGTTGCTTTTCCAAATGTACCTTACAGGACAGTGAAATATATCATAAAGAAATTGCCTTTCTAGGTGTCCATCCTGAATCCACTCTTACTCATGGTGTTATTTTGAAAAAAATATTTAATTCATGCTTCTTAACTTTGGTTTCATATTCCAACCATCTAAAAATACCAATGCCTGGTCCCACCTCCCACAGATTCTAAACTCAAGGATTGGTGGTATTTTTAAAACATATTCAGGTGTTTCTAATGTGTATCCAAAACTGAGAACCAGGGACTGTCACTAAATGTTTCAGTTATTTATCTTGAAAATGGGCTGATTATAATAATACCTAATACTTGGAGATGAGATAAAATGAGGTGGTGTTTGGAAACACTATGTGTAAGCTAGACATGTATTTAAGTGTGTATTATGTCTCCTCATAGTCACTTACTGTAGTCATTCAAGTGTTGCAAAAGGCTCTTCCATGAAAAAGATCCATGAGGAAAGCTTTTTCTGTAGCTTCTGGCCTGGTACTTTAACTCGTAATGGTTTCTTCCTTCAACCAGTCATAGAAGGCCTGTGGTTTGATGTGTGGCAAGGTTTCCCTGCTTTCTGTTTATAGACATATTAAAATTTGTTTGCATCATTCTTTCCACATGTGGGATACCCAAAAACTTTGTTCTTGCTTGTTTCTTGCTGAATATGATTTTTTCCCAACCTTCTACCCCACGATCAGTTGGCCTTCTTCACTTCCATGGCATGAAAAAACAAAACAAACAAATAAAACAAAAAACAAAGAACAAACAAAAACTAACAGCAGTAAAAGCAAAAATCTCCTATTTTCTCTGGAGGATGGACCTTTAAATATAAGAGTAAAAATTTAGAAATGTTGAGTATAGTGATAGTGACGTAATGCCTCCCTTTAAAACTCAGTACAAATTGTGTTATGCAGAATAATTATAGAGTCAAAATTTTAAATGACATCACCACATTCTCCACGTAAGTTTCTACATAGGGAACAGCATACAGTGCTTTCTGCCTGAGGCTACCGCTCTACCTCCATTCTAGAGTTCATAGATGATATGCAACTTTGAACTTGGTCGTCTGAGTAAAGTGTGCATTTTCCAGCCTGGCTTTGATTCCTGTATTGATTCACTGTTGAGAGGTTGTAACTCAGTTCCTAGGCTTCTCATTCCTATCTGTCATGCATTGTGATTCATCATTGCCTCCACATTTGAGGATAATTTGTTTTCTGTTATTTTGTACTTCCTCAAATGTTCTCTAGCTAAGTCATATATGTATGCATGGTATCTTTCTTAAGGCCAGAGATCATGTTGCTAGGATGATTCTGGGCTAACGGAACTGGTCACAAGAGAACCACCATTTAAAAGAGCATAGAAGGCCTAAATTTAATTTTCTACTTCAGTTATTAACAGTTTTCTCTAACAAAGTTGACACATGTCCTCTCCAATGAGTAGATAATGCCTGTGTGACACAAATTAAAGTGATCAGACTGCTGACCAGGCCTTTGCTTTTGTTTTTCACCATCTTTGGTCACTTCCATCCCACGATTATGCTGAGCTATGTTCCTTTCAGCACAATGCTTAGCCATAATCATAAACAGTCAATGACTTTTGTCATTGCTCAATCAAAAGCAAAATTTTAAACATGCAAATTTTTTTAAAAAATGTTGTTATTACTTAGCTCTTTCAGTAACAAATGCTACATGTAAGTATTGAATATTTTGATTCTCAAATGCATCATTGAAGTTCATTAGATTTATTTTATTCAATGAATATTAGAAATTCGATATAGAAATGGAGAATGGGATAAGGAAGTTGAAAATCTTGGCAGAGGCATTTTTCAATGCATCTAGTTAAGAACACCAGACTTTCATTGAAAGTCATATAAAAACATACAGTTTATTTAACTGTAACCATTATTTTCCACTCTACCTTGGTAAACAGATAGTGCTGCAGTGTTTCAAGTAATGCCACCTGACAGGAGCAGCAGAAGGAAGTGCCTCTGGCTTCCAAAATTATGACTTATTGTTTCAATGTAGAAAAATTCTTAGTGTGATTAACATTTACTGTTTTTACTAACAATATTTAGCTGAGTTCCACTGCAGGCACCAAAGCATTGCTTTAGGAGCTCTTGGAAGGAGATGATGCTCTTTTTTTGTTTGTTTGTTTTTTCCTCCAAAATACTGTACTATTCACAGTGCACTTACCTTCAAGTTTTTAAATGCGAGTTTGTTTGAATTGAGTTTGACCTAAATGGCTTAGTAAATGGAAGTGAGGAAAAGCTGTTTCCACTTTCTAGCACTTTGAAATGTTCCCATCTAACACTTTCTAAATACACGGGTCAAAAAACACTTCAGTGGCCTAGGTAAAGCCTGCAAGCAATGGAAAATGAAGTAACATTTGACAAACACCTTTTAGTGCTGGGCACTTAACAGTGTTATATAAGTCTGAGAATGACTATGTAAGTTAAATGTGAGTAGCTCCATTTTTAAAATGAGGAAAATAAAATCCATTGCAATGTAAGTAACTTGCCCAACATCACTCAAAGGCCAGTGGCCAAGTCAGAACTCAAAACTTTGTGCTTCTGACCACAGAGACCTTGCTTAGCAGACATTTCTGTGTCAACTAGCTGATCCAGCTACTCTTAATAAGCAGTAAATGATTTCTTACCCCACCCTCTGTATGTTCAAGATGTTTTCCAAGATACTTAAATTGATAAAAATTCACCCAAGAAATAATACGATGTTTTTTGTCTTTTTCTGCCTAAGCCCTTAAATCTTAATAGGACCACAAACCCAGAATGTAAAAACAAAACAAAACAAAAAAAGCACTTTACTGATCTCTCTTTCACATATTTTGAGGCAATGATCAAAATAAATGTTCTTTGCTATCCTTGGAATAATACTGTATCCCAAAGTAGTACTGTAAAACTCGAAAATGTTGGAGTTGAAAGAGACCTTGGAGATTATTTGATCTTTTTTTTTTTTTTTTTTTTTTTTTTTTTTGAGACAGAGACTCACTCAGTATGATCTGAGCTCACTGCAACCTCCACTTCCCAGGTTCAAGTGATTCTCCTGGCTCAACCTCCGGAATAGCTGGAGTTCCATACATGCCTCACTACACCAGGCTAATCTTTGTATTTTTAGTAGAGACTTGGCTTTACAATGTTGGCCAGGCTGGTCACGAACCCCTGACCTCAAGTGATCCGACCGCCTCGGCCTCTCAAAGTGCTAGGATTATAGGCATGAACCACCCTGCCGGGTTCTAATCTTAAACTTGATATTTACATGTGAGAAAGTTGGAAGCTGAGCCTCTAAAGAGCTCACGTATAGGTTTCAATTTAGTCGCCAAGTTAAGTAGAAGAGTTAGAATTAAAATCAAGGGATCCTAGTCCTTATCTCTGTGTTTTTATCCACAGTGCTATGAATAACTCTACAAATGCAGTGTTATTTTACTTTTGCTTTATATTCCTGTACATGTTTGCAGATATTTGTTCAATTTAATGTTTTAACACTCCTTAAAATAGTGAACCACACTTCTTAACTTTTTTTCTTACTTGGGGATGTAAAAGGGAGTACTGAATGGGACCCTGTGTACTTGCATACTTCTCAAAGTAACCTGATTGTTATAGAAGTCTTATTGTTTTTACCAGGCCGAACATTGACTTGAGTTCATTCGAATGGTATCTTTTAAGCATTGTTGTCTTTGGTCAATTGATATTTAATTATTGCCAGTTGACTTATCAATCTCATTGTCCTAAAATGTCCAAATATATGTAAAATACATTAAACTAGTAGAATAAAAAGTTTTCTATAACAAAGAAAAATTACTAAAATTACTCTATTTCTGTAGAAGCTAATCCAGGACTCTGAGAGAGAGTTTCATTTGTATGTCCAAATACATTCACCTACCTATACATGTGTCCTTTTGGTAGAGAATAATTTTTTATTCATTTTCTTAATGAATAGCAAATTACATTTGAGAAAACAAACATTCTCACTGTACAAAATTGAAAATGGCTAATTTCTCACTTACATAGATTTCTTAGAACATCTGATACTTTCTCTATTCCTTCCATGAGAAATAACATTGTAAATTGAGCTGTTAAACTGATTCATGCATAGACCAGCAAAAAAGGGCAGTAAGTGGCTCTGAATCTTTCATAAATGCGGCAGAAAAGATTTCTGTCTGTGCTTACCCCTTACCCCTGCTATTTTATGTCATAATGCATCATTACATACTGATGTTTGTTCCTGTGCAAGTCAGCAAAAAAAAGGATTACATAGTGTATGCTGGCCCTTTTCCTTGAATTAACTATGTCACTTTTGATTTGTTATGTTATTGGACCATGTTTCAGGCCTTTTTAACACTGGCAACTATGGTACAAATATACATAGTCATCTCCAGAGGTTTGCTATTTTGTCATCTGAACCCTGAACATTTTAAATATTTTTATTCAGATAAAATGGTTTTAAAATAATATAAAATAATGCTCAAAAGGGAAAGACATTGATAATGTGCAATGTAAATAGAGGGTTTGGTGTGACACTGTCTTGTGGAAATTGTGGTAGTGAGCGGAATTATTCTACAGATTCATTTCTAAAACAAAATTTAAAAAAATGAGTATGAAATGGCCTCAGGTGGAACATAGTCTAATAATCATTTTCATTGTCATGTTTGTTTTCTGATAGCTAGGTCCAATAATCAGTCACATTTTGCCTGAAACTTCACTGATGAAGAATTCACTGCCTTCGTGGATGTTTTTGACACTCAAACCTTTCTTCATGGTTGCTCACATTTTCCAAATGTGGTTTCATTTTTATCTGTTGATCCCAATATATCACCTGGAAATACTAAATGAAGGAATAATGTACTTACTAAATACATTTGTGTAATATACTGTGAACAGGTAGTCTGATATTTTATTAGCCATAATCTAGCAGAGAAGAAACAATGTAATTTTTCTATTTAAATAGATTCATTTATTAAACTTCTATTGAGTGACAATTCTCCTTTAGGCTCTAGGATAAGTCCTGGGTATTCAAAGGGGAATAAGATGTGGTTCTTGTTCTCACAGAGTTCATGGTCTAATGAAAAGACCAAAAAAAGGTAAGAGTGGAGTGATCTGCTACACACTTGCTAAGTGACCCAGCACAAGTGTGGTTGCCTGTGTGTTTGTGTTAGAAGAGATAATGTTATTTAAAGGGCTTACCATAGGTGAAATCAGCAAAAGGTGGTTTCCAGTTAAGAGGTTGATGTGAAAATCTACATTACAGCATTTATGAACTAATTAAGATAGTAGCTGTTTTGTGGCATTTGACATGGTGAATTTAAGAATGTTTTAGATTCTGTGACATACATAGTCTGAAATCTTCAAATATGTCAGCTAGTAATAAAAGAAAATTAAGAAGCAATGCTTCTGTAACATACAGTAGACATAGTATCTTTTCCTTTTCTTGGAATTAAATTGGAATTTTATAAGAAAAAACTGTGGGAAGGTTAAAATGACAGTAAATAAAATTGTGGATGCATGGATCAATTGTGAAGAAGAAATAAAGATAATTTTGTGAAAACAGCGTTAGTATTTAAATGACTACTAAATCAGGCCTTAAAATACATTTTCCTGAAAATATGTTCACTTAAGGTTGTGTTTATATCAATTCAGAATTGATGATATTAAAACTGAAATTTATTTAATTTTACAGTCATGTTACAGATTTAATTAAAACATTTTTGAGATTAGAAGGAAAAAATCACCCACACATGGAATGTGACATAGCCTCTACCGTTTTTATAGAAAGTAACTGGAAAACAAATCCTTTTTAGGTTAAACCTAAGACCCAATAGTTTAATGTCTGAATGACAGATGATTATGAAAAAAGAAGCACGTGCTCTCTTCTCTCTCTTCCTCTTCGTATTCTCACTCTAACTCAATGTAGTTGCTTTGTTTGAATTTGAAATAAGCTGTTTTCTAATCGAGGATGTTGTGGATAATCAATCATATGGGGAAGAAAAGAAGTGCTTAATATGGCTCATAATTATTCTCCAAGTTTGCTGAAATTATTTGTACAGGAGAGTGACATGATCTTTCTGTCTTGCTCATGTAGGGGGTTTGCTAGTGGGAAATTAGTGATGAAAATAAAATACCAAAATGTCAAATCATTTATGTTCCTAAAAGCTGAAATAATTTCAATTTACGAACCAAGACAAAGTAAGGCAAAGAAATCTTTACAAATGTGTTTTTTTCCTTCATAGCATTCATAGCTCTAATGCATTTACAAGATGTTAAATCACATAGTTTTAAAGAAATCAGATTGAAATGGGAAACAATTTTCTAACATATTTGAATCTACTTCCAGGACTAATGTAGACACTCCCCAGAAACTTTGTATATCAATTCAGCTATTAATGGAAGTTGACATGCCATCATTCAGGTTGGTACATTGCACCAATGCTGATTGTACTAGCTACATGGGGGAAATATGAAGAAAAGCAGTGATTTAGGATTAGTTTTGCCTGAATAACCTTTTATAGTCCTTCCCAATATCATGGCTCAGTGCAAATATATGAATTCCTGATTAAAACTGGCTTTCAGCAATACAAAATCTGCACAAAATAAGGAAGTAAACTATTTCAATATCTCAATATTGAAACATTGATAGTGCTCAATAAATAAATGTCTTTGGAATGAATGAAGAGGTAGACAACTAATATTAAAGCAACACAAAGTTACATGACATAATTTACCAGGGAGGTGGACCATACACTGATAATTAATGTGTCTGCATTATTATTGTGATACTTCACTAACGTATAATTGTCCATCTCAAATAAATAAGTTGTTACTTATTGAATGAACCTCATTCATTAAGTAAGACTCTTTAAGTAGTTGGCACTTGTAGATGCGATCACAAACCCCAGTCAAAGTCACTAAATATATGCTGCAATGTTCTATGGTCAACATGGTTATGATGGAAATTATATTTCCTCGGAACCTCTTTTCTATATGATTTCAACTTATAAAGAATTATTAAATGGGAAACAGCAGTGAAGAAATGGGCATTAGGTTTGAGATGAAAATATTGCCTTGGAAATACACATAGAGTGATGCAGATTTTTCCCAATTTGTCTCTGCTCTTAACTGCTCTGCATCCAACTCTACTTCCTGACTGTTAGCTATGCTAACTAAGAGAAACTCAAGTTCATTCTCCAAATGATTTGATGCAAACTTAAGAAGTAAGGTAACCACAAAGAGCAAAGAGCCAACATGATTCCACAGACTTCAACACCAGCCCCATTTATGGTGCTGCTACTCTAAAAGCTAGATGTAATGAGCATCAATATTTCCTGAAAATTCCATACAATTCTATTTCTCTAATCTCTTTTTGGGGGCCTTTATTTCCCTGGATCCTACTTCAATTGTGTAACATCTGACTCCATTAGCAAATTCATTGGTTCATAGTTCTTATGATAGTTCTGCTTGTCTTATTTTATCCAGCCAAAGATAATCACAATGATATCTCCCATCTTCATGCTCAAGAAGTGGAAACCATTTCTCTGCTCTCTTGAATCAGAGTCTAGGAGTTGGGCCTATGACTGCTTTGACCAGTAGAATAGGAAGAAAGGGATGCTGTGCCATTTTCAGGAGCAAGGCTTAATTGGTTTGGTATCTTTTGATTTCTCTTACAGAACACATGCTGTAGAGAAGCCCGTCTCCATAAAACAGTCTTGACTACTCTGAGATTTTCATGCTGTGCAGAAGACTAAGCCGACTGTATGACGAAGAAATGTTAAGAAAAAGAGCTGATCAACCAATTTGGAATCACCGCCGCCTTCCCAGCTGAGGTCCCAGACACTTGAACTGGTCCAGTTCATCCAAATTTCTGACTATTCTAGACCCAATTGACATTTGATAACAACTACATGTGATATTTGGAGCAAGAACTTCTGTCTGAGACCAATATACTCAAAGATCCATGAGAGACAATAATATAGTGATGTTTTAAAATATCCAGGCATGGAATTTCTTGTTAATGTAATATTAAATAACAAAAGGAATGAATTACAAGCGCTGTGTTCTTCCTTGGTCCCCTGCTTTCACCACTGTAGCTCATTTGATAAGGGATTCAGCAATTGCTAAGTGAAGTGGAGCAACCCATTCAAAGTACAAAACGTTGTTTAACTTTTAATAATTTCTTTGCTGGGTTTACTTTCATAATACTTTTCATAATAATTTCATTGCTGGGACCATTTGCTGTGCAAGATTTACAAGCATTATTTAGACTATAGTGCCCAAACAAAACAGAAACTATTTTTTAAAGCCATAAATGACTGAGGTCCCACAGGAAAAAAAAAAAAGATATTTTAACAAATATGCACTGTGTCTCCAAATTTTGTTATAAATACATTTTATATTACTATGTTTTGTATTATCAAATACCGTCTAGAAAGTGTGTTAATTTTTATTTGCTCCTTCATGCTTCTTGACAGTTGGAGAAGGCTGGAGGAATGTGTGACTCAGAGACTTCGGCAACAAGAGTTTTGGCCTTTCAGCAATTACTCAAAATTTACTTGAAATTCACTGCTGATGAGATTTTGTTGGTACTACAGGGCAGAAGGGAGCCTCAGTAAAGTAGTTATTGCACAGACATTTACTTCAGTGGTGGTAATTCTTGCAACAATAAGACAAAATTTTGAGTTCCTCATTTACTCCTTATCAGTATTTTGTGTTTGTATTAATAAATTACTTAATCTCTCTGAGATTTAGTTCGCTGTGGGCAAAATAGGGACTGAATCCTACATATATATTTATTTATTTTATTTTCTTATTTTTTAAACTTCCTTCCTTCCTTTTTTCCTTCCCTCCCTCCCTCTCTCCCTCCCTCCCTTCCTCCCTCCTTTCTTTCTTCTTTCTTTCTTCTATGCCAAAGAGTTTGGTATCCAAAAAATTCTCAATGAAAATTAATATCCTTTATCTCTTAACACCCACTGTAGCTCCACACTCCTCCTTTTCCACCTTACTCCATTTCTGTTTTTTTTTTAATTTTTTTCTAGCTACATTCAGATTTCTGGTTTTCTAATTGAATATTTTATAATACTGTATCTGTTTCTTTCTGAGTATGAGCAACTGCTATATCCTAACTATTTATTGGCTTTGACATCTTCTACCTTTCTCCATATGATAATAGCTATGATTAATTGAACAATTATTACATGTGAAGCATTACCTTAATGCAGGTATTATTAATATGGCTGTTTTACAAATGGGAATTTCAAGGACAAAGAGTGACTAATTTCACATAACTCAGAAAGCTAGTAAGGGGAAGAGTCTTTGGGACTAATTAAATTAGTCAGACAGCATTCTCCTTCCTAAGAGCAGGGCTTTAAAACTTTTAATAAAAAGACAAAATTTACATTTTGTTTATACCAGTGTGTCTCAAAATGTGCTCCATCATCAACTCTATCAGAATTTTCTTAAATGCTTCTTAAAATGCAGATACTTAGGCCCCAAACCAGTAATGGAAAAGAGAAGCTTAAGGTTGCAGTGGAGGAGTCCAAACCTTTCATAGAATTTCCCAGTGATTCTTGGAACAAAAATGTTTGAGAGCCTTTGTATTAGAAACATACGGAGTTGTTTAAACATAACAATGGGTCACACAATGTCCCTGACTATTTAAAATATATCTACATTTGTTTTTTTAAATATTATAAGGCCCAGGGCTATAAAAATAAATGCAATAGTTAGGGTTTGCATGTTGTCCTTCCCCATTCTTATAATCCCTATGATTCTGAGGTGTTTTCTACTCCACATTCAATGTGGTTTTCTATAATTATTGATTCACTAGATTGCCTTTCTCATAATTATTTACTGTTTAACAACAGCATATTTAATAACAGAACTTTTGTATCTCCTTTCTCCAATTCATATGTTGCAGCCCAAATATCTCGTAGCTCAGAATGAGACTCTCTTTGAAAGTAGGCCCTGTAGAAAGGTACTTAAGGTAAAATGAGGTCATATGGGTGAGCCATAATCTAATATGGCTGGTGTCTTTATGAGAGGATATTAGGACACAGGCAACACAGACTGAGGTTAAACGCAGACTGAGGATGTGGTGGCACATCCAGAAGGTGATCATCTGCAAGCCAAGGTGAGAGGCCTCAGTAAAAAACAAACCTAGCAATACCTTGGTTGGGGACTTCTAGTCCACAAAACTATTAGCAAATAAATTTCTTGTCTAAGCCACCTAGTATGTGACATTTTGTTATGGCAGCCCTATCAAACTCATACAATAACTAGTTATATGTGTGTGTGTGTGTGTGTGTGTGTGTGTGTATATATATACACACACATATAGAATGTATAATATATAATGTGTATAATATGTATATATGCATATATGTGTGTATATATGTATATAATGTGTATAATATAATATGTATTTATATATAATTACATATTTATATATAAATATGTATTTATATATAATTACATATTTATATATAAATATATATTTATATGTAATTTAATATATATACATTTATTTATAAAATCTTAAAATTATAAAAATTATAATTTGTAAATATATATTTATATATAAACTCATACAAGAACTAATGTATGTGTGTATATATATTACATATATTTAATTATATATAATCATATATACATAAAATTTCTGTTTAAAGTAATTTAAGCTATGGATGAACAGATGAGAAAATTTGGTACCTCTTACTTATTTCTGTGAGCTTCTGTAATGTATCTGTCCCTTGTAATATAAGTTGAATCTTCCTTTGAGTCTTGTTCCATGCAGTCATCCAGTTGTATTAGAAACATATAGAGTTGTTTCCTTATATGCTATATTCAGAGAAGAAATACTAGTAGAAACCTGAATATTGACACAGCCTTTCTCCACTATGTTTTATACTATTCAACATTCTACTTAATAGCTATCATGTTCTATCTTTTCTACCTCTACTGGACGCTGAATATACAAAATTCCTTTGAAATAATCAGATGTGCTTGTGAAATAGCAAAGTATGATAGATTAGATTATCGTTGCTAAATACTCAATTATTTCCCCACTTGCAGAGAAGAATATTTTCTTTGGCCCATTAATGTTATTAAACATTTTTTTTTGCACTGGTCTATAGGGAATGAAAAAGAGAACCCCACTCTTGGCAATAATTTCTGAATTCTCCATTGCCTAAATGACCAATTATTTATTCTCACTCATGAATCCCCATGTAAACTTGTGATGAGTTAATATAGTCCAACTTAGCTGGGAGGCTGATTTCCTACTTTGCTGGGCTTCTTGCCATTTTTTGGAAGATTTTGGCGCTTAATATTTATTATTAATACATTAATGTTATATTTAATATTTATTATTAATTTACGTAAAAATGTATATTATAATTCCTCAAATCTACATATGCCTAAAGAATATTAATTGGTAACATCATTCCACAAAATTTTATCAAATTTGAAATATTCACATTTATGAAAATACTAACTCAGTTATTCAAAAAATCAAGAAGACTTTAAATTCATTTCAAAAGATATTTATATTATTTTTAGAATTACATCATGCTACGTCAATATTGAAAACTTTAAAAACAAAACCCTAGATTTGAGTTGTCTTAAAGAGTTAGAGTGGAAGACAAAAGAAATAACGTAATTTTATCTTAATGCTTAGAAAATACAGGACATAAAGAATGACTAATAATCTAAGAATGAATAGAAACAAGATTTGAAATAAAAATAAGCAATAATATGGATTTGAATACAAAATTAAGAAATATTAATATTCAAAGACAATTTTATTTTTATTGATATGCATACAATTAGAATTAATATAAACTTAATACACAATGATAGTACCATAGTATAATGAATTCAGCGTAGATAGACGTGACTATAGGAGTTTATAAATTTTAATGAGCAAAACATGTGAATTCAATTGTTCATTTATTTCCTGTTTCATTTAACACATAATTATTGACTCTCACTTTCTTGTGGTACTGTTTCAGGCACCTGGGATCTGCAGCAACAACATAACTAAATTACCTGGCCTCGTGGAGTGTACTTTTTAGTGGGGTAAAATAGAAAATGAGTAGGTAAATAAGATAATATCAGCCATCGTCATGGCTTTGAATGGTAAGTTGTGTGGGAACATTATTGAGATATATATTTTTTAACAATACATTGTTTTAATAATTGAAAAAATCAGATATTTAATATCTAACTTTTTCACAATTATGCTGGATTACAAGCAGATCTTCTAACTATGGCAGTAACATCCCTGCAGCATGCTTTAGCTTCACCAGTGCAAGTTTATGGGTCTTACATATTTCATCTGATATTTAAACACACTCATTGTAAAACAAGTAACACTTGTTATTAAAATGTTGCATTATGTGGAATGTACAAAAGCGTTGTCAACCCTATGCCATCAATAATTATGTTTTCTGGGAATTAAGTAACTCCAAATATTCTATATGGGAAAAATATCTGTGACTGGGAGGATGAAACAAACAGGAAAAGAAAGCAAAATTGTCTTACAGCTTGTTTCTTGTAGCTTTTTAGTTTTTTGTCTCATTTTAGTCCCATTACTCTTGTTAAACTTGGTGAGCACTGATACACAAGAATATTTCTTGAATTGAAATTGTCCCATATAGGACCATTTAATTGCTGTCAAAAGAAATATCTTTGTGTTCTGTATTAAAACCAAAACAAGATTTTTATGGGGCTAATAAAAATATATTAAAGAATCACATGCATGCAATAAGTATATTCAGAGTTAAAAAATAAGACAGGTATATTGAATGCTTACTTAATATATCAAAAATTGTATGATATGGGCAAAAATAGGCATCAAATTACCTTTACCATCTGGAGTTCACCACTAAAACTATGTGAAAAAAATCACAAGTTAATTCATGTTTAAATAGAATATATCCTCCTCTCATATTCCAAGAAAATAATATTTTCAAAACAAATTATCTTCATGTCTATTCAGTTCTCAAAAGTACTTTGCTTATTCCTCTACATAAAATTTTGATGGAATGGTGTCATTTGCTAATTTTTTTTGTAAATGCCTGCCTCTGGCAAGGAGCAATTTAAACACAAAGGATACAATGAAATCTTAATATGTGTCACTAATCAAGGATGTACACAGGCAGTCTGTTTTTGAGAAGAACTGGTATAAACAGTTTGTTGCCTTAGGAAGACAGCAATCTGACCTAAATTAATATGAATTACCACAACATCATCAGAGAAACTGCCTTGTAATACAAACATTTCTATCTAGACCCCAAAGGTTCAGTCCATCCAACTGTTATGCTGTGTATACTCAGATTTATTCTCTTTATATCCATTTAAACAGCAATAATTGCTCTTTTAATTTCCCAAATTATTTTGCCCATGTTCTTTTTATGGTTGGCCTGTGGTGCTTTAAACATTTTTCAGAGGAAACTGTAGAATGTAGAAAGTATGTATATAAGTTTTGTTTAAAATTGTGCTAAAAATCAATATTATTTTAAGGACAAAGATAAAATTAAATATTTGTAATTATTATAATCTACAGGATACTCTCCTAAAATTGTTCTCCTATTCTTTCAAAGGCTATGTATGTGTATAATCATATAACTTTCAGCACTCTAAACATTGTTCACAGTGACCATCCGTTTAGTGGTTAAATCTCTTTATGTTTTTTAAAAGCTATTATTTGTTAAGATCATTGATAAAATATTTGTCAGAATTCTAGAATCTTGGAGATTATGGGACTTCTATAATTAATCTTGTAACCCATTGTTTTGCCATATGGATATGTGTTTAACAATTTCAGATAGTAGTCAATTTTTATTTAAAAAGTAAATTGAATTTTAATAATATTAAAAATAACTTTTAAAAAGATCTAACAAGTGGTCAATAATTCATAGGCATTGGAATGCTTCCTTATTATTAGAAAGAGGAAATGTTATTAGGAAACAATCACTCCTTATTTCATTAGCTTAGGTGATTTCTCTAGTATACAATTCCTAGTGTCATATTTATCTTGGATTTAAGACTTTTCATTTTGCTTTACATTTCTTCTTCTTTCTTTTCTCATTCAGGCAAGAGTTCTTCCCAAATATGACAAACTAATCACACCTTTAATGATTTGATGGTAATTGTGATGAGCAATAAAGACCTACTTTTAAGTTTATATATTATAAAATATTTTAAAATAAATGTTGTGGATGCCTATTTGCATTCCTTGCTTTACTTAATCTTATTTTATTTTAACACCAGGATTTAGTGTATGTGTTTTCTCCTCTAAAACATAAAAATCTATACTATCTGAGAATCATAATGTATATCTGTTTTAATTCATCTTTCCTTTCTATAGCCATTGCATAACATGGTCTTATGTTTAAAAAAAGATCATATAGAGCAGCAGTCCCCAACTCTTTTGGCACCAGGGACCGGTTACATGGAAGACAATTTTTCCATAGACAGGGGCAGGAGGTCGGCTTCAAGAAGATTCAAGCACTTTACATTTATTGTGAACTTTATTTCTATTATTATTACGTTGTAATATATAATGAAATCATTATACAACTCACCATAACGTAGAATCAGTGGGAGCCCTGAGCTTGTATTCCTGCAAATAGATGGTCCCATCTGGAGGTGATAGGAGACAGTGACAGATCATCATGCATTGAGATTCTCATACGGAGCGTGCAACCTAGATCACTTGCATGTACAGTTTATAATAGGGTTCACACTCCTAAGAGAATCTGATGCCACAGCTAATCTGACAGGAGGCAGAGCTCAGGAGGCAATGCAAGTGATGAGGAGCAGCTGTAAATACAGATGAAGCTTCACTCACCTCCTGTTGCTCACTTCCTGCTGTGAGGCCCAGTTCCTAACAGGCCATGGACCTCCTTTATATCAGGGATCCATGGCCCAAGGGCTGGGGACCCAGGTTATAAAGGATATATAAATGAATAAGTAATTGAACCAATGTGTAAATGAATCAATGAATACAAAACCAGACAAAAGTACAATATTATCTTTAAATTTTTATTTACATCTGTGTCACTTTTACTTATATATATGTGTGTGTGTGTGTGTGTGTGTATATATGTAGATGTCTGCACTTAATACACTAAAATAAATGCTAACGTAAGTTATTAAATTTTATCTCAAAATATTTCAATTGTTTTCCTTAATGTTTTTTATTGGATTTATTTTTTTAATCTTATTAAGCTTACTTGTGCTGTAAAGAAGAAAATACGTTGCTTGTATGACCACTATCATCAACAATTACATATTTAATATGTTATATGTCCTTAGGCAGTTGAAGATGCTAATAAGGGATGGACTGACAACATGACCTGTCTACTCATCTATTCCCTAATCAACATGTCATGTTTTCTCCACAGATCAAATAAGATGATTCAGAAAGAAGACTTTCTTTGTCAACTTTTATGACAAACTAGAATATATGATTTTGTATTATCTTTTTTTTCCTTCTCTGGACTCTAGGGAAGATGGATATTGAATTGACAAGACATGCACTTTAGGGATCAAGGCATAACTAAGCTGGATTATATACCTCTGGAGAGTACTTTGATTATACAATTTGATTACCTTTCAACTTGAATCTCCCAATCCACATGTTATCTAAATTAATCTTTCCTGATGGGCAGCTCATTTGGATTTAATCCCACTGTTTATACTGCCAAAGTCACATATTTGAAACACTTCAGGGTTTTAAGTTTCCAATTATTAATGATATCTTGAAAAATCTTAGAACTCCTTTCTTTTTCTACAACTAAAAGCCGTTATATAAAATGGCCTCATTCTGAGGCTTATTAATTTACAAGATTTTCACTAATTGATACATTCAACAATGAATAGGCCATTTATATCCTGAATATGCCCAGACTAAGTTTAATCTTGAGAATTATAAATTGCTATTCTTTCAACTGTTATTTATTGTGTACTAACTACATTTCATGCATTGTTCTTTCCGGCTTCTTTTGAAATGTTTTAATTAGATCACAATAAAATTGTTTAAATTAAATTTAAGAGATCTCTTAGCCATTTTTTAATAAGAGTCATTTGAAATAAAGATCTTAGGATATAAAATTCTAACCAACATACTCCTCTCCTCTTGTCAGGTTTTGCAAGCATACATATTCAGGTAAACTGGGGTCTCAACCGCAGGGATATTAAGTCCTTGGAGAGCTGGAGAACTGACATACTCTCTAAGTGATTTCCACTCTCAAATACACAGAGAGAAGTCAAGGACCTTAAGTAAAAGTTACTGTTCAATTTCCATCTCATGAGAGGATGTTAATAGATGTATCCACTGCATAAGAGTTTGCAATCCAAATATAGACTATTTTTCTATGCTTTGAGTACTTCAGCTAATCTTCACCATTGTCTACTTCATGCTCATTTTATTGAGGTCTAAATATTCTATGAGGGTTACCATGCAATAGCTAAGAGACATCATAGATGAACATTCTATTTATTTATTCTCTAAATTATTTTTGTAGTAAAAAACTTTTTTATAGTATCTTAAGATTATAGAAAATTTGTCAGAAAACACAATGCTAGATAAATTTCAAAACATTTCTAATAAAAATTTTATTTAGAGTTTTGCCAAGACAAAAAATTCAGAGGAGTACATTAGGTCTTAAGAATATTGCACATGAAATATATAATTTACATAGAAAAACAGAACAAATGGTTTTATTCCAATAGCTGTTGGGAACAGTCCCCCAAATCTGGCCATAAACAGGCCCCAAAACTGGCCTTAAACAAAATCTCTGCAGCACTGTGACATGCTCGTAATGGCCATGACGCCCATGCTGAAGGTTGTGGGTTTACTGGAATGAGGGCAAGGAACACCTGGCCCACCCAGGGCTGAAAACTGCTTAAGGTGTTCCTAAGCCACAAACAATAGCATGAGCGACCTGTGCCTTAAGGACATGTTCCTGCTGCAAATACCTAGCCAAACCCATCCCTTTGTTTCAGCCCTTCCCTTTGTTTCCCTAAGGAATGATTTTAGTTAATCTGTAATCTATAGAAACAATGCTTATCACTGGCTTGCTCTCAATAAATATGTGGGTAAGACTTTGTTAGTGGCTCTCAGCTCTGAAGGCTGTCAGCCCCCTGATTTCCCATTCCACACTCTATATTTATGTGTGCGTGTCTTTAATTCCTCTAGCACCACTGGGTTAGGGTCTCCATGACCAAGCTGGTCTCAGCAAATAGCCTCATCCCAATTTGTTGAAAAGTTTGGAAGAGATGATGCATGTAGGTTTGTTTCCATAGAAAAAAAAAGTGGTAAGATGCAGCCGGGCACTGTGGCTCATGCCTGTAATCCCAGCATTTTGGGAGTCCGAGGCAGGCAGATGGCCTGAGGCCAGGAGTTCAAGGCTGGCGAAACCCTGTCTGTACTCAAAATACAAAAAATTAGCTAAGAGTGGTGGTGGGCACCTGTAATCCCAGCTACTTGGGAGGCTGAGGCTGAGGCTGGAGAATTACTTGAATCTGGGAGGTAGAGGCTGTGGTGAGCCGAGATTGTGCCATTGATTTCCAGCCTGGGCAACAAGAGCAAAACTCCATCTCAAAAAAAAAAAAAAAAAAAAAAAAAAAAAAAAGAAAAAGAAAAAAAAGATCCAATCAAACATCTCATTCCAAATAAAATCCAGTAGGCTTCTCAACACCAAAAATTTACCTTGTTAGAGTCTCTTCGATTTCAGACTCTATCCAATGTCATTCTGTTTATTTTTATTTGCTCAGTTAATGACAAATCTGCTATTCATGCATGTTTCAAATGTCATATTGATATACAGATATATAATTTTATAGCATCATTGTGTGTTGAATTTAGAAGGTACCTTTGATAGGATTCTTTCTAATCTTTCCCTATGTTCATTGAAGACATTAATTTTGAAGGAAGGTTTTCTTCATGTAACACTTTGCTCTTCAAGGTTTTTAGTATCAATGGCATAAACATATATTGTTACAAACTTGAACATATGAGTCTCCATGATAGTAAACCAACTCAACAAAAATATCACTCTGAAAATATTTGTGTCCAATAATCCTAAAGTCTAAAAGTTTCAATTCACCAATTTATCTAATAAAGCACTAGATGAATAGAATTTTGGAAGTAGTAGCCTGAGGCCTAGGTTAAAATGTCAATCTTTAATTTCTTATTTTATTTTTTTTTGACTGTTATCTCTTTTCTGGAGGAACTACTTTGATAATCAAGGGTCTTAATGGTCAGAGCAGTTATATGTTCAACTCTTAAGCTATGAAATTAAGTCATCAATGCAGATCCCCAGTTTAAGCAATTACTACAATTGGGGCATTTGTTACATCACTTAATTTCTTACACCTCAGTTTAATCAGCTGACAAATGGATTGGATAATAACACTTACCTCATAAATGTATTATAAGGAATAAACACTTAAAAGTGTCCAGCATGGATTAGTAAAGACTCATTAAATGTTAGCTATGATTAATACTTATATTTTATTTAAATAGACCTGAGACATTGCATACACAATGAAGCCTATATAAATCTTTATGTTTCTCTTTTTGCCTTGGCTACCGGGAGGTGAAATTTTTTTAAATTATAGCAACTCAGTTCGATGCTATAGATGAGACTTAATTTTTTAAGCTACTGGGCATTGTATAAGTCTCTTTTTTAAGAAAAATTAATTCTCTGATTGTCCCTAGTCAGAGTTTTGAGGTAAGTCACACTGTGGTTGCAAACTGATGCTGGGACGAAGAGTAGAGGCTGAAACAGTGGCACATTGTTTGGGGAAAAGCCAAAGCAGAGGAGACATGATTTGAGGTAGTGCCCAAAGTCTCAGCAAGAACAAGCTGAATTTTAACCATCAGGAAAATATTGCACTCTCATGAATTATTTTTTTTAAATCAAAAAGAGTCAGAAATCCAGTAGAAACTGGGATTCATTGAAAAGTGAAAAGAAGTAAGAGTAAAGAAAATGGTTTTAAACATTTGCTGTACTGTGAATTATAATGGAGGCTTGAGACTCCTTTTATTAATAGCCTACTTTGCAGCATATAAGGAGATCGTTTTACTCAAATATTAATCATTGTGTACCTAATGTCAAATTTTATTCTCGCTACCCCTCTATCAATTCCGTGCCCTCTTTGAATGGGTTAGGCATTATCTTTACATATAACCTGTGATTCAAGAATTATATTATAGCCAGACCTTTTACTTTAAATCAACTATAAGCTATTTAAAACGTAGGCTTGGTATAAATAATAAAGTAAAATAAAATTAAGTTAGCCGTGTTACATAGCCACGAAAAAGCTAATGTAAATTCTCAGCATAGTAGATTGGTAGCATCAATAGTAGAAACTGTTTATTTTCTACCAGTTAGACCACAAATAAATTAATGAAGTCATTTATGGACAATGTATTTTCAATAAGACAATGTTAAGCTAGAAATGATATGCTATAAAAAGTAGGCTAGCGGGTTTTATAATATTGCCATATGTAAATCGTTGATGTACCTGAGGCAGAGACAACTAAATAGATAGTTAGAGGCTCTTTGGGAGGCAGCTTGAATATTCAAGATAGTATTAATGTATTGCAATGGTAAAGAGAAGAAAAGTGCTGCAAGGGTCTTAGAGCGAGGCAGCCTAGGTGAACATTCTAGGGCTGTCACCAACTTTTGCCTAATCCTGGGCAAGTCACTTCATTATCCTGAGCTTTGGTTTATTGAACTGTAAAATGAGGAGAGTAAAATAATGGCTAACTCACAGCACGATATAAGAATGAAATATCTTTATATATGTTTTAATATATAATTATTTGAAAGTTCATATGAGCAGTACTCAATGCATACCATTTATTATTATTCAATTTTAGTCAGGGATGCTGTTGAGTCACTTGCGGTAAACAGTTTAAATATTATCTAAGTTGTATCTTTTTGTAGATATTATGATGGGAAATTTCTAAAATTGTAATAAGAAAGAGACAGAAATTTGAATAACAGAGGCTTGATATTTGATAATTTGTTTCCCCAAGACTAGCCAAGCAGGGAAAATTCCAGGTATTCTGGCAACTCAGAAGGGGAATGTGGAATTTTCTGATTGAGTGAATAGGCATTAATATCATAGAGAACTGCCAAATGTAAAAATCAGGCATATTACTGAAAACAGAAATTCAGAATATTGTCACTGGTTCTTGACCTTGAATACATACTAGTTATCATTGGGGAAGTTTTCAAGAAACACACATACACACACACACATACACACACACACACACACACACACACACATTGGCTTAACTTCTACCATCCAGAATTTTGAATTTATTTTTCAGGAATGAAATCTGTGAAAGTGTGTATCCATCTTTACAATTAGATTTGAAAACCACTAGACTATGTCAAAGAGAAATTTGAATTTAGTGAGACACAGAAGATGACGAGAAGCAGAAAGAGAAGAGCTTGAAGTTGTGTCCTTTATTATTATTATTATTAATAATAATAGAATTTAGTTCTAGAGCAATTATGAATAAAGCTGCTATAAATATTTGGGCGTAGGCTTTTTATGGACATAAGTTTTTTTATTATTATACTTAAGTGTTAGGGTACATGTGCACAACGTGCAGGTTTGTTACATATGTGTACATGTGCCATGTTGGTGTGCTGCACCCATTAACTCGTCATTTAAAATTAGGTATATCTCCTAATGCTATCCCTCCCCCCTCCCCCCACCCCACAACACACCCTGGTGTGTGATGTTCCCCTTCCTGTGTCCATGTGTTCTCATTGTTCAATTCCCACCTATGAGTGAGAACATGCGGTGTTTGGTTTTTTGATGGACATAAGTTTTAAACTCCTCCTGGTAAATACCAAAGAGCACAATAGTTGGATCATGTAGTAAGAGGATATTTCATTTTGTAAGAAACTGACAACCTGTCTTCTATAGTGGTTGTTCTATTTTGCTTTCTCATCAGCAGTGAATGAAATTTCCTGTTACTCCACATCCTTAACAGCATTTAGTGTTTTGGATTTTGGTAATTATAATAGGTGTGTAATGGTATTTTATTGTTGAATTTGCATTACCCTAATGACATATAATGTGGAGCATCTTTTCTTATGCCTATATGCTATTCTTTCTACATTTTTGTTGCAGTGTCTGTTAAGGTGTTTGGTCCATTTTTTGGTTAGGTTGTTTGTTTTCCCATTGTTGAGCTTTAAGAGTTATTTGTATATTTTGGAAAATAGTCCTTATTAGATGTGTCTCTGGCAAATATTATCTCCCAGTCTGGAGGGTGTCTTTTTACTATCTTTCACTAAACGTAAATCTTAATGAAGTCCAGCATATCATTTCTTTCTTTCATGGATCATGCTGTTGATGTTTTATCTAAAATGTTATCACCAAATCCAATGTCATGTAGGTTTTATCTTGTATTATATTCAGATTTATAGTTTTATATTGTACATTTAGATCTGTGATTCATTTTGTGTTAATTTTTTGAGAGTGTAAAGTCTGTATCTGAATTCTTTTTTTGCATGTGAATGCCCAGCCATTCCAGTTTCATTTGTCAAAAACACTACCTTTCCTTCATTTTGTTGCTTTTGTGCCTTTCTAAAAGTTCAATTGACTATATTTTTGTAGGTTGATTTTTGTGTTCTGTATTTTGTTCCACAGATTTATTTGTCTATACCTATACCGATGCCACACTGTTTTTATTACTGTAGCTTTATAGTACATCTTGAGATGACATAGAATTAGTCCTCCAATATTTTTCTTTTTTAATACAGTATTGGCTATTATAATAACTTATTATTTGCCTCTCCATATAAACTTTAGAATCAGACTGTTGATATCCACAAAATAACTTGCAGGGATTTTAATTGGTCAAATCAGGAAAAACTTAACCTTGACAGTCTTGAATCTTCCTATACATGGACCTAGAAATCTCTGAATTGGTTAGTTGTAATTTGATTCCTTTTACCAGAGTTTTGTAGTTTTCCTCATATAGATATAACACATATTTTGTTAGGTTCTTATCATAGTATTTATTTTTGGAGATATGCTAATGTAAGTGATATTCCATTTTTAGTCTCTAATTCTAATTGTGCATTGATGGTATATAGGAAAGTGGTGGACTTTTGTAAATTAACCTGGTATCCTGTAATCTTAATATAATTGCTTATTAGCTCTAAGGCTTTGTTGTTGTTGATGATGATTCTTTTCAGAATTGTTTTCTTTAGAGACAGTGTCTTGCTCTGCCACCCAGGCTGGAGTACAGTGGCGCAATCATAGCTCACTACAGCCTCAAACTCCTGGGCTTAAGTGGGCCTCCCGCCTCAGTCTCCTTAGTATCTCAGACTATAGGTGTGCACCATCACAGCCAACTAATTTATTTATTTATTTTTGTAGTGATGGAGTCTTGTTGTGTTGCCAAGGCTGGTGTTGAACTGCTGGACTCAGGTGATCCTTCTGCCTTGGCCTTCCAAAATGCTAGGAAGGTGTAAGCCACAGCACCTGGCTCAGATATATATTTTTTTTTTACATAGACACTGACATCTATGAACAAAGACAGTTTTGTTTCTTTCTTACCAATTAGTATACCCCTTTTCTTCTCGTATTGCATCATTTAGGACTTCCAGAATTATACTGAAAAGGAATGGTAAAAAAAAAGACATTTTTGCGTTATTAGTGATCTTGGTGGGAAACATGTTAGTCTGTCATCATTATTCATGCTCTTAGCTGTAGGTTTCTTTTGTAAATATTCTTTAACAAACTGATGTAATTCCAGTCTATTAATCAATGTCTTTTATTGATCTAGTCAGTAAATATATTTTCAGGCCTATTTTATGTCAAAAAGCAATGTAGTCATTACAGATACAATGATGAGGAAAAGCACATTTTGCCTTGTTCCTCTAAGAGAGGCAAACATTAGAGTAATAAGGCACAGCCCAAATGGCAGTAATGCCTAAATAGAGAAGTACATGCTACTCTAGCACCTAATAACATCTGAATAATCTGAGGTGTTCAAAGAAAGTTTTTCTGAGAAAATAGGTTTTCTATGGACTTCATCTGAAGAGCAAAGAGAAACCATTGTTTAACCCATAATCATGAAGAATAAACCAGAAGGCAATATCAGTAGCTGAGGATCCCATTTAAAAACACTCAAGATCTGTAGTCAGCAAGCTGAAGGCCCAGGGAGGCTGGTGGTGTAGCTATAGTCCAAGTCTGAAAGCCTGAGAACCAAGAGAGTTACAGGTGTAAGTTGCAGCCTGAAAGTTGGCAGGTTCAAGATAAGAGAACTAACGTTTCACTTTGAGTCCGAAGACTGGAAACAACTGATGTCCCAGTTCAAAAGCTGTTAAGCAAGGAGAATTCCCTCTTACTCAGCCCTTTTGTTCTATGGATCCTCAATTGATTGGATAAGGTTTACTCACATTAGGGAGTACAATCCACTTTACTTTCTCTACCAATTCAAATGTTAATCTCATCCAGAAACATTCTCACAGACACGCTCAGAGTAATGTTAGTCTAACTGTCTGGGCACCCATGTAAGTAAAGGAAAAATTTTATGTGTCAGTAAAGATGACACATAAAATTAGCCATCATACAGGTTTATTGCCTTTCATGCATGAATGCAGAATCTCATTCTCTCTCCATCTCCTGCCTCTTTCTCTATTTATTTCCACCTCACCATTTTTTATAGAAGTGTTTGTGTTGACAATTAAGTGAAAGTTTTTCTTGTTTATGCCTTAGGTCAGAAATAGTTCAATTCATTCTAACTACATTAAAAGTATAACTTGCATAAGAATTATAAGGAAATAAACTCCAACAATTTATTTTATTGGTGAGAAGAGAAATGTGAGAGAATAAAGCCTTTTATTTGTATTGTCATTAGTAGAAAAATATTATTTAATTAATTAATAGTAAATAATTGCATTATTTAGAAAACAAATAACATATATTAACTGTCTTCTAAATTGGCTAGAATGTCACAGAGTGTGATATTTTGCAGTGACTATAACACCAAAAGTACTAGCTTGGAAGTCATCATGAAACATAAACATATATATAACTCACTCCATAAATGGCTATTTCATAATGTCTCTCGTTATTAAATAAGTGATTTTATCTTGAGTAGAACAGAATGGTCAAAATTCCATTACAATTTTATTATTCTCCATAAATAAATATAAACTCACTACACTCTCTACCTCCCATTGCCATACTTTTATATTTAGAAAAAACTATCTCGTAGCCTAAGTTGTGTTAATCAGGCACTTATTATACAAGGTTATACTTCTAAATAAAAGATTCACTTAAAATAGCTAACTCTGGTCATTTTAAGTCGGTTGGTAGAGTTATATTTTGTTATATGTCTGTTTCTATGGGAATCACCACTTATTCAGTGCACTCAAATATGGTGTGGATAAGCAGAATTTTGGGAAACGTAATTTTTAATCTCAGATGGCTGAACATTTGTCTCACATGAGTTATGTAACAGAGCAGAAATACAGAAAAGCAATCCATGGACTATAAACACAAGCACTCTACTCATTGCCAAAGGCTGAAAACAAGTGTATCTCTAGTGGAAGCACAAAAAGAATATATAATGAGGAAATTAATGAACACGGAAGATGGAAAACCTTTTTTTTTCCCTAAAATGTATGAGTTAGTGAGCTGATTTAATTCTTACCCTATTAAATAAAATCACCCCTTTTATTATTATTAATTCAGTAGGCTCTACCTTGGAGAAAGACAGACACATTTATTTAATAGTTTATAGGAACTCCATTTTTCTCTTTTGTGAGAGTAAAATGAGTATATTTTTACTGCTGCTCTTGGTCTCTGTATTAAAATTATATGTAAAACAGCTTAGAAATACCTTGATTTTGAATCCATGATTTATACACAGTGATATATTCTTAGATGCAGAAATGAGGGATTTCTAGATCATAACCTAACAGCATAATGATGCAATCTAAAATCTTCAAAGGGTAACTGAATTTTCAATTTGGAAAATGTTTTCAAATTCATGCAATTGAAGACGCTACATTTCAGCTCATCTGGTAACAAATACCTTCTCTCTTCCTCAAGCCTCAGATACCTTCTCTGTTCCTCAAGCATTTATTGAAGGTTTTCATAGGTATAAAGCTGTAACTGGTGCTTTAACAAAAATGTTTGCATGAAATAAATAGAAACCATGGTTTTTAATTTCAGGGAGCATGGAACTTACTTTTAAAGACAATAAAAACGACCAAAAATAATACTACTTGCTAAATACTATACTGTTTGAGGATGTTTTAAAGTAAAAATATTTATATAATTTGATAACCTCAACAATAATAACTCCCAAATTAAAAGAATCTTTCACTGACTTGAACATAAAACCTTCAATTATTTGTGTTTTTAAATAGTTGTTTTTCTCAAATGTATAAGATGTCTTATAGATCTTTTAATTTAACAAGTAAAAGAATGTAAAAACACAGCTGTTATCTCGATACATGCTAAAATATATTTGATAAAGTTTCATCTCTATTCCTAATTTTTTTATTAAATTGTTATGTTTCACATACTGAAACACAATTTTATCAAACCAATAGTTTATACTACACATAATGTTGGTATATTGGAGAAATTAGGAATAGACAAATATATTGCAATGGGTGTCACCATTATTTAAATATATTCCTTGGTTTTCGCTCGCACAATATTACATAAAAACAATATAAAGATAGTATCTATTGAAAGAGAAAAGTTTTTTTTCAGACAGTCTTGACAGACCATATATTTGCCTACCTAAAAAACACAAAGCAATAATTAATGAAAGGTATTAGAACTTATGAAAGATATTAGAATTAATAAAATCATTCCTTAAGCAAAATAAATTTACATAAATTAACACAGTTATGACTATTTGTCTCTTGCTGCACAACAAACTATTCCAAAATTTAGTGATTTAAAACAACATGTAATCTCACAATGTCTCTATATCAGAAATACAGGAAGTATTTAGGTAGGTGATTACTCCTCACGGTCTCTTAAGATGTTGCAGTCAAGCCATCAGCCTGGTTTACAGCCAAATCAAGACTACACACTCAAGTTGAAGTATACAGGAATAACCCAGATAATTATGAATTTACTTCCCGACCACTACAATAAAGCAGTATCAATTAAGCATATGATAATCTAAATACAGCAAGTCAAACAAATGTAGTTTACTGTCAACAGCATTACATCTAAAAAAAGTATATACCTTGAATATTAAATATCTTATTGTTAAAAATGTTAGCAATCATTGAAGTCTTCAGCCTGTCATAAGCTTTTTGCTCTTGGAAGATCGTGCCTTGATGTTTATGGCTTCTCACTTATCAGGATGGTGGTTGCTGAAGGTTGGGGTGGCTGTGGTAGTTTAACTCTTAAACTACGACAAATGTGAAAGTTTGGCATCTATTAACTCTTCCTTTCCCAAATGATTTATCTGTGGCATGTAATGCTGTTTGATACCATTTTACTCACAGTACAACTTCTTCTAAAATTGCAGTCAATTGTATCAAACTCTGCTGTTGATTTATCAACAAAGTTTACATATTATTCTAAGTAATTTGTTGTCATTTTAACAATATTCACAGCACCTTCAAGTGGAGTAGATTCTATCTGAACAAGTCACTTGCTTTGCTCATCCATAAGAAATCACTCCTCTTCTGTTAAAGTTATACATTCTGTATATTTGACTCACATGAGTCATGTAATGAATGTTCAGGCTCCACATCTAATGTGAGTTCTTTTGCTATTTCCACTATATCTGCAGTTCCTACCTCTAGTGAAGTTTGGAACCCTTCAAAGTCTATGACGGTTGGAATCAACTTCTTTTAATCTCCATTAATATTAATATTGTGACTTTCTCCTATGAATCATGAATGTTCTTATGGCATCTAGAATGGTGAATCCTTTTCAGAAGGTTTATCAAATTATATGGCTCAGATTTATTATAGGAATCTCTATCTATGGCAGTCTTGTGAAATGTATTTCTCAAATAATAAAACTTGAAAGTCAAAATTACCACTTGATCCATGGACTGCAGAGTGGGAGTTGTGTCAGCAGGTATAAAAGCAGCATTAATCACCTATACATCTTTATTAGAGCTGTCAGATAAACAGGTGCATTGCCAATGAGCAGTAATATTTTCAAGGTAAAGCAGTTCGATGTTATAGAGATGCTTATTTCCTTAAACCTCATGTACTAAACTCTGCTGACATCAAACTTTTCTTCTGCAGCTTCCTTACCTCTCTCAGCCTTCATAGAATTGAAGAGAGTTAGAACCTTTTTCTGAATTAAGCTCTGGCTTAAAGGAATGCTGTGGCTGGTTTGATCTTTTATTCAGACCACAAGAACTTTCTCCATATCAGAAATAAGGCAGTTTCACTTCCTTATCATTCATGAGTTCAATGAAGTAGCACTTTTAATTTCCTTAAAGAATCTATTATTTGTATTCACAACGTTGCACTCACTGTTTGGCACAAGAGGCCTGGATTTCAGCCTATCTAGGCTCTCAACATGCTTTCCTCACTAATCTTAATCATTTTTAACTTTTTATTGAAGTAAGACATGTGTGATTCTTCCTTTCACTTGAACACATAAAGGCCATTGTAGGGTTATTGATTGGTCTAATTGTAATATTATTTTGTCCCAAGGAATAGGGAGGAGAGGGGAGTAGACAGGAGACCCATAAGTTGGTAGAGCAGTCTGAACACACACAACATTTACCAATTAAGTTCACCATATTTTATGGGTGTGGATCGTGGTGCCCCAAAACAGTTACAATAGTAACACTAAAGATCCTTGATCATAGATCATCATAACAGATGCAATAATAATGAAAAATGGAAAATATTATAGAATTACCAAAATGTGACACAGAGACACAAAGTGAGCTCATGCTGTTGGAAAAATAATGTCAATAGACTGATTTAATGCAGGGTTGCCACAAACCTTCAATTTGTAAAAAATATAATATCTGTAAGGTACAATAAAGTGAAGTGCAAAAAGATAAGGTAGGTCCAATTTCCAAACTCAGAAGTGTGGTTCTTCATAGGTCTCAGTTCTTCTCTGGCTGATTTAGAGAGACACAGAGAGATGGAGAAGCAGACAGCTCAAGATAGGATTCACAGTCCAAATCCATCTCAGAAGTGATTGTATTAGTTTGCTCTCACACTGCTCATAAAGACATACCCGAGATTGGATAATTTATAGAGAAAACAGGCTTAATGAACTCACAGTTCCACATGACTGGGGAGGCCTCACAACCATGGGAGATGGCAAAGGACAAGCAAAGGCACATCTTACATGGTGGCATGCAAGAGAGCTTGTGCAGGGGACCTCCCAATTATAAAAGCATCAGATCTCATGAGACTTATTCACTGCCATGAGAACAGTGTGGGGGAAACTGCCCCCATGATTCAATTATCTCCACCTAACCCCACCCTTGACTTGTGGGTATTATTACAATTTGAGGTAAGATTTTGGTGGGGACACAGCCAAACCATATCAGTGACACACCAGAATGTTTGTCATATGTCATTGGACATACAGGTTAATTGTGGAACAATGTGGTAGAATGCTATGTACGTGTTAATAACAGGAGTTAGAGATCATTGCTATTTATCTTGGAGGCTATAGAGAAAGTAAAGAGCAAAGTTATAATCAAAAGAGTGTGGTATTGTCTTTAAAAAAAAGCATATAGATCAACAGACAAGAATAGAGGAACAGAAATAAACCCACACATAAACAGTCAATGGATCTTCGACAAGAGTGTCATGAATAAACAAGGAAAAAAGATTATTCAATAAATTATGTTAAGAAAAGTGGATATTCACATGCAAAATAATGAAATTGGACACTTATCTTAAACCATATCCAAAAATTAATTCAAAATGAACTAATAAATGTAATGCCTGAAACAGTAAAAGAAAACATGGGAAAAACATAGGGCAAAAGCTTCTTGACATTGGTTTTGACAGTTACTTCTTAGATATGACACCCAAAGCACAGGCTGTGATGCAAAATTAGACACATGAGGACATATTAGACTAAATATTTCCTGTACATCAATGGAAACAACTAAAAAAATAAAATGGCAATCAATGGAATGGGAGAAGATATTGGAAAACTGTATATCTGATAGAGGGTTAATATCCAAAATATATAAGCAACTCCTGCAATAGCCAAAACAAAACAAAACTGATTTAAAAATGAGCAAAATATTCTAACAGACATTTTTTTAAAGAAGACTGACAGAAGGCCAATTTATACAAAAAGGTGATTGACATCACTAGCTATCAGAGAAATTCAAATCAAAAACATGAGGCTGGGTGGGGTGGCTCACGCTTGTAATCCCAGCACTTTGAGAGGCCGAGGCGGGCAGATCACAAGTTCAGGAAATCAAGACCTTCCTGGCTAACATGGTGAAACCCTGTCTCTACTAAAAATACAAAAAATTAGCCGGGTGTGGTGGCGGGTGCCTGTAGTCCCAGCTACTCAGGAGGCTGAGGCAGAAGAACGGCGTGAACAAGGGAGGCGGAGCTTGCAGTGAGCTGAGATGGTGCCACTGCACTCCAGCCTGGGCGAACAAAAAAAACATAATGAGCTATCACCACAATGAGATTTAACAGTGGAGATGTCAGGGAAATTCAAATCAAAAACACAATGAGCTATAACCACAATGAGATTTAATAGGTGAAATGCCTATTATAAAAAAGATGAAAGATGACAAGTGTTGGAGAGGATATGGAGAAAAGAGAATCCTGTATACTATTCAGTAGAATGTGAATTGATATAGACATGGTGAAAAGAGTATGAAGCATCCTCAAAAATTTCAAAATAGAACTACCATATGATCCACAAATCCACTTTAGTGTATATATTTAAAAAAAAATTGAAATCAGGCCAGGCATAGTTACTCACATTTGTAATCCTGGGACTTTGGGAGGCTGAGGTGGGAGGATTGCTTCAGCCCAGGAGTTTGAGATCAGCCCTGGCAACATAGTGAAATCCCTTCTCTACAAACAAATTAAAAATTAGCTGGGTGTGGTGGCAAACAGTTGTGGTTCCAGCTACTAGGGAAGCTGAGATGAGAGGATTGCTTGAACCTGGGAGGTCAAAGTGATAGTGAGCCATGGTTGTGCCAACATACTCCAGCCTGGGCAACACAGTAAAACGCTGTTTCAAAAAAATAAAGGGAAAATCAGGAACTCAAAGAGATACCTGCACTAACAAGTTCATTCCGACATTATTTACAATAGCCAAGATATGAAAGCAACATAAAATAAATATACATCAATGGATGAATAGATAAATGTGGCATATACGGCAATATAATATTATTCAGCCCTATAAAAGGAGGACAATTTCACCATTTGTGGCAACATAAATGAATCTGGAAGATATTATTCTAAAGTTAAGTAAGCCAGACACAGAAGGACAAATGCTACATGATCCTACTTACAAGAGGAATGTAAAGTAATTCAACTCATAGAATTAGAGAATAGAATGGTGAATGTCAAGGCTGAACAGAAGGAACAATGGGAAGGTATTAGCCAAAGGTTGCAAGGTTTCAGTTATGCAACAAGAATAGATCCTAGAAATCTACTGAGCAGCCTTGTGCCTGTGGCTAATTATACTGTCTTGTATACTTACAAATTTAAAACAGTGTATCTTAAGTTGTAAAAAGGTAAGAAGAAATTACTAACACCATTATTTTCTCTTCATTCTACAACATGACATCTTTATTCTCCTGGATAAGTTGGTTTACTTTCTCCCAATAGTAGCAGGTCTTCCCTTGTTTTAATCAATGAATTGTCCTAATGAAGAGCATACTTTAGCTGTGTCCATATACAGGCTGTCAATTAATGTTGCTTTCTGTCTCCTTTGAAGACGTTTCTATTATTATTAATATTAATGGGTTAATGGGTACAAAAGATATAATGATCAGTAGACAAAAGATAGAATAGTACTAATTAAAAGCATATGAAAATGTTCAACCTCACTAGTAATATAAAATTTAAATGAAATTGAAAAACCACATTTGCACTCAACTAAGCAACTAAAATAAAAGATTATAATCCATGGTACATGTGTGTGCATATGTATATATGTATGATGTATTTATTATATTCTATATCTGTATATCTAATACAGCAGCCACTAGTTATATATGGTTATTTAATTTTAAATTTAAATTAATTCAAATTTAAACATTCATTTCTTCAGCTGCACTAGCCACATTTAAAGGGCTAAAAAGCCACATGTGATTAGTCACTACCATATTGAATGTCACAGAAATATAGAACATTTCATTCATCATAGAAAGAAAATTTATAATATACAGCACATTTGTGCAGGACGAAGAGAAAGAGTTTCCAAAAACCAAATTACATAAGAGTTTTTAAAACTTCTTTTTGGTTAAATGTAGTGTAAAGAAAAAGAAACTTTTAATAAAAGCAGGCTGTGCTTACATTTTAATAAACTAGAGCTCAGATATGAAAGAGTTCCTGGTCATACAAATAAAAAGAAACCTAATCTTTATAGGCAGGTCTTTGGTTTAAGCAGAAAATAAACACTTCTTTGACAATATTTCTGAATATCAAAAGGTAAACTTAAATTTAATTGCATAAAGAATATTATATAAAGTAAACATTCACATAATAAAGATAAACTTTTTATTTGTCCTTTTACAGTTTCTAGATAATTTATACACATGAAATATAAAACTTATGTTCAAAATGTTGGACCAAGATGCTATTATGAAACATTTCATTTGATCAACTTCATTTTTCTATAGCATCATTTAATTTAATGAAGTGCCCATTTGGTGATAAAAAGAAATTGTAAGCTTTCCTGATAGAATAACACATTATCAATGCACCCTTATGTCAAAACCAACCTTATATTTTGTCAAGGTTGGTGTCTCACAGTTACTTCAATCCTATTTAAAATGTAATAATATACAACAATCTTACTTGTTACCATGTGAGATAAATTGAATACTTTCCATTTCAATTTCTTTGAAACTGTTTAAAAGCAAAACCAAAACAAACAGTTCTGCTACTTTTAAAGGAGGAATATGCCTGATAGTTTTTAGACTAATACTGTGAAGAATCAAACAGTACTTTTCTTTCCTGAACCAGATTGCATTTTATAGATCCACATGCTCTTCAACTACATTTGGATGTATTTATATATGAAGAAAAACACCTACACCCTTCCTTTATGCCTATATGTGAAGCTTTGAGTAATATTGATGAAGGAGAAACAACATGGCCAGGGTAAAAGAGGTAGAATAAGCTTTCCACTGATTACCTATGCCTCTCAAGGTGGCAGGAAACCTGTGCTCTTTTGCATTACTGAAATCTCACAAACTAGCCCAAAGCTCAGAGTGTGGTGAATCACCAAAACTATTTAAAAAACGATGTTGAGTTAGGTCATGTCATCTTGAGCAAAATGATCTGTATGAGTCTCATTTTGCCATTTCTATCAAAAAAAGAGATACTAATACTCACTTGTTTGGAAAATAAAATGTTGATTGGCACACATAATGGCTTTCAAATAGCTGGTACTTGATAAATTGAATTATCTGTGTTTTTATTTGAAATATTATTTCTAATTATCAAAAAATATTTTTTGCAAAAACAAATACTAGGCATCAGCAAACTGGAGGTAATGACAATTATTGGAAAAAAGAGTCTTTCATATTGAAATTACATTAGATATGTAGATAAGTGGGGACAATGCTAGGTTGCTGGCCCTGTCACCATATGCCTTCTCTTCTCTGTTGATGAAAAAAGTCAAACTCTGTAAAATATTTGAAGAGATTCGTGCTGAGCAAAATGTGGGAACTATGACCCATGAAACAGCCTCAGGAGGTCCTGAGAACATGTGTCCACAGTAGTTAGGTTACAGCTTGGTTTTATGTTTTAGGGAGACATAAGACAGTGCATGTGAGTTATATATTAGTTTGGTCCAGAAAGGCTGGACAACTTGAAGCCAGGGGGCTTCCAGGTCATAGGCAAATTCAAAGATTTCCTGATTGGTAATTGAGTGAAAGAGTTATTATCTAAACACCTGAAAATAATAGAATGGAGTGTCTGAATTAAGATAAGCATTGTGAACATCAAGGATCTTATTATGTAGATGAAGTCTCACAAGTGGCCACCATTAGAAGCACTCAAGGGCAAATATTTCCTATGCAAACCATTAAAAGATTCCAGAATCTAGAATAACCAGTAAGTAAAAAAAAATCTCAGCAAAATGCAAAACATTTCCTGTAAAAGAGACAGCTGTGCAGGGTAATTCTAAAATATGTCAGAGTGAATTCAGCACCTTCAACTAAAGTATCCAGGTTCTTGCATTGGGAATAAATAAGCAAGCAGCTTGACCCATGGGGATCAAGGAGAAGCAGCGGTGGGGCGATCATGGTCCACCCAGGATTGGCGTGGAACCAAGGGAACACCCACCCACAGCCAGGGGAGGTGGTGAGTGATTGTGTGACCCTGCCTGGGAAGCCAACCACACTTCTCCCATGGATCTCTGCAACCCGAGGATCACGAGATCCCCTTGTGAGCTCACACATCCAGGACTTTGGTTCTGATACATGGAGCTGTGTGGAATCCCAGCAGGGCAGCCACCCAGGCATGCAGAGACCAAAGAGTTTTACATATTCTGGCCCCCAGATCACTGCCAAGGCAGAAAATCCATTTGTATATATTCCTAGGAAGGGGACTGAATTTAGGGAACCAAGAAGCATCATTCTGTGGGCCCCATTTCCATGACACCTCATGGGTAGGAACCCACTGGCTTGGAATCTCAGCCAGACAGTGAGAGCAGGCTGAAGTCCACCTGAGATGGGACCAAGTTCCTTGGGGGAAGAGTGGCCGCCATCTCTGTGGTTCAGGGGACTCAGCTGTGCCAGCCTGCTGACTGTGCAGAGTGCAGATGGTCCACACCAGGAGGGGGCACCACAGCAGCACAGCTGCCTTGCTAGATCATGGCCAGACTGTTTCTTTAACCAGGGCCCCAAACCACTCCTCCTCACTGCCGGGGACCTTTGTTCTGGGACAAAGCTCTGATCTCTCCCTGGGAGGGAGCTCCTGAAGGGAGGGCAGCCACCATCTCTGACAGTCCATAGACTTAGCCATTCCAGCCTGCCAGCTGTGGAGACTATAGACAGATGGGAAAAAAGGGTCCCTCCCAGTGCAACATGCCTGCTCTACCAAGAAGCAGCCAGGTTGCTGCTTTGGGTCGGTCCCTGATCCCATCCCTTCTGAGTAGGTGAGATCTCCCAGCTGGGGTTCCAGCCACCTCCTGCAGGTGCCTGTGGGCGGGTGGCAGGTTGGTGCCCCCCAGGATGGATATTCCAGAGTTGGGGAGCTGGCTGCCCTCTTTGTCATTTTGTGGACTTCAG
This sequence comes from Homo sapiens, assembly GCF_000001405.40. Taxonomy (NCBI): domain Eukaryota; kingdom Metazoa; phylum Chordata; class Mammalia; order Primates; family Hominidae; genus Homo; species Homo sapiens. Next base: position 32,910,349 of record NC_000004.12, read on the forward strand.
TGGTAATACCACCAGGTGCAAGAGAAGCCAAGGTGAATGGGGAATGGAGCAGACTCCAGCAAACCACAGCAGCCCTACAGTAGAATGGTCTGACTGTTAAAAGAAAAACAAACAGAAAACAACAACTACGACAAAAGACTCCCCAAAAACGCCACTCTAATTTCAGAAACCTCAAAGATCAAAAGTAGATAAGCCCACAAAGATGAGAACGAATCAACGCAAAAACTCTGAAAACTCAAAAAGCCAGAATGTTTCTTATCCTCCAAATGACCAAAACACCTCTCCAATAAGGGCACAGAACTGGGCTGAGGCAGAGACGGCTGAATTGATAGAAATAGACTTCAAAAGGTGGGTAATAATGAGCTTCACTGAGCTAAGTGAGAATGTTGTAACCCAGTGCAAAGAAGCTAAGAATCATGATAAAACAATAGAGGAGCTGAAAGCCAGAATAGTGAGTTTAGAGAAGAATATAACCAACCTGATGAAGTTGAAAAACACAACATGAGAAATGCACAATGAAATCACAAGTATTAATAGCATAATAGACCAAGTGAAGGAAATAATCTCAGAGCTTGAAGACTATCTTTGTGAAATAAGACAGGCAGACAAGAATAGAGAAAAAGAATGAAAAGGAATGAATAAAACCTGCAAGAATTATGGGATTATGTAAAGAGACTGAACCTATGACAGATTGGAATATCTGAAACAAATGGGGACAAAGGAACCAAGACGGGAAACATACTTCAGGATATCATCCAGGAGAACTTTCCCAACCTAGCAAGATGGGCCAACATTCAAATTCAGAAAATCCAGAGAACCCCGGTAAGATACTCTATGAGAAGATCAACTCCAAGACATACATAATCATCAGATTCTCCAATATCAAAACGAGAAAAAAAATGTTAAAGGCAGCCAGAGAGAAAGGCCAGGTCATCTACAAAGGGAAACCCATCAGACTAACAGTGGACTTCTCAGCAAAAATTCTACAAGCCAGAAGAGATTGGGGGCCAATATTGAACATTCTTAAAGAAAATAACTTTTAACTCAGAATTTCATATCTGGCCAAACTAAGCTTCATAAGTGAAGGAGAAATAAGATCCTTTTCAGACAAGCAAATGCTGAAGGAATTTGTCACCACCAGACCTGCCTGTCTTGCAAGAGCTCCTGAAGGAAGAATTAAATATGGAAAAGAAAAACTGTTACCAGCCTCTACAAAAACACATAGTGTCTCCCACTATTACTGTGTAGGAGTCTAAGTCCCTACCTAATGTAGATGGCGGGTTGATGGGTGCAGCAAACCACTATGGCACATGTATACCTGTGTAACAAACCTGCACGTTCTGCTCATGTATCCCAGAACTTAAAGTATAACAAAAAATAATAATAAAATAGAACTCAAGATTAAGAAATTCACTCAAAACCACACAACTACATGTAAATTGGACAACCTGCTCCTGAATGACTCTTGGGAAAATAATGAAATTAAGGCAGAAATTAAGAAGTTCTTTGAAACTAATGAGAACACAGAGACAATGTATCAGAAACTCTGGGATGCAGCTAAAGCAGTGTTAAGAAGGAAATTTATAGCACTAAATGCTCACAACAAAAAGCTAGAAAGATCTCAAGTGAACATCTCAACTAAAATAGAGAAGCAAGAACAATCAAACTCCGAACCTAGCAGAAGACAAGAAATAACCAAGATCAGAGCCAAACTGAAGGAAATAGAGACCTGAAAAACCCTTCAAAAAATCAATGAATCCAGAAGCAAATTTTTTGAAAAAAAAATAGTAAAATAGATAGACAGCTAGCTACACTAATGAAGAAAAAAAGAGAGAAGAATCAAACACCATCAGAAATAATAAGAATATTACCACTGACCCCATAGAAATATAAACGGCCATCAGATAATACTGTAAACACCTCTATGCATATAAACTAGAAAATCTAGAATAACTGGATAAACTCCTGAACACACACAGTCTCCCAAGATTGAACCAGATAGAAATTGTTTCTCTGAATAGACTAATAATGTGTTCTGAAATTGAGGCAGTAATAAATAGCCTACCAACCAAAAAAAAGCCCTGGACTAGACGGATTCATAGCAGAATTCTATCAGAGGTACAAAGAAGGGCTGTACCATTTCTACTGAAACAATTTCAATAAATTGAAGAGGAGAGATTGCCTGCTTACTCATTCTATGAAGCCAGCATCATTCTGATACCAAAATCTGGCAGAGACACAAAAAAACAACAAGAAAAAAACTTCAGGCCAATATTCTTGATGAACATCGATGCAAAAATCCTCAATAAAATACTGGCAAACTGAATCCAGCAGCATATCAAAAAGCTTATTCACCACAATCAAGTTGGCTTTATCCCTGGGATGCAAGGTTGGTTCAACTTAAGCAAATCAATAAATGTGATTCATCACATAAACAGAACTAAAGACAAAATCACATTATTATTTCAATAGACAGAGAAAAGGTTTTTGATAAAATTTGGCATCCCTTTATATTTAAAACTCTCAATAAAGTAGATATTGAAGGAACATACCTCAAAATAACAAGAGCTGTATATGACAAACCCACAGCCAGTATCATAATGAATGAGCAAAAGCTGGAAGCATTCCCACTGAAAAGCAGCACAAGACAAGGATGCCCTCTCTCACCACTCTTATTCAACATAGTATTGGAAGTTCTGACTAAGGCAATCAGGCAAGAGAAAAAGGTAAAGGGTATCCAAATAGGAAGTGAGGAAGTAAAATTATCTTTGTTTGCAGATGACATGATTCTATATCTAGTAAACCCCATTGTCTTGGCCCCAAAGATTCTTACGCTGATATGCAATTTTGTTAGTCTCAGAATATAAAATCAATATGCAAAAAATTGCTAGCATTCCTATACGCCAACAAGCATGCCAAGAGCCAAATCATGAATGAACTTCCATTCACAATTGCTATAAAAGAACAAAATACCAAAGAATACAACTAACAAGATAAGTGAAGAACCTCTTTAAGGAGGACTACAAACCACTGCTCAAAGCAATCAGAGAGGATACAAACAAATGGAAAAATATTCCATGCTCATGAATAAAAAGCAACAGTATCATGAAAATGGCCATACAGCACAAAGTAATTTATAGATTCGATGCTGTTCCCAATAAACTACCACAGACTTTATTCAGTTAATTATAAAAAAACTATTTTAAAATTCATGTGGAACCAAAATAGAACATGAATAGACAACACAATCCTAAGCAAAAAAACAAAGTTGGAGGCATCATGCTACCTGACTTCAAATTATACTACAAGGATACAGTAACCAAAACAGCATGGTACTGGTACAAGGACAGTCACGTAGACCAATGGAGCAGAATAGAGAACTCAGAAATGAGACTGCACACCAACAACTATCTGATCTTTGACAAAGGTGACAAAAACAAGCAATGGGGAAAGGATTCCCTATTTAATAAATTGTGCTGGGAGAACTGGCCAGCTAGATGCAAGAAATTGAAACTGGATTTCTTCCTTATCCCATACTCAAAAAACTAACTCAAGATGGATTAAAGACTTAAGTGTAAAACCCAAAACTGTAAAAACCCTAGAAATAGATCTAGACAATACCATTCAGGACATAGGCACAGGCAAAGATTTTCTGATTGAAATGCCAAAAGCAATCGCAACAAAAGCCCAAATTGACAAATGGGATCTAATTAAACTAAAGAGCTTCTGCACAGCAAAAGAAACTATCATCAGAGTGAACAGATAACCTACAGAATGGGAGAAAATTTTTGCAGTCCATCCGACAAAGGTCTAATATCCAGATTCTACAAGGAACTTAAACTTACAAGAAAAAAATAGCCCTGTTAAAAAGTAGTGAAAGGATATGAACAGATAATTCTAAAAAGAAGACAGGCTGGGTGTGGTGGCTCATGCCTGTAATCCCAACACTTTGGGAGGCTGAGGCAGGAAGATCATGAGGTCAAGAGATCAAGACCATCCTGGCCAACATGGTGAAACCCCATCTCTACTAAAAATACAAAACTTAGCTGGGCATGGTGGTGCACACCTGTAGTCCCAGCCTACTGGGGAGGCTGAGGCAGGAGAATCGCTTGAACTTGGGAGGCGGAGGTTGCAGCGAACCGAGATTGTGCCACCACAATCCAGCCTGGTGACACAGCAAGACTCCATCTCAAAAAAGAAAAACAAAAACAAAAACAAAAAACAAAAAACAAAAAAAAGAAGAAATACATGTGGCCAACAAACATATGAAAAAAAATCTCAACATCACTGATCATTAGAGAAATGCAAATCAAAACCATAATGAGATGCCATCTCACACCAGTCAGAATGGTTATTATTTAAAAGCCAAAAAACAGATGCTGGAGGGGTTGTGTAGAAAATGGGACACTTTTACACTGTTGGTAGGAGTATAAATTAGTTCAACCATTGTGGAAGACAGTGGTAATTCCTCAAAGACCTAGAGGCAGAAATACCATTTGACCCAGCAATCTCATTACTAGGTATATACCCAAAGAAATATAAATCATTCTATTATAAAGACACATGTACATGTATGTTCAATGCAGCCCTATTTACAATAGCAAAGTCATGGAATCAGTCTAAATGCTCATCAGTGATAGACTGGATAAAGAAAATGTGGTACATATACAACATGGAATATTATGAATCCATAAAAAGGAATGAGATCATGTTCTTTGCAATTTTCAGGGACATGGACAGGGCTGGAAACCATTATTCTCAGCAAACTAATTCAGGAACAGAAAAAACAAGCACTGCGTGCCCTCACTTATAAGTGAGCTGAATGATGAGAACACATGGACACACGGGAGGGAAGAACACACACTGGGCACCTGTGTGTCTGTTGAGGGAGCATTGCGAAGAATAGCTAATGAATGCTGGGCTTAATACTGGGTGATGGGTTAATCTGTGCAGTAAACCACCATGGCGCACGTTTACCTATGTAACAAATGTGCACATCCTGCACATGTACCCATGAACTTAAAATAAAAGATCCAAATAAAAAAGGACAAAAAAATAAACTATTTCAAATAAATATATTTTGAGGTAAATACTTTTATATCCTTCAGGACCTGCTATCATGTGATGCTCTACTAGAGTTATGATGGAATTTAGTATCTTATTGCTACAAAGAATCTGTCTGTCAGTCTTAAGATCTTTGTTTTTATGTTAATTCTGGTCAGTTGTGCCTGAATTCCAAAGGAAGGGAGTATGAGGAAACATGTCCAACTCCCACTTCTCACCATGGCCTGAATGAGTTTTCAGATTTCTTTGGAATGCCTTTGGCCAAGAAGAGAAGTCCATGCAGTCAGCTGGGTCTTAGAATTCTAATTTTGGTTTACATCTCTCATAGAAAACAAGAACTCCTTAGTAAATCTGAAGAGAATTTGAGAAATCCCATTTTTTCATAAAGAAAGAAACTAAAGATTGATAGGTTCTAAGGTCTTCTGGTTCTTCAGACTTGGGCTCTGACTCCTGTTCCACAAGTTACAATGTGTTATTTTGACACAATTATTTCTAAGTTTTACTTTTTAAAATATCTCAAAATGAGGAAAACATTTCTAGTTATTTTAGAAGACTATTGTGAGAAGTAAAGGAAATTATACATTATATTTATCTGGTGACTTGCTCATATCAAGTAATCAGTTAATTATTATAATGATGATTATTTCACATTAACAATTTCCATACAAAATCTTAACCTTGAAAAAGGCCTATGGTTTGAGATCAGCAAAGTTATTTTCAGGATATATTCAAAGGACTTTGTTTTAAACTTTGCCCTTTATAATAACAGCCTGGGCCACGTTTTTCAAGAGTTACTATTCAAAACTGCTTTACTATCATTACTTCTTACATTAACACATTTTGGTGTCCAATCTAGTTTTGTACCATAGCCCCAAGATGTCTCAAATATGCATGGAATATATGTACTTTTCAACCTTACATTGCAAATTAATTGTTGAAACATGTAAATCATGCTTTCAAGCTTAAGAGCTTTATTTACTCTGCTATAAATAATCCTCAGAACTGTGTTTTGCATTTAGCTATTGTTAGGCTTTGAGTAGTCTTAGACTTCCTTCTGTAAATAAAAAACAAGGTTTCTTCAAGTCAGTGACCTTTAACAATAAAAAGTCACTTTTACTATGGTAGGAAATTACTAAAGAAAAATATGCCATACCAGGTAGTTGAGAAGATAAACAACTATAGTGTTCTTGGAAATAAAGTTCCTTTGTGTCAATCTATATAACACTTCCCAACAGATTTAAATAACATGCAGTCCTTATGTAAAAACAGAAGTAGGCATAATATATTTTTTCAGTTTCCTTCCAAATCAAGAATTTTTGCCTATCATAAAATGCATAGTTAATTTTAATTGCAAATTATGAATTAAATATCAACCATGGGTTTCAGAAAAGTCTAATTGATAAGAATATCAGCTTTGGAATAATTTCTGGAGATGCCAGTCCTGTAATTCCTGGCAAGGTGTTCTATAATTTGAACTGTAACTTTACTCCCCTGTAAAATATGAAAAATAGCAACTAATTCAAGTAATTGTGGGATTAAATGAGGTAATACATGCACAATGTTTAGCACATAAATTGAATAAATTACTGAATAATTCTCACCTCTACCTAAAATTATCATTATTTATTATCATTATCTTTTTTTATTAGCTAAGTATTGGTCTGGTGCCAAAGATAAAACGTATTAGGTAGACTACTGTCCAAACCAAATATTTCTTTATTAATTCAATCTTTACCTACTCATAAAGTTTCCCTTTCCTCATTTTTATGACATTCTGCCTTGAATTTTGTGTGGTTCCTTATGTGTCCACCTCTGTCCTGGAGATAGTAAGATTCTTGAGGTTCATATTATCCTCAAAGAACTTTTTACTTTTTTTTTTTTTTTTTTTTCAGAGAAAGGGTCTCACTGTGTCACTCTAGCTGAAGTGCAGTGACACAATCATAGCTCACTGAAGCCTTGAACTCCTGGGCTCAAGTGATCCTCCCAACTAGTTAGGACTATAGGCACATGCCATTATGCCTGGCTAATTAAAAAAATATATTGTAGAGATTGGGGTCTCTCTATGCTGCCGAGGATGGTTTCAAACTCCTGGCCTCAAGCAATTCTTCTACCTCAGCCTCTCAAAGCACTGGGATTACAGGCATGAACCACAGCACTGGCCTCTATTCTCTAAGAACTTTACCCATACAGTGCTCCTTCCCCTCTAGTAGGTCTAGCACAGCACCCTGTATATGCCATGGGCACAAACACATTTAGAAAGGAGAGTTAAAGAGGGCATGGAAACAAAAGGAGTGGAATGAAATAACATGAAATGAAAAGATGAAATGAAAACAGACTAAATAAGGAAGTTCTCTGCTATAGAAAGAAAAAGATTCTAGTTCCTTCTCCTTCTCTCTTTTCCTTCCTTCCTTCCTCCTTCTTTCTTTTCTTTCCTTCTTTCTTTCTTTCTTTTTCTTTCTTTCTCTTCCTTTCTCTCTTTTCTTTCTTTATTTCTTTCTTTCCTTTCTTTCTCCCCTTCCTTCCTTCCTTCCTTTCTTTTTCTTTCTTTCTTCCTTCCTTCCTTCCTTCCTTCCTTCCTTCCTTCCTTTCTTTCTTTCTTTCTTTCTTTTTCTTTCTTTCTTTCTTTTTCTTTCTTTCTTTCTTTTCTTTCTTTCTTTCTTTTCTTTTCCTTTCCTTTCTTTTCTTCCTTTTTCTTTTCTTTTCTTCCTTTTTCTTTTCTTTCAGAATTCTTGAAGTAATTCTTTCAGAAGTTCTCCTAAGATTAGAAGTACTTTTGACCTACACATCTCAAAAAAATTGATCTCTTTAAATAGCTCTGATTAGGAAGGAAAAATGTTTTCATCTGAACATAAGTTTATAGTCATCATGCTTCAAAAATACAACATGAACTAAAGCTGGAAATGTGATTTGATTATTAGGATATGCCCTGGTGAAATGATTATGTCACGTAACAGCTGGACTTAAAAAAATTTATACTTTTGAGTTACTTTGATTTATTTTTATTGTTATTTTTTATTAATTGCATGATTAACAATTGCACGGCTGTAGATGGGTGTTACTTATCCAAAAGGCAATTTCCCCTTCCCCCTTGTTAATTGCCCCTTGATTTTTCTGTGTGTTCATAATTGTTTACATTCCTCAGAAAAAAACATTGTCCCCAGACCCAGCCATTAAAAGTGAATCTTAATTAAACTAAAACAATAATAATAATTTGAATCTCCCTTTCCAATAATTAAACTTGATAGCTAATGCAATGCAATTATGACCCATGAGGCATTGGATAAATTTTTTGTGCTTCTAGGAAATGTATTTTAGTTATTAATGAGCTTTTTGACACAAAAAGAAAGAGTGTTTCTTTTTTTGGCCTCCGAACAATAGTGCACGTGGTTGTAATCCTTGGAGTTACTGCAGCAATCTGGAAGCCAAGAGGTGAACTAATAGACCTGCTGAGGTTGGGAGGATAAAAAGATGGAAAGAATATGAGCTCCTAGTGACATTATTTGGATATAAATTCACCAGCATAACTTTTTATTATGTGAGATAATAAATACCATTATCAGCTAGCTATCTTGACTCTGGAGTTTTTGGTTACTTGTAAAAAAAAATACCAAATATAATAGATCATATTTGTGGAGAAAACTAAAAGATGTTTTAGCTAATAGATGCTGGTCTACAGAATTTAAAAGTAGCAAATTATCAGTGAAAATATTTCTAAATTTAAATGTCATTCCCCAAGTGAATTAGATTGTTTTCTTCTCCATTTCCTTGAATCATTTTCCATCCTACCCTTTCTTATTTTCTTCCATGCTTTTATAAAAATCTTCTAGAACTCCCTGAATATAAATCTTTTATAAAGTGAGCAATTTATAACTGGAGAAAATAAATTGTGCTTTGTTCACTGTTTAATACAACTTTCAAAACACATTCCAAAGCATTTTCTGGGAATAATTAGCTCTAAGAAATTATATTTTGATTCTTTTAAAATTTGCATTAAAGAAATATTCTATCTGTAACTGCTGCATGAAAGTAACAGCTCATTAAAGATAATTCTAGAAGTATTTTCAAAAAATTCTATTAAACATAAGTGAAGCATCTTTTTAATATCATTATTATATCCAAGGGTAAAGCATTGTCAGAGAGTTGTTGTAAAGAAATGACAAGAAATGTAATTATGTTTTAATTTACACTTAGAGTACCATAACAGCCATATATATGAAAATACATTAAAACAACTGGCCCACAAATATAACGTAAGGCCAGTGCAGTGGCTCACGCCTGTAATCCCAGCACTTTGGGAGGCTGAGGCAGGAGGATAACAAGGTCAGGGGTTCGAGACCATCCTGGACAACATAGTGAACCCCCGTCTCTACTAAAAATACAAAAATTAGCCAGGCACAGTGGTGCGTGCCTGTAGTCCCAGCTACTTGGGAGGCTGAGGCAGGAGAATTGCTTGAACTCGGGAGGCCGAGGTCGTGGTGAGCTGAGATCGCACCACTGAACTCCAGCCTGGGCAACAGAGCGAGACTCCACCTCAAAAAAAAAATAATAATAATAAATAAATAAATAAATAATAAATAAAATAAAAAACACACCAAAAAAAACCCATAATATTCAAAGCTAAGAAAAAAAATATAAAAAGAAATGTACTTGAGGAATGCACTTGGACTCTCATCTTATCCAAATGAGATAAATGCTTAGATCTCATTGTGTTTGAAAAGACATACAAAATCAATTTCCTTAGTGATAAAAATAAATGTATTCCTAATCTACAAGTAATTGACATTCAGTGGTTAGAATTTAATTGCAATGCTTATTTAAGTAACCAATTTTAATGAAGGCAAAGGGTCATTTTTAGTAATCTTGAATTAAAAGAATAAATAAGACAGTAAATTAATGCTTTGAGTTTTCACACTTTTTGAAAGGGAATGACCTCATCTCATTTTGCTGGTTTGAATAGAGATGTAAAGGCGGACTGACACTAAATTTAAATGTTTCTTATAAATGTGAGCATTTACTCTAAGTATTCAATTTTCAAAGATTATACTCGGAAATAATATTTTAGAAGCAAAATATAAGTGTCTTTTTAAATCTTGACTATAAATTAACTCATTGTATTTTATAAGAAATATTCTCTGATGACTGAATGTTGCCCCATGCACCATCGAAATTTATTTTAAAGATCTTTCAAAATTGAAACATGCACTTTTGGTTTTTTTTGTGGGTTTTTTTTTTGGTGTCTTATGAGTTAAACTACAAATAGGCTCACTTGAATTTTGTGTGAAAAATAAAAATTTCAAAATTTTAATAGCAATATGGCCATGTGGGTTATAATAGTATACTTATTAGATACACCAAGTTATGTCTATACTTACAATATGAAGCAGATCACTACAATGGCAAAATAATTTCAGTATTGCTCTTTTTTAGTGGCTACTGTAGGCTTTCCCTTAGTTATGCATATAAGATAAAACTATGTAAAGTTTTAATATAGCCTTTAGATATATGATATTTAATGAAAACAAAAAGCAAAAAAATCTTAAGGTAGGTAAGGCCAAAAATGTAAACATATTTTCTATATGACTGGTTGAAGAGCTATATTTCCCTGTTAACTGCCCATTGTGTCTCAAATTTTTATTTTTAAACCTAAAACCATCTGACTTCAAGGCCACATTTTTGCATGGTTCAGAAGGGAAATTGTCTCTCTTTTTCTCTCTCTCATTCTGTCTTTATAGTGACTTAAAAAAGATCTTTAAAAACTATAGAGCTTGGAGATAAACTGCTTCCAGATGGGGTAAAACTTAGAGGTTGATCATGCTCTTCTATTACATTGATGTGGTAACAGAAACTTAGCTAAATAGCAGTGTCTTTGATAGCCATCTGTTAGACCTCCTTGATATAAGAGAATACTCATTTACACTTGTGTTGGAACACACTTAGATATTATATTCTAAGATAATAATATATTCTAAGATTCATTAATATTAGCTCAAGTGGGACTCAGCCCATGGAAAACTCCCTCTATTCCAAAATATTACAGGATGAAGTTAGAAACATCTGCAAACTTTGTGACTGTTCTTCCTTGAATCTTTATTGGGGATCCAACGGGAAGGTAAATTTGGTCACATGATACTCTTTGGAACTGTTAAATGGTTGTACTATTCCTTGGAAAGCAGGCAGTAGCATATACTGAACAGAAGTAGAGCAGGTAATTGTCTAAATTTTGTGTGTTTTAAGAGTTGATGAGTTGACTGACAATACAGTCATCTGGAAGCTACTATGAAGTTTAAAATTATCTGTTTGACAATATTAACAATATTGTTTTTTAAGAATTTCCAACATATATTTTGTGAGTGGAAGAGAGCAGTTAATGCCTCAGCAAAATGAAGTTGTCTGATTAGCAAGCTTCAGAATAAAAGACTCCTTAGTACTTATTTATTGCATATAATAATATAATACATTATCATGCCATCTTCTAAAAATATCTTAAGCTACTTTAATCTCAGATATAGTCATAGCATTTTAAGCAGTGGCATAGGCATGGTCACATAGATAGAAAGTCAACCAAGTTTAAATTAGTTCTAGCTCTTCTCTTCCTAAGCTTTCTTCTTCATACCTTACTGCTCAGGATCAAAAGAAAATTTCTGAATACAGAATGATAGAAGCAGAGGGGATGCTTGCAAAGAGACTGTAATGGGAGACTTAAACTTCTGTGTCAGTGAAAAGACTTTGGTGTACTTTGGTGATGAATATTTCATGGAATAAGAGTGCCCTGAAACACCATTTGGGATGGAACAATAACAAATATTTGCTTCTTCACAGTTTGGTTAAACATAGGTTTGCCAGGTAAAATACAGGAAGTTCAGTTGAATGTGGGTTTCAGATTGTATTAGTCCATTCTCACACTGCTATAAAGAGCTACACGAGACTGGGTAATTTATAAAGGAAAGAGATTTAATTCACTCACAGTTCTGCATGACTGAGGAGTCCTCAGGAAACTTACAATCATGGTGGAAGGGGAAGCAAACATGTCCTTCACATGACAGCAGGAGCAGGAGAGAGAAGTGCTGAGCAAAGGGGGAAAAGCCCCTTATAAAACCAACAGATCTCATGAGAACTCACTCAATATCGCAACAACATCAGCATGGGGGTAACTGCTCCCATGATTTAATTACCTTCCACAGGCCCCTCCTATGACATGTGGGGGTTATAGGAACTACAAATAAAGATGAGATTTGGGTAGGAACACAGCCAAACCGTATCACAGATCAGCATTGAATAATGATCATTTTTAGTAGAAGTATATATTTATATACTTGTACTAAATAACTATATACTCATTCTAAAAATTACTTTTTTGTTAATCTGATGTTCAAATTTAACTGGACAATCTGTACTTTTATTTGCTAAATTTGCCAATCTTTTTTACATGGCCATTGTATAAGGCATTGTTAGTTATTTAATTCACAGAACTTCCTCCTTTTTTCTTCCAATTCTCTGATAAGCCTTGAAAGAGTTAATCATGATCAGGCTAAGTCAATCATAGCGGTCTTGTTTCCTTTGCCATCTATTGGCATAAAGTGAGCATATGGTACAGCCAATAAGAAATAAGGAGAAGCTAATGAGGACCTTTGTAGTTCTTCCTGGTTATAAAGGGGAAAAAGTGAGAATAGTTGTTTCTATCTACTCCAAAGAAACCAGCCACCTGCTCCTTTGTCTTCCTCACATAAATGTACTAGATAGCAACACTAATGACATGACTAACACCAAATATAGGAGAGTAAAGTTTATAAATGCTCTCATCAATGGGGAAGATGGGCTTCATGAGCCAGAGGTTGGTGATGATGAGAAAATAGAAGAAACAGCAAGGTTAAAGGTGAAAATTATTTTTTAATTAAAGAGAGGCTACATTTTGTATCTGTTCACCAAACTGGTTGGATATGAAATCTAATCGGCAGTCATAGGTGTTACCGAAAAGAAAATTTGTTTTCCTAAATTTGTCACAGCATGTCAAAAGGTCACTTAATTACATAACACACTCAGGGTATCTGAGATATTAGGAGAGGAGGGAGGGAACAGAGAGAAGCAAGGGGGAGGACTTTCATAAGCATCAGTTTATCAAAGTGTACTTATATCAAGCAGTTGTCACCTGAACACCACAAACTAATGGGCTCTTCTCATTACAATATTACAAGGAAAAATAACACTGCACTGACTTTTTGCTTCTTGCTTAGTCATTGTTACCTAAGTGTATAATACTGGAGACTATGGTGGTCCTCCTGTAGCAGTGATAGAGGAAGCCTGAATTCTTTCTACGAAAACTGAGTTGACATACAAACCTTGGATTCTGTACTTCTTGACTCCTTGTTACATAAAAAAAAAAAAATTCTTAAAATTTTGTTTTTATTTCTTACAACTAAGTTCATATCCACAAAATCATAAAAATTCTTGATTTCTTAATTTCTCTTATTCCTAAATAAAGAAGCAGCTTTGAAGACACCTATGGAGTTTCTTTTATTTGAAAATATTTGCTTAGTAACTACTATAACAAAACAAACACTTATTTAGACATAAATGTAGTCATCCACAAGAGAAATAAGTCTTTTTTTTTTTTTTTTTTTGCATTAAGGTAGAACCATTAGAGTTAAAGAAGAAGGAGGGATTCTAAAATTTAGCTAGAACACTTAGGTGAAATGGGTAAGATTGGTTAAGGATTAAGTTGAAGATACAGTAAAAAATTGCGGGCATGTAAATTTTATTATGACTTAGACATTCAAGTATAGCAATTATGCAGTAAGTTTTATATACAGTTGGAACATCAGGAGACATTAGAGATAGAAGAAAAATAGATATATAGATAGATATGTAGATAGATAGATAGATAAATAGATAGATAGTCAAAAGTACATAGGGGAAGTTAAATATAGGTGGAATGACCTAGGGAAAGAATGTAGATAGAAAAGAACAACGAAAACCAAAAGGGACTCAGGGATGTTTCCTAAAATAGCCCAGAGTTTAAATTCTATTCAGAACCAGCAACTGTTGAAGAATATAGAGAAGCAATATCCAATGAGGAATACCAGTAATTTTTTCAAAGAGCTCAATTGTATTAAACACTGCTTAGTGGTTGCTTAAAATGAAGACAAAGCAACTTCTATTGATTTTAGCCATGAAAATGCTCTCTGTGACCTTGACAAGAATTCTAAAGCGTATGTTGAAAATTGTATTAGGTAATTTAAAATGTCATTGGTGGGGGAGAAAATCTCAGTATTTTTTCATGTGAAATATGTTCTCGCAGTAACTGAAAGAAGGGAAATGAGGCAGATGACCAAAAGAAGTACATGACCAAACACTCTATGTTTGTGTGCGCCAATAACAGCTGGAGTATAGTTCATAAGTAATTAAGAGAGGATGAGCGCTATAGCAAATATAAAAGAAATGGCCTTTGATAATAACTAATCACACAGAACAATTTTACATGGTAAAATTAGATGAAGGATTCAGGACCACATATAAGTATGACTATTCGGTTGGTGATAGAATATTTAGAGAGGTAATATTGATTGAGATCCAGTTTCAAAATGAGTTTTGAGTCAAGGTTACACACTATAAGTGAAGATTGGAGAAGACATAGGTGGTTTGAGGAGATACTTGAATATACAAAATAATTATGTGAGAGCAAAATAAAACAAATTTAATGGAGAAAAAGTTGGACTACTTGATAGCATTACCCACTTTACGTTTATCTTTTTGCATTTAAAGATGAATCCAGCCAGTTCAATGCATGCTTTTTCCGTAGCAACTTTAGGAGAGTAAATATGTGGGTTCAACATTTGTTGGGATTCTATATAAGTGTGGAAGTAAAAAGCAAAAGAGTAATGATCACTTTGAAAATCTCATATTGTCGGAAGTTTGGAAGTTTTAATCTGGTGAAGGATCTGCTAGAATATTGTTCCTCACATAAATTAACTAGAACAGAAGAAGAGATACTAAAATTTCCGAAGTTACAAGAAAGCAATGCTTTGAAAAAGGCAGAGTTATTGGGCATAACAAGTTCCAGATTGTGAACTTGTATGTAGCTTCTTGCTATAGACACCATTGTTTTTTGCTCATTGAAATTTTATTTTTAGCTTGTAGTCGTTCACCCTTTCATTCAATTATCATCGTTAATTTGAACAGATAATTTGGAAAGACTGTTGAAGCACAAAATGTATTGTCTTGTTAATTTTGTTAACAATTGAATCTACAAGGAGAGTGGATTTTCATAAATAGCTATGACAGTTGCATAGTTGAAATCATGAATTCTTCATTCAGAAAATATTCTCCAAAGTGAAGATATAATACTTGTTCCTTATTTTCATAAGTCTTTGCTTTAAAAAACAACTCTATTCAAACCATTACTAATATGAATAACATCCATCCATCCAGTTTAACTTCCTATAGCTTTTATCAGGGCCATTTAGTAAAATTGAGAAAAGAGAAAATACCTAGACTGTGAAAAATCATAATCTTACACAAACGCTGCAATTTTATAATTTCCAAAATACTCCAAGATAGTATATAAAACTTACTGCATAATCTCCTTGTAGATACAATTGTTAATAAAACTAACAAGACAAAATACATTTTGTATACACAAGACAAATGCTTCTAGAGCCATCTAAATTATACAGCCTGTGTTTCCTTTTTGAAGTCAAAACAGGTTCTATGATCTCTCTTAGTATATCACTATGTCGTGGATGATAAAGCAGTTGATCATTGCTATGGCATGGATCGCCCAAAACGCATGTATCGGGAACTTAATTGCCATTGTAACAGTGTTAAGAGGTGGGTCTGTTAAGATGTGATTAGCTGAGGTGGGCAGGATCACTTGAGGTCAGGAGTTCGAGACCAGCCTGGCCAACCAGGTGAAACCCCATCTCTACTAAAAATACAAAAATTAGCCAGGCGTGGTGGCACACATGTGTAATCCCAGCTACATGAGAGGCTGAGGTGGGAGGATTGCTTGAACCTGGGAGGCAGGGGTTGCAGTGAGCCAAGATCATGCCACTGCACTCCAGTCTGAGCAACAGAATGAGACTCCGACTCAAAAAGAAAACAAGATGGGATTAGTTCATGAGGGTTCTCTCCTCTTCGATGGATTGACACCATTATAGTGGGAGTGTGTTCTTTATGAATGGACAAGTTTGTGCCCCACCACCTCCACTTTCCTGCCATGCGAAAAACAGTATTCCTTCTCTCTGGAGGATCCAACTTGAAAGTGGAGAGGAGACCCTTACCAGACACCAACCCTACCAGTGCCTTGATCTTTGACTTCCCAGCCTTCAAAACTTTGAGAAATAAATTTGTATTTTTTATAAATTACCTAGTCTTAGGCATTCTGTTGTAGCAGCACAAACAGTCTAAGACAATTATATTTGAAAGCTTTCTTAGGTGACATTATACCTTTTCTACCATCAATTCTAACAATAAAAAAAATCCCAAACCTGAACCTCATAGTTATGAGTAGTGGCTTTGCCTAATTTTTTTCTTAGAGTGTTTCTTATTTTAAGTTCTAAGTTCCAACTCTTTATTATACGAGGAGACCCTTACCAGACACCAACACTACCAGTGCCTTGATCTTTGACTTCCCAGCCTTCAAAACTTTGAGAAATAAATTTGTATTTTTTATAAATTACCTAGTCTTAGGCATTCTGTTGTAGCAGCACAAACAGTCTAAGACAATTATATTTGAAAGCTTTCTTAGGCGACATTATACCTTTTCTACCATCAATTCTAACAATAAAAAAAATCCCAAACCTGAACCTCATAGTTATGAGTAGTGGCTTTGCCTAATTTTCTTCTTAGAGTGTTTCTTATTTTAAGTTCTAAGTTCCAACTCTTTATTATACAAGTAACAACATTAGAAAAAATAAAAAAACAAAAATAATTAATAAAAACTCCTAGTTATATGACCTAATAAAATAATCATTAGAAGCACGTTCTTCTAGCTCTTCTTCTATGTATTTGTAACTATATATGTAAATGCATATGATAGTCACCTTATGGCATGTATAATTTTCATCCTGTGATTTACTGAATAATTAACTATGCTATGAATTATTAGTGCAATGGGTTACCCAGTTGAGTGATTTAAAAAATGTCTTAATATCTATTAATTCATTTGTTTTAATAGCCACATGGTGAATTTCTGGAGCTTGTGGACATTTTACAATTTTGGGGATGGTAGATGTCAATTCTTAAGAATGACTTTCTTTTGGAAAAGATAGCAGAATTGACTCTGTCTCATAAGTTTTATAGAGCAAAATATCAAGTCCAACGACTTTTTACAAAGAAAATAGTCATTGTATATCTAAATGCAAAAACTTCAAACTAAGATGGTATTATGCTAAGTCGTGTAAATTAGATTGTTCTCAGCCTACACATGGAAAGAATTAGAATATTTACATCAATTTTTAAAATCAATTCAGATTTTCACTACTTCGCTAGTGTTCATTGTCAACCACAAGTGTCATTCAAATTTGAATTATTCAGAATTTTAGAATACTTAATGATGATTAGGTGGGGCAAAGGTTACCCTCTGAAAAAAACCCATATATGTGGCAGTCATTTCCAGATGGAAATAAGCAGGTCTTAAATTGGGTCTTGCACAGTAGGTTTATCTCTTTTGCACACAGACCATTGCACACACTTTGAACGTTTCCTTTGCTATGTGGGCTTCTTCTAGGACCATAAAATTTTCATATTATGTTTACAAATTGTGAATTACTTGGGAGGCCAAGGCTGGCAGATCACCTGAGGTCAGGAGTTCGAGACCAGCCTGGCCAACATGGTGAAACCCTGTCTTTACTAAAAATACAAAAAATTAGTTGGGTGTAGTGGCACGTGCCTGTAGTCCCAGCTACTTGGGAGGTTGAGGCAGGAGAATCGCTTGAACCCAGGAGGCAGAAGTTGCAGTGAGCTGAGATCGAGCCACTGCACTCCAGCTTGGGCGACCGGGCGATACTCTTGTCTCAAAAAAAAAAAAAAAAAAAAAAAGAGAGAAAAAAGAAAAGAAAAAGAAAAAGAAAAAAAAATTGTGAATTACTTGCTCATGACACGTATTTTGTTTTTAGTACTGAGGCTAGTTAAGTAAAGCTTTGGTAAAGGTTCGCAGTGTTTTGAGGAGTTTAAAGAGAGCTATATGTATATATGATGGGAGAAAGTATATGAAAGCATCCTAAAACATTCTGGGTCCTCTAGGTCAGCAAAGGAGAGAGAAGTAGCAGAGGCAGCAAATGATGACCAACATGACTGTTTCTCAAGCATGTAAGCATAAAACCCAGACTCAATAAAGAAGTTTTACAAAAATCCTAAAAGTATTCTTACACCTTCACAGGATGACTACACCCCTAAGCATCAACCAAATCCATTTTTCATTTTGTATCTCTCTCTCCTGAGATATTTTTCATGGGATTTTTTTTTGTCATAGAAATAAATAGCAAAATATAATTTGCTTTAGAGAAAATTGCAGTATAGACAGCTTTCACAGAACTAATCTACTTATTACTTTGAACAAAACTACTTGGGTTTATACATTCTAAACATCATGATTTTTTAAAATTTAGTCTAAAATTTATAATATTATAAAGCATTATAGCCTTTGATTCTTTGAAATAATAAAATGCTTTCATCAGAACCTTTAAATAATAACATTAGTTACAATTAGTATTTTAGTTCTCCATCAATAATTGCTTAGTTTTTCTCCTTAGCAAATACTCATACAATTATAACTGAATAGTAGTCCAAATATTTTTAAAAAATGAGTTTCCTTCAAATGTCTGGAATCATATCTACATCACCTTTCTTGGCTGTTAAAAAAACACACTTCTCTTTAAGATATATTCAAAATCTCTTCTTCTATGATTCAGCCATTTCTTTAATTTCAACAAGTTTTAATGACATACTTACCAACTCTTCAGCCTAGTATGGGCTAAAACACAAAAGAAATATGAAATGATATATTCTCTTCATAAAAGGTTAGAAACCTTTAAATATGGAGTAAAAATATTACAGAGGATTGTCAGTAATTATTTGCCCGATCGAAATTAGTCATTACAAATGCAAATTTTTAAAATGAGAATCCCCAACTACTTTATTTTTTAAGACCAAGTTATAGTCAGTTCTGTAATATTACCTTTAAAAACTCTTTCCAAAGCAAGGTAAAATAAAATCTATAGTCTTTCCAATTCTTTTTAAGTGGAAGCCATTTCTTTCTTTTTGTCAACATTCACTAAGTGCCTGAAAGATGGGTCCCCTGTCTAAATTCTACCCCAACATTATAGAATGTAATAGTTTCAGTTCCTCTGAAGGTCAGATAAAGCATTTGTTCAACTTCTTCCAAGCCTTTTGGAACTAGCTCACCATAATAAAATTTATTTTTTGATGTTTTGGTGCCAAGAAACATGCAGTGTATTTTTATGAATTCTCTTGCATAATTTGTAGGAAAAAAAATAAGTTATATTCCCCAATTTTAAAGCCAAGCACTTAAAACTATTTGGCTATTTGCCAAATGTCACAACACAAGTTAGAAAAAGAAGCAACATTGGGCTCTAGTACTATCTGATTGCAGAGCATGTACTCTAAAAAATTGTTCTATTCCATACCTTTCCTCAGTCTTTCAGCATCATTAAGCACTAACATCTACACACAGCTTTAAAGTATCACAAATAGGCTTTCTGTTGAGAAACAAATTCCTACAAAATCATGGTGTCCTTGTCATGTGTCTCAGCTGGTAGCAGTCTCATCTTGGTGGCTCTTTTCTCAACTGAGTTTTTTATGAGCTCAGATGCTTGGCTCAGCTTCTGCATATTCCTCAGCATTCCACTAATGCCTTCCAGACACTCAGATTCATGGGTGAAAAGTCTAGTTTACAAATATTCTATCCACACTCCTCAAGAAGTCTGATACACCCATGTCCCAACATAATCTTTTGATGAATGCAGTTAAATAAATACCAAAGAGTAATTTATTTACATCTGGAACAGCAAACGTTTCAGTCACATTCATTTAATCGATTTGTTATTTCATTGAAAATACTCTAGGCTGTGAAACTGTGCAGAGGCTTGCCTAACATTGTCTTGCAAATGCCAAAATTAAAAGCTTAGTGCTCAGGGAGAGAAAAGGATAGTAATAATAACCTCCACACCAGCAAGAAAAACCCTGTTTCTTGGCTGACTTTCTGATTTACATTCCGAATTCCCCACTGTCCATCAGCTAAAATCTCAGTAGCTATATTTTTGCACTGTCGGAGAATAATTTAAAATGTTTTCTGCTTACATGGACACGGGGCTCTCACTCTTATAAGCCTACAATTTACATCTTTTAAGATTTAAATACATGACTGATTGCAGCAGGGGAAATGATGTGAACTTCACAACATTCTGCAAACTGCTCTGAGCCTAGAAAGAGGGGTGAAAGGCTCAATCTTTATTTGATCTTAAGATTTTGCTGTGTCAGTGAAAAATAATGTGGTAGGGGACAGGACACTCAATCTGCTGCTGGCCAGCATATTGATTATATAAGCTGTCATGTGCTATCTGGATAAAGAAATATTTTGCCATCACAGTTGGAGTTGGATATAGCAGATTTGTTGAGAAGCAAATTCAATATATTAGAGGATTTACTCCATTCTTGTTCTTTACAAAATATATCCCCCACCTACAATTATGCAATGTTGTTTCAGCAGAGAGGGTGAGTTTTGAGGAATTTACATCTTAACGTATTCCTGGTTATAACTTTATTTTTCAATTTTTAGTCAAGTCATATACCATTTACAGATACATCTTGGGAAAAAAAAGGTAGAGTTTCATTGCTTAAAGGATGCTTGCGAGCATCATTAACTTATTTTCTAGTAAGATAACAGGGGTATTAAGAAGCACAGCTAGTTAGTGGGAGGGCAGAAACTAGATCTTATTTTTCTCATTTGAGGCCATTCATTGACAACTCAAGGCAGCAGGTAACATTTGAGAACTGAAGAGCTTTTTATGTGTTGTCTTATTCACTATTATCATTTACTCCACTTGAAGTTTAGTAGCTATCCCTGCAAGAGTGAAATATTTCTATTTTTTAAATCAAGCAGTCTGATAGAGACTATTCATCATAAAAAATTCATGAGTAATTTCTGTTTTTTTAATTGCTGTGACTCATTTCCTTATTTTTCAATTGCATTGACACTAATATCTGCCTCACAGGTTTGTTTAAGGGAATATTAGAATGAAGATGTGTAAAGCAGTTGGAACAATACCTGGACATAGGGTAAGTGCTACATATACGTATTTGTTATCGTTAGAGCGTTCTTATTCTAGAAAATAGAGCTTAACCAGTTGAAACATGATTTTATTAATGTAACTTAAAACCAAAAAGTTTCCTGCATGAATCAGATGGCTAGTGTTTCAGTTTGGAAGGAAGCAAAGTGTCCCAAAAATATAAGTAAATGTTTAGACGGTGGCTTATATAACAACAACAAAAAAAATAGCCTCAACTGTGATTCAGTTGAAAGGCTGAGAGAATAATGAAATAGAGAAGCCACTTCTATGATTTTCATTCTTGTTTGTCAATGAGTCTATGCTTCCAGATCCTAAAATTTTATGTAAGATTTCTTTTAATTGTTTGGAGGGGGAGGAAAGGGGCAAGAAAAACATGAAAAACAATCTTCATTAAATTCATTGAATTGCATGTTGCAGATATTTTTATGGAATATTGGCATCCTGAAAGTAATACTTAAATAATTTCCCAGCATGGTATAATCTATGCCTGCACATATTTTGCATAAGTTATTACCTTCTACCAAGGAAGGAAAATGAGAATTGTTTAAAATGGGATATGCTTGATAGTGAATCAAATTTCCCTAGTATGTAAATTACTTCCTGGGAGTGAATAAGGCACATTGGGAGCAATTTAATAAATGATACCCTGGAGGTCTGAATGGATTAATGAAGCTGATTATCCTTTTCCTGCAGAAGGAGAAAACTGTCACTCTGCAGTTAGCCTAAATGAGCTCTCCATAGTGTCACTTGAAGGTATTTTTGCATGGAGAAAGGAGATAAATATAGGTGCCCCATTTAATTCTTCTTGGGGTAGAGCAACTTTACATGATTACTTTCTTTCTCTCTCGGTATGGTGTCATTAGCAAAGAAGGATATAGTCTTCTTGGAGAAAGAGTGAACTGGTTCTGTTAAAATAAAACACATCTACCCTGTTGGTGTGGAGCCTTGTCCAAGGTGAATGTCATAGTCTTTCTCTCCTAAATACGATGCTGATGGCTGCACCTGGCCTCCTCTGTGGTGCTTCACAGGTGTTTTTCTATAAAGCACTTCATGGAGAAGGCTTAGTGCTCTTTACACAGCCACTAACAACAGGTGAGGTGCTTATAAGTCTCAATCAGAAAACAGAGTCTTACCCTTGTATTCAAAACAACTCTATTAGTTATCTACTGTTGTGTGACAAAGTATCACAAATTTAGAGGCTTAAAACAACACAAATGTATGACATCACTCTTTTAGTCAGTTTGGGCTGCTATAACAGGAATCCCATAGACTGGGTGGCTTAAACAATAGGAAATTATTTCTCACAGTTCTGGAGGCTGAAAAGTCAAAAATCAAGGTGCCAGCCAACTCGGGTCCTGCTGAGGGCCCTCCTTCTTGTTTGCAGATTGCTGCCTTCTTGGTATATCCTCACATGGCAGAGAGAGAGAAAGAGGGAGATTGGGTCTCTTCATCTCCTTATAAGGACACCGATTCCATCATGGAGACCCCATCTTCGGGACTTCACCTAAACCTAAGTACCTCCCGAAGGCTCTACCTCCTAATGCTATCTCACTGGGGGTTAGAATTTCAACATACACATTTGGGGGAGACATAAATATGGAGTTCATAGCACTCACACTTTCCTCGGATCAGAAGTCTGGGCACAGGTTTGCTGGCTCCACTGCTCAGGGTCTCACAAGCTGAAATCAAGGTATCAGCGGGAGCCTCAGTATTATCTGAGTCTTAGCTTTCTCTTCCAAGCACATTCAGAATAATTGTTGGCAAAATTATTTTCCTTAAGGATGTAGGACTGAGTTCCTTCCTTGCTTGCTAGTTGTTGGCCAAGGATATCTTTAGTTTCAGAACCAAACGTGTTTCTAGAGACCATCCTCACGTCCTAGCCATGTGGTCCATAGTATCCGGCTCCATCAAAGGAAGGGGTTCCTCATTTTAAGGGCTCGCTGATTAGGTTTAGTCCACTCAGGATACTTCCTTATTTGCATAACTCAAAGTCAATAAATTAATGACTCCAATTACATCTGCAAAATCTCATTTGGTATATAAGGTAACATAATCACAGAAGTGCTTTCTCATTATATTCATAGGACCTGCACACTCTCAAAAGAAGAGGATTAAACAGAACGTGAATCATTGGGAGTTACAGTTGAATCCCGTGTACCATAGAATATACTATTTTTCTCCTCTGAGTTTACACGTGCAGAAGTATATGTGTGCACATACATTCACACACACATATGATATGGAATACATATATTAAAGTTTGGGACTTACAAAACAAAATTTTCCATGCTGCCAATTAAATTCTTTCCTAGGCAGTATGACATTTTTAAAAAAATCAATAGATATATGTACCTGTTCCAAAAAAGAAACAAACTGACTTGCATCTAAGAAGAATATAGTAGTATTATCTCAACATTTAAATATTGCAGTGCCAATAATATTTAGTGCTATAATAAAGTGAAAAAAGTATTTATTTACAGCAAAGACAGATTAATTTCTTTTTTTTTTTTTGACAGAGTGTCACTCTGTTGCCCAGGCTGTAGTGCAGTGGGGTGATCTTGGCTCACTGCAACCTCTGCCTCCTGGGCTCAAGTGATTCTCCTGCCTCAGCCTCCCGAGTAGTGGGGATTACAGGCATGCACCACCATGCCCAGCTAATTTTTGTATTTCTAGTAGAGATGGGGTTTCGCCATGTTGGCTAGGCTGGTCTCAAACCCCTGACCTCAGGTGATCCATTCACCTCGGCCTCCCAAACTGCTAGGATTACAGGATTCATTTCAAGGGATTTGCAGAAGAAAGAGTAAAACTTAGACACCAGGTGGTGGAAGACAAACTAAGGAGCCAGGCTGTCAAAGTTGTCAAAAGATTTTAATGGTGATTTAGAGTGGATATTTATAACTTTTCAGATTCTTTATCAAATTAATCATTGTTTATTTAACCAGTATGATTGAGCACTGAAAAGAAATGAGGTGCTATATTTGTTAGTGCCGAATATATACCCAAAACATGTGGTTAAGCAGGCCATTGTGTTAACTCACGTAATACCTACAACAACCCTAAATGGAGAATAATCATAAGAGGATTAGTTATTGGACAAAAAAGAGAGAAAAAAGCTAGAGGCTTCCTTAAAGATCTGGTCCTTGAGATGAAGTCTAAGGCTGTGTGGAAATTATTAAGCTAACGAAGATGAGATAGAGAAATTATATATATAAGACAACCAGGCACTAGAGTGTAGGGCACATTTGGGAACTACAACTTGCTCAATATTACCAGGACATGACTGTAGGTTTAAGAGAGTCCTACAAGAAAATATGACAACTAAATTGCAGAAAGGTGCTCCTTTCCCCTGGGCTGTCCCTGACCAGGATACAGGACTTGGCAAGTAGAGTGCAGGCACAATTTCAGGCCCAGTTTATCCTGACACCAGGATGCTCAGAAGGATCAGTCATAAGTTTATCTAAATTTATCTTCCCAGATCTTCTGATCTGGGTCATAAGAGAGGTAAAGGAATTCAGAAATTAAGCTCAATGGAATCAAATGAGTTAAAAGCTGATTATGCTCTATGATAAGGAGCTATGTGTACCAAGATGCCAAAGTTCATTCTAAAGAGAGGTACACATACTACAAAAATATATCATAAGTATGTGGATGTTAGAATAATACCTATGTTCTGCTTCTCAAATGGGCTCCTGCGATGGATCAACAATTTTGTCAAGAACTTTGAGCCACCTTAACATAGAAGAGTAGATTAGAAGGAGCAGCACCTTGCATGAGGCAATTTTATAGGGCTGATTTCATCTTACAGAGTCTCAGTAAGTCCCAGTTTAAATTTTCTGTGCTTGAGAGGTATAAACATGACCTTGAGAACCATCAAAGAGGCATATGCATAAAGGAAACTTGTAGCCAGAATAAGTGTAGATTTGCCAAACAAATAAAATGGACTATCAAGCCTGTTGATGTCAACATGGATAGATGACCAGAATTAACACTGTGTTATCCTCTCTGTCCCATCCCATGAAGAAAAATAAGTCCCTGGAACTTAGATTCAACCTTCAAGAAAAGACAAGTAGAGGAATTTTAAGTTGGATTTATTATAAAAATTGAGTTTCATGTGGAAACTAAAAAGATAAAATAAAGTAAATAGAACATAAATATTAATGCTATGGAATTGCAATGAATTAACTAAGGCCCTACATATATTGAAAAGTGTAAATAGAAACTGAGCTCTGCTGAACTCATGACTTAATGATTTACTGGATTTAAATAAAATACAAGTTCCTTAGTATTCACACATTATCTTTTAAAAATTTGCTTGTGTCTAATAACACAGTTCATTACTTGAACTCTCTTGCCAGTCCTAAAGTCTTCTGTAACAAATCTTATGTCTGGAAAATCTATAACATTGATGATTTTTGTATACAAATGGGTTAAAATCATATAAAAATATCAATAACACAGAATATATGAAAATCATCAATTATATAGTATATAAAAATCACCTATGATATGGTATATAAGATCATCAATGATATAGTATATAAAAATCATTAATGATATAATTTTTCTAGACATGAGATTTGTGATAGTAGAATTTAGGACAGGCAAGAGAGCTCAAGTGATAAACTTACTAGATACTGGCTAATTATCAAAAGACAGTGTGTGAATACTAAGGAATTGGTATTTTATTTAAATACAGTTATATCTAATAGTTTTAAGCAAAGAATCAGATTTAGATTTTAAAAATATTCTATGGCTGCAGTAAAGATGATGTGCTGGAGGATATTTGGATGGAAGACAAAAAGCCTTTATTAATGGATTCATGTTAATCCTTTGGTTCAGATGATTCAGAATGAAAATCAAAATAAATAATATCTTTTTTTTTCTTTTTTTTTTTTTAATTATACTTTAAGTTTTAGGGTACATGTGCACATTGTGCAGGTTAGTTACATATGTATACATGTGCCATGCTGGTGCGCTGCACCCACTAACTCGTCATCTAGCATTAGGTATGTCTCCCAATGCTATCCCTCCCCCCTCCCCCCCTCCCCACCACAGTCCCCAGATTGTGATATTCCCCTTCCTGTGTCCATGTGATCTCATTGTTCAATTCCCACCTATGAGTGAGAATATGCAGTGTTTGGTTTTTTGTTCTTGCGATAGTTTACTGAGAATGATGGTTTCCAATTTCATCCATGTCCCTACAAAGGACATGAACTCATCATTTTTTATGGCTGCATAGTATTCCATGGTGTATATGTGCCACATTTTCTTAATCCAGTCTATCATTGGTGGACATTTGGGTTGGTTCCAAGTCTTTGCTATTGTGAATAATGCCGCAATAAACATACGTGTGCATGTGTCTTTATAGCAGCATGATTTATAGTCATTTGGGTATATACCCAGTAATGGGATGGCTGGGTCAAATGGTATTTCTAGTTCTAGATCCCTGAGGAATCGCCACACTGACTTCCACAATGGTTGAACTAGTTTACAGTCCCATCAACAGTGTAAAAGTGTTCCACTATGAGATAGCATCTCACACCAGTTAGAATGGCAATCATTAAAAAGTCAGGAAACAACAGGTGCTGGAGAGGATGTGGAGAAATAATATCTTTTTTAACCTTCTTATACATAAATAATTATGGTGACTGAGAGAAAAAGAACAATCAAGAAAGAAGATCCTCAGGTCATATAAGTTAGATTGAAAATAATGTCTTTTGTTCAAATAAGAAAGGTAGGCAGGAACCAGCAGTGGTGATGAAAATGGTGGCTCTGTGTATTTGTGGGCCATACAAATCAGAAAGGTGAATGTTCCTGGAGCTCCAGAGAAATCTAGAGGAAGATAAGAGTTGGCTTATCAGCATAGAGGTGGTAGGTGAGGACAGGGGATTAAATAACACACAAAATATATAAAGGTAAGTAGAAGTTGAATATGGAATTCTAAGTGATTGGGAGATTAAAAAAAAATGACACACAGAAAAGAGTGAACCAGGTCACATAGAAAAACATTGCTTTCTTCAAAGACAAGAAAGGAGACAGTTTGAAGAAGAAAAGGCAAGATCAGCAGTGTAAAATGTCAAAAAGAGTTCAAATATAATAAGGACTAAAATGTGTCTATTAGATTAAGCAAAGAATAAGACAGTGATGACCTTTGTGAAAAATTCAAGAAAATGGTAAGGGCAGAAGTTAAATTGTAAGAACCTGAGAAATGGATATGAGGGAAGACCTCAGTCTTTCAATAATGTTTATCATGAAAAGAAGGAAGGTTGAATGGTAGCTAGAAACGCAGGGTGGTCATAGTGTAGAGCTTGTACTCTTAGTGAGGACAGTATCACCCCCATGGGCAAAATTAGGTTTTGTTTTTTTTTTTTTTGGTAGGTGGGCATGAAAAAAGTCTTACTTTTTAATGAGCAAAGCACTGAGATACGTGTAATATATAAACAGACAATGTATATCTGTGATATTAAAATTTCAGGTGATGAAATTCGGCAAAAATCACTAAAAAGTTTCCTTAAAAGGACAATGTTAATAACTTTTAAATTTTTGAGGGAAACTAATGTAAACTAGCAGTGTTTGCTGAAAAAAAAAGATAGTATTGAAAGATAGAAGATAAAGAAGACTATTTATAATTAATAAAAAAGATAATAAAAAGCAGACAGTCAAAAGGATCCAGATGAAAAGAAAAAGATTAACCTTAGGCCAGGCGCAGTGGCTGACGCCTGTAATCCCAGCACTTTGGGAGGTCGAGGTGGGCGGATCACGAGGTCAGGAGATAGAGGCCATCCTGGCTAACACGGCGAAACCCCGCCTCTACTAAAAATACAAAAAATTAGCCGGGCATGGTGGCGCCTATAATCCCAGCTACTCGGGAGGCTGAGGCAGAAGAATGGCGTGAACCCGGGAGGCAGAGCTTGCAGTGAGCCCAGATCGCGCCACTGCACTCCAGCCTGGGCAACAGAGCGGGACTCCGTCTCAAATAAACAAAACAAAACAAAACAAAAACAGATTAACCTTAGAAAGTGTCAATGATAATATTTTCTTTGAAAGGGGGAAATGGGTAGGAATGGAAAGAAATACACATTTCATAAATCAGAGTGTTCTGTTTATGACTTGTATCACCATGTTCCAAAGAAATGAAGTCATTTGGGAAGAGTAAAAGATTAAGAGATTAGAGAAAACAGATGAAGTTAAGGATTGAGATTATCCTGGGGAGGTGTGCTTCAATCGAAAGAGCCTTTGAAAGGGTTTGGCTCTTCTTGAAGGAAGAGGTTCAAAATGCGAAATCTCTCCTGCTGGCCTTGAAGAAGCGAATAGCCATTTTGCGAACTGTCTATGAGAGGTAGTTATATAGTAAGGACCTCAGAGTGGCTCGCAGGTCAAAGATAAGAAAGGAGACAGTTTCAAGAAGAATAGACAAGATAAGCTCTGATGTTGGAGCTCTGATCGTGTATCTAGGAGCTCAGAGCCGTTCCTGATAGATATTTAGCAAGAAAATGGGAGCTCAGTCATACAACCATAAGGACATAAAATCTTCCAAACATCTGGGATGTGTTTAGAAGCATATTCTTACCTAGTTGAGTCTCCAGATTGAGCAGATTGAGTCTCCATATATACCCTCCAGATGAGGGTATATATAAATACCCTAGTTGAGTCTTCAGATTAGGTACATATATATATACACACATACACACACACACACACACACACACACACACACCCCTCCAGATGAGGGTATAAATAATATATTTAATATTATATTATTAATTTTAGTTAATTAATAAATATAAAATATTATACAATATATAAATATACAACATATAATATTTATATATAAATATACAACATATAATATTTATATATAAATATACAACATATAATATTTATATATAAATATACAACATATAATATTTATATATAAATATATAATATATGACATATAATATTTATATATAAATATATAATATATGACATATAATATTTATATATAAATATATAATATATGACATATAATATATATATAAATATATATAATATATAACATATAATATATATATAAATATATATAATATATAACATATAATATATATATAAATATATATAATATATAACATAATATATATATAAATATATATAATATATAACATATAATATTTATATATAAATATATATAATATATAATGTATAACATTTATATATAAATATATATAATATATATTTAATCAGCCAGACTATGATATCTGTATAGCCGTATTCTGTTTTTCCACAAAATCATTTAGTTACCTAGAGGTGAGAACAAAGTGTTTCATCTAACTTGCAATTATTCTAGGAAAGGTTGGTGGAAGAAAAGAAGGAGAAAGGATGAGATGACAAAAAAGTTTAAAATATTGGCAAGAGAAAGATTTAGGTAATGGGACAAAAAGAGCAATTATTTTCAATTTATGAGAGTATGGTGGTGCAATATTCTCTGTGCCTGGGTGTCTTAATCTACATAATGAATCAATAATAGTAGTGGCCTCACAGGGTTGTAAATCCTTTTTTTTTTTTTTTTTGAGACAGAGTCTCCTTCTATTGCCCAGGTTGGAGTGCAATGGCATGCTCTCAGCTCACTGCAGCCTCAGCCTCCTGGGTTCAAGTGATTCTCCTGCCTCAGCCTCCTGAGTAGTTGAGATTACAGGCATATGCTGCCACACCTAGCTAATTTTATATTTTTAGCAGAGACAAGTTTTCACCATGTTAATCAGGCTGGTCTTGAACTCCTGACCTCAGGCGATCCACCCACCTTGGCCTCCTAAAATGCTGGGATTACAGCCATGAGCCACCACACAGGGCCAAATTCCTTTTTAATCTATATAAACCATACACAACAGTGCCTGCCCTGTGTTGGGTAGTAGTAAAAGAAGAAGTTATAGAGTAACAGCATTATAAATTGGATGATAAAGGAAGATAAGGTCAGTGCTCACATTAGAAAATAAAAATCAAGGGGCTACAAGAAAGCAGAAGGTCAAAGAGCAAAAAATGTGGTAGGAGTTAAAAAAATGAGAGAGATTAAGGAGATAGTAGTCAATGTGTAATGTTGGATTTATAATTGGAAAGAAGAGTACATGTAAGTGAACTTAAAACACACATACAGATGAATACCACATGCACACAAATGTATTCATCAGAAAATGTGTATATCAAGAAAATGTCATACGTCATATACATTTACCAACTAGGTAACCCAATTTTTCATGAAATATTTATGCAAAAGGGATGAATATGGGATAGGTGAGAATATAATGAATATATAGTTAACAGAATTGATAGTTTTCTAAATAATCTCCTAAATAAAAGACATTTCAGCTGTGATAGGGTCTCTGGTAGCATGTTTAGGAATCCTTTTTTAAAATGTATTAATCATATATGCATCGTGGTTGGTGGATTTGTTATGTACTTAACATGGAGAAATATCTAGGTATGTGGCATAAGGAAAGATATAAAATATTTTTATGGCAATATTTACCTACTTATCCTTATAGAGCCCAATAGAGAAAGAAACATACTCTATTATCGTATTTTCAGTGTTTGCTTACAAAGGTGTTTCTCAGTCAAACTCTTGGATTCACTGAAAGAGAATAGTTCACGAGGCACTTTAAAGAAAGTATGCTTATGTAGCTGCATATATAAACCTATGTCATACGAACCAATGGAGAAAGAAACATGTTCTAATAACATATTATTAATTATTGCTTAAAAAGCTGTTTATTTGTCAAACTCATCCATTCATTGAGAGAAAACTGTTTATGATGCCTCTTTTTAAAAAGCATGCTTACATTGGCTTTTTATTGCTTGAATTCTCAACTTGTCCTCATAAAGCCCAATGAAGAAACAAATAAAATTTCTTCTGATAAAATATTCTCAATGTTTTCTTAACGATATATATACAAATATTCTTATTTATTTATCTTTTGTATTATAGTTTAACTTTTTTATTATACTTTAAGTTCATATATACATATGTCATGGTGGTTTGCTGCACCCATCAACCCATCATCTGCATTAGGTATTTCTCCTGATGCTATCCCTCCCCTAGCCCCCGACCCCTTGCCAGGCCCCTATGTGGGATGTTCACCTCCCGTGTCCATGTGTTCTCATTGTTCAACTCCCACTTATGAGTGAGAACATGTGGTGTTTGGTTTTCTGTTCCTGTGTTAGTTTGCTGAGAATGATGGTTTCCAAATTCGTCCATGTCCCTGCAAAAGACATGAACTCATTCTTTTTTATGGCTGCATAGTCTCATTTTCTTTATCCAGTCTAACATTGATGGGCATTTGGGTTGGTTCCAAGTCTTTGCTATTGTGAATAGTGCTGCAATAAACATACGTGTGCATGTGTCTTTATAGTAGAACGATTTGTAATCCTTTGGGTATATACCCAGTAATGGGATTGCTGGGTCAAACGGTATTTCTGATTCTAGATCCTTGTGGAATTGTCACACTGTCTTCCACAATGGTTGAACTAATTTACGCTACCACCAACGGATATTTTTAAACTGAAATAATTATACTTAATTTGTTAAGTTTAATGCTTTGTTTCAGGCACTGAAAATCTTTATGAAAGAATAAGGTACTAATGTATCTTTTTTTCTCAAAGAGGCCACTTTGCTTTGTAATTCCTCTCAGCAAAAAGAGCAACAAATTACTTCACCCTTAGAAGTTATCTTCCTTTGTTGTAGACGTCCCTTGTTGCTCTTCTCAGATACTGTATTTTTACAAATCAAATATTTGTGGCAAACTTGTCTCAGACAAGCCTATTGAAGCCATTTTTCTAACAGCATGTGCTCACTTCCTGTTTCTGTGCCACAATTATTCTGATATTCTAAACTATATAATTATTGTCAAATCTATTATGCTAGAGATCAGTTTTTTTGTGTGTGTTTGTTTGTTTGTTTGTTTGACAGAGCCTCTCTCTGTCTCCCAGTCTGGAGTTCATTGGCTCAATCTTGGCTACTGCAACCTCTGCCACCCAGGTTCAAGGGATTCTGCCACCTCAGCCTCCCAAGCAGCTGGGATTACAGGTGCACACCACCATGCTAGGCTAATTTTTGTGTTTTTAGTAGAGATGGGGTTCCACCATGTTTGCTAGGCTGGTCTCAAACTCCTGACCTCAAGTGATCCACCCACCTCAGCCTCCCAAAGTGCTGGGATTACAGGCATGAGCTACTGCACCCGGGCGATCAGAGATTTTTGATGTTAAGATTGTAATTGTTTTGAGGTGCCATGAACTGTGCCGGTGGAAGATGACAAACTTTATTGATAAATATTGTGCATTCTGACTGCTCCACTGACTGGCTGTTTCTGTCTTTCTCCCTCTCCTTGAGCCTTCCTATTCCCTGAGACACAACAATATTGAAATTATGCCAACTAGTAACTCTACAGTGGCCTCTAAGTGGTCAAGTGGAAGAAAATAAATTACAATTCTCTCACTTTAAATCAAAAGCTAGAAATGTTTAAGCTTAATGAGGAAGGCATGTCAAAGGCTGAGATAGGGCTGGGTGCTCTGGCTCATGCTTGTAATCCCAGCACTTTGGGAGGCCAAGAAGGGCCAATCCTTGAGCTCAGGAGTTCGAGACAGGTCTGGGCAACATGCCAAAACCCCACCCCCCAAAAAAAAAATTAGCTGGTCATGGTAGTGTGTGACTCTAATCCCAGCTACTCAGGAGGCTGAGGCAGGAGAATCTCTTGAGCCTGGAAGCTTGAGTTTGCCTAGGATGATCTCGGTTGCTCATGGAGAGATCATGCCATTGCACTCCAGCTTGGGTGACTGAGAAAGACCCTGTCTCAAAACAAAACAAACAAACAAACAAACAAAGATGAGACAGGCTGAAAACTAGGCTTCTTGAAGCAAACCATTAGTCAAGTTGTGAATGCAAAAGAAAAGTTTTTGAAGGAAATTAAAGAACTACTCTATTGAACTCATGAATGATACGAAAGTGAAATATCCTTGTTACTGATATGGAGAATGTTCTGGTGGTCTAGATAGATTAAACCAGCCACAACCTTCCCTTAAGCATTAAACCTAATCCAGAGCAAAGCCCTAACTGTCTTCAATTGTCTTAAGGCAGAGAGAGTTGAGGAAGCTGCAGGAGAGAAATTTGAAGCCAGCAGAGGTAGGTTCATGAGGTTTAAGGAAAAAAGCCATCTCTGTAACATAAAAGTGCAATGTAAAGCAGTAACTGCTGATGTAGAAGCTCCACAATTTATCCAGAAGATCTGGCTAAGATTATTGATTAAAATAAACACACAAAACAGATTTTTCGTGGAGATAAATAGACTTATATTGGAACAAGATGCCATTGGGGCTTCATAGCTAGAGAAGAAAAGTCAATGCTTGGCTTCAGAGCTTCAAAGGACAGACTGATGTTCTTGTTAGGTGCTAATGCAGCTGTTGACTTCAAGTTGAAGCCAATGTGTATTTACCATTCAGAAAATCCTAGGGCCCTTAAGAATTTTGCTAATTCCATTTGGCTTGTGCTCTAAATGGAATAAAAAGCCTACATGATGGCACATCTGTTTACAGTATAGTTTACTAAATTTTTTAAGCCCACTATTGAGACCTACTGCTCAGAAAAAAAAGAGAATGTTTTCAAGATGTTACTGCTCCATTGGCAATGTACCTGTTCACCCAAGAGCTCTAACGGAGGTGTATTGGAGATTAATGCTGTTTTTCATGCCTGCTAACATAACATCCACTCTACAATTCATGGATCAAGAAGGATTTTTGACTTTCAAGTCTTGTTATTCAAGAAATAAATTTCACAAGGCTATAGCTGCCATTGATAGTGGTTCCTCTGATGGATCTTAGCAAAGTAAATTAAACACCTCTGGAAAGGATTTACTTTTCTATATTCCATCAAGAACATGTGTGATTCATGGGAGGAGGTCAAAATAACATTAACAAGAGTTTGGAAGAACTTTATTCCAACCCTCATGGATGACTTTGAGAAGTTCGAGACTTTTATGGAAGAAGTAACTGCAGATGTGGTGGAAATAGCAAGAGAACTAGAATTAGAAGTGAAGCCTGATGATACTACTGAAGTGTCTTTTTGTGGATGAGGAAAGAGTAATTTTTTTTTGAGACAGAATCTACTCCTAGTGAAAAGGCTGTAAACATTGTTAAAATTACAGCAAATAATTTAGAAGATTACAGAAACGTAGGTGATATACAATATCAGGGTTTGCGAGGATTTACTCTAATTTTCAAAGAAGTTATGTTGTGGCTAAAATACTATCAACCAGCATTGCATGATACAGATAAATCTTTCATAAAAGAAAAAACTAATTGATGGTGGAAACTTCATAGTTTTCTTAATTTAAAGAAATTGATACAGCAACCCCTATCAGCAATCACCACCCCAATCGGTCAGCAGCCATCAATATCAAGACAAGACTTTCTACCAGCAAAAATTAGGACTATTTGAGGCCTCAGATGACTGTTAGTGATTTTTAGCAGTAAAGTATGTTTTTTAACTATGATATGTACTTCTTTTAGATATCATGCTATTGTGCATTTAATATACTATATTATAGGGTGAATATAGTTTTATATACTGGTAATCCCCAAAAATTTATTTGACTCACTTTATTGCACTATTTACCCTATTTGGGTGGCCTGGATCTGACTTGTCTTCTCTCCAAGGAATGACTGTAATTGCTCTAACCAATGATTATGGTACAAACTATTATGTAGCAATTCTGAAACCAGGCCTCAGAAGACTGTGCAACTTTGAATGTTTACTTTATTTAAATTCTGTGACTGCTTTGTGCAAAAGTGCTACATGATGACAAAAGTAAGTCCCAGAGCCCACTCGTGCACTGTTCTGTAACTTACCAACTGCATGACATGCAAGTAACACCACCGTGTATCATCCAAATACCAGCCAACTCACCAGCTAACCACATCCCATGAAGAAGCCCAGCAAAAATTATCTGTGTTGACCTGGACTAGACCATCTACCTAGCCAATAAAACACGGTGAGCTAAATAAACATCTGTTACCTTAGGCCTCTAAGTTTTGAAATTACATGCACATATATAACAATGCAATGAGAAAAAAACTCTTAATATTTTGATTACATACTCAGTACAAATCACTGAAATGATAACTGTGCCTAACCGCAGAAACAAAATAAAGACAATGACAATTTTTCTTAGACTGCATTAATTGAAATAGACTTTCCAAAACAGTGATAATAATTATTCTTGGCTGCATTTTTATGGCCATATTACAGACAGAAATTACTATTCATTTCAGGTGCAACATTTATTAGAAAAGTTAATTTGCTACTGCATATGCAAAAGAAGGTAGCCAGGATTATACTCAGGAGACACCATGATTCATTTCTTCTACAGCCTGGAGACAAGAAAACCCAAGAGAAAACTAAAGACCATCTCCAAATACCTTGGATTTAATATGTCATGGATAATTGAATTTATATTGTGTATCACTCTCAAATGCAGAAAACAGATCAGAACATACATGTTTAGGGGTTAATAATCAGAAGTTTAATCTAAACAGAAACATTCTGATGATTAAAATTCAAAAGGGTATTTTGTTGGGAATTGCACTGAAATTGTAGATTGCTTTTGGCAGTATAGTCATTTTAACAATATTGATTCTACCCATCCATGAGCCTGGGATGTGTTTACATTTGTTTGTGTCATCTATGATTTCTTTCAGTGCTGTTTTGTAGTTTTCCTTGTAGAGGTCTTTCACCTCCCTAGTTAGGTATATTCCTAAGTATTTTATTTTATTTTTTTATTTTATTTTGCAGCTATTGTAAAAGGGGTTGAGTTCTTTATTTGATTCTCAGCTTGGTCGCTGTTGGTGTATAGAAGAGCTACTGATTTGTGAACATTAATATTGTATCTTGAATCTTTGCTGAATTCATTTATCAGTTCTAAGAGCTTTTTGGAAATGCCTTTAGGGTTTTCTAGGTATAGGATCATATCATCAGCTAACATCTGACTTCCTCTTTATTGATTTGGATGCTCTTTCTTCCTTTTCTTATCTGATTGCTCTGGCTAGGACTTCCAGTACTAAGTTAAATAGAAATAGTGAAAGTGGGAATCCTTGTCTTGTTTCAGTTCTCAGGGAGAATGCTTTCAACTTTTCCCCATTCAGTGTAATGTTAGCTGTGGGTTTGTCATAGATAGCTTTTATTATGTTACGTGATGTTCCTTCTATGCCTGTTTTACTGAAGGTTTTAATTATAAAGCGATGCTTGATTTTGTCAAATGCTTTTTCTGCATCTATTGAGATTATCATGTGATTTTTATTTTTAATTCTGTTTATGAGGTGTATCACATTTATTGACTAAGTTATGTCAAACCATCCCTGCATTCCCAGTATGAAACCACCTCGATCATGGTGGATTATCATTTTGATATGCTGTTGAATTCAGTGAGCTAGTATTTTGTTAAGGATTTTTGCATCTATGTTCATCAGAGATATTGGTCTGTAGTTTTTTGTTATTGTTGTTGTTTTATCCTTCCCTGGGTTTGATATTAGGGTGATAATGGTTTTATAGAATGATTTAGACAGGATTTTCTCTTACTGTGGAATAGTGTCGATAGGATTGCTACCAATTCTTCTCTGAATGTCTGACAGAATTCAGCTGTGAATCCATCTGTTCCTGGACTTTGTTTTTGTTGGCAATTTTTTTTTAATTATCACTTCAATCTTGCTGCTTGTTATTGGTCTATTAGGTGTTTCTTTTTCTTCCTGGTTTAATCTAAGATGTTTGTATATTTCCAGGAATTTATCCATCTTCTGTAGGTTTTCTAGCTATGCACACAAGGTGTGTTCATAGTAGACTTGGATGAACTTTTGTATTTCTGTGGTATCAGTTGTAATATCTCCTGTTTTGTTTCTAATTTAGCTTATTTGAATCTTCTCTCTTCTTTTCTTGGTTAACCTCACTAATGGCCTATCAATTTTATTTATCTTTTCAAAGAACCAGGTTTTTGTTTCATTTTATTTTGTATTGTTTTTATTTTTGTTGTTGTTTCAGTTTCATTTACTTCTGCTCTGATCTTTTTTATTTCTTTTCTTCTGCTCGGTTTGGGTGTAGTTTATTCTTGTTTCTCTAGTTCCTGCAATGTGTGACCTTAAATTGTCTATTTGTGCTCTTTCAGACTTTTTGATGTAGGCATTTAAGGCTGTAAACTTTCCTCTTAGTGCTGCTTTTACTCTATCCCAGAAGTTTTGATAGGTTTTGTTACTGTTATTGTTCAGCTCAAAGAATTTTTAAATTTCCATCTTGATTTCATTGTTGACCCAGTGATCATTCAGGAGCAGGTTATTTAATTTCCATGCATTTGCATGGTTTTGAAGGTTCCTTTTGGAGATAATTTCCAATTTTATTCCACTGTGATCTGAGAGAGTACTTGATATAATTTGTTTTCTTAAATATATTGAGGCTTGCTTTGGGGCCTATCATACGGTCTGTCTTGGAGAATGTTCCATGTGCTGATGTATAGAATATATATTCTGAAGTACCTGAGCAGAATGTCACCACAGTTCTTCAAAGAACTAGAAAAATAATCCTAAAATTCATATGGAACCAAAAAAAGCCTACATAGGTAAAGCAGGACTAAGCAGAAGAGCAAATCTGGAGGCATCACATTACTCAACTTCAAACTGTACTATAAGGTTATAGTCAACAAAACAGCATGGTACTATATAAAAATAAGCACATAGACCAATGGAACAGAATAGAGAACCCAGAAATAAAGCCAAATACTTACAGCCAATTGATCTTCAACAAACCAAACAAAAACATAAAGTGGAGAAAAGACACCCTATTTGACAAATGGTGCCGGGATAATTGGCAAGCTACATGTAGAAGAATGAAACTGGATCCTCATCTCTCACCTTATACAAAAATCAAATAAAGATAGCTCAAAGACTTAAATCTAATATCTGAAGCCATAAAAATTCTAGAAGATAACATTGGAAAAAAACCCTTTTAGACATTGGCTCAGGAAAAGACTTCATGACCAAGAACACCCCAAAAGAAAATGCAACATAAAGAAAGATAAATATGTAGGACTCATTTAACCTAAAAAGCTTCTTCACAGTAAAATGAATAATCAGCAGAATTAACAGACAATCCACAGAGCAGGAGAAAATCTTTGCAGTCTGTCCATCCAACTAATATCAAGGATCTACAAGGATCTCAAATAAATCAACAAGGAAAAAAAAATCTCATCAAGAAGTGGGCTAAAGACGTGAGTAGGCAATTCTCAAAAGAAGACATACAAATGGCCAACAAACATATGAAAAAAATGCTCAACATCACTAATGATCAGAGGAATGTAAATCAAAACCACATTGTGATACCACCTTACTCCTGCAAAAATGGCCGTAATTAAAAAATCAAAAAAATAATAGATGTTGGCATGGATGTGCTGAAAATGGGACACTTTTACACTGCTGGTGGGAATGTGTGTGTATATATATATATGTATATATATATATATATATATACACACACACATATACATATATATACATGTATATACACATATATATACATATATGTATACACATATATATATGTATACATATATATATATACATACCATGGAATACTACTCAGCTATAAAAAGGAATGAAATAATGACATACTCAGCAACCTGGATGGAATTGGAGATCATTATTCTAAGTGAAGTAACTCAGGAATGGAAAAACAAACGTCATATGTTCTCACTCAAAATTGGGAGCTAAGCTATGAAGATAGAAAGGCATGAGATTGATATAATGGACTTTGGGGACTCAGGGAAATGGGGGAAGGAGGTGAGGGATAAAAGACTATTC
The DNA here is from genome assembly GCF_000001405.40 of Homo sapiens. Classification (NCBI taxonomy): domain Eukaryota; kingdom Metazoa; phylum Chordata; class Mammalia; order Primates; family Hominidae; genus Homo; species Homo sapiens. Next base: position 32,949,576 of record NC_000004.12, read on the forward strand.
ATTGGGTATGGTGTACACTTATCAGGTGATGGGTGCACGAAAATCTCTGAAATCACTACTGAAGAACTTATTCATGTGACCAAATACCACCTGTGGGTATGTGCTTCTCATTGGCCACAGAACCCACATAAGAACACTCAAACATCAAATAAGTTGGGAGGCAAACACCAAGAACCTATTGAAATAATAAAAAAAAGAAAATAAGACTTTTCTACCAGAATGTTACAACTGCTAAATTATGAAATTATATGAGAATAAAATTTTAAAATAATAAAGTAGACTAGTTGTTGCCTAGGACTGGTGGGTGGTGGTGATAAGGATGGGGAAAAGTGTGAAGGGGATGATTGCTAAAAATACAGGGTTTCCCTTTGGGGTGATGAAAATATTCTAGGATTGTGTTTGCACAACTCTGTGAACATGCTAGAAACCATTAAATTGTATACTGTAAACAGGCAAATACAACATTCAAAAGGGAATCAGCTGCACTCACTGATAGCCTTGAGTTTAAAGCTTTGAGTTTAAAGGCCTTGAGTTTAGCCTTTAAAGGATAAAAAGAGGCATGTTCAAAATCAATTTCCTAATAGTTATACCTATTTACCAAGCATGTAATAACAACTGATAGCCTTGAGTTTAAAGACCTTGAGTTTAGCCTTTAAAGGATAAAAAGAGGCATGTTCAAATTCAATTTCGTATCAGTTGTATCTATTTACCAAGCGTGTAATAACAATAGATAATATTTAATGGCCTAAGAACCAAAACTCTGCTAGTTCTATGTGCTTATTATCTCATTTTTAAACTCACCACAATGCTATTATATATGAGTCCATATTTCCCACATTTTAGAGGTGAGGAATGTGAGAGAAGAAAAAGGTTATGTAGTTTACCTAACATTGCACAGCTAGAAATGGCAGATACAACAATCAATCTCATCTAATAAGACTTCAAATCCCAGGTATTTAAATGGAGCATCACTGTCTCAGTGCAGAAACAGTAAAAGGCACTGTAAGGCTTAGTGGAAGACACGGCTGATTTTTTTTTTCCAAATGAACCTCTAAAGACTACCATAGCGGGAGAAAGACTGATATGAAATAAGCAAAATATGACTGAAGAAAGTGTGATAAATTTTAAATGTATATACAAACCAAATACTATGGGACCACAGTGGTAGGTGAGATTAGTTTAGCTGATGAGATTGGGGACAACTTCATGAAGGAGGTAATATTTAATTTTGACTTTGAAGAAGAGGTACAATTTTGAGCATTTTTATCACTCTAATACTTTGGTATAGATAGATGATGTTTTGCTGCTATGGGTTGAAGCAAAAACTCCAGTGGGAATGAAGAGAGAATTTCTCCCCTTCATCAGACAAAGCATGCTCTGCTACCAGAAAAGAAAAATCAGACACACAATTCTTTACATGCCTGTGGATATCTTGCTCTAAAATAACATTTTGTTTCACACACGCTGCACCACATTAAAGCATATCTCACATGCAACTTTCTTTTAATTGCATGATTTTGACATAATGCAATGCTTCCCTGTGGATTAATAAAATTAATGTTGTAAGAGTATAATTATGTGCTTCGTTGAGTTCTTATAAAATAACCCGTAGAACAAATTAGACTAACATTATTTTGAGCTAAGGGAACATTTTGCAATGACACTGGAAAAACAATTTTAAAAAGTCATAATATTTAAATCAACCTGCTAAATTATCTTCTTTGGTTTGTCTCTTCCCTCTCAACCCTGGACTTGGGTTCCACACCTTAGAATCACTTAAGAAAGCAAGCCCTTAATCTGCTCTCAAGCTAGACTCCTCCTGCTCCATCTAGTCACCTTGAGTTAGAACTTTAGTGGTAGAAAACATTGCCAGAATCAGCCTGTGATGTCTACCTTGTAATTCAGTCTCCCATGAAACTTTCCGGGCCTTTTGGGTCAGCTGTTTTATGTGCCACTGGCCTCACACACATCCCATAAGTGGACTATGCCATCCACAAAATTGACGTCTCTGACAGAACGCCTCATGCTCAGTGACGCCTCCTTTACAGAGATAGCCCCATGGGAAAAGATCAAAAGGTAGGTGGGGGGAGAAGATGTGAAAATAAAACAAACATGAATAAAAGATACAACTAATTACTGAAAAGTTGTGAATTCTATGCTAGAAAATAACGAAATTTATCCAGTAAATAATTTGAATTTCTTGAAGCTTGATGTCAGTACCATGATATGGTACTGTGTTTTGCCTCTGGTAGTGTCAACACCATCAAGAGGGGGAGATAATGAAGGAAGGTAAATCCACTGAGAATATTGTATTGATGCAAATACGTGGTGACAATGGCCAGAAGTGGAAGCTGAAGTGGGAATTAATCAAAAGGGCAGATGAGAAAGGAGCTGCAGACACAGCACAAATAGAAAATTGCACCATAACTAAGGGATGGGTTAGTAGCAGAAGTGAGTGTAAAACATTCAGCCTGGGAGACTGACAAGTTTAATTTACTCAAGAAAATCTTACTGAGTATCTCAAAACGTGCTTTCCTCAGAAAGAGGCAATTGAACATAGAAACAAAAGCTACAATCATACCATCGAGTAGCTCACAGTTGATCATGAAATGTCCATAGTTAGCACAATAAAAACAATTAGTAGTGATAAGTGATGGAACTTCAACAAATAATTTTCATGCTTATAGATAGAGGCCATGATATTGAAAGTGTGGTATTCAGAAAAAGTTTAAACAAATACATGACTATTGAGTGAGCTTTAAAAAGATAAATGTGCATGCCTTTTCTAGACATAGTTGGATGGGGAAAGGATATTCTTGGAAAAAAGACAAATAACTTTAAATACAGAGAAATGAAAAAACCCTTAACTTATAATGCTGTAACAAATGCCTAGAAGTTAGAGTTTAGTGGAGAAAGGAGGAAGAAAAGAGTAAAATATTAGGTGGTCAGAGAGCTTTTCATGAAATACTTCTGTGGATATTGCCTTGAATCAATGGAGAAACATTAAAGGATTTTAATCAGGGAAGTTCAAGGATCATATTTGTATTTCAAAAAGCTCGGTGATAGCATCATGGAGAATTGATCTTGTGTTGATCAGACTGGAAACAGAAGAATAGTTGGAGAAATTTTGCTGTAAAAGAGAGGAGGAATAGTGGGGACCTTTATTAATGGAGGGTAAGGCCAAAGGGAATAGAGAGAAGAAAACAGGTTGAAAATGGTTTATTAAGGGAACACAATCAAGATTATATGATGAATAAAGACATGTGCTAAAATTTCACTTCTTCAAAAACCTTCCCTACTAAAGCTCACTAAATAGCCACCTATGGCAGAAGTATCTGCCTACCCCACATCTTTTCCCCATGTTTTCTTAATAACACAGTGCAATCTAATTTGGACTAAGGTTGAAAAAAGACAATATCTCTTGCAGCATGATGTATTCAATTAGAGTTACATGAGGTTGTTTTGTGGAGTCTCCAGGAATATTGTTAAACCGTGTTAATCTCTTTGATAGCTGCCTGTTTTTTCTCTTCTGTGCTTTATGTTTTCTGCTGACTGGAACTTAGACTCAATAGCTGAAATCTCAGCCGATTTCATGAACTGAGAAGTGACCTTGAGTTGAAAGCTTTACATAAGGGTTATAGAGGAAAGTAACTAGTGGGTCCCTGAAGAAATTGATGCCACCATACAAGCTGTGGACTGCCTAAAAATAAATTTTCTTTGCAATGAAAGAAAATTAAATGTTACTGTTATCACTATTATTTCAGGTTTTCCGTTTCATGCAGCCAAATCTAATCATAAATGATATAACCCTCAATCATAATTAATATTCTTTGTACTTCTTACTATCTAAAATCACATATTTTATTTTTACATATGCATTGTGAACCCCTCCCCAGTGGATTATAAGTGATATGAGGGAAGAGTTATGGTTTGTCTTGTTTGTCATTCTATCTTTAACACCTAGAACTGTGTCTAGCATAAACTGAGTGGCAAGTAAATATCCTTTGGATAACTGAATGAATGGATAAAGTGGGCAGGGGGTATAGAAGAGTTGAAGATATTAAATACTTGTTTCTGGCTTTGGAGGCTACCCAGATGACATAAACATTTTTCAAAACGAAAACAAAACAAAACAAAACAACTGTGGGTCTGAGGATAGAATGAGTTCCATTTTTATCACCTTGCACCTGAGGTATATATTTTACGGCCAGGATGAATCATACAGTTAGAAAGTTAGGTACACGGACTTGAGCTCAAAAGACCGTTCTGTGCTTGGAAATAACTGCATTGTTAAGCACAAGAATACAGATGATATTATAATTTAAAGTTCAGGGAAGTCATGAGGTTGTAATGTTAAGCATAAGAATGCAGATGATATTATAATTTAGAGTTCAGGGAAGTCATGGACAGAGCAAAGCATTGAGAGCAGAGCTACAGAAACAAACAGTATGTTCAATAGAAGAGGTGTTAGAAAGGTAGGAAAATAAAGGCAGACACACCTTGCCAGTGGAGCAGGTGAGAGAAGAAAGGATGACAGAGTCAAATACTAGACTAGTAATAAGATAATAATATCCAACTAGAAGATATTTGTAAATATTGGGGAAACAGTAGCCTTTGTGAAGTGAAAAGAGGAAATTACATGGAAACAAAAATTGAGATATTGAACGAGCACCCCTTCATTAAACTGTATCAGGAAAGCGATGAGAGAAATATAGCAATATTGAGAGAGGACCATGGGACTAAGGAGGAGATGTTTGTTTATTTTAAATAAGAAACACTTGATATATCTTTATCTAGTGAAAAACCAGCATCAATAAAAACAAAGATATAAAAAAAACACAGGAAGAACTGGAAATTGTTTATGGAGTAAAATCTGTCCAGACCAAGAAAAGTAGATCTTTGGAGTATTTTGTACTAAAGATATGATATAACGTAAAAATGTCAAGGAATGCCATTTATTATAACTTTAACACATATAAAAATATTTGAAAGGCATGATGTCTTCGTGCATCTTTTCTTCCTCCCCCCAAAAATTAGCCTTCCTTTGAAAAACATGAGAGGTACTATTATATAAATATTTGGGGTCATACATTTGTTCTTACACCCAAGGAAGGTGCTTTATTTTTTCTACAGATATCAAAATTTAAAATGAAATGAAAAGGCAAGAGGCTAGAAATATGTGAACTTCAATTAGGATTTAATTAATAAAGACTGTATGATATAATGTGCCAGAATATTAATTGAATCGTGAATGGTATTGATTGCTTTTCTGGGTGTTTTAAGGCTTCTATTAAGAAGGTCAATCTGCATGTCCTTACACATCAATTCAGACTATAAGAGATGAGATTTTGACTGGGTTGATTTTTAATCTAACTCTGTCATATCATGGGAACTTAGGTAGAACTTAGTATATTGACTAGATGATTCAGAAAATAAACTCTAAAACAAATCATTAGAAATTCAGAAGATGAAAGAAAGTGACGAGATAATTTTCAGAAGATGAACGAAAGTGATGAGATAATTTTTTAAAAAGTTCCAATTTCAAATTATTGTAGGTAAGCAATACAAATCCAGTTACTAAAAAAATTAAAGATGAACATTTAAAGACCATTTCTGATTTTGTAAATGAATATATTGATCTATGTCACCGCAAATATTTCCTCTAGTCCTATTGTCCTGTCATAATTTTAGCAAAAAAGATAGTTCTCCAAAAGATGTTTTTTTTTTTTTTTTCCTTTTCGATGTTGCAAAGCCAATACCTGAAGTTGAAAGTGAGTGTCAATCAGTGCAGGCTTTATTTGATGGCCATAGAATTGAGAAGCAGGAGTACAGCTCATAAATCATCTTCTCAACAAATGAAAGGTAGGGGGATTAGAATACAGGATTTCTCCAATAAAGGGGTTGGATATTAAAAGTGATGGAAGGAATATTCATGTCCTTTCCAGAAATGGAAAAATGGGAAGTGAATTGGTAGTGCTCCCTTCCTCTTTGTCCTTTCTGGCTCATTGTAATGTCATTGTAATGTCAATTGTCAACTGTCATGTCACTGGTGGGAGTAAAATTTAACGTGATAATGAGGTTATAATGAAGTCAGAAGTCTATTTGAAGTCATTTGGTCACTTATCTTGGTTCTAATCACTCTCACCTGGTCTGATTACAAAGGGAGCTCTTTATTACAGGCATCCTGTTTCTTAAGGAAAAGCAGAGTTAGGACAGAGTAGAAATTCAGCTATGTTATGTGTTACATCAGGTAACACAGGTAACAATAAATGCCAAATTTCTCTCCAATTTATTCTTTTTTGGCGTTCTATCACTGTTGCTACTGTGGTATTACTTTATTTCTTTGATTTATCTGAAAAAAATTTATTTGTTCTTGCCTAGTTGGCTACATTTTTATATTGTGGTGATTGTGTATGACAGCATAATTATTTAATTTGCTTTTTTCATGAAAATTTTCACTAGAAATAACTTGGTTTTTATTTATTACACTGTGAAATCATCTTTGATTCAAATTCACAGGATTGATGCTTAATAGGAAATATCTTTCACCTTCCATTTCCTGGGTTTATTTATACAAAATCAGTATTTTATATCTAACAATTTGATAAATGTAGCACTGGATGACACAGTAGTTGTTTTATATAATATATAGGAAAAATATTGCTAATAGAGATATCCTCACTCTGGTAGCAAAGTGTTTCCATTGGAAGACTACTTTTGAGTCACAAAGACATGAGTTTAAACACTTACTTGTCCACTTGCTGTTCTGTGATCTGGGGCATTATGTTTAAAGCTCTAAGCCTGGTTAATGGAATCTGAAAGATGAAGATAATGCTATCTAACATGAAATTGTTGTGAGGATTAAATAATGGATGTCAACAACACAGTTACTTTGTGCCCAGACCACGATAAGTGCTTAGTTAGGTAGGAGCTATGCTAAGATGATGCAGCAGAGTTGCTCAGCATTTAGGTTTAGGAGTTAGACAACGGAGTCTTGAATATCAGCTCTGCTCTATAAAAGTATGAAGTGTGACAAGTTAAAAAAAACTATTCGGGATGCTAAGGCAGGAGAATGGTGTGAACCCGGGAGGCGGAGCTTGCATTGAGCCGAGATGGCGCCACTGCACTCCAGCCTGGGCAGCAGAGCTAGAAGGCGTCTCAAAATAAAAAAAATGAAAAAAAAACCTCTTTGAGCCTCAGTTTTTTCATATTCTACAGTGGTGTTTTTTATACCATAAAGTTATTTTGGAAACTAAGTTAGATAAAACATGGAAATCATCCACTGGGTGGCTAGACACAGTAAATATCAGACATCATAGACACATGTAGGGTGCCTATGTGTGTTTATGTTTCTGTGTTTGTATGGGTAAATGAAAAACTTGGTTTTGGAGTAATACAAATTGCACAATCACACACACATATAATAGATACACATATATTTAATATATAAATAGTTATACACATATATGATATGTATATACATCAAATGTGGAAGCATTAATTTTATTACCAACAAGTTACTATGTATTCTGACCAACAGTTAACTATGCATTTTTATTTGTAAATCAGGTGAAATTTTTTCTTTTTGCTTATCTATATTATACAAATTTTCTAAATGACTGAATTACTTGTATAAAAATTTACAAGTGCTAGCTCTATTTGCATGAAAGTCAAACTAATGTAGCTATTTTGCTTAAAACAAACATGATAAATAAGTGTATTCAAATAAATAACACAGGTACAATGATGAGAACAACAATTTCAGGTGTGAAAAATGAAAAGCATGGAAGTGACTACAGTTGTTCAACAATATCTGGGTGTTTTCTTTCCTCTGGAGCCAAAACTAAATGATATTTTCCAGCTTTTCTTTTTTCTTTTTTTCTTTTTTTGAGATGGAGTCTCGCTCTGTCACCCAGGCTGGAGTGCAGTGGCGCAATCTTGGCTCACTGCAAGCTCTGCCTCCGGGGTTCACGCCATTCTCCTGCCTCAGTCTCCCAAGTAGCCGGGACTAGAGGGGCCCACCACCATGCCCGGCTAATTTTTTTAAATTTTTTTTGTATTTTTACTAGAGATGGGGTTTCACCATCTTAGCCAGGATGGTCTCGACCTCCTGACCTAGTGATCAGCCCACCTTGGCCTCCTAAAGTGATAAGATTACAGGCATAAGCCACCACACCCTGCTGATATTTTCCAGCTTTTCTTACTGAGAGTCGAACCATTTATCTTAGATCTGACCCACGGGATGTGAATGGAAGTGGTGTGTGGTATTGATAGGCACGAAAAATAAAAATATCCTATGAAATCTGTTCATATTTTACATCCCCACTTTTCAGTTGACTTGTGAGGATAAGCTAAAAGTTGAAAGAAATCTGGACCCCTGAATGTAAGTGCTGAGTAAAAGCTTGTGCCTCGGCTTTGCTTATACCATAAATATATGGCCAACTACTATATTATTCAAGAGTTAGAGTGAAATAAATATATCTTTAGGCAAATATGAAATTATGTAACACCTCATTATACTTTTGCTGTGGCTCAAAATGCTATATACATGTTATAAAAGGAACTAAATTGAAAACAAATCACAACAGTGAGAGACAAATAGCAAGAAACAACGACAACGAAATTGGTAAATGGATATGTAGATATGAGCATGCCTTATGATATATAGTCTCATTAAAATATCATTTTTAGAGTTTAGAGTCTATAGAACAAGATAAAATTGTTTTGACGTTTAAATAAAGGATTTTAAACAAACTGAAAAATCATATTGATTGATCATTGATCACAAATCATTAGGAGATAATAGATTAAACATTGCTACATATTATGTATCAATAACCACCTACTCTATGTAAAATCTTGAAAATAAATCATATAAATTATTACTTTTAGAACTTATCTACGGAATATCTATTGTGACTAAAATTTTGTTCTAGTTACTGGTGAGTCTATAATTTTATGTTCAATAATAGCTAAGTCATTTAGATTTTTAAATATCCTCTATATCTATAGATTGTGAAGAGTTGTTCAATATGACACATGGAGGAAAACAAAAATCCATTTACATTCATTGCAGCCTCAAAAGTGCTCCACATTGATCCCTGCCTTCATGTCTTCATGCGCTCTGTATTTTCTGACACACTGATTCAGGGTTGGTCTCTGTGACCACAGAAAATGGCACTTCTCTCCATCTCTGTTTCTGTTTTAGTCTCTGTCTCTCTGTCTCTCTTTCTCTTCTCTCTCTCACTATTCATTCTAGGGAAAGCCAGCTGCCACACTGTCAGAACCCTAAAGCAATCCTAGAGAGAGGCCCACGTGGTGAGGAAAGTCAATGTTAATGAGCTATCTTGGAAACAGATCATCACCTTAAGTCCAGCCTTGCATCCCTGGCTAATATCTTACAATATTTTCGCTTCAATCTTATGAGAAACCACGATCCAGAAACACTTAGCCAAGTGACTCCTGACCCAGAGAAGCTGCAAGATAAAAAATGTGTTTTTAATTGTATGTATATTTGTAGTATTAATGTTATATTTTGCTATACATACGCAGTAAATGATAACTTCAGTAAACTAAATTAACATATCCATTTCCACACATTGTTACCTTTTTTGTATGTAGTAAGGGCACCTGAAATCAACTCCCTTGGAAAATTTTCAGTATAAAGTACAATATTATTAATAGCCATAGTCATCATGCTGTAGATTCAATCTTGATTTAATTCATCCTCTATAGCTGCAACTTTGTACTTCTCGACTAAAAAATTAACTGTTGTTTTAATTGCTAACTATGGGAGTAATTCGATACACTGCAATGAGTAAATGATTTTTAGCCTTCTGATATCTTGCTCTGATACCAAAACCAAATAGAGGAACTTTTGGCAGCAGTCCGTAAATATGAGCATTTTTACCATGTCAAATCTTGATATTTTGAAAGTTTGAGGAATAAATAGTCAATCACAATGTTTCTTTTAGTATCTATTTGTTCATTTTAGTATTTAATAGAAAGTGGCAATGGAGCAATCTCTTTCAAATGTTCTTCAGTAGTGCTCAGAGTGTCAATTATATTTTCAAAAATTTTAATAATTACACATGGTTAGTACTTACTAAGACCTCGTAGGAAAGGTAAATGCTAACTTATTCACCTGGCAATAAAGGAGTTCAAGGTAATGTTAAGTGGCCTGTCATAGATGTTACTCATAAATATAGTCTAGAATATAGTATAGAATTATGGTCTTGTTCCTCATCTTATTTTCATGAGTGAAGGATATATATAGCCAAACAACACAGAATCATCATTATTATTATCTTAATAATACTCAACTTATTCCACAGCTTGTTGAGGCAACTTACTAGAAACACAGTAAAATTATATAAAACAATGAATTCTAAAAAAAAGATGCAAAAACATAATATACATATGAAGGTTAACTGATATATGTGAGTTCTGAAAATTTTAGCAGTCAAGAAGTAAAAATATGATTAGTTACATGCTTTGTTATCCTCTCTATAACAATCCCAATGATGTCCTCAAATTAATTGCCATGTACAGCTTCACAGGTAATATTCCTACACAATATGCTTAAGAGGAAGTGTAAGGAAAATGAAGCATGAGTTTAATGAAGCTGTTTCTTGTAGCTTTTCTTGATTAAGCCTGCAACAACACACGAAATGAAAGTGATTCTTTAAGGTCAAGTTCACAAACATACTGTTCCAAATAAATGGATTTCTCAGCATCAGCTGGAGTCATTGATGATTCTCTAGCTTTCCGAGATTTACTGTACAGGTTTCAAATGATCCTCAATTAGTATCATTTTTTTTTATCCACGTTCTGAATAACAGCTGAAAACAAAGTTTGAGTTGATAACATACACTTTGTTTTTTAAGAGCTATCAATGCTGTCACTGTCTGCTTAGGACATGAGACCCTTTACCGTACAGAATTTAATAAGGTGAGGGAGGAGGAGGCTTTACCTGAATTCCTTTTTAGACATTTAATCTTTTTGAATTAAGCATTTGATTTTAGGGGCCATAGACAATCTGTACAGATTTAACTCTGTCGATCACAAGATTGTTAAGATGCCATTGAAAGGTGATTTTTGTATGTTGGGGGAGGGTCAGATTAAGAACATTACATTTGGAGGATATACATTACATCCATTTCACCATCTAGAGGAGGAGTATGTCAGTAGATATCTATAAGTGAGAAACATTTCTTAACTATCCATGTGTTAATTAGGACTATAAAGATAACTAACAACAGAAGAATCAGTCAAACTGGTTGAAATTCAGTACCTTTTGAGGGAGGGAATTAGGGTAGAAATGGGTAAGTCAGAAGACTTTTGTGTGTGTTTGTTTTATTGTTACTTTGTATATTCATTGGGATATACAGTGTTATTTGACATTATATAATATGCAGACATTATTTTAATACTAAATAATATTACTTTAGGCTGTGATTAGTCTCTAATAAATAATAGGAAGTTAATAAATGTTGGTTCTTTTTTGTGAAAGCTCCAACTTCAATGTCCAAAAAGCTATACGGTTTTTAGAAGTAAAACCTGTGGTCTAGTACTCATATATCTGAGTTATTTTTTTCCTCCTGGTTGTTTCTCCATCTTTCAATTTCTAGGAATGGGTGATATCAAATGAAGACTCAAGAGCCCACATGTTGATGATCAAAAAGTAAGCTGTGATTTTAAAAGATGGGGTAAAGGACTGAAGGAATACTTTTTTTTTTTTTTTAGATGGAGTCTTGCTCTGTCACCCAGGCTGAAATGCAGTGGCATGATCTTGGCTCACTGCAGCCTCTGCCTCCCGGGTTCAAGTGATTTTCCTGCCTCAGCCGCCAGAATAGCTGTGACTACAGGCATGCACCACCACTCCTGGCTAATTTTTGTATTTTTAGTAGAGAAGGGGTTTCACTATGTTGGCCAGGCTAGTCTTAAACTCCTGACCTCAAGTGATCCACTCACTTCAGACTCCCAAAGTGTTGGGCTTCCAGGTGTGAGCCACTGCAGCCAGCCTGAAGTAATACTTTGTAAAGGAAAGTTCAGAATTGGGTAGATTTTTCAGGAAAGGTTGCTGGCAAGCTTTTTCAACAGGATTTTGGGAAGGTATTCTGTGTTGAAGCAAAAGGTATAGGATGTAAACAGAGAGAATAACTGCCAGAGGCCACTGAGGCAGGGTCAATATGATGTGTGTGGTCAACAGCAAGCAGATTTTTATGATTTAAATGTAGGAAATATTTTCAACAAGTAACATAAAATTATGTCTTTAAACATGAAAGAAATAGGATTTGATAAGTATGTTTACTTTGTACTTGCTGGGGAATTTAATAAGCCTCTGTATGTCTCTGAGAAAGAAGTTAAATTAGAATTTGTTGATTGATTGTAATAGAAATATGCAAGATAGTTTGAAAGGAAGAGAGAGGCATGATAACTTCTTTTGCTCTAAACTTTTTCCTGTTACACAAACTAACTATATCTCTTAGTTCTGTGTTGCCTCTTTTTCCACTTCATTTATTAAAGAAAACATTTCATCTCTGTGTAAGAGATAGTATCCGCTACACTCTTTCATATGAAATTCTGTGCATATATTTATCTAAATACTAATTGTCTAACACTGATTTGAATTTGTTAGAGAGGTTAAGGGTAGTGATGAATCACTAAGTTCTGGAGAATACAAGTTTAATTTTTACTTCACGTGTCTCAAACCTTAAGATGACTAATTAGGCAGGGGTGTGATGGCTCATGTCTGTAATCCAGCACTTTGGGAGGCTGGGGTGGGAGGATTACTTGAGGTCAGGAGTTTGTGATCAGCCTGGGCAACATAGGGAAGACCCCCCACCCCAATCTTGAAAGAACATGAATTAGATAAAATTAGAGAAATTTAGTTATTCTGTCACTGAAACATTTCAGCAGTTCCAGAACAATATTATATAAATATGCATGTCTATTTGTTTATAACCCCTGACTCTAGAAAGGATTAATCAGTTTATAAAAATTCACAGAATAAAATGATAAAATGTAAGTAGATAAAAATTGCCACCAAATATACAGGTCAGGAGAGAGGAAATACTTAAAAGGCAGAGAGATATTCAGACCAATCTCCTACTAAGTTATTAAAGTTGAGCTTTATATATGGTTTGAGTTTCCAGGAGCACAAAATTGAATGGAGATTACAGTCATTAATGATTTGCAATATTTTAAGTTAGTAGACATTTTGATTTCTTTTAAGAAAACACTTTTTTTTTTTGTCCTGGAACTTAAGTCTGAAAACTTTTCTCATAATGGTGTTCATACAGAAAACAAAACACAAGGAAAATAATAAGAATAAAAATAATTAAAATTAATTGGTTTTTACTATGTACAAAACATCATGCTAAGCATGTAATGTATATCACCTATTAAATTATGTATTTTTATATGTTTTATAAATGAGTACTAAAAGAACAAATTTTTCAGTAGTTTACCCTTTGTCACATAGCTAAAAGTAGCGGAGAAGTGATTTAGTTTTTTCTCATAATAACATACTCAATTGCATCCCTATAAATAGTAAAATATTGCATTTTATAGCTCATCTAGGATTTTCCAATGGAACTGGCATATGGAATGTAAAACAAAACTCATGATGTATAATCTAAGAATGGCTGAAATAAAACTTCTGACTAGTAGTTTTAAAGTTAAAAAGCACTTCATCAATTAAGCAATTTATAATACCCAGTAAATATACAATGAAATTCAATTGCTTTTATTTTTTACTTTTTTTAGAAATGATGCCTCAGTCTGTGTCCCAGACTAGAGTGCAGTGGCATGATTATAGCTTCCTGCAGCCTCGAACTCTTGAGCTCAATCAATCCTCCTGCTTCAGTCTCTGGAATAGCTAGAACTACAGGCCCAAGCCATCTCACCCAGTTAATTTTTTTTTTTTTTTTTGAGATGGGGTCTCACTGTGCCAACCAGGCTGGAGTGCAGTGGCGCTATCTCAGGTCACTGCAGCCTCTGCCTCCTGGCTCAAGCGATCCTCCCACCTCAGCCTCCTGAATACTGTCACCCAGCTAATTATTTTTTTATTTTTTTGTTATTATTTTGTTTTTTTAGAAATCGGAGTTTTGCTATGTTGCTCATGCTGGTTTCAAACACCTGGCTTCAAGCAATCAGCTCACCTCAGCCTCCACTCAATACATTTTTTTTAACAGCATTAATGACATCTTGTAAATGCCTTACTCTGAGTTTTTACATATCTGATTGTAATTGTTTTTTAATGATCTGTTTTCTGTTCTTTGGAAATTCCTTAAAGTCTGAGACTCTCTTGCTCTTCTTCAGAATATCACATCCGCCTGATAAGTCTACATTACTTATACAAAGTGGTAAATATGTGAATACATGAATTTTAAAATATCTTTATTAAACCTTATACTGGTAGAATAGGTAGAATATGTATTTTAAGGAATGTTCTTCATTATAAATAATAACCTCAAAACTGACAGTTGAATGTTTGATGTAGAAAAGTAATCACAAAAAGAAGTCACCGATAAGTCTGTATTCACATGAACCTTCCAATTATGTAAGGACAGGAACACCTATGAAAACTGAAGAGAGAGGCGTAGATGGCCAAGTCAAATATTAACATTCTAAAATGTCTTTAACAACAAAAACATGTATGTAAAATTTGAAGCAGCAAACCATTATTTAGATCATAAATTTAGCAAAGAAAAAACGTGGAGAATTGTGCTTTAATTAAGCAACCAAAATGGTTAGATCCCTGAAAATTAGGTGATATGACCTTCTTTAAAAAGTATGGCACTGCCTTCTCAATGTTTCCGTTTATTTTTCAAATACATGTTAATTAATCAAATGAATGACCAAATTATGCAATCTCTTGAAATAAACCCAGAACAGATGCATCACACCCTGAAGTGCAACAGAAAGCCAAGGATAAGTCATTACAGATAACAAGTGAAGTTTTTTAGAGTAATTGAAAAAAATACAAATAATTATATCTCAAGTTTAAATTTTAGTCTTGCTTGCCTGGATTATATGGAATAAAATATAAAGTATACATATTAAACAAGATGGGCTGATTTTAGATGAGCCTTAATTAAATGCATGCTTTATTTTGTAGTCTTTCATATTCTTTACTGGGCTTGGAATGCTTATATTTTTGCTGTCAAGTAACTGACTATCAGTCTACCAGAAGTTTAGATCACTGCATTAAGACTGACATCTAGTTACTACTTTAACTATCCTACTATATCAGCTAAAGTGTCAATAGATGTTTGAATATACAGAATCATGGGCTTAATTTATATGGGATCAGCTAATAATATTTCATTTACAGATTCTAAGGAAACATTTTAAACCCTCATTAGGCAAGATGGAAATAAAATGTAAGTACCAAAATATAACAACAATAATAACATATAAGCACTGTACTCACATGCATTGATGTTGGTAGATTTTAGTAGCATTATCTCTTTTTAAATTTAATCTCTTCCTTCCTTCCTTTTTCAGAGGTTCAGTTGCTTCTAGAACATTATTCTTAAACATCCACCTAGAAGTTGTCTCTCCTAATCATGTGTCCATTCTGGCATCTTGGAGAACACTTCTCGGTAATACAGAGTACTGATTAAGTCTTAATTTCAGAGCCAAACATTTGAGGTTGAACTCTGGGTCTTCTTGCTAGTTATTGACAGGGTTTTTGTCTTCTCTGTATTTCAGTTTTCTTATCTGTAAAATAAGGAGTAAGAGCACTGAGAGCACGATTTTTTATAAAGATTAAAATAATATATGAAAAACATTCAAATTTATTTATTAAAAAAAGTCCCTATGCCTTGTTATTTTTAAAACATATCCATGGATTCTTTATGGTTCTGGTTACTACTTGAAAGACAGGTCTTAACTCCTGAAACAGGTCACTTTCCCTCTGCATAAGCACTAACAAAAACATAATATGCGAACCATGTTCTCCTATCCATTTATCATTCTGCTTTTAAGTCTTCTTAAGACATGACTATCCAGCTAAAATGCTTTAAGGAAGAAACTGAGGAAGGTAAACAAGGGATCATATTAGGAAAATGGAGAGAACATGGCCAAATAAATATTTCCAGGCTTCTAACAGCATCAACAACAAAAACAACAAACAAAAATGAACCATAAAAAGTAAATCCTTCAAAAGGAGATCCATTCATAGGTATATCCTAGTTTTTAAACTCACTCTGCCATCTCAGGTCCCTTCTGCTCTCTTTATAGGGATGTCTTTTCAACTCTTTCAGCCACGTCTTGGAAAATTCTACCCCTTTCTCAAATGCCTGCTTCCCACTCATTAGGTGCAAATATTTCATACCTCTGAGTCATTCAGTAAAATGTAGAGAACTCTGAATGTTAGCAGAAATATAATTGTTACCATTGAATTGTGGGTTCCAATTTGTGAAGAATTCTGTAGGTCAGAAATGAGAGCATGAGGTAAGGACTGAAGGGTAGAATGGCATTGCAAATTACAAAGATTTTACTGATATCATCACTAATATGAATTGCAAGCACATTCTTTTCTAAAGTATTGTGGACATATCATCAAATGTCTACCAGAAACACTCAGACAACATAGATAGATAGATAGATAGATAGATAGATAGATAGATAGATAGATAGATGATAGATAGATAGATAGATAGATAGATAGATAGATAGATCACATAGTTCACATATATAATAAATAAAAATAATAAAATATTATAGTATATATACACACACAAACTCACACACACACACACACACACACACACACATATATATATATATATATATATCTGTGTTATTGTACATTAAACACATTAGATCCCAAACTTGTAGATTTAGTATGGTGTCCAAAATATTTTTTAAAAAATAAAAATCAAGGATTTTCTCATAAAAAGCTTGACTTCAGTTTCCTTTAAACAATGATAAGGATTGGCCAAAATAAATATAGAGTCATCTCCTGTACATAGGATATGATAAAAAATAAAATATTTTCTTAGAAACCTCACCTTTCTTTCCCTCCTTCATGAGAGAGAGCAAATCCGTGATTAAGAGCAGAGATTTATTTATCTCCTCTTCTCTTTTCAATAAATTCTGGAATAAGAATATAGTCATACTACTTCTTAATTGTTCTTCCTTTAATTAAAAAAACTAAAATGAAATTTTGAACTGCCAATTGTAGTAAAGCCTTGATATATTTTTGTCAAAAGCATTTGTTCTCTTCAGTCTTCTTATCAGCACATTTAAATAGGTTGGTCTGCTATAGTGTAACACAAAATAATTATTAGTTTAGTATAATGCCAAAATAATCATTTAATATAGTAAATTTTTAAAAAAGATCCTCACTGTCCTGTAACTTGCTTGAGGTCAGATTTATTTTTTCTAAGTAAGGCTTTAAAAAGAAGTTAAAATTAATAAGTTCTCATTACATTCCATCTCCTGGAAGAGATAACAATCCATATCTCATTTAGTTTAATCCTCATAGCAATCCTTTAAAACAAACATAAGAAACCAAGGTTCAGAGAAGTCGATCAATATTTATCAGATCTTACGGTTATCAAGCTGTTGTGTTTCAAGCTTGAAAGTGATTGTGCTGACATTATTGACGTAATATAATTTTTAAAATTTACAGATTCAATGTTATTTTTATCAAACTACCAATGACATTTTTTCACAGAATGAGAAAAAAACTGTTTTAAAATTCATAGTGAACCAAAAAAGAGCCCAAATAGCCACAGCAAACATAAACAAAAAGAACAAAGCAGAAGTCATCACATTACCTGACTTCAAACTGTAGTACAAAGCAACAGAAACTGAAATGGCATGATACTGGTACAAAAACAGACACATAGACCAATGGAACAGAATACAAAACCCAGAAATAAAGTTGCACACCTACGGCCATCTGATCTTCATCAAAGTCAACAAAAACAAGCAATAGGAAAAAACTTTCCATTATTCAATAAATGGTGCTAGGATAACTGGCTGGCAATACACAGATAATTGAAACTAGACTCCTTCCATATACAAAAATTAACTCAAGATGGATGGAAGACTTAAATATAAGACATTGAAGTATAAGAATCCTAGAAGAAAACCCAGGAAATACCATTGTGGACCCTGGGCTCAGAAAATAATTTATGATTAAGTTTTCCAAAGCAGTTGCAACAAAATGAAAATTGATAAGGGGATATTAATTAAACTAAAGAATTGTGCACAGCAAAATAAACTCAAAAGAGTAAACAGACAACCTACATAATACGAGAAAATATTCACAAACTATGCATCTGACAAAGATCTAATATGCAGTCTATAAGGAACTTAACAAATCTATAAGGAACTTAAACAAACTAATAAGCAAAAAACAAACAATCCCATCACAAAATGGGCAAAGAACATGAACACACATCACAAAATAAGACATACAAGCAGTCAACAAACATGAAAAAATGCTCAGCATCAGTAGTCATTAGAGAAGTGCAAAGCAAAACCACAATGAAGCTGGGTGCAGTGTCTCACGCCTATAATCCTAGCACTTTGGGATGCCAATGTGGTAAGACTGCTTGAGCCCAGGAGTTCAAGACCAGTGTGAGCAACACAGTCGACTCCATCTCTACAAAAAACAGCAACAACAACAGCAACAAAACCAAAATGAGATATCATTTCATACCTTCCAGAATGGATACTACTAAAAACAAAGAATAACAGATACTGGCAAAGTTATGAAAAAAAGGGAATACTTATATATTGCTGGTAAAAATATACATTAGCTTAGCCACTGAGGAAAATGGTTTGGAAATTTCTCAGAGAAGTTAAAACAGAACTACCATTTGACCCAGCAATTCCATTATTGGGTATATACCAAAAAGAACATAAATCATTCTATGGTAAAGACACATGAACCCTTACATTCATTGTGGCACTGTTCACAATAGCAAATATGGAATCAACCTAGATGCCCATCAACAGTGGACTATATAAAGAAAATATGGTACATATACACCATGGAATACTATGCAGCCATATAAATGAATAAAATCATGTCCTCTGCAGCAACATGGACCTGGAGGCTATTATTCTAAGCAAATGAATGCAGGAATGAAAAAAAAATCACATGTTCTCACTTCTAAGTGGGAGCTAAACATTGAGTACACATGGACACAAAGAAGGGAATTGTGATGGTTAATATTGAATGTCAACTTCATTGGATTGAAGGATGTAACATACTGTTCCTGAGTGTGTCTGTGAGGGTGTTGGCAAAGGAGATGAACATCTGAGTCAGTGGACTGGGAGAAGTGGATCCACTCTCAATCATGTTGGGCCATCTAATCAGCTGTCAGCACAGCTAGGATAAAAGCAGGCAGAGGAATATGGAGGAACTAGAAGGGCTGTCTTCCGGCCTTCATCTTTCTCCCATTCTGGATGCTTCCTGCCCCTAAAGGACAGACTCCAAGTTCTTCAGCTTTTGGACTCTTGGACTTACACCAGTGGTTTGCCAGAGGCTCTCAGGACTTTGGCCTCAGACTGAAGGCTGCACTGTTGGCTTCCCTACATTTGAGGTTTTGGGACTGGGACTGGCTTCCTTGCCCCCCAGTTTGCAGAAGGGATTGTGGGACTTCCCCTTGTGATTGTGTGAATCAATACTCCTTAATAAACTCTCTTTTACATATACATCTATCCTGTTAGTTCTGTCCCTCTAGAGAACCCTGACTAATACAAGACAATAGACACTGCAGACTATCTGAGGGTATAGCTTAGGAGGAGAGTGCAGGTGGGATGAGAGTGAGAATAGAAAAACTACCTATGGTGTACAATGATTATTATCTGAGTGGCAAAATTCTCTGTACACAAACCCCCAAGGATATGCAATTTACTCACGGAGCAAACCTGCACATGTACCCCCTGAACCTAAGAGCTGGAAATTTAAAAACATCTTGAATAAAGAGATACTTTATTAATGATATTCACTATTATCTCTTATGTACATTAAAATTCTATATTAATAGTCACATACGTGAGGCCTAGAGCGGTGACTCATGCCTGTAATCTGAGCAGTTTGGGAGGTCAAGGTGGGCGGATCACCTGAGGTCAGGAGTTTGAGACCGACCTGGCCAACATGGAGAAACCCCGTCTCTACTAAAAATACAAAAATTAGCCAGATGTGGTGGCAGGAGCCTGTAATCCCAGCTACTTGGAAGGCTGAGGCAGGTGAATCGCTTGAACCCGGGAGGCGGAGGTTGCAGTGAGCCGAGATCACGCCACTGCACTCCAGTCTGGGCGATAAGAGCAAGACTCCGTCTCTAAATAAATAAATAAGAGTCACATACTTGAATCTTGATACATTTGTCTTTTTACTACTAAACAACACTCACTCACACCCAAACTTGTGGTTGGTAAACTAATTAAGAACAAAACAATTATATCTTCATGGAAACACAACTAAATTCCTATACTAGTAGATGGAGCAGTATATGGTGCACATAATGCAATTTCAGGAACTCTAATGGAGATAAGCCCATGAATTTTATTTTCTTTGGTTAACCACCATATTAGATGTCATCTTTCTTACTCCATGCAATTGTGATTTAGTAAATGAAAATGTCTTTTGCTTTCATTGTAGGCTCCTGAACTTTAGTAGGGCAAGATGAACCAGCATGCAGCCCACAGAAAGAACACAGTACAGTGCTTTAGAATTGCTTTACCTTAGCATTAGAAGGGAACTTGAATTATGTTGACTGTTCAGAAAAGAAGACAAGGAATAAGTAATACAGTCTTTTGGTAGTCTAAAGAATATTCAAAATGTTCTAAAAGGATTATTGCCTTTTCTAAGTGATCTAAAAGAATTAAAGACCAGTCTGGCCAAAATGATGAAACCCCGTCTCTACTAAAAATAAAAAAAATTAGCCAGGCGTGATGGCGCACACCTGTAATCCCACAGCTTGGGAGGCTGAGGCAGGAGAATTACTTGAACCTGGGAGGCTGAGGTTGCAGTGAGCCGAGATTGTGCCATTGCACTCTAGCCTGAGTAACACAGCAAGACTCCGCCAAAAAAAAAAAAAAAATACAACAAAAAAAAAAGAGTTAAAGAACCAAGAGTATTAGATAAGAATTTAAACCCAGAACTTTGTCAGCAAGAATTTTACACTTGGCACCAAGTGGGCTTTGTGGTAGAAAACTAGTCTTGTAACAGTTCATTTAAAATAAGATTCAATTATTTGAGAGATTCTGGCCATTTCTTTTCTTGGAGATGATGAAATGTCAGGCATTGTGCTAATTCCTCAGAATACCAAGATAAACTGATGAAGACATAAGTGAAATAGGGTGTCTACTGAAACGCTTATATGGGAAAAAAAATCTTCTATATAGAAAAATTTTCATTGTCTTTTGGGATTCTAATCCAATTATCACTTGACAGAATCGATAGTTTGGCGAGCTTTTATGGATTACTTCTCTAATGTTACCATCAAATAGGGAATCACATTTTTAAGCAATTACTCTTCTTCCTGGTCAAAAAGGTGTCGTTTCTCTTCAGGTTATGATATTATCTTTGCTGTGTTGCTTAAAAATTAAAGAGTGTTAGATTTGGTGGAACAAAAAATGTTGAGAAAAGAAAACTGCATTTGATACAATTTGGATTTGTTCAAATTTCCAAAATCAATTAGAGCTTTCTAAAATTCATAAGCACCAGAGCCTGTGTGGATATTTGATGACAAAAATTGATTTAATTTGGAGAGGATAGAAAACTTTTTACCTCATTAAAATGCAATGATCTCATTACTGGGTATAGTTTACTCTTAAAAACAAGTAGTGTGTCAAGGCAATTTCATCAAAATAAAATTACAAGACAAGAAACTCTTACTGTGTGTCAAAATGGACAACTGATATTGATTATGCAGAATTTTTAATACAGCCAACCCCCTATTTACCAGCATTTGACTTAAAAACAAATCCTTTATCTGATTATCTCTCTCATTCACAGAGTCATTCATTACCACAAATGGAAATTTCATGATCCCTGAGCACCTATTTCATGTTTACCAACTCCTATTCCTCACCCCTTCCTAATCTGTATTTTCCTGCACTTGGTTATATTTCTCCCCTGATATGTAAACTCCTCATTTTGTTGGGTTGAGGGATTGGAACTGAGGCTGATCTCCCATCTGCTCAGCTGCAGCACCCAAAAAGCCTTCTTCCCTGGCAATACTTGCTGTCTCAGTGATTGGCTTCCTGTGCAGTGAACAACAGTACCTAGACTAAACTCCTAGTGTTTTGGTAACATTATCTGAGACTTAGAAAAGAAAGTCCAAAAACCAAATTCAGAAATGTTTATGATTTGTGACACATATGAAAATACATAGTAGGTAAAATAGTTCATGTTCGTAAAACTGAGAATGGAAGCTATCATTTGTGACACATTTTTCACAGGAAATGTTCTGAACTCTAGAAAACTTACTCAATTATAAAATTTTGAAAAACATTCTATTTATCACAGCTATGTCTTCTTCAAACTTTTGTAGATATTTTGTGACAGTAAGTCTTATGATAAAATACACTACATTGATACTATGATTAAATTCGAAATTTAACCTCTTTATGGGTTTTCCAGGCACTGAGTTGCTCTCGATATTTGGAGGAGCTACATTAAATTAAACCAGAGTGTTAACTTAGACAAGTTTGAGTATAATGTACATCTAAATAGGGATACAATAGCAAACCGATGATTCTGGTCAGTGTGACAACTTAGGCATAGATACTAACAGTATAACGCAGGTAGATGATGTGAAACAAAGACTCTAAGGACAAAATTACAGACATTAAAACTAAAAGCAATAATTTCTTGGAGGGTGGAATGTGAAAATTAAAAGAAACAAGACATCATCTCAGATGTAGAAAATCATTCTGTTACGTGAAGTCTATAAGTGACATTCAGGGTAATTTAATAAGATGATTGCACAGCCAAGAACCCATTTGTATTAGTCAGGGCTCTCCAGAGGGACAGAACTAATAGGATATACATATATATGAAAGGGGGCTTATTAGGGAGAATTGGGTCATACAATTACAAGGCAAAGTTCCACAGTAGGCTGTTTGTAAACTGGGGAAAGAGAAAAGCCAGTAGCTAGCAGCAGAGTCCAAGTGTGAAGCCTCAATACCAGGGAAACTGACAGTGCAGCCTTCGGTCTGCAATCAATGGCCTGAGAGCCTCCAAGGAAGCCACAGGTGCAAGTCCCACAGTCCAAAACCCAAAGAACTTGGAGGTTGATGTCCAAGGGAAAGAGGAGAGAAAGCAAGTGTCTGGCACATGAAGAAAGAAAGAGTCAGAAGACTCAGCAAAGTAGTTTGTCCCCCTCTTCTTTCATCTGCTTTGTTCTGGCTGCACTGGCAGCTGATTGGATGATGCCCAACCTCCTTGAAGGTGGGTCTTTCTGTCCTAGTCCACTGACTCAAATGTTAATCTCCTCTGGCAACTCCCTCACAGACACACCCAGAAGCAATATTTTACCAGCCGTCTAGGTATCTTTCAATCCAGGCAAGTTGACACCTAATATTAACCATTGAGACACTCAATATAGCTGAATGACCCACAAGTTTTGTAATAGAAGATGTGCTCATTATAGTAGGTAAGACATCAAGAAACACTCTAACAGATGCCATAGGATGGAGGCTTTACCAGAAGTCATTGCAACAAGATGCCTAACTCTATGACTAGGTAAAGAACATTAAAAATTAAGTCTCTCTTATAAGGTAATTAGTAAGCATTCTGTTATAATAGAATGATTAATACATGTATTTCCTGTATTTGTATTCTCACTTCTAACAAAAACACATTAAAAAGTTGAAGATTTGGGTAGTATTGGAAGTGTTTGTTTCCGTATGTTATCTCTAACTTGATGTTGACAGCAATATTTTCTTTAAGTGTATTTATCAATACTCATGAAAAATGAATGTCTAATAATTGCTGGATATGTTAAATATTTTCAGAAAATCTGAAAGGGGAATTTGCCAAAAAGGGCACATGTTTATTAAGTAATTGTTTGGATTATGGGAATTAACTTTATATTACCTTTTCTTTTTATTACTTTTGTTTATATCACAAGACATATTTTGCATACAAGAAAGTGGATGTGTGTGTGTGTGTTTGTGTGTGTGTGTGTGTGTTTGTACATGAGCACCTGGCACTTAAAAGTAATTAGAAAGGCAACATCAATGTGGTTATTACTCAGGTACAAAGAGAGAACATCACAAAAATATCAGACCCCAATGTGCCCTTCTCCAAGGACAAACATCCCCCATTCTTCTAGGGAAAGTCCTACTTTCATAACTTTTGTGATACTCTTTTTCTAACTCTTCTATATAAGCATACAACTTATACATGCATACCTATTATATTTTAATTTTTCCATCTTTATATTCATATAAACACTTTGTATGCGTTTTCTATCTTGCTTTTCTTCACATGATATTAAATTTATGAGACGTCTGTGGTGTTACCAGTGTATCTATCTTGTTATTGTTGTTATATGACATTCCTTTTTAAGTACACACATTTAATTTATCCAAGTCACTTTTTTATGCATGTTGTGAAGTTTTTTTATTTGGAGTACAGTGAAAATGCTGCTATGAATAATTTTGAGTATATAATCATGATGTTGACAGATACTAACTTCTCCCAGGTATATGAAATAGAATTTCTGAGTCATAGGGCATGAATATTTTTTATTTTATCACATAATTTCAAGCTGTTTTGCAATAAGGTGCCATGTATAAAAGCTCCTACTTTTATTTTTTGTACTAGATTTTTCTTGTACTGCATATGCTATAAGCAACAATGTGAGCAAGTAATTTGCCACAAAAGAGCAGTCAAATCATAAGACTATAAGACTATATTTGTCTTTAACATCTAGCATAAATGATGTCAAGTGAGTATGATGGTTTATTTCTTCCTTTACTTTTTTAAAATTGCTATTAAAAAGTTAATTATAGACAATTCTTTTCTGTTTACTGAACATGCAATTATGTTTAAGACTATCTATTTCTTTTCCAGGCTCAAAGATTATCTTTTGTCACTTCAGAATTAAAAATACTCTTTTATCTATTTATCTACATAGAGCACCCTCTACAATAGTTTTAACTGAATGATTCTAACATTGCTGTTTATTTTCACTCAATTTTTTCTTTCTTCTCAATGAATCACACCATGCTATATTTTTCACAATCTATTTCCAACTCTTTTTCAGTTGTTTCTTTGTTTGACCTTACTGTCCTATCACCTTGCCTGTGGTACCCGCCTTTCTTCTCTCAATACTTAATATAAACTAACATTTATGTCTATTGATAATTTCCAGGAGCCTTAATTATCAATTTCTAAAGCAATTTAATTCCCATATGATCCTTACAAATATGATTTATCAACTTCTCTCATCACTGTAGTTTTCCTATTTTGCTTTTCCATTTATCTTTTTCATAAAAATACGACCTTGGATTGGGCATAAATTTGGGTGATTAGTATAGACCATTTAGAAGGTAATTGGTAGGGTATCTTTTATAACGTGATTAGTAAGCATGCCGGTTTATAATACAATGTTTAATACTTGTATTTCCTGCATATGTATTCTTACCTCCAAGAAAAGAGAATAAGAGAATTAATGTACAGTGTAAAACAGAAGTATTTAATTTTTGTATTTTAAGTATTTGTTATGCTAAAGAAAATTACTGTCAACAAATCAAGTTTATTTTTAAGCAAGTGTGAAAAGGCAATGTAATTGCTCTCTTAAATAGCCAGTTTGAAATAACAGAGACAATGTAAACTATGAGTGGGTGAACTGAGATAATTTCTTGTACACTTAGTTCTGGGGCTCTACAATTAGTGTTGTTTTTTTCCAATTATCTGCAAGTTGTATTTTTATAATAAAAAAGTATTAATTCATGATCTAAGGCTGTGATTTCAGAAATATGTTAAATAAATGATCCTTAAATAGTGGGAACAAAATAGATAATTACATTATTGAGATTTCACATATCTCCCATAAAATTTTAAAAATGTTTATCATTTGTTTTTTGTTTTAGGATAATATTCTCCTTTTAATTTTCTTGAAAATATTTATTTTAGGTTTAAAAATGCCTTAGCTTTTCTACTTTAGAGAAAAAGCTAAGGCATTTAGCTAAAGGCATTTTTTTTTTGGTTTTATCTTCTTTGTTTTTATCCTGTTTGGCAAAAATAAATGTGCAATATTTTCTGAAATCAGGTTGGACCTCATGATTGTGCCAGCACAGGGTAGGTAGGGGAATTAGCATGTTACCCCATGGGTCCTTTATGTGTTTTTTCATTCTAAGCACAGGGGGATGAATAGTATCTTTCAAAGAGTGTAATATAGTTCCTGTAACAGTGGAAGTCTGTGTGGCTTTGACAGGTGGGGGTAGGGGATTACTGGGTTTT
Source organism: Homo sapiens (assembly GCF_000001405.40). Classification (NCBI taxonomy): domain Eukaryota; kingdom Metazoa; phylum Chordata; class Mammalia; order Primates; family Hominidae; genus Homo; species Homo sapiens. The sequence goes on from NC_000004.12 coordinate 32,976,028, forward strand.
GGTCAGAAATATCTGGAGATAACCTGATACTCATACGGCAATTTGCTTTTATTCTCATTCCCTTGCATTCTAGCACACACATAATCTACTTATTGTAATAGTACTGTAATATGTTTCATAGTATGTGGATTAAATCTATACACTTAAAAATGATACAGGATTCAAATCATTTTCATTATCTAAAACTAACATTTTAATTCCACAGTATTTTCTGCAAATAAAAATGATGAAAGACTAGCAATAAGACAGAACCAGATATGCTCTTCATTATGATCCTAAAAATTTAAGCCTTCATTTTTTCCATAAATATGAAGAAAACAGAAAGAAGTATTATCCAAATATAAATATTCCTTTAAAAACCAATGTTGTAATCTCTGTGATTATTTATAATATATGTTTAATATGTTTTTGTTCAATGACCAAAATTATTTTATAATATGAAAGTAATTAAGTTTAATTCTCTTCATTATTAAAGAAGCATTTAATGTGTGTTACCCTGGAAATGAGTTGACATTAACTCAGAACCTTCCTTTTATTTAAATGGCACCAAATACCTGGGTATTGAAGCTCTGCATGTGGACTGTTAATTGAATTTTTCCACACTGCTTCCAGATGTTTGGCCTTGTATAAGTCTTAGGCTGACACACAGTTCAGAATGGAATCAAATCGTGTCTTTATCTTTCTATTTTACAGGTACTTTTTATCTCCTCTAAAATTATTCTAAATATTAAATTGCAAAAAAAGAAAGAAAAATAAAAGGAAACAGGGAAAGAAAAAGATGAAAAGGCAGTTGCCTGACATTGAGCAGGTTAACCAATTGTTCTTTAAATTAATTGATATAATAAAATTTATGATAAAAATGGGGACCAAAATGTGCTGATCTTAACAGTTTTATTAAGCTTTCCCCCCTTCTCCTGTCTCTTCCTCTTTCAGCCTCCTTCAACATGCAACTTATGACCTTTGTATATAGAAGATATTTTTCAATGTCATTGTTGTTGAAATATTCTCCCAGGAACATTTAGATGAACTTTGCAAAAGGCATAAAAATGTATTAGGTTCAATCTCTTCGTGCTTTGTTAAAATTTGTAATAGTATGAAAATTTGCTTTGTTTTTATAACAACTGGTTTATAAATGAATAAGGATGGAGAGGCAATTTATGTAGTGAGGGGGAGGTGGTAAGGTGGTATTTCTCTCTGAATTATGTTTTAATATTCTATTAGGCTTTAACTTCTTACATATATGAAAATAAAATGGGTTGTGAGTTATTGCATGATATCCAGGTTTTAGAATCCTTGCTTAATAATTTTAGAATCCTTACTTAATAATTTTACATATATACCATCGATACGTGTAAGATCTAGCTTAAATGCAAAAGGCAATAAAAATGTACAATGAATAGCTGAACCACAGATTTATTTCTTTATTAATTAAACCCTTATTACTATCACAGGCAACAGTTTATTCTTCCTCTCCTAGCCAAAATGCAAACATACTTTGGGTTAGAAAAGGTGACAAAGGTGATCATGACAAATACCAACAAAACGAGGAAGGTTAGGGGAAGTAGGGTGAAATGAGGCAAAAAGAGTCAACTTGATAACGGAGCAGGATCAACAGTCAGGAAAGAAGGGCTCCTGGACCCACAGGACATGGTCAAGGCATCAGAAGCATCCATTTGCATGCCCATTTGTACTTTCCCTGTGTTTTTGCAGAGCTTGAAGCCATCTTATTTTTGACAACTGACTTTCCAGTTGTTCTCTTTTTGTTATGTTGCAACATGATTAAACTTCCAGGAAAGTCTTTTTGATTCTTTATGCCAGCCTGACTATATCCAGCTACATATTACACCAATTTTGTTTTCACACAACTGGCATTTACAACGCATGTATTCTGTGTCTGTGTATTCTTCTCCCTGGTAATTAACAAATAAACAGGAGGAATGTTACCATTACGCTGTAAATAAAATGAGGCATGAAAAGCTACTAATTTGTATACAATCCTAAAAACTTATTCTCCTTCGGGTGCATACATAAAGCATTAAATTATGAAAAATCGTGGTCATATAAAATTACTTAAATTAAGGTTTTGACAAAGTATTCTTTAAACCAATGAAAAGTACCATTCTAATTTTCAAGATTGTGTGCATATACAAAGATGGTTCTTATGAAGGCATATTATCAAATTATATATCATGACAGCATTTGATTTACATTCAGCTGTTGTAAAGATCTCTCTCAATCCTCTGTTGACTTTATTAATTGCTTCTGTGAAATGTAAGCAGAGGTTTAATGGGTAATTATACTGCAAGGTCTTTTTCAAAGTGGTTCTATACTTGATCTTCTCAATTCATCCTGAATTTGTGTTTATTATTTCAGAGTTCAATGTGCATCTCTCTGATTAGATTGGAATGTGTTTGGTGTTTAAACTATTCTAGATGATAATTGCCCTTAGCAAGACAGCATCTAAAAATAAAATCAGAAAATCAAATAAATCTCCCATTTATTATTCTATGAAAAAAATCTTATATTTAATATTTAAAATAGAAGCAGCTTGAAATTCTGCTTTTCTTTTTCTTCTATCCTTTTATAATCCATGATTTCAGATTTTAGTGTTATTCTACAGGATGTATTACTAAAGTTATTTACTCACAATACCTCCTTTCCCTTTACATTCTATTTAAGGACAGTTGCAATGTTTGCGCATCCTACTTTGTTCAGTTTGCTACTTTTCACTTTGGATTCTCATTTTGCAGTCAACCTAATGTTTTCCTTAAAATGAAATGTAGTTTGAACTACAGGAACTAGGGACAAAAAATCCTCAAAGATGAGTGAGACTTGCTCATTTTCTTCAATTTGCTGATGGTTCAATGTCAGACATGTAACTAATGATTATAATTGTGGCAGAGATTTGTAATAAGTATTTGGAGAATTCCTCTAAGTTCCAGAATAACACAGCTATGAAATCATCTTTAAAATATATATTTCAGTAGGCCCTTAAAACTTTCTTTTGCTTCATCTTTGTTGTTTGTTAATAGTTGCAATTTATTTCTATTTGTGAATTTTAAATTTATAGTCTCAAATATTTATTATTTACCCTTCACTACATGAATCATGACATCCCTCTTTTCCTTACATGTGGAACTTGTAAAGAACTTCATAGAGGGAAAGTTGGAAAAGGAAGATGGATTAGAGGTGGTAGACCTCAGTCTACAGAGTGGCAGGAATGTGACCAAATGTTCAGAATATTACTGAAGAAATAGCAACAGCAAGTCTTAGCTTTCTGAGTTAATTTCTCTGTTTTCTCACTTTGAAGTGGGCTTAAAAGGAAAGGTAGAACCTAGAGTGGGTTTGTAATCCTCCACTCTCAAGGACTGTAATCCTCCACTCTCAAGGGATTCTGGTTAGTTTTGAAAAAAAAATTTACAATTAATTCTCGTGAATGAAGAAGCTGAATTTGATTTTGAATCTGGTTCTAACATGTTTGTAAGAGTGTATAGTAGTGTGACAAAATGTCAATTAGGCCAGTGACCACTTAGCTTCAGCCATAAAAAAAGTCTAGTTATTAATGTATCTATTCATTAAAACAATATTTATTCAGTACTTTCACACTGGCTGATTACCGTGTCATAAAATCTCTCTAAAAGCAGCATGGAATTCCGCATGAAAGAAGAGTGAGATAGCTATTATTAATGGCTGCAACACTTCATCCTTCCCCTTATCTATCCCTTCACTATGTGTATTTTTCTTTGATGTAGGTTGTGGTCATAAGACATGTTTTGGTCAATGTGGTGATAGTGCATGTGACAGCTTTTGTCTTTGTAGTGTTCTCATGTGCTGTCTCAATGAGAATTATACACCTGTAAAACTTTCCAGTCCAAGAAAACTGAAAGACACATGGAATATCTAGACCCAAACAGCAGCTTGAAGCCAAGCCATTGTAATCCTAGATCACGTGTAGTAGAGGCAATCTTCAGATTCATTAATGAGAATAATGATTCTTGTCTTAAGCCATTGACTTTTGTTGTGTTTTCTTATTGGCATTATTGTGGTAATAGTTGACTGATAAAACATACAGATGTTTAACTATGAATTAGTAAGTGCTATGACAGAAATATGCATGGTTATTGTTGAGCAAAAAGGAGGGACTGCCAATTTATTCTGATGTAATTAGAGAACACCTGAGAAAATCCGTAGTTTTTTACCTCTGCTTTAAAGGGAGATAATTCTGCAGGCAAGACATGCAGATGAAGAATGTTTTGAATAGGAACAATAGTTTGCAAAAAATTATGAAATATGTTGAATTACAAACAAAATTCAGAGAACATCAATATTCCTTTATGTTTTTACTTAATTTTTCCATTTTAATTTTACATTGGGCGGGGGACATGTGCCCATTTGTTACCTGGGTGTATTGCATCATGCTGAGGTTTAAGGTATGAATGATCCCATCACCCAGGTACTGAGCATAGCAGCTAATGGTTAGTTTTCTAACCGTTGTCACCCTCCTTCCCTCCCTACTCTAGTAGTCTCCAGTGTCCATTTTTGCTATCTTTATGTCCAAGAGTACTCAATGTTTAGCTTCCACTTGTAAGTGAGAACATGTGGTATTTGGCTTTCTGATTCTGCATTAATTCACTTAGGATAATGGCCGCTAGTTATATCTATGTTGCTGCATAGGACATGATTTCATTCTTTTTTATGGCTGCATAGTGTTCCATGGTGTATATGTACCACATTTTCTTTTGCAATCCATAATTGATGGGCATCCAGGTTGATTCCATGTCTTTGCTATTATGAATAGTGCTGCAATGGACATGCCAGTGCATTTGCCTTTGGTAGAACAATTTACTTTCCTTTGTGTGTATGCCCTGCAGTAGGATTGCTAGGTCAAAAATGGTAGTTTTAAGTTCTTTGAGAAATCTCTAAACTGCTTCCTATAGTATCTGAACTAATTTACATTCCTACTAGCCGTGCATAAGCATTCTCTTTTCTCTGCAGTATTGCCAACAATTATTGTTTTTTGAAGTTTAATAATGGTTATTTTGACTAGTGTGAGATGGTATGTCATTGTGATTTTGATTTGTACTTCTCTGATGCTGAGCATTTTTTTATGCTTGTTGGTTAGTTGTATGTCTTCTTTAGACAAGGGTCTGTTCATATGCATTGCCCACTTTTAAATAGCTTGTTTTTTGCTTGTTGATTAATTTAAGCTCCTATAGAGTCTAGATAGCAGATCTTTGTCGTATGCATAATTGCAAATATTTTTTCCCATTATGTAGGTTGCCTGTTCACTCTGCTGAATTTTTGATGTGCAGAGCTCTTTAGTTTAATTAGGACCCACTTATCAATATTTGTTTTGTTGCGATTGCTTTTGGGGATTTAGTTTATAAATTGTTTTCCAAGGCCAATGTCCACAATGGTATTTCCTAGGTTTTCTTCTAGGATTCTTATAGTTTGAGGTCTTACACTGAAATCTTTAATACATCTTGAGTTAGTTTTTCTGTGTCATGCAAGGAAGGAGTCTAGTTTCATTCTTTTGCATATGGCCATCCAGCTATCCCAGCACCATTTATTTAATAGAGAGTCCTTTTCCAATTGCTTATTTTTGTGAACTTTGTCAAAGATCAGATGGCTGTAAGTGTGCAGTTTTATTTCTGGGTTCTCTACTCTGTTCTATTGGTCTATGTAACGGTTTTTGTTACCAGTACCATGCTGTTTTGGTTACAAATTATACCTTACAGTATAATTTGAAGTTGAGTAATGTGATGCCCCCTGTTTTGTTCTTTTTGCTTAGGGTTGCTTTGGCTATTCCGGCTCTATTTTGATTTCCTATGAATATTAGAATAGTTTTTTCTAGTTCTTGAAAAATGACGTTGGTATTATGATAGAAATAGTGTTGAATCTGTGGATTGCTTTGGGCCATAAGACTATTTTAATGGTATTGATTTTTCCAATCTGTGAACATGAAATGTTTTTCAATTTGTTTATGTCATTGATGATTTCTTTTAGCAGTGTTTTGTAGTTTTCCTTGTAGAGATTCTTCACATACTAGGTTAGATGTGTTCTTAGGTATTTTATTTGTTGTGAGGGGGTATTGTAAATGGAATTGTGCTCTTGATTTGGCTCTCATCTTGGATGTTATTGGTATTTAGAAATATGCCTGAGTTTTTTACATTGATTTTACATCTTAAAACTTTACTTAAGTTGTTAATCAGTTCCAACAGCCTTTTGGCAGGGTCTTTAGGGTTGGTTTTCTAGGTATAGAATTATATTTTCCATGAAAAGAGTTATTTTGACTTTATCATTTATTATTTAGATACTTTTTTTCTCTTTCTCTTACTGACTGCTCTGGCTATCAGTTCTAGTATTTTGTGGAATAGGAATGGTGAGAATGGGCATCCTTGTCTTGTTCCAGTTCTCAAGATGAATGCCTTCAGTTGTTGCTCAATCAGTATGATGTTGGCTGTGGGTTTTTCATAGATGGCGCTTATTATTTTGAGGTATATTCCTTCAATGTCTGGTTTCCTGAGGGTTTTTAACATGAACGTGTGTTGGATTTCATTGAAAGCTTTTTCTGCATCTATTGAGACGATCGTATGGTTTTTGTGTTTAATTCCTTTATGAGGTGAATCACATTTATTGATTTGCATATGTTGAACACACCTTGCATCCCAGGAATAAAGCCTACTTGATCAAGATGAATTAACATTTTGATATGCTGTTGAATTTGGTTTGCTAGCATTTTATTGAGAATTTTTGTATATTCAATCAATTTTTGTATATTCAATATATTTATCAAGGAATATATTGGGCAGTAATTTTCTCTTTTCATTTTGTCTTTGTCAGATTTTGTTATAAGAATGACGTTGGCTTCATAGAATGAGTTAGGGAGGAGTCCTTTCTCCTTGATTTTTGCAACATTTTCAATAGAATTGGCACTGGCTCTTCTTGGTGCATCTGGTGAAATTCAGCTGTGAATCCATATTGTCTAGGTTTTTTTTTCTTTTTTTTTTTTTTGACTGATAGGTTTTTCATTAGTGACTCAGTTTTGGAATTTGATATTGGTCTGTTCAGGATTTCAATTTCTTCCTTATTCAATCTTGGGAAATTGTGTCCTTCCGGGAATTAATTCATTTTCTCTAGATTTTCTAGGTGTTTGTAATACTTTCTGAGGATCTTTTGTATTTCTGTGGGATCAGTTGTAATGTCACCTTCACCATTTCTGATTTTGCTTATTTAGATCTTCTGTTTTTTATTCTTGTTAATCTAGCTAGCAGGCTATAAATCTTGTTTATCCTTTAAAAAACCAAACTTTTGCTTTTGTTGATTTTTATATAGATTTTTGAGTTTCAATTTCATTTAGCTCAGCTCTGATTTTAGGTATTTCTTTTCTTCTGCTAACGTTGGGATTAATTTGTTCTTGTTTTTCTAGTTCTTCTAGGTGTGATGTTAGATTGGTAATTTCAGATATTTTCAGCTTTTGAAATAGGTGTTTATAGCTATAAACTTTCCTCTTAAAACTGCATTTGCTGCATCACAGAGATTTTGGTTTGTTGTACCTCCGTTTTTATTTATTTCAAAGAAATTTTTATTTCTGCCTTAATTTTGTTGTTTATGACTAAAATTGTAGACCTTGGCAAAATTTCATAATTTATTGTAGAAAAAAATGGAAAGTGAATAAAAGGTTTGGATTGGATTTTGTTTCTTAAGCAGAGGAGAGCCAACATTTGAATTTTATGTAAGAAATACCTCGTGAATAAAGCACTTTAACAAGTAAAATAACAGAAACAAGGATACAAGTTAAGAGATAATTGCCATAGTAAAGAAAAGAAGTGTTAGTGGCTTGACTTTTGATTGAAGCAACACAGATAAAGAGAAGTAGAGAGACGCAATAAATATATTTTCAAGGTAAAGCCAATAATACTTGTTGAGGGATTGACATTGTAGGAAGAGGTTACAATAAAATCATGACGCACAACTGGGTTTTTGACTTGGTGAATAATAAGTGTTACTAAATGATGTGGGTAACCCTAGGGAACTGTATTTGACTTTTAAAAGCACAGCATTTTAACCCTTTCTTATCAATGGAGAGTACCTGCCTTAAGAAGAGAGAGCATTTATTCTTCATTAGAAGTAGAATGCAGACAATAATTAGTTGTCGCAAAAGGAGTAAGCACATATCCTAGGATTTCTGAAAAGATGTATGTGTCTCTGACTTTTATTTGGATCCAGAGATTTGAAGAAACTATGCCACATCCATTCAGGAGAGTATGTTCAAAACGTCTGTAGCCATACCTAAGTCATGGAGAAGCAATGAAAATAACAGAAGCATGCAGTGTTTGATAAAAGCATAACTGGCTATATAAATAACATAGTCTGCCTCTAGCAGTGACAATGCTGATGTTTTTGGTAGACCATATTTGTGGCATGATTTTGCACATTGTGGCTGCTTAAACTCCAAACCATGTGTTTTGAAATTCCCTTAAAGGGATGAGGGGTATTTTAGTAAAACACATTCATATAAAAGGAAGAAGATAAACTTCATGATTATGTAAGGCTAGTCAGTAAAGTTTTTGAGAGCTCAGTGATTCTGCTACATTATAATATAAACTGCAAAGAGAAGGGCCACTTGCCACACTTTATTCTCTCCACCACTAAGAAAGAAGCCTATGTTTTTGGTTTTGGAAAGCAATTTATATATAAGGCATGTTGCTTTAACTCATTCTCCAGGTGAGCAAAAGTCCTTGAATTTTAAGAAGGATATAGTGAAAAGAAGGCTTTTTGCTTACATACACAGTGGTGCAAGGAATCATATCACTTAGCCTTTTTAACCCGGGCAATAACATAATCAGAAGCATCTGTATGCAAGTGAAAACTGTAGCAACCTCCAGTAGAATAACATGCAAGTTTTTCAGTATTTTGCTTTTTCTTCAAGTCTTACTAGTGAAATCATTTTGATAATAAAACTTGACAATCCATAATAAACAGATGTATTACATATGCTGTCCATCTTAAACTGAGTGCTATCCATTCCACGAACCCATGCAGTTTAATGCATTTTCCCTACTAAGTGGAAACTTACATATAAGATGATCCCAAGCAATTACTGAAGACACAGGTGAATATCCTGAGCAGATGGCTCATCATTACTGTTGTCTATGTCTCCCATTCTGCTTCCTTTCTCTTATTCTATATCTGCAGCTTTATGCAGAACTCCCTCTGACCAGTTGAGTAAGATTAGAAAAAATAAAGCCTAACAGATGCTACAATACCATGTACTTTGACTTTAGCTAGGCAGAATTCTATGTAATATATTATATCTCCCCTAAGTGGAGAAAATAAATATCCCAAGTGGACAGAACTTATGGTAGCACATTGAGTTGTCCCCACTGCTTGGAATGAGAAACAGCATGAGGTAAGGAAATACACAGATGCTTGGGCAGTGACTAATATGGCTTAAGAGTCAGGGACATGAAAAGACAATATTAGGAAACTGCTAGTAAGGAATTTGAAGGAAGAACTATGTTAGGGGTTGAATTGTTTCCCAAAAAAAAGATGGGCAATGAAGTTCTACCTTCAGCACCCATGAATGTGACCATATTTGAAAATAAAGCCTTTGCAAATGACAGTTAAGATTAAATCATTGGGATGGGTCCTAATCCAATGTCTGCTTTCCTTATATAAAGGGCAAATTTCGGCACAGAGACAGATACACACACACACACACACACACACACACACACACATACATACACACACGGGGGGGGAGAGAGAATATTATGTGAAGATGAAGGATGAAGGCAGAGTTTGGGGGGATACATGTACAAGCCAGGGAACATCAAAGATTGTTAACACACCACCAGAAATGAAAAAGAGAGGTATGGAACACATTCTTCTTCACTGCCTTACAGCCCTTAGAAAGAAATAACCCTGCTGATCTTGATCTTGATCTTCTAGCCTCGAGAACTGTAAGACAATAGATTTCTCTTGTTTAAGCCACTCAGTCTGTGGTATTCTGCTACAGCAGACCTGGGAAGCTAATATAAGCTTTATGGATGCACCTCACAAGAATTAACTCTTGGTATGAGTGAAATTATGCCCATTTAAAAGTGCATTCAGAGACTAATATTGTGGAGTAAGTTACAATTAATCATGAAGAAAACTTGATGTGTTCTGTGGGTTTCAGTCATTTTTTTTTATTATCTTTCAGCTTAAATATTTAATCAGTGAAGTCAAGAAAAAAGTGTCCAGATGGTGCATGGACTTTTCTTTACCAAAGCTGGCTAGGAAACTTCTAAATATACTGCATAATAGCAGAGTCAACACAGAACCTCCACAATTGCAAATTAGTCAACTTGTGGTAAGTTTATTACCTTGAAATTCCTTGTGTCATGGATAGGAGAAACATTTTAATTTCATCTAAATACTTATTCTGGCAATGTTTACTTTCTCTGACAGTCACGCTTTTGTAGCATTACTTCTGTGGACTTCCTGAATGCTGTATTTATCATCACAAATCCAGCATAGCACTGTAATGTAAGAGATAAGGTAATGGGCTGAGGCACACAAGGTTCTCTGGTCTTTTCATCTGTCCTATTACCAGAAGCAAGAGACGGCAAAATGACTTATTGAAGATTGAAGACACAGTGTTAGGGTCAGCTTGAATCAACTTCCATAGTTGAATGCCACAGCCTCTGATTCCCTTTCTGACTTTTGGGGAATATGCACTGTTAAGAGATCAAGCTTACTTTTACCCAAAAATATTTCTTGCCCTTCCAAGTGCCCTTGAGCCAGGTCATGAGCACAACCTTGGATCCATCACTGAGATACACTCACTTTTTATTTTGTATCAAAATCTAATGATTCAAGTAAATGAAATGACATAAAATCTACTATGACAGCAAGGGGCAAGCAGTCAAAACAACAGTAGTTACTAATGACAGCACTGGCTGTGGACTGTGGAGTATGCCTATGAGATAAACATGAATTTATCAGCATCAGGCATTCTTTGCCTCTTTCCTTCAATCTCATCAGATATTTCATGTTTATGAGTGCTGTAAACTGAATATTTGTGTTCCTGCCAAAATTCATATGTTAAAACTCTAACTCGCAATGGGATGGTATTAGAAGGTGGAGCCTTTGGCGGTAATTAGGTTTAGATGAGATTATGAGGGTAGATTTTTCCATGATGGGATTAGTGTTCCTATAAGAAGAGAAACAAACTAAAGCTCCCTCTCTTTCTTCCACAGGTCTACAAACCAGGAAGATGATCCTCACCAGGAAGTGAATTGGCCAGCACATTGATCTGGGACTTCCCAGCATCTAGAACTGTGAGAAATGCATGTCTGTTGTTTAAGCCACCTAGTCTATGGTGATTTTGTTATAACAGCTCCCACTGACTAATGTAAGAAGATATTCACAAAGATGAGAATCTGCTCTCCATTCCAATTATTTCACATTGTATCTATTAAGCTTCACTATAACTTGCCTGTCACAACTATCATCACAAAGGAAAACAACATATTGGATATAATACATATTAGTTTATCAAGAAGGAAATGATTCTCAATCTGATGTTGATAAGGGTATTGATGAAGGATTTTAAAAGGATAGTAGAAAACAGTAAATCCATTAACCAATTTTGCCAACAAGAGAAGCAGTAGAGTGTATGTAGAAGAATGAGTTCTGGAGCCAAACAGCCTGGGTTCAAGTCCCACTTCCAATTCTAAATTATTGTGTTACCTTTGCCACATTTCTTGTGCCTCCATACTCCTGTCTCTAAAATGGGGATACAAATTATATCTGCACTATAGTGATGCTAATATGTTTAAATGTTATAATATTTCTTACCTCCTCAAGAAGTGTCTAGGTTATAGTAAGCAATTGATATTATCTATTTACCTTAAGGATTAGTATAAATGAATGCATCAAAATATCTCTAAGAGATGAATATAAATTATAAAATTATATCTTATGTCCTAAAAAGTCAATCAATCCAGCTAAAACATTTTTATTAGCATAAATTTAATCACATAATTTGAATAAGAAAAGAGAATATGAGCACTAATTCTTACTTTATAATGGAGAAAATGTATCAATGTGAGCAGAGCTGTCCCAATAGTAGCTAGATTGAACTCCCTTACTCCACTATCAATAAAAAAGACAAACAGAAAAATCCCATCTGTCCATATGACAAGTCCAAAATCAGACACCTGCGTGGCAAATGTGTGTAGCAGTGAGTACCACAGATGCTCTAAATTTAGTACAAACCATATGCTCAATGATTTACTTAAATTGGTTGGGGATGACGATCCACTATAGAAAAAGTCCACAGAGCAATTAAGGAACAACATGTTTTGCTGCTCTCATCTCATCTTCTCTCCTTTAGTCCCAGATGTTACAACCACTACAGAGACATTAATCAATTTGTTAATTTATTGTCAGATTGTTAAAGGTTTATGAAGATTTTGACCCATTTTGCTACATTTGTTTTGGCAGCAAGATTAATTTAATTATAATTGTCTTGGGGACAAAGGGAAGACAGTAGGATATCACATGTTCTATCTGAAAGGATTCATACTTTCATCAGACAATCCAAGCATTTGTGCATTCCCAGTCTTTAAGCATGTGATTGCCCTGAAGAAATGAAGGAATAAAAGCAGCTCACATCTATCTACATTTCCTGACTGACATTACTTGTTTCCTTCACCCTTATCTCTCTAAAGGATAGTCCATAAATTTACTTGACTTCCAATAGCTCTAGTACTTTATTCACAGGTTTTTAATCTGCACTATTTTTCTACATTAAAAAAGTCAAAATATTTACATTTTAAAAATAATAAAGTTCTAGTTTAAGCCATCAGTATAAGCTTTTCAATAAAATGTGATTCATTTTTCATTTTTATATAAAAGAAAAACTCACATCGTAGGTTTTGTTCTAATTTTGCCTTAATAGGCACCTCAAACATATTAATCTAGTGATATTTTTTAGGACACAAACTCCTTGAGTCTAGCTTTCCTATTCTGTTAAGAGAAATACTCCATGTCTCTATTAGGTGACAGGGTTATTGTACAGATTAAACAGAATGATTATATAACCGTGTTTTAAATATTTTAACGGGCAAGGCTATATTGAGATTACTATTTTTTCATGTATCTTTGTGTCATCAGTCCAGCTAGACTCCTTTCTACAAGATTAGTGGATATGATACAGACACTAACATGATACTACTACAGGTACTTCTAATACAGATTTGGGACCCAGTAAGTATATATTAAAAACATGTAGAATGAACTTTTATTTAATTAAATACTCTGTGTAAATGAAAAGTTCTAGGTACATAATACAAAGCTCAAAGAAAATAATGACTAATTGCCAAAGAATCTGGAAGAAAAATATTTAAATACTCTAAGCCAGTGGTTCTCAAAATGTCTTCTCCAGACTAGCTGCATCAGAATCACCTGGGAACTTGTTAGAAAGCCTGCAAATCTTGAGTCTCCAGTTCTGACCTAGTGAAGCAGGAACTCCAAAAGTGGACTGAAACAATTTGTATTTTAACAAGTCTTCCAGCTGATTCTGATTTATGCTAAAGTGTGAGATCTACTACACTAAACAATAATGGTGGGTTGGAAATCATCATTTTTGTAATTATGTAGAATCTCCTTTAGGAGACTGGGGGTATGAAAGCCAATGTCATTCAATAATAACATACATTTAATTACTGTATTTTAATGGAGGAGCTTCACTAAAACCCCTATTAAAAATTCCATAAGGTAGAGTATTAATCCTCTAGTGCAGCACTGTTGAATAGAACTTTCTGCAATGGTAGAAGTATTTTATATCCCTGCAGTCCAATTGAAATATGGCTAGTATGAGACACTGAATTTTTGGTGTTATTTAATTTTAAGAATTTCAATTTAAGTAGCTGTACATGTCTATTGACAACCATATTGGATATAACAACACTAGTGGTTATTCATTCATTCATTCATTCATTGGTTAGAGACAAGGTATCACTGTCATCCAGGCTGGAGTGCAGTGGCACAATCACAGCTCGAGGTAGCCTCTATCTCCAAGGCTCCCAGGCTCAAGTAATCCTCCCACCCAGGCTTTTGAGTAGCAGGAACTACAGCTGTGAGCCATCACACTTGCCATTTTTTTTTTTTTAAGTAGAGATGACTATGTTGCCCAGGCTGGTCTTGAACTCCTGAGCTCAAGCAGTTCTCCCACCTCAGGCTCTTGAAGTGCTGGGATTACAGGTGTGACCCACCATGCCCGGCCAATAGATGCTGTTAGATATTGCATGAAAATCTTCAACATTATATAAAATGGGACGATTTCTTCAATGGTGGAGTCAATGAGTGTGTTTAAATCCTAGAAAAAGTGGCATTTGGGTTGTGACTCGGTGCATGGGACATAATTTCAAAAGACAGAAATGGGAGATAATGTAGAGAGAGGCTCTGACATACTAAAAAATATGGACCGACATACAAGGTGCAGAAGTTGCCCAAATTGGTTTGTGCAAAATGTACATGTTGGGAAAGCATAGAAAATAAGGATAAGCTTCATTGCATCCAGAAAAAGACAAAAATGTTTGTATTTCTTTCTCTATTCTTTTAAGAAGTAATGAATATTTAGGCAAAGGAATGACAGAATCTGTCAGATGCTTAATTGCTCCGGATGCATTAAGCGATGAAGGAGATGATTCAGGAGACTCAAAAATGAAGCTTGCAGGCAATAAGAGTACACATTTAGGCATATTTCAGTTTAATTAGATAATGATGTGAGTACCTATTATAGGACCAGTATTTGCTAATACACTAATTATTAATGTTATACAAGTATGTTCTACTTTAGCCACAAACACGAGGCACTAGTTTAACAAGCCAATTCCTAGATATCCCAGCAAACTCACTAACTCAGAACTCACTAACTCAGAATCTCCAAGTGTGAGGCCCAATAATCTATAAAATATTCAGCAATTTCAATGTTAATTCTTTAGAGCAAAAAACATATTAGAACTACGAGGCAAATGATAAGTAAGAAGTCAATTTATATGGATTCTCTATATAATTAGGTAAATATATAATATATAATATTTTGGCTGCAATATTTGCTCACCTGTGGCTTGTACTAATTTTAACTTATTTATTTCTCTGTTCTACCATCCTCATAAAATTTAATGAATTCTGAGAACCAGCTATGTGAGGTTTTTTTTAATCTATGGAGTCATACAAAGTGACATTTCAGATTAAGTCAACTATCGCTATAATTTAGCTTAAAATCATTTTCAACTGAAGAGGCCATATAATTTAGGAAGTGGAATTGGGTGTTAAACTGTTTAAATGATCACATCAGCTTGAAGCATTGCTTCATGATCAGACATATCCCTACTGTGTATTCTCAATAGATTCACATTCTTCATTTTAGAAGTCAATATTTTATGCTCCTTTTGCGAATGGGATTGTCCTTTTCTATTAGGAATTATATTGTGTGGAATATCCTACACCCCTTTCTATGGGGAAAAACAAAACACCCAAACAGTTACATGAGTGCATTTTCAGGTCTATCTGTATATTTAAGAATATAACATAAAACAGTATTTTTCTGTGTTGGTATACCTGGCATCCTACTAACTAGTTAAAGGTTTATAATGATTTTTTTTTATTTATATATCTTGTAGCCTATTTAGACTCCAAGAAATTGGGCATGTTATTAACTCAGTGAAAAAAAAGGAGTGAGGAGAAAGACTCTAAATAGGAGAGCAATTTTGATGCTGTGTCAGTGGTGGAAGTAAGCAAAATGAAATGAGTCACTTCTTTCTTTTCACTCACAGTGCAATAACTGACTCTCTTCACAGTCTTCATTTTCAAGGTAAGTGATTGAATTGTGAAACATGGATAGTCTCCAGACTTCATTTTATCAGCAATGAATTCCATTTCCTGCATGCTGAAGTAACTTGCTAATACATTGCTTTTGATACATGAAATGAGAGTAATGGACACACTTTATAAAAAAAGATATGCGTTCCTACTTGGCTTACAAAATGCTGTTCCTCTTACCTGCTACAAGTGATTAAGAGTAAAATATAAGTATTCATCAGGGAATTCTAAGCACTGTAAATTTTTCTGGCCTCATGGTGTGTTAAAGATTTTTCTCTATATAATTCTGTTTACTAACTCTTTGCACGTTGCTTATGCAGTGTGGATGCTGAAGAGTTGTGACCCTACAGCCAGAAAATAATACATACAATAAACATTTACATTCTCTACCTTAAATATTTATAAAATCTTAAAGACTGCTAGGAGCTTCTTCCATTTTTAATTGCAATCATGAAAGTGAAAACTGTTCAGTTATTCTCTGAAGAGATACTTTACTAGCCACGAAAATAGTTTTTTTAAAAAATAATATCACTTAATTATTATTTCATAATACAACTGTACAGCTATTCTATGCAATTTTATAGTTCAACTATAATAACCAGGGCATAGTACTTAATTTACATTATAATAGCAATAGAGTTATGCATAAAAGTTTATATAAACCTAGTAAATAATAAAATGGCCAAGTCGACTATATTCTAATGGACTTTAAAAAATGACTTAGTTTTTTTTTCCACTAATTATTTTTTTTTCTCATGGTTAAAATTACTGATCCCTGTGAAATGAAAAAATTCTCTATTTCTCTGTTGTTCTAGCTCACTACTAATTATACGCAGAGTCATTTTACAATGCAGTCATTTCACATACAATCCTGCTCCCATCTACCTACTTCTTCAACACCAGAGCAAATTTCATATCTTAAAATGAAACTAAATTACCCAGTAATAAAGGCCCATTCATTTGCTGTGAACTCACGACCATTTTATAAGAGCAATAGGGTGAGCTCAGCTTTGACTATAAATAAAATTTACTAAATAAATCTGACATATAAAATGAGTTGTAAGTCCAATCTTGTTGCATGGCAATCAGGCATATCAGGTAAGAATTTTTTAAAAAAGAATTATCATACTGGAACTGTTTTACATACCGATATTCAGGGATTTTAAAATTTTTCTGAAGTATGCATAATTAACAATGAAAATATGTACAAATGAACCTGTGGTTTAGACACCCTGCTGTTTTCTTAGTCTCTTCTTCTCAGGTCCCCAACATACTCTCCCTGCAAAATTCTTGATCTGGTGTCTGTTTTATACACTTCACATCACCAACTTCTGAATAAACACCCCACCCAACTTCTAAGTTCCTTCCTGACATCTGGTGTGTGCAAATGCTAGAGGACTACATCCAGCAGGAATTCTTCACCCCAGGACCTGTCCAGTATGGATGAAGAAATCTTGATGTCCTACCGGGAGGGAGGGTTGCGGGAGTAGATCTGGTGCACCTTCAATGAGAATTCAAGGAAAGAAGGCCACCATGCCATTTTATACTCACCAAGGGGTGGTAATGGTTGGAAATCAGAAATACTTATACTTTATTAAACAAGGCAGCTGAGTTATTAATTCTAGAAACATAATAAATGTGTCAAGCCTGATTAAAAAAACAAAAAAAAAAAAACAAAAACAAAAGCAAGGAAGTGTATTTTAAAGGGCTGCTATATGAGAAGCAGAAAAATACACTGAATACTGTGTGAAGGGAAATAATTGGGTTCAAAGGTCTTAGGAAGACTTGGTCAAATATTCTAGTTGCAAAGCGGGATTTAAATACGCTGTGGGGAGGCTAGTCTCTGAATGGACATATTTCTCTGTCAGATGCTTTGTAAATGAAAATATCTCTTTGCTAAATTAGTTTTTCCAGCATTTATGTGTAAATAATTAATGACTGCTTAAGCATGTCTGTGAAATATCTGATGGTTCCCATGTAAGGAGCATTACTATCAGCAATTAGGCATGAAAAGAAACCATCTTTGATCCCTTATAAAAATTGAAATAATTCTCTTTTAAAAGAAACTTACATGCATTAGAAGACCCCCATTTCCCTTAGGGATAAATTTTTTCTAGAGAGTTCCTAAACTACTTAGTGAAGCAAATGGGGACTTTAGAGCAAAGAAATGCTACACATCTGCTTTGGAACTTTAGGTTTCTATCCACCAACAATTTGCTTCTCTGGGAAAATTTTGAGATGAATTACCCAGTCCTATTTATCTTGTGCTGCTTCTGTTGCTGCTTTAACCTGAATGTATTTCATAAGTACTTCAAAAGAAACCCAGAGCAGCCGAATATGTCCTTTCTTTTTCAACAAGAAGACCCTACTTTTCAGTGCTGGAATTGCATTTTATATCTGGTTTGGAACCCAGTTCTTGAGAGCTGAACATAATCATCCTTAATCTGTTTGGTTACTTACTTATTACTTTAAAGAGTGGGGAGAAAGGGACTTCTATTGAGTTTGCTCTCCAATCCATGCCTCTTTAAAGAGTGCAGGTGAATAATCTATATTTCAAAGAAAGATGACCTTTACTTGATTTAATGGAATCTCACTTTCAATATCTGAAATGAGAAAGTGATTAAAGCTTTGGCTGATAGGCAAGATGTATTTTAGAAATAGATAAGCAAAAAAGTCAGACACTGTCAGAAAGGATTTTGACTTTCTTTAATATTTAAGTACTTCATATGAATCCTGGTTTATGCATTAACAGTATATTTTTAAGTTGGATTACAAGTCCTGCATGTTTTATATAATTCCTAATTGGTTTCTTACATAAGGTAAAGATATTGGGCAAAGCAGGTATATTTTTTTTCGGGGTTTTCATAGAGACTAGACCTATTCTGTTCTTAAAAGACCATTGGAGAATATAAGAGTCATTTGACACACTGCTTTAGAGAGTTTGCAATTCTGTTTGATATGATTTTAAATTATAATTAATTTGAATTTCAATGCCTATGTTTTGCTGTCGCCTACATTCAAAGAATTTCTCTCAACAAATTAACGGAAAAATAAATCTAACATTTATGGAGGATTCACTAGATAGCATGTGCTTTTCTAAGTGATGTACAAGTATCAGTTCATTTAATCTGCCTCTAGACCAGTACTTGACCCACAATAAAGATGTGTTGAACAATGAACAACTCTATGAAGCAGGATTGTTAACTGTCCCCACTTTATAGATAGGGACTTTGTGACAGAGATAAGTTAAAGAGCTTGCCCTTTGCCCAAGATCATAAAGTAAGTAAGTAGTGAAGCTCTGGGTTTCAACACAGGTCCCATTGTAGCACACAAATTTCTCACCATGATGCTCTGCCATGTGTTCTTCACACTAACAATAGCATATAAATTACATGTAAACAGGATTTTGTAGAAAACACTTTTGTTCACCTTCCTTTTATTCCTAAAATCATAGTGTATCTTAAAATCATATGTACCTTATCCCATTTTTAAACATTTTAATCTACACTAGTTACACTTATCTACACTTTATAGGTGAATGCTTACATGATTACTTGCTATTGTATATGATAGGATACGTATGCAGTGACAGAGTAAATGTATAAACATAACTCTTAGGGGACTAAAAAAGAGGTTATAGTCTATTTATGGATTCAGATGTATTTTATTGAGGAAGAAGAATTTATGATAACCATTCAAGCAAGGTTTTGACTATTGAAAACATCTCAGGCAGTGAGAACATCACGAGTAAAATGAGAAGGCAGGTAATTACAGTGATATTATACAATACTTCTTGGAAGTCAACTCACAGCTACAGTCATAGTACATTCTAAGTTTCTTCTATGCAAGCAAAAAATGTGGCACATTCCCTGACACTCTCAGGGTTGTTAATGGTGACCCAAATCTGTGACATCATCGGCTTTCTTTATCAAAGCCTTTAGACTGCCCCTTATAAAATCCAGGAGAGTAAGATAATTCATAATTAACTAGGAAAGAAAACTTATGTAGAATCCTCAGTCTAGTGTGTATTAGTGTTGTAATGTTGGGCAAAATAATTAGCTTCTTTGAATCTATTTTCTCATTTGTAAAATGGAGATAAATGTTAATGTTACCTTCTTAAGAGAGTTTTCTGTGAGACTCAAATGAGAGCCTTGTAATTTACAATGACAGTGCATTGTAAATTACAAAATGTTACCTATCTATTTCATGTAAAATGTCACCACCATGCAAAACATTCACTCTATTTTATTTCTACCTTTCAAAGTGGTGTTTTTGTCACTGGAAATATAAGAGACTTTTCTATGAATACTCTCAGTAATATATGAAGACAATATAGACAGAATTTTTTTAAAAAATTGAAAATAAAAAAGCAAGGAAGTCAACAAATATTTTAGATATTTAAGAGAATACTAGAAATCATAGGAAGATAATCTGACAAAATCAGAAGAAAAAGAAAAAAACACCTGACAATACCTTCTGAAAACTGAACTCAAATTCAAATCAGCAGTGTCACAGTCAGCAGCTCAGAGAGAGTGCTGTCTACCTTGGCTGCTGCTCAAGCCTCCTCACCCCATTGCCAAGTGGAGATTTCTCCCTGCCCCCATACCCCGGCCCACAGGTTCCCCATCAGTCCTTGCCTAGACATCATGAAGGCCAACTTCATTATGCCCTGATTCCTGTTCAAGTCAGTCACCATCTGAACCCTGGGATTGTTAGGTTATTTTCAATTCTTATATTTTATTCTTTTACACAGCTGTGTACAAACCCTCTTTGAACTCTTTTATCTACCCTTGAACAACTCCTGAGTTTTTCCATCTGGAACATGCCGTTATCAGCAAAATCTCCTGAAGCTCAATTATTTCCCTAAAGATTCTTTTTGCCTTCTTGCTCTAATACAGCTTTCTTCCACAGGACTTGGCTTCATATGAAATCTCCAAAATGCTCATGGTGATATTCTTTTCCGTGATTCACCTTAAAGAGAGGCTAGGTGTTTTTCTTGAACTTCATGCCCATTTTCGGACCATTTTTCCCTTTTCCTCCAAAGAGCAGGCAGTATTGAGTCTCAGAGTTTCAGGAGTATATCATACATATGGCTCCTCATTTCAGTGATTTGCCAATCTCAAGGTCACTCTCAATCACTTCTTGAAGATTTTTGCTGGTCCACTGTCTCTCTAATTTGTTCTTGCCATGTTTTTGGCAAGGCCAGTATTCTCATAGGTCATTCTTTCAGTACCTGGACTTTCAGTTCCTTCACTTCTTTTCTATTTATCTTATCTCCTGTCCTACCTCAACATCTCACTTTCCAAGCCCAAACTCCAAAACATATCATTACCAATAACTTTAGACCCTCCATAATCCCAAATTCAAGAATTCAACTCCATTCTACCTCTTTCATCCACATAACTCTACCCAGACACTAATAATTTCTGTATCCTTCTAAGAATTTTAGATCAATAATTATTTTTCCTCTTCATGGCCTCTCATCCACTTCTTGCTCTCACTTCACTTGCTATCCAACTTAAATTCCATACTTCAGCAATGCAATCTCTCCTTATTTTATAATCTCAATAATTTTGCTTGATTTCCATTCCTGAGATACTCATGGAAAATACCCAACCCTGCTAAAGATCAGCTGGGTTGGCATCTACGCATGCAACCATACCAACTGATCTCACTGGTTGATATGAGTTACTAACACTCATATCAATTAGACCCTTAATGCTTTCTGACATTCATACTACATTATCTTTATCCATTCACTTACCCAAGCTCATGGATATTAAATTTCCAGTTTTCTCGTCTAAACCTCCACAACTTTATTCTCATGGATAGAAAATGACATTTTTATTTTACTAAGAAAATATAAATGACTAGGAGGAAAAAATATTCACCAACAACCACTCTTTTGATTTGTTCCCATACTCCACTTTATTAATATAGATTTACACTTTGTACTTTTGCCTAAGACCAACTCATCTGTTTATGCATTATATCTCAAATCCTCTCACCTGAATCCAGCCCATTATTTCAGTAACACTTGCACTCTCTCTTACTGTTTGATCCACTCCACCTGCACATAATCATACTAATATTTTTCCATCTTAAAAATGTAATAAACAAATCCTTTTCCTGAGCTCATATCCTTTTTCAGTTACCACCCACATTTTATCTGCTCTCACTTATAGCAATAATTCTCTAACAAACAAACAATAACAACAAAAGAAATCAACGTGTAAACTTGAGGTATTCATATCCTCTGCTGTCTTTAACTCCATTCAGGTTGGTCTCCAGCACTCCACACTGCTCTTATCAGGATTAACAATGGCCACAACCTTAATAAGTCAAGGTCAATTTACGCCTCTCATTTAACTTGACATGGCAATACGACTGATGCAGATTATCTCTTCTACCCTTTGTGATACTGTATGTGCTTACACACACACACACACACACACACACAAATCCTTTATTTTCTTTCTACTTCTTGACTGCTTGTAGTTTTTCCCAATCTCACCAGCTTTTAGCATTGGAATATCCAGAGCTCAGTTCTTGAACTTCTTTTGAAGTGGCTAAACCCCTGCCTTGGGAAACCCAGAAACATTCTTTTATGGGCATAAATATAGATGAAGCCCAATTTTTATAGTCACATACAATTATTTTTATCTAAAACAATGATAAAATGGTATATATTGAGGTCAGTAAGTGGGGAGTGACTGAAGCGATTAATTTCTGCTATTGCAATAGTTTAACATAAATCTTTTAGCAGGGAAATAACTAAAAATTTTCCCCAGGTCTTGTCTTCTTAGAGAGCCAGTATGTCATAATAAAAAGAGAAATGAGAACACTTTAACATACCTAGATTTAATTCTTGTGTTAGCTAATTATTGTTAGTGTAACTCTTAGGTTATCTTTGAGATTCCTCATCTATAAAACATGGCTAGAGCACAATACTCTGCAATTTTACAAGAGATAAAGTCAGAATTTGGCTTTGCTTCCGGATTCTAAGAATGAGTTACCTCTCCTTTCTTCTCCTCAAAGACAATCATTTCCCCTACACTCTTGATCCTTATTCTCTGTTATCTCTAGACCTTGAAGCATCATTCATTTGCAGTCTCTTTGAATTCCCAAAAGTCTCTTTATTTTAATTTACTCTATAAACTTGCTTGAGTCTCTCAAATCTTAAAGGATTCTGGGCATCTCCAGCAGAATGAACATACCAATGCTTCAAATTCAGTAAGCCCCAAATCAATTTATATATTATCCATTAAATCTAATACCTTCTGGTAATTTCCATGCCAGTGTTCAGCATTGTTATTGAGCCAGTCACCCAATATGGAAATCTAGAATTGCACCTTTGACTTTACCATCTTCCATATCCACCACATCTAATTAATTACCAAGTTTTATGTCTTGTATCTCTTAATTTTTTTCTCAAAGCTATACCCCTTTTTTCATTTTTATACTCACTGCTGTAATTTAAGTCTTCATTATCTATATCGCAGAATATGGCAAAGGTCCTATTTGATCTTACTGATTGGCATAGCTTCTTTATTATACTTGTTCAATCAAAATTTTTATAAAAAATTCAAAACCGATTATCTCAGCTCCCTGCATAAAACAATTGTCACCCTCATTTTGTAGTGCTTTTCAAATCTTTTGAACAATATACTCCTAATAAGCAAAGAATAATAGCTTACCACATACTTTAAAGTTTGTGTATTCTATTTTGTACCATCTATCCTAATTTTTTTAAAAAAATATATCATCTTACATTTTAGCTAAGGAAATCTCCCTATTATCCATTCTAGTTTTCTGTTTGTGGATCTAGGTCCTCCATTAGACTGAGAGCTGCTTCATGGAATGATATCTTTCTTATTCATCTTTGTTATGTCAGTATGGTATATATTGTTTGATTTATAGAAATAACTCACTAAATAATAGCCTAGTGAATAGACAAAAGAAAAAAAGTTAGTGTTTTCTGGTATAATACTAAAATATTAAGATTTATTATAAAGATAAACTTCCAGAAAATAAAAATAAAAATAAATCTGCACAAGTTTATAGATTGCAACATTATTGAATTTCTAAACCATTGAAAAGTACCTACATGACAAACATAGGCAATTGAGTAAAATACAGCTTACTGTTATCATAAAGGAGTATTATGTAACTGCACAAAGGAAAGATCCCTATTTACTGATAAGTTAATTTCAGATACAGTAAGTTAACAATTGAAGGGTGAAAAAGATTATATACATATGTAGGTATGCACAATATTTTCGGTAAGAAAGAAGAAGAAATAAGAAAGCATACAAGTATCTGATTATTTTGTACATACTCATTAAACATTTTTGGCTGACACACTTCTTAAGAGCTGCTGTGTTCTCTGGGCATCAAAACAGAGGTATATGATCTTTGCAAATTATTGATGATGCTAATTTTTATCAGCATGTTAAAAATGTTTTTTATTTTATTCACTTCACAATCATTATTTTTTTCTTTTGTAGTTAATAATGAATTCAAGGCACAATCCTTTGACAAACCATAAATACTCTGTTCTTCATTAAATGACCTCTCCTACTGATTAAGCCTTTAGTAATGATTCTGGGTGGAAACTATTTTTATATGTTTGTTATAAAAGGAAATTTTCTAACTTTATAGTTTCTACTGTATTTATTAATTTATAGCCTATTGAAATAATTTTCCTTCTTCCTAATTAATTTATTCATTTATTTTGTACATGTGTATGTCTATATGCTCCTTGACTTACAATGGGGTTATGTTCTATCAAATCCCTCATAAATTGAAAATATCAAAAGTTCAAAATGCATTTATTACACATAAACACTGAACATCATAGATTAGCCTAGCGTACGTAAACAGTCTCTAAACAATTACATTATCCTACAGTTTGGTGAAATCAACTAATGCGAAGACTATTTTATAATAAAGTAAAACAATTTTTATAATAAAATAAAAAACACTACTTTATAATAAAGTGTTGAATATCTCATGTAATTTATTGAATACTCTGCTGAAAGTAAAAAACAGAATAGTTATATGGGTACATGAAATATAGTTTCTACTGAATGCATATAACTTTTGCACAATTGTAAATTCAAAATATTGTTAATTCTAACCATTGTAAATTGAGGACCACCTGTGTTCATCTTCAATAGAGACTCACAGAGTCTTACTTTATGCAATGTGATAAAATTCATTAACATCTTTATATATTTTCATGCTCAAATTGTGCCTATTTGACTAGTGGACTTCAAGCTGATTTCTCTATCCTTTCAACACACTCTAACCATCATTTTACTCACTTTCTGCAACATCAAGCAAGATATTTCTGTCTTGATTTGTAATTTCCCTGTCCCAAACCTGGAATTAGTCAGTTTTTGAAAAATTCCTAGTTTTTTTTTTTTTGTAGTGTTTAATGGTATTCTAAATCTATGTTGGTGATCAGTTGCCATGGAACAAGTTACTCCAAAACTTGGTGGTTTAAAACAATAACACACGTGTTATTTCTTATAGTTTTTGTGGGTCAGGAATTTTAGGAGGCTTGGTTCAGCAATTCTGGCTTGGGTTTCCGATGAAGTTTCTTAGGTGTACATTGGAACTTCAGTAATCTACAGGGGTTAGGTGGAGGGGAGAAAGTGGATGAAAGAGATAGGTGAGGAGTGACACTTCTCTGAGTGAAATTTTGACTATCCAAATCAATTTTTAATAATATATATCTTCAATTATATGAACAAGATGAAAAATAAAAACCTAATATAAATAAAAACAAATGAATCCAACTGTTTTTCAAACCACGTTAAAGGTAGAGATTTTCAAATTGAAAAGAAGATATCTTATTACATTTTGGATAGATTACTTTGACTGTACACTCTCAGACTAAAGAAAAACAGAACAATAAACAAATCTTGAACTTTTCCTAGTATGAATGAGCATAGAAGGTGTGAAGCCATTTTAGGCCTGTTGAAGGATTTATTGGATGAATATACTTGTATTCAAACTCATTATTTTATAATTTCAAGTATTTATATACACACATGCATACACATATGCACAAATACATGTGAGGAAGAAAACCTGATAAACAGAGCTGGGAACGGCTATGAAAGAGAGATTTTGTCAATGCCAGGCCTGCCTTACAAGAGCCCCTGAAGGAAGCACTAAACTTGGAAAGAAACAAACAGTACCAGCCACTGCAAAAACATGTCAAATTGTAAAGACCATCGATGCTATGAAGAAACTGCATCAATTAACGAGCAAAATAACCAGCTAACATCATAATGACAGTATCAAATTCAAACATAACAATATTAACCCTAAATGTAAATTGGCTAAATGCCCCAATTAAAAGATACAGACTGGCAAATTGGATAAAGAGTCAAGGCAAATCAGTGTGCTGTATTCAGGAAACTCATCTCACGTGCAGAGACACACATAGGCTCAAAATAAAGGGATGGAGGACGATCTATCAAGCAAATGGAAACCAAAAAAAAAGCAGAGGTTGCAATCCAAGCCTCTGATAAAATAGACTTCAAACCAACAAAGATCAAAAGAGACAAAGAAGGCCATTACATAATGGTAAAGGGATCAATTCAACAAGAAGAGCTAACTATCCTAAATATATATGCACCTAAATATATATACAGGAGCACCCAGATTCATAAAGCAAGTTCTTGGAGACCTAAACAGAGACTTAGAGTCCCACACAATAATAATGGGAGATTTTAACACTCCACTGTCAATATTAGACAGATCAACGAGACAGGTTAATAAGGATATCCAGGACTTGAACTCAGCTCGGCACCAAGCAGACCTAATAGACATCTACAGAACTCTCCACCCCAAATCAATAGAATATACATCCTTCTCAGCACCACATCTCATGTATTCTAAAATTGACCACATAATTGGAAGTAAAGCACTCCTCAGCAAATGTAAAAGAACAGAAATCACAACAAACTCTCCGACCACAGTCCAATCAAATTAGAACTCAGGATTAGGAAACTCACTCAAAACCGCACAACTACGTGGAAACTGAACAACCCACTCCTGAATGACTACTGAGTAAATAATGAAATGAAGTCAGAAATAAAGATGTTATTTGAAATCAATAAGAACAAAGAGACAATGTACCGGAATCTCTGGGACACATTTAAAACGGGGTATGGAGGAAAATTTACAGCATTAAATTCCCACAAGAGAAAGCAGGAAAGATCTAAAATTGACATCCTAACATCAAAATTAAAAGAACTAGAGAAGCAAGAGCAAACAAATTCAAAAGCTAGCAGAAGGCAAGAAATAACTAAGATCAGAGCAGAACTGAAGGAGAAGAGACACAAAAAACCCTTCAAAAAATCAATGAATCCAGGAGCTGGTTTTTTGAAAAGATCAACAAAATTGATAGACCACTAGCAAGACTAATAAAGAAGAAAAGAGAAAAGAGAGAAGAATCAAATAGACGCAATACAAAACTATAAAGGGGATATAACCACTGATCCCACAGGAATACAAACTACCATCAGATAATACTATAAACAACTCTAAGCAAATAAACTAGAAAATCTAGAAGAAATGGATAAATTCCTGGACACATACACCATCCCAAAACTAAACCAGGAAGAAGTTGAATCTCTGAATAGACCAATAACAGGCTCTAAAATTGAGGCAATAATTAATAGCCTATCAACCAAAAAAGCCCAGGGTCAGACGGATTCATAGCCAAATTCTACCAGAGGTACAAAGAGGTCCTGGTACCACTCCTTCTGAAACTATTCCAATCAATAGAAAAAGAGGGAATCCTCCCTAACTCATTTTATGAGGCCAGCATCATCCTGATACCAAGGCCTGGCAGAGACACAACAACAAAAGAGAATTTTAGACCAATATACCTGATGAACTTCGATGTGAAAATCCTCAATAAAATACTGGCAAAACGAATCCAGCAGCACATCAAAAAGCTTATCCACCACGATTAAGTCGGCTTCATCCTAGGATGCAAGGCTGGTTCAACATATGCAAATCAATAATCATAATCGATCACATAAACAGAACCAATGACAAAAGCCACATGATTATCTCAATAGATGCAGAAAGGGCCTTCAACAAAATTCAACAGCCCTTCATGCTAAAAACTCTCAATAAATTAGGTATTGATGGAATGTATCTCAAAATAATAAGAGCTATTTATGACAAACCCACAGCCAATATCATATTGAATGGGCAAAAACTGGAAGCATTCCCCTTGAAAACCAACACAAGACAAAGATGCCCTCTTTCACCACTCCTATTCAACATAGTGTTGGAAGTGCTGGCCAGGGCAATCAGGCAAGAGAAAGAAATAAAGGGTATTCAATTAGGAAAAGAGGAAGTCAAATTTTCCCTGTTTGCAGATGACATGATTGTATATTTAGAAAACCCCATCATCTCAGCCCAAAATCTCCTTAAGCTGATAAGCAACTTCAGCAGTCTCAGGATACAAAATCAATGTGCAAAAATCACAAGCATTCCTATACACAAATAACAGACAAACAGAGAGCCAAATCATGAGTGAACTCCCATTCACAACTGCTACAAAGAGAAGAAAATAATTAGGAATCCAACTTACAAGGGACGTGAAGGACCTCTTCAAGGAGAATTACAAACCACTGCTCAATGAAATAAAAGGGGACACAAACAATTGGAAGAACATTCCATGCTCATGGATAGCAAGAATTAATATAGTGAAAATGGCCTTACTGCCCAAGGTAATTCATAGATTCAGTGCCATCCCCATCAAGCTACCAATGACTTTCTTCACAGAATTGGAAAAAACTACTTTAAGGTTCATATGGAAACAAAAAAGAGCCCACATTACCAAGACAATCCTAAGCAAAAATAACAAAGCAGGAGGCATCACGCTACCTGGCTTCAAACTATACTACACGGCTACAGTAACCAAAACAGTGTGGTACTGGTACCAAAACAGATATATAGACTAATGGAACAGAACAGAGCCCTCAGAAATAACTCCACACATCTACAACCATCTGATCTTTGACAAACCTGACAAAAACAAGAAATGGGGAAAGGATTCCCTAAGTAATAAATGGTGCTGGAAAAACTGGCTAGCCATATGCAGAAAGCTGAAACTGGATCCCTTCCCTATACCTTATACAGAAATTAATTCAAGATGGATTAAATACATAAATGTTAGACCTAAAACCATAAAAACCCTAGAAGAAAACCAAGGCAGTACCATTCAGGACATAGGCATGGGCAAGGACTTCATGACTAAAACACCAAAAGCAATGGCAACAAAAGCTAAAATAGACAAATGGGATCTAATTAAACTAAATAGCTTCTGCACAGCAAAAGAAACTACCATCAGAGTGAACAGGCAACCTACAGAATGGGAGAAAATTTTTGCAATCTACCCATCTGACAAAGGGCTGATATCCAGAATCTACAAAGAACTCAAACAAATTTACAAGAAAAAAAACAAACAACCCCATCAAAAAGTGGGCAAAGTATATGAATAGACACTTCTCAAAAGAAGACATTTATGTAGCCAACATTCACATGAAAAAATGCTCATCATCACTGGTCACAGAGAAATGCAAATCAAAACCACAATGAGATACCATCTCATGCCAATTAGAATGGCAATCATTAAAAGGTCAGGAAACAACAGATGCTGTAGAGGATGTGGAGAAATAGGAATGCTTTTACACTGTTGGTGTGAGTGTAAATTAGTTCATCCATTGTGGAAGACAGTGTGGCAATTCCTCAAGGATCTAAACCTAGAAATACCATTTGACCCAGCAATCCCATTACTGGTTATATACCCAAAGGATTATAAATCATGCTACTATAAAGACACATGCACACACATGTTTATTGCAACACTAGTCACGATAGCAAACCAACCCAGATGACCATCAATGATAGACTAGATTAAGAAAATGTGGCACATATGCACCATGGAATACTATGCAGCCATAAAAAGGATGAGTTCATGTCCTTTGCAGGGACATGGATGAAGCTGGAAACCATCATTTTCAGCAAATTATCACAAAGACAGAAAACCAAATACCGCATGTTCTCACTCATAGGTGGGAATTGAACAGTGAGAACACTTGGACACAGGACAGGGAGCATCACACACCTGGGCCTGTCAGGGGGTGTGGGCCTGGGGGAGGGGTAGCATTAGGAGAAATACCAAATGTAAATGATGAGTTGATGGGTGCAGCAAACCAACATGGCACATGTATACTTGTGTATCAAACCTACACGTTGTGCACTTGTACCCTAGAATTTAAAGTATAATTTAAAAAGACAGCGTTCTTATGCTTGTGTGTCTGATAACAAAAACTATCACAAAACACTGTAAAAATCACAACCTTGCACAAAGATAATTGCAGACTTACACAAAAAATACTTCTCCAAGGACATATGCCAAGCAATTGCTTGTGTAACCTCAGAGTGGCACCACCTTTGTAATTGATCTATTTAGCCAAAGGTAATTATCTGAAAGCAATTATTTAGTCCTCTTTATTTTTTTTCTTTAAAAGTCTTTGTATTCTTTTACCTCCCTGAATACATACACAGTTTACTATGGCACTTGTACTTCCATTGCAGTGCCCTCTTCCAGAATAAATATATTTTTCTTTTGGAGAGCCTGTTTGTTATTTAGGTTAACAATTCATATCTATCTATCTATCTATCTATCTATCTATCTATCTATCTATTGTATCTAACTTTCTATCTATGATTTCTGTATCTATCTGCATGTATGTATATAGCTCTGTTCACTTAAAAGGCCCAGGAGCAATAGTGTACCAGAAGAAATGAGCATGCATAATGCCAGCAAATCTTGGGATTTCTGTGGAACTCACCATCCAAGATTGACCCCAGTGATTCTTACTTTCTGGTATCATTACCTTTATGCAGTTCATGTTCACACTGAACGAGGGATCACCTGGCTAAGAGATACCAGAAGTGACTAGTAACTCCCAAAGCTATGCCATAAAAAACATTGACACTTCTGAGACACGCAGGCTGACTGTTTTTCTGTTTCGATGTGGTCTAGAATAAAAGAACAAAAGCCTCTTAATCAAGCTGTAGGCTTACCTAACTTCCAGCCATTCAGCAACAAAATACCCAAGAAGTTATTAAGCACAAGTGCTGCTTTAGAGGGCTATGGACTCCCCTGGGGTCCCACATGTGCAGTTAGACTTAAACTTCAACTTCGAGTTACCCCTTCCTCATTTTAATGCTAAAACTCACACCCAGGTGAGGAGATTACAATGCTAATATTACATGCTGTCTATGAAGAAGCATGTTGAATTACTGCACAAGCACTAGAGAAACCTCTTCTATACCTGCCCTAATGAAACCCTTCCCTATAGAAAGACTCTATAAAACTAACCCTACACACAGTGTTGGTTCCCTTGTGCACAAGCTAAATAAATTTTCTTTTTGTTGCTATATCTGGTAACCTCTCTTGATTTCTGCTCTGGGAGATTACAAGAATCCAGGGAGCTGATAACATTTCTATCTTGTTTCCTTGAAACATTCACTCTGGGGAAAGCCAGCCACACTATCATGATAACACTCAGCCATTCTTGGGAGATGCCCATATTGGAGAGAAATAAAGGCCTCCCTCCAACATGCCAGCCATGTGAGCGATCCATGTAGACTTCAGATCACTGTGGATCCAGTGGACACCTGACTGAGAAAATTCATAAGAAACCCTAGCCAGAGCCATTCAGCCAAGCCACTCTTGAATTTCTGACCCATAGCAACTGTAAGACATAATAAATACTTAGTATTGCTTTAAGTCATTAAGCTTTGGGGAAACTTATTAGACAGCATTTAATCACTAATGCAGTTTCTAAATACCGTTAACCACTAAAAGCAACCAAGAATACTTGGAAAAATGACTGCTTCCGGGTCTGGGACTGGGAAATTAGAAGATGAAATTGAAACAACTTGCTATACCAGAAAAGAAAGCGATGTTTAAAAATAATTATGGTTATATGTCAAAATATAAGATAATTCAGGTTGGCAGAGCTTCAACTAGCAAAATTGGTGCTATTTGGCATCACAGTATAGAAAGATATGAAGTCTCATTGAATAAAATAGGACTCCATGAATGTATGTGGAAAATAAATACATGCATACATGTATATAAATGTGCATAGGTATATAAATAAATAAGAGTATAAATAGTGGAGAAGAAAAATTCATTTCAGTAAAATATCAGCTGATAAATATAGATGAAATAATATGGTTAGATACAGTAATTTTTTATAGCCAACATATTAAAAATTAATTCTGGTAAGAATCATCAATACTTTTTTTTTTTTTGAGACTGAATTTCGCTCTTGTCACCCAGGCTGGAGTGCAACGGCATGATCTCAGCTCAATGCAACCTCTGTCTCCTGGGTTCAAGTGATTCTCTTGCCTCAGCCTCCCAAGTAGCTGGGACTACAGGTGTGCACCACTATGCTCAGCTAATTTTTTTTGTATTTTTAGTAGAGATGGGGTGTCACAATTTTGGTCAGGCTGGAATCGAACTCCTGACCTCAGGTGATCTGCCCACCTCAATACATGTTTAATTAACTAGGCGGCATTTGATGAGAAACAGAATACTTACATATTCTCAAAGGACATCTTTTCATACTTGTTAATAATTACAAAAGAAAAATAGTAATTATGAAGTGGATATGATGATATTTTAACCAACTGATCAAAGTTGACATCATCAATAAACTGCAATTGGACATTTTAGGCCTCCATTTTGATGCCTTGAGAAGGACATAGCATCACTTAAGTAGTGTGCCAACCAAAAATATATAACCTGAATCTAATCTTAAGGAAATATCAGACAAATCTGAACTGAGAGAGAGTCTATAAAATAACTGATTTGTATTCTTCAACAAATGTCAATGTCAGGAAAGTCAAAGTCAAAGAAAGGCTGAGAAGCTGTCCGAGATTAAAGAAGACTAGAGAGATATGTAAACTTTATTCATTATGGGATTTGGGCCTGGATCCAATACTGAAAAATAATCCCCATACAGAACATTATTGGCATCATGGAGTAAACTGGAATGAGGACTGAAGATTAGAATAAAGTATTATATTACTGTTAAACTTTTTGTATGTATAATTTTTTTTTTTTTGAAATGGAGTCTCACTCTGTCACCCAGCCTGGGGTGCAGTGGCGCAATCTCCACTCACTGCAACCTCTGCCTCCCAGGTTCAGACGATTCTTCTGCCTCAGCCTCCTGAGTAGCTAGGATTACAGGCATGCACCACCACACCCAGCTAATTTTTCCTTTGTATTTTTTTCTTTTTTCTTTTTACTCTTGAAATACAGAATTTTATTTAGAAACTGTTTAAAGTAGAAAAAAACCCTGTCAAGAAAGACCAGGTGGAAAATGGGTTCCCAAAAAATGTAATTTTAGGGCAACGAAAGTCTAAAAGGCCACAAAAGAGAAATAGCACCACTGTCATTTGAACAATGGCTAGTTACTTGCATTTTTTGGCATTGTTAATCTCTGAATCTGGGTTTTCCTCTGAATTCCACACAGAGCATGCACTACACAACAATTTTATCAGAAAATGCTTTCTTTCTACACACATTTTAAGACAAGCTACCACCAGAAACAAATCAATATAAATACATCAGGGGCTGAACAATCTCAATAGTGGGTGAGACACATTTTGCAGAATCCTGCCAAACAAAGGAACTGAAAAGACTGTGGGCAAAGCAAATGAGGGAAAGTTAAAGAATGAAATATTTTAAATATTAATAATTAATTCAGACATGATACTGTATTTTCTGCAAAAGAAAATTAACATTTAGCAACACACTAATGAACTTTATCTCCAAAGAGATTAGTGCACTGGCAAAGTATGCAGATTACAGTGGAGAGCTGTGGACAGCACATACCGAAAACACCCCAGTCTTGCAGATCCCAAGGTAACAATGGCCTTCATTGACCACTCCCTTTGCCAGAGGTCCAGAAAACTTGCAGCATGGTCACCTGCATGCTTCACTTCCATCTCTAAGCAGCAAACTTCAAGGAGCCAAAGAGGAGTCCCCAGTGGGAAAGGGGAGCAGAGAAGAGAAAGATGGTAAATGCAAACCTAAAAGACAGTAAAATGGGATACAATCCCCATTCAAATCCCAGAGATGTGGGCAAGTTCCCAAAAGTAGTTTTTAGACCAAAAAAACTGGACACACCTCACTTCCCCAAAAATATAATACATAGAAATTTTGGGGATAACTGGAAAAATAGAGAAATGCTCAGTGAAAACCAAGCTCTTCACCTCGAACATCTCAGGGCTGAAACACATCCTCTATTATCCAGTCAACAATGCCTCTTGCTTTTTAGCAGGGATGCAATTGGTCAATGGCACCAAATGGCTTTACAGGGCAACTTTTTAAATGTTCCTTTTAGACCAAAGCCTAGGCCTATGAGGATTCAAGCAGCCCTCTAAGACTTGTGACAGCAAGTTCCAAAGGTTCCAAGGTCTGGTCCTTCCTTCCCAGATACAACATCAAACGCAAAATCCTCTGTCATGTTACATTTTGTATTTTGAAATATGGAAGCATATTTTAAATACTCATAAGGCATTTATTTATTACAACATTCTCCGATTTCACATTAGCTTAAAATTCAATTCAGTCTTTCCATTTCTCCACTAAGGTCGCCGCCTCAGCATATTACACAACACCTTCTCCAGCACTCAGTGTGACCCGCATCCACAGGGTAAGCCCCAACGTCAGCCTCTTTGTTTCCCAGGTGAACCAACTAGATGTTAATACTGCTCTGCTACAATGTAAACGCT
The DNA here is from genome assembly GCF_000001405.40 of Homo sapiens. Lineage (NCBI taxonomy): Eukaryota > Metazoa > Chordata > Mammalia > Primates > Hominidae > Homo > Homo sapiens. Next base: position 33,010,765 of record NC_000004.12, read on the forward strand.
CCTAATTCAAACTTATTTGAAAAGGAGTGAAACGTCTGCAAAGTGCACTTTAAGAAGAGGTACTTTTTGCTTATGAAAAGAAACCAGTGAGTCCTCTAAGGATAATAAAAGGGAGTATTTTACAGTTAAGCACATGATTTGGAGTGAAGAATTTGGATGTTGCTCTGCTGGTCCAGGCTGTTAATACTCTTTTTGTTCCTCCTGTGTGCCGCCTTCATCAGGTATCACAAAGCCTTCATCTGTGGCATACAGAATGTCTACAGTCCTCTGCAATACAGGGTTGTTTTCCCCCTCATTCTCCTGGCAAATCAATTCAATGTTCCGTAGCTTTCCGAAGTAGAAATCCTTCTTTCTCCAAGTTTTCAACAGTAAATTTCAATACGTTGACCTGCCGCATCAACTCAGCTGCCTCGTCATTCCCATTGCCCACACCAGGGTTCTTTCACACCACGCCAGGGCCAGTCTTAGGAGCCACAGCAGTTCTCTGTGTTGAGATGGGCATCTGGGGAGTTGCATTGCTAGAACTTGGGTTTATTCGGAGCTGGAGCAAGGAGGGAGTGAGCCACTGCAATTTCTTGACCTTGTCTGGCAGCCACAGGGTCATAGATTTTTCCATCATAGTTTGCATCAAAAAACTTCTTGAACCACTGAACAAATTCAAAATTGTCCTGAAACTTTCCTTTTACTGATTTGTCGACAGGAATTATTTTGTCAACACCCAGCTTCTTAAAACCTGCTTGTAGTATTTTGAAGTTCTGGATGCACTCATGTTCTAGCTTAGCCTGGAATTTTACTTTCTTCAAGTCAATGGAGCCAGGGAACAGCATGTCCATAAACTGACAATATCCAGTTTATGGATATTGAGAACAACTGTTTGATCTTTGTCAGATTCAACTGCAGAGACTCATTGATCCAGGCCAGCACGTCATGATGACTTAGGTTATCACTGGTCACTGACGTTAAGTATACATTCACTGCCATCTTCGGCTCTCGCGTCCGCTGCCCTCACCCGGCTCCAGTTTCTTCATCTCATTCAAACTGCCAGACGCCGCCCTTTTTGTATTTTTAGTAGAGATGGGTTTTCACCATGTTGGTCAGGCTGATCTTGAACTCCTGACCTCATGACCCGCCCACTTAGGCCTCCCAAAGTGCTGGGATTACAGGCATGAGCCACCGTGCCTGCCCTTTATAATTTTCTTGTAGCTATTTTTTAAAATCTTCTTACTCTTAGCTAACGATAATTAAATATTTAAAGGTTAAAATGTAATAATTCCTGAAAACTAGCCTCATACATTAAAGAAAGAAATGTATATTATACACATGCTGAACATACATACACACATATGCATACAATATATACATATGAGAGAGAGAGAAATATCATAAAGGAAATAAGCTAGTAATTTTTAAAACTGTACAAAGGAGATTTTATTTTTGCAACCTGTACAAAGTTTGAAATTGTTCCAAAATAAAAATGTAAACTAATTACTAACTGGTTTCAGTTGTGTTAAAACTAAATTTTCATTCCTTTAATATTTTATTTCATATGAGGGACTTTGAGAGTAAAGAAATGGTGAAAATATTAGAGATAAAGGTTAATTATTGGTGTCAGAAAGAAGAGAGAGGAGCCAGGTTCTGGATATAAAAATGAGTGGAAATTTCCAGTAAACAACAACAACAAAAAGTTATGAGCACGGGAGGAGGAGGGAGATGGAAAGGAAAGGCCATAATAAAGAATTTTGTCCTGGAGCACAAAGGATTAGAAAAGGGATTCAGGATTTATTGAGGCCGTTTAAAAAGTGAGTTTTCGCCGGGCGCGGTGGCTCACGCATGTAATCCCAGCACTTTGGGAGGCCGAGGCGGGCAGATCACGAGGTCAGGAGATCGAGACCATCCTGGCTAACACGGTGAAACCCCGTCTCTACTAAAAATACAAAAACAAAATTAGCCGGGCATGGTGGGGGGCGCCTGCAGTCCCAGCTACTCAGGAAGGTGAGGCAGGAGAATGGCCTGAAGCTGGGAGGCGGAGCTTGCAGTGAGCCGAGATCACACCACTGCACTCCAGCCTGGGTGACAGAGTGAGACTCTGTCTCAAAAAAAAAAAAAAAAAAAAGTGAGTTGTAACAGTTTTCCTCTATATTTTTTGATTCTCTACTACAGTTCAAAATTATTCTAGTGCTGTGAATTTCACCTAATCACATGGAAAACGAAAATTGTATTTTTCTAACTGAATCTTATTACGTACACTCAATTGTCAGTTTCACTTATTTAAAAATTTCAGTTTGGGGTTTCTCAGTCCATTCAAGTTTCTCCCTTTTCACCTGCTCTTTTTCCTTCATTGTGATCCAAACACATGGCAGTGAAACAGGAGGAACTGAGAAGAATCAATAGACAAAATTGGAGGAGGGAACTCTGATACTCTTTTTATTTAAAATGAATTTTGGTTTGAGAAACCCTCTGTTCTCAACTCTTCAGGCTTTATTCCCACAGCACACGCTGCTGTGTCACTGTCTCTCTCACAGTCTCCCAAATATTCATGACATTGACTTTGTTTTCAGAGTGCAAACCAGTTGTTTTAGAGACAACCTATCAGGCCATTGAGGTTTTTATTTCTCTTCATCTGACACAAGGACACTCTAGTGCCACTGGCTTACCCTCAGACTTCCTTGATTATTTTAGAGACATGTGACGTTATGTAATAATCCATTACACCCACAGCATCATTAGTTGCTGTGCAGGGATTAGGGGGCGGTATCTCAGATGCTTTTGGAACAAACACATTTTTTTTCTCTACTGTAACTTATTTATGTACTGGGGAAAGTAGATACCTTCATTTATGATGTTGTGGTCTTTTTTGTTCTTCCCTTTTCTATGTATTCCTTCTAGGGATATGCCTAGATTACTTCCTTTTGGTTGAAAATCTGCTCTTCTGTAATCAGCATATCCCTCCCCCACCCCCAACACACAGTAAACACACACACAAGCACACACACACACACACATGCACACACACACATCCGTTTATTTAAAGTGTAAACTATGCTCTGATCCACCATATTCTTATTCTTTTGGAAAAAAAAAAAGAAACCTTTTTCATTCTCAAAATCTTAGTGCTTGAAAATCTAAAGTCACATGACTTATCAGATATATGTTCCCACTTTTTGAACTTTACAAAATCTGTTAATATATTCAATAACTTTTTTTTTCTTTCTTTTCTTTTTTATGTGTGTTTTTCCTTTCCTGGAAAAAATAAAATCTCTTCACCGATGGCAAGCATTGATCCAGTGAGGACTAGGAAGAAAAGTATCAGAAATGGCAGCTGTAAAATTCTTTTATATTACCAGAGTTTTATCTCACTTCACAATTTAGCATCTAGTTCCTCTTTATGCTATCAATGCATTTGCGCGCTCCTACTTTGTGCCAGAAAATATTCGGGCAAATCTGGGTGGATAAACCATAGTTTCTCTCCTCTTGGTATCCATGGCAAACACAGAGGAAAAATATGTTCATAGTACCTTAAAAGATGAATCTTAAACTAATCAGATTTGTGGAGCACTGTTGGGGTCAGCTTAGGAGGACTTCCAGAGGAATTCTGATGATACTATGGACTTCAACCAAGACTGTGCTGGAGCAGCCACTGCACCCTAAGCAGGGCTTGCTTATTATGGACGTTTCTTATAATCCATAAGATATAAGTCTTCAGAGTTTGTTTCATCAACCTACCTCTGAGCACTACTGTACAGCAGTGATCGAAGCACAGCCACCAGAAAGACAGTCCTGTAGTATAACTGATCTGGCAACATTGAAACAATATTCATCATATCACAGCTCAACTGAGCTGCCACGTGTGCAGAAAATAGAAGATGGCAGGATATCCAACTGCTGCTGTAAAGTGAGTTGAAATGGGGGTAATTACAAGCAGAGAGGGCAGCAGAAACATGTTAAGGATTCACAGAAGCACAGCCTCAAGCAATGTAGCATAACTGAATATATGAGAAGGGGCATGCTGCTGAAGAAATGAAAGAAGAAACTTGCTCTTTAAAAATCTATTTCTGATGACACTGGACACAGTGTTATATAGTTATATAGCTATATGCTGCTCTATTGGTTTCTAATTTTAAATAACAAAAATTAGTATGGATTACAAACCCTGTCAGAAAATATGTGTGCATTTATCTAGCATATTTTAGTTGCAATATAGTCATTTTAACCTATTGTTTCCCTAACTATATTAACAATTTGTTTACATGGCAAATCAAATACATTGTTAATTTCTTTCTTTTTTTTTTTTTTTTTTTTTTTTTTTGAGACGGAGTCTCCCTCTGTCGCCCAGGCTGGAGTGCAGTGGCACGATCTCAGCTGACTGCAAGCTCTGCCTCCCAGGTTCACACCATTCTCCTGCCTCAGCCTCCCAAGTAGCTGGGACTACAGGTGCCCACCACCAAGCCTGGCTAAATTTTTTTGTATTTTTTTAGTAGAGACAGGGTTTCACCGTGTTAGCCAGGATGGTCTCGATCTCCTGACCTCATGATCCGCCCACCTCAGCCTCCCAAAGCACTGGGATTTCAGGCGTAAGCCACCACGCCTGGCCTAACATTCTGTTAATTTCTTAAGAGCTGATGCAAGTTAATTTGGCAGGGCAAGTTGTATATTTATACACGGAGAGACACACACATTATGCACACTTGAGATTGTGAAATATTATTATGGCAAAAATCAGGAAAGAACCCAAGAAATAAAAGAATGAAGTTAAGAGAGTTCTTTTGCTTATATTGTCACGGCATTCCCACAAAGTAATGAACTTACTATTTGAGGGTGGCTCATGAAAATCATTCTCATTATTTCAGTCATGTATATGTATTTATTCAATTTATTCAACAAGTATTTACCCTGTGTGGTATGCATATATCACGCTACTCACACCTGGAGACAAGGGATATAGACAGAGGATATTGACATGAATGATAAGAGCTTTTGCTTTTCCTTCCAGATTTTTAACTCTGGGTAGGTAAAGGGAGTACACTTATTTCCATGCAGGCAGTATTGCTCACTCCATATAGCAAGAAGTACTTAGCTCTCACAGACTAAAATTCTGGCAAACATCCACTGAACCTTAGAGCAACTTCCTGAATCAAAATGACTCTAGATATAGAATCAACAGGACATCATTATAATGAAAGTATCCTTTTCATTTTTTTCCCTGCCTGTAGAAAATTTTGTGACAAAGGTGAGCTAAAAGGTTGGAAATGTAAGAAAATGTAAGGGAATTAAACAGCAAGTAAATAATTTGAAGTGATAATTTAATTTAAAAGGATTATAATGGCACATGGAGGCTCTTCAAGGTCAATTCTTTAGATAGTTCAATTTCAGTGTTTTTTTTTTAGCTGATTCGATTGAGGTCATTTACAATTTTGCAAGTTGGCTTTTTTTATTCTCAAAAGAATTCATGAGGTACAGTTTAATTGAACTACCTGGGAAGACAGTGAATTTGATTATAAGCACACATAGACAACTACTCAGTTTATGTTAGCCAAACGCTATTCACTTCAGTGATGCTTTTATGCACATACCAAGTTCCTTAGTAGCTGTGTAGTCATTGTCTTAGTGGAAACATTTATTAATTCCTACTGAAGAGAAGTATTATTGAAGAAGAGAAGGAAACAAGGGAAGGTGTGGTTTCCTCCTATCTGACTGTAACTCAAGGGACTTTGTTTTCAGGAGCTTTGAATTATCTGCAAAGCATAAAACTTTCATATTCTTTTTAATAAGTTGGATTATTTTCATTTCCTAATAAAACTTATTTCCATCTCAGTACAGGGTGAACTTTTCAGATTCTGCAAAGATCAAAGGTCGAGGCTCTAAATCATTCTTTTTTTGAAAGTCAGTTTCCATGGCTTGTGGGTTTTACTATTCAGTCTACAGTGGACAGGTTTCATTGCTTCATGGTGCTAAAGAAATAGAATTTTTAAGAACCTAAAATGCTAAGGGGACAAAAATCACTGTTTAGAGAACTGAATTGTTATTTCCTTGCTTGCTATTCTTATTAATTACTCATTTACTTATGCACAGAGGAATAATTTTTTTATTTCATCCCACAAATTCATACAGAAAAACTCTGCTTTGGAATGGAATACTTAGAGTAAAAACCATCATTCATATAAACACTTATTCTTGGGTTTCATGTTTATGTCGCTTAAAAGAGATTGCCATCCCTGAGTAAACCAGACAATAAGTCAGAAACTGTCAGCTTTATTAAATTTGGCTAGTATTTTTCTCCCTTGCTGAATTCTTTCTGGTTGAAATCAATCCCATGAGAATGCGGGTTATTCTTAAGGTGATTGAAATGATGAACTTTTGTGCTGGCAAGCTGTTACACTATGATAGTCCATGTCTTAAATGAAAACCAAATTCAGCATTACAATTTTGAAGAAAATATTTCAATATAAGAAAATTATTTGTATAGCTTTTATTGCTGTTTCTATCAATAAGATTTATTCCTTAACACATAATTTAGTATTTTGAAAGTGCAGAAAATTTTCTTAGACTATTAAAAATTTTCATTTAATATTCTTCTTAGAGAATATATACTAGCAAGAGAGTGAATTCTTATTTTTTTCTTACAAGCACATTTTGCAAGTATAAATTTTAACATTCCAATTTCCCCAAATGTTAACAACTTAAGATACTTAATCAGTAAAGTCATGGCAAATGTTGGGTCCCATCAGATCCATCAAACATCATCCTCATTATTTTTGACATCTTCATGATCTGCTAATATTTACTTCATCTGTTAATATTTTCCTCAAAATAATGTCTGCTAAATAGCTTTTCACTTGTATCAGACTTTAATAAATTATATCACTTACTATGTGTCATGTTTAGTTTTCAACCAAATAATCAAATTCATTTTGACCTCTTCCTAAAGTTTTTCACAATCTTTCTAAATTAGTCTTTCTAAATGTAACTAATAAAGGAACATAAAACTGATAAAACTGCACAGTTTGGACAAAATGGGAGAGTTTCTAAGAAAATGTATTCTATCTTCATTTTTATGTGCATTCTTGGAAAAATGTTCATCTTTAATCTAAATGTGTTTAATTTACTTACTCTCATTTTCCCAGTCCAGGTCTTAATTACCCATCACCTTGGACTATGGGAACAATTCCTTAAAGTGCTACTTGCCCCTCACCTCCATCACTCACAAGCCATTCCTACGTACTCGTATGTTGCTACTGCCAGTGATCAATTTTCTCCATGACTCTCTGCCAAAATCAGAGTAGAACTTGAGCCTGGCATTCAAAGTTGACCGTAAACTCTGCAAAACATCTCTTTTTGATCTTACTGGTCTTTTCTAATCTGCACAGCCTACATGCTCAAAGACAAATCATACAATATACCGCTTTGCAAGAACCCCATGACTTTACCAGTAGTATTTTTCTCTACCTGAAAATCACTATTACTCATTTCAATCTGCTAAAATTATAATAATTCCACCAGGCTTTATGTAAATACAGTCTATATGCTGATATTTTCCTCAAGCAGAAATTATCTCTCTCACTTTTGAACTCCAATATTTTGTGTGTGACATGTAAAATTCAGTACCTTCTGTTTTTCATAATGTAAATATGCATTGCAGTTCTCTTTTAAAACTGAAAGTTTTCTAGAGGTAATTATATTCACTTTATTTTTAGTAGCATTTCATTTGTATTTTGTGACTAGCACTTTTGAAATAGTATTTTTTATAATTATTTTGCCTTAATAAATAATTTAATCATATTATCTAGCAAGTATATTATTCAGCAAGAGAAGTAGCTAGTAAATTAATATGAAAAATAATCGTAAATTAAAAATAACTATAATATGAAACTATGTATATTAATACCTAATACATTTTGGACTGTTATTTTGTGTCAGGAAGTGGCTTGCTAGTGATTTATATATAGATAGATAGATATGAATGCCTATATTAAAAGAATGGAATGGGCAGTATCACCCCTATTTTAAAGATAAGGACATAAAGTGACTCTTTTAAGGGGCACAGACATGATATTGAGGAGAGTGGCAGTTTGAACTCAAATCTATTTGATGTCAAAATGGTGCCTTATTTATTATCCAGAAAACAAAATAGCATTGTACAGACTCTTTAAAAACATATTTAATTGGGAAGGATATGTTAAAGCACAGTTAAATAATATTGATAAATAACTGCTTAAGTAAGTGTATGAAAGTACAGAGAATAAAAAGTCAATCAAAACTGACAAGCAAAGGTCTTCATAGAATATATGAGCATTTGGTTGGCCTTGGAAAATAAGATTTAAATATGGACAGGAATGTGATAAGTGAACACATTAAGGAAGACACTTTTAGTGTAATCTATTGCACAAGTGGAGGTGCAGAGTACTAATAATCAAGCATGTCTACATTACAACGACAAGTCTCATTGTAGATAATTTATGATTAGTTCAGCATAAAAATGGAAAAATTGTTTCATATTGAACTAAATAATAAAGATATTGCACCCACATCCATTGTAATTATGATGTAAACATATATACTTCAAATATCTCTGTTTAAAAGTGTTGGTTTTAACCATAGGAAACTTTGATGATAATTATGCTGAAGTCAACTGGATAAATCCTGTGTTAGTCAGCTTGGGCTGCAATTACAAAAGACGGCATGGCTTAAACAGTAGAATTTTTATTTTTGCATAATTCTGGTGTCAGCATGGTTGGTTTCTGGATAAGCCTCTCTCCTTAGCTTATAGATGGCTACCTGCTCATTATGCCTTCATATGGTCTTTTATATGTGCCTGAAAAGAGTGCATTCTGGTCTCTTTCTCTTCTTATAAGAGCACCATTTCCATAGGATTAGGGCCTTCCCCTCATGAATTTTATTTAACCTTAATTACCTCCTTAGTGACCCTATCTTCAGATTGGAGTTTCAGACTTCAACATGAATTTTGGGGGGACACAATTTTGTCTATGCAAGTCTAATCTTCAAATACTTTGCAGAGAGACTAGAACTTTGAAGAATCGACATCTCTGGTGATGTCTGTATATGTATGTTCTCCATGCCTAGGAAGCATGGGAAAAAAATTACATGTGATAAGACTAATAGTTACCTTTCAATGAGTCTACACTTGTTCAACAATGATGTATTAATGTAAGTCTCAAGGAAAATAGTAAGAATATGAAAGTACTAAATTAAGCAGTGATTTACTGTTTAGTGGCAATATTTTTCTTAAAACCGCCATGGCATGTGTATACCTATGTAACAAGCCTGCATGTTCTGCACATGTACCCCAGAACTTAAAGTATAATAAAAAAACTTTCTCTACCTTTTATATACAGAAATCAAGAGTTAAAAGCTAGAATATATCAACAAATGTCAATACATTGGAAGAATATTTGAAAAGTCCATTATTTGCATAAGAATACACAGATTTTTTTTTCCATTTGCACTTTTAAAAATTTTAGAATTACACTGGAAATTCTAATTGCTCTTGGTACTTGTGTAATTAACACTTACAGACACCCTAAAAAGTAAAAGAAAAATAAATAATTTTCAAAAAATTACAAAGTGTGGAAACATCTGTCACCTCATAACTTTAGGCAAAATTGTCATTTTTTTTTCTTTTTCTCCGTATAGCAAGTTATTTACTAAATTTAAAATAAAATTCAGTTTGAAATATATATTTTGGTATTAACGTTTTTATAATTCCATTCATTTAACAACGATAAAACTAAATTGTACTTTAACCAAAAATAAAATTTATTTTGTTTATCTATGCTTTGCAAAATTATTTTATCATAACTAAAATGTTCCTATTTTAAGAAACATAACTTAATGATATTTCCAATGTGAATGAAATTTACAAGAAATCAGGTGTTCTAATTAAGCTGATTAGTTTTCCTTCTGAGTCTAATATGTGATTTAATCTTATTTCACTCAATTGAAACAAAAGATAAAAAGAGTATACCATTGTGAAGACCTTAATTTGATGCTGATTTGTAGTGACATCTTATCAATACATTTTTCTTTCCCTTTCTTTCCTTATTGAGCCATTATTTCTAGTTGTGTTCTTTGTTTCAAGATTGATTATAGTCACCGTTTTAGGGATGCTCCTATGCTGACAAAAACAAGAGTAGAATTATAAAAATGTAAATCCTATCAATCTTGTATTTGTCATAAATTAGGCTGAATCTAAAGGGAATTTCACCTTAGCTTAGCAAATTCTCTGTATATAAAAAGTATATAATATTATTAAGAACACAATGTAAAAGACAATGTTTTAGCTTCATAAGAAAACAAACTACTTGAAATCATGTTGAAGCTCTGGCTTGCACTTTCCACAACACAATTTGTACTATATAGTGTGTAATCTCAAAGAGTGTGTGTGTGTGTGCCATCTTAAAATTATATATAATGTATCTTCACAGAAATGTCATACTTATGTGTTTATATACATATGTATTATAAATATATGTATTAAATTTACATATACATATGACAAAATACAAATTATTCTTTTTATTATTTTTTTCTACAATTTGTTCATTAAATTTAAAACTCTAAACCTAAAAAAGAGAATAGCCATATAAGAAAAGATGAATAAATTGGGCTTTACTAAAGTTAATATCTCTTGTTCATCAAGATATGCCATTAAAATGTCCAATTCACAACTTGGGAAAGAAAAAAAAAACTATGGGTAAAGCCTACAAAGCACTTGTATCTATTTTATAACAAGAACTTCTACAAAATAAGAAAAAGACAATCAAGTTTTAATAAAATGAATTTCTGAATAGGTGCCACACATGAGATGCCTAAATATATTGAATGTATGAAGTATGATCAGCATCATTAGTCACCAGAGAAATGTAAATTAAAAATCTTCATTTAATAAATAATAAAATGGTACCCTACAATTAACAAGACTGGGTAAATTAAACTACTGAAAATACTGATTTTTGGCAAAGACATTGAGCAATTTCAAATCTTATAGTATTTGTGGCAGTACAAATTGATACAGTCATGCTGAAAAATATTTGGCATTATTAAATAAAATTAGTCATGCATGCATGATAAGGCCCAGCAATTCACTCCTGGTATAGCCCAAAAGAAATGAATGCCTAGGTATGCCAGAAACATGTACAAAAATATTCATAATTGTCTCAAATCTGGAACAATTTAATTGCCATCAAATGGATAAAAACTAAACAAACTTATTTATTTATAAAATGAAAACATCATTTAAAAAAACAGAATTTCTGATCAGTACAACAAAATAGGTGAATTATTCCATGCATGTAATGTGTAAAGTCAGACACAAAAAAAGTAGAACGTGCATCGCTTTGTGTTGTTTTAAAATAGATAAAAGTGTTCTATGTATTATAGATGGAGGTCTGAATAGTAGTTCCACTTGGGGAGGAATGTTAATTGGAAGGGATCATGAGGATGCCCTCTGCAATGCTGGAAATACTCTACATCTTGATCTAGGTGGAATTTTTTGTTTTTGTTTTTAGAGACGGGGTCTTGCTTTGTCACCCAGCTGGAGTGTTGTGGCACAATCATGGCTCACTGCATCCTTGATCTGTTGGGCTCAAGTGGTCCTCCCACTTCAGTCTCCTGAGTAGCTGGGACTCCAATCACATGCCACCATGCCTGGATAATGTTTCAGCCACCATGCCTACATAATGTTTTATTTTGTGTTTATTTATTTTTTATTTTTTGTAGAAATGCTGTCTCCCTATGTTGCCCAGGTTGGTCTCAAGCTCCTAACTCCAAGTGATTCTCCTGCCTTGGCCTCCCAAATCAATGGGATTATAGGCATGGGCCACTGTGCCTGGCCTAGGTAGAGTTTTTGGTCTATGAAAACTTTTCATGGTGGTTTTTATGTACACCTCATCTTGGCTGTACATTGAGTTGAACGCTGAAGATTTCTGTGTATGGTTTTATGTAAGTAATGCTTCAATTAAAAAAATAAAGGGGCCGGGCACGGTGGCTCATGCCTGTAATCCCAACACTTAGGGAGGCCAAGGCGGGCAGATCACGAGGTCAGGAGATGGAGACCATCCTGGTGAACACAGTGAAACCCGGTCTCTACTAAAAATACAAAAAAATTAGCCGGGCGTGGTGGCGGGAGTCTGTAGTCCCAGCTACTCGGGAGGCTGAGGGAGGAGAATGGCATGAATCCGGGGGGGGCGGAGCTTGCAGTGAGCGGACATTGCGCACCCGCACTCCAGCCTAGGCGACAGAGGGAGACAACGTCTCAAAAAAAAATAGATATTAGGAATTCCTAAAAGTCTTTCATTAGGAAGAGTATGAGGTAACTAAATATTGAAATTAAAACATAAACATGTGCGTTTACATATGTATGTATATATATGTCTCTCTGTATATATATATGCGCGCACACACACACACACACACATATATGTTCCTTATTCTTTTTTCCTTCATTTATAATTAGTTTTCATCTTTTTTCATTCATAAGATCCTAGGCATTTTACCCACCTTTCTGAGTAATATTATCTATTAAATGTTTATAACAGTTATTTTTTGTTTCTTAAACTCAAAGAACTGTTGTAATCAAATGAAATAATGATAACATTAACAGCTGTTGAGCTGTAACTATATACCAAGTGCTATGCATGTTGGAATCCATGTACAGTCACGTGCTGCCTAACAGTTTTTCACTCAAGGACATACTGTATATATTGTAGTCTCATAAGATTATAATACTGTGTTTTTTTATGTAGCTTTTCTATGTTTAGATATGTTTAGATACATTCATACTTATCATTGTTTTACATTTGCCTACAGTATTTTCAGCACAGTAACATGCTGTACAGGCTTGTAGCCTAATAGTCTATACCATATAGCCTAACTGTACAGCAGGCTATACCATCTAGGTTTGTGTAAGTATACTGTTTACTTACACAAGTGCAAAATCACCTAATGACACATTTCTCAGAGCATTCCTCTTGTCCTGTTAAGCGACACATAACTCTATATAGTTAAGCGACACATAACTCTATAGTCAAGGGAGGCTGAGGCAGGAGAATCACTTGAACCCAGGAGGTGGAGGTTGCAGTGCACTGCACTCCAGCCTGTGCGATAGAGTGAGACTCTGTCTCAGAAAAAAAAAAAAAATCCATAAAAGCAAAGTAACCCACTTCAGATTCATGCATTCATTTAGTTTTCATGTCTCTTTGATTTCCTTCAATTGTAAATAATTTCTCAATCTTCCTTTGACTTTTATGGTCTTGACACTTTTGAATGAGTTATTTTATAGAATGCCCTTCAATTTGGGCTTATCAGATGTTTCTTCATGATTAAATTCAGGTAACGCATTTTTTGAAGAAATATCATGAAAGTTGACATCTATGTATAGGGTGAAATGTATTAAAATATTGACAGTCTTTCTTCCCTCCTACTTTTCTCAAGAATTTGGTTCAGTTTTCTTTCCCCACCTCAGATATTTCCCAAGAGGCCTCTATCCAGTTTTAGAGGACCTTTTGTGCTTTGTGACACGGAAATGGAAGTAAAGAAAAGATTGAGTGGAAAAGCCATGAAGGAAAAGAAAAATAAGGATGTTAAAGAAGATTGACAAGCAATTTTGAAGCATGACCTTCAAAGTATAAGAAAAATCTTCAGGAAAGTAAAGAGAGAATTTAAGTGAACTTTGTTGTGGCCTTTGCATGTCATTAATGTTTGGGAAATGCGAAGGAAGAACTTGATTACATGGAAATTTACTTAATGGTTTCAGAAGTGTCTTCCTTTGCTCATAACACTCGTTTAATATTAAAGCCTATCAGATAATTACTGTACCCCGCCACAAAACTGCATAGAAATTATTAATATTTCCATTTTCCTGACAAGGCAAGTGACTGAATGTTTTAATAATACTTCTAAGGTTATTTGGGCAGTACTAGGCATTTCAACCCAAGCCTATAAATCTCTAAATACCATTTTCTTTGAGTACATAATGGCTTTTGTTTAAATTATTTCATAAATTGCAAAGTGTATACGATACTATTTTCCTCAAGAAAACAATTATAAGAATAAAATTAAATAGGACTTCTTTAACAAGCTAAAATATTTTAAAGATGTACCCTATGATTATTATCATCTAAAATAGTATATGAGATGCTGCTAGCAGAAGGTAATCATGTGTTCTTCATAAATAAAAGGAGTGATGACCCTTTCATTACACTCTTTTTGCCTGTCAAGTCATTGGACAATTATAACAATTTAGATGTCTCTGTCACTGAATTAAGAAAATGTAAAATAAGTTTAATTCTTAAAAAGATAATATACATGTACGCAGTGTTTTAGCTAGAAATAGTTTCAGCTGTGAGTGGCAGAAAACATAAAATAAAAAAGACTTAAAGAGTCGGGATTGTGTGACAACATGCTATTGCAGCAATAATTCTGTGAAACAAACTATCTAGAAATTTAGTGGCTTAAAACAAGAAATTATTAGTTCACAAGCACACATTTGTGCATTGATGAAGGTCAGCAGCTCTTCTGTAGACATTTCTTACAGAAAAAGGGGATCAGTGCACCTTTCCATTCTCCTTGAAAAAGTGAACAAGACAAGTCATGGTGATGACAAATATAAAGCTATCAAGTCTACCCTGCCAAGCACATTTGGGGCCTCAGCCTGAGTCAAGTCTGCCTGATTCACATTAGTCAGAACGTATTAATCAGAACATAGTAACATGGCTTCTACTGGTAGTAAAACAGACTGGAAAATGCAAATGGGGAGATGCTTTGTCTAGTCAAGGAACTGACTAAATATCATTGGTTCTTTTAGTAAGAAAGAATAGGATAACTGGGTATTGGGCGCATTGAGCATTCAATACCACAGGGTCTGATTCAGGTCATCATAGGATCAACAATAAACTTAAAAAATGTATAATGATGGCAAAATCATGCAATGTCAAAGCAAAAATTACTGACGTTGAGATACAATAATTTGTTTTTTTTCCTCATGGGGGAAGGTTATTTTGATATTAGAAGTGAGCACCGTGCAAGTGAAAGTTCTTTGTGTCTCATGTAATACAAAGGGTAATAGGAAGACTGTCCCAAAGAGGTTGGTGGAATATTGATTTACACTCTTAGAAGGGGTGGGTGGCTGTGTGTGCTCACGCATGTGTATAAATGTATGTATGTGCTTATCTAGGCTATAATATTTTCTCAGATGCTCTGTGTATTTTGAATATCTTCCCCATCATTTAATTATTAGAGTTTATAAATCTACTCATAATTGGCAGCACCAATTACCTCCACAGCAATTTGAGAGTTTGACGTGTCTTCAGCGCACAACTCTAGGGTATACCAACCACTTAGTCCTGCTTCACAGCTTGACTTGTTGACTTGTGCAACACTGTAATTCTAAACTAACAGAATCACGTTCTTATTAAGAACACTGTTTGAGAAATGATGTTTACTTTTAAATAATGTTTATTTTGGGAATGACCTGTAGTTCATTGATTCTAAATTTTAGCTTTGTGTTACATCAGATTATTAAAGACAATATTGCTTTGCTTCAAAATATATTTTTGCGATAATATGTTGTTGGTTTTACTTTTTTTATTACAGTGTAAATATATATTGAGTAAAATAATACTCTCTATAAAAAGTGTGACAGAAATATCTGGTTATCCTGCTGTAAGATCTGTCTTTTCATTCTCTGACAATCAAAAACCAGAACTTAATATCTTTTCCCAAGAAAATTTTTTTGTGTGTGCACACACACACACGCACCCCATATAATACAAAGTTGCCTGGGGAGATGGTTTTCCATGCCACAAACACTTGGGGAAAAAAAGTATGTATCTCATATACATAAGATATGTGTCTGATACATATCTGACATCTATACAAGATATATAAATATATATCAGATATATGTCAGATATCATATATGAGATATATATCAGATTTATATATCTTACATATAAATATATCTATATGTAGATACCTATACATTAGATATATATATCTATATGTTGATATATATCTCTCATATATAAGATATATATTTCTACATGACATATGATATATATTTATAAATAATCATATATGATATAGATATGTATAAAGATATGTCTTAATACATTTTAATTAAAATATAAGATATATATAATATAAAGATATACATATTATATAAAAAGATATGGGCCGGGCGTGGTGGCTCACGCCGGTAATCCCAGCACTTTGGGAGGCCGAGGCAGGCGGATCACAAGGTCAAGAGATTGAGACCATCCTGGCCAACATGGTGAAACCTTGTCTCTACCAAAAATACAAAAATTAGCTGGGCATGGTGACACATGCGCCTGTAATCCCAGCTACTTGGAAGGCTGAGGCAGGAGAATCGCTTGAACCCGGGAGGCGGAGGTTGCAGTGAGCCGAGATCACGCCACTGCACTCCAGCCTGGACGACAGAGTGAGACTCTGTCTCAAAAAAAATATTTGTATATACATATAAAATATATATATATGTATATACATATATAATATACATATATTTGTATATACATATACATATATATATGTTTATATGATGATGTTTTCCACACATCTTTTCTCAGCTGTGCTAGTAAAAAAGAGTTCATTGCATTTGTTGTCCCCTTGAGGAAGGTGTGACCCTTGGATCTATATATGTTTTCCTTTACATCCTGGCTCTGCATCTTCTTAATGAGGGATGAGGTGGGGAGCCATGTGGGCCTTAAACTTCTTATGCAACTCCTCCAAATACAAGTGGAGGTATGAAGACATGTATTTTGGAAAAGACGGAATTGCGTTATAAATATTAATTTCTGTAGAGTGTTTTTCACTAGTATGATTTCTATGTCTTTACTGTGCAGGTTTGGTTCACTATACTGGATAAAATGTTTTTAATGAATATCTAGACAATATTTTCTCAAGTCTCGTTACTGGAATATGTTCTGTGTTGGTTTTAATCCAATAACATATGAATTATTAAGTGCCTATGTTTTTTCTTTTCGTGAACTTCTAGAATATGGAGAGGCACGAATTTAGTTCATCTTTAGGAAAATATTACTCCTTTTTTCACAGAATAGCATTAGCAAAGTCAAAAATGCATCTTATAAGACATGTCAAATATGACTTTTTACCTTTCCTGTTTTTTCTTTTCTTTACATCTTCTCTCTCTCTCAGCATTGATATCTGAAACTTATTAGTGTTTTCTTAGAAAGAGAAAAACAAAGAAGATGATTAATAATAACAGCTAATACATTAAGCACATTGCTAAGTGCATTATGAAAATGGCCTTATTTAATTATATTAAAACCTGGCAAGGAATGCGCTCGATATATTTTTCCACTTTATCAATAAGCAGGAACC
Organism: Homo sapiens; assembly: GCF_000001405.40. NCBI lineage: Eukaryota > Metazoa > Chordata > Mammalia > Primates > Hominidae > Homo > Homo sapiens. Next base: position 33,028,138 of record NC_000004.12, read on the forward strand.
AGAGATGTTGAATAACTTGTTGACAATTGCAGAGTATGCATAACATAGAACTGAGTCTGCTATTCTGGATCATGTGCAAACAAGTTTAAGCTCTTATCTATTCTATTTTGTCTGTCTGTACTTTGATTAGCAAAGCTCATGTATCTAAAAAGAAATGCCAGAATCTTTTTAATATTATTTTGTAAAGTAGAGGGGTAAGAAAAATGCTACGATTGCCAGTAACAGAGATGAATCATTTTACCCTTGTATGGAAAAAAAGGGAAAAGAGAATCTCTCTCGCACTGCACACATTCTATGCTGTCGAATAAGTATTTGAGATGATAGTTTGCATGCATTACATAAGATTCATGACATACATAAAACTTTTTCCTTCTGAAATTAAGTTCTTTGTTACTGGAATTAGAACAAAGTTCTCATGAAAGACCTATAAAAGTGACTTTTCCAGTCTTCTACTACTAATTTTTACGCATATTCTAGATCTTTCCTCAGAAGGGAAATGATAACTTGCATGTGGAATGAAATATTCCATATTTCTAATTTCAAGGAAGAATGTCAATCTACATGCACACCCAAACTTTACCTGTTATCTGCCAGGCATACAAATGGATATAGCTACCACAGCCATATAGCTCCTACAAATTTCCAGAATGCCTAATATCAGTTTTAAATGTTATATTCAAAGACAAAATACAGCTGAGAAAAGAACAGAAGGCTTATGGTTAAAGGAAAGGAACTACTGTGTTTCTCAAGCACGTATTCAAGGGTCAATGCTGGTTGATTGAGAATGAAATTCTCATGTATGTAACGTAATAAAGAAAATAAGGGCAATGTAAGGAATTCTTATGATAGATATTTCTAACTATGCACTGGATGCCAATTTGCTCTTCTTCCTTACTAACAAAATCTTAATTTAGTCTTGGTTACAGAAGTTACCTATAAAAACTTTTATATTCCATAATTCTTTGCAAATAGATTTGATCATGCAACCTAGACATTAGCAAAAGTGGACAGACTGAGTATGGAGCTTCTGAGAAACATAAAGTTAGAATGTGTCCTACACATTTCTCTTTTAGTTTTATTTAAAATGTGGAGGCAATGCCTGCTAGTACACCAACCATCTTAAAATAGTGAGAACTAAATTTTAGTCGAGAATGAAGCTTAAAACAAACAAACTTGAGTTCTTGAAAAATTTTTTTAGTAACTACACTCTGCCTAAACTACGTCTTCCAGATATTGTTTTTATAACAAGAAATTCTTACTTAGCCTCCCTAATATGATTTATTTACATGCTGCCAAAGCTACTCCTAACTAGTACATTTCTTATTTAAGCCAAATGAAGTCCACGTGAAGTACTGCTTTCATTCTGAGAATGTTTGAATTTTTTTATTAATGAGAAACTATTTACCTATTTTTAAGAAATAATGGGAGTAGTGGAAATAGATGATAGTTTTTAATCACTTATTTATCTTTTACTGCTCAGAAATGGAAACTACACTGAAAAGACAAATTTATTCTCAGGTTTTAAATGTATTTCATTGAAATAGACAATCCTAAGACCACTAGGCTAAATTCCCAGGTTTTTCACTTGCCACTTAAGTCATCCTTGTGAAGTCCATCGACTCCAATCCCCAAGAGTAAAAAATATATACATCATGGATTCAACTCACAGAATTATTGTGAGGATCAAGTGAAGTAAAGGATTGTATAATCTGTAGAGCACTAGGAAACTTTCCATGGTTATTACCGATAGAATGTGTGCCACAGCAGTTGCATTCCATTCTAAATCTGTGCCTGAATGAAATAAATTCCATAAACACCAGCAAATGTGATTTCAGTATATCCCATAGTTATACTGTAATTATATTTCTTAATTTATGATTCTGTAGTGAAAATTGTCAGTATGGATGTAACCAACTCAGTATCTCCTCTTGCATTGCCATAATGGTCATGATTCTAATGAAGAAAAAAGGACATCTGTTCACATAAATTCCATAATGTGCAGGCATGTGGCTTCAGCCAAAATGTGCTGGAAACAATCCAGTGTCTCCTTGTGATAACATTCCTAGTTAAGTGTCCTGGGAGTGATAACCTGGTGTGTTTGAATATCTCAGAAGACTCTTGGGGAAAATAACAGATCTGGCCACCTGATATACACATTTTCATGCAAAAGATGCTTGGATATAAGCATAATGGTGAGGTGGATAGAAATGTAAAATAGGGTCTATGAAGGAAATCTTACAAGGAAGGAAGGAAGGGAGGGAGGAAGGGAGGGACGGAGGGAGGGAGGGAGGGTAGAGTGTACACAGTTCCCTTCGAAAAGGTTTCCAAGGCTTGACTGGCCCAGACACCTCACAGTAGCCTATGGAGTAATAGTCTCTGCCCCCATAATTCTCTACATATTTGTAGAGAATTATGTAGACAAACATCTTACCGTGAAGCTTGTGGATAAACAAATTTTCTAAATACAAAGGGCGTTTTTCTGAAGTGCAAGGTACTCTAAAGATGTATCAGACCTACCTAGCCAGTTCCTTGCTGTTTTTAAAGTGATTGAGCCTCTGGGAACAATGATATTTGCCTCTTCTCACATATCATGCTGAATTTGTTTAGGCAATTTTTAAGCATTAATGCACAGTCCTTCTGGTTGTTAGCAACTTTTTCTTGAATATCTAGAAAAGAATTCATATAAATATGAATCCCATTGAAGATTTAAGAAAATGCATTACCTGTCTTCTAGGACAGTGGTTCTCAAACTTTAATGTATGAAAAACCTCACCTGAGAATCTCCTTCAATATTGCAAGCTCTTAGGACAGGAAATTATTACAGATGATTCAATTCAGGGAGGCTATTTAGCATATTTCTCAAAAAATCCAATTGTATAAACAAGCTACTTAAAGATTTCATTATAAATAAAAGTTGTAGCAACTGACTAATTAACAGACATGATTGCACTCATTCACTATCCTTCAAATTAGTCACCTTAGCAACCTATATACTTAGCTAACTATGGGACCACCCTTGTAAGCATTCAATAATTGTTTTTACAAAAACTCCCTTACAATTTTGGCATTGTCCATTGGATGAAAACTGTCGTCCTTTTGTGCGTGTATATAAATATATTTAGTGCTTTCAGTCATTTAGGGAAAAATATACATAGTTATTTGAGAGATGATGAGTAAACACATTTTGCAGGAGAAAAATAGCTGAAAGAAAATACAAAAAATGATAAGAATCTGCATAGGTTTCACAGCATTTCTTAATAAATTTTTGTTATTGGATCACATGATGCCATGTTGTCTTTTTCATTACACAGAGCTGGTCTTAAAATTACATACACACTCTATGTATTCAGAACAAAATAGAAAACTACAAGGAAACCAAAAGTGAAAATGTTAAGCAACTACACAAATACTTAAACCAGCAATTCTTTCTCTATTCTCTAATGGTTAGGTTGAGACCCTGTAGTGAATCCCAGTTCAAATGCCCATCCTACCACTTATTAGCCTTGTAACCTTGGGCAGATTAACCTTTTTTTTTGCCTTATTTTCCTAAGTCAGAGGATTAATGTGAATTTTACATGAGTCAATTCATGTAAAGCATTCATAACTGTTCGTGTTATAGTTTGTACTTAATTGAATTAGATGTCACATCTACTGCTGTAGTCATTATTTTTAATATTTTTGCCTGTATTTCTTTAAAAATAGATTGTTAAGACTCCATAGGCTACCTCCTTAGCTGTCCCTATTTGTAAGTATATGAAGAATCAGTGGAAAGGAATCTAGAAGTAAAACATAAAGCTATTATCATAGTCTAAGTACTCACTTTACAGGAGTCCACATAACAAACATCTTAGAAAATAACTAAAGGTTGCTATTGTTTTTCTCCAAAATTTCACACACAAAAAAATCAAAAATAAAAGAATATTGACATACAATTGTCCTGTATGTTAGTTCTTGTTTACTTAATCAGTTTTCAGTATACACAGACATAACATGGGTAACTGAAGTGACATTGGAATAACATTTGGTAAAGCTGTGAAATGAAAAGAAACTATGTAAAGCTCTCAGGTCATAAGTCCATCAAAGAAAACAGTTGTCACATTGTATCCTTTTATAAAGTAATTATCCCCCATGGTGTGTGATCTTGTATGAGTATTTCCTTTTTTGAAGAGAGATGAACCTGTAATTAGTCATGCATTTGAAAATTGGTATGCATTCTTCCTTCTCTTACAAAAAAATTAATATTCTTGGTTCGAGAATAGAAATTATAGCACAACAGAGTGACTATAGTCAACAATAATTTTTTGTACCTTTAGCAATAAATAAAAGAGTATAACTGAAGTGTTGGTAACACAAAGAAGTGATAAATGCTTGAGGTGATGGAGATTCCATTTACCCTGATGTAATTATCATACATTGTGTTCCTGAATCAAAATGCATGTCTCATGTATACACCTACTATATCCATGAAATTAAAAAATTTTAAAAAGAATAGAAAATAAAATATTGGCAGAAATAGTGAAAATTAAATTTGGAATTGAATATATAAACACACCATAATAAAAATGAATTCGAGTCTTAATTCAAATAGTGTATTTAACACATTTGTAAGGATATACTGTAAATTCACCCTTTTTTCCTAGTCCCATGTCAATCAGTTCATAATTTTATTAAATGCATATTCAAATTATTAATAATTTTCAAGTCCCCTGTGCCTCTCTCCAAGATAAGTAATTGGTGTCACAGAGGGTTTATTATTGAATTCTCAGTTATATTAAAAAATTGATTCTAATTCTAGTGTTTTAATTACTGCTTAATATCAGGCAAAATCTTTCTTTTCTATTATACTTTGTATTAATATAATAAATTGCTCTAGATGGTGCTGAACAATCATCTAAAGAAAAGGCAACATGGCAAAGAAAACTATGATGTTTCTTTGGTAAAAGAATCAGAATTATTATTAAATTATTTAAGAGAGTACTATTATACTTCAAGGTCATTATCACATTGACTCTACAGTTTCAGTTTGTAAACTTAAATATGATAATTCATCAGATTTAGAATACTGAATTGAATATCTATTGATTACAAAACATCTCTTAGAAATTAATTTCAGAACATAATCCTAATAACAAATAGACTTTTAAAAAACTGACCGTTTTATTAAAACATAGGTTCAGGTATTGGGAAACAAAGTAGCTCAAAATTGAGGACCGGTAAGTATCCAAAATTTATAAACATATTTGTATATTAATAACTCTGCTTACAAAGCAATTGTTTTATGACTTACTCTGTTATCAATATTAATGTTTCTACTAACTTTCTGCAAAGTACAAAGTCATAATGAAAATGACATGCAGTGGCAACTTATATTTTGTTAATTATTTCCTTTAGATCAAGATGTCTGACTAGAGGCATTCAAAACTAGCCTCTTCCACGATGTACAACTGAAACAACAAATAGATAATAACTACATGACAAATAATGTATCTAAGAGAGAAACTGGAATTCAGCAAGGAAGTGATGAAGACCCTTTGATGCACAGAAACTCAGGATGGCAGTGCAGAGAAAGAGGTAACACACCCAACTATGATTGCTCAGAGGCAAGAGGGACTTGCCATGGTGAGGAAAAGGTAAGCAGGAGATGTCCAGCAGTCCACATTTCTACCATGGGCAGCTGCAATTCTAACTATAGGAGAACCCCAAAGCCTCATAAGCCCTGATCCCAGTATAGGGAGCTGCCTGGAGTCCATGTGAGTACTTTACTCCAGAGAGAGGGAACTCACATTGGGTCATATCTCATATTGCACAGAGAATTTTGAGAGTGCTATGTGAGCAGAACTCCCATTAGAGTGCATCCTGGTGGATGTTCCTGGGACCCAGTATTCCTGCATCTCCACACCCCTGAGGCCATGCTGACATCCCATCACATCCAACCAAGAACTTCAACGTCACAACATTAGGGGAACCTAGTGACCCAAGCCTTTGAAAATCCTTACACTGTGGGGAGCAGGTGGTCCCGCACAGTGGGAAGGTTGCCCCCAAAACAGAGCTAACCAATGTACCTACCCAAAAGAGCCTGAGAGCCACCTGTGTGGGGTGGATGCTGCCACCAGCAATCCCATCACTTCTAACAGTAAAGCTGCTATGCACCTGTGTGTGCACTACTAGAGCAATGACTGGCCTGCTTAGTGTCTGCATCCCCAGCAAAGTTGTGCCACAGGCTCAACAACAACAACAACAACACAGCCTAGGTTACTGAGATACCTCTGACATTGATGACACCCAAAGAAATCATATGGAGACTACACCACTGCAACAACCCAGGACCAAAGCCAAAGCATTCTACCTAAGTGACATTATTGGATACATCCACAGGAAAAAAAAATTCCCTATGAAAGCTACTGCACGAAACTGTTCCACCGGATGCATAGATATCAATGTAAAAGCTCAGGAAATCTGAAAATGTAAGGAAGCGTGTTACCTCCAAAGGATCACAATAATTCTTCAGTAAAAGATCCACAGTAAAGTGACATTATTGGATACATCCAGAGGAAAAAAATTTCCCTATGAAAGCTACTGCACGAAACTGTTCCACCAGATGCATAGATATCAATGTAAAAGCTCAGGAAATCTGAAAAAGTAAGGAAGCATGTTACCTCAAAAGGAACACAATAATTCTTCAGTAAAAGATCCCCAAAAAAAGAAAATTTAAGAAATGCCAGAAAAAAAATCAAAATAATGACCCTAAGAAAACTCACTGAGACACAAGAGAACACAGATAAAAAAATCCAAAAAATTAGAAAAACAATTAATGATGGGAAAATTGGAGAACTTAATGAATAAAAAAATTATTGAGAACTTTAATAGGCTAGATGAAGTAAAAAAAAATTTCTAAACTTAAAAACTGATCTTTTGAAATAACAGAGTCAGACAAAAAAAAATTAAAAAATGAGGAAAGCCTACAAGACATATGGGCCACCATTAAGCAAGCATATATTTGTATTATGGGAGTTCCAAAAGGATAAAAAGTAAGAAAAGGAATAGCAAACCAATTTAATGAAGTAATAGCTGAAAACTTCTCTAGTCTTGGGAGAAGTATAAACACTCAAATACAGAAAGCTCAAAGATTCTGGTACCACAGAAATACAAAGAATCATTAAAAATTATTATGAACAACTATATGGCAACAAAGAAGAAAATCTAGAGTAAATATATACATTCGTGTACACATATAACATGCTGAGATAAACCAGAAAAACAACAATAACAATAAAAACAGACCAATGACAAGTAATGAGATTAAATCCATAATAAAATGTCTCCCAAAAAAGAAAATCTGAGCACCGGATAGTTTCCCTGCTGAATTCTAACAAACTTTTGAAGAAGAACTAAAATAAATTTTCTCAAACTATTGAAAAAAAACGAAGAGGAAGAAATTCATTCTGACTCCTTATATAAGGCCAGCATTACCCTGATAGCAAAACCAGACAGGGACAGAACAACAACAACAACAAAAACAGCCATAAGCCAATACCTCTGATGAACACAGATGCAAAAAATCCTCAGCAAAATACTAGCAAACCAAATCCAACAACACATCAAAAAGTTTATACACAATAATCAAATGAGATTTACCTCAGGGATGCAATGATGATTTAAAATACAGAAATCAATAAACACGCTAAGTAACATCATTAGAATGAAGGACAAAAGTAGATGCAAAAAAGGAATTTGATAAAATTCAATATCCTTTTAATTAAAAACTCTCAACAAATTAGATATATTTATTTCATGAAAAAGCCAAAGACTCACTAAAAAACTCTCAGAGCAGATCAATGAATTCAGTAAAGTTATAGGACACAAAATCAACACATCAGTGTTTTTATATATGTGTAAAGAGGTAGCTGAAGAAGAAATTGAAAGCAATCCCATTCACAATAGCTACAAAAATAATAAAATACCTAGGAATAAATTTAACCAGGGAGGTGAAAGATATCTACAACAAAATGTATAAAACTCTAATGAAAGAAATTGAAGAGGACACACAAAAAACAGAAAGAGAAAAAACATGCACACGAGTTGGGAGAGTTACTATTGTTAAAGTGCAGTATGAATTAATTTATATCATAGTTCATAATCTCTGTTATGAACTGTGCAAAATAGGCAGAATACATTAAAAACTAGGAGAGAGAAACAAAAGTACATTTTTTACATTTTCCATTTCTTTCTCCTTCCTCAGAAAATCTTTTTTACATAGTTCTTTTAGCTTGCATTCAGATCATCCTGATTTGTCAATATCATCAATATTATGCTTATGTAATTCAACTGTGTGATTTGTATAGCTATAGTTTTTGTTTTTTGTGGCTATATGCCATTTCATTATTATAATGTATTAATTTTAATTGGACACTTTTGTTGTTTCCATGTTGGAGCTTCTATGACTACTACTGCTCTAACATTCTTTTAATGTCTTTTGGTACACTCAAAGTGTCTATCAATTGTGGATTATTGGGTTATATTTTTACTTTGCTATAAGGTTTTGCAAATCAGTTATCAAATGTATACTCCCATTTGCAGTGTATGGGAGTTTCAGTTGCTCCATATCCTTGATAATACATGATATTATCAGTCCTTTTATTTTTGGCTATGTGATAGTGATACCTCATGTAACTTTAAATTTTATTTTTCTAATAATTATAATGAGCATCTCTTTATATGTTATTTGATAATATAGATATGCTCTTTTACTGAGTCCATGTTTCCATTTTTAATTGGGAAGTCTGCATTTTCTTATATTTTTATTGAGTTTGTTAATGCACTGTTTGTGAGTCCTTTGTATGATTTATAAACGGTAAGGATATTCCCCACAATAGACCTATCTTTTCATTTTTTTCTTGAAAACTTTTCAATATTAGGCCTTAATCTATTTCACTGCAATTTTTTTCCTTTGAGTTATGGCTTTTTGTGTCTTAAGATATTCTCCTATGTTAATTTCTAAACACTTTTTGTAATCATGCTTTTAAAACAGCACTCTAGATACTATCTAAATAATATATGATAGGATGGAAGAAAGTGGGCAAAGAATTCCTTTATGAAACTGTTAGTGGTATAGTGAGATATAATCATTGTAAAGACAAAGAGAGAAGCAAAGAAGATAAAAGAAGTAGACTGAAATGAACCAGGTTTTAGAGGCAAGAGGGATTTTACTGCTGGCTTGAAAGCTCAAATTAAAAACAAGGTGTGGTTGAGGATAATATCTAATGGGATTTTTGTTTTGTTTTGTTTTACCTGCTTTGTTCTTTGCTTTTTGTTTCCTTTGTGTGAAAAGCTGTGACAATAATGTGAGAAAAACAAGTTGTGATTATATATTAAATCTCATAGTAAATATCAAATAGGCCATTATGTATGCAAAGCTAGTAATAGAGACAGGAGGCAGGCAAGGGTCACCCTGGAAACCTCGCCTTCCAGTCTAAAACAGCCTGAAGGCTGAAAAACAGGACTGCCGGTCCAGGGAATCTCAGACAAGCCTGTTCGCTGGGAGGATTGAGTGGGGACTTGGGAAGTTCCTGCTGTTTACAGCGGGGAGGAGCCTGGCCTCTCCTGTTCCTGTGTGGTAAACTGGGATTCAGTCTATGAGATGGGGGCCTATTAACAGGAACCCCTCTCACCTTGCTGAGTTTTTTCCTTTTCACCCAATAAATTCCGTTCCCCCTCACCCTTCAAAGTGTCTGTGAGCCTAATCTTTCCTGGTCCTGTGACAAGAACCTGGTTTTTCTTACAACACCTGAACTCACAGAAAAGGTTAGACTTGGAGATAGAATTTGCAGGAACAGCAAGAGTTGAGTCTTAAGGCTTTTCAACATTTAGCGTTCCAATAGTAGAGAAAACGCAGGAGCAGAGAATGAGAAGTATCCATTGGGTAAAGGATAAAGCAGGAGAACAAGCATTTACAGAAATTTAGAGGAAAATGTGTTTCATAAAAGGCAAGTGATTGGCACCTAGAATGATCCTGAAAGGTGACCTTAAGGAGAGGAGAAAAAAGTTTTAGTTTTTTGGTGGAAACAGAAAGCAGATTAGAGAAGGTGAAGGCCAGTAGGATTGTAGAATATTACAACAACAAATAGAGGCTATCCTTTGTATAATACTTTTTCCTTATTTTGAGAAGTTGCTTAGAAGAATGGGTTGGTATCTACAGGGAATACAGTTAAAGAGTTGGTTTTTTTTAAATAAAGGTAAAAATAAATAAATAAGGACATGTTTAGGCCATGGGAATGATTGAGTTGAGTGAAAAAGATTAACAATGGTGAATAAAGCAAGGCTGAAACAGAGTCCTTGAAAAAAAGGATGCTCTAGCACCCAAAGCACAAGATAAAGACCTAGTCTTTGAGGTTAAGGAATCTTCTTTCATTGTAACAGAAGGGACAATTGATAATTCAGTTATTGAGTCAAGTTTATGTGTAGATTCATTGATAAGAAGATGAGATGTTTTCTACATCTTCTTCCTCTCCACAGTGAAGACTAATACGATTCCATGGCCTTCAAGTGAGTTAGGAGAAGGAAGTGTTAAGATTTATCAGGACAAATGAAGACAGACATCAGCTTGAAGAGACAGAAAGTGAATTTACCAGGCAAAAAATAAAATATTCAGGTGGTGTTGAGAGATTATTTTAGGTCTATGTTTTACAGTAAATTTAAAATCAAATTCCTTTAGCCTGGTTTTGTGATATTTGCTGTAATGTCCAATTGCTTGGGTATATGCACAGAGAATGTAGACAGATAAAATAATAGTTCTACCAAGATTTTAGATTTGCCAGCCCCCACCCGCCCAAAAAAGAAAAGGAGGGCAGCATGGGGAATGGGATAGGATTGCAAATGAATGGTTTTGATGATGGACCATGAGTATAGAGTGAAATGAAAAGATAGGTCTATTGTGGGGAATATCTTTACCGTTTATAAATCATACAAAGGACTCACAAACAGTGCATTAACAAACTCAATAAAAATATAAGAAAATGCAGACTTCCCAATTAAAAATGGAAACATGGACTCAGTAAAAGAGCATATCTATATTATCAAATAACATAGACTAGGAGAAGCCTAATATCTGAAATTTTATCTGCTTCTGCATACCTATACTTTGTGAGTTTTTATTCTTTATGTTTTAAAGCTTTTTTCTTACAATAGACATACATTTTATGATTTAAGAAAAAAATAAACTTTTAAAATGGTTTCAACAATAATACTGATCAATAAAATATAGAATATTCATACAAAGAAATATGATATAGCAATTAATATATGATATCTACTCTTAAGTAAATAATACTTACATTAGACTATTGCACATAATTTCCACATACATGATTATATAAAATATGTCTTAATATAATGATCAGCCAATATACAATATGTTCATTTAAGTTTTATATGTATTAATTTACAAAAGCCACATGAAGTATACATATACACATAATCCATGATTCCCATTGCATTGCTTAGGAAATTGACCCTCTGGGAGACTGTGTCATGTGCCCAGTGTCACATAGCTAGTAAGTGGTAGAGCTGAGATTTGAATGAAGGTCATCTGCATTGAGGGTTTTGGTCCATTACTATTATACATCATATAAGCATAGAGAGATATCTGAAAGGATTCACTATTAAAATAATAACATCAATGCTTGCTTCTCTCTGTTTGATAACTTTTAAAAAATGTGTCATTTATCTGTCTTTTCTAATGTTTTACAATATAAAAGTCTTGTGTGATTTCAAATGAAGTAGAATATAATTATGAAGAGAGGTGAAAATTTTCTATAACCTGAATTAGTGCTTTTTCAAAAGCAAATAGAAGTCACGCAGACATAAAGTGCTTTGTTGGATACAGCGTGCTACAGGAGTTCAGACTGAGGAAATAACCTCTGCCTTATATTGAAAACTACAAGACTTCTCTTTCTGCCTTTAAAAGATTGAGGCTCACGGGGTAGAATCTTCTATTATGTCCGTATTTAAAATTACATAGCACAAAATAAAAATCTAACATATAATTGACTGAACACATGCTATCCAATCTTGAATGGAAGGATTAATCTTAGTGAATATATTTAGACACTAGAAGAATTTGTCACAGGCAAATTATCAGTATAATTGACTACTTTCTTATCTTTATTCTTCACACAGTTTTCACTTACTTGCTATTTTTTCTTTCATTTAATATATATTTCTAATCATAAATGAATTATAATTCACCTATAGCCATCCAGATAGTAAGTTTGGAAAAATGTAACTGGTATTTTAAGCATACTTGTTGCAAATAACAGTATATAGTGTACTTGAACCAGTATCTGAGGACCCATAGCAATAGCAGTTCCTGAATCTGGATGTGACTTGCTTATTCATTTATGATACATATTTAGTCATATACATGTTTAAATAATCTACTCAAAATTGGGAATAACATAATATGGCAAAGTAGGAAAATGTCACGAAGTTTCACTCAGAAATATAGGTTATAACTAGGTGGCCATAAAATTTATTAAGCAATACTGGGCAATTTGGGAAGCTAAATAGGTGCAATAAAAATTATTCCATGTAGTGGCATAAACACCAAATATCCTGGGTAATCTGGTTGTACAATCAATTCAGTTATAATCCTTATTCTCCCCTGATGATCATTTACATTTATTCATGTAAATGTATAAATGTATTATTGTAGTCTTATCTTAATTTCTATTCATGTAAATGTATAAACGTATCTTATCTTGAGATAAGACTACAATAATAAATAATATGTGAAATATTATTTAAGAAGTTTGTACTTTGTGAAAGAAAGCAATCTATGGAGGACACAATTGGCTCAATATCTGGTACAGTGGATAATGCCATTCTAGAATCTGAATTATTCTTTTTGAATCAATAATTGGTATCAAAATCAAAGGCAACTTCAACAAACTCATTTTAAAGGTCAAAAATTTCTACTGCTTCAGCAACCCATACTCAGTGACCACTTTTCAGACCTTATCAGTATCTGAATCTTAACACCAAAACCCATAAATTCCAACATGCCAATAGCTTGGTTAACAATGATCTCACAGAATTCCAAAAGAGTGATTGAAATAAGGAAAGGTTAGCACAGTGGAATTCTATTTTCAGATCAGTTTAGGACCTGAACCAAAATGTAAATAGTCATTGGGAGAGAAAATGGATTCTAGAGATAGTGTGAATGTAAAAATTAACCGATTGGCTGGGTGTGATGGCTCACGTCTGTAATCTCAGCACTTTAGGGAAGCTGAGGTGGGCAGATCACCTGAAGCCAGGAGTTTGAGCCCAGCCTGGGCAACATGGTGACACCCCATCCCTACTAAAAATACAAAAAATTACCAGGCGTGGTGGCAGATGCCTGTAGTTCCGGCTACTCTGGAGGCTGAGGTGGGAGGATCACTCGAACCCCAGAGGAAGAGGTTGCAGTGAACAGAGATCCCGCCAGTGCACTCCAGCCTGGGTGACAGAGCAAGACTCCGTCTCAAACAAAACAAAACAAAACATTAACCAATCATATCAACTACTACTATTTGGTTATCTGAATGTCAGCAGTGATTGTCAAAGAAAAGGCAGATGAAAATTCGGATCTAGGGAGTAAAATTATGGTACAATGATTCAAAAGGAAAGAGTTGATTAATGCCAAATGTTTTAGTCACTAAAAATGAAATTAATAGATAACAATTTTTAAGAAATTCATATCTTTTATAAACAGTTTTGTTAAATAGGACTTGGTTATTTCTAATGGCGTTTTTAAATTTAATAAAATAGATATCAGTAATTGTTAATGAAAAATACCATTTTTTCCTGTCCCAACATGTTTTCTCTATATTTTTTTACAAATTAATTTTTATAGTCATTGACTTATATTGTTTCTGTCATCAACAACATTGATGTTTGTCTAAACTAATAATTGAGTAAAACTGGGAAGGAAGCATGGTTTTCAAATGAACTGGGATTAAACATCTGTAAATATAAAGTAGATGTGAAACTGAAAGAAACTTTTTTAATGAGTGAAGTTATAATATTTTATTCATAAGGAGAGCTGTTTCAATGTACATATGGCAAAATATATTCTTCTAGATGGGAAACAGGCCATTCTCTAGCTTTTGGAATGAACTCAGCAACATCAGAACACCTTGAGAAGTGGAAGCTGTAGAAACATCTGTAGTCACCACCCTTGGCATGGACAATGCCACTCTAATGGAAAGCAAATACAGCAAGGAGGTTTTGCAAAATGACAAATGGGTAACTGAGAAGAAAAAAAGGAAGATGAAATATTCCACGAGAACACTCTAAATGAGACTGATGTATGAGACACCTTTAGGGGGACTTCTAGGTCTAACTGACAGATACTTTGAAGAGGGCTAATTACTAGAAAAAAAAGTAGGTGGGGGCTTGTGCCAGAATGTCTTGATTTTTAAAAGCAGGAATTTTCTAACTGGAGACCATATCCTGATGAAGTTTTAAATATATGAGGTATATAGACAATCTAGTTATAAGAAATCTATTTTTAAGAAATAATCTTCGTTAATTCACAGTTTTTAAAGTTAAAATCAAGAAGAGGTGGAATGCTATCCTCATAAAGAGTAAACCAAGGTTCAAATAAAATAAGAATATTGTCTGTATTACAAATAGCATTTTAACTACACAAGTTCAGATTTCCTCAATCATTGTGTTTAATAGGTTCAGTGATTAGTTAGTGTGTATTTGTATGCAATTTTACAGTTCTGTCTTTGGAGTAAAGAAACAATTTATAGACGATTTCTAAAATAATATTCTCATTCCTGAGAGCCAAGCACAGGCATAGAGGCTTGACTTGATAACTGAACTGTAACTTTGTAAACAAGGTGAGAAAATAAGACACATCAATTTAATATTTTCACTTTACTTTACAAGCTTATAACTCATATCTTCACTAACAATTCTGTAATCATAATAGTTTCAAAGCCTGTGATAGGCATAAATATAGGCTTTATTTCCATTTTATTTTTTGATCATCATTCCTTTTTCAACATTTTAAAATTTCCTATTCTTGTGTTTCTCTAGGGGAAAAGAGGATATTCTAATCATAGCCTTAAAACTGTGGCCACATAAAGAGATAAGAATCACTCAAGGTGATTGGAATAGATGAGATTAGATGACAAGGAGCAAGCAGAATAGAGAACATTATAAAAATGTTAAAATTCTAAAGAATATGAGTAGTTGTAAAATTTTTTTAAAGACACTGAAAACTTCTAATGTCATTGTACTTTAATGATAAAACGAAAGTTTTCTTTTTGTAAAGTTTGTAAAGTTGGATAAATATAAATAAGCAAAAGAAACCTACAGGTACTTCCTGATTTTTTAATACAGTGCTTTCCTGGAAACTGAATTAACTGAACTAACTATAGAACAGTATGTTTAAGGCAGGCTGACTCTTCTCAGACAAGCAGTATGAGGATCTCAGACTGTGTTCCTGCAGATTTGGAAGCAAAGAGATACAACCAAAAAAATAAAAAAAACAAAGGATGAAAATCACCATATACATATGATAAATTCACAAGTCTTTGAAACTCAATGAAGCCTAGGAAAGTTAGTGATATATTTTCCAGGGTTCTTTGCTATGGTAAGGAGAAAGTAATGGAGCTAAGTTTGTAAACACATCTGTGCTGAAAAATTCATATATATTATTTCAACTGGGTCTCATGAAAATATTGGGAAGTAACTACCATTTCCCATTTAAAAGATGAGGAAACCATCACAAACTGAATATTACTGAAATCGCAGAACTTGCAGGAAAAGTATTTAGGATTGAAATCTGTATTTTCCATTTTCTTTCCACTCAGTCACCCTGCAAAGAGTCTTCTGAAATGTAACTGCCCATCAGGAATGAGGGAAAGTCACACACACACAGGCACACATGGACACAGAGAAAGACAGAGAGAGAGAGGAGAGGGTGACAGAGAGAGAGAGAGAGATTGGAACAAATGGACCTTTCAATAATAGTGTGCCCTGTGTACTCTCCAGTGTCCAGTGAGAATTAGCAGTCATCCTCCCCATCAATTCATTACCAAGAAAAAAATTTGGCACTAGGAGCAATCATTTTCCAAACCCTGCATGCACAGTGCAACTGCTAATATAATAATCCCATGGGAGATAAAAGAAAATAAAAGATTGAGAATGAGGATGGTTTTTAGTGTGTACCAAATGCTAGCAATTCACTGCAAATGAAGTAGTGTTATTTCCTTTTTATTTCATTTCTCCCCCACTATTGCTTTGAATATTGGATTTTCTTGTGACAAGGGTTCCAGGTTAATGATCAAAGTGCACTTCATGAACCAAAATGATTTTAACTCAGCTTTTGGAGTGACACTTCCTAAAATGTACCCCTGGGATTCAAATTTTCCTGACTCAAGACTGTTTCTATTCAAGGTCTAAAACCACTTTTAAGGGTAATAGCTACATCAACACTATTATATTTTGGTTGATTGAATCTGCATGAATTATTTTTCATTAAATAGCAAAATCTAATTCTAGGGGAAAAAATCTTGTTAATTGTTTTTATAAAGATGTGCCCCAGGGCAGCAGCATTTAGTTTTTCACTAACCATGGGTTTCAGAAAGCTTTTCAATTCTGCCAAATCATTACTTGCTCATATTTTTCATTTAAAATGGAAAATATAAAAATGACCTTTTATAAGTATTTATTAAATATATTTTCTTCTTGCTAAAAACTGCTTCCTAATATGAATATTTACTTGTGTTCTATAAATGAAAAAGACTTGAAAAGCATGAAAAGCATGTAGACTTACACTGAAGGAACATTAGCCTGTAACTGGTGTACAGTTTCAAGTCCTAATCTTGCTGTATAAAAAGCTGGGTGCCTTGGGTCACCTATTCAGTTTTCCTAATGCTGAAAAGAAAGGAAGGATCTTGCTTGGAAAAAAATACAATGCTCTTAGGAGACCAAATGCTCTAATCATCAGATTCTTCAGATTCATTGATATATAATCAGTGTCATATATATATATATATATATATATATATATATATATATATATATATAGAGAGAGAGAGAGAGAGAGAGAGAGAGAGAGAGAGAGAGAGAGAGAGAGAGAGAATGAAAAAGAATGAACCATTGTCCACTGAATCTAAGCAAGATTCTTATTCATGGCTGAAGATCTAGGGCAAGGATACAAAGCAAGCTAATTACTCCGCTTCATTAATCTCCAGAAAATTCTTTCATTAACACATGTGCACTCACACCCACATACTAGAAAGTTAGGTGAAATATCCTCAGCAACATTTAAGTGTTTTCTCTAGACTGATCACAGATTTTTGTAGTGTTACATCACTTTTATAAACTGCTTCTATTTTTACTGTAAGTCTAGAATTTTTTTGTTGCAGAATGGATTGATCTTACTCCAGCTTACAAAATTACTCCAAAATGTACTTGATTCCTTCAACTTTTCTACTTAAAATGTTATTAGAGCTTGCATGACCAGAGCAGAATGTACTTTTCCTCAAGTACATGTTATTTGCATGCCTTATTTTGTGTTTCCTAATTGAGAAAAATTGTCAGTGGCTGACCTGAATGCTTCTACTAATAAAAAGGCAACGTGGGATTCAAGTGACTTTAACTCTCTTACAGATGTCCTTCAAAAATTAAAAGAGAAAATCGCCTGAAGTTTCAAAGATGTTTCAGCCAAGTGGTTAATTCTATATTCTAGAATCAACTACAGAGACTAAGATACAAATTATATACTACATAAAATAAATAGAATATTCAGATGCCCTGTTAGTAATGTTATATTCTGTGAGTACACTTAATTGCAAGGACATTTTAACTAAATGCTAAAATACGTATTTTCAATATGACCTTATTTTCCGCATAAGAAAATTTTTCTAATTTATTTTCTTTTTTTGGAAGTAGACTTGAGTTCCCCCTTCATGAAATTTGTATTATTTTTGAGTGAAAACTGTAACATTTATGGTGTACATATAGGGGGCAAATACACTTGTGTTTTTCCTGTTTTTTCCATGCAGATTTCAAATTCCTTAAATGAAAAGAACCCAGGGAGTTAGTTCAGAGTAGTCTAATTCTCAACATTGAACAAAAAGCCATTTTATCTCCTAGTGCAATGTTACAAATATTTAGTGGAAGTCACCCCACGTTAAAAGGAATTCACGGTTCATCCCTGGATCTTACGTTAACATGGTGTTCTTAAATCTTCCACACAATTATCTGAACCTCGGATTTTTCATCAATAAAATTAGAAACATTTTAAGAATTCAATAACAATTTATTAGTAGACTTTTGTATTGATTTGCTAATGAATATTATGTGTTTGTAAAAAGCAAATCATTAGTTTGTGAGGGGTTATCTTAGTACTGAAAGTAATGGCAGTTATAAAATTATTGAGAAACTTACAAATACTCAGTGTTGAGTGTTAAGCAAATTATATAGATTATTTTCCACATACATGCAACTTTGTAAGATTGATAATGTTCTATTTTTTAAAAAAGTATGTCAGAAAAGCTAAGAATCTTGAACAATTGGTAATGGAAATAATAAATCCAACTCAGGGGTGTTCTGTTCATTTCCAAACAGGTGTGTTTCTGTCTACACCATAATAATAATAATAGAATCCTTCAATGAATTGAAACCATCTGTTTTAGTGGTAAAACAGAGTGAAACTGAGCATCAGGAAAACTGAAATTAGCTATTAAAATTGAACAACAATTGAAATATCAGAAGGATACACTGAAGATTAATAAGATTGTTTACCTGTAAGCCATGGATAAGAATAAATAAATGCAAAATAACCTGTGTTGGGGCACATCTCCAAGTTTATCCTTTTTGTAAAATCCTAATTTAAAAAATTCTAATATCTTACATTCCCAAAAAGATAAAAATTAAAATAAAAAGCTTGGAAGAAACCCCTGATATTGAATAAAAATGGAAAAATGTTAAAAAAAAAACCTCTGTATTTTAAGTAAACAGCATCATCTCACTGAAGAGTGGATAAGAAGAAAGAACTAGCCCAAATGGACTTTGAATATATTATTGGACAATGTAAACTCAGGTTAAAAATGGTAAAAATAATTACTATAAAGAATTGAATTCTAGTCAGTTGACATATATTTTTTCCCAGCGACATAGGTTAGCAATTCTGAAACTACGTTGTCCATAAATCTTAGGACTAAGCAAATAAGTAGATACATTGTGGATAATGAGAACCAGTGTTACCACTGTCAGAGAAGACAGTAATGGAAGTGGAAAAGGACAGAATAAACCATGTGATGTTGAATTGGAATTGGGGTAATCATTGTGAACTCCTAGACTTGAATATATGTGAATGATTAGCTCTAGAAGTAGAACCAGATATGTGTGTACAACTTCCCAGCTCTATCAGCTGAGACAGCTCACAAGCAATGAAAACCCAGAAGCAATGGGCACATAGAAGCCAGATCCTGTTTTCTTAATACCACTCTACCCAATAAGAAAACTGTGGGCTGGGAATGGTGGCTCACACCTGTAATCCCAGCACTTTGGGAGGCTGAGGTGAGTGGATCATGAGGTCAAGAGATCGAGACCATCCTGGCCAACATGGTGAAACCCCGTCTCTACCAAAAATACAAAAATTAGCTGGGCGTGGAGGTGTGTGCCTGTAGTCCAGCTACTCGGGAGGCTGAGGCAGGAGAGTCGCTTGAACCCGGGAGGCAGAGGTTGCAGTGAGCCGAGATCGTGCTACTGCACTCCAGCCTGGAGTCTCAAACAACAACAACAACTACTACTACTACAAATAACAGAAAAGAAAAGATAACTGTGAAGAAATGCCTGAATCTAGAAATAGGGCTGAAACCTAAGAAAATAATCCTGGAACATTTGGATGTGTGAGAAAATAAGAAAGTGTTAAAGGATACATGTCAAAAGACAGAAGAGTGAGTTTGAAGGGCTTATCTTGCTGAGATCTGGGACAATTTGAGACTCAAAATAAATAATGACAATAAGAATTCTAACATTTTCAATAAAATAGTTCAAGGATCCACACTGATAAATAATAAATCAATAGCTAGATAAATGAACTAAATGAAAAAGTTCTTCCTTTTGACAGAAACCCAACTGACAAATACAGAAGAGTGATGGAATTGGAAAATGAATCCTATTTTGTCAACCACGGTAATAAACATCGAGTCAAGCATCAGTTACCAAATAGATGTGAAAGCTAATGGGTGGAATTTTGAGGGAATAACAAGATATTTACATAATTTCAAAGTATTCCTCCAAAAGATATTTATTAATTTTAAAAAGTAAAATGGTAACTGCTATGGTTTGAATGTGTCCCCTAAATTACATGTGTTGAAAACTCAATCCATAGTGGGGCAGTATTGAAAGGTGGGGTCATTAAGAGTTGACTAGACCATGAGAAATTAATCATGCCTTTATGAATGGATTAATCCTTTCATGTATTAGTGGATTAATTTGTTAATTGATTAATTCTTTTCAGGGGAGTGGGACTGGTGGTTTTCCAAGAAGACGAAGAGAGACCTGAGATAGCACACCCAGCCCCCTTGCCATGTGAGGCCATGTGCTCCAT
Source organism: Homo sapiens (assembly GCF_000001405.40). Lineage (NCBI taxonomy): Eukaryota > Metazoa > Chordata > Mammalia > Primates > Hominidae > Homo > Homo sapiens. The sequence goes on from NC_000004.12 coordinate 33,048,752, forward strand.
CAGGACTCTGCAGAAAGTCCCCACAAGCAAGGAGGCTCTTACCAGATGCAGCCCCTCAACCTTGGACTTCTAAGCCTTCTTGACTATAAGAAATAAATTCATTTTCTTTATAAACTAACGAGTTTCAGGTATGGCTCACGCCTGTAATCCCAGCACTTTGGGAGGCTGAGGATGGCAGATCATGAGATCAGGAGATTGAGAACATCTGGCTCAACATGGTAAAAATCCCGTCTCTACTAAAAATACAAAAATTAGCTGGGCATGGTGGCAGACAGCTGTAGTCCCAGCTACTCGGGGGCTGAGGCAGGAGAATCACTTGAACCTGGGAGGTGGAGGTTGCAGTGAGCAGAGACTGTGCCACTGCACTCCAGCCTGGTGACAGAGCAAGACTCTGTCTCAAACAAACAAACAAACAAACAAACAGAAAACAAACAAATACAGTAACTTACAGTGAAGAAACTTAAATGATAGCAATTTAACCAAGTATTTAATTTAACATCCTTAGTATTTTAACAGACAAATATTTTGTGCCTATTGATATGAGGCACCAAGAAGGGTATAACATCACTTCTGTATTCCTCTCCCAAATGTGCATAACCTGAATCTAGTCATGAAGGAATATCAGATAAACCCAAGTTGAAGAACATTCTGTAAAATGACTATTCTGAACTTGAAAATAATCAATGTACAAGGTACAAAGAAAGATCCAGAAACTGTTGTAGATTATACATGTGATATATAATGTTAGATTTAATTTTACTTATAAAGCATATTATTTTGTTAATTAGCAAAATCTAAATATAAACTTTCCTTGAATGATAATACTGTGTCTACCAATGTTACATTTTTAAATTTCGATAATTATGTAACAGAATGTCTCTGTTTTTAGAAAATTCACATGATGTATATAGGGGTAAAAGGCCATTATGTCTGCAATTCACTGGCAAGCGATTCGGAAAAATAATGGTATACACAGAGAGACACACACATAGGTACACGCAGAGAGAGCATACAAAGGATAAAGCAAATGTAGTACTACCATAACAGGGAAACTGTAAGACCATATGAAATTTTGAGGGTACTATTCTTGTATTTTCTAAAATTCTGCATTTATGTTAAAGTGATGGTTAATTTTATGTGTCAACTTGATTTGGCTAAGGGATGCTTAGAAAGCTGATAAAACATTATTTCTTTGTGTGTCTGTGAGATTATTTCTAGAAGATTTGTGCTTTTGAATCAGTAGACAATTCAGAAATTGTCTACTAAGAAAGACAATTCATCCTCACCAGCATAGGCAGGCATCATTCAATCCATGGAGGGCCCAAATAAAACAACAAGGGAGAAGAAGGATGAATTCACCATCTTCATTAGCTGAAGCATACATTTTCTCCTGCCCTAAGACATCATAGCTCCTTGGACTCTAAGGCCTACACCAGTGGTTTCCTGGTTCTCAGGACTTCAGACTTGGAATGAAATATACCACTAGCTTTCCTGGTTCTCTGGCTTGCACACAAATTAGCATGGGATTTTTCAGCCTCCATAATTGTGTAAGGCAGTTCCCATAATATATCTCCTCTTATATATCTGTATATATCCTATTGGTTCTGTTTTTCTGGAGAACCCTGACTGATAAATACATACATTTTAAAAATGAGCACTCATGCCCGTAATCTCACCACTTTGGGAATCCAACGTGGGAGGATTACTGAGGTCAAGAGTTTGAGACCAGCTTGGGAAATATAGTGAAACCCCAGCTCTACAAAATAAAAAAATAAAAATATTAGCCTGGAGTGGTGGCACATGCCTATAGTCCCAGTTACTCAGGGGTCTGAGGCAGGATCATTTGAGCCCAGAAGCCTGCACTCCAGCCTGAGTAACAGAGTAAGATTCTGTCTCAAACATATATATATATTTTATTTTAAGTAAAAATAAACAAAAATGTGCAATAATGAGCTTCAGATTCCTTATCCGGAAATTTGTGATGATATCAAGGAATTTTTGCAGATGTAACATTCTCTAATTGAATAGAACACTTAATAAGCCTTCTTGATAGCAAAATTTTCCTTGATCACGATTCTGAAAACTGAATTCCAAAATTATCTTTATGCCAAACCAACTCTAATATAGCAAGTTCTTTCAATTTAGAAAACTCATTTTTCATAATAATAAGATACATGCTGTGCCTAAATATTATATAAAATATGTTTATCTGCTGCTTTAAGTGTTTAATATTGCCTTGAAATTAATGAAATTTACTGTAACTTGCTCTTTTTCATTTTTTCAATTCTTACAGTATTAGAATATCTCATGTAAGGCTTATTATTAAAAAAATATTAAATACAATGGAGGTGATATGATATGTATTTTTTAAAAGAAACGTTTACCTGCCCACAGTAGGTCAATTTTGACTCTCAACATAGCTTCATGCCTTTTAGTGTGCTTGTGTGCAAGACTGCTTTCTTATATCCTGTTTGGTTGTTTTTAGATTCGCTTCATGAATTCAGAGTTTTGAAATGCTTCAAAGACAAAACTCATTATTCTTTCAATATTTCTGTTTAAGCTGGCTTGACTTTATGTGAATTACAAATGTTGACACTAATTGGTAATTTTTAAAGAAAAAAGGATCTAGACAGCTTCTACCCCTTGAGGGGGAACTTAGATAAATGAAAACATCAACTATGGAATAATTGATACACTTGTATAATTCTGAATTTGCTGGTACAGAGTTAATATAACATTAAAATAATAGACAACAAATGAATACATGTCATTGCCTAATGTTTCCTTGTGACCGTATGTCATTCTTTTTATTTGTTTACCTTAAATTACAGACGTTTAGAGTTTAAAATTGGCTCTTTGGGAAAGTAGAACAAAATTCTTTTTGTTAAGACTTTGGAAAAAAAAAATCTTCATACTTCAAATAGCTTAAAGACTTTATGCTTTGTTTCATCTTAACTTATATCTTTACCTATTTTTTTGTGCAAAGTGTCACTTAATGATATATGAATACTATAGTGGGATTTTGTTTATAGCAAATGAAACTGACAAACAATAGAAAAATTTAGGATATGGACTGAGAGAGCAAACAAACTTGGAGAAAATTTTTTATCTATTTCGGGGTATAGTAAACGCACATTACTCACTGTAGACTATCCACCCTTTTTGTGCTCCATTTTTATTTGTTTCCGAAACTAAGATGGAATTATTTTGTATGGCATATTTGTCTTAAAGCTTAACATTTTGCAAAGTCCTTTAGGAGCAATAGCCCCGCAGTAACTTGACTGATATTCAATAAATTGAAAAATGAAAGAGGACATTTCTGAAGCTTTAGTGGTGCCGATGAGGAGAAAAAGGAGGTAGACAGCGGTGGAAACCTGGGGAGAGTAATGAGTAGATCAAAATTGGAAAGGATCCAAGACAAGTCAGTTTTGCATTGGTATGTTTTCCCCGTCTCTTTTTTATATCTTTGCATTAGTTTCAGTTTTCTTAGAACAAATAATTTTTTAACATTAAACAGTTTCCCCTACTGCCTCACTCTCTTAGCACAAACAGAAAGCTGAATTGAAATTTGTATGAAGAACTGAGCGTGCCCAGTAACCCTTAACACTTTGTATGTTGTCGGCAAGATATTACACAATATCTTTCTAATCTAATTTTATTGTTTGTGATAATTCATCTGATTGCAAAACTGGAAGCTGGCTTTTATTAGAATTTTGGCCAGTATATTGAGTCAATTAAAATGGGTTGCATCAGTCAAAGATTTCCCAGAAGAATAAAACCAACATATTATAATGTGTATACACACACACACACACGTACACACACACACACGTGCACACACACACTTAATTCTTGAATAACACGGGTTTCAACTGTGAGGGTCCATTTATACATAAGTTTTCTTCTGCCTCTGCCACTCTTAAGAAAATAAGGCTAACCTTTGCTTTTCCTCCTTCTCTTCAGACTGCTTATCATGAAGACGAGGTGGATGAAGACTTTCCACTCAATGAATATCCACTTCCACTCAATGACTAGTAAACGTATTTTTTCTTCCTTATGATTTGCTTAATAACGTTTCCTTTTATCTAACTTACTTTATTGTAAAAGCAGACTCTACAATATATATAACATACAAAATATGTGTTAATCAACAGTTTATATTATCTGTAAGACTCCTGGTCTGCAGTACGCTATTTGTAGTTAAGTTTTGAGGGAGTCAAAAGCTATACTTGGATTTTTTACTGTGTGGGGGTAGGGGTGGCACCCCGACCCTAAAGTTGTTGAAGAGTCAACTGAATCTTCTTAAAGTCAACTGATTGTAAATGTTAATCACAGTACAAAATCATTCACAACAACATCTAGACTCGTGTTTGACAAAAGGACTGAGCACTATAGCCTAGAAAAGCTGACACAAGTTGACACATAAAATTAACCATGATAATGGTAGTTTGGCACAATCCTTAACAAAATCCTTCTACAGATATTTCATAAACCACTGACAGAAACTCCCTCCTTGGCCAAACTCTAACTCAGGCTCCTCTGAGCCCTTTAGTCACTAGGCCTCTACTTAGCCTAAAAAGACTTTAACAAAACACAACCTCATTTCTCATAGGTCAAGATCACTTCCCTAGAATGATCATAGCCCTCTGTAATGTGTCTGCCAGAGAAAACTCGGGTTGCCATAAGAATTTGCTGTTTGTTACAGCCAATGCCTAAAGATAGGATCCCTGTGTCAGATTCTATGGGAGGGTAGGAGCCTAAATTCAATAGGGCCAGTTAAGAAACTCTGATGGGTTTCTTCTGGACCAAACTTCCTTCCCCTTTTTTGTAATTTTTTACTTCTCTGACTCTACTGAGTCCCACTTACACCCTTATCTACAACCTAATTTTCTCTTTAAAATGCCCAGTAACATTTGTAAAAATCAAAGTTGAGTTAAATTCATACTGAACTCTTTTCTCTGTGGCAATAGTACATTAATGGTTAAAATCTGTCCTTCCCACTCTAAACAGTGCCCAACTTTGTTTTTTCTTTGCCACCACTTTCCCTTCCAAAAAAAAAGAAGAAAAAAAAGAAACAAAACACATTGAAAAATAACAGGCAGAATATTTTAATTAATTAATATAACCTAAACACCTATGATGTCGTGATGAAACCAGAAAAAATAACATATTTGAAGACAGAAAACTAAAAGTAAAGGGTTGCTAAATGATTCTTGAAAAAGAACAAAAATGATAAGGAAAAGAAAAAAATATTTTTAGAAAACAAAATAATGTATGCATATTTCTCAACAGAAAAATAAGAAATGACTATGAACCCACTTCTCTGAAATCATCATTTTTTTATTTTATGGTTGAAACAGGTAATATCCCTTGAACCATAAAATTCCCAAAGTCCTTGACAACTAAGCCAAGGTTGCCTTCCTTCTTCATGGATTATCCTTCTACACTCAAATAGTTCAGCCTGATCTTTCTTTATTCATATCAATGAATAATATTATATTTCCACTTTTCTTTCCCATTATAGAGCATCTACCAATTTGTTTTACCTCTTCCATATGCTAGCCTTATGTGACTGAGACATAAAAGATGATGCATATACTCTTACACAATAAAATGCTGTTTCTTTTCCTAGCAGGAATTACTGCTCTACCTAATTCAATCAATATGTGCAATACAGAACTCTATCTTTCATTTATAGCTGCTCCTGAACCATGACACAGAGTGCTATCTGTCTCTACCTGTGATTACTCTGGATACCAGTTTAGATCCAAACTGCTTAGAGTGCTATTTAATAATTTTTAAAAGTCACATCTCTTTACCTTGCTAATTAACCCCTGATTATATTCAGCTACATTTATTTTTAAGTAGAATACGTACTATATATGTGTTACTGATTTATATACATAATACGTATATGTATACTTGTCAGTTTCAACTAATCAGAAATTATATGAATATAGCCATTGAAAAAGTATTCTTGCCTGCATAAACTTTCCCATGTTGAGAAGAATGGATGATAGAAAGTTGAGAAATCCTGAAAGACTGAACATAGACTCAAAGACTGAGTTGAACAAAATAATACTGCTTTGTTCCAATTAGGAAAAAAAAAGTGCCACTTGCTTCCAGCACTCATTTAATTTTACATAAACACATTCTTTGTGGCTGAAGCAAATCTGACTAATTCGCAATGTGAAAGTAAAGTATAAAAACTGTTCTTGGAGTTATTTCTAAGTAGAACTAAGATCAGAATTGTCTATTATGGAAAAATTGTATTCATCAAATCAATCTTGGGCCAACAACTGTTAGAAAAACAATGTTATCATCACATGTAGGAATGGTGTTTTCTAGGGTTTGACGTTTTCAGGGATGGAGAATTGCTAAATTTTATAAATGGAAATATCACTACTAAAACCAGAATGCTATAAATAGAATGATGTCTTTTGTTTCAAGAGTTGATATACTACGGTGATGCAAAAATAATAATAAAAGTGAGATATTTCGTGGCAAAATTATCTCAGGGTAAACGCGGCAGCTGCAAGTGCCACCAGCCAGTATTCTTTGGGCAAATGGGGAAGGGTTAAACTAAAAGCTGCTTTATCACCTTTAATTTAAGAGTTCACTTTTCAATCCTATACATCACCATCTATCCCCTATCAACTGGAGTAGGAATGGCAGAATATCAGATAATATCACCTTTTAAAAATAGAGGAACTTAAGAAAAATCATATGGGCTGAATTGAATGTATTATATCTTTGCCGCAGAGGATATCAAGTGTTTTAAATCTACAGTCTCCAAAGATTTTTGACTACAACTTAATTTATGCACCTGGTGCTTAATTTCCCACCCCACCCCAACCCCACAAAGGAATATATTTAGAGTAGTTTAAAATAATGCAAACATCTTAATTATCAGAGCAATCCATTTGGCTGCAGTTGTGAACAGAAGGAAGTAAGTAAAAGAAAGCCCACATCCTTTCATTGTAATGACGTATGATGTGGACAACTAGGTTCTGTTATAAAACATTTTTTGCTTTTGTTCAGTTAAATTTGGCTTTTCTTTCACTGGTAAATATTCTATTGTTTCTAACGGAAAGATAGGGAAAAAATCAGATGGAAGTATTCTACTTGTTAAATAATAATAAAAAAAAGGCCAGCCTTAGCTTGTGCTAATGATTTCATATAACTAAGCATATATATAACAGAAGACTTTCACAAAAGTTTCTTCCCATTTCTGTAATTATCATTCTAAAGGTTGTTTGTCAGTTTTTTTCAAAATCCGCAAGTTTCTTATACCACCAAGAAAGGTGGAAAACGTAGTATAATCTCTGCTAAGTGTCTCATGCAACAATAGCCATTTCAAAGCAAATTTTAAGGAAAGATTTAGATGGATAAACAGGATTTTGGTTTTTAAAGCGTATGTTGCTGATTAACAAGTCTCTTAGCTTTTAAAGGCCCATATAGTATTTCCATGTCTATAACAGAAGAGGCTGCAACTGTCAAATCCTCAAAGTTTTTAATAAGTTTAAAAATTATGATTTTAAGTCTTTCAAATAAATAGTTCATGTCTGAAATGTTTTACTGGTTCTAAAAATTAGAAAATTATAATGAAAATTTCGTAAAGTTTATGTAAAATGATTACCTTTTCTTTATCATAACCTAGCTGATAATTTCAGCTGCTTTTATAAAGTCATCAACCTGACACTAAAGAAACTGCTATGAGGTTAAAAACAACGACAACTGTGTCAACAATAACAACAATAAATAGCAATCGCAAAGATAAAGGTAATTTCTCAATATGCAGGGGACCTGAAAGAGACTTAAAAAAGATAATTAAAAAAGGATATTAAAAAAGAAAAACACAAACAAATACATAGTGTGAAATAGAAAAGTGTGGGGAGGCAACACTCAACCAAGCAAACAATAAACCTAAGTAATAATGAAGTACACTAAATATATAAAGAGTACTATTATTCTACACTGGAGAGTTCCTAGTTAGTTAGTTTTATAGGTTTTTAAGTTTTACCACAGGAAATAATGAAAATATCTAATTCATCTTCGAGACACATTTTTTGGTAAAACAAGGAGACTTACGTAACGTTTTTTGTTAAAATGCATGTATGTTACCAGCGGAATCCAGAAGATAGCTTTTGCTTCCTGATATTCTACATTCTCTCAGCAATTATCTAAAAATTTTTTGGTCATTTTTGAAAAAAAAATTTAAATTAATTTAGAAACTGCAGTCAACATAGGTTCATTTAAGAAACATTTTGTTCAGCATTTATGAACATGGTTTTAGATAAGAACTTTGAAACACAGACAGAGTTTTGGGGCAAATGGGTCCATTCCTCATTCTTCATGTCTTCAAATAAGAGAAAAATTATAATCAACAGATAGATCACCTTCTAATTATTTGGTTGAGTTGAACAGATGACTGAACAAAGCAAGATCAATTCCTTTGCACTCTGTAGCCTTACACTTATTTAAAGAGTAAAATTATTTTCCTCATGATTTTGAACAAATTTAACCTATTAAATCAGAGTCATATAATAAATGTCCTTCTTATTGTCAAGTTCTCTGTAAAAAAAAACTGTGATCATTTTCTTAATGTCAGTTGTGAAAATATAATCCTTATCTATGAGCAAGTGTGATAAATGAGGTTTAGTTTTAGCATCATGAAGGTTCATTAGATGTGAACGTACATACTCATGAGAGGCCAAGTTCCTAAAAGTTTCCAAGAGTTAATGATCATTATTAGAGAGCTGACTTTTGATAAGTTCACATTGCTAAGATATTTTGATTCAGACTGAACGTAGTGGAGCCAGGTTCTTCGTTTACAAGTCAAAGCAATTAAACAATGATTTTACATTTTGTTCAAGAAAACTGCTTTTGGATGTGCCCTATCTTCTAGAGTAAACACAGTATCTTTATATTCTTTAAGAAAATGATTTAGGTTATTCTGCTTTTATTTGTAAGTCATAAAACAATTATAGGTTTTAAAAGAGTAATTTGCTTAGAAGTAGGAAATTCCAAGAGTATGTATTTCCACTCAGTTCCTGAGCTACTGTTTCCTAGTCTCTTATGATGCGTATGCATATCCCTTCCTGCCAGTGCCAAGCAGTCTGGCTTCTTAGCACACTTTATTTAATTTCTTTTCCCCCATGGGCCAAATCAAGCAGCAGATCTTGAAACCTAGATAGACTTATTGCTAGAGATGGAGCCAAGGCATAATTCTGGAGTGTATTTCTCCTTAAAATGGAAACATATGTACACTTGTGAAGATTTCTATATTTGCTACAGTAGAGCTAACCTAACCTCTCAAAAATTATATTGAATAAATGCTACTTAATAGTGTAATCAACAACTTCATGGACTTCACAAATATTTACTGAATTTCTACTTTGTAATACTTCTGATGAATACAGTAGATAAAATCCAGACCTTATTAAACATATGTGGTTACTAAACATGAGAATTTCGTAAGAAAGGAGAACAAAACATTTTTCTTATTCTTGAGCCACCTGGCTTATTAAAATAGGAGCTAAGAATTTGCTGATGGAAAGCAGTTAAGAGTAAATAACTACGCAACAGGCAACCAATAAATAAGATATGTAATTATAAAGGGCATATTACACAAAAACATAAGCTCAAGGACAAATAGATCAATGTGTTCAATAGGATTGGGGAAGGTATTCTAGAAAAGTAGAAGCTGAGAAACAGTACCGTACTTACTTGGACTGACTTTAAAACAAAAAAAATGAGTAGACGGAAGCTTATCCACATAAGAAAGAATCTAAGCAAAATAATAGAAAAGGGAACAAACTGAGAACAAAAAAGTGATTGATAAAGTGTCTCAACAGACCATGACAATTGTAGGTATTTATTTAGATGTCTGAATAAGAGACAGGGACTAGCACCAGATAATTAGCTCCCTTAAACTTAAAAGTAAATTCAATAATTAGTAGCTAATAAATAACTAATAACGTGGCATTCATTTCCATAGAAATAAATTTTGTCTTGACTTTTTTTTGTGATGGCTCATCCTCTTCCATACAATTGTATTTCTTACAGTAATGTGATTTGCTAAATTTATTTGACATCTATATATTGAGTTCTTCCATAGTCTAATACGTTGTTAAGTACTATAAACATAAAAATGAACAAACTGTATTGTCCTTCAAAGAGCTTACAGCAGAGGTTAGCAGGATAGAGGATAGCACAACTGTACAATTAAAGAGACATGCCAATGTGGAAGTTACTTTTGCAAGTTAATGCATTTATCTTTGGAAAAGTTTTCATAAAAATAAATTCACAATTTGAAAAAAATTGTCACATGATATCAGTCCATTTCTAATTAAGAAAAGGTTGTCATTATGGAAACAGGCTACAATGAGGCTCCAAGCTCTGGTTTATGAATTACAGTATGGTTATGATCATTATGCATACCATATGTTAATCTCCAGATGGTCAAGAGCTTTGAAGCACACTGTCTATATGTACTATATAAATAGACCTGTTTAACTTTCTCTAATGTACATCTTTCTGTTACATAAATTGAAAATATTTAGAAAGAACAAGGGTCTTTTCCTTTAAGAAGCCATGGCATGACCATGAGTAAATTAAGAGCACTGAAGGCAAATACATTGCTATCATTAAATGAAGTTCAGAACTACTTGCAAAAAACAAAAACAAAAACGAAAACAAACAAACAAAAAAACTAAGTGCAGGATACCAAGAGTGAGAAGAAAGGCTTCAGAGAAGCTCACTATTGTTTCCATCCTGCAACCTAAAAAGGGAACTCCGATTAAATAAAGAGCAGATTTTGATGCTTGTAGTGATTCTAAATAACAAATGGGAAAAATATAGGAATAATATCTAGTCTGTGTTAAAAGAATGGGCTATAGAGAAATGACATATGTCAAATACCTACAATATTATCTGCCAGAATAGGAACTAAATAAATGGTAACTTGATTGAAGTTAAAATTATTTCATGTGATGTTGGTTGCACAAGAGATAATTCATTAAACTAAATGGTTTTGCAGATTTTTTAGAGATTGCATGACTTATGAATGAATTTTGTATTCAGAGTAAATATTATGTTGCCAATTACAAATGAGAAAAATGCTGGCGATATGGATTATACTAGTGCAAGGTATACAAATTATATATACAAAGCACTGTCCACAGTACTTGTACTCTCATAAACAGTAGCTAACAAACTAAATGTGTTACTCAGTCTTAAGTATTTTTAAAAATATATATTGTAAAATATCAAGTAATTACTAATAATATAATATTCATTTATTGAAGTTCCTCTATGATATTGTGATAGTCTGTATTAGTTTCCTATTAGCACTTTCGAAAACTTACCACAAACTAATTATCTTACAATCCTAAAGGTCAGAATTCCAAAATGAGGTTTACAGTGATAAAATGGAGGTGTGGGCAAAGCTGCCTTCCTTCTGGAAACAACAAGGGAAAATCTTTGTCTTTGTCTTTGGCAGCTTTTGGATGCAGACCTGCATTCCTTGGCTCCTAGTCCCTTCTTCTATCTTCAAAGTGCATCATTGTAACCTTTGCCTCTATGGTCACATTCTCTTTCCTCTGTCTTGACCTGCTTGCCTCCCTCTTATAATGACTCTTGTGATTACATGGGGACCACTTACATAATCCAAATTAATCCCCCTATCTCAACATTCTTAACTTAATCATGTTTGCAATTTCTCTCTTGCATGTAAAATAATATAATCACAGATTCTGGGGAGTAGAATGTGGACATCTTTGAAGGATCATAATTCTGTCTACCATACAGTCCTTAAGAAATACGTTCTAATTATACACTCAAAACAACACAATAAAGTCAGATTTGCTGTCCCTATTTTACAGATGGACAATTGTAGGCACAAATCTAACAAATAACAGGCTTCATCTCTACTCTATCTATCTGCAACCCTATCTTTCCACCTGAAAATTCTGCTTATTCCAATCTTTCCTATTGGGAAATCACTTACCCTTAGTAAGAAACATAATGAAAGACTGCACATTCAACCTTCCCATTGGTTTTCAAGGGTGTACATCAGGATGATAAAAATGAATGGCCGGCTGCATCTCCTGAATGGCTGTTTCTTCCATTGCTGGGAGGGCAGTGTATCTGAACTTAGCTGACGCATCTCCTGACACACATGTGCAGCAGCAACTGTCAACACACGAGCTTTCAGAAGCTGACATTTGCTTTCTTCAGTAGTAACTTCCTAGTGACTTCTCCTAATGACATCTTTTTAAAACCTCATCTTCTGCCTAGACCCTTCTCTGGCAAAGCACTTTAAAGCTGCTGTTTCAGTGAACTCCTCTAGAGTGTCGTTCAAATAACAATTCCTGCCGAGCCCTCTGGTGGTGGCCACAGGGCAACACAGTCCTTGCAAAAAAGCTTGTTCTGTGCTGCCTAGATTCTATGCCATCTGATAGCACGTTTCGAGTTAACCCTTGGCCCCATTTGGCTATAATGTTAAGTGGAACATAACTTATAAAAGACTTTGGAGGCTCGCGGGAAGCCTTAAAATTATTCTCCTATGACTTCTCCCTGTCACATTAGTGCACAGGGATAATTAGGTAAAACAAGATCCAGGTTACACTAGGTTATTCCATTATTTCCTAAAATCAACGTTTCAATTAAGCTGTAAAAATAATGCGAAGTGTGTGTATATTACAAATACACACAGATATTCAAATGCATACTCGTACATGTATATTTGGCACATACACACATACATATTTGTATACATACAAATACAGTATGTATATTATATATGCACAATGATACATCAAGGGATACATTCTGACTTGATACTGTTAACTTCAGTGGAGGTAAATCTAGTTGAGCCACCCTAGTATTTTATCTCAGCTTAGGTAATACTCTCTCTTGAAACATTTCTGAGTCCTTCCCTCAAGTCTACAGAACTGCCCTATATATAGCTCTGTCATTGCACTTGCTTAACATTGCCTGCTTTAGTCAATCTGCCTGACTTAAATTATACTATAGGCAACTTGAGGGGACAGACCATACATTATTCATCTGCATAATTCCTGAAACATGATAGAAGTTAAAAAATAATTGGCTGCCTTAAACAGGCATTCAGTCATACTCCAGTTACCTGAGGTCAAGGCCAGCTGTGAAGTGCACTGGATAATCCAATAAGGCATTTGGATTTACTCAGTGACTTCACACCTTTACTGGTGACAGGCCCATCACACAGCTGTTCAGATTTCTATATTTCCATTTACTTGTATCCATCTCTAGTTCTCACTTTCCATTCTTCTTTTGCATTAGTTTATTATTGCTTATGGAAGTCTAGGACTGTTCAGGTCTGGGGCTAGATATTGAAAATGATACTAGAAAAAAAAATCAGTAGAATATTAGGAAGTAATCCAGAAAATATGTTAAGTAAACAATTTTTTCCCTAGCCCCTGTGCGAAGATTTTAAAAAGGAAGAAAACAAACAGAAAACAAAAGCAAAAAGCAAAATGATTGCAAAATGCTACAGAAGCCAGCAAGCAAAAACAAACCTAATCTTGTTTTCTTCCAATTTGGAGAAATTTCAACATAAGAACCATGCTGGCCAACTTAGGCTGCATGCAGATCCCATTATGTAAGTTCACTGATTACTTGGTTCAACCCACTTGAGGCACCAGAATCTTGGCCACAATGTTAGTTTGATTGATTAGTCAGGTAGCTTTCTTTAATAATACCTCAAGGGGTTGTGGCTTTTGGCAAGAATAGAGCTAATTCTAGCTTAATTGTCATACAAAATGTTCCCTAAAGCACAGTAGCCACTGACCTTATGCTGCTTCCTATGACACACTTTTGGACATCCCTCCTGAGTGTAATAACACACCCTGGTGTTGCTGTTTAACAGCTTAAGACCACGATAGATGGACCTGTCACCACTGTCATTTCACCTCTTCTGCAAAGAGAAAAACATATCAGGAGTATATCCCTCAGACCTCTGAACCCCTATTTTATTCTTTCTGAAACAACTTCCAGTAGCGATCCTTTGTCCTTCACAGAATGGAGATTCTTAGCACAAAGCAATTCAAACATTATCTTTTCTTCTCCAAACTCTTCAGAGTTTCCAAATCCTAGTGTATTCTCTCTTCCCTCCAAGCTGTCAAAGAATTCCATGTGTATTTCTCTCCAAGTACAGCATTCATTTTTTCCCTCTTCACAAGTTCCTCAAAGATAAGAACTATGATTTATATACCTTTCCATTTGCTATAGCATTATTTAACAACTATATTCTATTGATTCCCTATTTGAACATCAAGGCTACGGTGGCCTCATTTGTTTTAAGAATTCTATGGTATATAATGTCTCCATGGTACAATGTACAGCATTTAATTGAAGCTATGATGTTTGGTAAATGCAGTAGAACAAAACTTTATTTTCAGCAGTAACTTAAAATTTTCAAAGAACTTCAGAGGGAAGATCAACAATTTGGAAAAACATTTTTCCTTTCTACTGGAGAAATGTATTATAATTCCTCAAGATCTGGCCTTACCCACACTGTTTTCCAGTCTCTGACAAAATCCAGAATGCACTGGACACCTCTGGTTTTCACTGGTTTTCCAGGAAAGGGTTTTATCCAAAGGCTCTTCGTGATAGGGTATGACTTAGGCAGCAAAGTGTTCTTCCAAAGAAGGAAGACATTCTTGCCTGTCCAGAGATAATTCTTTTATAACACATGCCAGAAATGCATTCCTACTGATTCATTGTCTCAGATATCCCGGCCTGTTACAACTTAAAGTAACCCATTAGGATGGAGAAAATTGTGATAAATAGAAAAGGGTTAGATTTCAAAGAAACACTGGGTCAAATTTAAAGCATTGAAGAGTTAGTAGTCCTTCAGATCCTTTATACACAAACTTAAAAATAAAATATTAAGGCATAGAACAACTGTAAGGAAGTGTAACAAATTTCTACCCATCTGCTCACTTACTGTAAACATGTTGAAACTTTTTAAAATGCAAAATAGGAGATTATTTTTAATAATTCAACACTATTTGAGCGGTATTCTTTGTATCTACCAGTTGGGTAACTGGCATTACTAATATGGACAGGAAATGAAGATGACAATAATATTCATTTTTTTCACAGTCTTATGAAGTCTGGCCTTGAACTAAATTTAAAACTGTGTTTGACCACCCTATAAATATAAAATAAATCTAATTTCACCTCCTATTTCAGACATCTCTTCTCTGCTTTCAGATTATCCCACAAGACTTCTTAGCTGGGACTCCGTGCTCCCTTCTGTTCTTTGTTGCAATGGCATTCAGGATTTGGATTAATTTTTGGAAAGTATACTGAGGGTCATATACTGTACTATGGATATTTTATATACTACACAATTCTTAGAACAAATGAGGAAACTACAGCCTTGATATATCTGAGTGCTGATTCTCATTCAGGATCGGTATGACATGTTGTGCCTCTGATTTTCATCACTAAAAATAGCCCATTATAATAGCTGAACAAGATAATGGCTTGCAGTGCAGGACCTGGTATATAACAGCCAGATTTCTAGCTCAGGCTCACATGCTGAACAATGATGTTCATTCTGCTTCAGCAATAGACCAGTTGGATTTCCATCATGATCCTTAGTGCCAGCAAAATTCTAAGCAGCCTCCATTTCCAGCCATATATTCCAGGAAAGTCATATTTGTTTCCATTGCTAAGATATCTTTCTCATATTGTTTGCCTTTCTGGAGTGGGGTAAAAGATAAAATGTGGGGTGGGAGTTAAAAAAATTCAGCATCCAAAAGCGGTAGGGCTTTGCTCCAAGTGTAAAGAGTACATTTGAGACTTAAAACTCCATGAAGAATGTGTTTGAGGCTTATACACAGCACTCTATATAGATTCAGTTCAGAAATATTTAAACAGCACAAAGTTATGTAGCCCGGATGATATTAACATCCAGAGGTAAGAATTGTGTTCAGGTAAGCTACCCAGCACTAATTACCAACATTAATTCTGTTACTAATTAAGACACTAAGTTGTTCCCGAACTGTGAAGCTTTTGAGTTTTCAAATGTATAGGACACATTTATATGAATTGTTGTTTCTATAAGATTTCCAATTTCATCCCACAAATACTCTCTAAAAGCTATTACATTTTATTGCATTATTTATTAAGCAATTGAGCTCAATCTTTTTATGCCACATTTTATATTCTAAAGACATGTTATATTGTCTTAAACATACTTGATCCATTTTGTATGCACAGTTTATTATATTTATAGATTGACATTTACATATCTGATCAAGCACAAACCATCAGCACACAATGCAATATGATACCTTAGTTTAATTCAATTTCACTTTCGACTGTTTCCATCTTTAAATATTAATTTAGGTAAATGTGAATGCACAATAGTGTAATTACTTCAAGCAAAAACACATTTTGTCTATTTTTAGAACTATAGAAGTAAAATGTGTGTTTACTTTCCAACTATAAAAAACGTACTGAAAGTTGTCATGCCCTCAGCACTCCAAGTGGCTTCACTAAGAAAACAGAACGTGACGATTTTAAATACAGTTTCATAGACACATTTGGTCACTTTCCAACCAATAAATTTACACAATCAAGGCTTTCTCTGTGACTATTTATGGCAGAGTTTGAAAATAACCTGAAAAACTCATCTGGAGCTGGTGTCTGGATATGCTTATTTCATCCCACACACAAAAAAGGGATCAACATTTCAACATTAAACAATTTTGCATAAAAGTCAAAATCAGAGATCTTGTACCACCTAGGCCACATTCTTAAAGGGCAATAATTTCCTGGGTTTAGGTGGCAAATGTTTCACTCCCTTTAAATGGATGAGACAGAGGCACAGCAGTTTGCCACAGCCACACTGTATTTCCTAATTTAATACTTGTACAATGAATATATAATATTTGGGAGGAATTTGTGTGTGTTATTCTTCATCTATGATGTCTATATTATGGAAGAACACAAACGCAGAATATCTTTTTGAAGAGGGGACAGATTTGCATAAGTACTAGCGGGGACGCTGTCTTGGAAACACCTAACGGAGAAACTCTTCCAAAACTGTCATCAGTTTTTTACATGTTTATGAAATGAAAATCCCACATTTGTTCTTTAGTATGCCTCACTGTTTCTAACCTCCCCTCCACCGCCGCCCCAATCTTCGTTGTTCCTTCTTTCTTCAGCTCAGGTTAACGTGGAACACTGTATATAAACAGAGTAGTATCATTCAGCAAATACTGAGTAAACCAGCTAAGGGAATTTAAGAAAAAAAAGGGCATTTCTTTTCTAACTCTAGGAAACTGCAGTAAAATGTAAACAGAAAACAGGAGATACTTTACACCATGAAAATGTTTGATTTTCCTTAATTATTTTAGTGTGCTCTTCCCCAGCTCATTACATATTAATGTGATTTGAGACAATCTTGTTCAAGCTGTTTTCAATAATAGCTGTGAGGCTCTAAGTAAGGCATAGAGCCTTCCTGAGCTTCATTTACCTTTTCTGTTAAAGAAGTTCCTGGTATACGTTTTAAGAGCACAGAGTGAAGTGTCAGACTGCCTGGGTTTGAATGCTGATCGTGGCATTCATTTTGAGACCTAGAGCAAGGCACCTAAAGCCTCTGGGCCTTGGCATCTGCACCTATCCAATGGAGATGATCACAGTAGCATCTCCCTCCTAGGGTTAATTTGCAGATGAAGTGAGCTAATATTGCAAAGCACTCAAAAGAGTGGCTGGTATATAATAAATATTATGTTAGATTTTGTTAACAATAAATAAAACCGTCAATATAGCCTAGATTATGTCTAAAGAAATCATCAGTTTTCAAATTCCATCTACTTTGATTTCATATCTGTCAGTTGATAATAATACATTAATTAAAATGCCTCTTTAAATATGTGATATTAAAGAAGTTGCCACTATTAATAATGCTGATTTTATTTTTTTTTAATTATCATAACCAAATATTATTTAAATGAGCCTGTACACAATACTTCTAATTGTGAAAAATAAAGAGAAACTTAAATATGGAAATTCACTACTCAAAGTAACATCAGTTACTTAGAACGGAGTAAAGCTTCAGCTCTACTTTAAAACACAAACAACTTAATATCTGTATGTCACTTCCTACATGACAAATATAAGTTAAGAAGTTGGGAGTTTTATTGCACTCTTACACTGAGAATTTACACTGATGCTCAGGAACCAAAATCTCTTATTGGATAACCGTCCTGACATTTTTTCAAACCTAATTCTACTATCCACTTTTCTTTATTTATGCTTAGAAAAGTTACTAATTATGTTGTGGGTTTCTCAACTTTAAGAAGACTCTGACTTCTTTAAAATGATTCTGAAATTCTTTATACTTACTATGGTTTTAATATTCTTACATATAAAAAATTCATTTCAGTGAGTTTTAATTTGCTGTTTAATTCAAGGATGATGATATGTCCAAAAATATTGAAATGTCTTACTAAAACTAGTGACCTAATTCCATATGGAAATGTAATTTAAAACCAGTATGGTTCTGTGCTAGAATGTTTCAAGTTTTCCTGTTTCAAATAAAAATCTATTTTAAACTATACTTCATGAGTCATTGAGTATAATTGCCAAATGGGATTTAATTCAAAAAGAATAAATATTTCTATGAATGCTTACAATAATGGAGCAGGAAGGAAATAAAAGGTACAACCAGTCTAATGCCTTTATTAAAAGGGGAAGTCATTTAAAACCAGACAGGTTAAGTGGTCAAAAGTTTATTCAACAAGGCAGCATAACAGCCCAAAGTGGAAACGTGTCATCCTACTTACCATCCATTTTGTCATTGATGGTCTTTAATGTGAGCCAGAATATTAAACAAGCCTCTAATAAAGAAAAGTGAATGAAATTTGCATACTAAGTGCATTGTTTTCATCATTGCTTCTATAAAACACTGAAACTTATTAACATTGTTGACCACTGACTAGAAAAAAGGCTAACAAAAATTTTATGGTCAAGTTATATTATTGGTCCACAGGTTCAAAGTGTTTGCTGCAGGTATTTTTTAACACTAAATATTTTATACTCAGATATCTCATAAAATAAATTTCAAATTTTAGAATGGCGGGCATGCTGTACTCTGTCAAAAGAGTAAAAAAAATAGCTGTTGTCTAAATACAGAAATTATTGTTACATCTGCTCTCATGTCTCAGGATTTTTGAATCAATTATACATCCATAAACACAAACACATACACACAAGTGCACAATTCAGTGTTTAAATGACATATGTGTCCTACAGAAATTAGGTGCAATGTGAAGGAAACATAGATATTTAGGTATTCTATATGATTAATAAACTTTGATGTATAATAACAATACAAAATTATAAAATACAGAAAATTAAAGAATTTTAAATGAACTCATACTCTAACTACCTGCTGACAGCCACTGCAAATTTTGTGTTTTGTTTTGTTTTTCTAGACTCCTTACTACCCATTTGTGTTCCTGGGTACATCTTGTGTATTTTGTGCTAAAAGAAGAGAATTTAGTAATATCTGAATATATACTGGTTGATTTCTTTTGTTCAAGGATAAAGAATGTACTTTAAGACATAAAATATTTTATAAAGGCTGAATATGTTTTTTTCACAACTAATAGGGTTATTAATAATAATTTATGTCTCTTCTTCATTTAAACATTTTGATTAAATATTTGTAATACTCTACCTTAAAAAATAATGGGATTTATTTCTATAAATTTACCTCCAAATACAACTAGCTAAATTTACTTAATTTTAATACAGGAACATTCTTTTTTTAAAATTTTAGGTATTTTCTTATTATAGTTTTTGTCTAATAATTCACTAACCAGACATCTGCGGGACAGTTCTGTTTTTGACCTTGGACTGACCCATTTCTGCCTCATTTCCTGCTTGCAACTCTTAAGAATACTTGTAAAATATGCTGAGAATGCAATATTTTAAGATGGTGGGGGACTGGCTGGATGCCCCCTAGAAACAGGAGGTCATTAATTGCTTTAGTCCAGCAAGCTACTTGCCCTAGGGAATAAAAGCCATGGTGGGCTGCTTTCTGGGTTCCCTCAGCTGTGGTGCAAATGAAGCATGCACAGATGAGACTCCATTTGCCCCAGAATGCTTTTCATAGCCTTGGGGGACAAGCTTACAAAGAATCTTAGGTTTCTGTTGTTCCTTATGGTGTATTTGTAAGTAATAAATCAATTTCATGTAGCTTGTGAGTGTGAGTATACTGTCTTGCTGGACATGTTGGTAACCAGTGCACAATGAACCTGCTTCACAAAATTGGGAGACTAATTTTTATTTATGCATTCAATAAATAGTTTTGTGTACATGGCATTTGTGTATTTATTCTCACACTGGTATAAAGAACTACCAGAGACTGGGTAACTTAAAAGAGAAGAGGTTCACTTGATTCAGAGTTCCACAGACTGCACAGGAGGCATAGCCTGGGAGGCCTCAGGAAATTTACAATCATGGCAGAAGGCAAAGGGGAAGCAGGCATATCTTCACATGGCCAGCAGGAGAGAGAGATTTCGTGAAGGGCGGTGGGTAGCTACACACAGTCAAACAACCAGATCTCATGAGAACTCTAGCATGAGATACCACTCGGTGGATGGGACTGAGCCATTAGAAACCACTCCCATGATCCATTCACCTCCCACTAGGCCCCACTTTCAACACTGGGATCACAATTAAACATGAGATTTGGGTGGAGACACAGCCAAACCATATCAATGTGAGAGCCATCCTCTTAGAATGTAAGGCCAAAAGCAATGAACTAACACCACCAAAGCAACAATAAAGCCCTGCCCTAACAGAATTTACTTTCTGATAGGTAAATATATATGATAAATAATTTGATAAGTTAAACTATAACACGATGGAAAGAAGTGGTGAGTGCTATGAATGAAAAAAAAAGCTGCATAAGATGATAAAAACTATTAGGAAGCATTTTTCTAGATGGGGTAGTTTCTAAAACCTTTTATAATGAGGTAACACCTGAGCAGAGACCAAAATAAACTAAGGGAATAGCAGTGTTTACCGTGAATCCTACAGTGACATAGAGTGCAATGCTACCAATAACCGCATGAATGGGGAAGCAGATCCCTTTTAGTCTAGAATTCAGATGAAATCCTGACCCTAACTGACACTTTAATTGCACTTCGTGAAATTCAAATCAAAAAACTAAAGTAAGATATGTCCAGATTCTTGACTCATAGAAAGAATGAGGTAAGAAATGGATGCTGTTTTATACTACTATATTTGTGGTGATTTGTTACACAGCAATTTAAAACTAATACACTGTTTAGTACTTGGAAGGTCCTGCTGTAACAAATATCTAAAGTTGTGGTGGTGGCATTAGAATTGGGCAATGGGCACATTCTGGAAAACTTTTGAGGATTATTATAGATAAACTCTAAGTTGCCTTGAACCTGTTAGTATAAGTATGGACTTTAGGATGCTGCTCTTGAGGGTTCAAAAATAAATTGAGGAATCCTTGTAATACAGTGACAGAAAGCTTAGTAAAATTGCCTCTTGCAGTTATGTGGATAGAAAAACTTGTTAAGATGAACTTATGTATCTAGGTAAGGAGATTTTCAAGCAAAGTGTGGAAGGTACCAATTGATTTTATTTTTCTTGCTAGATATAGTAGAATATGAAAGGAGAAAGATAATCTGAGAGAATAACTTTTTAAAAGTTTAAAAAGCCAGATCTTGATGGTTTTGAAAACACAAATTACTTTCAGAAGGCAATAAAAACTAAAGTTCAGAAATGTCTTCCAAAAGTATGGCCTGGAGAAGACCTAAGGATGTAACTATAAAATCTTTTACTATGATCTCAGAAAGATCAAAAGGTCAAAGTATTTAGTCACACAAATGACCTATAAATAAATTGATAATATACCTAACAAGTTTCTCTCAGTCTCTCAATAAGCCTCAAGATTGAAAGCCTTGTCCTTCAGCAATTTGAACAAGAAGTAGAGAGAGATTTTCTCAAAAATAACTGTGGCTGCGACTTTTGCCTAATGAATTAAACTTCACTGAAATCCACAAGAGATCCACAAGGTCTTTGAGAAAACGATTTCAGAAGGTTGGACTGAATGATGCAGAAAAAGTACGAAAATAAAAGGAGGATGTGGAGCCCCCAAAATTCTACTGGCAGAAAGCACACTGATCACCTGCTCAGATGGAAACACATGCTGACTTTTTTTTTCTTTTTTTTTTTTTGAGACGGAGTCTCGCTCTGTTGCCCAGGCTAGAGTGCAGTGGTGTGATCTTGGCTCACTGCAAGCTCCACCTCCTGGGTTCACATCATTCTCCTGCCTCAGCCTCCCAAGTAGCTGGGACTACAGGCATGCACCACCTCACCTGGCTAATTTTTTGTATTTTTAGTAAAGACAAAACATGGGGTTTCACCATGTTAGCCAGGATGGTATGGATCTCCTGACCTCGTGATCCACCTGCCTTGGCCTCCCAAAGTGCTGGGATTACAGGTGTAAGCCACCATGCCTGGCCCACATGCTGACTTTTATAAAAGGAAAGATGACTCAGAGGATAGAACCAAGAGAACAGAGGGTGGAGTGGAGAGCCATAGAGAATTGTTCTTAAGCCTGGAACTCTAATAAGGAATTTCCAACATTCTTTTAACTGGATTTCAGAACTGTTATTAAATAGGGGCTTATTTTTGCTTCCTATTTCTCAGTTATTAAACTAGATGTTTTTTAACTCGTATCCTATGGTTTCCCTGCCATTATGTAGTGATGAGGCTCTTCATATGTCTGAAAATAAAAATAAACTTTGTCCCAGGAACTGTACTTGAGTAGTTACACTCAGGAACATTATCTGTGCCAGAAACTGACTTAAATGATGAGACTTTTGGACTTTGATCTGACGCCTACTGGAATGAGATTTGGGGGGAACAATGGGAGAGAACGGATGTGTCTTGCATGTGGGAGTAACTTGGATAAATCTATGTCATGAAACATGATTCAGTCTGGGCTCTTGCCCATGCATTTCTCCTGTTTCTGCTCCCTACAGTAGTTAGAAACCCACTGGACTGGATTATTTTCAACTCTTTTATCTCTTAAGTTTACCTGTTTTTCAGAGAGGCCCACAGGTATTGAAATTTAAAAACTTTATTTATAAAAGTAATGAGAACATGGCTTGTGTTCTTATCAGAAATACTGGATTTGAGTCCTAACTGCAGCATCAACATTATTAAAGTCTTGAAATTCTCAAAGCCCAGGTGTTGTTTAAATACATGAAGACAGAAATCATGTAGAGTTCTTAGCTCAGAGAAAGGCTGGTGTGTAGTAAATCCATGCTACTTGTTCGGTATTATCATTGTCATCATTGTTTTATGATGAGTTTCACAGACTACTTATTCTGGAAATAGAGGAGAAACATCATCTCCGTGTGAAAAATAAACACAACATATAATGAATATTAAGCCAGGCTTTTCAGAAACCAGAAAACATGATCTCATTATAATGATTCCTGTCAATGAAAAGTCTTTCTCCTTAAGTGACACACTAGGCTGAAGAATCTAATACTTTACTAAGTAAATAGAGATAGTCGTCAAGAAGTTAACTTGTTCATGGGTACTTTCATTTTTCTTTCTTTATTATTTTTCCAACCTTCTTGGCACTATACCAAATTTTCCTTTTCCCTTGAGTCCTTTCCTGGCCACTGTAGCAAGAACTGTTCCAAATTAACTCTGAACCTATTGCCCTTTTTCCCTGTCGCAGAGCATTTATCACTTGCTATCAAGTAATTCAGTCATCATGCTGATTTATTTTATCCAAATGCCTATGAACTTGTTGGAACAAGGGTCTATTTTATTCATCTTTATCTTGCTCTTTGTACTTAGCACAGGATTTTGCAAAAGATAGGTACACAGATGTTCATCACGTTGTTTTAAACACTGCCACAATGGCACAGGCTTATGGATTTTCTGTTTGTTATTGCAGATGATTTTTTTTAAATAATCACAATATGTCATTTCTATCCTCTACTTTCTACTCTCTACATCATACAATACAGCAGCAGTGAAAAGTATGATTTAACCTCTCTGAAATTCCCTTGCATCATTGGTAAACCGACATGATGTCATATTTTAGAATAAGAAAAGCCCAAACCAAAAAATTTATTTAGGTTCCTTGCAAGTCTTATATTTGATATGTGAGGCGTTTCTGAACTTCACCTAAAATTTATGTCTCCTGAAGTAGAAAGTTATTTCTCTGCATTGTTCACAAAAGAATTATCAAGATTTATTAAAAACACAGGACATTTTACATCCTTACCAGGACTTCCAGATGGCTTTGTTGCAGAGGGATGTATTTATCCCTTGCCACCCCCACAAAAAAAAAAAAAAAGAAAAATGTTTGCTAGAAATAACAAAGTAAACTTACAGGATTGGACATAAAAGATAAACCCAGCACACTCTGAGTTTAATTTGAAAGTGAAAATAAGGGCTTAAAATAACTAAGATAAGGATTCATAGAGGAAAAAAGACAGATATCATGCATATAATCAATCTTTATCAAGCCTAAATCACAAGTAGGAGGAATACTTGAAAAATCAGTGCACGTTTCTAAATGTAGATCTCAAAAGTATTTTTAAGGATGTGTGTAACACATGAGACCACACACACAGCTTTTAACTCACTCTTTAATTTTTATATTATGGTCTTTGATTTGGTTAAATGAGTGAGACTTAGGTGATTTTAGCTGGTGAATAATTTTGTAATTTTACAATGAAGAGGAATATGAGTCAGGGGAATTTGGAGGAATTCATTACTTACCAGTGTTTTAACATTACTACTCTTAGGTTTACATTTCCTATTCCCCTGCTAGCATCAGCCAGAGAACATTCTCTGCTTTTAAAAATAATTTGTTTAATTGTGGTAAGAACAGTTAAGATGAAATCTACTCTCTGAACATTTTCAAGTGTACAATACAGTATTATTAACTATAGAGATAATGCATTACAGCAGATCTCTAGAATTTATTCATCTTGCAAAACTGAAATTTTATACCCACTGATTGGCATTTATCCGACTGCATCAGGTCCCCCTAGATGATTTTCCTATCTTAAGTTCAGTGATATTATACAATATAATCACAGGAATCAATTTCCATTATATTTACTAGTTCCAGACACATTCCAAAGGGAGGGGTTTACTCAAGACTAACACTATTGCTGAACATTCTTGGAATTCTTCCTGATACAGCAGAAAATAGTTCAACCATGGCCCAGATTCACAAGCTTTCATTAAGTCCAAAAAGGAGGCCACTTATTATTTATATTATATATATTGACTGTTACAACACACAGAGAACCTGATACTAATGATAATAGTAAAAATTTATACAGATTTTTTCCACAAAAGCTTTTACAAAAAGAAAACCTAGGTAACTTTTATTATACCTATTTTCCCGAGGTAGAAATGGAGCATGGAGAATTTTAAGTAAACTCTTTTCAATTTCTACGAGAGGAATATTCAAAGAAAACTCTGATTCTAAATGCATTTTTTACTCTACACAGAATTATTTATTGTTACCCAAATTATCAAATATGATTGATTTTCACTGTCAAAAGTAGAGTGATTATATCCTAATGCCTTATGGCTTGACATAACTACATGAGTTACAAATAATATAAATATTAAAATTGAGATATGGTGAAAGTTTATGTGAGTAATGTTTACATACATCTTTGAAGCAATAATGGTTTTGAGTATTAAAGATGAGAAGACAGGGTGAGGACTCTTGATTCTGGGCTCTTCTCGTCTTCAAGTGAACTGGGTCTCTTTAGGAGGCTTTCCAACTGCATGAGTTGTGGAGATTAGGCTTTCCTCTTTGCTAAATATCTGGAAGCTTATTTTGACCTATTTAGGTTTCCAGGTGTATTTCCTTGGTGTTATATGTCAGGAGTTGTATCCAGGACAAAAAAAAAAATCCACTCCTCACAGTCCCTCAACCTGCTCAATGCCCAGGCTATTTAATTTCTAAAAAATTGTGCTGGTTTCTTTTCTTTTTTTTTTTTTTTTTAAGTCAGGTGACTGTTATAATGTAGCTTCATTACCAGAGAACTAAGTAAATGAGGTATCATTATATGCAGATCCAGAGGGACATTGAAATAGTTTAAGACAACATATCCCCTGCTTCAGGATACTTTTTAAACAGAAATCTTACCTCTGGTATTTTTCTGCCAAGTTAAAGGAATCTACACCTTTAGTGACTAGTTGGCCTTAATATATTGCTTGCAGAAACTTGTACAAGGGATCTCAATGATTGTCCCTGGGAGAACTATGCTTGAATAAGATTTACACTTAAATAGTTCATGCAATGTTGATTTTTGTGTGTTGGTCTTCTGAGGAAAGAAGAGTGCTTTATACTCCGTGTACTTCAGCCTTTGTGGCCTTGGAATGTCTTCCAGAAGACATCTTTCTTCTATAGATTATTTAGCACAGAGTCTGATTATATAGCACACTTTTTAAGAGTTCATGTGTCAAAGTGAAGAACCATAGAGGAATTATTGAACATTAAATTTTCAGATGGAAAGCTAATCATATCTAAGAACAATAGGGGCAGCACACAGCAGATATTTAAAAATATATGAAAATAATATATATGTATACATTCATGATAGATGAAAGAGAGAAAAAAAGGGAGGAGAGAAAAAGAAAGAAAAGTGAGAAAACAGAGTTACTAACTTTTTCTATTACAACTTTTCAAATTCTTAGACTTAGCAAGGTAAAACATTTAGAGATTTTTTTTCCTCCAATTTTAATGTCTGGATAAGACAATGAAAAGTTGATACATAGATGGATTTAGTAGAGTACTTCTTCCAACTATAAATCAGAGCATACGTGCTTTGCTTATGTAAGCACCACATTTCAATCCACAGTTTTCAAGTTAATATATAAAATTTAAAAACAATAGCATTTATGATTGGTGTCTTAGACCTGATAAGAACAAAGAATTTTTATTACTCAAGAAATACAAGGGGATTTCTGACCTTTATATTTTCGAAGAAGAATAAGATGGGTACTTACAGAAACAGAGTAAGTTAAAAGTTATCACAAGAGTCTTACTTTATTCACTTCCATCAATACATACAGAACATTTCAGCTAAAACATTCCCTGTTATAATTCTCATTCTGATTCATTATATTATTAGCAGCAAGATATCTTCCAGGGTTTATTAGGTAATGGTAATAATATCTCAGCAAATTTGACTCTGAAGTTGGCAATTTTGATAAATTTAGTTTAATTCTTAATCTAGCCAAAATGCTGGTATATCAAGCCAAGTTTTCTTAAAGTATATTTAAAAAAAACTTTGAAATAATACAACATTGGATTTAATTTAAAATGATAATTCATTTCTATTGACTTTAGCATAAGTGAAAATATGTCATATTAATTCTGGAACTTTATTAAGGCATTAATTTTGATTTTAGTAGATACTTATATATTTTTTCCAGCTTATTACAGTCAAATGAATCATTTCCTCCTGCTTTGATATTGAATCACTAATTACTTTACCTGGTAGCTGTCAAACAATATGTATCATTAAGTTTATTTTTCTCAGTTAGTTTGAAGCACCATGTAAATGAGACCAATGGAAGGAGTTTGATACTCATTTGGCTTGGCTTATTGTTGAATACAAACAGAAATGTCCTCCCTGAAAAATGATTGCTTTGAAAATTGTAACTAAATAAGTTCTCTTATATTTAAAACAAGCACAATAGTATATATTTTCTGTTTTATGAAACATGTGGTACATGCCTTATAACAAAAAACTTTATCTTAAACTGTAAGAGGTCAGTGTTGAAGAAGTTATAAGTTCTTCATCAGTGAAAAGTGAGTAGATTAGGAGACAGATATTACTTTTGGTTATAAATTTACTCCTAGGTAGACATGTGACTTTACAATTATTTATTTTTTTTCTAGAAATCAGTTTCTCACTTTCAAAATTAGGCAAACTCACTGGGCTCTCAAAGGATCCCAGTATCTCTTAGACTAGGCAAGGGTAAGATTATGTTGGTATAATGTGGAAAAAAATCAAAATATTCCTGGTACTTTTTTTAAGCTTACACAAATGTTTCTGAAGATCCAGGCCACTTTCTAACCCTAAAAGGCTACTGTCCATGCTGCTACGCGGCAGCTGGCCATACAACTTTTGTCTTCGTATCATCTGGAACATAAGACTTTCTTGAATGATGTAGCAGAGAAAGAAAATGCTGGTGGATCTTGCCTAAGCAAGGATGTGCTTTGGGATGGAAGTCATACATAAACCCTTCCCCATTAATTTCTTTGGTCACAGTAGGTCACACAATCCTGCTGATTTAAGAAAGCTTGTAGAAGAAAGATGAGTAATTCTGAAAGTCTTTGTGGGCAACAATGATATCTAACATATTCCCTTGTAGCTCTAACTTTCAATGATTCCCTTATGTGATTCCCTGATGCCTTGACATTTTCCAGGGAATAAGTACAGAACTGTGAAAATTTTACCAGTAATAAAAACTTAAGACTTTCTGCATTTTCTCAAGGTATATTCACAAAGAAACCCACTCTTGAAGTTAGGTATGACAGACATCATTCATATCTCGCAAACGAGCAAATTGAGGAACAACGTAATAAGATGAAATCATAAAATTACATCTATAAAGTATACCCATCTGCTCAAAGGGAAAGCTTAGAATCTAATCTGAATCCTAGTGAAGCATTCTTATTCATAAGAAGACTTTCTATGTGAACGTAACTAACTGGACAATCCTAAGAGGAACTTTTTGTTAAGGAAAATCAGCTTGAGATCAGTACAACAATTTGAATGAAAACACATAGTTTTACCTATTTTTAATAAGAATATGAATTTTCCAAAGTGGAAGGTATTCTTCATTTTCTGTTGGCTTCTTGCACAAAACTGAAGATAGGACAAGACATTGTTACTCAGCTCACGTGCCCCACTCATGTGCTCACAGACTAAATCTGTTTCTCCTGTGGTGTATTTAAATAAATCTGTACACCAATTTGTGATACTGTGCTAAGTTCCCTTAAAAAACTGTAATTATAAAATATTCGAACAAGCAGGTCTTCAGAGACTATTTGACCTAAAACCCTTATTTGCAGGTAAGATACCTGAGACTCAAAGAGATCAATTTGTTTTTCTACTGCTACAATACCTGTCAATATTCACATTGTAGCATAGATCAACCCTAAACCTAAGTCTTAATCCAGTAAAATATACGCAAAGTTGAAGAAGTCATTTGAGGAGTTGGTCTTAGAATGTTTCCAATAACAAAATTCATATGGGTTGATTTTTAAAGTAAGCTCTTTGCAAATAATCTTCTCCCATTCCTATACATGTTCTCTTTATTTCCCCCAGTTACCATAAAATAACAAATATAATCAAATAGCCCCCTTTCTGGAAGATCAGTAAGTTTCTGTTTAGCACAGCACAAATTTTGCAGTGCGGTCTATTGAACTTTGCAGCCTGGCTTCCACTTGCTTTTCCAGGTTAATCAGCGATCTTTACAGCCCATGTCACAATCACACAGAATTCATTAATCTCTGCACATATGATGATATTTCACAACTCTTTGCCTTTGTTATTGCTGTTGAGTATTCCTTGCTTCCCAGTCCACCCAGGTCCTATCATTAGCCATCCCTCATCTCAAATGATGCCTGTCAGTGACAACTCTCTCATCCCCTTGGGGTAAAGCTGTGCTCCTACAGCATATTGTTCATATCACTATTAAAGTTTTGCCAAACTCTTCTGCAGTTTTCTTCTGTTTCACCCAGTAGACCCCTTAAGGGCAGGCAGCTCATTTGAAGCATCTCCTTTCCCAGTGATACCAGAGCATGTGGCACTTAATAGCTGCCTAATACATTTTGTAGAAAGGTGGAACCATTCACGAATTAAAACTTCTAACATAACTCAACACTTTACAAATCACAAAGCACTTTTCATATTATGTCACCCCCTCACCACAGGGTGCCCATATATTTATAATTCATACACCGAGTCGGCCGTGTGTGTGTGTGTGTGTGTGTGTGTGTGTGGCCAGGATTTCAGGGGTGAGGAGTAGCATGTTGGGGTTTAGTTTATAAGGAGTCCCAGAACAGAAGAAAACAACTGGTAATTGGAAAATGAGTACTTTTAATAACATTTAACCTATTTTCTTGACACATCTGTGCCTTTTACTGACTTATCCAGTTGTGATCTTCTCGCCTGCTGAATGCCATGACCACAGATACACAGCAGTAATCTAAACTAGCAGCTAGAAACATTTTCTCAAACTGTAGAAAATGAGGATTTCAAGTCTGCACACCAATTTCCCTTCGTAAGGTGTTTCAGTCCTTATGTTCACTGACCTTATTTCCACTGTGTTAGTTTATATTGCTCTCCGCTTGAGGAGTTTAATGAGTGCACCAATTCCACTAGCTGTTCTCATTACAATATCCTTGCATATGTGCCCCTTTTTAGGATAAAAAAGATTACCATGGGCCTAAGAAAAAAGGAGTTTGAGGTCTTCTATCTGGATTTTACAGTTTTTCTTCAATTATTACTTTCTCTACCCAAATTATAATATTTGGGAAAATACGCTGGTATGTCAAGAATAAACTCATGAATTCTATGTCAGCCCAGCTAGAGATGGAAAGAACATGAGATTTGTGAAGCAACCTGTTCTACCTCCACTACTTACATTTTGTTTGACATTGGAGAAGTTGCTAACTACATTTAGCCTCAAGTACTTCTGCTAAATGTAGATACTAATTAGATACAGATTCTGTCAGAATCAAGAGAAGGGATAAATGTAAATGTGCTTTTTTATATTCAAGGATGTATATGAATTTCACGGTACAAAATTATATATGCACATTGTCATCGGTTCTTGCTAAATCCTGTTAGGTATTGACTTGCTGCCTCTGAATGCAGTCACAGAATATAATTAAGCACATCTGACATGTAGTTCTGCCTCTTTAGTCAGGAGCCTTAATGGGTGACATTGTGCAGCTCACAGTAACCTCAACCAAGTCTGGCTTCCACCTTTAGAATTAAGAGATTCTGAGAACCATCCCTGCTCAAAGGATATAAGTATGACACGTGATTAAGGACCCAGTGGAAGAACATTGCAGACAAAAGCATCAAAAAAACCTCAAGCCCTGGTGAAGCATGATTGAGACTTTCCAGGAAAAACTGAGTCTAGTGGGACTGTGTGAAATAACTTAAATTACAGTGTTAAGAAATAAATTCAGAAAGATATACAGGAGCTTTTAAGTCCTTGTATCAGTAACAACTTTTTTTTTCCTTAACGAAATTTCCACAGTCTGGGAATTACAAGTGCTATCAGATCCTGTATCAAATTCAACCACATTTAGTCAATTATTCAACCCCAGGATCTATAAAAGTGGTTACTGAGTATGAAAAAGTTTAATAAAAGGTTAATAGCAAACTTTTTAAAAGAATAATTATGAAAACCTACATGTATGCTCCAAAATTAAGGGGACAAAGAAAACTGTACTTAGTGCATGCCTGAAAAGTCTCAAAGGAAATAAGCCGCTCTTTCACTGATGATAGTAGAAATGCGGGAGTTTGCCATGTGGCCAGCTGTGAAGCCTTTGACAGCAGGCTTTGAGTAACATTGAAAAAGTCTCTGCCAAAGATGATTTTTTGCCAAATGTGAGGCAAGCTCATTAGAAAGTGGCTGAAGTTGCCTCATCATATGTAAAGTAGACACTGGTCAATGGTGAGTGAGAGGAAATCAGGGCATTGAAAACAGGAAAAAAAAAAGCCACATAATGCCAGATCACTGCTGTTTCAGTGTAAACACAAAAGTCCCAAAATGAGAGTGAAATACAATTCTACTTAGTTTTGTATTTATTTACAGTCTCATTGACTCTTTAAAATTTATTCATGAGTGTAACCCCCATGCCACTGAATGGAAACTTCAAAAAGCTTCCCAAATTCTTTAAAGTAGGCAATACTATTCTTTCTTTATGATGCAAACCAGGTCCCCATTCAGAAATTATATTATATTGTTGAAGATGGTAATTGATAGTTATTTAATTACAAGAAATCTCCCAGCAAACACATTCTCTTCCCAATGTGAAGGACTGAAATTGTCAGCTCTTGGCATTTGAGAAAGATGTAAAGTCTTTTTTGTCTACACTTCCTGGTTACATCTTCTCTCATTGTAGATGGGGAAGGGATGAGGTATGGATTGCTTGGCTGTATCCTCTCCTGGACTGATAGTGGTTAAAATAGTCCTTTCTCATGGATTCTTCAGAGAGTCCCATCTCTGGACATCTGTTTCTTATACTTCTTTTGTCCAGAGTAGATGCATATCTATTTAGTCTGCTTTTTCAGTCCCCAGTAATTCGCCATTTACCACCGGTTTCTTAATGCTGGTGTCTCTTCACTTTTCTTTTTGAATCTTTTGGACAGGACACTGGACAGTCCCATATCAGCTTTCTCTCTTGCAGAGTCACTGCTGATCGATGGAAATACACATATCTTGGCCCAACTAATTCTGGAAGAACATGCTACCTCAATCTGCATACCTTTATCTTCATGTTTCCTTAGTCACTGCCAGTCCCTAGTCCATGATGATCTCCAATTTAAGGAAAACAAATCTGCCTCTCTGAAACAAATTAAAGAGGAGCCTTTTAGAAAAGAAAATCTTAAACTCTTTGAAGCTTGATGAAAACCCCAAATATTGGTATCTGCTGAATCATGATCTCAAATAAACTCATTCTTCTGAATCTTCAGTTCCTAACCCTGGATGAAATCTGGATCAAATCTCAGCTTTAATGGCCACCATTAAACATGAACTAATAGTCCGATTTTTCAGG
This sequence comes from Homo sapiens, assembly GCF_000001405.40. Lineage (NCBI taxonomy): Eukaryota > Metazoa > Chordata > Mammalia > Primates > Hominidae > Homo > Homo sapiens. Next base: position 33,081,669 of record NC_000004.12, read on the forward strand.
CATTCAAAAGTCCAGGTCAATCCAAGTCTCAAATTGTCCTGCACTATTAATGTCTTCTTCCCTCGCTTGGGCCTGACTCAGTTCTAGAAGCCTCCAGTGGGAAAAATGCATTTTCAGCCTTGATTTTTCTTTCTCACATTACATTCCCCCTGCTCATTGGCTGTTCTTTCTCTCTTCTGCAGGGTTGATCTTTGTATATTTTAGAGGTGTAGGGAAATGAGGAGTTAAGAATCCAGAACAATATTTATATAGTAGATTCATTGCTAATGCTATCCCAGCTGTGGAATGCTCTCAAACATGACAGAATTTTAAATATTGGTTCTTTCTTTCTCCTGTGGGGTGTGTGTGTGTGTGTGTGTGTGTGTGTGTGTGTGTGTGTGTGTGTTGTATGTATGTGCTGTGTTTATGTAGTGTTTATTCTTGGAGGTATTTACTACCTGACTTTCCTTTTTCTAGATATCTGACCTCTGACCTCCATCTCAGTCCTTGGATCTCAGAGGTCTACTTTGCACAGATTCTTTATGTTGGAAACACCCCATTCTTTTGTGAATCCTTTGGTGAAGGAGTCCTTTTCTGATGACTCTAGCCTTGGGTACATTCCATGGAGCCTACATCTAACCCAGCGAAGCCATTTGCCTATGTGTTTCACTGGTGGGATGTGAATTGCTCCTACTCTGTCTCTTTCTACCTGCTCTGTTTTCAGTTGCTTCTGTCTCATTCCTGCTTTTAATCTTTTCCAAAATAGAGTAAATTACTAGTTCTGTGCCCACCAATCTCTCTCAAATATGTCAAGTAATATGAAGTCAAGTAGTTAGAGAATGGAGAAATCAATGCCACTTAAGAATTTCAAGATTACTGGAGAGGGTGGTATGTGAAACAGATATGGCTTAGACAGAAGCAAGAGAACAGAAAGGCATGGTAGGTGAGCAAGCTTGTTAGGTTTAAGAGTAAACTTTATAATTATGTAGACCTAAATTTGAACTTAATTTCTGATATATATTACCTGGTTAAATTGAAAAGCTATTTTAGTTGTTAAGGCCTCCATCTCTTTTCTGTAAAAGGGCATCAGTATTTTATACTTCATAAGGTTATTACAAATGTCAAATTACTTCAGGCTTGAAAAGACTTAATACCTAGTTGATAGTAAACACTCCATAAATTATAGCTTGAAATAAAATATGGTAAAGTATATAATTATGGAGTTTGATTTTAGTTCATGCAAGGATATAAAAATTAAATAAATATTATTTAAAAGTAAGAAGTTATCTTTCGTTAGCAATGACCAGTTCATTCTCACACACTAGGTGCTCCCTTAGTACATGGTACATTATCTTTTAATAATCTTGCAGTTACTGGTCATCTCCAAAATACTATGGGCTCTTTAAAACAGACAATGTATCTTGTTCATCCTCCGTCCTCGGCCCCTGGCACATAGTGTCTTTAAAAGGAATTTCCTGAATGAACACATTAAGATATTATCTACTGATTATTCTCACAAGTTAAACATTGGTGCAATTATTATTAATAGGTATTGAGCAAGAGAATTAAATAATGAAAGTGGTAAATTGGAAAAACAGCCCAATGTTTGAATGCAGAACAAATTCAGTGAGATTAAGATAAGTGATAACAAAATTATCTCCCTAAATTAGATGCACAGTGATGAAAACCCAGGCAAATGTAGCATTGAATGCAAAGGCGTATGTAGTCATCCAGGAGATAGTGTGCGGGGAGAAGAGGCTGTCTTGCATTACAGAACAATACAGTTAATATAGGAGACAAAGGAAAAATAAAAATATGAAGTCCTTCTCCTAAGAACTTTGGTAAACAAGAGAACAATACTAGTGTTACTTAACACACTTGTGGAAGTTGAGAAGCATATTGACTTGGAAATAAAGCAGCAAATATTGGTGCTTGGATTTTGAGACAACATTTAGTTATTTAAGTGTAAACTTATTTTTGCAGATGTGGAAGTGTAGAAATGGATTCATTAAGCCAAAATGTCTACTTGCTGAGGTATCACTAGAGAAGTGATAGCTGTAATATGAGCTTAGATTAATTGGAGAAAATGTAAGTATATATAAATGTACTATATTACATACAGCACATTTTCAAAAGCAGGTTAATAACAAGGAACTCTGAGTTTTGATCAGACTTGGAAACTGGAAATAATACCATTTATTGAGCATGTAGAGTGTGCCAGGTAGAAAGAGGACATGGCTTTTAAGGAGAAGAAGTTGCCTAAGATCACATGACAAGTAAATGTTATGAAGATTCAGGATTTATCCTCACTGTATCTCAAAATCCTGTTTATTTTCTCCACCAATTATAGCAAAGGTAACATAGATGGAATAGTCTGAAGGAAAAAAGGTAAATCCATGTTTAATGAAGATGAGTGTCTTACGAACAGGTTATTAAAACCATAGGTTGACATGAAGAAAAAGTTGAGGATGATAAAAATAAAACGTGATAAAAAGACTGAGCTGCCAAAACTCTCCTTGAATGACCATGCTTGGAAAACCATGTCACGTTGCTTTCTGGCCATCATTAACTAATACTTTTGTTATCCATGTACTTTCTAATGATTAGGATTCTTAGATTTTATAAACAGTTTTCCCCTGCAGTGCCTCTAGAAAATGTGTCTTGAAAGATTTCCATAGCCCTGCACATTCAAGGTCTCATGTAACTGACAAGATAATGACAGGGGCAATTTTAAACTGTTAAAAGACTTTGCTGCATTTGATCTTTTCCAGTGCCAATTTCAGCAAAAGAGGGGGAAATGTTCATTACGTCAAAAGGAACGTAAAATACAAAATATGATGCCAGTTTCTGAGACTTTTCCATCCAAATATTCTTCTACCAAATGACAGGGATATGTCAAAAATATAGTCAAGGAAAAAAAAGTATATGTTGGTTGATCTCAAACTAAGAAAGTTGTTACTGTTAACAAGCTTTGCAGTTTCACAAATCTCCATTTATGTATTACAGTACATGATTTTATATTAGCCAGAAGACATGACAGGAAAAGGGGCAATAGTCACTGCAATAAAAACGATCTTTACTTATATGAGATAGTTTTATTCTTTGGTTTTCAATTTGATTCAATGCTCAAAGTAATGAAAACGCTACAGCAAATAAAATGCATTTCCATTGCACAATCATTAGTGATGTGCTTGGACTAGCTATGAATAACTTGTTTTTCATATATGTGGTTATTTAGTTTCCCAAAATTAAACTGTTTTTTGTATTGCAAACAACAGAAGAGAAAAGGTTAATTTAAACCAGCATTAAGAGAGAAAAAAAAAAAAAGCTCAGCGAGAGAAATGCAAGGTTTAGTCAAAACAGACAATTGGGAACAAATGGCAAGAAGCAAAATACACTAATTGAAAACCAGGCAAGACATTGTCTTTTGCTTCCTTCTTCTTGAGTGCACTGATTAAAAAATAGTTAATTAGCACACATCACCAGATCTACTCTACGCTGAGAGTTTAACCTTGTAATTTTGTCATTTTTCAGAGAAGCAGGGTGTTTAATGAAAAGCACCATTAAGTTATAATGCATAATGATGTGTATTGTTGATAGATAAGAGACCACTCAAAACATTGCTTTGTAAAGTTTGCATATTTCTAGTGTTTATCTACCACTTTATGTTTACTAAGTGCTTTATTCTTGTTCAAAAATCTATTTTTCAACATCATGTGAAAATATTTTTGCTTGAAGCCTATTAGAATATGCAATGGTAAACTTTTTCTTAAAGGTTTATATCATTTATACTGTTTAAACACAATTACTGTCAATTATATAGGAAAGTTGCTCTCAGTTGCATAGGAAAGTGTTGCAAGTTTACAGTGCCCACTAGAAATTCCTGACTCAACGATTATTGATCAATTGTCTATATGTGAAGCATAAATGTGCATGAGTATAGTTCTCTTTTAAAAGTTTTTATAATCTATTGGAGAAATAATATTTCTACTCAGGAATAAGACTTCTATAATTTATTGGAGGAACAAGGCAGTTGAAACTAAGATGCTTAGACCTGCATCAATGCAGGATTTCTTCAGGCTTGTCCTCCAGCATTCACTGCCACTTTCAAAATATACTCTACTCCTAATTATCAAGGGAAGGAATAACAACACCCAGATGAGTCATAATAATAAAAGGCTGCATTAGTTGAGTGTGAATTCTGCATCAGGCACGGTGCCTAGCATGCTTATGAAGTATTTAGCCTTTTTGCCTTTTAATAACTCCATAAAGCAACCATTATAATTACTTCCTGCTTTCAGAGGGGAAAACTGAATTTTAGAGAGTCCAAATGATTTGCCAAACATTATGTAACTAGATGGCATGGAGCTGGGATTCACACTCAGATAGACTTCGACAGACTCTTAACTTCCACCTAGTGAAATACACTTTCTCTCTGTCACACTGGGGACTTGTAACACCTTACCCAGTGGCTATTTAAACAAGCCTTGCTTTAGTTTAGCTGTCCTCTTTACCACCCTATTTCCCATAAAGGGGGCACGCAGAGCCAGCATTATTTCATCAGGTGGAAAATATCACTCCCCATCTACTCCAGTCCATAGGGATTTGTGCCTTACCCTTTGATTGGTGAGGTACCTGAGCCAACACAAAATGAGATAAAATTATCTAAGCAGAACTGTTAAAGCTTTGCCCAGCTTCTGTATATAGTCAGAAGGGCAGCTGTTCCTGTGATGGCCAGAATCTCTGGGGATGCCTTGGCTGTAACTACCCAGATGATTATGATTGCAGATTTCATTCTGGCAAAGAGAAAACATATTCTCACCATGGCAAGTAAAGGGGAGAGTATTATGCATTCAGAGTATTGGGACATTATAACATTTCAGCGTTGTAAGTGTCATAAAGGTCACTTTTCTTTCATGACAAGAGTGTCTGACCCAATGCAAGATCATTATGCATTCCATCACAGCTGAAAGAGGAGTAAGCCTTTAGTAAAGCAGCTGGCCAGAATATTCTAGGAATTAACTACAGTATCTGGTGATTCTTTGTGGTCCAATTTTTATGTATTGCAAAAGATGAGAGTGTAGTTGCAGTATGGTCCATAGAAAGATGTAGATAGTCTGGTGATAGCACTGACTCAGACAAAAAAATTCAGTTTGTGTTGGGCACCTTGTTTCAAATTCTTTCTCTCACTCCAAATTCTGATACATTCCTCCTTCTGAATCAGTCCGACCTGGGTACCTAGCCAATCTTAACAAATCTGGAGGCATTATTTTGAGCTCCATTCTCCCCCGTGGTATTGTTATGGTTCACAGATACCTACAAGCTAACAAAGTTGCAGTTGTTATCCTTGCCATTTTGTCCTTGCCAAGTTTAATTCCCTTACCAGTGATTCATCCTTTGCCATTTTCATGCAGACTTTCAAACAGGGCTTCTGTCTAGGTATGCTTAGTCTTTATGAGTTTTTATCTTAAGTTTGAGTCTTGCCTTAAAAATCATAGCATTTGATGAGAACACCCAACAAAGGACTTCCCTCAGAATTTGAACTTTTGTTTTCTTATGTCAATTCATTTTTATTGATACAGAATTAATAACATATATGGGCCCATCACACTGTAACTGTCTCATCTCATTTACAATATTTATTGCTTCAACCATACTCTTCTCATTATATTTGAGCACTTGGATGGAGAACCAGAGCAAATCTGGCAACACTTCTCCCTAATGACCTAATCTAATGTTCACCCACGTTTAAGGCTCTTCATTATGGCAGATTGTTCTCCTACATCCATTTCTAGATTCTTTTTTCCCCCTAGTCATTCATCATTTTGGTTTCAACATACTTTTCAGTTGCTATTCTTCAAAATTGATAGTAGGCAATTTTTTTATTATTCTTCTTTACAATAAGGAGCTTATTTTAACATTCTCCTAGACATAAAAGAAGTATTCAACTTCAGGAAATATCCAATAAAGTATCTCATACCAAGATGCAATCCACACAGAGATTTTGACAGCAATAATTCTTTCATTTTGAAGTATATTTCCAATATTTTGGAATAATCTTCTTTCTATCTTAAGGAAAATCCTTAATCTTATCAACTAAGAGGATGTAATAGTTGGCTTTTAAGCCCCTGGTATTTTTCAGAAAAATAATCTATTTTGGAATAAAAGTGGCATTAAGAAAGTGGTTGAAGAGGCTTTGCTTGGACTTTCCATAGTGCATCAGTCTCTGTGCACTTAAAGAAATGAACTGTCTTTAAATAGTCTAATGGCTTTTAAAGGCACTCTAATAAAACAACACTTCCCTTCAGCTACTTGATGCACTAAATGCATTGCTGCTCCAGTAGTTTCATGTTAAGTGTTACCTTTCTCCTAAATTGTTTTTACATTTGCATATATATTTTATAGCTATAGATACAGAGTATATTTTGTACTATGAATGGAAAAGTATTTTAAGTCCAGAAAGTTCAACTTCAAGAAGTGTAGTCTTCAGCAACCCTTTAATATGTCCTTCCAAGCTGTTTCACTCATGCAGGGTTTCTATTTATAGCAAATGGTCTTTACTTTCCTTAGTTGATTTATACGTTTATATGGATTAGTCTTGGATGTTCCTTCATATGCTTGTCATTAATAGTTAATATTTAATGAGTACTTTATTAATGGCTGACACTGTGCTAAGTATTTGCATGTATTAATGTATTTAATACTCTACTCCCAATAGTCCCCTAAAGTAGGTGTTATTATTATCCTAATTTGATAGATGAGAAAATCACAGGAAACAAAAGTAAAATAACTTTTAAATAGTTGCACTGGTAGATGAAAATACTGTGTCACATATGTCACACAGTTCACAAAGAGAAGCATCAAACCCAGCTTTAATGACAGAGCTCGTAGTGTTAGCTCTTGCCCTACCTAAGTTTGGAGAATCTTAATACCTCCCCCAGGGTCACCTAAGTAGTGTTTGATATAACAAGAATTTCAATTCAAGTCTTAGAACTCCAGTTCCAAGAGCACAGTATCTATTTTATTCCAGTAAAAGTCTTCTTAATAAAGTGCTTATCATAAATGATATAAAAAAACTATGGCACCATAGCACGGTCATAGCATTTGGTGCTTTGAAATACTTCTGTCAAGAAGTATTTTAACATACCTTTTCTAGCACTTTTCCCATAGCAAACATCATGACTAAAGAAAAGAAGCATTTCTGTAAATATTTCCAGCTGGAGAATTTTGTTAAAGAACATTTTCTTGGCATAAAACTTTGGCAGAAACATACATATGTCTAAATAGGGCAAAGGGGAACAAACTTACTGTTCTTCCTTGTTGCTGTGTTCTGTATCGGCCCTTTCCTGCTAGTAGATATTGTAGGAGTTTGAGGCAGATTGACAGACATAGACTAGACTTTATATCTAGTTAAAACCAGAAGAAGTACATGAAAAGCAATGGAATTATTTCTTACTTGTTTCTAAAGTAAAGCATGACTCTCAGCACTGAAAGCAAAATTCAACATCAGTGGTCTATGCTGTCACATTTGAGATACTTTCAACATACCATTTTATATATTTAAATGTCTAGTGTGTATTGTGCATTGTGCCAAGCACTAGGGGTGGGAAAAAAAGAGACATACAACATGAATTTTACTCTCCTTCCATTAGTAGAGTATAAAGGGGAAAATACTAAGTTTGGAGTGAGACCATGCTGCCCCCGGTAGAGAATAAGATGAAATTATACACTTAGTGGTAGACCTTTTATCTACAGGCCACAGTGTTTCTCAATTCCTTTTGCTGGTTCTTTGTTTTCTCCCCTACCTCCTGCTACAGGATTTAGGCCTTGGAGAATTCATGAATTGAAATACTATTGATTTACTTTCACTTCACGGTTTTATCTCTAGCACAGCCCTTTCCTCTGTACGCCAGCTTCATACCTCCATTCTCAAACATAGCCAAATCTGCATTCTTGAACCTACCCCTACACCAAAAACTGGCCTCACCCAGTCTTCCCCATTCATAGGATTAAAAAACTCAAATTTTCAAGTTTCTCAATTCAAAAATCACTTCTTTCATCTTCTTAAGCACTCAACACTCTGGTGCATTTCTTTATTTGTATTATATTTATTACATTCTATTACATGTTACATGTTTAATACTGTTCTAAGCATGCTGTATTAGATTACTTAATTTAATCTATACTGCGCCTCTACTAAGTGGAAACTATCATAAGCCTCACCTAAAAAATACAATCATAGTGATATAAAAGGATTAAGCATCTCACCCAATTTACATTGCTGTAAGTGGCTGAGCCGGATTTTAAGCAGTCTGAGATAGAGTTGTCTAAAATACTACGCTGTGCTGCCCCTAGGAGGCAACATGGAGCTTGCTACACTATAATCAGTGCTATGAGCAGTTACCACGGAGACACCAAGGAAGAACACCTAAGGAACGTGTCAACTTAAAGTTTAGAAAGTAGCAAGGAGGCTTTCAAAGATGAGTTCATGGCCGGGCACAGTGGCTCAAGCCTGTAATCCCAGCACTTTGGAAGGCCGAGGAGGGCGGATTACGAGGTCAGGAGATCGAAGCCATCCTGGCTAACACGGAGAAACCCCGTCTCTACTAAAAATACAAAAAATTAGCCAGGCATGGTGGCGGGCAGCTGTAGTCCCAGCTACTCGGAAGGCTCAGGCAGGAGAACGGTGTGAACCCGGGAGGCGAAGCTTGCAGTGAGCTGAGATAGAGTCACTGCACTCCAGCCTGGGCGACAGAGCAAGACTCCACCAAAAAAAAAAAAAGAAAAGAAAAGAAATTAAAAAAAAAAAAAACATGAGTTCATTCTTGAAGAATGCAGTGGTATTAGTGAAAAAAATAAGATAAAATAAAAGGAATCACAGAAAGATGAGGCAGCATAAAGACAGACAGGAAACTTGGCATGTTGGGAGGTCTGCATGAGATTACAATATTACTTAAGCATAAAATGTCAAATCACAAAGAGCCATGAATTCTGCCTGAATGGCCAGCAATACAAAAACACCGGGGACTCTGAAGCAGCATTGGTGTTATAAGTTGAGTTTCCTTGAGCTAGCCCTGAGAAAGGTATGTATAAAATAGTAGAGACAAGTGGAAAAGGAAGGGAAAAAGAACAATCGAGGATGGGCCTCAAATCAGACATAGGGTGAATTTGTCCCAGTCTCACAAGAGAGCTCAGACCAATGAAAGCCACATCCCATAGCTTTTGGCCTCAGAGGCAAGGGAGCTGAAGTATCTGTGCTCCCACCCACTAGTCTGATTGAAGATTGCGAGCTGGAAGGTTCACATACTCAGACACTGCAGGCTTCAAGTGCAGACAAACACATCTGGCAGCTTGAGCACAGTTTCTTTAGTAGGAGGCACGGGTGCTGGGAATAAAAGCTGGGAGCACATGAGCCCAAAAATAGTAACGGATCTGGGGCACGTGGGTGAAACTGTGATAGTGCCCACAAAGCCACAGGCTTGGTACGGGTCTAATTGACTTCAGTTCCATTTATATTTGTGGACAGAACAATACACTGGCCTAGAAACATCTTCTCTTCTACTTGTTTAGCGTTCACTTTTACTCTAATTTAATTATTCCCCACAATTGGTGAGTGAATAAAAATAGTCATTACTTTAATAGGCCTCCATCATTACCCAAGTGTAATGTTTGGAACTTTTATTTATTTCATCATATATCTATTAAAATATATTAATTACAAGTGAACTACCTTAACATAGGAGTAGCTACAAATGGAGAGTTTCACAATGTCTTGCGGGGAAGTGGTAGGGAAGAAAATTAATTAACCAAGGCAACACCACAACAGATGAGCAAATAGTTTTCTGGGTAACTATTTTCATAAGGATTATCTGCACAAGATAGTACTATTTTCTTCCATCTTACCAAGAAGAAATCTAAGTTACAAAATACAATTTAGCAACTATTCTTAAGGTTGCAAAGGTGGTCTGGCAGCTTTGGCCTGCCTCACCCCACAGCCCATGCCTCTCATCACCTCTCTCATTATTGAAAATCCAGAACCAGGGGCCAATAAAAGGTTTTTGTCTACTCCTATGCCCATCATCAGATAGTCTGAAACAGGAAGAAAAAACATTGTGCATAATTGGCTTTCAAGTAAAAGACAAAACCTTTAATTATAAAAGAGGTAAATTAATTTACCTCTAGGATGTTTTAGGAAAACGTTATTAAACTTAAGGTGCATTTCTAAATACATATGAACTGCATGGACATGAACAGGTTCGACTATTCACTAAGAAGATGAAAAGTACCTATGTGTGAGGAAAATTTTGCCTTCACCTTCTTCAGTGCCACACTTAAGTACATCCTTCATATCTGGCTAATATGTAATGGATGTAATGAGGATGAATAAGCTTAAATAATAAGTTAACAGAAATCAGTGGAGATCCTTAAGATGGATATTTGCCTTTAGCGACTAAGAATTGGAGAGACATAATTTGGCAGTAGAAAGACTATTGTGAAAAGGGTAGTCTTTACGAAACATTTAGCAATTTATGAATGATTCATTATGAGTAAAATAGGCTGATATCTACCCAGCCAACTTGTAGTATTGTTATGTGGATCAGAGGGTAGAAAGGATATAAAGAAACTCAAAATTGTAAAGTACATGGCTTCACATACATAAATACATTTGTGACAGTCCGTATAATCTAGAAATTCCTATTGCAGACCCTCTAATAGGATGCCTTTATAAATTTGCACAGAATATTTGTGTGTGTGTATGCGTGTGTGTATTCAAGTTTTCTTCTCTTACTCATAGTGCTATGCAGAATAACTGCCACCAAAAACATTATATGTCTTAATTCCCACAACCTGTAAATATCTTACATTGCAAGCTAGAATTATAGTCATAGATAACTTGAAATGTCATGAATCCATAGTCCTGATGAGGAGATATTACTGGCTTATCTGAGTGGTTTAAATGTAATCACAAGGATCCTGTAAATGTGTAAGAGGGATACAGAAGAGTGAGTATCACAGTGATGCAATATGTAGAAGACTCAACTGGCTGTTACTGCCTTTGAAGATGGAAAGTGACCATCAGCCAAGGGATGCAGACAGCCTCTAAAAGCCGGAAAAGCAAGGAAATCAATTCTTTCCTAGAACTCCAAAAGAAAAGCAGCCTTGCCGACACCTTGAATTTAGTCTAGTAAAACCCATTTTGTAACTATGAACTCCAAAACCTTCAAATAATACATTTGTGTTATATAAAACTACCAAGTTTGTGTTATTTGGAACAGCTGTAGTTGATATCTAATGCATATACAGATAAAATTATCCTGCACATCGATTTTGCATTGAAGAATATAACCTTATACTTATGGAAAACAAATTTTTGACAATGTGTTACTATGTAAACAGATGGAATATTTTTATAACTATTTCCTTAACCTAGAAGAATAAAGGCAGAAGACTATAACAACTGCAGAGGCAATGGGAACACTGAACCAAAACATTAATGAATGAGCTAATGTAAGTAGGATTTACTAAGCTCTTAAATATAAGTTTAAGGACATTTTGTTATTATTATTCTTTTGTGGAGAAGGGAACACTTTTCTGGGAAAAGAACCATATATAGTATTTTATTGCACAGAAAGTACCTACTTTCCTTTTCCGTTAAGGCCCCAGAGAGAGAAAAATAGCAGTTGTGAAGGAACCACAAAAATACATTTATTCTTTTATTCTTAGTAACTCTAATGGATGCTAAACCCTAGTTACTAGTGAGAAAAGAGAATTCATTGCATACTGTAACAAAAGAGAAATAGTCAATGTTGAAAGACTACTGTTTTGGTAATTGTCAATCCACTAAAATATTCAACTATGATAAGTTTCAATGTTACTAACATTGTTCAAAGTTACTAACATAATGCTCAAAAAAATTTAACACTTCCAAGCAGTATGATTTTGTCGCAAATAGAGACATGGAATGGGAAAGAGAAGAGGAAGGACAGAGAAAGAGGATGAAAGAGACAATGGCTTCTGGCACCACCTGTCAGTATGCTAATAGTTGCTTTTATAGCAGCAGCAGGTTTAAGTCAAGAAAATCAAGCATTTGGATGGTTCGCCATTGCATCAGCTGTTGTCGTTTTCATTTTATTTTTGCTCATTATCTTTATTAGGTAAAGGCATTGAAAATCACATTGCTTATTAAAAGCGATTATTGAGTGAGGAGGAAAAATAGATTCTGTAAATATTTTAGAGATCAATAAATGACAAAGATAAAAAGAAAAATGCTAAAGTAATGACATATTTTTGGTATATTTTGGAATTAAAATTTTGGAAATAAGAGATTTTGAATATGGGAGAGTTCACGTATAGAATTGGGATTGTTATAAAAATTGACTTCCCCTTTTTTGTCTATCTAATATGAATTATGCTTAAAACATTATCAAACTCAATTTTTATGGCATGGTAGTAGCTCACCTATTCTCTATATTTTCTTTTCTTCCATAATACAACCTTTATACTCTAGCTGGGATGGATCAGTAAATGCTTCATGTTGGGGCTGTCTCTGTGCCTATGTGAAACTTCCTTCTCCAAAACCATCCTGATTTCAAACCTAGGCTTCCGTTAAGAACATATTTTAAAATTACTGCTTATGTGAAATTGTGTTGACATGAAAGACCAGTAGGTATTAGATAAAGAGTTGTGGAGGAAAGAGAAAGATAGCTAGACACTGAAACATACACAGAGACTGAATGTGAAAGCGAGAAGGGAGTGCTCAGGTCAAGTGGTTGAATGATATAGTGTGTTTTAAAGTTGGCAATAAAATCAAATAAATTAAAGGAAAAATACATGACCTTTACCAAACTTCTGCTTCCTTACATGTAAATCTTCTCATAGTATGTTTTAAAAATAGACATCAGTGTATGTATAAGTTTGAAAGGTATTCTTAATTATCTCATTACATCTACATACCAGGAAAGTGGAATTCTTTATCTTCATAATCCCATTTTTAACATTTGTTATTACTGAACACAAACTATTATTGTAATTTTGTTTTCAATAATCTCTGAAACATAAATGTATGCCAATATCTTTGATAAGAATAGCTGTTCTAAATTATAAGCATCTTGTCGCAATGATGTATAGTAGATACTTAAAATGTAGTCACTAAATGAATGAATGATAGGTTGAAAGAATGAAAGTCTAAATATTCCTCTCTTTGGATATTGTTACATTTCCTTAATTAGCAAAGGAGAAGAACTAGGTAGACCAGACTTCATATGGTCAGAATTATAGGATAGATCATGAGCACTCACAGCAATTTCTTGTGGCATATAGGGATGTACACCACCTAGACTTAAGGATACTCGTAATATAACTTGAAATATACAAATAATTCAGCCTCTGTAGCTCTAATCAGGCTCTAATCCTGAAAAGGTGATCAAATCATGTGTTACCAGAGTGTGTACTTCTTTATGGAAGGTAGTCAAAAATGTATGTATATTTTAATTTTATTTTCCTATACTTTTTATATGAACTTATTTATACCAGGAAATTCAATATCTTTCCAAACTTTCAAACACAATGAAATGAATTTTATAAAATGAAAACAATAGTGTTATGCCGTACATTTTTAAGCAGACATGGCAATCCTGTCTGCAATGTTCTGATTTAGGCACCTGAGGTAGCTAAAAAGGTTAGTTAATAAATTGCCACACATTGCCTGGCCAGTTCTAAATAAATAAATTCAAAAATAAAAAAATATATAGTGGTAAATAAATAAAATAGTCACTTAGGTGTATAAACTAATGAACTACACATTTGCCAACATTTTTTCCTATACTTTGCAGACACAATGGGGACCTATTCATCTAATGTACTCTGACAGTATTTTACTATAGATTGTCTGACTACTCAGGCACCGAGAAATAAGGCCAAATGAATGATGCTTTTGCTGTTACTCAAAAACAACATTTGCAGTGCTATTTCCATGTAGTTATTCACGTGTGTACACACACACATATGTATATACACACAAATATACACACATATAAGCATATATATTCACATATATATTATACACACACATATATATATTTATATATATATATATATGCCCACACAAAAGAAAGATAAATAGCAGATAAAGTCTTCATATAGGTAATGGCTCCATCCATTCACTGTAAGTCTGCTAGCAATTAACCTCTCAGGGAGCACAATAGAGATGCTTAAAAGATGTAATTGCACACATAGTGTTGCATTACACTATACTCTAAAAAAATACTTTACATTTTGGTGACATTGCCATGATGCTTCTTTTAAAAAACTATGCAATTTTATCTCTTGTAAGCAACTAGTGTCCTATTTCCTATAAGCAACCAGTGTGCTATCCTGAGGCTAAAATGTGAAGCTTCAATTTCTAAAAATGCAGCTAGGCAAGCTATAGTTCTCCAAAATAGGGATTATAATAACTCCTTGACCTAATGGGAAAAAATACTACCAAGTAAATGATTATAACAGCTAGACTTTTACACTTTCTGCTTCCTGTAGTTTCTCAGACTGTAGCATCTCTTAGATACCAACAGATGAGAAAAAAATTCCAGCTATCCAGTGGGCTTTTTTAAACAAAACCCTGAATGAGAGCCTCCAATCTACCTCATGGTATTCTTTCTTTCCCTGGCTTAAGGGTTCCTCAAATCTCACTTGTAAGTCCACCAAATGATATGCTTTTCTTTTGTCATTATTATTATTTTTTAATTTCTGTCCTTTTTTTGGTTTTGCCATTATTTTTTGTCTAAGGTTGGCGGATCACCGTATTATTATTTAATGAGGGTCTACTGTCACAAACCAACTTAATTCTTATTTCTTGCAGCAAATTTCCTGGTGGTTATGATTTCTATTGTAACTATGAAAAAAAGGTCTTTGGAACATTAAATAACTGGTTAAGTTTGCACATTTCATAAGCCACAGACTTAAGATTCAAACCTAAGCCAATGACATTCTAAAATCAAGCTAGACATATGGGCTCTGGGTTTCTCTCCTCTGTTTTGAAGCTTTGGAGTGCCTTCTTTGAAGGATGTCTCTTTCTGGGACTTGGAGCATGCCATAGTCAACGGTGCAATCATGTATGGATACCAGTCCTGTTTCTTTTCCGTAGGGTACTTTTAAATCATTTCCTTCCTTTGTCCCACTCACCTTTATTTAGGGCTGTCCATATACCTTGAAGAGCTTTAACAGTCACAACAATGGAGTTCTCATTCCAGCAGCATGGCCTGAAAAGCGTATATCTCTCATTATGTATGTTATTTCTTTCACAGGATCACTTGAAATTGGAATACCAGGATGGTGCTGACATTCTGATTTGAAGTCATGTTCAGTCATTTTAGACATAGGATGAGGACAGTTCTCTAATCTGTAGTGCATCAGTCACCTTGGACTTAAGTGAGGCTCTTTCCTCTTGCCCATCTGTGTTCTGTCATTGGTGAACCTCCAGTCTACAGGGCTTACACCAACGGTCTTGAAAACAGACAGCATCTTTGATCCTGTGGGCCTCCACCACTGGCATGCAAGACAGTCAGCTTACCAAATTTGCAGGCTCTGTGCCATATGTCAGGTAGCCTCTGAAAGAACTCATTCCTATCACTTCTATGGCTTTGCTCCTCGACGCCTATGGATCCTTATTATCGATGTTCTCTCTTGACTTTGATCCATGTGAGGATTTCATGATTTTCTTGGTTGGTATTGAGACAAGCCAGATAAGGGAAGGATATTCTTTGTACAAATGGAAGTATTGTGAGGAAGGCAGGGAAATGGTCAATATCAAAAGAGATCACTTTCTAGAACGCAATGTTTAGTGCCTAAAGAATTCAAAAGGTGAAATGGAACATGTGTTGTTCTGTATTTATAATAAGATATTCTGGCTGGTTAATTTAACATCCCCAGGAAAAATAAATTATTGTTCACATTTTTCCTTATACTCTAGGCAAGGTTTGCATTTGTGTTCTCCACCAGTGATGTACAATGACAACCCTTGAAAGAGTCACTGCAAACAAGTAGTCATGATGGTCCAATGGATCTTGATGCATCATCATATGAGTAATGATACAACCAGCAAGAAATAAACTACAGAGATAAGAAAATCTATTTCATTTCAATAAAAGCTAGTTCCAAAGATCCACCTACTTGTGATTAATAGTGCTGCCATCTTTTCTTAAAGTGGGAGACATGAAATTAGCCAGGAATTGTGAAAATGACAGTAACAAATAGAAAGAATTGATTCCTGGGCCCAGGAGCAGAAAGAGTTGGCTACAGAGGCACTTTCACTGATTGGAATTTAAAAAAAAAATCTCCTTTCTACCCATTATTCAACATCCTCATTGGCAAATCCCTATAATTCACATAGATTCATGAATTTTAAATATGGTTTTTCTTCAAATCGTTTGTATAGACTGAGGCCCCACAAAAGTATTTGCCCAAGGTCTTGCATGCCCTACTGGTGGCTTTGTCCCAAGAGTCTTATTCTGTTGCCCAGGCTGGAGTGCAGTGGCATGATCTTGGCGCACTGCAACTTCCACCTCCAGGGCTCAAGTGATTCTCCTACCTCAGCCTCCTGAGTAGCTAGAATTACAGGTGCATGCCACCACACCCAGTTAATTTTTGTATTTTTAGTAAAGAAGGGGTTTCACCATGTAGGCCAGGCTGGTCTCAAACTCCTTACCTCAAGAGATCTGCCCGTCTTGGCCTCCCAAAGTGTTGGGATTACAGGCATGAGCCACCACACCTGGCCCCTAAGATATTGTCTTGTATAGACCCCTCTGTCTTACAGCTCAGTCATTTGCCCCTCCCTTGGTGCTACTTCTAACTTGAAGCTACTCACTATTCTATACACAAATCAATGTCGT
This sequence comes from Homo sapiens, assembly GCF_000001405.40. Classification (NCBI taxonomy): domain Eukaryota; kingdom Metazoa; phylum Chordata; class Mammalia; order Primates; family Hominidae; genus Homo; species Homo sapiens. The sequence continues at coordinate 33,098,531 of NC_000004.12, forward strand.
GGAAATGGCAACATAATTGTAAACCTCATTTATTTCACCAAATATTCTATATGTCACACAATACTCAGGCTTTTTAAGTCATTAATATTTTAAAGATACTTTAATTATCAGATTCCTTTTAATATTCTTACCAACTCTCCATTTCATGTCTGGAAGCTGGTTCAGAAATAACCTAAGCAATACATGTGTTGTTTTGTGGTTTCCTAGAAAGCGTTATAGAGACATGAAAGGCCCAAGACTTTGTGTCTTATAAAGTCACACTTTCTTCCACCTGAGTTCTGAATCAATGAAGAGATAAAGTAAGAGAGGACAGATGGAGATAAGTATATTGTCTTTATTACTGGTAACTACCAAATCAAGCGTTACTAATTCTAACCTTAGAGTCAGGAAGAATTATTGATCCAGTCTCAGGGAGACAATTCTAGACAGTCTTCCAACATGGCAGAATGCCTTGGAAAACATGACATAGAGCATCTGCTTTCTAAAATAAAAGTGTCTACATAACAGAAAAAGTGCAAGGCTGAACTGAAGGTGCACAGCTCCCTAACTAACTGAAATCACCTATCAGGAATTTTATATTTTCCCTTGAGGAAGGCCAATGAGACTCCCTAGGGTCAAGAGGATTATTACCTAATGTCTTTTTGAGTGGTTTCAGAATTTCTATTCATAGAATATTAAAATATTTTGATAGAAACACTAGTAACAAAACTGGGGTGTATTTAAAGGTTGACATAGTATACACAGCTCTCTTTATCACAGCAAGAGGCTAAAATGATTCAACAAGTTTTTGAGGTTCCCCTGTGTGTCATAACTGTCACGTCTGAAAGAATAACATCTTCCCCAAAGACATCAACGGAGTTGTGAAATTAGATAATATATGCTAAATAACTTTCTAAAATTAACGTGAGAAGAATTTTAATGTGATAACAGGAGCTGTCAGTCAGAACAGTCTGATAAAAAAGGAAAAGAAAATATTACTTGCTTCAATTCTCATATTCCAAATGAAGGTGTGGTGATAAAATAAGCAGTAAAATGGATCAGAAAATAACCCCACGCCCCTCAAAAAAAAAAAAGAAGAGCAAGAGAAAGAAAGAAAAGAGCTTAAATTGTAGTTACCAGCTGCCATTCAAAAAGTCCTCCCTCGTTCACTGACGTGGCTAGCATAATTCTACAAATCCTACATCAAAACTAGTGTTTTTAGTTCATGGAGCTCCATGAATAAGTAATCAATGACATTATAGCAGAAAACTTGGAAATGTATCTGTGGCTGGTACCATACAATTAAATCCCTCAAATAGCCCTAAAATATAGGTATGAAATATTTCTGCTGTGATTAAATTTGCAAAGAGGCAAGAAAAAGATCAGTCAAAATTATGCCTTTCTCTGAACCTACATGCACCTTCTATCACCATCATGCTAGTGAAAAGAATCATCAAGATTGCATTGTGGTTCAACAAAGAATAATTACCTAGAAAATACCTTAAATGGTTTTGTTCCCCTGAAAATGCTTTTCTTTCTAGACAAGGTATTTTTTTTATCACAGATTGAGAATTTTAATGATTGTCTTCGTAAGCTTTACAATCCTAATAGTACCATTGGAATAAATCACTGTACATCTGGGTATGATCTGTTGATTCTTTTCTAATAATCCTAAATCTCATATTCAAATGGTAGTATTATGGGATAGTAAGTCAAAAAGAATACACAGCACCATGCTTTCATCAAATGCGAGGCAACATGACTGAGCATGAATTATTGATAATGAGGTTGTCCTTCAATTTTTACCAGTTCTACTTACATGGAATGAAAAACATAAGACAATTTATCATAGGTAAGGAAAGAAACACAACAGCTGAAAATTCCTACATTAAAAAAAATTAAAATATATAATCAATTAGAGGAAATTGCTGTCTAAATTATCATAATATCACTTTAATGATGAAGAGTTTACTTAGCTAAAATCTCTAACAGAAGGTATATGTGGACAGATTGTAAAAATGACCCTTTTATTTTAAGGAAGCCATTCTGAGGAAAGAAGATTAATATCATTTCTTGTGATATAGATTGTTTATATTTTCCATACCTGGTCACTTAATTGATATTAAAAAAATTCCAAACTCTATTCATTAGACAATTATTTTTACAGTGAAATGTAAATTAGGACACATTAATGTTATCACAAGATATTGCATGTGAAACTTCCAGTTGCATTTTTGTAACTCTTCAATCATGTACATATATGTGAGATTTCTTTGAGAGAACAAATGTGGGATAAGAAAAACTATTGTACTTTTGATAAATCTAGAACTTAGGTTCTAGATATCAAATATAATAAACTCAAACAGAATTAGAAAATTCTCAAGAGACATAGCCAATCTTTTGGTTTTTTTATAGTGCTGACTGAAACAAATATTATTAAGTTAACATTATGTAGGTATAATCTACTATTAGACATTTGGAAAATTGTACTGTATTATAGAGGGCTTTAAGTACATTAAAAATATGTGGAAAGACGATTGTTTTGAGTTTTTGTTATTTCATCATTCTTAGGCTTAGATCACAAGCCTAATTTTACTACAAAGAATTAGAGTTGATTTATAAAAAGAAAAATATAGAGTCTCCCCATTTGTTTTCCCAGTTAACTTATGAAAGATCTCACTAACAAGGAGCCTACATATAGCCATTTTAACTCATGTATCTCCCACCCTTGTATCTCTATCCCTATTTCTAAGCAGCAATAGCAGCTTTAAAAAGATAAAGAAAGAGAAAGGGAATTACGACATCTTATCTTACTTTCTTTCTCATTCTTGTCCTTATGAGAAAAAGAAGAGTAGGTTGGTTAGAAAACTAACAAGTCATTTGGATTGTTTCCAAGTTTACCAGTGAAGTTACAATCTAAGTGTAAGGAAACTGGACCATCTCCTTCCATCCCCACCCTCTGACTTACATCTGGCTCTTCCCATGGCCTGCTCTCCTGGCTTCAGCTTACTGTCTGTACTTTACCAAAACTCTTTGCTAAGAATGATATTTTCTTTCTTTCTTTCTTTCTTTCTTTCTTTCTTTCTTTCTTTCTTTCCTTCTTTCTTTCTTTCTTTCTCTCTCTTTCTTCTTTCTTCTTTCTTGTCTTTTTTCTTTCTCCTTTTTTTTCTTTCCTTCCTTTTCTCTTTTCTTATCTTTTTCTTTCTTTTCTTCTTTTTTTTCTTTCTTTCTTCCCTTCCTTCTTGTTTGGTTGCTTTTTTCCTTCCTTCCTTCCTCCCTCCCTCCCTCCATCCCTCCCTCCTTCCTTCTTTTTTCCTTCCTTCCTTCCTTTTTCCTTCCTTCCTTCCATTTCCTTCCTTCCTCCCTCCCTTCCTTCCTTCCTCCTTTCTTTCTTTCATTCTTTCTTTCTTTATCATTCTCTTTCTTTCTTTTTTCTTTTTCTTTCCTTCCTTTTTTCTTTTCTTATCTTTATTTTTCTTCCTTTCTTTTCTTCTTTCTCTTTCTTTTCTTCTTTCTTTTTCTTTCTTTCTTTCCTTCCTTCTTTCTTGGTTGCTTTTTTCTTTTCTTCCTTCCTTCCTTACTTCATTCCTTCCTTCCTCCCTCCTTCCTTTTTCCTCCCTTCCTTCCTTTTCTTTCCTTCCTTCCTTCCTTCCTTCTTTCTTTCTTTCCTTCTTTCTTCTTTCTTTCTTTCTTTCTCTTTTTTCTTTCTAGTTGAGATACAGGAAAATATTCAAAAAATGTGGGTTTTTTTTCTCGTCTTTAGCCAACATATAATCTGCTTTCTGTCAAAAAAATTGTACTTGACATATTAAATGGTAAGAGAGACTGTATTCATGATTATTACAATGGGGGTAAGTGTAAACTCCACTTCAATGAAAAAAAGGTGGGCGAGTTTTTAAGTGTCAGCATGAGCTAGCACTTAAAGTACTGGAAGACATTCAAGGAGTGCTGTTGGTCAATAAGGGCATTGCCTTTGTTGATGATTATGTTTCAAAGGGGTCCCTTCTAGGTCTTTAAGAAAAATATTTCTGGATAGGAAAAATAGCAAGAGTCTGGCAGAAGATTTACATCTCAAAGGAGCAGAGAAATAAATTACTACTGCAATTTTTCCAAAGTAAATATCCTAATCCAAAGGAGATCAAGGACGTCTATTGTCAGGAAACAAAACCTGTCTAGTGTTTAGTGAAACTGAGGGAGTAAGAGAGGCACTTTCCGCAACCATCTAGGACCATGAGATAAGAACCAATCTGAGGAGACTTGAAAATGAGAGACAGTAAATAGAACCTAGGTCTATTATTTGAATATTTATCTATCAATATCTGAAGGCATTCTTTTATGGGCTTTTTATTAGTGTGAAGCAACAAACCCCATTTTACTTTTGGACTTGCATTTTCTGTTCGATAAAAACAAAAGAAACACTCTCACGTGTGATGCTGAGATACTGTGTTAGGTCTCCATCAAATTGCAACTCCACTGCTTCTAAGAAAACGAAAAAAGAGAGACTTGAAAACATTCACCTTATTTCTTGTCTCCCAATCACAGGGGAAATCAACAATATGTAAAAACAGGACAGTTTATGTTAGATCAAAATATATGAAAAAGAGTATTTCTTTTCTTTTTTTAATAGGTGGATATAACCTTAAAATATGTATTCTGAATGCAATGGAAATAGTGTTTTACATGCCTAGACAAAGCTGTGTCAATTGCCCTCTGTAGATTCAAGATCGTGCTCAGAAGCTTACTGTTGGATAGGAAACCAGTCCATGAAAATGCATTACCAAACTACAATACCAGCTACAAAACACACACACACACACACACACACACCACCACCACCACCACCACCATCACCTATTGGTTATACTCAAATCAAGTAAGAATTCGTATTCTAAAGGTTTCCTTTATAATAAATACTTCTCTCATAAATAGAACCATTATCAGCATTTGTTAACTGTTGTCTAAAATTAACTTCTAGGTCTGTTCTGGGGTGGACTTTTTCTGGTTACACATGTATATCACTTAATACAGAGTCTAATATGCCTTTAGTGCACAGAAAATATATTTAAAATGTATGAATAAATTTACTGTGTGATCAGAGGAAAATAAGATTTCATTGATTACAGTGCAAAATAAATCTGAGTGTGAACAATGCAACTCTCAATGGCACCAAAGGGAGAAACTTCTTATGTTGTAGGTGAATAACACACAGAGGTTTAGGGCATGTTTTTAATTTGGGAAATGGTGAAAGGTAAATTAGGGAAGTGTAACTCAACAGAGGAAGAAAAGGGATTCTCTGAAAGAAATATGAGCAATAGTACAATCAAATCAAACTGCTATTAAAGAGTAATGCAGGAAAGGATATTTTAGTTGTTATTGGATCTAATTGGTAACTGATCATTTTTATTGCTATATGAACTTCATATGAATTCAGTTATGTAATTAGTGCCTGCTGTATGCCAAATTCTAGACATGAGGACACAATAATATGCATAATACACTGAAGTATTTGTATTCCTGTAATTACATCCGAGTGAAAGTATATAGAAACAAGCAAATACATAAGTTTATGTCAAGCAATGATAAGTGATATTCAGATAAATAAGACAAGATGAGATGATAAAGAATGGGGATGATACTTTATTTTGGATTAGGTGTTCAGCAAAGATTTCAAAGAAGCTAAATATGAACAGAAATACAAATGTACAAGGGAGTTTGAAGTATGCATATCTAAGGAAAGAAATTCAGGCTGATGCTGCTTTAGTTGTGGTTTTAGAAACGAAAAATACGTAAGAGATCCAGCCTGAGAGAGTAACAAGTGGGAGAGATATTTGCATAACCACAAGAAGGCTGCAGTGACCCTGGCTGACTGAGCAAGGGAAAGAGTGACAGAAAAATCAAGTTGGAATGGGCTTGAAGGCCCTGGTCACATAGTGCCCTCATTTTCTTCTGTATTGCTCACTCATTCCTCCTCTAGTCACCTAGGCCTTATCCTGTTGTTCAGCTGGTGATTATTATCATTAGGTGGAAAGCTGTGCAATGATTATTACGGTTAGGTGGAAGGCTGCCAAATATCTTTGAGTACAAACTCTGCTGGGTGATTGACAGGCAATGTGAAGGCTTCTGTCAATTGTGATCTCATCTGACAGCAGAAAGGAAAATTAGATCCTGACCTGTTTTCCCCAGAACCCCGAATCCTGGTGATGGATCGTGGGTTTTTTTTTCTTTTTCTTTTTTCCTGTTGATTTCCCACTCTTACTTCGTACAGTGTCCTTCTCTTTCAGCCTGCCAGCCTTGTACATTCTTTAATTTAATCTGGGGTTAAGAAAATTCAATCACTGGTTTTCTAACTCTAGTAAGTAAGAATCTGTTTTCCTAATATTCTTCTACTTTGGCTTACTTCACTCAAAGCAGTAAAGAACTATGTCTACATATCTAAGGTGAGCAGGCAAGAATAGGGGAAGAACTCTGATGCATGCAGGAGGTTAGGCAGGAAATTGAAGCGCAGGGCACCTCTTCACACTGTGAAAGAAACCTTACCATTATTTACCTAAAATTCTTGAAAGAATATATGTGAAATGATTGTTGAAAGTTATCCCTTGCCAGTTCTGGAAAGGTAAATGGATGTATTTTTTATCTTATACCCATTGTTATTTTTGCACTTAAAAGAATTGCTCCCATGCATTAATTCTATAATAACAACAACAATAAAAATAATTCAAATAAGAGAGTGCTAATTTAATGCAGTACTAAATATCCCATTGAAAATGAAATCCACCTAAATAGTCGGTGGTAAGAGGAACAAATATGTATGTTTTAAAGCATATTATGATTCATTAAATAAATGTATAAATTTAAGACGAGATAAGGTGTTGGCAATTCTAATCCGTCTAAGTAGAAAACAGTAAAAAAGAGAAAGAGACTGGTAATATTTTGTGGATAATGTATATTAGATAAGTTTGCTTATCATAGGTAATGCGGAGATAATATAGACCGAATGTGTACTTGAGGAGATACTTTGTATAAAATCACTGTTAATGTGATCTGGATGGCATCTGACTGTGAAGTAAAGTTAGTCAAGATGTACCACATAACTATTTATATTTTTTTACAAGAAAGGAATTGTTTCTTGCCTTGTTTATTTTTACTTTTTTTAACACAGTGTCTGTCTCTAGAAATATTATATATTATACATTCTTTAATATTAAAATATAATTTTGTTTAAAAACGTTATACATCTTTAAAAAGCTGGTCTTAAAGTTTCTTTTTTTCTTTTTTTTTTGAGATGGAGTCTCGCTCTGTGGCCCAGGCTAGAGTGCAGTGGTGCGATCTCGGCTCACCGCAACCTCTGCCTCCCAGGTTCAAGGAATTCTCCTGCCTCAGCCTCCCGAGTAGCTTGGAATACAGGTGCCTGCCACCACGCCTGGCTAATTTTTTATTTTTAGTAGAGATGGCATTTCTCCATCTTGGCCAGGCTGGTCTCGAACTCCTGACATTGTGATCCACCCGCCTCGGCCTCCCAAAGTGTTGGGATTAGAGGCGTAAGCCACGGCACCTGGCCCTCTGGTCTTAAAGTTTCTGTGAGAAGAATACGTTGTAGTAGGAAAGCAATATGGAGTGATTATTTTGCATCATGCATAAGTGACCCATAAACTTCTATATTCCCCATAGTAAAGCAATGAATTCAGGGGATTCATTGTAATTATAATTATGTGTTGAAATTAGAATAATTTTCACATATCCCTTTCTGTTTGAAATTCTACCTCTTCTCACCACTTTAGGACTTCATCCTCACAGGTCTCTTTTTTCCTTTTCATTTGTCTTCTCGTTTGAATAACTTCACTAGCATAAAGCACGCCCCCTACTCTCACAAAATCTTCCTTCGGCCACATGTTCCCCTACAACTACCTCCTAATTTCCCAGTCCTTTCCAGAGAAAATATTATTAAAATAGTTGTCTCTGGACATGTTCCTCATCTTCTTTTCCTCCTTGCATGCACTCAAGGGTACCAATAACCTTTGTACTGGCTGATTCTTTTTCTCCCATTACCTTGAAAGTTTTCTGTTCTTGGCTCCTATGATGCAACACTTGCCTAAGTTTTCACCTACATAGCATTTTTGTTTTTTCTTTTCTCATTTCTCTTTGTTAGCTCTGTCTTCTTTGTCCCACCTCTAAATACTGGAAAGATTGGTCTTGAAATATCTCCTCTTTTCTACTCGTCTGTTCCCGGGTAATATTATTTCTTCTCATGAGGCCAGATGCCATCCAGATCACATTAACAATAGATTTTATACAATATATCTTCTCAACTACACACTCAGTCTGTATTATTTTCGCATTACCTATGATAAGCATCTCAAATGAAAGCGCAATCAAGCATTTTGTTCCTCTCCAGCCTGTTTCTCTTCCAGGCTATGGTGTCACCCTCCGCTCAGTAGCACACACAAAAAATACTGCCTTGATTTTTTCATTCTTTATGATCCCACCTTCCCTACAGCCCCTCCAGAATCAAGATGGTCTTACTGCCAAAAAACAATCCGGCTCTTCTATTTTCTTCATCTCTGCTACTCATTCAAGTCATCTTCACCTCTCCAGCCCTAGATGTCTCTCTCCAGTTTTTCTCCTAACAGGCATTAAAAACTTTTTTTTTTTTTGAGACATTGTCTCACTCTGTCTCCCAGGCTGGAGTGCCGTGGCATGATCTTGGTTCACTGCAACCTCCGTCTCCTGGGTTCAAGCGATTCTCCTGCCTCCGCCTCCTGAGTAGCTAGGATTACAGGTGCATGCCACCACACCGGCATTTTTTTTTTTTTTTTTGTATTTTTAGTAAAGACGGGGTTTCACTATGTTAGCCAAAAAGCTGTTATAAATATATATAAGATTATGATTCTTATAGACTTAAAATTCTCTAAAGTCTCATATGTCATTGAATGAAATCCCAATTCCTTCCATTAGTCTAGAAGGTTCTACATGATCTGCCACTTGCTTACCTCACTGACCTTGTCATGTACCATCTTCCTCATCAGTTAACTCCTGCATGGTGTCTTCTTTATAATTCCCAAACATCTTGGGCATGTGCCTTTCTTTCTTATACCATTTTCTGTCTAGAAATCTCTTTCTTGAGTGTTTGCCATTATCTCTTTTCATTTAGCCCGAAGCTCCTCAAAATGGCTTTACTTTTCAACTCAATTTAAAACAGCTTCCCCCACACACATTCTGCCACACACATATAAACTTGTGCACTTTTAAATAAAGATGGTAAAATATATAATGAAATTTAAAAAGTTAATTTTCTGCCGTCTTGAAGACATTGAGTCCTTTAACCTTAAGACAACATCAGCTTTTATTTTGCTGCTATTTTTTCAGCTTAATAACATCCTCACTTTAAGACTGACAAATCCTTATTTTTTTCAAGAATGATATCACATTCACAAGAATGATAGGCTGCCTTTCTCAAATCATAAAGAAATGACCTGAATAGATACCCGACACACAGCAGGCATCTTATGACAATAACAAATTCTGAGTCAGCTTTGTGTCAAATTAGCTACATTCCTCTTTATCTTGTCATACTCTAACACAGAAAGCAACAAGACTGCAAGGGTCATAAGTAATGTTATGAAACATGTGACTTTAGGTCACGTCATTAATAAACACCTTTTAATTTCACCTTCTGCATCTAGTTTAAGAAAGCAGGTTGTTTTCAAAGTGCAGATTTCCTATATTCCCCATAGTAAAGCAACGAATTCAGGGATTTTTGCCTTTGACTTTTACTAACACATTTTTCTCTAAGTTTGGTAGAAGACTCAGAATTTGCATTTTTACTGTGCCCCTCAGGTGACACTTAGGATCAAAATTGTGTAAATGACTATATTAGAGTTAAAAATTATGGTCATACTAACCAAAATTCTGTTTATAAGTTTTTTTGTTTGTTTGTTTTCTTTTTTAATGGAGTCTCACCCTGGCTGGATTGCAATGGCAGAATCTTTGCTCACTGCAACCTCTGCCTCCGAGGTTCAAACTGTTCTCCTGCCTCAGCCTCCTGAGTAGTTGGGATTACAGGTGCTCGCCACCACACCCAGCTAATTTTTATATTTTTAGTAGAGACAGGGTTTCACCATGTTGGCCAGGCTGGTCTCAAGCTCCTGACCTCGTGATCCACCCGCCTCAGCCTCCCAAAGTACTGGGATTAGAGGCGTGAGCCACCATGCCCGGCCCAGTTACAAGTTTTTAAGTGTTAAACTTAGTGGTTTAAAAACTGTAATGAGAATGGAACCTTGTAATAAATGTATGCCATCCTTAACCTTCTCGGTCCCAATACACACGGCACTGGTGGTACTGTCCATCATAAAGTCTGCTTGTCCTCTGGATGCAGGTGTGGCTCTGCGATACATGGCTGGCCACTGTGGCCCACTAACCAGTGTACTCCTATTAGTGATTCATCCAAACTACGGACAGCAGAGTCTGGCAGAGCCATCCTGTTTATCACACACACACACTACACATACACACACACACGTATGTGTGTATGTTATATATATTTATATGAACACACACATATACTTGCACACACATACATGCATGCACACAACATGCATTCTAAGAGAGAGACGGAAACAGAAAAATTAGCAAAAAAGAAGAACCATGTATCTCTGGATGTGTTGGTGCCTTTATAGCATCAAGTGGAAGAAGCCTGCTGAAGAATGAAGTCAACACAAAAGCAAACAGTGCTGGGATAAAGAAAGAGCAGCGAGATGAGATAACAGTTTTGAAATCCTGGATATATTTTTGCATGTGTGGAAGGTAAAACTATCCTCTTGAATGTCCCAGTCACAAGCCAAAGTATCAACGCCTTGAAAGAGGTCTTCCTAATCGATCGTATTTGTGCTTGCATTCTTCTATTAATATCACCTAATTAAATTTCCTTATATTTCCTTCAATATTTAAAATAGAATTCTTATATCTATAAAGATAGTTTACCTATGTTGAGAGCATACATCTTATGCACAGACTTGGGCAGGTACTTTTTAGAATTGTCTCACAGAATCCTTATGTAGTAGGTTGCTGTTTTACAAATGATGTAACTGAGGCTTAGAGAGTTGAACGCACTTGGCCAAGATGAGACAATTTGTACATGGTAATTTTCAAATCCATGCTTCTCAGTACTAAGTTAATCTGCGTTTTTGTAGCACATGAAAAACATATTTGTGCTACTCAGGAGAGATAATTATGTATATCTCCACTTATCCAAAATATTTATAGTTAGATAGAATGACACCAACATTTAAAAGTGTTCTAGAATAAATTATCCTAAAATGGGTACATTAAAGATTCAAATATAAAACCTACTATAAAAGAAAGAAGACCAAATTGTAAACTATTTTTCAAAGGTAAAAACATCCTTTTTATTATAGAGAGCAGTAAATTTTAAAGCTCTCATTAAGTATTTAAAAGTCATAAAGTTAAAATAATTTCTTAAGTCTTTTAGCAAATTGAAGAATGATCTCAGAGCTAATTGGAGAAATCCAACAAAATGAGGAATTAGAAAGGGTTAACTAATTCTTAAGGAGAATAGCATTTTAGGAAAAATGCACTTTTTAATAATGTATACATTTTGATGAATTGTGTGTACTTTTAAAGCACATAAAATTCATTATAGCAAATAGACAAAAATTATAACCATCTCTCATGAGAAAAACTCTTGTGAAATTAAAAATGTGCATGCATAATAGAAATTACTGAATTTCATCATCTATGAAATAGAATTATATTGCAATAAGAGAGTCTCATAAAATGCATCAGCTATACCTATATTTTGCTACAAACAGCAAAAAACATCCCACAAATGAGAGGAAGGATCATGTAGTCACCATGAAAACTTGACCATATTACTTTTAAAAATAATATTAATGTATAATGAACAGTTGTTAATTTTGGAAAAACAGGTAGCTATCTGGCAATATGATGGGATGAATAAGTTTTCAACACACATTTTTTTATCCTAGGAATCAAGGTAAAACCTTAATTTTTGCAGAATCTATGGTAAATAATATTAATTTTAAAAGCTACTTCTGGGCATAATGTTGCTACTCTTTAAAAAAAAAGCATACATACTAAGCAAAGTCTAAGCACATTTCATTTATATATATTAAAAAAGTGCTAGTTCTCCTTGTAGAGATCTTTTAACTCCTTGGTTAGCCATATTCCTACGTATTTCATTTTTGTGTGTGGCTATCGTACATGTGATCTATTCTTGATTTGGTTCTCAGCTAGAATGTAATTGATGTACAGAAATGTTATTGATTATTGTGTATTTATTTGTTTCCTGAAACTTTACTGAAGTGCTTTATTAGTCCTAGAAGCCTTTGGCAGGGTATTTAAGATTTTTCTATGTATATAATTGTGTCATTAGCAAAGAACTATAGTTTGACTACTTATTTGCCTATTTGGATGCTTTTTATTTCTTTCTCTTGCCTCATTGTTCTGGCTAGGACTTTCATTACTAGATTGAATAAGAGTGGTGAATGTGGGCATCCCTGTCTTGTTCTAGTTCACAAAGTGACTGTTTTAAGCTTTTGCCCATTCAATATGATGTTAGCTGTGAATCTGTCAGAGATGGCTCTTATTATTTTGAACTATTTTACTTTAATGTCTAGTCTGTTGAGGGTTTCTCATTTTGAATGAATATCAGATTTTATCTGAAGTGTTTCTTCATCTGTTGAGATAATCCTATGGTTTTGTTTTTAATTTTGTACATGTGGTGAATCACATTTATGGATTTGCGTATGTTGAACCAACCTGGCATCCCAGGAATGAAGCTTACTTAATCATGGTGAATTAACATTTTGATATGCTGCTTGATTTGATTTACTAGTATTTTGTCAAGAAGTTTTGGATCTATGTTCATCAGGGATATTGGCTTGTTGATGTGGCTTTTTTTTTTCATTGTGTCTTTGCTAGATTTTTTTTTTTATCAGGATGATGCTGGCTTCACAGAATGAGTTAGGGAAAATCTTCTCTTCCTCAATGTTTTGGAAGAGTTTCAGTAGAATTTGTGTCAATTCTCTTCTTTGTATGTTTGGTAGAATTCGGCTGTGAGTCTATCTGGTCCAGGGTTTCTTTTGGTTGGTAGGTTTTTTCTTACTAATTCAATAATAGAATTTGTTATTGTTCTGTTCACATTTTCACTTTCTTCCTGGTTCAATCTTGGGAGGATATGTGTTTCCAGGAATATGTCCATTTCCTCTAGATTTTCTAATTTGTCTGCATAGAAGTGTTCACAATAGTTTCTGCAGATATTTTGTATTTCTTTGGGATTGGCTGTTATGTCATAATTGTTATTTCTGATTGCGCTTATTTTTATATTCTCTTTTTTCCTTTGTGAATATAGCTAGTGGTCTATCAATCTTGTTTATGCATTTAGAGAATCAACTCATAATTTTATCAATATTTTATATTGATTTTTATGTTCCAATTTTGCTCTGTTCTTCTCTGATTTTAGTTATTTCTTTTCTTGTCTTAGAGTTGGGACTTTTTTTTTCTAGCTCTTCTAGGTGCAATGTTAGATGATTAATTTGAGATCTCTCTAACTTCTTGACGAAGGCTACAAAACACTGCTGGAAGAAGTCAGAAACAACAGAATTAAATAGAAAGGCATTCCCTTTTCATGGATTGGAAGAATCAGTATCATTAAAATGATCATACAGCCCAAAGCAATGTATAGATTCAATGATATTTCTATAAAACTGCTGTTGTCATTTTTCACAGAATTAGAAAACATTTATGAAATCTATGTGGAACCTAGAAAGAGCCTGAATAGCCAAAGGAATATGAAGCAAAAGGATCCAAGCAGGAGGCATCACATTACCAGATTGCAAACTATAATATAAAGCCACAGAAATCAAAACAGCACAGTACTTGTACAAAAACAGACACATAGACCAATGGAATCAAATACAGAATCCAGAAATAAAGCCACACACCTACAATTATCTGATCTTCAATAAAGTTGATCAAAATAAGCAATGGGGAAAGGACTCCCTACTCAACAAATGGTGCTAGATTAACAGGCTAGCCATAGGCAGAAGAATGAAAGTGGATCCCTCTCTTTCACCATATAAAAAATTCACACAGGGTAGATTAAAGATTTAATTTTCAGACATTGAATTACAAAAATTCCAGAAGAAAATCTAGGAAGTATTCTTCCTGACATTCTTCTTGACATGAGTTACCCATCTTGACATTCTTTACCCATTTTGCAAAGAATTTATGGCTAAGTCCCCAAAAGCAATTGCAACAAAAAAGTTTACAAGTGAGACCTAATTAAACTAAAGAGATTCTGCACAGCAAAAGAAACTACCAACATAATAAACAGAAAACTTACAGAATGGGAGAAAATATTCACAAATTATACATCCAACAAAGATCTAATATCCAGAATCTACAAGGAACTTCAATCAACAAACAAAAAACAATGTCATTTAAAAAAAATGCGTAAAAGACATGAACAGAAATTTCTCAAAAGAAGACATACATAAGTCCAATGAATATATGAAAAAAATGCTCATCATTGCATTTCAGAGAGATGCAAATCAAAACTACAATGAGATATTGTCTCACACAAGAAAGAATGGCTAAAAAGTAAAAAAATAATAGATGCTGGTGAGATTTCAGAGAAAAGAGAATGCTTATACGCTGTTGCAGGGAACGTAAATTAATTCAACCACTGTGGAAAGCAGTTTGGAGATTTCTCAAACAACTTAAAATAGAACTATCATTCAACCCAGCAATCTCATTATTGGGTATATACCCAAAGGAAAATAAATTGTTCTACCGAAAAGACAAACGCACTCGTTATATTCATTGCAGCACTATTCACAATAGCAAAGACATGAAATTCACCCAGGTGCACACCAATGGTAGATGGCATAAAGAAAAAAATAGTACATATACATTGTGGAATAATATGCAGCCTTAAAAAAGAATAAAATCATTGCTTTGAAGCAAATGGGATGCAGCCAGAAGCCATTATTCTAAACAAATTAACATGTTAACAGAAAACTACCACATATTCTCATTTACAAATGGGAACTATTGAGGACACAAGTACATAAAAATGGGAACAGTAGACACAAGGGACTACAAAAGGTGGGAGGAAAAGAGGGGTGCATCGGCTGAGAAACGACCCGTTGGGTGCTATGCTCACCACCTGGGGTTATGCAATCATCTGTACCCCAAACCTCAGCAACACACAATTTACCCATGTAACAAACCTGCACATGTACCCCCTGGATCTAAAATATAAGTTGAAAGTATTTTTAAGTGCTAAGGTTACATGCAATAGGAAGTTCAACAGTAGTATAAATCAACAGACTCAAACTTAAAAACTTTCTTAACCATTTTACATAAAGACTACCTTACTTTGGGCTAGTTACTTTCCATCTCTCTGCTGCTGTTTGCTCATTTGTCAAATAGAGATAATAATAGTGCTTAGCTTCAAAGGATGCTATGAATATAAAATAATAACATAAATAGAAGAATTTTAGCATAGCTCCAGAGCATTGTTCTTGTTCTGTAAATATTAGTGATGACACTCGTTAAATTATAATTAAGTGGATATAAACATAGACTAGAGAATTAATAATAATGAATAATAATTACAAACTAAGTTCAAATTTCTTCAGATATTCTGAAGTATATGTTTCCAATATGGAAAATAATACTTGGTGAATTTTTTTATCTTCAGACAATAAATTTCCACCTTTTTTTGAGGCTGTTTCTAGAGATTGAACTGACAAAGTGACTTATGAACCATGATTCTAGGATTAACAGTGTTGTATTTTTAAACTTCCATTCCTCAGACTTATTTAATAATTTTACTACCTTATATTATAGGATACAGTGATAACCATTGTGTTATGTTTTATTAAAAAAAAAACTTGCTGCTTCTGTCTGATGTCAGAGTTGAATATATGACTGGTTTTGGGCCATGTAATGTTACTTGTGAGCAGAAACTTTAAAAGAATCAGCAAATGGCTTGTGAAGATCTCTTATTTCTCTGTCGTGAAAACAATGTGCCAGCTAGAGGTTGCTTCCTTAGTTTGACTTCAAAAGCCCATATGACATGGAGCAAAATTAAACCAGAGTCATGCTGGATATGAAAAAATAAATTCTTGTATGCCACTATTATTTATAGGCAAGCAACATTATAGTATAATCTAGCTAGTGGTCACTGAAATAGTTATAATAAATATTCAATTTTCCTTTATTTCCCTAAGCATCACTCCTCATTAGCTGTTCATAATCCTGCATCCATCTGTAGCTATTAGGATTAAGTAGTAGACAAATAACAGAGAGAAATAAAATCATCTATGTGGTAAGAAAAGCTCCGTGACTCAGTGTCCCAAAAGCCAAAGGAAGTTCATGTGATCAAAGGGTCAACAGCCCACAGATGACCTCAGATGAGCCCAGACCAATTCAACTTCGGTTAAGCACATTGCACTGTGTCGAGGACTTGCCAAAATAGTAGAGAAACTGAGGAATAACAAAGTCCACATGTTTCAGTCTAACGAGAAAATAAAACATTTAAAATAGAGTAAAGGATCCTATATTACAGGAAGACCTGGGAGTCAGCAACAGTACAACAAAAGAAGCAGTCACCTCTATACAGAAAACATTCATAGAAGATAGTATTGGAATGAATCACAGTGACAGTAGAATGGAGTTACTCAAGTCAGGTAAGGAACTAAAACCAAATCACTGCATTTGACAATTAGCGAATACCAGTGGAACCATACTGAGAATATTTTCTGAGTAGATATGAGGGCAACAGTTTGATTTTAAGCAGAATGAGGACTCAATGGAAAAGAAAAGTGGATCAAATTAATGTAGCTATTTTTTGATGATGTTTATGTATAAAAAATAGATATGATGCAGACTACAGGTGTATGCCAGGTTTGCTAAAATGGAATGGTTTATTAATGGAATGGTTTATTAAATTAGCATTTTGAACAAAAGTTAAAAAAGTACATAATTGTTGAATCACAGTTCCAGATGAGATGTTAAATGATGGTATCAAAAGTCCAGGTCAGCAGGGAAAATAGTCACTCATCTGAGACTAGAAGCAAAGGTATATGAATAGTTAAGTACAAAAGTAGTGGAGAGTTGATGTTTTAGATATTTTATGATTGGTGGGAAACTACATTTTTCTGGAAAATTAGATCCCAGTTTCATCTCTGGGGGTAAAGATGACAGAGCTTATGAAGACCTGAGGTGAATGGTACAGCTAGAGAATAGCCTATGAGTAGAATAGAAAAGAAAATAAATCAAATAAAGTCATTGGTAAATCTATATCAGAACAGTTGAAATATTCATTTCTTTCTTGCACTGCAATTCCATCTGCAGGACTTTGTTCTAAAGAAATAACCTGAAACATATAAAAAGTTCTGGGCAAATTTGTATGTCACAGTTGTATCTTGAGAAAAACTAGTAATGTCAAAACTATGATAATGGTTATAAATTTTATGATACTTCCTACAACCATTATAACTTCTTAAAAAGAGCTTACAGTGATATGGAAAAATACTTGTGTGCAAAGTTAAGTATGAACACTATCCACATATATACTCATTTACTAAACATCAATAATAGGTCAATCAGTAGAGGGCATAAATATATACATATATTATGTATGTGTAAATATGATATGTAATTATATAACATATATAATATATTATTTTTTCTACTTTTTTCTACACTGAAAATAGAGCACTTTTATAATAAAATAGGATACACCTTATGTTAAGTCATATAGCCAAATGGCAGAAGATTTTAACAGATTGTTGAAAAGGGTTGTAGAAGCAACGCAATAAGGTTGGAGTTTGTGTGGTTATTCACTACTGAGAGTGTTACTTCACATACCCAAAGTCATAAGGTATTCTTAATTATGAAAGATAGAAAGTGCAGCTTGTGCAACATAGGGAGCTCCCATCTCTACACATAATGTAAAAATTAGCCAGCATGTTGACACATAACTGTGGTCCCAGCTACTAGGACGGCTGAGGCAGAAAGATTCCCTGAGCCCAGGAAGCTGAGGCTGCAGACAGCTGTGACCGTGCCACTGCACTTTAGTCTGAACAACAGAGTGACACCCTGTCTCAAGAAAAAAAAAAAAAAAAAAGATAAAAAGTCAAAGAGAAAATAATCAAGTGTACCAAAATGTTCATGAAGGTGACCATAGGTTAACCATACGAAGTCCAGTACTTCTCAAATTTTAATATTCACTAGACTCTCTTAGGTATCTGTGTATTTCGATTTTTGTGTTACTATAAAGAAATACTTGAGGCTGGGTAATTTATAAACAGGTTTATTTTGGCTCATGATTCTGTGGGCTGTACAAGAAACATGCTACCATTATCTGCTTCTGGTGGGGGTGTTAGGAAGCTTACAGTCACGGCAGTGACTGGGAGATAGGCATACCACATGGTGAGAGTGGGACCAAGAGATAGGGGGAGGTGCCACACTCTTTTAAACAGCCAGATCTCACATGAACTCAGAGCAAGAATACACTCATTACCACAAAGATGGTATGAAGTCATTCATGAAGAATCCACCTCCATGACACAAACACCTCCCACCAGGCCCCACCTCCAACATCGCAGATTACATTTCAACACGAGACTTGGAGAGGACAAGTATTCAAACTGTATCATTCTGCCCCTGCCCCCCAAAATCTGATGTTTCTCACACATTATAA
Source organism: Homo sapiens (assembly GCF_000001405.40). Classification (NCBI taxonomy): domain Eukaryota; kingdom Metazoa; phylum Chordata; class Mammalia; order Primates; family Hominidae; genus Homo; species Homo sapiens. The sequence continues at coordinate 33,117,261 of NC_000004.12, forward strand.
AATAAAATAATTATTTCCCAATAGTCCCCAAAAGCCTTACCTCACTCCAGCATCACTCAGAAATCCCAAGTCCAAAGTCTTAAGTCTCATCTGATACCCAAGTCACGTTCATTCCACCTATGAGCTTGTAAAATAAAAAAAAAAAAAGTTATTTATTTCCAAGATATAATGGTGGTACAGGCATTGGGTAAACATTCCCAATCCAAAATGGATAAATCAGTCAAAAGAAAGGGGCAACAGTCTCTAAGCCAGTCTACAACCCAGCAGGGCAGACATTAGACCTTAGAGCTCCAAAATTATCCTTGGCTCCAAATCCTGTATCCGGATAATATGGTTTGGCTATGAACCACCCAAATCTCATCTTGAACTGTGGTTCCCATAATTCCCATGTATTGTGGGAGGGACCTGGTGGGAGGTAATTGAATCATGGGGACGAGTCTTTCCCATGCCGTTCTTGTGACAGTGAATAAGTCTCATCAGATCTGATGGTTTTATAAAGGGGAGTTTCCCTACACAACCCCTCTTGCTTTCCACCATGTAAGACGTGACTTTGCTCCTCCTTTGCCTTCTGCCATGACTGTGAGGCCTCCACAGCCATGTGGAACTGTGAGTCAATTAAACACCTTGTTTTTATACATTACTCAGTCTCAGATACGCCTTTATTAGCAGCGTGAGAACAGACTAATACACCTGGTGTGAGGGATAGACTCCCAAAGCCTTGGGCAGCTCTGCTCCTGTGGTTTTGCTGTACGCAGTCAACACTACTGTTCTGATGGGTTGAAATCTAGTGCCTGTGGCTTTTTGAGGCTGAGGTTGCAAGCTGTTGGTAGTTCTACCATTCTTGGGTCTGGAGGGTGGCAGTCTCATTCCCACAGCTCCACTAAGCAGTGCCCTGGTGGGAACTCTGTATGCAGCCTCCAACACCACATTTCTCCTCAGTATTGCCCTGAGAGAGTTTTTCTGTGGGGGATCTGCCTCTGCAGCAAGCTTCAGCCTGGGCCCCCAGTCTTTTCAATACATCTTCTGAAACCTAGGGGGAAGCTGCCAAGTCTCCTCTATTATTGTATTCTGTGCACCTGCAGGCTTAACACCATGTGAAAACCACCAAGCCTTATGGCTTATGCCCTCTGTAGCAGTAGGGATGTAAAGTGCAGCCTCCTGGGGTGGCAGGGTTGACCCCTAAAACCATTCTTTTCTCCTAGGCCTCTGGGCCTGTGATGGAAGGGACTGGGTTGAAGATATCTGAAATGCCTGTGAGGTCTTTTTCCCGTTGTCTTGGCTATTAGTGCTCAGTTCCTTTGTAGTCATGCAAATCTCTCTAGCAAGTGGTTACTCCACAACCTGCTTGGATTCTTTCTATACCATAAAGCCAGGCTGCAATTTTGTATGCTCTGTCTCCCTTTTAGATACAAGTTCTAACTTTAAGTCACTTATTTGTTCTCATAACTAATCATAAGCTGTTAGAAGCAGGCCACATTTCAAACGCTTTGCTACTTAGAAATTTCTTCCACCAGATAACCTAATTCATCACTCTTAAGTTCACCCTTCCACAAAACTCTAGAGCATGGACACAATGCAGCTAAATTCTTTGCTACTGTGTAACAAGGATGACCTTTACTCCAGTTTCCAGTAAGTTTCTCATTTCCATCTGTGACCTCTTAAGTCTGGCCTTCACTGTCCATTTCTCTATCACCATTTTGTTCACAACTATTTAACCAGTCTCTAAGAACTTCTAAACTTTCCCTCATCTTCCTGTCTTCTGCCAAACCTTCCAAACTCTTCAAAACTCTGCCCGTTACCCAGTTCCAGAATTGCTTCCAGATCTTCAGGTATCATCTTTAGAGCAATGCTCGAATCCATGGTACCAATTAGTATCATGTTAGTCCATTTTTGGGTTTCTATAAAGAAATACCTGAGTCTGGGTAATTTATAAAGAAAGCAGGTTTATTTTGGCTCATAGTTCTGCAGGCTGTACAAGAAATATGGTACCAGTATCTAGAACTTCTGGTGGGGGTCTTAGGAAGCTTACAATCATGGTGAAATCAGATGGGGGGACAGACATATCACAATGTGAGAGCAGGAACAAGAGAAAGATAGAGGTGGGACGTGCCACACTATTTTAAACAACCAGATCTCACATGAACTCGAAGAAAGAGCTCACTTATTACTGTGAGAATAGCATTCATGAGGGACCTGCCCTCAAGACCCAAACACCTCCCACCAGGCCCCAACTCCACAATGGGGATTAGGTTTTAATGTGAGATTTGGAGGGGACAAATATCCAAACCATATCAGTATCTAAAATGTAAATTATGATTAAATGGAGTGAGGGTGACATTCTGTATCTCTAACAAGTCTCCAGTTGATGTTCATGTTGCTGGGAAGTTTGGACCACAATTTGAGTAACAAGAATCTTGTCTATGTAAGAAATTCATTAAGAATTAATTCTAAGTGATTATGACATAGTCATTTGGATATTTAAAAATAACAGCGAGATAAAACTCAAACAATGATTTTGCATCAAATTGGTATAATAATAGTATGGAAGCTATCTTAAGGAGAAAGAAAGTTTCAGATAAAGCTTCCCGTCTCCTCAGGATTAGTAGAAATAGTAACCTGAACATCAAGGCTAGGGAATCCAGCCATAATAATTTTTCTTTCTCTTTTTAATTTTTATTGACAAAACAAATATATTACCAGTAGGATTACTAATATAATAAATATGCTATTTAGGAAGACAGAAAAAGCATTTAATTCTATCCCATTAGCCCTAGGTATAGATTTAATTAGGACAATGGAATAACTTAAAATACCTGAAGGGATACTGAGGGAATTAGTTACAAACAGAAGTAGATTTACCATAAAGCTAGTGAAGCTTATGCTTCAAGAACAATCAATTACATTGACATTTCCAAGGTCCTGGTCATAGCAATGTGTTCTGTGTCATAACATATTTATATGCAATTCCCCAAATAAGATAATTTAAGAAAATTGGTTTAAACCATTGCCTTTTTTTTTTCATCCAGACTTTACTTCTATCTTATTTTTCATTGTATCATGTGGCAGGAACCAAGATTTTGTGTACAGCTGAGAGGAAAGTTGAATTGGAGGTACATTTAATTAGGGTTTGATGGGATATGGTTATGTGGTTTGTAGTCAATTCTGTTTATAATTATGTTATTGCTAGGCTTGCTACTATAGTTTTCCTCCAATCCCCACAGCTGCCTTAACTCAGCAGCATGATAAAAAGGTAGAGAGATACAGTTATAGCATGGTAACAGTTTGAATTTTTGCACTTCCAAATCATAAAACTCAAATGAAAAAAATTTGATACAGATTTCCCAATTTGACCATAAACAAATTTGTTAAAATTCAAAAATAAATTTTATATGCTATTAGTGATTTTTAACAAATTGTTTTGAGCAATTATGCCAGAAGTGAGAAAAATTATCTCTATAGAAAATATTTTAAAATTTCTTTTGAAGAAAAAATAAAAGCTTGTATATTCCCCAAAATATAGGAAAGTGGTTGTTAGGGTATATGTAATTTTGTATTTAGTATTATAAAATATAGAATTTATTTAATGTAAGCCGTATGTTTTTATTTGGGGAATATATATGTACGGTTTAGTTTTATAATATTTATAATTTATTTTGTTTAATTTTCTCATCAGAAATACATACTGGTTTTAAACCTAATTTTGTATTTATCACATTTAATTCTTTTTTCTTTATTAAACGACCTTCACTTTATAAATTGTACAAGTCCCACAACACCTGGTGTGCCCTGGATGTAATCACTTCACTTCTTTGAATTTGTTTTCTTATTTGCAAAGTAATAACTGTCTCTCTGGGTTATAGGAAGGATTAATTGAGATGATAAATGTGTTCAGTATAGGTCAATAAAGGTCAATAAATGTCAGTTGTGATTTTTGCCATTACATGTATACATAGTCAATATTTTAATTATTGATAGTTATTTCTTTCCTCCATCCAGCCTAACTTCTGCTCAGGAAGATATCTAACATCAAAATCAAATTGTGCTAGCCTCTGCTGGAAATCCTTTCAGTGATTGCTATTTTCTACAAGACTCATTTATAAAGCTATTTTCAATGAAACTTTTGATTTGTGTATTTGATATTTACCACATGATGTTTTGGGATATATATATATATATATATATCCCAGTTTATATATATATATATATATCCCAGTTTATATATATATATATATATATTTTTATATATATTTATATTATATATATTATATATTATATATATTTTATATTATATATTATATATATTTATACATAACATATATTTACTCTAGTGAAGCAGAATTACATACCTATCATCTTACATACTTTTTTTGATGAGGTTCCTTACAATTCAATTTCCACTTTCCTCTCCAATTGCATCTCTTGAAATTTCACCCATTTACAGTTTTCAGATACAATACTCGTTTACATGTTAGAGATCCAAGTCATGCCCTTTCACTTTTCTCTCCTTTGTTTATGGAATTCCTGCTTTTCAGAAGTCTTTCTCTCTTTCATAGCAATGTAAGTTTCTACTCATTCTTTAACAATGATCTTTTTTTTTTGAATTTTAAAAATTTATTAAAACTATTTGCATAATCCATACATATAAATTTAAAAACATGATGTAATAGATAATTTCCTAGGAAAAATATAATTTTTCAAAATCAACTACTAAAAGAAACCAAATGTAGTTAGAAAATTTTCATACAAGAAATACAGAATTATCAAATTATCAATAAACACCAGGAACAAGAAGTTAAACATGGGGAATTCTATCAAAACTTCATTTTTATCAAAATTATCACTGAAATGATAATATTGTGTTAATTTGCATTTAAAACTGTAAATTTATTGCCTTTTCACTTATTTATGGTTCATGTCATTTGACAGTTTTATTTGTATAGATATTGTTTGTCTGCTGCAGATGGTGCAATGATCTTAAATGTTAGATTTTATAAATTATGGCACAATGGATAAGAATTGACACTTACCTTGTGTCTTAGTCATCTTTCTGCTGCTATAACAGAACAATGACAGACAGTAATTTATGAAGAATAAACATTTTTTGGTCTCACATTTCTGGAGGCCAGGAAGTCCAAGAGCATGGTGCTGTCATTTGGCAAGTGTAATTCTATAGAAGAAGTGGAAGGGCCTGGAAGACAGAGAGAAAATTGGAGCTGAACTTGTTCTTTTATCAGGAGCCCACTTTTACAAAAATGGTCTTTATTCGTTCATGATGGCTCCACCTTCATGGCCTAATAACCTCTCAAAGACTCCACTTCTTAATTCTTTTACCATGCCTTTCAAGTTTCCAACACATGAACTTTTTGGGGAAAAAATCAAACATAGCATCGTGCATCAATCATATTCACTTAAAGAAGATATTGTTAAATATAGTAGGCAACATATAGTAACTTATGAACCAGTCATTCCATACCTACAGTGAGAAACTCTTAAACTCTTTATAGGAGGACATGCTCTACCTAGCATTGTTTGTGCAGGAGAATGTTGAAGACCACATAGATAAAATGAATAAATAAAATATACTAGGAGCACACAAAGAAATATTTTGAACAGTTAGGAAATTTATTATGTTCATTTTTATTATTGAACAAAAAGTAGAAGTGAACACAATCTATAGCATAAATTCATAGTGTAAATTAAAACATGTACTAAACGAACATTTTTACTCAAAAACACAAATATTTATACATTTGAGTGAGTGCCTATAATAAGGAGAAGAGTGGGGAGTCCCAGAAATGCTACATGAAATCTCTCATGCAAACATAAGATTATGTGTTTCCCATCTTTATTTCTTTATCTTTCACTATCTTTTGTCTGGGTGTTGTAATTTATTTAGTATCTTAGTTTGTTTGTGCTGCTATAAAAATACCTAAGACTAAGTGTAAGAACAGAAATAAATGTCCTCATAACTCTTAAGTCTCGGAAGTCCAAGAGCAAATTGTAGGCATGTGTAGTGTCTGGTGAGGGTCTTAGTCTTTGCTTTCAAGATGGTGCTTTGAACATTGTGTCTTCACATCATGGAAGAGCAGAAGGACAAAAAGAGGCCTATGCGACTTCTCTCTAGCCCTTTCATAGGGCACTACTCCATTTATGAAGGCTGATCCCTCATGACTTAATCACTTTCCCAAAGTCCTCACCTCTTAATACCACCACAATGGGGATTAAGTGTCAACATGAATTTTGGAGGGGACACAAACCACAGAAATTAATGAGCTCAACGTCTCTCAGAAGGTAGACAAACAACCCTGTCAGTGTCATCCCGGAATATGCATTAAAAAAGCAGATACTTGAACTGTATTTTAGAACTGCTGAATGAGAATATATTCTAATAGAGCCTAGAAATATATATCCTATCATGAAGAAGCAACCCAGGTGTTTCTTAAAAATATATTTTGAAAATGATAGACTTAAACTGTGGGACACATGAAGTCAGAGTCACAGGAATCTCAGGGACACAAGTTCTAGAGATGCTGCCAACCATTTTTGACATTGGTTAAACATCATAATTATTCAATAAACATTTGTTTAAAGGCTAACTGGATTAACAATTTGATGGATGGCATTACTTCATAGAGAATAGATAGGTAGAAGAAATCAAGACTACTAGAAAAAAATCATTATAAATCAAACATATATAATTAGAAAAATCTTATTTTACACCACAATAGAGCTCCAAGTTTATTTATCAATCTCCAATTAACAAATATACTTATATATACACATTTGACCATACACGTATATGTACTGTATATGTATATATGTATATGAGAAACTTCCCCAGTTTCTAACAAAGAAAATGAACAGCATGCATGCAAGACTAAATGCTAGCGTAATAGCATAGATTTTTGCCTGCTGTTTACATGTCCAAAATTTGCATTAGCTTTTGTATCCAACTATCCTTAATCAGATTGGTAGTCCATTTGGAGTAGATTTAAGCCAGACTTTAAAACCATAATCTGCCCTTGACTATCTAGGTCAAATTCTCTTGGGAATTTGTGCCAGTTCAGGAAATTTGAAAATGTATTTTCATTCAAATAACTGTGTTCAAGCAAAGGGCACGCTGGAATTTGCCATTTTGGCTGCCATAACAACTACCACTATCAGTATCTATGCACAGATGCTCAATGTGGGTAACTATTACTGGCAAGTTATGCTGGCGGCTCACACAAATGAATAATCGTTGGCTCATGATCACCTTGACTCCCTAGATCACTTGGAATGGCCCAGCTGGGCTAAGCAGGAAATCTAGCTAACGAGAGGGATTTTTCTACCCTCTAGTCATGATGCATAATATACAGGATTTCACACAGCTGTTTTTTTAAAAGTTTATCCTAAAGTTTTTAGCATTATTTAAAATGTTTTTATTTTTATCTTATTAATAAAAATGCTATTTATGTATATTGGATATAAGACAACGATTCAGTGAGGAATTGAAATTTTGAAATTCATACTTAAATGGAACATTACTTTTTCCTATGATACATTGTCCAATTGCTAATGAATAGCATCAGTCCAGCTGCTTACTGTGAAATTGCCACCCTTGCACCATGCATACAATAAAATAAGGAACACACTGTTATTAAAGCTGAACAGAAAATGCTATTTTTAAATGATTCAATCTATCTAATAGCAGCTAAGTAATGAAGTAAACATCATTAGTGAACTTTTCAGACTATATTTACATTTTGCTACCTTTCTCCCACCCCGTTTCACAAGGTTTCTGAGGATACAGTTTACTCTTTATGCTTAAATTGCGGATCTACAATTTACTGGGCCATTAACATCAAAAAGATATATGCACTATTTCACTCTAAAGAACCACAGAGAGAGGAATGGGAAAAAGAATCTCTTTAATGTGTCTCCATCAGAAAAGATGATGGTACAGTGTTCCTAGATCCTGTGATAGTGAGGAACCTCTAAGAACAATAAACATCTAACTAAAACGTGATAGGATGATTTTCCCCACCCTTCCTCAAAAGCTGACTCTTAATCCAAAGTCTGACTCTTCATCCAATGTCTTTGATCTATGGAAAGATATTACACATTTTATGTTTGAGATGGTATAAGCAAAATACAGAAAATTTCCTAAAGCCTTTTATCTTGAATTTCTAAATATGATTTAAAGAGAAATTATAATTTTTAATTAGGAAGTCATTAGGAGTATTTCTTAAAGTTGCTTTATTCTTACCTGAGGAGTACTGTAACTTCTTTTATGACTAAAATTATTACTGTATTACAATCTATGGATTTAGTTCTTTTTTTCCCCCTTTCTCAATGCATGATTCTTTACCTCACCTTACAAAACGTGGCAGTATGCCATTTTTTATTTCTTCCTCCCCGGCCTTTATTTTGCATTCTTCTTCAGCTGCACATTGAACTTCAGAATTTCTTCTATCTGCAGCTTTCTTCTATCTCCTCTTATTACTCTATATATTTGCTCAGGTAATCTCCCATATTAATATTACAATCTTTGACATATTCATTTTAATCTATGTCTTCAGGTCATTTCTTTACCTGAGCTTCAGTCTTAAATAGCCAGATGACAATTCAGCTTGAAATTCAAATAAAACCCTAATATTCACTTAGATTATTTTTTTTACCCATCTTTTTTTTTTTTTTCTGCTGCTCTCTGTCATTTAACATCATCACTATGCACCCAGGTCAATTAAGAAACCTTGGACATATCATTGATTGTTCCTACTCTCTCATCTTTCATCAAATCAACCACCAAGTCAATGTGAATCTTCCATACTTTTGTCTACATTTCACAGTTCCATTTCCCATTAACCTAGTGAAACACTAGCAACTGTTTTGTACATGACAGCAGTGTAATTATTAAGCTGCCTGTCTTGGTCTCAGCACTCTCCAATTCATTCCTGACAATGCATCAAAAATAATCCTCTATTTGACTTTACTATTCCACTGTAATAGCTCAGTGCCTTGACACCTTTCCATTCCTGTAGGATAGAATCCAAATGTCTTAGTATGGATTGCAAGGTCCTCACTGATTTGCCTTCTAATCTATTGCTAATCATGTTCTTATAGTCCACACCCTATGTAATGAGCTACTTTCGATTTCCCAGAGAACTATTCATTTCTTTGGTCCAGTCTTTGTCATGCTGCTATTATCTTGAATATTTTTAATTTCTTTCTCACAACCCCTAGCACACTATACTGACTAAAGTTAAGTGTCTCTTCTACCCCTTTTTTCCCCATAGCATTCTAAATTTCAACTATTCGAATATTTATCACAATTTGTTGGAAATTCTTTTGTTAGCCATTTCACCCACTGGATCTTAATTTCAGTGAGGGAAGGGTCTGTTTCTGAGAATCTAATTGGTGCCTCCAGCTTCTATTTTCCTATATATAGCTATATGTGTACATGTATAGATAGGCTTATATATACATATATATATATATATGTATATGTGTGTATATATATATAAGTATATGTGTATATATATATATGTTCAGTGAATATTTGTTTAATAAATATATTAATATATGTTTTAGAGTTTTCCCACATGAAAACTAATCTAATAAAATACTTTCTTCTGTCTTGAAACCCAGAGACCACATTCTTTAAAATGAAAGGATTAGCCTGTATGTCCTCATATAATTTACTCCCTCTGGTCATCCTATATTTTCTGAAACAATTTTATACAAATATATAAGTGCCTTGAAAACATACAATGTTCCTCCATTTTTATGAGAGAAGAAAAAAGAGGGGCAACAAACTTCAGAAAAATTAGAGAAAATAAGGAATTTTAGCAGAACCAGATATTTTGATGATATAAAAGCAAAGACACAGCATAAGACGCAAATAAGAAAACTTACAAATTTAATTTCATTCAAATATTAAAGAAATGAAATATGACTATTTTTTAAAATCCCAGAAGTCTTACAGATAAACAACTATATTATATTTAATTTGGCATGATTTTATAAATTAAAACATTATTTTATTTAATATCTAGAAAAACAATGTAAGACAGAATGTTATTAGCCCTATCATATAAGTGACAAAATTGAAGCATAAGGTAAAACCTTGACAGAAATCATGGAGTCAGTAGATGCAGAGGTAGCATTAACACTCAGATCCACAGTTCTTAATTCATTCTTAGTCACAGTAAGATACATCAGCATATTGACTTATTTATTCATTTACTGAGACAGAGTCTGGCTCTGTGGCCCAAGCTGGAGTGCAGTGGCGTGATCTCAGCTCACTGCAACCTCCACCTCCCAGGTTCAAGAAATTCCCTGCCTCAGCCTCCTGAATAGCAGGGATTACAGGTGCCTGGCACCGCATCTGGCTAATTTTTGTATTTTTAGTAGAGACAGGTTTTCACCATCTTGGTCACTGGTCTTGAACTCCTGACCTCGTGATCCACCTGCCTCGGCCTCCCAAAGTTCTGGGCTTACAAGCGTGAGCCACCGCACCCGGCTACATCAGCATTTTTTTAATTAGAATGGACTATACTTCCAACTTGCCCTAGTCACTGGATTTGACAATTATCCAACTCTCTCCACTTATCGTTCATACATCAAAGTCCTATTTTTATGGTATAATCATTCATAATAAATTTAGAAAAATTTTCATTAAATACAGAGTATTAGATTGTTTAGAAACTTAAAAATAATTAGCTTTTATTTTTAATTTTTAATTTTTTTATTTCCATAGGTTTTTGGGGAACAGGTGGTGTTTGGTTACACGAGTAAGTTCTTTAGTGGTGACTTGTGAGATTTTAGTGTGCCCATTACCTGAGCAGTATACACTGAACCCAGTGTGTAGTCTTCTATCCCTCACCCTCCTCCCACCCTTTCCCTGGAGTCCCCAAAGTCCATTGTATCATTCTTAGGCCTGTGGATCCTCATAGCTTTTGTAAATAAGTCTTTGTCACACAGGTATGAGATAAAAGCCAGAGCAGTTATGAAACAAATAGAAAATTTGAGTTTTTCAGCAACAAAATGATATTCATATCATTCCAAGGGAGTATCTCTGCAATCAATAATGGTCTCTTCCAATCCATTTTTGAAGCAATAATCTAAGAAGATTTTCTAAAACTCAAATAAGATTACGTCCTCACCAGTTTAGAAAATGTAAGTGTTCGTTCCTAGCTAGGATGGCCACCCTTTGTTGTTTACCTTGCATCCATTTTCCCCTTCTCCTATGCCAGAAGTTTTTAACTGAAGGTGTTTTTAGCCTCTGGGGAAGATTTGGCAATGTATGGAGACTTTGTTATGCTTCACAACTGGGGAAGAGGACGCAACAGTCATTTAGTGGGTATAGGAGAGGGATGTACCTAAACACCTTCAGTGCATAGCACAGTCCCTCATCACAAAGAATTATCTGGCCTCAAATCTCAGCAGTACCAGGATCATGAAACCATCTTCTTTGTTTAACCATATGTCAATTCATTTATATCAGTAATGTGATTTGTCACAAGAAAAAAACCAAAATTCACCAAATTAACATAGACAATATTTTATAATTTAATCCCTGCTGACATCTCAACGTTATTTATTATTACTCTACTTCTTTGTTCTGAATTATTTGCCATTTATAAAAATCATGCATGTATCTGTCAAGATGAGATAAGCTATATTACATGGAGAAACACCTCTAAAATACCAGTAGCTTACAGTCACAAACTTTATTTCTTATGCTACATGCCCAAGGTATATTGGTAAGAGTGTTCTCATTGTACTGAAAGAAACTCAAGCAAATGGAGGCTTTATCATCTTAAGAAGCTTTTATTTCAAGCTGCGTCTTCAGGTTTCAGACTGGCAGGAGAAGAGAACATGGAACATTACAACGTGACCCTTAGTTGCTTCTATCCAACAATAAAATACATCACTTCCACTCACATTGGCCACAATATCTTGGCCAAAAAAGTCACATGGTTGTGGCATAACCGGCATTTTCTTGGAAGAAAAGAGAAATTAGAACTCTTAGTGAGCCCTAGTAGTATCTACTCCTGTGGGTTATTTTTTTCTCCTTATTTCCAGGACTAATTCATATTTAAGTTTAATGTAATGCATTACTTCTTAGATAAAGTCATCTTGATTCATTTTTTTTTGGACTTTGTCAGATGCCTCTCTCTGGTGCCCTTATCATAACTTGTACATAGATCTCACATTTAGTATTTGCTATTGTGAAAGTCAATAGTTTGCCTCTGCTTGATGACTAGTCCTTGGCAGTAGAAGTTTCTTATTTATTGCTATATTTACAAAATCTAGCATACATGAAATGATTTAATTAAACATTTTTATACAAACGCACAAAATACCCCCTAAGTCAAATTATACAATGGAACACGTAAGAATCATTGATTTTTCTATCAAACGAGAGCCTCTTGCTTCTCCAGGTACCTGATGATTCACTGACTTAAAGTTCTATCCATATTTTCTCCTTATTCCAATATGAGAAAATGGCTCTCATGTCTTCAGAGCATCATAAAATGTAATTTGAAAGTATTGTAAAAATCATGTTGTATAAAATATATCAATTTTACGGTACCCAAGGCAATAATTTTTCTTTAAAAAATGACATTACTAAGTAAAGATAAGATAAATTATTGAGGATAGTCAAACTCTTGTTCAACCTAGATTGCCTTCAAGCAACTTAAGAACCTTCAGTTTTAACTGCAAACAGCTTTCAGCATTCCCTGAAAAAAAAAAAATGATCAGGCAAACAGTGGTGAATCTAATGGGTCCCAAAGAAACCCAAAACTGTTTGGGAAAATTGAATTCTCTCCCTCCTGAAAATACAGTTTTTGTCATATTACTGTGAAAAATGTTTACTTCATCACTGTTGCAGAAATATATTGACTTATTCATATATTAAAATTCTCCCCCGAATAAATCTAGCTGTATAATTCAATTCCAGGGAAAGGTCACTGGACTAAGACTCAGGAGACTCTAGTTGTTTTCCACATCTTGCCAGATTTAGTCAGGTCACTATGATTAAGTAAGACTTTTCTGAGCCTTAGTATCCTTATTTTTTTTTTTTAATTATACTTTAAGCTCTAGGATACATGTGCACAACGTGCAGGTTTGTTACATATGTATACATCTGCCATGTTGGTGTGCTGCACCCATTAACTCTTCATTTACATTAGGTATATCTCCTAATGCTATCCCTTCCCCCTCCCCCCACCCCACAACAGGCCCCTGTGTGTGATGTTCCCCTTCCTGTGTCCAAGTGTTCTCATTGTTCAATTCCCACCTATGATTTTTTTTTTTGCCAAAAGTCGATTTAGTAACAGTTGTCCCATTCATTCCAATTACCAGCAATAGAGTTATTCGAATTAATGTAGTATAATATAAAATGTAAAACAAAAAATAAATATAAAGTCATTTAAACAGTATTACTGATGTAGCATAGCAGTTAGAATAGACTTGCATTCCTTAAAATACAAGCTACTTAACCACTGAAACGCTTTACCCATTGAAGAACAATCATAAAAAGGGGTAATGGAAAAAATTGTTAAAAAATTAAATTAAATATATGTTCAGATAATAGATATTTAAATATCTATTTAATATTTATTTAAATAATATTATTTAATAAATAGATATTTAATATCTATTTATTAAATAATAGATATTTAATATCTATTTATTAAATAATAGATATTTAATATCTATTTATTAAATAATAGATATTTAATATCTATTTATTAAATAATAGATATTTAAAAGTATATTTTAAATATACTTTATTTAAATAGATATTTAAAAGTATAATTCCCTGAAAATATAATAATAAAATTTCAAAAAATAAATTATAAATGTAATTTTGGGGAAATGTGAAGTAAATACAAGCACTGTTAGTTTTCCTGAACTAGCTAATAAAGGCAGATAATTCACCTTGGTATGTGAAAACACAGAGTATTTTCTTTGGACAAGGGATAGTAAGCCTTCTTCTGAAATAATATTATTGTACCATTTAAAAAATTCCAGATAAAAGTAAATTTAATTAAAAAAATAAGAATATAAGAATTGTTTAGTAACTATGAAATTCTGCTGTGCGCGGTGGCTCAAGCCTGTAATCCCAGCACTTTGGAAGGCTGAGGCGGGCGGATCACGAGGTCAGGAGATAGAGACCATTCTGGCTAACACGGTGAAACCCTGTCTCTACTAAAACTACAAAAACAAAATGAGCCGGGCGCCTTGGCGGGTGCCTGTGGTCCCAGCTACTCGGGAGGCTGAGGCAGGAGAATGGTGTGAACCCGGGAGGCGGAGCTTGCAGTGAGCCGAGATCGCGCCACTGCACACCAGCCTGGGCGACAGAGTGAGACTCCGTCTCAAAAAAATAAATAAATAAATAAAATAAAATAAACACATAAAAAACTATGCAATTCAACAACAGTTCAACCAGAAAACCGGAAGGAATTCTTAGGAAAAGAAAGAAATGGAAGGAAACAAAATCATAGCAACAAAAAGAAACAGTGATAATAAAATAAGAAACTAAAAACTTTAAGCCCTGATTCTTTTTTTTTTGGGGGGGGCGGGTTGACGAAGTCTCACTCTGTTGCCCAAGCTGGAGTGCAGTGGCGCGATCTCGGCTCACTGCAAGCTCCGCCTCCCAGGTTCACACCATTCTCCTGCCTCAGCCTCCCGAGTAGCTGCGACTACAGGCACGTGCCACCATGCCCGGCTAATTTTTGTATTTTTAGTAGAGATGGGGTTTCACTGTGTTGACCAGGCTGGTTTTGAACTCCTGACCTCGTGATCCGCCTGCCTTGGCCTCCCAAAGTGCTGGGATTACAGGCATCAGCCACCACGCCCGGCCCCTGTTCTTACTCTAAAGCAAAAATTGTTTCTAGAGAACAATTTTCAGTTCTAAGGAAGTTAGCTTTAATGCATGATGTATTTCATGCTGTAGGAAGCAGTATTTTACGGTGCTTTGAAGGGTGGGGACTCTGGAACCCAGCTGTGCCACCAAACAGCACTATGCCTAATACATAATGGGAACTCAATAAATATTAGCTGATATTGCTATTGAGATTTTTGTGAGTCTTGTAATTTTAAACTACAAAGATTAATCTACAAACAAAAAAAGATAACTCTGCTGTTTACTCTGAAGCCATAGATTCACACCCTTAGGAATGACAAAGTAAGACAAAGGAGACAGAAAGCTGAACAGATCTGCTTGTTTCTTAAGCTTGATGGATCTTGCAAGGGCCTGAAGCAGGAGACAGAGTTTGGTGTAGGATTTCAAACTCTTTTCATTAAATACAGAGCTTGTTCAAAAGTGTCACAGTTCCCCTGTGTTTGTAACTACTCAGTAAATATTAAACAATCAATGAACTCTTAACTTCCTCTTTGTTCCTCTACCCTGTGGACAAAATGCAGGGGTTCCTTGAAACCTGCTCTCAGAAACCTATTGACTTGAGCCCTCTCTTCATATTGGAAGGATTCACTTCCTGGGATGGGTCAAAAAGCTGAAGAACCTGCAGAAACAAATGTCTGAATCCAGTCTTCTCTTATTATAGCCCAAATATCAACTGCCATTATTTATCCTGGGATTTCTCTGAATTCGCTTTTATTCCCCTTGGTGTTCCATACATACAAACATCAAATGAAGATAGTTTACCATCTTGTACAATTTTTACTAAATTAAATGCGCTGTTGGGGAATCTAAAAAGGGGAAAAACAGAATGTTGGATTATTTGTGAACTTACGTAACTTGGAATAAAACTATAATAAAAAAATTGATGGTTTTCCTTCTTCTATCATTCCATATTAATTTCAAAGTGAAATTTGGTGAATTATACTTTGTACAAATTTCATATTTCATTGTCTTATTATATATGTATGTGACTATATATGTTTGTATAATGTGTATATATATATACATAAATATATTTCATTATTTTTCTGAAAGAAAGACCAAGGTTAGAAAAGTTTGTTCCTATAGTACCAGAGAGTATATATTGTAAGCTTTGTGGGCCACATCTAATCTTTGTCACATATTTATTCTTCTGTGTTTTGTTTTTGTTTGTTTCTTTCACTTTGTTTGTTTTGCAACCCTTTAAACTTGTAAGCAACATTCTTAACAAGTTGGCCTTAAAAAAACAGGCTGCTGCTGAATGCGGCCCTGGAGCTGTAATTTGCTGACTCTTAAGTTAGATGCTACATGCACCTGAAAACAAGCATGCTGAGAGTGAAGATGCAGAGGGAATGGGATACATGAAAGAGATAAAACTTGTTTTTTTGTTCTTCTGATGCTGAAAACAGTGAAGAAAAAATATGTACTGAATGGACTTACATTTTCTGCCACTGAAAATACATACTTAGCAATATTCAAATTTCTACACATACTGGTGACTCTACAGTGTCTCCCCCATCCCCCAAGTGATCCCTGCTGCCTGGAATTCAAGTTCATGCTGTCCCCTCCCATGAAATGTGTACTAGGTTTTCTGATTCATTTCCAAAAATTAGAATATTAAAGAAGACATGGGATGTCAATCCTGAAATTGGGTTTTGAAATAACTATGGCTTTCATTATGGATGTTTTTTCCTGTTTTTTTTTCCCCTCAGCTCCCTTGATCTGGAGAAATAAGCTGTCATGTTGTGAACAGACCTATAGAGGGGCCTGTGTGGTGAGGAATTGGGTCTCTAGCTTACAGCAACTTGATTTGCCAAAACACACGAGGGTGAACTTTGTAATGAAGCCTTTGCCAGTCAAGCCTTGAGAGAACCACAGACCTGTGATGGTTAATTTCATGTGTCAACTTGGCTGGGCCATGGTGCCTAGATACGCAGTCAAACATTATTCTGAATATTTCTGTGATGGTGTTTTGTTTTTTCTTTCTTTCTTTTTTTTTTTTTTTTTTTTTTGGATGATATAACATTTTAGTCAGTGGACTTCAAATAAAGCAGATTCTCTTCCATAATATGGGTGGGTTTTATCCAATCCATAGAAGACCTTAATAGAACAAAAACTGACCTCCCCAAGCAGGAAGAAATCTTGCCAGCAGACTGCCTTTGGATTCAAACTGCAACTCTACTCTGAATCTCCAGTCTGCCTGCTTGGCCCATCAGAATTTGAAATCCCTAAACCTCTGCAATCACATTAACCAATTCCTTAAAATAAATCTCTCTCTGTCTCTGCCTCTCTCTCTCTCTTTTCATACAACCTGCACCAACACAGACACACACCCCCTCTTGGTTTTGTCATTCTGGAGAACCCTGACTAATACAGGCTAATACAGGCTCCATCTGACAGCTTGACTACAAACTACTGAAGACATGAGCTCCAGGCGCACAGCCAAGTTGCACCTGCATTCTTGATCCACAAAAAATGTAAGATCATAAATGGTTTTTGATCTATCTGCTGAATTGTGTGGTAATTTGTTACATAGCAACAGATAACTATCACAAATATGCTTATATGTGTATATAGATCTAGCTTTTTAAAATATTTTTACTTCTTCTTTTGAGAAAGCATATTCTCAAAATATATTTGCCCCTAGTGTCTAAAACATATATCAAGAATTTGTAGATATAAATCAATTATTTTTTGTCAGTTGATTTATATTTAGAGATTTATTTTTATTGATTTTTTAAACTTTTATTTTAAGTTCATGGGTACATGTGTAGGTTTGTTACTATGTAAACTTGTGTCATGGGGTTTTGCTGTACAAATTATATCATCACCCAGTTATTAAGCCTAGTTCCCAGTAGTTATTTTTCTTGATCTTCTCCCTCTTTTCACCCTCCAGATTTAGTCATCTTTTGCTGTGAAATGTAATCCAAATATTTCCATTTTGACTTCTATATTCTTAAACATTTTTTATCACTTAGCCATATCCTGAGCATTTGGTTTTACATAAAATATAAGAAATGTTTATGGCTTACGGAACAGACTAGGTGGTTATTTTCTCACCATCCTCTTGGACAGAATAAAGGCACTTTGAGATAGAGCTGGAATCCTGTGGCATCATCTTTGTGATCAGGCATGGCCACTCAGAACAAAACCTCATGATTTCATTATGTTCTGATCTACAGTGGTACCGACTGAAATGATTATTCTGCCTATACCTGGAAGATAATTAGCTTCAAGTAAGATAATTGAAGATAATCAAATTCATAATAAAATATCTAATTCACTGCTTATATGGTTAACATTAATTCAACCTACATGTTACAGATACTTTCATTAAGTGTTGTTGGGCATTTGACAATGGGCAGGTACTTCAAAGGTAAGTAAGACATACTTCCTACAACTAGTTATCTCATGTATTAGTATGTGGTTCAGATACAGGAAACAGAGTTTTGAGTAGAATTTTCTAGTTGTTTGGAATTCCTGAGTTGTTTCTCAAGTAAAGATAAGATGCTGTTTGGTATTCTATATCCTAAAATACTTGCCAACAATGGAAACTAGACCCTACCTTCATCCCTACTGAGAAGCAGCCTAGCTAGCTCTCCTATTTTCAACTATCACTTACATTAACCTTCCAGTTCATTTATAAAAATAACTTTTGAAAGAAAGAAAAAAATCCTGTCAGAATCTTGGTATGTTAGCCTCCTGGAGACTATAATAGCTCTCCACACTGACCTTCACCAAAAGAACTAAATGGGTTAAAAGACACCAACAGAAACTTTTGAAGAGATAAGAGGATCTCAGGAAAGGGGATGTTGCCTTTTCACTCCCCAGATGCATGCTGAAGAGCAAAGACAGAGTCGAACCTGATTCAGTCATGAAGCAGAGTAGGCATGGTGATGAAGATCTTGGGAGATTTTGAGGTATATATGAAAACTGAGAGAGAGCGAGCGAGAGAGAGAGAGACAGAGATGCAGAAAGACAGACAGAGACAGAGAGAGAGTGCATGTGTTGCCTGTCAATCAATGCAGACTTATAAAGGCAGGAGATTTGCTTGAGCTGTCAGTAGAGTAATTGGTTTATTGTGCCTAAGGAAAAAAAATGAAGTGACTCTCACATAAGTTTCTCACAGCCTTCTGCAACTATAGAAAAGGACACAATGGTTCTTCTGGCTTCATGAGAACAATCATGGAGTTAATTAGGACCAGGAGCTAAGAAGCTGGTGTGATAGTTCCAAACCAGTTGAATCTATGAATCTTTCTATCAGGGCATTGGAAAAATGGACCCTTGGTATGAGATAATAGGTATGACGACCTGAGAGCCTTCTTGGTGAAAGGTGTGACCAACATAGATATTGTCCAGGAAAATCGCATGTATTTTTGACATAAGAATGTCTCTAGATTGGGCTCTCAGTTCTGTAAGCAAATAGAAACTAACTGAGCAAACAAAGAATAATTCAGGCTTTTCAACAAAGGGTTACCAGGCATGTAAAATAACTTTTGCCATCATTCCCATTCTCCCAGCCCCCCATACTCTTAACACACATAATGGGGTACAAGGACACTGCATCTCAGAACCCAGACCACAGACCCTCAATATCTAAGTTACAAGAGTGGGAGGAGCAAACCTGAAGCAATGAGTGGGGCTATAGTTGCTCAACTGATGAGCTCTTGACTAACAGTAGATGGTGGAGCCCAGGAGGTGTGTCTTCTAGGGAACTTAACTTAAACCCGCCTCAAGAGAAGGAGATATCAGAGGCAACCTTATTTCTTAAGCTAAAGAATATAATGGGATTCTCATGCTGTGAAAGGAAGTTGGAAATAGCTAAAATTGATCCTTGTCTCTAACTATAGCTTATGTAATACTGTACACTTCAAAAGGTAGAGAAAAATTTACTACATCTTTGGCTATAGTATAGGCCAAGCTTCCCAATGGCTCAGAGACTGTATTTACAACATTTTCAATAACACAGTGGGGACAGCAGCTTGAGCCACTGAAATGAGAATTGGATACAGACTAGGGTCCACGTGGATCAAAGGAGGAAAACACACAATTATTACAGGAATGAACACAAGAAGAATAGAACAAAACTGAATAAATATCCCCCTTAAGACAAGCCTGCATACAGAAATTCCAAAGCCCATGAGGAAAAATAAAGCTTTGATGAAACTAGGTAAACATTAAGTGGAAGACCACTCCAAATGAAAGAGAAAATAAAATAATAACTTTAAAAAATGATATCACAATAGTATACAGAAAATGGACAAAAAAGAATAATATTTACAAATAAATCCAAAAAATCAATGAGCAAATAAAGGCAGAAAATACATCAGTGTAGGTGGATATAAAAAGTAATCAACTAGAAATTCTTGAAATGAAAAAAATCAGTCACTAATTATTTAACTCGTTTTCTGCTGCTTTAACTGAATACCACTGATGGGATCATTTAAAAAGCAAAAAAGAGAAAGATTTATTTGTCTCATGGTTCTAGAGGCTGGGAAGTCCAAGGGCATTGTGCCATCATCTGCTTGGCCACCTGATGTGCGTCTTCGTACTGCATTATTCCATGGTAGAAAGCAGAAAGACAAGTGAGCACAGTAGACAAAGAGGAAATGGGGGTCAAACTCATTCTTTCGTTTGGAGCTCATTCTTGAGACAACTAACCTATACCCATGATAAAGGCATTAATCCATTCATGAGTGCAGAACCCTCATGACCTAATCACATCTTAAAGTCCCCACCCCCCAACACTGTTACAATGACAATTAAATTTAAAAATGAGTTTTGGAGGAGACATTCAAACTACAGAATTAGTATATACAACTCAATAGCTGTTATAACCTCTGGATACAAGAATTGGTAAATTAGAATATAGTTCTCTGGAGTGCACCTACCACAACAGATAAAACCAAAAGTGTAAATAGGTAGCAAACAGATGGACAGATGAACAGAGAGACAGAGATAGAGACATAAAAGAATAATTTATTGAGGGGAAATCTTCAGTTTTGATGTTGTTCCATGTTTCTGAATCTCTATAGACTGTTACTATAACTTCTTTGTTCATTTAGTCATTCCTCCCTAGGGGATGTGTATAGTCATTGTATGATTGATAAATTTGGGAAGAATAATTAGGCATGCTTTGATGAGGTCCTACCCCTTTCTCTCAGAGTGGGGCCAGGGGTGGATGTGTGAGATGTTTCAAGGAGCCAGAAATCTCCTCCACTTTTCCAAAAGGCTTACATGACTCCTCCCATATAGAGAAGTCTGCCCCAAGGTCAGCACTTTCAGGTCCAGATGGAGAAGTCTGATTAGTTCTACAGATCCTTGTTAGGAAACCCATGTGATTAACATACACGGTCATGTCCTCCAGCCTGGCCTCTATCAGTAAGAGAGGAGTTCTTTGGCCTCCATATGCCATCCGTATGTTTTATGTCTCAAATGCTTTAGAACCCAAGCAGGAAAAATGGGAGTAATTTAAGAGTAGCCTGCCAGAAATCCCATTACTAGCATGGAGACTATGTGTGTATATGTATTTGTCAATTGCGTTTCTTTCTTGGTCTCCTCCTTTATCAACATTTTACTCCATTGATAAGTTTGTACAGAGGTCTAAATCTGCTGTGTCTTTTGTGGGGTTGGAATAACATATGTTAGAACATTTCTGGCAGCTGTGTCCATTTTTCCTAAGAGCCCCGAGGAATCAATTTGTCAGTAGTTTGATTGTTCTCTCTGTTTGACAAAGAAGAGCACAGGGGACATGGCAAAGTTTTGGGTACTGTGGGATCATCACTGTTTGGATTATATAAATCTCACCACCTTCTGTTAAAAAGGATTCACCAGACTCCTTTATTTCCCAGTGTTTAACAAATGGGATTTTCTCTGAAAGCTACCTGGGTTTTTTTACAGTATCTGAGCCTTATTCTCTTGATGCGTTAAAACGAATTCATAGTGAGCAATGGGTATTCAATCAAGAGAAAACAATTCACTGAACTCTGAACACAGCTGGGACTCCTCAAAGCTAGCACCCCTTATAGAGTGTTCTGAGATTTTATATTCATATCTATGCCTAACTGAAGCAGAATGGATGAGTTCTGGCCCTTGCTGGCAGCCTGACAATGGCTCTGTATCTCTAATATATCTTCACATACATATTGTACCAAACAGAAAACTCCTTATATAAATAGTCCCATAAGAAAGTCATTTATAACATAATCATAAATATACGAACTTCAGATACATAACTTCATCTACATGATGCTCCATATGCAATCCTATGGATCAATCATCATTTTCCAATTCTCATGGCCAGCCTGTTTACCCTACCCCAAGAAAATATCATACCCACACCCCAATTCAATTGACCTACAGCTTAGAAATTGCTATTTGCCTTCAGTTAGGCACCAAATCTACTAAAAGTGCAATGCTAGACCTTATACTTTGCTTTCTCCTTAGTTTGTATTGGGCAGTTGATTCTGATATTCAGCCTTCACTCTAATCATATCCTTGGGCCAAAGACTAGTATGGCAGAAGATAAAAGAGTTATCTGTGTTCAAACCACAGAAAGCTATTGAGCATGGTCTGGAATATGTGCTGTTATTAAGGCAAAGTCTTAATGCATAAACTGATAAATGTGAGAGATGTGAGAAAGAAGATAGTATCACCCACTGGCTCAGACATAAACCGTTAGGGTTTTCATTCTGTCTTTTCAATGTCTTTTCATTCCAATAACTTGTTGAGCTCAAGAAACTCAGGTGCTAAGTTCTATCATATGCTTTCCCTTTTGGCTTCTCATATATAAACAATGGAAAGATATTTTATAACCAAGTGAATAAACATAGGTGACAACAATTTGAAACAAAGAAGTAATTAAAAAAGAGCTGTAGAATTTGACTCAAACAACCCAGATTAAAGAATATTACTCAATAAAAATTAAGCATTGTAAACTCAAGACTCAGTTTCCTGGACACAGGATAGAAGTTAACTAAATGTTTTCTTTCTTCATTTAATAGCACATTCTCTTTGTATCTCTCTATTCAAATTCTCCTCTTACAAAGACAGCAGTCATATTGAATTTAGGGTCAACTTGAACCAACTATAATGTCACATTAACCTAATTACATCTACAAAGACCTTATTTATTTTTCTTTTTTTTCTTTGTGAGATGGGATCTCACTCTGTCACCCAGGTTGGAGTGCAGTGGCTCGATCTCAGCTCCCTGCAAACTCCGCCTCCTGGGCTCAAGTGATCCTTTCACCTCAGCCTCCTGAGTAGACCTTATTTCTATGTAATATCATATTCATAGGTTCTGGGAAAAGGTAAGTTTTGCAGGATACTGTTCAATTGACTATAAGTGTCATATAAAACCTTGTGAGCTTTTAGAAATTCAAGTGACCCCTTTTAACGTTGTGAATAACTCTTGTACCTCCTACACAGGCAGAGGTTTAAGGGGTAGACATTTTCCATACTTGGCACAATTTCTCTGGATTGATAGAACTACCACAGTGTAATTCTTTTAATCTGTCATCAAAATTAGCACAAGCAGATGGGTGCACTTTCACAAGGCTTCATGAGAAGGTAAAATGACTGATAGCCCATGGTGGTTGAAAGTACTTATGTAAGAAATACCCTCTAAAAGCTTAAAGAAAGACTTAAGAAGATGCTGGGAGAAAGGAAAGTGTGGGGAAGGGGCTACATGTCCATCAATAGAAGGGGGACAGAGTATCGTGATAAAAGAAAAATATATATTCCATAAGATGAAAAACATAGTCCCAAAGATGAAGTGAACCCATTCCTCCTAAGTCTTCATTTTATAACTGAAAATACACACACACACACACACACACACACACACACACACGCACACGCACACACACAAACCCTGGACATAATGCAACAAACAGAACTACTCTGAAAGATGAAAAGAAGAAAGTGCATTGCCTAGGGTTCTCCATACTTACTTGAAGAACAAAATGGTAGTGAATTCCTTGGATTTCTTTATCCTCTCATATATGCCAGAAAGGGAGCTCTAGCAGCCTTAAATCCAGAATTGTCAACCAGCACAGACAAATAAATGGTTTAAATAAAGCCTGTTCCCCATAGACAAAGGACCTGGAAAAGAGTGCCTTCCCAATACAAAACCACCATCATCTTGTGAATAAAAATTATTTTAGACCAATTTTTTTTGTGACAAAGTTAAAAGTCATATCTATCAAAACAAATGTAATATATGTCATTTACCTGTCCTGCATGGAGGCTTTTACATATCTGTATGTGTATCAGACTCAGCTGGAGGTAAATTTTTGCAGTTTATCTGCATGTTGGTGGTGGTTGAAAGCTTGATTGGAAACAAAATCTCCAGAAGACACTAGGCTTTCTTTCATAAAAGGAAAATCCAAGCAAAATGCAACATTTTAAGGACAAGCAAATGAAGAAAGGAAGCTTGCAAAAGAGATTTTTTGCAAAAGGCGTAAGTCTACGATGACAAGAAATACCCTAAAAGGATTGTGGAAGCCTAATATTCACTTAAGTGGTAGTTTATAAAATCTCATTGAATTGTACTGGGCTTTAAATATTAGAGCTGCTAGGTAAGCATTGTCAGCCAAGACAATAATTAGTCATCTATTTGAGGACTAACTGAAGTATTTTTTTTGAGAAATGCAGCCATGAAAAAATAAGAAAAATATAAAAGCATCACACATCTTCTAGAAGAAAAATTGAAGGAACCATATGACGGTTCATGTTTTATGGAGCAGGCACAATATATTTCTTACACAAGAGAAATAAATGACTAATTGTAGCTTATTTCAGGATCAATATTTGTGACTCAAAACCAAACAAAAAACTTGTGTACATCATACTTTTTTCTGAACTAGCTCACATTCTTATCATAAAAAAAATAATAACATTAAAAGAAGCTTCATGTATTTGCCTGTAAAAGATACATGCAAATTCTTATAGTGGGACTATGAAGTGTTATATTTAAGTTTTACCAAGCCTAATAGTCTTAAAAAATGCCACTTAAAATACATTAAAATTGCATGTAAACTCCCTTTGGGCATATTTAACAGAAAGTGTTAAATCTCGGATGTGAGCGCTTTAAAACTATTTTTCACACTTTATTCGGTACCTTATTTCTTACTCTGCTAAACTGTTAACAAATAGCTATGATACTCATTTCAAGAGTAACTTTAGAAGCTGGTTGTTTTTTATTTATCTCTTTGAATATACCCCAGAGCTTAGAAAATATATTTTCCTCAGCAGAACAATCCCTTTTGTTAGTTTTTTTTTTTTTTTTTTTTTTTTAAGACTCCGTTGTCGCCCAGGCTGGAGTGCAGTGGCACAATCTCGACTCACTGCAAGCTCTGCCTCCCGGGTTCATGCCATTCTCCTGCCTCAGCCTCCCGAGTAGCTGGGACTACAGGCGCCCACCACCACGCCCGGCTAATTTTTTGTATTGTTAGTAGAGATGGGGTTTCACCATATTAGCCAGGATGGTCTCGATCTCCTGACCTCGTGATCTGCCCGCCTCAGCCTCCCAAAGTGCTGGGATTACAGGTGTGAGCCACTGCGCCTGGCCGCCTTTTGGTAGGTTTTGATCAGAGAAACAGTGAAAGGTCTTTCCACTCATCAAGAAGAGTGCATAAACTCCTTACCAAGGGAGTCTCCTGCCTGACGTGGGCATGATCTCCAACAATAAAGCTGAAATGCACAAATAGAGGATAAATAGTGCTCTATTAGTTCTAGAGCAAAAATACTTTTATTTAAATGCAAGGATTATGTAGCTTCCTGGCTAAATTCTTTGATCATATAAAGGTTCATACAGAAAGATTTATTGAGAAGAGGCAGGAATAGTCAAGAGTGTGGAAAACTAGGGATATGAGAATAGAAATCTAAAATTCCAAGAGAAGTTGTATGTGTGTGGCTGGAGTACAGGGGCATAAAATGGCATTCAAATAGTTAGGAAGAGCAAGTGTATTAGTCAGGGTTCTCTAGAGGGACAGAACTGATAGGATAGACGTATATATAAAGGGGAGTTTATTAAGGAGTATCGACTCACATCTTCACAAGGCGAAGTCCCACAATAGGCCGTCTGCAAGCTGAGGAGCAAGAAATCCAGTCACAGACCCAAAACCTAAAAAGTAGGGAAGCCAAGAGTGCAGCCTTCTCTCTGTGGCCAAAGGCCCAAGAGCTTCTGGCAAGCCACTGGTTTAAGTCCAAGAATCCAAAAGCTGAAGAACTTGAAGTCCAATGTTTGAGGGAAGGAAGCACCCAGCATGGGAGAAAGATGAAGATTGGAAGACTCAGCAAGTCTGCTCCTTCCAAATTTTCCTGCCTGCTTTATTCTAGCCCTACTGGCAGCTGATCAGGTGGTGCCCACCCCGATTGAGGGTGGGTCTGCCTTTCCTAGTCCACTGACTCAAATGTTAATCTTCTTTGGCAACACCCTCACAGACACACCCAGGAACAATACTTTGAATCCGTCAATCAGATCAAGTTGACACTCAATATTAATCATCACAGAAAGAGAAACTAAAGTTTGGGGATAGAGGTAATGCTTCTTTCCCATTCCTGAAATGTCCTTCCATATAGGGTTTTTCATCCAATGTCTTCAAAGTTTTTATTTTTCTTTACCAATTTGCTCACTGCTGCCACTGCCTAGCAGGAAAAAATTGACAATACATGTGAGTTAGAAAGAACCATAACATGGGACATATGAGTTAGAAGAAAAAACTGGGCTTGTATACCCAAACCGCCCCTCTTTTTTTTTTTTTTAAAATACAGAGTATTGCTTTTATTGCAGAGGCTGGAGTGCAATGGTGCAATCTCCTCTTACCGCAACCTCCGCCTCCCAGGTTCAAGTGATTCTCCTGCCTCAGCCTCCCCAGTAGCTGGGATTACAATCATGTGCCACCACACCTGGCTAATTCTGTATTTTTAGTACAAACAGGGTTTCTTCATGTTGGTCAGGCCGGTCTCGAACTCCCGACCTCAGGTGATCCACCTGCCTCAGCTTCCCAATGTGCTTGGATTACAGATGTGAGCCACCACTCCTGGCCCAAACCTCACCTCTTTATCTTTCTTTTTCTTTTGAGGGAATGTCATCTGCTGTGGCAGCCCAAAGAGGCAGGATGGACCCCTATATAAAATCTGGTTTGAATGTTGAAATTTATAAAATCATACACACATACTCCAACAGGGCATGAAAAAGATTGTTACTGACATGATGAGGCTTTCTGTGGAGATCAGGGTAACCCCCTAAGTAATTCATTAAGTTGCCTGAGGGAGCCAGGCTGAGTGAATGGCTTTGGCTTTTGTTGTATTCAGGGGTGGGCTTGGGTGAGACTTCCTGTGTACACGCACAAGCCAGAGCAGGCATGGTCTTACCAGTGCCAAAGGATAGAGCATCTGAGCTTTGTCATAGGCTTTCCCAGATTTGGAACAAGAGTGGAAGAGGAATGGGTGGAACTTAAAAGCGGTTAGCCATCATCGAAAATGAAGTCAGACTTCTTATCACATTGCCACACGGGTATGTGCTTCCAACTTCTCCTTCGTATCATAATCTCACAGGGGTTAGTCTTGCAGGCGAGAAACCCTGTCCTGGTCCAGTATTGCTTGCAAACTGGATTGGTAAAGTTTGTTTAATTATGCATTCAAGATAATTGCCTACAAAAATAGTTGAAATTATTTAACCTGTTCTTTGTCAGTTGAGAACTTCTTTGTCTTATTTCTTGAATGGTTTATATTTTGAACATGGGAGAAGATGCTACATATTGCCTGTAGCCTCCTCCCCTTCAGAAATAATAAAATAGAAATAACCTAACCATAAGAAATGTTGTAAAGACATGATCAAAAAAATTTCAAATTCTAATTTTTTAGTGTATATTTTAAATTGAATCTTTCAAGTATCTTTGCATGTGATACTAAATTAGGAAATGTGAAAGAAATATTCCACAAAACAGATCTTAATAGATACTCATTTCCTATTTCTTGGGCAATTGTAGACTTGAAGATTTTAATTTTCAGAATTAAGTAACAATATTTCTGACAAAAAGGTAAATACCACATTTGTCACTAGTTGGCTTGATTAGGGTATAGGGATGACATTCATTTAATGTGTTTTATCCCTTATAAGATCCAGAGGACAGTGATTCTGTTGGTCAAAACCACATTTCCTGTACCTGATGTAGTTTTGGATACATAGTAGGTGTCTAATAAACTTTGTTAAATTAAATTAGATTACAATTAAGAAACATGAATTAAACATATTTTTATACTCCTGTGAGTGGAGAATCTGTAAAATGTATGTCTTTTAAAATTGTATTTATTTTATCCATCATTAATCAAGAATTATTTTATCAGTGTATAAATATATTATATTACAGTGTTTTTATATTACAAAGTGATTAACTACTATATTAGTTTTCTATTGCTCAGTAACAAATTATTATGCATATAAGGGCTTAACAACATACATGTATTAACTTATAGTTCTGTGAGTCAGGATTCTGGGCCCTGATTAATTAGCTTCTATGCAAAAAGTTTGAAGAGGAAGAGATTATATATGTTATTAGGATTCATTCTTTTCCAGAGCTTGGGGTCCTCTTCCAAGCTCATGTGGTTGTTGGCAGAATTTGGTTGTGTGTTATTGTAGGACTAATGTCCCATCCTCTTGCTAGTTGTTATTATTTGGGTTCTTCTCTTAGCTCCAAAAGGCCACTCTCAGTTTCATGCCATGTGGCCATCTCAGAAGCCCTCTCACAACATGGCAGCTTACTTCTTTGAGACACGTATGAGAATTTCTGCCTATTGTCTGCTAAGACGAAGTCATATAAGGACATATACTGATGGTTGTGACTATCATATCACTTCTACCATATAAGGTAATCATCAGTGGGATGGCATCCTATCAAGTCTGCCATATTCTATTCACTGGAAATAAGCCATAGATCATAGGGAAGGGGATTATACAAAGATCGTGAGTTACTAGGGTTCATCATAGTATACATTTGCCACACCTAGGTGAAAAACACGCATTTTCTGAAGAAGAAATTGAATGGCACATACTATTATAACTTGTATAAAAAAACTAAAATTATGTATATTTTACTATACAAATATACCAAAAATATACTAGAAGGTAAAAATCCAGTATTCTTTGATATTAGAAAATAAATATAGCAAATCCACAACTTTTTGTTATTTGTTCAACAGATAGTTCAAAACTAAGAACTGTTATATTACTATTAGGGTTCTCTAGAAAACAAATAGGATGTGTGTATACATAATATATACACATTTGTAAAATAAGTTACCCATTTAGATTTACATTACTTATATTGATTATATACTGTTATATATTATATATATACTATATATGTATACATATACATATAAATGCAGAGAGAGAGGGATTTATTTGAAAGAATTGCCTCACACAATTGTGGTGACTGGCTAGTCTAAAATCTGCAGGGCAGACTAGGAGGCTGGAGTTTCAGGGAAGCGTTGATGTTGCACTGTCCAGTCTGAAGGCAGCCTGGAGACAGAATTTATTTTTCCTCAAGGGGCCTTTGTCTTTTCTCTTAAGATCTTCAGCTGATTTGAAGGGTTCTATTCCAATTATGCAAGATAATCTACTCAGTCTAATGATTTAAATGTTAATTGCATCTAAAAAAAAATACCTTCAGAGCAACATCTAAATCAATGTTTGACCGAAAACGGGATACTATAGTATAGTCAAGTTGACACACAAAATTAACCATCATAACTATTATGGAAAGTTCCTCTATCATTTATATTTTCAGTTAGGGTTGCCACTCTTGACTATAATTTCCAGGGCAGCAGCTGAGAAATAGCACTTCTCCACCAAGCTGTCTTCATAAATAATAGTTGATGATTTTTTCTAGCTCTTCAATTTCATGCTGACTTTGATGATGATATGCTGATAGAATTATATAATCTCTTAGTGCTGCAGGAGAGGCTTCTAACTCTCTTCTCTCCAGTTACCAAAGAAGGTGAAAAAAAAAGTTCTACTGTCTAAAACTATGAGCAGATGGTTATAAGGGAAAGTGCCTAATGTAGATATCTCAAGACTTATTGGCAAAACCAAGCACTTTCCTCATAAAAATGGATCTTTTTCACTGTGACACCAATGACATTGCATTATGATATTTCACCATGTGATTGCTTCCATAGAATATTGTCAAGTTGCTATATTCCCTTTTATCAAAGATCTATTTGAAATATAAGATGGGATTCATCATAAAATTGCATTATATCAATGCATCAAAAACATATATTATGAATTAGTATATGTAGTAGTATGTAGTATATTTTGATAACTACTAGGTAGTCTCGGCCTTTAAATAGTTTATCAACTGACCTAAAATCACCTGTGGTAAGTGCCTCTTATTAATTTCTGAGATTCCTTTCCTAAACTTTTAGTTTTCTATACTTGCTTAGCTACAATGAATTTGGACTCCATATCGCTATATACTAGATACATATATTACATATTATATACATATATATACATATATATATATATATACTCAAAACATTATCATTAGACTATGCCATTCATTTAGCAAGACTAGTCTTATATGAAAGCATGTAACATTTTGGAATAAAAATAAATCATTCTTTTACTTATCCCAAAGAATCAACCATCTATTTTTTATTTGCATTTTGGTAGCAAAAAGACATAGACAATGGGAATAAATCTCAGGGCATGTATAAGACAGAAAGCATGGGAAGAGTGATGTGCTCTATCTGGAGTTTGGGGAGACAGATTCTGTCATGTCTTCTATGTTAGGGCAAACAACAGGTGAGGGGCCAATGCAGGTGCTTTCACAAATATTCATAAGCAGTGAAATCAAACGCATGTACAAGCAAAACAGTCCAGGACAGGAGAGAAGGAGAAGGGCTCACACTAGTGTTGACTGTGAGTACCTGAAAATATGAATATTACTTCCTTCAGATAATTAGGACTTAATATGCAATAACATGTATTAGGATGGGGGGAGTATATGGGAAAAAAGAACTATAAAAAGACAGCTTTTTACTGTTAACATTATCCCATTTTTTAAAAAATCCCAGGATTCTACTTTCTGGAAATATGGGTTAAATTAGATTTTTTTAAAAAAAGAAATACATTAACATAAGATCTAAACTATCATAATTAATCATGTGTGTACCCTAGGTGTGCTTAATGATTCCTTTTCCCCTCAGAGTCTTTGTTAGACACAGGTGCAATTCCTCACTATTCTCCATGCATCCTCCATCGACAGCATAATGTAAAATAAGCAGGGGTGAATCTTTGGGAAAAGCAATGAGGAAATCGATCAAGTCACTGAAATATAAATGTTACCAGATTTTGGACTTTGGGAAAGCACATGTGTATGAGAAAGTACCTATTCAAATCTCAGCTGCTTTTTGAGGTCTTTCCTCTTTCATGTTACTGCTTACTAGGGTGTCTGATGCCAGTGTCATGTGTGTTTAGTTATACAAATTCGAGTCTTGGTTTTCTTACCTTTAAAATAGGCTTAGTATTATATGTCTGCTATGGACATTTGCTGCTGTTGCCTGTGTAAGATGTTTTTATTTCTTTCTCTGGTCCCAAACCTCTCTTTCCTTTAGAAAACACATATATTTCTACTGGGAGCAACACTGATAAGCACATAACCCAGGTTTGACTGATCATACAACCCTATCATCCTGGCACAGAGATTACTACATGGATAGGTATGTTACACACACTAGTCCAAGAAATGTCCCACTGGGAGTTTTCTGCCTAAGCTTTAAGACCCTATTACAATGGCAGGATGAAGGTCATGGCCCACCATCATTCCCTTTATTAGAAGAGAGCCTGTGTAAGAGATTGAAAGAAAAAGAGTTCAAAGATATCACTCGAGCCCTGGATCCAGCAATGCTTGAGGCTAAAGTATCCTTAATTTTTCAGTCACTTAGACCAACAGATTTATATTTATGCTACCTTGAGCTGTAATACTATATGAAAAATACTAAGTAATAAAATCTCACACCTTGTTATACTAACAAATGTTTATTTAGTGTTACATAAGTAGAAAAACTAAAAAAAGAAAATAGTTTCCTCATACTTAACACAGCTTTAAAAATGAGGTTTATCTTTTAAATTCCCTCATTTATGTCTACTAGAGTATTTAGCCCAGTAAGTTAAATGTAATGTACCCCATGCAAAGTTTTTGGCATTCTGATATGAAGGAAATGGTAGCAAAGGAAAGGTTAAGAAATAATTCATGGTATGTGAGGTGAGGTTCAGTGTGAAAAGAGACATTTTGAAGACAGCATAGCTAGAGAACTTACTGAAGGTGAAACTATACACAACAATAAAATGGCAGGTAGTAATAAATGAGGAAAACTGAATAGTAATATTGGCAGAGGGAAGAAAGACAATATAAGGCCACAAGTATGTCAAGAATGCTCAGACACATTTGCAATTCAAGAAATTTCAAGATCATACATTAAGTCTAGAGTAGATATATAGTACTATTTCTTGATTCTACTCTTTTATAAGAAGAGTTTAATATTAGGTTCAGCATGAAAGCTCTATTTTTAAATGTTCAGAATGTCTTGTTACCCACACAGACCATCTGGCTGTCATCCAAAGCATGTTACACCAAGGGTGAATGTGTTAGTTTTCATGTTGGTACATGAATAAAAGCTGTTTGTGTGGAGCAGCGTTAGGCCTGCACCCTCCTGGGTCACATGCTTCACTGTTTCCTGCTGGAAAATTATTGAGTGAACAAGGTATATTCACAGCCACAAAGAGAGTTCATCAGGCTGTGAAGCATGTTTCATCAGGGGTTTTGCTGGTGTGAGAACAATTTTCAGAGTCCTAGTATGTGTGAGATGGACAAGTGACTACATCAGAGAGGCTGTGAAAAGGCATGTAAAAGGGAGAAATAAGAACTAAATATATCAGACCCACACTTGTCATTTTTTTTCTTTCTTTTGGCAAGGCAGGTGGGGGGAGAAATGTGGATGAGGACACAATGCACTTTTTAAGTGCCGTGTTTCTTGAAATACATCAAAGAGTCTGAGAGAAAGCAGAAAACTCCAAATAGACTTCAAGAGAGTCTTTTTTTTTTCTATTAAAAGCATCGGCATCTATAAAGGAAATAGAAGAACTGCATTAGACCTAAATGATCTCAGAGAAGTGTCAGAAGAACTGACAGGTAAATGAACCGTCTATCGTTATTTTATTTTATTCTCTTCTTTGAAAAACAAAAGCAGGGAAATGTCTGACTTTAAGCCCATTTCAGGGGAACCATAATATTATATTCTCCTCCTCTTGCTTATCATGTTGAGTTGGTATCTTTTATGCAATCAATTTTATAACTGCAAATCAATAACACAACATACGATTTCATTTAACTGATATTCACTGAGGACCTATTGCATCCCAGGGACTGGGCTAGGCTTTGCATGGAAGATAAATTACAATAGAGCTCCTGGTCTCAGGGAGCTTAAAGACAAGTTCTTCTAGATAATCTAGGACATGAAAATATTCAAGAAACATGCTCTGTTCCAGATGTGCATGTTTAATATTGTTTATTTAGATTACATCATGGAGGGTTAAACTAACAGGTTAGCAAATATTTAATCTTTCAAATGTATTCATTATTTTAATAAGGCAGTGGATCTGGAAAGTAATTCAGTAGCACAGATATATTTGGAAATATTTTACGTGATCCTAGTCTTTGTGCCAGGAAAGCTGCGAGCATATTGCCATAGAAAATAAAGCATTTTCCTAAATCTGCTCCTGATCTCTAACTTTATCCTGCCTAAAAGGGAGACATGCATTAGTGCAAGCAGAGAGGAAAAAAAAAAATTACTGACCTGCTTTCTTTTTACCTGATTCTCTTGTAGGTGCTAGTATTAGAAGAATTTAGAACAGCCTTCATTGTCCAGGGCAGGCACTCATTGCACAGAGACTCATCATGGTCAGTGTTAGTACCAACACCAGGAAGGTGAGCTGCATACAGCATTTTGATGCAAAATGCTCCAGGGAAATTCTCTGTAGCCACTGGTTCTTTCTTCTTGCCTACAGAACACACTGGGATTAGGAGTTTATTTTTCCTACATAAGAATTATGACAAAATAGGCAGATGGTATGAGATTTTTCTCTTATCCCCAGAACAGCAGAATTTTATGGCCAATATTTTATCTTCTACTGCTGTTCGATACATAGAGTCTTAACAACCTCATGTTATAGTTACTTTCTCTTTATTTTATTCCCCATACACAAGATGCAATTTATCTGAGGGTAGATACTCTGCCCCTTACTTAACACAACAGAGATAACCAACACTCAACAAGTGTTTGTTGCATGAATGAGAGCATCGTTGGAATCAGCTTTCTTAAAATATCCTTTATTAGATGCAGGGGAAAATGAAACAATCTACTTTTTTTAAAGTTATATTGGAGACATAGATACATCAAATTAGACTTGGTAGGTTACTAGAAAATTTCGAGAGTGCATGTTCCTCTATATGCAATTTTTGTAAAGATTTAAAACTTCAACAAATACTGAAAAATGCTTACACGTATGCTAACGTTATGAAAACTCTCTTGCATTTATTTAAGTGATTATGTAGTGAATCTAATAGTAATAACACTTGTGTAGAATTTTATCAAGTACAATCTTATTCAATGATATACATGGGTATAGATATGTATGTGTGTGTATGTGTGTATGCATGTAGGCAAAGGATGTGTTGGGTGTCCTGCCATTCCCTCATCCATTCTCAGAGAGTAAACTTTAAGCATATAGTTTATTTTATCATGGACAAGTCCCCAATGGAAGCAGATGAATCAGATTCTCTCATTTGGAAAACGGAAAAGGAAATACAGTAATGCCAGTCAGTCTTCATTGTGGTGCACTTGAAATGGGAACTCATATGTTTGGTTTCCCATGTGTCACCACTGAGATGGAAAAGATAGGACTCTTTCCTCTGAAGACCATACAAGCCCAGATACATCAATACTGGGGAAGAAGCTGCTTTGTTTCAGAAATGCATTCTGGGTCTGGACCCTGGACCTTCCTGAAGCCTGGCTTCCTGCTCTTAAATTTCCTGGACACTGTGTGTCCTGACAACAATCAAGATGTTTTCCTTAAGCTAATTTGAGTGGTCTTCAGTTGTCATACTGCCTTGGTGACAATCTTTCAATTTCAATTCAGTAAGTTCAGCAATATGGATTGAAGACACACTCTGTATTTGGGATGTGGAAAGGTATAGGTATGGATAAAAAAGAAACTTGCCCCCCGCCCTCCAAATTAATTTTGTAGTCGAAAAAGGGCAGATTCAAATAGATAAGTTCAATATATGTGTTGTGCTATCTATTATACATAATGACATAAAATCTTCCATAGGCAAATAGTGAAGTCCCTACTAAGACTGAGCTGCAAAAGGAAAGTGTGGGGTTTCAAGAGGAATAAGGATATTACCTAAATTAAGTATAGAAAAACAGTTAAGTTAATCAGGTAAGTGCATTACAGACAGATAGAATAACAGGAGCAGGGACGTGGAGATGTAACATCCTACATTCATTTATTCATTTTAAGATTTGTAGAGGCCAGCCACTACAAAATAGGCCAGCCACTGTTCAAGATGCTTTGGGAGCAGCAGTAAACAAAGTAATTCAAAAATCCCTCTTTTATGATATTTACACTTTTGAGGAAGAGGGCTTTTTATATAAATATACATATATATTCTATTAATAAACCACATGTTCATATATGTGATAAAATATACTTTAATAAAATAAATGAATACAAGATACAGTACAATAGTTCTTAAATTTTAGCATGCATCAATGGCATATTTAGGGTGCTGAAGGAAAAAAAAAATTACCCTAAAATAGTATATCCAGGGAAAGTATTCTCTAAACGTGAAGGAGAGATAAAGACTTTCCCAAACAAAAGTTGATGGATTTCACCACCATCATACATGTTCTACCAGAAATGCAAAAGAGAGTACTTCAATCAGAATTAAAAGAACATTAATGAGCAATAAACAATCACCTGAAGGTACAAAATTCAATGATGACATTAAGTACACAGAAAAACACAGAATATTATAACACTGTAACTATGGTGTGTAAACTACTGTTATTCTAAGTAAAAGACTAAATGATAAACCAATAAAAAGTAATAACTACAATAATTTTTCAAGACAAAGTCAATACAATAAGACATAAATACAAACAACAAAATGTTAAAAAGCAGGGGGACAGAGTGAAAGCATAGAGCTTTTGTTAGTTTTCTTTTTGCTTGTCTGTGTTATGCAAACTGTGTTAAGTTGATATCAGGTTAAAATCATGAGTTATATAATAATATTTGTAGGTGCAATGGTAACTTTTAACGAAAAAACACACAATGGCTACACTAAAAACAAAAAGCAATAAACTAAATCATATAACCAGAGAAAATCATCTTGACTAGAGGAATACAGGAAGAAAAGAAAGAAGGAAGAGAAGACCACAAACGAACCAGAAAGCAAATAACAAAATAGCAGGAGTAAGTCCTTGCTCATCAATTACAAAATGAAATGTAAATCGACTAAACTCTTGAATCAAAAGACATAGGCTGGATGGTTTTTTTTTTAAAAAGACCCATTGATCTGTTGCTGTCAAGAAACACACTTCAGCTATAAAGACATAAATGGACTAAATTTAAAGGAATGGGAAAAGATATTCCACGCCAATGGAAGGCAAAATAGAGCAGGAGTTGCTATACTTATATCAGACAAAATAAATTTCAAGACAAAACTATAAGAAGAGACAAAGAAAGTCACTATATAATGATAAAGGAGTCAATTCAGCAGGAAGATATAACATATATATATATATATATTATATATATATCCAACACTGGAACACTCAGATACATAAAGAAATATGATTAGAGCTAAAGAAAGAGATAGATCCTGATACAAGAATAGCTGGAGACTTCAACACTATCCACTGTCAGCACTGGACAGATTATCTGGACAGAAAATCAACAACAACAACAACAACAAAAACATTGAATTTAAACAGCACTATAAACCAAATGGAACTAATACATATTTACGAAACATTTCATCCAAGAGCTGTAAAATACACATTGTTTTCCTCAGCACATAGATCATTCTCAAGGATAGGCCATATGTTAGGTCACAAAATAAGTTTTAAAACATTCCAAAAAAGCTAAAGTGATATCAAGCATTTTCTCTGACCACAACGAAATAAAGCTAGAAATTAATAACAAGAAGAGTTTTGGAAATTATACAAGTATATGGAAATTCAACAATATACTCCTGAATGACCAGTGGGTCAATGAAGAAAATAAGAAGAAAACTGGAAAATTTATTGAAACAAATGATAATGGAAACACAACATATCAAAACCTATGGCTTATAGCAAAAGCAGTACTCAGAAGGAATTTTATAGCTATAAGTGCCTACATCAAAAAAGAGGAAAAATCTCAAATAAACAACCTAACAATGAATCTTCAGAAACTCAAAAAGCAAGAGCAAACCAAGCCCAAAATTAGTAGAAGAAAATAAATAATAAAAATCAGAACGGAAATGAAAAAATAATACAAAAGTTCAATGAAACTTGTTTTTTCAAAAAGTTAAACAAAATTGACAAATCTTTAGGCAGACTAAGAAAAAAGAAACAAATCCAATTAAATAAAAATCAGAAAAGGAAAAGGTGACTTTACAACAGATACTGCAGAAATTCGAAAGATCATTCGTGGCTACTATAAGCAACTATTTGCCAACAAATTGGAAAATCTAAAAGAAATTGACAAATTCATAGATATGTACAACCTACCAAAATTGAATCAGGAAGAAATCCAAAACCCAAACAGACCAGTAACAAGTAACAAGAACAAAGTATAATAAAACATTTCATGGTAAGAAAAACTTTGCCTGCTGAATTTTACCAAACATTTATAGAAGAATTAATACCAATTCTATTCAAACTATTATGAAAAATGGAGGATGAGGAAATATTTTCAAACTCATTCTATGAGGCCAGTATTACCTTGATACCAAAACCAAAGACTCATTTGAAAGAAAAAATAAAATAAAATAAACTATAGGCCAATATCTCTGATTAATTTTGATTCAAAAATCCTTAACAGCACACTAGCAGACTGAATTCAAAAATACATTAGAAAGATCACTCATTATGACCAAGTGAGATTTATCCTGGGGATGCCAAAATGGTTCAAGATACACAAATTAATCAATGCAATACATCACATCAACAGTGTGAAGGATAGAAACCACAAGATCATTTCAATTGACGCTGAAAAAGCATTTGATAAAATTCAACATTCCTTTATAATAAAAAAATTATTAAAAAACTGGGAATAGAGAGAACGTACCTCAACATAATGTAACCCATATATAACACACACACAGCTGGTATCATACTGAATGGAGAAAAACTGAGTCCTCTAAAATCAGGAACACAACAGGGATGCCCACTGTCACCACTGTTATTCAACGTTGTACTGGAACTCCTAGTTAGAGCAATCAGATAAAAGAAAGGTATAAAAGGCATCCATATTGGAAAGAAAGAAGTCAAATTATTCTCATTTGCTTAAAATATGATCATGTATTTAGAAAAACCTAAAGAATCCACAAGAAAACTATTATAAATGATAAACCAATTCAGTAAGGCTGCAGGATACAAAATCAACATACAAAAATCAGTAGAATTTCTATATGCCAACAGTGAACAATGTGAAAAAGAAATTTTTAAAATCCTATAGCCACACATAAAATTAAATGTCTAG
Organism: Homo sapiens; assembly: GCF_000001405.40. Lineage (NCBI taxonomy): Eukaryota > Metazoa > Chordata > Mammalia > Primates > Hominidae > Homo > Homo sapiens. The sequence goes on from NC_000004.12 coordinate 33,155,981, forward strand.
GTATTAGCCAAAGAAGTGAAAAATCTCTATAATAAAAACTGTAACACACTGATAAAAGAAATTGAAAAAAGGACACCAAAAAGTGGAAAAATATTTCATGTTTATGGATTAGAAGAATCAATATAATTAAAACATCCATACTAGCCAAAGTATTTTATCGATTCAGTGCAACCTCTATCAAAATACCAATGTCATTCTTCACAGAAATAGAAAAAACAACCCTAAAATTTATATGGAACCACAAAAGACCCAGAGTAACCAAAGCTATCTTAAGCAAAAAGAACGAAACTGGAGGAATCACATTACCTGACTTCAAATTATACTACAGAGCTATAGTAACCAAAACAGCATGGTACTGGCATAAAAACAGACACATAGACTACTAGAACAGAATAGAGAACCCAGAAGCAAATCCACACACCTATATTGAATTCACTTTTGACAAAGGTGTCAAGAATATACACTGGAGAAAACACAGCCTCTTCGATAAATGGTGCTGGGAAACCTGGATATCCACATGCAAAAGAATGAAACTAGACCTCTATCTCTTGCCATACACAAAATCGAATCAAAATGGATTAAAGACTTAAATCTAAGACATCAAATTATGAAACTACTAAAATAAAACATTTGGGAAAAATCTCCAGGACATTAGTCTGGGTAAAGGCTTCTTGTGCAATACATCTCAAGCATAGGCAACCAAAGCAAACATGGGCAAATGGGATCACATCAAGTTAAAACATTTCTTTACAGGATACAATCACCAAAGGAAATAATTGACAAAGTGAAGATACAACTGACAGAATAGGAGAAAATATTTTCAAACTACCCATCTGACAAGGGATTAATAACCAAAATATATAAGGAGCTCAAACAAGTCTATAGAAAATAATCTAATAGTTTGATCAGAAGACAGACAAAAGATTTAAATAGACATTTCTCAAAAGAAGACAAACAAATGGCAAACAGGCATATGAAAAGGTGCTCAACATCACTGACCATCAGAGAAATGCAAATCAAAACTACAATGAAATATCATCTCACCCCAGTTAAAGTGGCTTATAAACAAAAGATAGGCAATAACAAATGCTGATGAGGTTGTGGAGAAAAGGGAACCCTTGTACACTGTTGGTGGGAATGTACATTAGTAAATCTACTAGAGAAAACAGTTTAGAGGTTCCTCAAAAACTAAAATTTGAGCTACCATATGAGCCAGCAATCCCATTGCTGGGCATATACCCTAAAGAAAGAAAATCAGTGTATTGAAGAGATATCTGCACTCCTGTGTTGCCGTACTGTTTACAATAGCTAAGATGTGGAAGCAACCTAGATGTCCATCAATAGATGAATGGATAAAGGAATTGTGGTACATATAAACAATGGAATACTATTTAGCCATAATAAAGAATGAGATTCAGACATTTGCAACAATATGGATGTAACTAGAGATCATTATGGATTACCCTAGCTGCCCTATTGGGAATTGATGAGAGTGAAAGAAGGCAGGAAAATGAGACCAATAAGGAAGCTATTATAATACTAGTAGTAACAAGAATGACGAAGGCTTGGACCAGGGTGCAAGCTGTGATACTAGTGAAAGCATGCCAGAGTGCATGTAGAAAGATATATTTTGAATGTAGAGGCATAAGATTAATGGATTAGATTCGGGATATGAAATAAAGAAAAGGGTCAAAAGTGATTCCTGAAAGTTTGGTTTTAGCACATGGAAGTATTGACTTGCCATCAACTTGGATTGAAAAGATATGAAATTAGAGGATTCAGTTAGAAAAGTCAGAAGCTCAGTTTCACCATGGTCATTTTGAGACATCTATTATAAACTTAGGTAAGAATGTAGAGCAGGCAATTATATTTAGGTACTTGGAGATCAGGATAGAAATTGAGTTTGAGACACAAACTTGAATTTCTGTCTGTTGACAGAAAAGATATATCATCAAAGGACTAAGATTCAAGGTGATACAAGGTAAGGCGCTTAGGGGGAACAATGTAAAGAGAAATAGCAATAACAGCCAGTAATGTAAGAAGAACCCAGGGGCAGATACTGTCATGAACACTAAAGGAAGAGAATATTTCAAGGCAGAGAAACTGAGCAGCAAAAATAAGCAGATATATGCAGGGTTTAAGGAAAAGTTACAATCAAAAATTATTATGATTGGCAGAATTTGGTTAGGAGTTGACCTGGGGAAAAGAGGAAGACAATTCTTCTGTTTCATCTTTTTATTAAACAATTGGTCCCTGTTATTTACTCCTGAAGAGAAAATAATTATTGCTTTGGAGATAAAACCAAGAACTTACGTGTGTTTCCCTTTAGAAACCCTCTGCCTATTCTGATGAGGCTGAAACTCTTTAGCTCTGTGAATATAATTTATTTAATGCCTGGAAATAATATAATGAGTGAATTCAGGTACTAAACACAACTAAAGAAAATAGCTTATTTTCTGAGATAAGTAGAATAATTGTGGGTATTTTTTATATCTAAAAGGTAGGTTCCATCAACGATTCTTGAAAATAACAATGTAGTTAGCTTTTAAAAAAATGAAAATAATGATGTACTTTGAAGCAGACCTCAAAATTATCTGTCTTTAATAGAAAGTCATTATGCATTCTCACGTAATGCTAGAGCAAGTGCTGACTGCTATTTCCAACTGGGAAAAGTAAAGTAGTATCCTATCAATTGGCAAATAGCAAGTGATTCTTGGTGATGAAAATAATTATGACATATTATCTATAATATGCATCTTCGAGAGGAAGGTGATTTACTTGGGACACATTAACAGGAGAAAAAACATTTGGGGATGCAAATAGTTCTCTTTAAGATGACTGTTTATGCTGAAATATTAAGTTTCCATTTGTGGTAAATGGGAAAGCAGATGGCTAAAGAAAAATATTTTGTCAAGTTTGAAACATAAACCACCTAGTTGTAGGAAAAAATGTCTTTCTCATCACTGGAAGGAGTAAAGAGTGAAAAATAAACATAAATAGACTGATTTTTCCAGAATAGCATTTCCCTTTGGGTTTTGAGCACCCATTAACTTAAATATCTCTCCACAGCTAACTGATTAGTCAATTATGCTTATATTCAGCAGATACTTATTGAGCTTCTGCTATGTTCCGGCACTGTTTTCTTGTCGCTGTGGGGATACAGAAAGCAATCAGACATAAATTCTGACTTTTAGGCTGTAATGATGTGGTAGTAAAATTAAGGCATGTCCTGAATTTGTTCAATACCAAATATTTATTAACTGCTTACTTTGTTTGCAGAAATACCAGTAGAAAGAAATAAATGAAGATGTAAAAATGAACTTGGCACTTTTAAATTAGTATGTAAGTGGTGGTTAATATTAATATTCCATAGTCCTTTCTGGTTTTAAATGAAACGATGGGACAATATGAAATGTACTACCTTCTACTTCTGTATTATTTAATTTGTTTAAGTATATGAATTACTTTATTATTTTATTATTATTATTAATACTTGTAATAATTGTTATTTTTTCTGTGCTTTCTATGTGTCAGTCCTTATATGCATTATCTTATTTAATTGTCAAAGCAATTCATGATGAAAGTACTTACAGTAAATCCAATTTATAAATGTGGCAACTGAGTCTTAGGATAGCTATTTACTTTGCCAAAGATCACATCCAGCAGCAAAATCATATTTTAACCCTGTAGCCCTAGAGTATGGCTTCAATACTGTTTTATCTTCTACTACACACAAGCACAAAATAAACATGTGAGGTGGAAGTACGAGAGGTTAAATAAGAAGCAAATGGAAAGTTTTGTGGAAGAAGTAGCTTTTGTTGGATTGCCTTTGATTGTGAATACCATTTCAATAGGAAATATTGCAACATGCAAGTCACTAATAAATGGAAACAGAGTTTGATTGGAATGTACAGTTTTTGATTGAGATATTTATGGAGTTGTATTAAAAACTTATTCAGGATCTTGATCATGAAAATCCTCAAAAAAACAAACCAGGTAGAGGAAATAGTTTCAATTTTACTGTAAAGGCACTGACAAGATACCAGTGGATTAATCTGATGGCAGTCTGTCAAATGGACTAGAGATGTTGGAAATTGAATGAGAGAACAGTTAAAGGTCTGTTTGCAAATTATAGATCAATGCTTCCTTGGGGATCTTGTTAAAATTTATATTCTGATGCAGTGAATCAGAGAGAAGCCCTAGAATCTCAATTTATATCAAGCATCCAGATGATCCCTTTGCTACTATTCCAGAACAAATTAATGGTTCTCAACACAGGGCATTTTGCCCTCCAGAGGACATTTCACAATGTCTGGAGACATTTTTGGTTGTCCAAATTCGGGGGTGGAAGTTGCTACTGCCATCCAGTGGTGAGTATAGCCAACAATGCTATATAGCCCAAGGATGGTGTGAAACCTTCTACAATGTACAATGGAACCCCCACGACAAATAATTATCCAACCAAAATGTTGGTAGTGCTGAGGTTAAGAAACCCTGCACTATAATAATAACATTAGCAGAAAATTGATAGCATATTGTTCACAGGAAAATGTTTAAAATGTTTGGAAAATGAATTCATTCTTTCACATGGCCGGAGTCAAGGTCACAGAGCTGGAAGTGTGACAAAAAATTGTCAACTCTGATGTATGTGCAATTACTAAAGAAAATCTAATGCCTCTAACAGAATGATCTCAGACTAATATTAAGAATTAAATTCCACACATTTCTCACAAACGCAAGGTATCCTCTTTTTTTTTTTTTTTTCCTGATTTTTCTTTATCCAGGACTTTTAAATCACTGATCAGCACTTGCCTCTACTATTCCCACTTACTTTCTATCTTGGAGTGAAACATTCCCACCAGTTATTCCAGTTTACCTATTTCCACATTTACTGGAACTTACTACATCTAATTAGAGATTCAGTTATTTGTATACACATTATTCTACCCTCTCTTATTTTTGCCAGCATAACCTTAATTTTGTGGCAAGCCCAGGACAGTGCCCATGACTGTTCAAAGCCAATGTTAATATTGCCATTACCCACTATTTTTAGTCCTCCATCAAAAAATGATGTCTATACATATGACCAATCAGATCAATATCACATCATTTAAGGTCTGCTAGAGAAATCTCTAGGAAAGTTATTACATTCCTTGAATCAAAGAGCAGAGGTACAGATGTGACTGTCTCCTTCCTCCTACCATCAATATCAATGTGAGTCTAGGATTCAGCAATCATTCTTGCTGTCCTGTGAGAAGAACATTGGTCCTTCCATTACTGAGCCACTGAACAGAGACTTTAATCACCTACTTCAAGAATTCTTGACAAATAAGAAAAATAAGGGAGGAGGCTGAAGAATAAAAAATTACTTAATAGGTATAATGAACACTATTCCAGTGATGGCTGCACTGAAAGCTCAGACTTCACTATTGTGCAATATATCCGCGTAACAAAATTGTAGCTGTACTCTCTAAATTAATAAAAATAAAAAAAGAAACTCCTATTTACTCAACCAACTACACACATAATTTCTATTTTTGCGGCAAAATATAATTTTATCTGACGTACATTTTCTTTCCACCTCCTCTGAGTCTATGGCCCATCAGTTTTCACCTAACTCTTTACAATTTTCATTCATTCCTTCTCGAATCTCACCTTCCCAAACCTGTAAACAGGCTCCACTTTCTTCTACATCCCCCCAACAAAAAACTAGAGCAAACCAAGACATACGTATATATACATCTGTATATCAAAGAAATACTAGATGTATTTACTTGTTTTCTGAGTATTACTTAAAGTTTACAGCAGAATTCTGTATTTGTTATAGTTTGACAATGAATGGAAAGACAAGTGCTTAACTCCCTCTTCATATCATATTTCTTGTTTCTTTTTTTTCTTTCAAATTGAATATAGGCTTATCTAAATTTCTATGTCCTTACACTTCAGTTTAAAATTCTACGTAGTAACAGATTAATCACTTTGTGGAAAAAAAAAAAACAAACGGAAAGTCAAATGTGTCTTTCTTTCTTTTTTATTATTAAAATGTTATCTTAAAGAATACCTGCAACCTCCACAGTATATTTTCAAATGCCGTATATGGTGTTAACTATATATCTCCTTTCAAGAACATCTATACAAATTGTGGAACAGTGAACAATAACAAAAAAGTTTTGATTTCCTCTAATTTGAGTTCCACTGTCAAATCTACTTGTCTAACATCTATCTTGTCAATGTTCTTTCAGCACATCTTAAAATTACACAACAATGCTTAGATAATTGGTAAGGCATTTTCAGAATGCCATGGGTAGATTAGACATTCTCTCAAATCCAAAATAGAATAACAAGTCTTAGCTCTCCCCTGTTGAGAAGCTTACTAATTCAAGGATTGTGCAAATTCTCACAGATGCCAGTGTTCCCACAGAGAACTGAGCTAGTACTGCTACCTTTTTACTTGTGACACCTCATATAATTAAGAAAATTACAGTTATGCTCCTTTCTTCAAGACAGAGAGCAAAAACTATCCTTGGGCTCTTTCCAAACATAAATGGGCAATAAATCTCTCTCCAAGCTCTTTTCTTCTTCTTCTTCTTCTTCTTCTTCTTCCTCTTCTTCTTCTTCTTCTTTTTTTCTTCTTCTTTTCTTCTTCTTCTTCTTCTTTTCTTCTTCTTCTTTTCTTCTTCTTCTTCTCTTCTTCTTCTTCTTCTTTTCTTCTTCTTCTTTTTCTTCTCCTCCTTCTCCTCCTTCTCCTGCTTCTCCTCCTTCTCCTCCTTCTCCTCCTTCTCCTTCTTCTTCTTCTCTTGCTCTCTTTCTCCTTCTCCTTCTCCTTCTTTTTCTTCTTCTGGTTAAGAGGAACATGAAAAAACATACAGACATTACATTTTTTAATATTGGTCTACAGACTGGTGAAAAAGTTTAATTTAATTTATGCCTGCTGCTGCTCATGCTCTCTCATTTAGAATGATGTGATAATGATTACATTAACATAATCCATCTAAGGTGAACTTTACGATATGTACCAATGCACTCCACGAAGGTGGGAGGTTGGAATAGAGGTGAAAAGAAATTCCTAGAAGATGTAATATATTAGTCTATGCATAGTATCTTTTTATCTCTAAAAACAGGGAGAGACAGAGTACAGGTACTAAAACTACCACCTCCACCTCAGTGTGTCTCAGACGCAGTGTGCCAGCTCCATCTAATTCCTCCCTGGTTCACTGATTTCTTCAGTTACTTGCGCTATATTGATCTTCACTTTGTTGTCTCAGAGCAATTATACAAATTGCAGAGTATTCTTAGTATCTATGTCTACAATAACTTAATGCTATTATTTTAAGTTCTCAATCTTAGTCAACTATAGTTCCATAGCTATGTTCTTAAATTCTCACTACTTAAGAAAGACCTTTTCTTCAGCTGTGACACACTGACCAGAAAATGTGGTACATGCTCACTTCTAGCAGCATTTCTCTGAAGTTTATTTTTTTGTTTCTTTGTTTGTTTGTTTTTGTTTTTTTTCCACCTGAGAACTCGGAATTGTGCTATTAAGGAAATGGGTGTGTGGAACTGATAAGTATTCCTCTTTCTATCTTTAGAGAAAAAGTACAGCTTCCATGTTGAGGAGCTACTGAAAAGGATACAGATTCCATGAAAATCTTTGTTCATCACTTTGATTGAATGTACCATATCTTTCTTTACTTCATCAAGTAATCCCACCATGAACTTGGCTATGAACACATATACTCAGTACACAGTAGCATAAATGATAAATGATATTTTCTTCTCTCATATGATTATGTCCTAATTTATATGAAAGGAGAACACTTTCTTTTGCATTTATAGGATTATTTAATTCAATAATAAATTACAAATTTAAATACTCAGTTAATATATATATAATATATACCTATACATCATATATAGATATATTATATATACACACACATATATATATAGAAAGAATCTACAAGTAGATATGCCTCCTCCTCGGTTACATGGAAATAAAGTGTCATGAGATTGTCTGTGATCAGCTCATGAGGATAGGCCATACATATGTAAGCAGTTACTGCTTAGAACAGAACTAACCTTATAGAAAGCGGTAGTTACTGCCTGCCAGATTAAATCTTCTAACGTAGATGTTAAAATTAGTGCCGAGGGAAGGAGAGACAAAGCTGCTATCATATAATATTATTCTATTACTCATAAGAAGTATTATTTCATTAAATAGATTAAGTGAAAATCTAGAATAAGAAGTCAAACGCAGCATTGGCACATTGGCAAATTAAAGGCAACTAATGCAACGAAACATGGGCAATGAACATAGGGTCATGTTTAAAGCATTATGTAGGTATAAAGTAGTAGGTTGTATGTAGGATTAATAACAGTAGACATTTGAATTAATAACAGTAGTGGCAAAATGGGAGTTTCTTTCAATAGTGTCTGCCTATTTCTGTGAAATGGGAAAGGGCACATTTACCTTGGGGGAAATGTACATTTATGTTAGGAAATGATTTTATGTGGAACTGACAACACTGTCATGTACAAAAGCGTTTTAGCAGATGGGGTGGCACGTTTCGGTACAGCAATACCACTTGTTTTCTTTTACATAATAGTACTATATAGAATACATTAAACCTGTAGCATATTTCTTTGGCTCGTGGGGCTAACCACCACTCTTCTAGTAACTGCACCAGGGTTTTTGCCTTATCAAGCTTCCATGAAAGAAGCAAATTTACTTTTAATGTAATTAAAATTGTTTGACTTTCAATTTCTGTTTTGAATAGTCATTCTATTTTGATTTTTATCATTGTAGTTGCTCTTCAATTTTGACAACTTACATGTTTGTATGGCAAAGTATTCAATATGTTTCGTGCTATTTTATAACTATGCTCTTTAATTATAAGAATATATAAATAGTATGATAAATAAGATATGTATTTTTTAACGAAAATTAAATTCCATTAAAGTACTCTACTTTCTAAGGTAGGTGAGAAGTTCACCTTAAGATTTACTGAATTTTTTCTGCCCCTCACGTCAGTTGTACCAGGTCTTGAGCCTAACGTGGTAAAGAAAACTGGGAAAGAACCCAGGGTTTTAGATGTTATTGCAAGCATTGATTTTACAAAAGTTCACTCAGTGTGGCCCATTCACATTTGCAAGCCAAACTCAGTAATCATGACAAATTTTCTAGATTCAAAATTTATATTACAGATAATCACACAAGAAAGAGATTTTGCTGTCTCTCGGAATACTACATTTTCAATCATAGTTCAAGTTTCTGCCACTCAAATTATTCAGCTGCCCTCTTTTCTAATGTCCGTAGATCTACCAGTTTCTAGGTTTAAGACCTCACATCTTCCACATATCCTCTGTTTTACTTCTCTTGTCTCAACTACCTAGAGACCCAAGAATTGTTTACGAAAAAAGGCCTACAAAGAGCTTCTGTTCAGAGTGGGACTGTCCCTGTCTGTAATTCCTCTCTTTACTACATTAACAAAAAGTCTGTTCCTTTAACTCTGGAAGGAAGAAGAGTCCACACTGAAAACAAAACAACAGCAACAACAACAACAAAAAATCCTGACAACTTGTAATGACAGTGAGAGGGACAAGAAATTGTCTCTTCATCTATTTGCAACTGATGAATTCACTTACGTGAAAAAAAAACAGATATGGCAGAACAAAGCAAAAACCTATTCCCTACAATAAAATGCTAATAAAGCATGCTGTTACATATAAAAAGGTGTTTGTGCAGACACATGCAGACGTGTGTAAGAGAGAGGAGACACAAAGAGAAGAGCGAGGCGGTCAATTTTGGGGGAGAAATTTGATTCTGGTCTTAGAATTAGGAAGCGTTTTGCTATGTGGGCTTCCCTTGAGCAACTTATCAATTTTGTTACATATACTATGAAATATACAATTGAAAACAATTTCTTTTTTACATAATTTTATTTTTATTTCACTTTATTCTATAGACTTGGATTTTTTTTGCAAAGAGAATGGACAACATAATCAGATAAACATGAGCTTAAATACTAGCTGTCCCTCTCACAACCAAAGTCCATTTGGTAATTTACTTTGTTTTTTGGAGGCTTGGTTTCTGCATTCACCAAATAGAGATGATGATATCCAGTCCATAAGACTGTAGTAAAAATTTTTTAATGAATTGGTAGTTAGAAATGCTCAAGATGTTTATGCTTTGCCCACCCTCAACAAACCATGTGAAATATTAACTGCATCCTTAATTTTTTGTGTATATGTTTGAATGTTTTAAATAATTCATACAACTGTCTGAATTTTTCTTTCAGGGTTTATGTCCAAGTAGTTTTAAGTATCCAGAAAGAATAAAATGAGACATAACAAAATAGAGAAAAAGTACAAAATCATGGCTCTTTATCTGCTTGTAGGAAGTATGAAACATTAGTGTCTAGTGCTAATATTAATAACACAAGAAGTTGGAACAAAACTTAAAAGTAAGATATAATTATCAATTAAGAAAATGATGATGTTAATTTTCTGTAGAATACTGAAAGATAAATGAGTGATTGAAATCAATATGATGACAACAGAGGACTGCTATCGTAAGTTCCTTGATTATTTTACTGCCAACAATAGCTGCTTAAAGTAAGGTTATATGCCAAAATTTTCTTTCAAAATAAATAAAGATAATGGGACAAAATGTATAATTATAATGTTTCAAAAATTGTATAAAATATCATACCTATGACACAATTAAAAATAAGAAAGAAATTTACATTATTACAGAATTTTCTTTAAATGAAATAATCCATCAAAAATCTAAGCTTTTGGTGATGTTTTTGAAATATGAAATAATGGCTTCTTCCACTGCATTAAATATCCTGATGCATTTGACGACCATCTTCTAGCATGAAGCAAGATAATATTTCTGATTTTTTTTTTTTTTTTTTTTTTGAGACAGAGTCTTGCTCTTGGCTCACTGCAACCTCCGCCTTCCCAGTTCAAGCGATTCTCCTGCCTCAGCCTTCCGAGTACCTGGGACTACAGGCGTCCGCCACCATGCCCAGCTAATTTTTGTATTTTTAGTAGAGACAGGGTTTCATTATGTTGGCCAAGATGGTCTTGATCTCCTGACCTCGTGATCCGCCTGCCTCAGCCTTCCAAAGTGCTGGGATTACAGGCGTGAGCCACCGCGCCTGGCCCAATATTTCTAATTTTTAGAATACAATTCACTGGAAAGTTTGTGTTCAAGTAAAGTCTTTTCTTCCTAAGATTTATTGTTATCTAAAAAGTGTGATAATAGTGATGGTACCACAATAGTGCGAATGTACTTAAAGCCATGAAACTGTACACTTAAAATGGTTAAAATGTTAGTTTTTATGTTATGTGTATTTTACAATTAAATTTTTAAAAATAAATATGTAAAAATAAAAAAATTACTACCATTATTGGGGAAAAATCCTTTCCTCTTAAATCTTCTTTTTAATCCCTTTATCATACAAAATAAATTCATCTGGCTTCTTGTACTTTCCCCTGTTCTTTTAAAATGTTGAAATCTATGATGACACAATACCAGAAAACAATGGAAAATAATTTGCCTAAAAAAAAATTCCCATAAAACAAACTCCCACAAACTTAAAAGAATTGAAATCACACAGACTGTTTTCTAATCATAATAAAAACATCTCGAAATTAGTGAGAAGTAAACATTAAAGATGAAAATCCAAAAACAAAATGAGACAAAATGCTTTTAAATAATCCTTGGGTGAAAAATGAAGGGTCAAAGAAAAGAATAAATTATATTAAATTTAATAAAAATAAACATATATGAAAATATGTAGGGCACAGCCAAAGTGGGCTGAGAGGAAAATGTATCATTAATTGCTTGTATTAGAAAGTAAGACAAGATCTTAAATTAAAAGTCTATGTCCTTACCTCAAGAAAATAAAAAAAGAAGAGCAAAACCAAGCTTAAACTAGCAGAAGGAAGGCAATAATAGGGATAAGAGCAGGAATCAGTACAATTGAAAACAGGAAAGCAATGCAGTTTACCTATGGGTTCTGCATGGGTGGATTCAATCTACCGTTGAATCTACAGGCTCTGCATTAATACACTCCACTCCACTATAGTATCTACAGGTTCCACATGGGTAGATTCAATCAAACACAATTCAACCAACATTAAATGGGAAAATATTTTGGGGAAAATAATACAAAACAACAATAAAAAATAATGCAAATTTAAAAATACAGTGTAACAACTATTAACATAGCTTTCACATTTCACTAGATATTATAAATAACCTAGGGATTACTTAAATATACTGGAGGATGTGCGTAGGTTATAAGCAAATAATGTGGCATTTTATGTAAGGGACTTTAGCATTTGTGAATTTTGTTATCCTTCAAGGGTTCTGGAAGAAATTTTCCCTGGATAACGAAGGATGACTATACAGAGATTCAATGAAAAAACAAATCTAGTTCCCTTAAAAATTAATAAAATTGATAAACCTCTAGCAAAACTGACAAAGAAAAAAAGAAGAATAAAAGCATCATTACTAAAAAGTAATCAGTGATATCACTATAGATCTTGTAGATATTAGAAACATAAGAATATTCTAAATAACCTTACACTCATAAATTTGACAACTAGCAATCTATCAATTCCTTAAAAAACCAAGATATGATAAAATAGATAATATGATATTTTCTATAATTGTCCAATAAATTGAATTTGTAATTAAGTAGCAAACAAAACAAAACAAAACAAAACAAACAAACAAAAAACACCTCTAGGCCCAGATGGTTTCACTAGAGAATTCTACCAAACATGTTTCTGGGGGACAGATCTCACTCTGTCACTCAGGCTGGAGTGCAGTGAGGCAATCCCAACTCACTGCAACCTTCACCTCCTGAGTTTGAGGGATTTGCATGCCTCAGCCTCCAGAGTAGCTGGAACTACAGGCACCTGCCACCACACCCTGCTAATTTTTGTATTTTTATTAGAGATGGGGTTTCGCCCTGTTGGTCAGGCTGGTCTCAAACTCCCAACCTCAAGTAATGTGCCCACCTCGGTCTACCAAAGTGCAAGGATTGTAAGCATGAGCCACTGCGCATGGCCTTGAGAATTCTACCAAACTTTTAAAGAATTAACACCAATGATACACAGCATCATTCAAACACTAGAAGAAACATTTTAAAATTTCTTTTATGAGGAAATTTTATTCTCATACCAAAACCAGGGTGCACAAAAGAAAATAACTACAGACCAATATCTCTCATGAATTTTGATGCAAAAGTTCTCCACACATATCAGCAAATAGAATCTAGCAATGTGTCAAAAGAATTATACACCATGACTAAGTTAGATTTATTCCAGGTATGCGTAAGGCTGGTTTAACATTCAAAATCAATCAATGTAATCCACCATAACAACATGCTAAAAAACTAAACCAAACGGTTGTAATAATGGATGCAGAAAAATATTTGATCAAATTGAACAGAAAATATATTCAGCAAACCAAGAACAGAGGTGAACATCCTCAACTTTATAAGAACCACCTACAAAAAACTTACAACTAATCTTATGTTTAATGACGAAAGGCTGATTATGTTCACTCTAAGAGTGGTAAAAATGCAACAATATCCATCTCACCACTCTTTGTTAACAGATTATAGGAAGTTTTAGACATTTCAGTACCACAATAGAAAAAATAAAAGGTAAGCAGATTGGAAAGGAAGAAAGAAAACTGTCCCTATTTGCAGATGAAAGGGTTATCTATACAGAAAATTCCAAAGAATCTACAAAAAAATTAAATTAAATTTAAAAAACTAGAACAAATAATTTTAGCGGCCTTGCCAGGATACAAGATAAATATGCAGAATGTAATTCCCCCAAAATTCCTAGCAGGGACATACACTTGAATCTGAAACAATTTAGCATTTTCTTATAAAATTAAGCATGCAATTACCAAACTGTCCAACAATTGCACTATTGATTATTTATCCCAGATAAATAAAAATTATATCCACACAATAACCTATAAGTAAATGTTCTTAGCCCTATATTCATAATAACCAAAAACCTGAAAACAGCCTGGATGAACTTCAACAAATGAATGATTAAACAATCTGTAATACATCTATAGTATAGATTACTAGTCAACAATTAAAAGGAAAACACTGTTGAAGTTTTCAATAGGGCAATTTAAAATGAATCTCCAGGTAATTATGTTGAGTGAAAAAAAAATCCCTAAAGGTTTACTGTATAATATACTGTATAGTAATAAAGCGTTGCTATATAATTCAATTTATACCACATTCATAATATAACCAAATTATAAAAGTGGAGAACAGATTATTACTGACTGCCTGGGATTAGAAAGAGGAAGATGGAGAAAGGGAAGTGAGTATGGATATAAAAGGATGACACAAATGATCCCTGTGGTGATGGAAAGATTCTATAAATGGACTGCATCAAAGTAAAAGTCAATATCCTGGTTGTCATACTGCACTATAGTTTTTGAAGATGTTACCCTTGTGGCTACTGGATTTGTGGTAAATGGGATTCTCCTGTATTATTTCTTACAAATGTATATGAATGTATAATTATTCTAGAATAAAAAGTTTAATTAAAAAAGTTAAATTGTTTCCTAAATATATAAAAAAAAAAAAAAAACCACACACAGTAATACTTTCAGCCAAGTAAAACAATGCATTTTGAGGATATTCGGGTAAAAAAAGTATGTGTGTGTGTGTGTGTGTGTGTGTGTGTATTTCACATATTTAAGTAAAAACTAAGTGATTTCTAGCACTAAAACTGAACATACATACAAAACTGTCATATTTCCTATTTTCGTTATATACCCAACAAAAAATGTCTGCATAATTTTGCTAAAAGTTATATGCAACTCGTTAAAAACAATATCAGGCATAATAGCAAAAAAAAATGGAAATAATCTGAATTTGCATCAACAGTAATAGAATGAATAAGTAAATAGTGCTATAGTCAAACAATGGAGAACTGTATAGCTAATGAGAATGAATAACTATTACTATACACAGTAGCGTAGATTAATTTCAGAAACATACTATTTAACTGAAGTAGAAAGTCCCAAAAGAATACAATTTGAGGCCGGGAGCAGTGGCTCATGCCTGTAATCCCAGCACTTTGGGAGGCCAAGGCGGGCAGATCACGAGGTCAGAAGTTTGAGACCAGCCTGGCCAATAGTGAAATCCATCTGTACTAAAAATACAAAAATTAGCCAGGCATGGTGGTGGGTGCCTGTAATCTCAGCTACTCAGGAGGCTGAGGCAGGAGAATTACTTGAACCCTGGAGGTGGAGGCTGCAGTGGGCCGAGAGTGCACCATTGCACTCTAGCCCAGGCGACAGTGCGAGACTCTGTCTCAAAAAAAAAAAAAAAAAAAAAAAAAAAAAGAATACAATTTGACTCTGTTTATATAAAGTATGAAAAGAGGAGAAATTAATCTATAGTGTTAGATGTATAGATGGTGGTTATCTAGGGAGGAGTAGAATCTGGAAATAGGACTGAGGGGGCTTCATGGGGAATAAAAATGTTCTGTTTCTTGATCCTTAAGCTAGTACTAGGGACTGTTCTTGTTATGAAAATGAACTCAAGGAGAGATAAATCTTCATGTATGTTATATGACAATAAGAAATATACTTAAAAAAAGATAAGTTCCATACTATGTCCCATGGTAAATACATATATGCAGTTCACATTCTTTGAATTTCTTTATACATTTCTACACATGAAATAATGAATGGACAGATAGTGATAGAATGGCAAAAATACAAATCACTGAAGATAACAAATGAAGAAACAATAATGAAATATATTTCAGGAAAATGCAAAAACAGAACTGAAAAATAAATTTTAGCAGTTAAATTAGTAGAAAATTTTTGAATGTCTCATTCAATAGAATTTTTACACTATTAGAAAAGAACAAGGAGATTTTATTGCAGATTTATCCATTTTTATCCATTTGGTCTCCCACCTAGCTGTGTGTGCTTAATCAGTTCTTCCTTATTCTACGTTTCTATTTTAACCTTTCCATTAGGATATGTTTTGTTCTTTTCTGCTTTTCATGGTGGGTGGGTGAGTGGGTGGGGGAGGCTTATTGATGTCAAATTATACTTGTATTAAATTTTTATCTTATAAAGAAATCCACACTACATTGTTTAATCTGTAAATGGAATGAGTATAGGCTAAATTCTTTCATCCAGGTCATGGACAATGATTTTAGGTAATATTTGCCTCAGGGCATATTCCCTGTGGTGACTATAATTAGAGAGTGCAGCTGTGGACTATAAGACTGTTCTTTTCTATAATCTTTTCCATGTGGCATTCACACAAGAATTTCTTTAGTTTTCAGAGGCAGCAACTCTTTGTCCAAATTAGTTCAGTTTGGTAGTTCTTCCAGATTCACTTCATCCTTGCTGTCTTTGATGATGAAACCTCCTGATTTCATAATGCCTCAGGCAAGGTGGGTCTGACATCCACCATTATTTTCCTAACACACTTCAACTTCTCTCCTACTTTGGAACCCATAAGTTTTTGTGCCTGGGATGTACAATAGTTTTGTCTGCCCTCTCTGTTTCGGCCCTGATCTATTTGTACTAGCCACACAGCCGGTAGATTGTCACATTTAGCATTCTGAGGAGTGTCAGAATCATTTTGTATCATTTCCATCCTTTAGGCAAGATCAGCTTATCAAATGAAAAGTGTTAGAATACATAATAGAAGCAGATCATAGAGTCTCAGACAAGGATCACATTGTATGGTGTGGCTACCATATTCCTTATTAG
This sequence comes from Homo sapiens, assembly GCF_000001405.40. NCBI lineage: Eukaryota > Metazoa > Chordata > Mammalia > Primates > Hominidae > Homo > Homo sapiens. The sequence continues at coordinate 33,172,779 of NC_000004.12, forward strand.
ACATTTGGAAGATGTAACTGCTGCTGAAAAAGAGGAATCTGAAAGAGAAACCAATGAGGTTTCTTTTGTTGCCACACACATTGGAGATGAGGATTGTGCCTCATCTACAATGTGTGTGTGGTAACAAAAGAAACTCCAAGGTGACATAGTGACAGAGACCATCTAGACCAACCATTCTTAAAGAAGCACCAGTGGAAGAGGAGTCTCCTCTGCCTTCTCAACTATAGCCAAGCCTCTGTATAATGAGGCTGTTTGCTTCCAAGGAGAATAATGCGTTTAACAGATATGGAGCACTCATTGTGCACACAGAAACTATTTCTAACACTTTATTTGCATTGTCTCATTTAATCCTTTGATAAAAGATTGAATTATAAAATCTTACTATGTCTCTTCTAGAGGTGTGAAATTGAAACAAAAAGAAGATAAATCACATGCCCAAATCCTACATCATATAACTTTTGGAGCTGGGATTTCTGTGCTGGCAAAGTTGACTCTAGAGTCTGAGTGCTTGGGTGCTTCTGGATGAGGAAGGAGAAATGAAATAGATTAATGCTTAAATACTATCATCCTGTAATGAGGACATAAAACTCCTAAGGAAAGACTAGAAACAATCTTCCTCTCTGTATGATATTTAGGGCTGTCTCAACAAAGTGCCACGAACTACGTGAGGTTCAAAAACTTGCCCAAAAGTCCAGCATTAGTATATGAAGCCAGGCCGACTAACTCCAATGCCCTGTGTATTAGTATCCTGTGACTGCTGTAGCAACCTTAAACTGGTTGGCTTAAAGCAATAGAAATTTACTGTCTCATAGATTTGAAAGCTAGAAGGTCAAAATCAAGAGTAGGCAGCGGCCATGCTGAAATCTGTAGGGAAATCCTTCCTGGCCACTTCCTAGATTCTGATGTTTATTGTTTATTTGGTTTTTGGTTTTGTTTTGTTTGTCCATCTTTGGCATTTCTTGGTTTGCAACTGCATAACCTCCATCCATGCCTTTGTTTTCACATAGCATTCTCTGTGTGTGTCTGTCTTTATTTACATGGCCACCCTCTTTACAAGCACGTCACTCATATTTGATTAGACCCACCCACCCCCCTACACCAGTATGACCCTACCTTAACTAATTATATCTGCATGCATCCCATTTTCAAAGTCACATCCAGAGGTACAGGGAAGTTAGGACTTCAGCACGTATATTTGGGGTGGAGAGAGTGCACTACTCAACCCACAGCACTCTCATTCAAGCTGTCTTGTTCAATGAGAAACATGTTATACCTCTTTATAGAAATCAAGTAGTAAGAAATAAAAGAGACAGAGTGGAGAGGTCATTCTTTTGGTCCAATGGTAGCCAAAGTCATTCATTTAACAAAATATTATTAGGTAATATTTACCATTTATTAAGCAATTTACTCTATGCCAAATTTCAGCCTAAAAATGTTATAAGGATTGCTCAATTTAATACTTAGATTTATCCTATGAAGTAGATCCTACTATCATCTGTAGTTTATAAATGAGAAAACTGAAATTTATATGAGTCAAAAACCTTATCTGGTGTCACATAAGTCACTGTAAGCTGAAGAGAAAAGGTTGAAATCCTGTATAATATGAAACTATTATCTGCACTGTTAAATACTTGCTTTGCAAAACAATATGTGAGTACACACAAAGACCGATACAAAGTTTCTGACATTCAGATGCTCATATCTATTTGATTTGTACATAGAGCTAAACTAAAAAATCATCATCAGGTAGAACAATAAAAAAGATTACTTTTAAAAAGTAACAAAAAACCTCAGAAAGAGAAGTGACTGTTTAAAACTTGTGATACATAGAATATGAATCTATAACATTTGGATTTGAGGGGTTTTGCATTATCTTTGCCTGCTCCTGACTTCATGCTTATGGTTTTTCTAATGCTAGTTGATTATTATAGAATAAATTTATGAAAAATCCTAATTATAAATTTGTTTGATGTTCTCAAATAAAAAGAACAACAAACAAAACAATTCTAGATAGGTCATCCAATTGTCAATGAGAAACATATAACTTATCAATCAGTAATGTATGGAAAATGTGACACTTTTTAACCCTTAAAAAAACAAATAAAAGTAAAAGCCAGTGCTAAAAAATGTGTTGAAACTACAAAGGATAATTCATAGTCAATTATAAATTCTGAATGATCCCTAAATAAAATTAATTAAATGCACATTTAAAAAATATATATTACCACTAATGGTTACATAATTACTGAAATAATAACCACATGGAAAGAAGGTAAAATTATAATGTCTAGTAAAAAATAAATGTATTCCATTGAAGTATACAAATATTTATTTTAATACACTAAATTTATATACATATATGTTTACACAGATATATACAGGTATAATAGTGATAATTTTACCTAAAAATTTCTGTGAAACATGTTAAAAAATAAAGCATTCTCTATGCAAAAGTACATGCAAAATCAGAACCCTAAGAGACATGTAGATTCATCATTTATTATTCAAATACATTATAAAAATGCCACAAAATAAAAAAATTTCCACCAGGAATATATTAGAAAAAACAATCTAGGCCAGGTGTGGTGGCTCACACCTGTAAACTCAACTTTTTGGGAGGTCGAGGTGGGTGGATCACTTGAGGTCAGGAGTTCGAGACCAACCTGGCCAACATGGTGAAACCCCCCCCATCTCTACAAAAAATACAAAAATTAGTATTATATAATCATTAGCTGGGCATGGTGGTGGGCGCCCGTAATCCCAGCTACTCAGGAGGCTGAGGCACGAGAACCAGGGAGGCAGAGGTTGTAGTGTGCTGAGATCACACCACTTCACTCCAGCCTGGGCAACAGAGCAAGACTCCGTCTCAAAAAAAAAGAAAAAAAAAAGAAAAAAACAACTTAAAGATGGGACATATTTTTCCATGAAAGTGTATATTTTGAACAAAGAAGAAAATTAAATTAAAGCACTCCAAATTTTCTAAAACAGAGAGGTTTTTTGGTATTTTTGGTCTTTTTGATCCATGGAAATAAATGAAGACCAATCAAATGAGAAAAGCAAAGGCTCTTTACTGAGAACTTGCTATAGCAAGGGAGTCAGCCACGACCACTTGTGTTTTGACAGAGACTCAAAGGCAGGCAGAGGAGTGTGAAAGCTTTAGAGTAGAAAAAGAGAAAGACTTCAGGTGTGCCCCCTTTGGAGGCTCTTGGCCTGGGGAAGCTGTAGGTGGTTAATTAGAAGTGGGGCATCCTATCAGTTGGTTAGGGGTGCATATTGGGTTTTCTCTGGTCTGTCTTAAGTTAGAAGCAGGTACAAAAAAAAAATTGAGACGCTCTCAGTTATTAATCAAGCCCTAGCCATTTGGGGCCAATTATTACAAAAGTCACATTTTAGTTTTCTGAATTGCTACTAGAGATATGCCTGCCTTCCTATAAGAATGCAATATTAGGTTGGCTTTCTGGGTTGCTTGTTGCAGTTAAGGAGGTTGGATTCCTGGGGAGGTTGCTGCAGGGTGTGAGTCAAAGTTCTATTTTTACATGTAGTCTTATCATTGTCTCCATATACAGGTTCTCAGCTCCTTGGTTGGGTTTTTTGATTTTCAATTAAAAATGAGAACATACAAGAGATTGCAAATGCCCATGCTTGAAACCAGAAGTAGCTTTCTGTTTTTGTTGTGTGTGTGTAGCTGTATCTATATCATATACTGGTAATGTTGTCAAGTTTTCTCTTTTCAATCCAGAAATTACTATCTTTTCACAAATAAACACCGGGAACTTTTGCCAGTAGAAGAACTTATAATGGTTGGGTAATGTTGGACTGTGTTTCTCCTGATAATAGTACAGTTTGAATCTTTTCTTTTTTGTTTTGAATTTTTCTACATTTGCAGATTGTAAGTATATGAAAGGAGAGGCTGCCAAAAGAAGGAAGTGTAATTGGATTTAACTTGTCCACTGAATTGGAAGATGTTCTATTCCCAGAGGCTTTCTGAAAAGTTGTAAAATTCCAGGCTTTATGAGTCTTGATTGCTGTAATTAACATATGTGAAGTCTTTCAAGTGTCTTCAGAAGCAAGTATATCTACTGAAAACTACCTTCAAGCAGCTTTTAAGTAGAAGAAAGTCTGCTCCACAGAGAATAGCTCTCCATAAACGCATGGCTATTATCAAGGTCATAGTTTAGTACAAAATAGTTAATGTAAGCCTAATTTTGTATGAAATGTATATAGTTAACTGTGAGAAGACTAAAACTGCATATTCTTTAGAAAAGCTGTTTCATTTCTACTCTCAGAAAGACAGGGAAATTATGCAAAAAAAATGGCCTTAATGAAAATATGAAAGAGAATGCATCATTTATAAGGAATTTGGTACCACCTCTCCAAGAAGTTCAGAATTTGAAATTTAGAGCCTTTTATCCACATGTGGACCAGCACCAGGTGTAATTTACTTTATGAGAGAAGGCAAGGTGTACTAGAAAAAAGACTGTACTTATTTCAGAATCAAAAGGCCTGAGTTCTAGTGATCCTTCTAACACCATTTGGAAAAGTGCCATCTTTCCCATTGGTAAATAAAGGAATTATGTTTGAGAATTTTAAATATTTTAAATATTTTTGGAGATTCTTTTTTTTGTTTGTTTTTTGGAGAAAGTCTTGGTTTGTTGCTCAGTGTGTAGTGCACTGACAAGATCATAGCTCACTGCAACCATGAGCTCCTAGGCTCAGGTGATCCTCCTGCCTTGGCCTCCCAAAGTGCTGGATCACAAGCATGAGCCACTATACCTGGCCTGAGGCTTATATTCTTAATGAAATTATTAGTCTTAAATATTATCGATTTTTAAATCATAGAGATTCTTTCTAGTATCATAATTACAATTCCATAGTCTCTGTTTTTGATCTCCTTTTAATGTTTAGCCATAATGGACCAGGGGGAGGCAAAAAATAATAGAAAAGATAAATCTTTTTAAGAAAATTATACTATAGTTATGAATACTATATGTAATATGAAATAAATGTATATCAATTTATGTTATCACATTTATAAGCAATATCATAATACAAAATCCTACATAAAACTCTATAGAAATATGTTCAGAAAAGGAAACAAACTATAATATTAAGACCCAAACAAAAATTTGTACTTTTTAAAGACAAATACACAATGAAGGGAAGGTAGATTGAGAGTTGTTTTTTTGTCTTTAGTAGACATCTGAAATATAAAGCCTTTTTGAAGAGAATGAATTTCAGTGCTTAAAATATTTATCAAAGTTTAATTCCTATAATAAATAGATGTTTCCTTTCATTGCTAACTAGCATTTCATATACTTGACCATATGGATGTACCACAGTTTGTTTATCCATTCACTGACTGAAGGACATCAGCTTTGTTTCCAATATTTGGTTACTAACGATAAAGCTGCTATATATATTCATCAACTTACTCTTTATAGATCTTTAAAAAATTGAATTTTCAAAGTAGATCTTAAATTAGAGTTTAAAATTGAATACTGCTATATCACTTCACATGTAGTAAAGGATTTTACAAAAGTATATTCTAATTCCTTCCATCTATCCTGTTTTATGTATGTTGAAATACATAACATATTTGTAATATTTTTACATAAACAGTTATGTTTTAGAGATTTTTCTGTTAAGCCAAAATTGAACTTTACCTTCCTTTATTACATTTCCAATGTTATTTATTCCTTTGCCCAATTCCACATGTAAATAATTATTTTTTTTCCTTATGAAGAACTTTCTTTAACACTTCTAATTCTCTGATTTGATTGGTTAACAAGTCTTTCATTTTTGAAAGACATTTTTGCATAGTAGAGAATTATGGGGTGACAGGTTTCTTTTTTTTTCTTTCAGCACTCTGAAGATGCTATTCTATTGCCTTCTGTATTGCATGGTTGCTCACAAAATGTCAGCCATAGTTCTCATATTTGTTCCTCTGTATGTAATTTATTTCCCTCTCACTGGCTGCATTCAATATTTTGTTTTCAGCAGTATAAATATCTGTAGGGCTTTTTCTTTGTTTTGTTTTAATTTTGCAGCATTTATTATACTTAGTGACCTCTGAGCTTCTTACAGTCTGCCATTAACTTTGGAAATCTGTCACTAATTGTTCAATTTTTGTTTTCTGCACTGTTTTTTTTTTTTAACCTTCTCTTTTCAGGATTTCAATTATGGATATTTGGAATGTTTTGTTTCACCTCAATTAAATGTTTTGGTCTGTTCTTTTTTTTTTTTCTTTCTTTCTATTTGTATTTCAGTTTGGGTAGTTTGTTTTGCCCTACCTTTAAGCTCACTGATTATTTTCTCAGCTGTGGCAAGTCTACTACTGAGCTCTTGAAGGCATTCTTTATTTATGTTTCTGTGTTTTCCTTTCCTATCAATTTTAATTAACTCCCTCTTTTAGTTCCTATCTTTCTGTTGAAATTAATTATGTGATTGCATGTGGTCTATAACTTTATTAAAGCCATTAATATATTAATCATAGTTATTTTATTTTATTTTATTTATTTAATTTTTTTTTCCCCAACTTTTTTTTTTCCCATAGGTTTTTAGGGAACAGCGGTGGTGTTGATTACATGAATAAGTTCTTTAGTGGTGATTTCTGAGATTTTGGTGCACCCATCACCTGAGCAGTATACACCATACCCAGTTTGTAAATTTTTAATCCCTCATCCCCCTCCCACACTTTCCCCTGAGTCCCTAAAGTCCACTGTATCATTCTTAAGCCTTTGCATCCTCATAGCTTAGCTCCGACTTATAAGTGAGAACATACAATATTTGCTTTTCCTTTCCTGAGTTACTTCACTTAGAATAATGGTCTCCAATTCCATCCAGGTTGCTGTGAATGACATTATTTTATTCTTTGTATGGCTGAGTAGTGTTCCATGGTGTGTATATATAAAACACACCATGGAATACTGTGATATATGTATATATCACAATTTCTTTATCTGCTCATTGATTAATGGACATTTAATATAATAGTATTCTAAATATATATATACACACACACACACATACATGTAAATACACACACACAACATGGAATACTGTGATATATGTGTGTGTATATACACACACACATATATGTATATCACATATATGTGTATATATATATACACACACACACACACATATATGTGTATCACAATTTATTTGTCCACTCATTGATTGATGGGCATTTGGGCTGGTTTCATATTTTTGCAATTACAAATTGTGCTGCTATAAACATGCATGTGCAAGTATCATTTTCATATAATGGCTTATTTTTTCCCTCTGGGTAGATAGGCAGCAGTGGGATTGCTAGGTCAAATAGTAGTTCTACTTTTAGTTCTTTAAGGAATCCCCACAGTGTTTTTCATAGTGTTTGTACTAGTTTACATTCCTACCAGCAGTGTAGAAGTGTTCCCTTTTCACTGCATCTATGCCAACATCTATTATTCTTTGATTTTTTGATTATGGCCATTTTTGCAGGCGTAAGATGGTATCACATTGCGGTTTTGATTTGCATTTCTGTGATCATTAGTGATGTTGAACATTTTTTCATATGTTTGTTGGCCATTTGTATATCTTCTTTTGAGAATTGTCTGTTCATGTTGTTAGCCCACTTTTTGATGGGATTGTTTCTCCTTGATAATTTGTTTGCGTTCCTTGTAGATTCTGGATGTTAGTCCTTTGTCAGATATATAGATTGTGAAATTTTCCTCCCACTCTGTTTACTCTGCTGATTATTTCTTTTGCTGTGCTTTTTAGTTAAATTAATTCTCAAATACTTGTCTTTGTTTTTGTTGCATTTGCTTTTGGGTTCTTGGTCATGAAATATTTGCCTAAGCCAATGTCCAGAAGGGTTTTTCCGATGGTATCTATTATAATTTTTATGGTTTCAGGTCTTAGATTTAAGTCCTTGATCCATCTTGAGTTGATTTTTTTATAAGGTGAGAGATAATGATCCAGTTTTATTCTTCTACATGCATCTTGCCAATTATCCCGGCAACATTTGTTGAATAAGGTTTCTTGAACCCATTTTGTGTTTCTGCTTGTTTTGTTGAGTTTGGGTGTGAGAATTTGGCTTTATTTCTGGTTCTCTATTCTGTTCCAATGGCCTATGTGCCATTTTAATACCAGTACTGTGCTCTTTTGGTGACTATAGCTTTTTGGTGTAGTTTGAAGTCAGGTAATGAGATGCCTCCAGATTTGTTATTTTTGCTTTGTCTTGCTTTGGCTATATGGGCTCTTTTTGGGTTCCATGTGAGTTTTAAGATGGCTTTTTCTAGTTCTGTGAAGAACAACATATTTTGATGGGAATTGCATTGAATTAATAGATTGTTTTTGGCAGTATGGTCATTTTCACAGTATTGATTCTACCCATCCATGAGCATGGGAGGAGTCTCCATTTGTTTGTGTCATCTATGATGTCTTTCAGCAGTGCTTTGTAGTTTTGTCTGTAGAGGTCTTTCACCTCCCTGGTTAGGTATATTCCTAAGTATTTTATTTATTTTATTTTATTTTTGCAGCTATTGTAAAAGGGGTTGCGTTCTTGATCTGATTCTCAGCTTGGTCGCTGTTGGTGTATAGCAGCACTACTGATTTATGCACATTAATATTATATCCTAAAACTTTGTTGAATTCATTTATCAGTTCTAGGAGCTTTTCGGAGCAGTCTTTAGGGTTTTCTATGTACCCAGTCATATTGTCAGGAAACAGCAACAGTTTGATTTCCTCTTTACCAACTTGGATGCCCTTTATTTTTTTCTTTTTTCTGATTGCTCTGCTAGGACTTTCAGTACTATGTTGAATAGAAATGGTGTGAGTGGGCAACCTTTTCTTGTTTCAGTTCTCAGGGGGAATGATTTCAATTTTTCCCCATTCAGTATTATGTTGGCTGTGGGTTTGTAATAGATGGCTTTTATTACATTTAGGTATATCTTCTATGTTGATTTTGCTGAGTGTTTTAATCATAAAGAAATGCTGGATTTTGTCAAATGCTTTCTCTGCATCTATTGAGATGATCATGTGATTTTTGTTTTTAATTCTGGTTATGTGGTGTATTACATTTATTGTCTTGCATATGTTAAACCATCTCTGCATCCCTTGTATGAAACCCATTTAATCATGGTGGATTATATTTTTGATATGCTTTTGGATTTGGTTAGCTGGCATTTTCTTAAGGGTTTTTGCATCTATATTCATTAGTTGTTGTTACGTCCTTTCCTGGTTTTGGTATTAATGTGATACTGGCTTCATAGAATGATTTAGGGAGGATTTTCTCTTTCTCTATAGTGTGGAATAGTGTCAATAGAATTGGTACCAATTCCTCTTTGAATGTCTAGTAGAATTCAGCTGCGAATCTGTCTGGTCCTGGACATTGTTTTGTTGGCAATTTTGTTTTATTACCATTTCAATCTCACTGCTTGTTATTGGCTTATTCAGAGTTTCTATTTCTTCCTGGTTTAATCTATGAGGGTTCTATATTTCCAGAAATTTATCCATCTTCTCTAGGTCTTCTAGTTTTTGTGCACAAAGGTGTTTATAGTAGCCTTGAGTGATCTTTTGTATTTCTTTGGTGTTTGTTGGAATATTTCCCATTTCAGAAGTTTTGATAGGTTGTGTCACTATTATCATTCAGTTCAAATAATTTTTAAATTTCTACCTTGATTTCATTATTAACCCAATGATTATTCCGGAACAGGTCATTTAATTTTCATGTATTTGCATGGTTTTGAGGGGGTTTATTTTGGAGATGATTTCCAATTTTATTCTACTGTGGTCTGAGAGAGTACTTGCTATAATTTTGATTTTCTCAAATTTACTGAGACTTGTTTTGTGGCCTATCGTATAGTTTATCTTGGAGAATGTTCTATGTGCTGATTAATAGAATGTATATTCTGCAGTTGTTAGACAGAATGTTCTGTAAATATCTGTTAAATCTTTTTTTCTAGGGGATAGTTTATATCAATAATTTTTTTATTGACTTTCTATCTTGATGACCTACCTAGTGCTGTCAGTGGAATATTGAAGTCCCCCACTTTTATTGTATTGCTGTCTATCTCATTTCTTAGGTCTAGTAGTAATTATTTTATAAATTTGGGAGCTCTAGTGTTAGGTGCATATATATTTACAATTGTTATGTTTTTCTGTTGGAGAAGTCCTTTTATCATTGTATAATATCCCTCTTTGTCTTTTTTGACTGCTGTTGTATTAAAGTTTGTTTTGTCTGACACAAGAATAGCTATTCCTGCTTGCTTTTGGTGTCTATCTGCATGAATATCTTTTTACATCATTTTACTTTATTTGAGTCCTTATGTGTTAGGTGAGTCTCTTGAAGACAGCTGATACTTGGTTGGTGATTTCTTATCTATTCTGCCATTCTATATATTTTAAGTGGAGCATTTATGTCATTTACATTCACAGCATTGAGACATGAGATAGTGTTTTATGTATTGTGCTATTTGTTGCCTGAATACCTTGTGTGTTTTTATTGTAATTGTGATTTTGTTTTATAAGCCCTGTGATATTTATGCTTTACAGAGGTTCTATATTTTGGTGTATTTTGAATATTTGTTTTAAGATTTAGAGCTCCTTTTAGTAGTCTTGTAGTGCTGGCTTGGTAGTGGAAAATTCTCTCAGCATTTGTGTTTCTGAAAAAGACTGTATCTTTCCTTCATTTATGAGGCTTAGTTTCACTGGATACAAAATTCTGGACTGATAATTGTTTTGCTTAAGGAGGCTGAAGATAGGGCCCCAAACCCTTCTAGCTTGTAGGGTTTCTGCTGATAAATATGTTGTTAATCTGATAGATTTTGTAATAGTTATTTTAAATTTCCTCTCAGTTCTAAGATAGGTGCCATGTCCAAGTCTAGTTCTAATGATTGTTTACAATATGCTTTTACCAATGAGCAGGAGTGATGGTTGCCTGCTTCTCCCCACAATCTCATAGATCATGACTTTTTTTTTCATGAACAAAAGAAATTGGATCTAGAGGAAGTTTCTTGCTTCTTCCACATGATATCTGCTGTTTTCCTTCCTCAAGCCTGTACCACAATAGGAATTTATCAGGGCTTTCTTCAATTATTTTATGAATGCCTAGTGGAGTTGGTAGAGAAAGACCTTGAAATGTATAGATTCCTCCAGTTTTTATAGCTCCGAATTTTCACACTGTCTTCTGAATTTGGCATTTTAAAATTGTCAGCACTTCTTTTTCAACTCTTTTTATTGGTATCTGGTCATGTCTACTAAAATAAATGAATGCTTTATCTCTCTTCCTTCTTTCAACGTATTTTGGGGAAGTTGTCCTTCCACTCCAGCTCTGTTTTGAATACAGTAAAAGTCATGATATTAACTATAAGAGCAAAACTACTTCTAGCTTTCTACATCTTGAACATGAAGCCAGATACCATGTATTTTGAAGATAAAATGAGATAACAACAACAATCATGATCATCATGATAATAAATTTTATACTTACAAAAGGAGTGCTGTTCTAAGTGCTTTAACTTCACTGTCTCATTTATTATCATTGTAATAATATAAAGTAGGGTAGATATTCTTATTTATATTTTCCAGACAAAGTATAGAGACAAATACATATTGCGGTATTGTATTTATGCAAATTGCTACATGAAAAGTAAAAACTTAAGCCAAATCCTGACCCACAGTCTATACCAGTAAGCATTAAACATGTTTTGTTTCTGTCATGTGAGGGAGCAAATGAAAGCATCTAACATATCTCACAACGTTTATGGCTGTAATTGGTAGATGCTCAGCAAATGTTTTCCTCCTCTCTTTTCTATTCTTTGTTTCAAGTTCTTGCTGACATTTATTGTCATCTCAAGAATGCCAAAATTCATTAAAAACAATTCTTGTTCTTTTTGCAAGCCTTTGCACAGTGTTTTTTTTTTTTTAACACTGTCACATTGTTTGTGACACATGTTACTCAGCAGCTTGAGCATTTTAGTTCACAAATAGAATCTGAGTTGTTATTGATTTATTTTTCCCCTACTTAGGGCAAAGTAAACTTTCCAACTTGTGTTTGTTTTTAGTTAATAAGCGGATTGAGTGGTTAGTGGTGATGCTTACTTCTTGTGGTTACTGTGGCCAGAGCTGAAGCTTCCGGCCACTTAGGAAAGCATCCAGTGTTAGTGTATGCTATTTCCCCTTTTGAAGGTAAGAAATGAGTACACAAGCAACAGAGAAATAAATAATCTGAGAGTATTTATAGGAGCTACACTATGCAATTTTGACCTAAGTCATTTCCCAGAACAGCAGCTCTATCATACACTGATGATTTATAAAGGCTTAGATTGCCCTCTTGAAACCACAAATCTGTTACACTGATGTCTTTAATTTCCTTTTGTTCTGTCCTAAGCTAACCCTATCATTGTCAAGCACCAACAGGGCACAGAGAGAGAAATCCAGGTGGGAGCATTCAATTTAACCAGAAACTATATTCACAGGCCCCTCTTGATCTAATCAGAATTCCAGACATTTTCTTTCAGAAGAAAGCTTTGTCTTCATATCTTGTCATGTTAAAAGACACTTAAAGCTCTTATTAGAACACAGTTCAATTTTAACCTTTTGAGACACAATGGTCTTTAATTAATAAGCTAATGGACCCCATTTTTTTATTCACTTTGACAGTCAGTGCATGGACATCTGATTTTGATTTGAATTGCTTATCTCATAAAGATATCAGTCTCTTTGGTTACCCTTTTTGTTTCAGAACAGTCCTATTTTATGCATTTTCCTTCTTAATATCTCATATTTAAAAAAAATTAGGACCAGGGGCAAGAATTTCTTACCTAAAAGTAATTTTCCCAAATCTAAACAATTATTTCATATACATTCTATATTTATTTTATGTAAAATAAAAGGATAATTTAATAGTTTTAGGAACAGTCCTGTGGGAGGTAGAATTCCAAGGTGACCCCAAGTGACACTCATCTTTATATAATCTCTTCCTCTTATGAGAATGGAACTTATGAATATTACAAAACGTCATTCCTGTGATTATGTTACTGTTATAGAGTGTATTTTTTGTATAATCCAAAATTCATATGCTGCACTCCTTACCACCAATGTAATGGTATTAAGAGGTAGGTCTTTTGAGAGGTGCCTAAGTCATGAGGACCACTGATGAACCAGGAAGCAGGACTTTGTCAGATATCTGATTTGCTGGTGCCTTGATCTTGGCTTTCCCAGGCTCCAGAATTCTACATTTCTGTTGTTCATAAGTCATCCAGTTTATGGCACGTTCCTATAGCAGCCTGCACTAAGACAGATAACTTCTGTGGCAAAAGGGGTTTGAAAATACAATAATGCCCCAAATTGATTGACCTTAAGATAGGAAGATTATCTGGATGGGACTGACCTGATCACATGAGCCTTTTAAATCTGGGTCTAGAAGTCAGAGATGGAGGAATTCAGGGACTCAAAGCAAAAGAAAGATTTGATGTGCCATCACTGGCTTGAAGATTGAAGGTGTCACATGGCAGGGAATGCAAGCAGCCTCTAGCTGAGAGTAGCCCCTGAATGACAACCAGCAAGGATATAGAAATCACACACTGAATTTAATTCAAGTAACTTAACCCTGCCAGAAAAAATGAATTTGAATTTAGAATTTTCCCCAGAGCCTTTAGACAAGAACTCAACTACCCTGACATCTGTATTTCAGTGTGGTGATACCATGAGCAGAGAACCTAGTCATATCATGTTAGATTTCTGATCTACAAAACTTTGAGCTAATAAGTGGGTGTTGGTAGTTCAGGTGTGATGGTTCACACCTGTAATCACAGAACTTTGGGAGGCCAAGACAGGAGGACTGTGTGAGCCCAGAAGTTCATGTCCAGCTGGGACAACATGGCAAGACCCCCATCTCTATAAATAAATAAATAAATAAATAAATAAATAAATAAATAAATAGGGGTTATTTTATGTTGCTAAACTTGTGGTAAATTGTTATGCATAATAGAAAACAGATGCATCTCTATTCTGCTTGTGTTATGCTGAATATTCATTTGCCTCATGCTCTTCCTACAACTAATGATATCCACATTTTTGTTACCTGCCTGGAAATTTAATTATTTAAAATAAAAAAGCATTCATTAAAGTAAGTCAAATAGCTGTCACACAAGTGATAGATTTACTTCATAGAAGGATTCATTCAGTGTTTAAAGACTTATATTTTGTCTATATCTTAATAAACATGTTATTGTATACTTTCTATTCTGTAAGGATCAAAATTAGATTATAAAGGAGAATAAGTTGAGAAGTAAAAGCTGAAAGGCTCATAAGTAAGAAAAATACATAAATTTGTAAAACAAACTAAAGAGACACAAAGCAGTGTAGTCTGAGCTCACTAACTCTTAATTATGTTCATTTGAAGAAATAGAAGCAGTGAGTGAGTTTACTCTGATTCCCCAGAGGAAGTGGGTAACATTAAGTACTGGATTGACTGTGTTACTTTAAACCTTGAGATAAAAAAAGACCCACAGAAGTTTTTGCTCATTAAAGAGAATTTTAAGAAAAGTCTGTCTTGCAAGTACTCTAGAGTAAATGGGCAGCTATCTTAAGAAATAAACTTTTGTTACATTTAGCCCTTGGAGTTCCAGAGTTGTTTGTTACCACAGCCTCAACTGAAACTGTCCTGACTGACCTAAATATATTCATAACTCCAGTCTTCTTAGTTTTTATGCGATACAAATTCATTCTTGTAGTTTCTTATGTGAAAAGTATTAAAATTATCCTTAACCCTTCTCTTTCTCTCTTTCATCACTGAATATTCAACATGAAATCTATAACTAATCTTGTTGTTTCTATCTCCAAAATGTATTAGCTTCTCACCATTACTGCTCCACCATGACCTAAACATATGAGCCCAATGGTTACAGAATCTTTGGGGTGTCAATTTTCTGGCCAGAAACCTCTGTGGCTGGTGGCTTCTTTTTCCGAGTTTTTCTTGGGCCCACTGGGCTCATTCTTCCCACTCAGCCTGGCAGACTGCACTCTGCTCACACTACCAGCCTGGATACCACCTCTGCCAATGTAGACTGCATGGACTGGTAAGGGATGTGTGAGCAGGTGTAGGCTCTGGCCACTGTGCAGTCAGACATGCTGGCTACTACAGCAAGGCAGGCAGTTCCAGGTGCCAGCATGGGCACTTGCTCTCTCTGAAGCTGCTGCTGGACCAGACACACCACAAACAGCTTCCACAGCTAGCACCAGGGAACATGGTGGTGTCTGGAAACTTGGAGATGCCAGGAACCACGGGACCCCAAAAAGGGAGTGACAGCTCTGGATCAGGGAGCTCCCAGGTCTGGGATCCCCAATGGACCATAGCTTTTCTTTCCTTATCTTTTCCCGAAATGTGGCAAGCAAGGGGCATGTCTCAGCCCTGTTCGTGTTACCGCTCTTTTAGCCTCATTCAGTGGGTCCAAAGTTATTGTCCTCTGCCCAGGAAGAATAAGGTATGCAGACAAGTGAGGGTGAGCAAGACAAAGAGGAGCTTTATTGAGCAATAGAATAGCTCCAAGGAGACCGGCAGTAGGTAGCTCCTTTCTGCAGCCAGGGTGTCCTGACAAGTGTTCAGTTCCTAGCAGAGAGGAGACCCTGGAGTGGGAAGCTCCTTTCTGCAGGCAGTCGTCCCATCACCTCTGAACCTCTCAGCAGAGAGGAGGCCTTGAAGTGGGTTGCTCCTCTCTGCAAGCAGGTCCTCCCATCATCTCCTCAGCTCTCAGCAGAGAGGAGGCCCTGTAGTGAGTTGCTCCTCTCTGCAGCTAGTCATCCCAATGTCTCTGCAGATCTCAGCAGAAAGAAGGCCCTGGAGCAGGTTGCACCCTCTGCAGGCAGGTTATCTCATCATCTTCCCAGCTCTCAGCAAAGACGAGGCCCTGGAGTGTGTAGCCCTTCTCTGCAGGTGGTCATCCCAAGGTCTACTCTGCTGTGGCTGAGCCCATGAGCCTCGGAGTGGAGGAGGTGCATGATGATTGTCATGGATGGCCATGGATGGGCCCGGAAAAATGACTACAGGTTCCCACTCTAGTTAGGGACTGGCGGCCTGGTCCCCAGCCTTCAAGCCCTCCCTGGTCTGAAGGTGGAGCCTCAGCAGGGACCTGCCCCCTTCCAACCAGAACCCTGTCTGCCTCCATCCATGGGTCCAGGCTGCTCGCACCAGGGGGCACCCACAGGCAAGTACCAAGCTGCCCTCAGCACCCCATCGGCTCCCTCCTACCACACTTGTTGGAGCCCAAAGTCCAGAGGGAGGTGAGGCAGCAAGGGCCTGGCATGTCAATGTTGTCCCAGCACTCAAGGGTGGCACAGGGCAGACTGGATTGCGGCCTAGAGCCTGGCTGTTGGGAGTGTCAGGCTCAGCAGTCATCCCAATGTGGGGCAGACCCCAGGCAGCCCTGCACAGAACCTCCTCCCAAGGCACAGGAACTTTGCACCCTTGGTGGGGTGGGTGCAGTGGCCAGGTCCCTGAGGTGGGCACCAGTCCTATTTCCTGTCCCAAGGCTCAAAGCACAGCCCAGCTCCTTGCTTTGGGCTTGGCCCCTGTGCTTTGTGTGCAAGTGCGGCACTGCCCCAGGTCCAGCTTTGCCTCAGGACCCCCCTCTGTTTAACTGCACTACTCCCCCACCAGCAGGTGTCACAGGCCAGCCCCATCCTGGCAGCCCTCAGGGTGGTGGGCTACAGAGGTGGGCTACCCACCTTCTCCCTGTGCTCTCCCTGCAGTGGCTGGCATCATGGCAGTGGGTGCTCCAGGCAGTCTGCTGCTGCCATCACAGTTGTTACAGTAGCTTTCAAATTGCTTTTCATAAAAACTGGCTAGGTATCTTCCCTGATAAATGATATATTTGGTTAGATAGTCTATTATAAATAGACTAATAGACAAAATAGACATAGACCTAAAAGAAGGAGAAGCTACCTGGGATATGAGAAAGCATCTCAATTCAAGTAGTTTCAAAATAGGAGGTGAATGACTTATGCTTGCTCTCCAGGTAAACTCAGTAGACATAGGATCAATTTTATTAAAATTTGTTCTTTTAAAGAAGATATAAATGTGAAAGGAGAAGGACAAAAACAACCCTTCGGTGTTGGATTAAATTTAGAAATGTTAGCATTATTTTATGATTCAATCAATATATATTTTCTAAGGGCTGAATGCTGTGAAAGGGCCAAGGTGTAAATCACACCTCCAAAAGAATGAGCATGTTTAGCACACTAATTTACTTTAAGATATTATCTCCCATTGTAAGGGACTAGGCTTCCTGGACAAATGGCCAGTTCTAGGATTAGATGAGAGAAAAAAACATGTTGAACCCAAAATACATTATTGTACCAAAGAAAAAGCAGGACTCAAAACCTGGTGAAAACATGTCAAAAGGATACAGGAGCCAACTTGAATTGGCTCGCACTGGCCAATAGGAGCAATATGAGCCTTGCAATAAGTAATGACAGTGACAGAGAATGACATATATAAAATATAAGATGTGTCCCATAAAATATTTCAAGATGTATTCCTTGAATTGCATGGAATCACACCCAGATAATTCAACTGAAAAGACTTCAGTGAAAAAACTACTGAAGAAGTATGAGTAAGTCTGACAGAACCAAAATGAGATGCCAAGGTGTCTGGTGTCAATAGCAGTACAGCTTAATGGGGCTGGGTGAGGATTTTACTATACACCTGGTACTGGGTGAGGACTTGAACTGTGGAGTTAGAACTATTGAGATTTGATGGACTTCACAAGATCCTTGAAGCAGTGAGTGAGTGGGGATCTCTATATTCTGTTACCCACAATATCTTGTTGGTGTCTCCTTTTGGTCTGAACTTACAGGAGTGTCCAGGTGATGCATCCGCATGAGTCTGCCCCACATAGAAGAGCTGGGCAGAAACAGAATCTGGCAGAGCCAATATATGAAACACTAGCACAATGGCATCTCTTTCCATAAATTCCAACTACCTGGAAATAACAGTTTAGCATAGTTCCAGGATTTTATTATAATGCTTTAAGTCACCTTAATTCTATTTTATAGTTATTCCAATTACTTACAGTCCTGAAACGTGACAAATATCTATCATTTGCCATTGCATTGGCATACATAGTTCTTTCATTTGTTCAAATCTGTTTTATAACAGCTATTTGATTTTAAGGAATTTTCTGAGGGTCTTCAATCTGACATTGCAAGAATACCCAATAGATCTTAGATTCCTCTTGACCTCGTGATATCTTTTCCCTTCTTTTTACAAGACACAAAAGTGAAACAGAGAGAGAAAGGGTGATAAAGCTGAAGGCACTAATATTTCAAAAGGAGTTCAGTCACAATTTCTACTTTAAGGTAAAGTTGAAATACTCACTTGCATTATTATTTTTCCTTCACAATCTATTATTTTCATGAGCATGAAAACATATTTAATA
This sequence comes from Homo sapiens, assembly GCF_000001405.40. NCBI lineage: Eukaryota > Metazoa > Chordata > Mammalia > Primates > Hominidae > Homo > Homo sapiens. The sequence continues at coordinate 33,191,201 of NC_000004.12, forward strand.
TCACTCATCTTAACACAGAAGAAAGGGGAAGAAAAGTCATCATTTGAACTCATTCTTTCTCCAGGGATTTCCTCCGTTATATCAAAACTTCAAATCACTATCATCACTTCCTGTCCTCCAAATCTCCAATTAACCAATGTAATCAGGCAAATTTTCTTACCACTTTACAGAAAAATTTTTTTTAAAGTTATCAATAATCTCTATGCTACTTAGTCCAGTCGTCAAGTTTAATTTCATAATTAGCAGCATTAGGCGTAAATGATCATTCAATTCTTTCTTAATCATTCCTTCCCTTGTATTCTGGGATACCATTTCCTTTTGGTTTTCCTCCTATCTTGCTCAGTGAGATTACTTTCTCAGTTTTCTTTGCTTCTCTCTCACTTTACTGACTACTCAAATTTGTGTGACCTGTTGCTTGAGGTTTGTATTTTTTTTTCTATCTACATTTCATTCTCAAGATGATGTCTATAAACTTTAAATTCTAACCCAGATGACTCTTCTGAATTATTTATTTATTTATTTATTCATTTATTTGAGACAGAGTCTCATTCTGTCACCCAGGCTAGAGTACAAACTCCGTCTCCCAGGTTCAAGTGACTTTTGTGCCTCAGTTGCTGGAGTAGCTGGGATTACAGGCGTGCGCCGCCACCCCCGGATGATTTTTTTGTATTTTTAGTAGAAATAGGGTTTCGCCCTGTTGGTGAGGCTGGTTTCAAACTCCTGACCTCAAGTCATCCACCAGCCTCAGCTTCCCAAAGTGCTGGGATTACAGGCATAAGTCACCGCACACAGCTGTGACTCTCCTGAATTCTATACCCAAATAGACAACTCTGTATTTGGCATCATTTCTTTGATGTCTAATAAGAATTACAAACTTGGCATGTGTAAATATAAGTGTATTCTGATGAATCCTAAGCCATTAAACAAATATCTCCAGCTTTCTGACACATGGTAAAATAACACCTGTAGACCCCTTTTGAGTATAAATGTAGAAAGTACATTTGCTTTGGCAAATGAAGTATAAGTTATGAGTTTTGTTTCTGGAAAGAAGCTTTAAGATTTAGTGCATGAACCAGTATGTTTCCCGACCTGTGCCACAGTGATTATTCAAACGCTCATCAGTGTGGACCTTCCTCAGCCTGGGCCTGCGAGTACCTATGACAAGCAGAACTTTTGCTTGTTGATTTTCTTCGGACATGTGTCAAAGCCTGAAATGAATGTTTATTGTTTTTAGCACCTGAGATTTTGAAGTTGCTTGTTATCACAACATAACTTAGACTATTCTGACAAATATGCATTTCTGAATGTGCCCTTTCTCTAGTTTTTAAAAATTTTAGTCTGACACAACTTTACTCTTCTAGGTAGACCTAAATCATGAAATTATCCTAGACTCCTCTTTTACTAATATTGCACATCTAATCAATCACCAAATATTGTTATCTCTATCTTCAAAATGTATCTACTTCTCACCGTTTACTGTTTGAACCTACCTGAAGGAACTATAGAATCTACTATCCTTGACTGGATTTTTACAGTAGCCTCCAACTGTTCTTCACATCCTTTCCTTCTTCTCAACTGAGTAGCCATAATGAGTCTTGTAAAGACAGATTATATAATTCCACTCACTGATCAAAGCCTTCCAATCACTTCCTATCTTAACCAGTGGAAAGCCAAATTACTGCAAAACCTTTAAGGTCTGGCCTCTCTAACTTCACAGGCCCTTATCCTCAGTAGGCTTCTTGCTATTCCTTTAACATGAGCCAAATATGTTGTCCTCTCCAGATATTTTTCCTTACCAAATCCTCTATCTAATGTATTTCCTCTGACCGTTTCTTTAATTTGGCACTCATCAGTGTATCTTCCAACAGCTATAAACAGCATTTTCTCCCACTTGCAGAACTTCTTATATTCTTACCTCTGATTATTTTCTTCCATGGCATTTATATAGCCTGAACCTTATTTATTTATGTATTTACTTTTTTTATTGTCTCTTTCATTCACTACAGTATAAGCTTTTTCAGAATAGGGCAATGGCTGGCACAAAGTACAAGTTTGATAAATAAACAGTGAATTAAAGGTAAATAATTTATTTGAATTTGTTAACAGCTTGGATGGAAAATCAATTTACTCTCAAAGGTCATTTATTGTCTGTTGGTTGTGATTATCTAAGGATTTGTGGAGTGGATACAGAAGTCACATACTGGCTCAGTGGAAAGTGTATCATGATTACTTAGAGGTGTCTTCCATAACTTCAGGACGGTTGATATTTGCCTGTCTCCAAAATTTCTCATACAAAAGTAAAACGTGTAACCTTTGCGTTAATACTTAACTCTGATTTCTAATCAGAGATTTTAAGAGCTTAGTCACTCATAGTGGTGGTGGTGATGATGAAGGCAGAAGGGGATATTAATTACCGACTTGATACACTTAAGAGCTTCCAAAATCACCGTGGTGACCTTAGAAACCCATTTCCTCACATATTCAGCTTCTTTCTTTCTTTCTCTTTTCATGATTTTCTCTCTTTTGTTGTGCTTTCCTCTATTTTTTACTCCCCCGCCTACATTTTTGTCTTTTCTGTGAAGTCATTTGGTTGCATTCCCAGATACTATTTAGCCCTACTGACAGTAATATCAACTAATGATATTTTTCCTTCTGTTCTACTTAAGTTAAAAATGATCTAATTGCTACCATCATCAACAAATTAATTTCTAAATTATGCAATATTCTCAGATTAATATTGCATGCCAATACTCTTCTGTCCTAAAATAAGGCATCAAAATTATCTAATGGAATTCCAGGACTACCTTTTATGTGTGCTAGCACAGTTCTTTGCATAAAGAGGTAAACATTTGTTGAATAAATGTTGTAAATAATTTGTGGCTAGCTGCTCTATCCCAATCGTTTTCTGTGGACTGCAACACATTTTTAAAGAAATTTTATGCAAAACAACACAAAAACACAATTTTGATCAAACTGTGTCACAAACTTAGGTCTTATAAAATTATAGAATTATGGTTTTGAGGCCCATATATACTTAATTAGTGCATATTGTCTCTATTTTAGCCTCTCTTTAGCATCAGATAGTCTGAGATCTTAAAATGGTCAAATAGCAAAATTTTACAATTATATAAATCATATCCTACATTAACATCAAGGGCAAATATCAAGTGAGAATTATCAAAAGTAATCCTTTCTAAAACTATAGAAGTGACATGCTGTTTTTAGTAATTTTTAAAAATTTTTTATAAGAAATTATTTTTGAAATATTTGAAATTAGCTTTACTTTGTGTATCTAAACGGGAAAAAAAAGCCAAAGAAAAATTGTTGTAAATGTAAAATAATCGCACCATTTTATATCAACCTTCCTATCATCAGTTACTACATTCAACTAGTTCAAGTGTATATCAATTCATTCCTTATTAATACTCAAACCCTCTCAATGTTAAATCTGTAAAAATGCTAAGGATACAACACTTAGTAAGACTGGGTCTTGGCCTTAAGAAATCTGCAGTCTGGCAGATAATAAAACATGTAAACCAATACGCCTAACAAAATATTATGAAGTTCCAAGACTTGACAGGAAACAATTTTAGGAAAGCACAAATTGTATTAAGCTGAAACTGATTTAATTTAAATTTCATTCTACTCAGGACTCCAATTTCAATGTTTAATTCAACCCCAATACTTTATATGTGACTTTTTTCCTTGTATATTTTGATTTGTTTTTCTTTTATTTTAAGCCACTCAGAGCTATAAATTTTTCTTACTTTTTTATGCATATATAAAGTAAGCTCTGTTTTTAGAATATTTCAAAGGATAAATAAACCGATTATTTTGCCTACCACAACAAAGCTGTAGCTAATCAATTAGGGTTGATTGATCTTGAAAGTCCATTCTCTAGAGTTAGGGAAAGTTCTCCTATATTTGTAAAATGGTAATGTAATTTAGAGACTTAAGTATGATTATGAAAGAGCATTAGTTTAACCAAGTACCTATGAAATGTTGTAAATAGACTTTGAACACAAACAAAACATAATCTACAAATAGAAAAATAAAAAAATGTGGGAAATGTAAAAATCCAAAACTTTGAATTTAAAGAAAGAGATATTTTTTCACTTCCATGAGAATATAAAATAAACATGCATAAGACAGTAAGTGTAATATAGATGTACACTCATTTTACTGAGGATAGATTTGTTTTCAAAGCTTATACAACTTGAAATGGGTATAGTTTTTCGGTGGTAAACTATAGTCTTAACATTGACATCTAAAAACCTAAGTTCAATATATCAAATTTTGTGCTAGCCATCTTGTACTGGAAAAGTTGTTTAACATCTGAAAATGTTAATTCTCTTGCTTTAGAGTACAAATACTTTACCTCTAACATCACTGTTTCAAATCCGAATGAAATCATGTATATAAAACCATTATATACTTCTTTTTTAATGAGATAGTTCCTGAAATGTAAGGACAGATTTTTTCCCTTTTTTTAAAAATCAGAATAATAGGAATTTTATGTTCTTCTTTTCTACTTTTACATTGTGTTATTAAATGTTCAGTAAGATTTTTCTGGCTCCATATTATTCTATATGATGGTTGCATTACACTTTCCTTAACTATTCCATTATTGCTAAATATTTATATTGTTTCCAATTGTTCGTTTATATATAATGTTCTTCCAAACATTCTTATTCTGGAGCTTGTGTACATCTTTGATATTATTTTCCTTCTAAAAAATTCACAGATGAATTACTAAATGAAGAGATTATTTTTAAGGTTTTTGTTACAGATTGACAAATTGCTTCTAAGAATAGTATTATGGATTTATAGTAAATGAGAGAAACAAGATTTGAGACCACATATACTTAACTCTAAAACTCATGCTCTTTTTCTAACATAAAGTCCTTGTATTTGAAAGACTACGAGTGAAGGCTAATAGACATAGCCTTACAAATATTACATATAAAACAGAAATAGATTTATATAGCTTTCTCCTTAAGTAGTCATTGATGAGCCAAGCACATTTAGTGAACGTAATTGTCATGGAAATGGTATAATGTTAACCAAGTATGTGTACCTCTTGTAGTCAACCTTTAAATGGGAATGCAACTTGAACTTACATAATTTAGAAGAGTAGATGAATAGTACATGCTTTAAACTAGCTATCTAAAGTTCACTTACTATACACATGCATTTTTAGAAGTAGGATGGCAGACAACTTAGCAGACAGGTTGTATTTTTGGTGAGTGCCTGAGAAATGGTTACTTATATTTTGAAAATATTTTACATTTCTATAACCAGAATGACCCCTGGCTTATAACAAGGAGTCAATAAATATTTGATAAATATAGGATAAATAATAGGAGAGACATACATTTTAGAAATCAGACCAAAAAACTGTGTGGCTGAAAATTTGAAAGCCTGATGAGAATAATTGTCCTGATGGAAGAGCAGTTTCCTATCATGTCAAGGCAGGTTTGCATGCCACCATGGGCAAAGTGCAAACTTCTTCAGACACATGTGTAATTCAATTTTTAATCTATTGGGAATATAAGTATAAAAATTAAAAGAAAATAAAATTTCTATAACCTTTGGGCAATGATAGACAAAAAAAGAAGGGTTGGAACTGTGCTCTGCCTGCTAATGGAATTTCACCTCACAGAGGAGCTTGTATTAGTCCATTCTCATCCTGCTATGAAGAAATACCCAAGACTGGGTAATTTATGAAGAAAGAGATTTAATTGGCTCACAGTTTCTCATTGCTGGGGAGGCCTCAGGAAACTTACAATCATGATGGAGAAGCAGGTGCCTTCTTCACAGGGTGGCAGGATGGAGTGACTGCAGGTAGGGGTAATGCCAGACACTGATAAAACCATCAGATCTCAGGAGAACTTATGCACTATCATGAAAACAGCAGAGGGGAACTACCCCCATTATCTGATTACCTCCACCTCTTTCTGCCCTTGACACATGGGGATTATGGGGTTTACAATTCAAGATGAGATTTTTGGTGGAGACACTGCCAAAAAATATCAGAGCTACAATACATTCTATCTTATCATGTATAGCCTAGTGGTAAAACCATGAACTTCTGAGCCAGAATGTCTGGCTTCAAATCTTTGCTGTACCCCTTGTTGCTGCTATTAGGTTTCAATGTCATTAAATGTGTTTCTACACCACTTGTATATGTTATGTGCTAAGAGTAATATACTAGAAAATTTGATGTAAAACTGAATCATTTGCAGGAGCAAACAAAAGACAAATTAGAGTAAGATTTAAAGGAAATATGCATGAATTATATAAATAACCAAAAATGATTCAATAATTTTTTCAAAGCTATGTCCTCAACATTAATCTAGGTATTGCAGTAAAACAGTGAATAAGACAGATAAAAATCTTTGCCCTCATAATTCCTATATTCTAGTGAAGGAAGACATATAATAAAAATACATAAATTTTTAAAAAACTAAATAGATGATAGATAAATAGTTTATTAGAGTTCGCCAAAGAAATAGAACCAATAGAGCGTATAAATACATAGAAAGAGATTTACTGTAAGGAATTGTCTCATGTGATAATGGAGGCTGAGTCCCATGATTTGCAGTTGAAAAGCTGGACATTCAAAGGAAACGCTGGTGTGGTTACAGCCCAAAGGTCAGCAGGCTCAAGACACAGGAAAAGTTGATGCTTAAGTTCAAGTCCAAAGGCAGGAAAACAAACAAACAAACAAACAAATAATGTCCCATAGCCAAAGGTAGTCAGACAGAAAAAAATTTCCTCTTCTTTGGGGGAAGGTTATTGTTTTTGTTCTATTCAGGTATTCAAATGATTGGATGAGTCCTACTCACTTTCAGGAGGGCAATGTACTTTCCAAAAATGTTATTATTATCCCAAAACATCTTCATAGAACCACCCAACATAATGTCTGATCAAATATCTGGGTACATCATGGCCCAGTCAACTTAACACATACAATTAACCATCACAGGTAGATATATAGATAGGTAGATAGATTAATTTATGAAGTGCTAGAATGTGATAACTTGTTTGAAAAAAAGTAAACCAAAGTAGGAGAAATTGGAAATGGCAAGGAGATGAGGATGCAATTTTAACTCACCCTTACCGATAAAATGATATTTAAAAAGACGTGAAGGAGATAAGGGCATAAGTCATAAAGATATATGCATAAAAGCATTCCAGGCAGAGGATACAGCTAATGCAAAGGCATTGAGATTGGAGTATACTTTCTGTGTTTGATAAACAACCAAAAGGTCACTGTGGCTACAAAGAAAAGAAGAGGAGGTGAAGATGGCAATGAGGGGAGAGGCAGGTGAATGTGACCATGTAGTCCCTTGTAGGCCGTTATAAGGACTTTTGTTTGATGTGAGTGAATGCAGAACAATTGCAGGGTTTTGAGTTGAACAGTATCTTGGTTTGATTCATGTTGTGAAAGGATCACTCCAGTTACTCAGCGGAGCATAATGTAGGGTGGGCTGGTAGGCAAATGTGGAAGAAAAAAGCCAGTTGGAGTTTAAATCTATGATATAGTTTGGCTGTGTCCCCACCCTAATCTCATTTTGAATTGTAAAAATCCCCAAGTATCAAGGGGGGGCCTGGTAGAGATAATCAAATCATTGGGGCTGTTTCCCCAATACTGTACTTATGGTAGTGAATAAGTTTCATGAGATCTGATGGTTTTATAAATGAGAGTCTCCCTGCACAACCTCTCTTGCCTGCCACCATGTAAGATATGCATTTGCTTCTCCTTTGCCTTCTGTCATCATTGTGAGGCCTCCCTAGCCATGTGGAACTGCGAGTCCATTAAACCTCTTTCCTTTATAAATCACCCAGTCTTGAATATGTATTTATTAGCAGGGTGAGAGCAGACTAACGCAGTAATTTGGTACTGCAGAGAGTGGGGTGCTGCTGTAAAGATATCTGAAAATATGAAAGTGATTTTAAAACTGGGTAACAGGCAGAGATTGGAATGATTTTTGAGGGCTCAGAAGAAGCTAGGAAAATGTGGCAGAGTTTGGAACTTCCTAGAGACTTGGAGGGCTCAGAAGACAGGAAAATGTGGGAAAATTTGGAACTCCCTAGAGACTTTTTGAATGTCTTTGACCAAAATGATGATAGTAATATGGACAATAAAGTCCAGGCTGACATGATCTCAGATACAGATGAGGAACTTGTGGGAAACTGAAGCAAAGGTAACACTTGCTATGCTTTAGCAAAGAGACTGATGGCATTTTGACCCTGACCTAGAGGTCAGTGGAACTTTAAACTTGAGAGAGATGATTTAGGGTATCTGGTGGAAGTAATTTCTAAGTGCCAAAGTGTTCAAGAGGAAGCAGAGTATAAAAGTTTGGAAAATTTGTAGGCTGACAATGCAACAGAAAAGAAAAACCCATTTTCTGGGAAGAAACTCAAGCCAGCTGCAGAAATTTGCATAAGTAATGAGGAGCCAAATGCTAATCACCAAGACAATGGGGAAAATGTCTCCAGGCATGTCAGAGACCTTCACAGCAGCCCCTCACATCACATGCCTGAAGGCCTAGGAGGGAAAAATGGTTCCCTGGGCTGGGCTCAAGGTCATTCTGCTGTGTGGATAGTAAGGAATTGGTGCCCTGTGTCCCAACTGTTCCAGCTGTGGACAAAAGGGGCCAAGGTACAGCTCAGGCCATGGTTTCAGAGGGTGCAAGCCCCAAGCCTTGGCAGCTTCCATGTGGTGTTGAGCCTGCAGGTGCACAGAAGTCAAGAATTGAGATTTGGGAACATCCACCTAGATTTCAGAGGTTGGACGGAAATGCCTGGATGTCCAGGCAATGCTTTGCTGAAGGGGCAGAGCTCTCACAGAGAACCTCTGATAGGGTAGTGTGGAAGGGAAATGTGGGGTCAGAGCCCCCACACAGAGTCGCCACTAGAGCACTGCCTAGTGGAGCTGTGAGAAGAAGGCCACCATCCTCTAGACCCCAGAATGGTACATTCACCAACAACTTGCATCGTGTTCCAGGAAAAGGCTGCAGACACTCAAGAGCAGCCCATAAAAGCAGCCAGGAGGCAAGCTGTACCTTGAAATGCCACAGGGGCAGAGCTGCCTAAGGCCCTGGGAGCCCACCTCTTGCATCAACAAGCCCTAGATGTGAGGCATGGAGTCAAAGGAGATCATTTTGGAGCTTTAAGATTTGTCTGCCCCACTGGATTTTCAATTTGGATAGGGAGTGTAGCCCCTTAGTTTTGGCCTATTTTTCCCATTTAGAATGAGTGCATTTACCCAATGCCTGTACCTCCATGGTATCTAGGAAGTAACTAACTTGCCTCTGATTTTACAAGCCCATAGGCAGAATGGACTTGCATCATCTCAGATGTGACTTTGGACTTGGACTATGAGTTAATGTTGAAATAAGTTAAGACTTTAGGGGACTGTTGGAAAGGCATGATTGGTTTTGAAATGTGAGAACATGAGATGTGGGAGGGTTCAAGGGTGGAATACTGTGGCTTGGCTCTGTCTCCACCCTCAAATTGTAATAATTCCCATGTGTCAAGGTTGGGGCCAAGTGGAGATAATTAAATCATGGGGGTGGTTTTTCCCACACTGTTCTCGTAGTAGTGAATAAGTCTTTTGAGTCTGATGGTTTTATAAATGAGAGTTTTCCTGCACAAACTCTCTTGCCTACTGCCATGCAAGATATGCATTTACTTCTCTTTTGCCTTCTGCCCTCAGTGTGAGGCCTCCCCAGTCATGTGGAAATTGTGAGTCCATTAAACCTCTTTCCTTTATAAATTACCCAGTCTTTGGTATGTCTTATATCTTTATTAGCAGCATGAGAACAGACTAATGCAATCTAGAAAAGAAATAATGGTCTAGGGTGACAACAATGTAGCCGGTAAGAAGGGATCCGATGTAGCACATATTTTGCAGAAAGAACTAAAAGCATTTCCTGAGAGAATATATGTGAGATTAAAAGTGGGTTAAAGGTTGTGTCTGAGTAACTAAAAGAATGGATTTGCCATTAGTTGAATGGGGGAACACTGTATGAGACACCTTTAGGTTGTAGCTAAGGATATGATTATGAGCTTAGAACTGGGCATTACAATTTTGACATGTCTATTAAGTATCAAAGCAGGGATGTCTAGTAGGGTATGGACATATTGCGAAGAGATGAATGGTTAGGGCTAGAGGTCATTTACACTTAAAATCCATGAAAATTGGGCTTCCAATTGAGATATAGAAAGTGGTAAAGGATCATGAACCCCACCCTAACAAAGAGAAAAAGGCCTTAAAAAAATCTAGAAAACAATATATTTTTAAAACCCGTCAGGAGTGTAGGAAGGAAAATTAATCAAAACATCCTCACTCCTAGAAACGAACAATTTCTGACTAGGAGAAAAGTAGCATATAGCCACTATCATCCCTGGTGCATGGTGAAAAGAGAAACAGAATCCTGTCGATTTAGAAGTAGAACCTAGCTAGTGTACTTTAACAGACACAAATGGGTAGGTGAGAAACATTAAAATCCTAAAATGCCCAAGATGTACAGTGAAAGTATTTCTATCCATCATTTTTTTTTTCTGAAGGTATCTGACAAGGGAGCCATGGGAGTGCATCAACAGCTGGGGTAGAGCAGGACAATGAGACAGATATTTCTGAGTCACCTGGGTCATTTGAAAGTGCATGACAGTTTAAAGAAGGCTCAGTGCAAGGTAATAGGGTGAGATCTCTTCAATATGAGGAAAGTTGGAAGTTGGATTGGAGCCTACAGAGAAATCCTCAGTGGTACATAGAACTGGCAACTGGGCTACAAAAAAGAGGGAGAGGATATAAAAGAGCAAAAGAAAGTGAAAAAGAGAGGGAGAGAGTGAGAGAGAGAGAGATCTAGAGTCTCAGCTGTGCTCAGATTTCAAGCCCTGCTGAAGAGTCTCCTGATTCTACACTCAGAGCTTATCAGCTTATGAAGCCAATGGTGATCTAAATTTGACTAAAGCTTCAGCAAATTCTAAACCCAGTTCAAGTACAAATTAGATTGGTTTAGATCCCACTTTAAAGAGCTGGCAGAGGAAAGGGCCTGTCTTTGTTGGTGATAAATATTATTTACTTCAGCCTCTATTATTTTTTAATACTCAATATCTGACATGCAATCAAAAATTATGAAACAGGTGAAGAAGAAAAATGTGACGCATAATCAATTTAAAGGATCAGTTAATGAAAGGAGACTCACAAATGAAACATATGTAGATATTACCAGTTGTAATAGGCCTCCTCTACCTTGTCTCCCAAAGATCTCCACTCCTAATATTCACCCTGTTGTATAATCACATCTTTGTGAGTGTGGGGTGGCCCTAGCAACTCACTTCTAATGAGTAGATCCATTTACAGGCATATCACTTTTAAGATTTCATTACAATGAAGAATGTGGCTTCTGCCTTAGGTTCTCTCTCTCTCTCTCTCTCTCTCTCTCTTTCTCTCTCCCCATCCCAGCCACCATATGTGAGTTGCCCTATGGAGAATGCCACATGGCGAGAAACTGAAGGGGACCTCTGATCCATAGCCCTTAAGGAACTGAGAACTTCGGTCCAACAGTCCACAAAAAGTTGAAATCCTGTCAACAACCAAGTGAGTAAACCTGGAAGCAGATCCTTTCATAGAGGAGTCCTCTCCAAGACCACAGCACTAGCTGACACCTTGATTCCAGCCTTGTGAGAGAGCTTGAGCCTAAGCCACAGATGTATTCATGATCCATACAAACTGTGAGATAATATTTGATAAGTTAATATATTTGGGAGTAATTTGTCATGCAATGATAGATTCAAATACAAGGAAGGATTTTAAAATAATGAACATAAATTTGTTGAAAACTCTATTGGAAAAGACAAAGATATGTGTGAATAGGTTTAGAATTTTAGCAAAATCAAAATGTCTAAAAAGGATCCAAATGGAAATTCTGAAAGTTTATTTTGATTTCTTTATGGGCTCCTTCCTCCATTTGTATTAAATCCTGCCTGTTTTCTGGAAAGCTAATGAAGTTTTCACAACAGGCTTCCAATTCTTTTATGTAATTTTTTTCATTCACCAAATATAAATAATGAAATGAGTAAAGAGAACAATGATAAGTAAAATTTGTCTTCTGAAATGAAAAATTAAGAGAAGAGATTGTTCTGGTGGTTGAGAAAACTATCGCGCGTGTGTGTGTGTGTGTGTGTGTGTGTGTGTGTGTGTGTGTGTATGTACCTGACTACCCACCTTCCTACCCACACACATGATTTCCATTGTTATTTTTCTACCTGATGTGGTTTTAATAATAGGATGAATGTATTTAAATTAAGTAAACATTCATATACAATGCTAGCATTGACTCTGAAATGAAGCATGTTTTTCTTATATACTTCATACTTATATATTTTAATATATTACCAAAGAATCATCAAACACCAAATAAAAAGAGCCCTCAAATTGCGAGGGTCCTATGATTAGGTAATCACCAATAAAACGTCTGTATTCATTGTTATTACTTGATCCATATTATCTACAGAATCATATAAAAACAAGCATGATAATTTTCAATAAGATGTTTTCATCAGCTCTTGGGAAGACAGTTAAGCCAAAAATACTCAAAATTGCACAAAGAATTGAAAATAAATAGAAATCCCTATATCCTTGCACTGTGTCATGCTTTGTAATCCTAGGAACTGTCTTCAGTCACTCACGTGAAACCAATTGTACTTTATATTAGACAAAATTATGTTTTTTTAATTTTTGAAATTTAATGTTCTTTGAAGAGAAGAGACTAGAAATTAGCAAGCAATTTTGTAATTTAAAAAGTAGAAAAAATTATAAAAGCATATTCAAGCATGCTGTTTCGGGACATTTTATGTGAAATTCATTTATTGAAACATATTTCCAATTGCTACTGAAGAATCTATTATATTTTCATCCAAAATAATTAAACCATGTATATATACTTGTGTGTGTGTTTGTGTGTGTGCGTGTGTGTGTGTGTGTGTGTGTGTATAGACAATTAGATGAAATAATATTTTATCTGGACAAAACCAAAAACCAAAAGAAAAAAAGTTTGTGTTAAAGCTCATTTTCAGAAAATCTTTAATCAATTAATACTGCATACTTTTGCGAAACCAAGGACATTACTTTTTCATTTTATCAATATATAGTCAGTTGCTACTAGATTTGTCATCTAAACATGGAATTTCATTAGAATTTTTTTTTTTACTACAACTTGTCAAACATAAAGAGTTCTCAAAATAGCTTTATTTTTTAGTGGATAAAGCAATTACATTAGTAATTTTTCTTTTAGCAGGAAGACAAAATCTGAGATTTGGGCATTTTACTTCATGCTTAAAATGATGATGTGATGAAATTGAAGGAAAATTCATTTAAAGTGAACGCAAATATTTGTGAACTTGAACAAATAGAACGAATTCCTAGAAATCGTTAATAATTCTGATTCAAAATCTATTACAAAAATGTTCTAATTTATATATTCCAGAAAATATATGGTCAAAAATCACTAAATATGCAATTTTAAGTTTAATTCCTCTTATAATGTGAATAATGCTTCAAAATTTAAAAGGAGGGTGCTATTTTGATATACAGTGCATATATATATATATATATATATATACGCAATTTAATCTTGTCAATGACTGAAATCACAGCACAACCCATACATAAAATGAACAAACCAGTTATAACATAAGAAAACCAAATTTTATTTACTTAGTTAAGTAAGGAAGGTGACAAGAGAGACACTTCTAAAATTATGCCATGTAAGTGAAAGTGAGGGCAGAGGTTTTATTGCTGTGTTTTGGTGTCAGAAGTTCTCAGTATGGACCTCAGAACATAGAGAGTCTTTGCATTGGCTTATCTCTTAGGGACTGATAGAAAATCTTTGATGGTGAAATCTAATTTTCCTGGAATGGTGAGGTGAGTATACAAACACTGACTGTAACTCACACAAAGACAAAGAGCAGACAAAGATTAGATTTGTTTGACTGCTTTAAACCTACAAGATTGGGGAAGACACTGGCTTCTTTTTAAATATGGGTGTTTCCACCAAATATTAGTGATGGCAAATATGACATTCTGGCTAGCAAATAGAATAAAATCTATTAGATTATATGATAAGAAATGGGCAAAATATGTAGACTTATATCTCAAACCTCAAGGCATGTTGAACATTTATCATTTCAGCTAGGTTATTGATAAATTTCTGACTTTTTACATATTTGAATAATTTTGATTGTAAGAGATTCTACACCAATTTGATTTAAAGTTTAAAGAGTTAATCATTGATTACTCTGAGTAATTTCCTGGTGTAATATTTGATAGTTTGGGGGTATAACCCAAGACATAAAATTGAAAGATGGATATAAATAAATCTTGACTGTCTGAAAAATTCTAATAATTCTCTCATAGGCACAAGTTTTATATTTGGTAAACAAATAAAGTCTTGATGTCTATCTGCCTAAAACATGGGAGAAAATTACTAAATATAGATATCTTTTCATGTGATAGAATTATTCATTTCATTTATCTGTTCTTTGGGAAGAAAAAATTATGTGTGGAGATAGAGAATATCTAAGAAAAATATGTATGCTAATAAATAAAATAGAGTTCCAATATATGTTTCCAACATTACTATGTCTTTTGTTCTTGGGAACAGCACTGTAATGATATTTTTGCCAATCAATTTTGCTGCTTCTTGTCCAATTTTTAACATGAATGGAAGTTACTATTAATAATGTGGCACTATTTCATTTACCCAAAGTGTCTAGTAAAGGCAAATGATCATCTGAAAAGTATAGGGGAATATATACTAGATTTCCATCCAGAGATATCAGATAGTAGATATTAAAAATAACAGTTGCAGGATACAAAGCTGTAGCTAAAATGTGTAATAATTGTTTGGTATACATTTTCAAATAATAAAGAATAATTTGTTCTCAATAATTATGTACAATAGTTAAAGAAACTCTCCTTAACATGTTCAAGAAATAAGAATTAAGTTATCAGCAATTTAAAACCATGGTCTCAGTCTGGCTTTGCTGCTATAATAGCACACTTGAGACTGGGTAATTTATAATGAAAAGAAATTTATTAGCTCACAGTTCTGGAGGCTGGAAAGTCCTAGATTGACGAGCTTGCATCTGGCAAGGGCCTTCTTGCTGTATCATTCCATGGCAGTAAGTCGAAGAGCAAGAGAGAAAGAGACAGAGAGAAAGGATGCCAAATTGGTCTTTTTATAATAAATGTACTCTTACAATAATAGCATTAATCAAATCATAAAGTCAAAAACCCTCCTGGCTCAATCACTTCTCAAAAATCCCAGGTCCTGATACTGTCACAATGCCAATCAAATTTTAACATAAGTTTTGGAGTAGACAAACATTTAAACCATAGCATGTATATAACAGCAAAATAGAAAGAAATAGGCTAAAAAACTAAAGTGCTAGGAGGGGCATACACTAGTTTATGGCTCTTGGTCCTGCTGCAAATATTTTGGGTGGAGGCTATTTAATGTGTCCTGCCATCAACTTTAAACAAAGGTCTTGGTTTAGAAGTCTTCTTCTGACGATATTCTGATTCCCAAGTATTCTTTAAGTATAATTAAAGGCTGGATGTTGTGGCTCATGCCTGTAATACCAACACTTTGGGAGGCCAAGGTAGGTGAACAGCTTGAGCTCAGGAGTTCAAGACCAGCCTGGGCAACATGGTGAAACCCCATCTCTACAAAAACAAAAATTAGCTGGGCACAATCGTGGACACCTGTAGTCCCAGGTATTCAGGAGACTGAGGTGGGAGGATGGCTTGAGCCAAGGACATGGAGGTTGCAGTTAGCCAAGATTGCACCGCTGCACTCCAACCTGGGTGACAGAACCAGACCCTGTCTTAATAATAATAATAATAATAATAATAAGTATATTCAATTTGATAACTTTAGTTGGAATGCTCTTCTAGTCATTGTATAATATCAATAAGATGCTTTCACTGGGAGTTGATGGCTGTCATTATGTAATTTCTCTTCCAGAACACCAAGCCCCCATGTTTTAAGACATTACATGTTTCTGGAAAAATGTTGAAAATAGATTGCTGATATGATTTGGCTGTGTCCCCACCCAAATCTCAACTTGAATTGTATCTCCTAGAATTCCCATGTATTTTGACAGGGACCCAGGAGGAGGTAATTGAAGGGAGCCAGTCTTTCCTGTGCTATTCTCATGATAATGAATAAGTCTCATGAGATCTGATGGGTTTATCAGGGGTCTCCACTTTTGCTTTTTTCTCATTCTCTCTTGCCACCAATATGTAAGAAGTGCCTTTCCCCTTCCACTATGATTGTGAGAATTTCCCCAGCCATGTGGAACTGTACGTCCCACTAAACCTCTTTCTTTTGTGAATCACCCAATCTTGGGTATGTTTTTATCAACAGTATGAAAACAAATACAGTAAATCGGTACTAGTAGAGTGAGTATTTATTCAATACCTGTATCCTCATTGTATCTAGGAAGTAACTAGCTTGCTTTTGATTTTACAGGCTCAGAGGCAGAAGAAGGAACTTGCCTTGTCTCAGATGAGATTTTGGACTGTGGACTTTTGGATTAATGCTGAAATGAGTTAAGACTTTGGGGAATTGTTGAGAAGGCATGATTGGTTTTGAAATATGAGGACATGAGATTTGGAGGGGCCAGAAGAGGAATGATATGGTTTGGTTGTGTCCCCACCCAAATTTCAACTTGAATTGTAGCTCCCAGAATTCCCATGTGTTGTGGAAGTGACCCAGGGAGAGGTAATTGAATCATGGGGGCTGGTCTTTCCTGTGCTATTCTTGTGATAATGAGTAAGTCTCATGATATCTGACGGATTTATCAGGGGTTTCCGCTTTTGCTTCTTCCTCATTCTCTCTTGCTGCCGCCATGTAAGAAGTGCCTTTTGCCTTCTGCCATGATTGACCTTCTCCAGCCATGTGGAACTGTAAACCTCTTTCTATTGTAAATTGCCCTGTCTCAGGTATGTCCTTATCAGCAGTGTGAAAATAGACTAATACAATTGCTCGTACAGTTTCATGTAAAGATTTAGTATACTGTATAATTGCTTTGGTCATTTAAATTTGCAGCCTAATAGGTTCAAGGACCAAAAATAATATTCTTAAATGTATAGATTAACTGGCCACTAACTCATATAACTATATGTAATAGAATTATTTCCTTGATTTACTGTTTATTAGTTTTGCCTACAATATAAAAAATTACAATCTTTTTATGTATAATCTGTCTGGATAACAAAGATTTGGTATATTCTTTTTTTAACAGTTATGCCCTAAATTATTTAGAAAAACAAGGTTTTCTTACTTATAAAAGAGCTAACATTTTTACAATCATGCTCTCTAAATGTTTTATAGCCATTTAGATTAAATAGGAAACTGGGTATTCTTTCTTGGGCACACATAATCCTATATTAATCAACTATTTAAATATCTTCAAACACTTGTTGATTTTTGCTTTCCAAAACTGGATCCTAATTACAAAATATTCAACAGAATTCAATTCAATTTGGGAATCTCTTTTGCATGTAAAACAATCTTTGAGATTTTTTACACAACTTCTGGAAATTTACAGAATAAGGAATAAAAAATCACATTATCTGATTACAAACTACACTATAAAGCCAATGTCAACAAAACAGCATGGCTCTTGTATAAAAATAGGTGCATAGACCAACAGAACAGAATAGAGAACTTTGAAATAAAGCCAAATACAGCCAACTGATCTTTGACAAAGAAAACAAAAACATAAAGTGGGGAAAAGATACCCTATTGAACAAATGGTGCTGGGATAATTGACAAGCCACACATAGGAGAATAAAACTGGATCCTCATCTCTCACCTTATACAAAAATCCACTCAAGATGGATCAAGAACTTAAATCTAAGACCTGAAACTACAAAAATTCTAGGAGATTACATTGGAAAGGCCCTTCTAGAGATTGGCTTAGGCAAATATTTCATGACTAAGAACCTAAAAGCAAATGCAACAGAAACAAAGATAAATAGGTGGCACTTACAAGCTTTTGCATGGCAAAAGGAACAGTTAGCAGAGTAAACAGACAACCCACAGAGTGGGAGAAAATTTTCACAATCTATACATCTGACAAAGGACTAATATCCAGAATCTACAAGGATCTCAAACAAATTAGCAAGAAAAATACAAACAATCTCATCAAAAAGTGCGCTAAGGATATGAATAGACAATTTTCAAAAGAAGATATACAAATAGCCAACAAACATGAAAAAGTGCTCAACATCACTAATGATCAGGGAAATGCAAATCAAAACCACAATGCAATACCACCTTACTCCCGCAAGAATGGCCTTTATAAAAAAAAAAAAAAAAAAGATTTTGGTGCGATGCAGTGAAAAGGGAAAACTTTTACACTACTGATGGGAATGCAAACTAGTACAACCACTATGAAAAACATTGTGGAGATTACTTAAAGGACTAAAAGTAGAACTACCGTTTTATCCAGCAATCCCACTACTGGTTACCTACCCAGAGGAAAAGAAGTCATTATACAAAAATATACTTGTTCATGCATGTTTATAGCAGCACAATTTCCAATTGCAAAATGTAAAACCAGCCCAAATGCCCATCAACCAATGAGTGGATAAAGAAACTGTGATATATATGTATATATATGATAGAATTCTACTCTACCATAAAAAGGAATGAATTAATGGTATTTGCAGCAACCAGGATGAAACTTGAGACTATTATTCTGAGTGAAGTAACTCAGGAATGGAACACCAGACATTGTATATTCTCACTCATTCATGGTAGCTAAGCTATGTGGATGCAAAGGCATAAGAATGATACAATGGATTTTGGGGACTTGATGGAGAAGGGTGCAAGGGGTAAAAGACTACAAATTGGGTTCAGCATATACTGCTTGAGTGACGTGTTTACCAATATATCACAAAACACCACTAAAGAACTTACTCGTGTAACCAAATACCACCTCTTCCCCAAAACCTATGGAAATTAAATTTTTTTTAAAAAAATTTTAAATTGTTAGATAAAGCTAAATGAATATAGAACGTTGGGGAAAGAAAGACAATGAGAAAATAGTAACAGGTTATAATGTTTATAAAACTCTTATCTTCAGTGGTCAAAGCTGACTGAGTTTGAATTGATCTGTTTGTAAGCTTTTATTAAAATTAACTTTAGCATTAGTAATACACTGATGCAAAGGTAGAATTTGATTTTCTTTTTTGAACAAGACTGTAATGTAGTATTAATAAGAGCAAAAGACTTTGGTTTATATTTTGAGAAAACTGCAAAAGAAAGGGTGGGAAATCTGCCTCATGCTGTCTTTATTGGCTCTTTTGTTTGTTTGAAAAACTAAGACATCTCTTTAGGAAAGAATAAAATTCTCCAGTTTTTTGAAATATTTTAACTATTCCTTTGGCAAAGTGAATTACTATAATTTTACAGTAGCCTGTGATCCTATTTTAATCAAGTGTTTTAAGCAAGTCTTGTTTTTATATCAAGCGTTTTAAATCTTTGATATTTCACAAACTTCACCAAATCAAATTTTAAATTCAAATATCAGTTCTGTTGACCTCAAATTAAGTTTTGGGCCTTTCAAAAATAATGCCTGGAAGTCCAAGAGAGAAATCTTAGGCTTTTTTTGGTATGTAAAAATCATACAGGAAGCATTGTCAAATAGGAAATGAGGTCTAACTTTCTCTGAGTTATATTTGTTTGCATGTATTATTCATATGTGTTCCAAAATTATATGAAATTCCTAAAAATCTAATGCGTCTTGGTAAATATTATCAATAATAATAATGATTATCATTATTGTTATTGTGAATGATAGCACACAAAAAAAGAAAATGACCAAATTGCTTCATCAATTTTATCTTTAACCATGGCCATTTTAAGTCTTGTCCTATTCTTTCTTGGGGAGTTTCTTTAAAGTTTTGCAGAGACCTAGGAACCCATTTTATTGGTCAAATAATTCAGTTTATTTATAACCTATGGCCAACTGTTCAGCATTTCAATTTTGCATGCGACCTTTAGTCCTCTGAACTGGTGGAATGTACAAATGGAATTAAAAAAAAATTAATAAAGTTATAGAAACCTTGAAACTTCCCTGGCCTAATAATCTTTCATTGGTATTACTTAACTTATGTTCTACTATGTTGGAAAACATCAGCTTTCTCCTTTTGAAATAATAACAGGAAGACCCACATTCCTGGATTTAAGAGCCTTCAAACCAGCTTAAAGTTAATATTCTTCATTATTGCCAAAGTCTTATATAACTTATCACTAAAAAATATTTAAATTGATTTAAGATTCTTTAACATTGAGGACCTGGGAGATAAAGACATCAAAGATCATGGCCTTTGACCTGGGGATTTTGTGTATTAGAAATGCTGTTAAATAAAGGAATCCTTGCGACCACATTTGAAGTGACCATACCAGGTATTAAAAACCAAAACTTGTGCAGCTAAACTCAAAGGCATACACTCATGGACTCACATTTTTTAGTTAAGAAAATGTAGCTCCAGCTAAGTGGATGTCTTCCACCTATAGAGATCTCCAACTGAATCTGATCTGCACCCAGTTATGTCGATCTTGCCCAGGATGATAAGTGGAAACTCAGTTCAAAAGGATCACTCAAAAGGCTCAATTGCTACAAAGCATTAGAAAGACAAACCCCTTACATGATTTATTTGATTGGTTACCTTCAGGAATAGGAACCCTTTTTAGACCTGGATTTTTAATTATGTTAATAGTTATTTTCATTGCATCATAGTTTTGACTCATAAATCGATTATGGTTTGTGTTTTTAGATGTCTAAAGTCAGTAGCAAGAACTGAAATCATGACAGCTAGACACTCAGAAATGATCCTACATGCCTTGGCTCTTTGTAAGTGGATGACCTGACTCAGATTCTGTTGCACTGTCCCTTTGAGTTGCCAATCAATTTGGCCTTTTTAAGCCACAGTACCTCTCCTCTTTGCATTTGACATGAGAAAAAATTATCTGAGAATGATTCTCTCTAACAATGTAAGACAGACTTACATCTAAAATAATAATCACCAATATTTTCAGGAAAGAAAGATCTTCATGAAGAGGGAGTAAATAAGACTGGGCACAGTGGCTCATACCTGTAACCCCAGCACTTTGGGAGGCAGAAGTGGCAGGGATCACTTGAAGTTAGGAGTTCAGTACCACCCAGGCCAGTATGGTGAAACCTCATCTCTAATAACAATTAGCCGGGTGTGGTGGTGCGCACCTGTATTCCCAGCTATTCAAGAGGCTGAGGCATGAGAATTGCTTGAACCCAAGAGGCAGAGGTTGCAGTGTGTCAAGATTGCACCACTGTACTCCAGCCTGGGTGACAGAGCAAGACTATGTTAAAAAAAAAAAGAAAAAGAAAAAGTGTAAATAAGAAAAAATCACAATAATGGTTTAGGGAAGTCTGAGTTATGTGAAATAGGCAAAATTTGTGAGGCCCAGAGACCTAAGTATGAAACTTCATTGTCCAGGGATATTTGTTTGAGGAAATTTTCTTCTTTCTTTCCTTCCCTGTAGTTTCCAGACTAGCTAGATACATTACCTAAAATGTTATCACAAGTTGCAAATGTGACCCTCACCCATTATCTTGATGATGTGGTTTTGGTTAAAGAAAACCATAAAGGTAGGAAGCCCAAACTCCATTGCATGGCTCTCTCTTGAGTATGCCCACTCTCCCCTTTCTTGAGTGTGTACTTCTTGCTTGGCAATAAATCTCTATACTTTCACTATTTTCTGACTGGTCCTTGAATTCCTTCTCATGATCATTTTAAGAGCTTGGACACTGGTCATGATCAAGGTCCCACCAGCATTTGGAGACCATCCCTAGCCCACAGATATTGCCTCCGACTATATTCCCTCAATATAGAAATTGATTATATTAAGTTTTCTTCCTTTATATTGCTATTGAGTTACTTGATAAGTTCATTAAGACTCTCTCCTCTTGTTTAGCAGGGTGTGATTTGTTACCATGGTATAACTGGGAATACTGATTAAGCAACCAGGTCTTACCTGGGTTGTGCTATTTGAGAATGATGAACACTTAACCAGGAATGACCAGTGTTGGGATACAGAAAATAATTCCCTAAAATGTAGTACTTTGACATGCTGAGTGCTTTTGAAAATGGAAAAACCTCAGAATCAAGATTCATCTAAACTTGTCTTTCCCTCACCCTTCAAATGCAAGTGGGGACTCTTTATAATTTTCTAATCCGACCAAAAAAGCTTCTTACCAAAAAGAAACACAATTGCCTTCAATCTCCTCCCTGAAATCTCATAATCTCTTTCAGAAGAGAAGAGTGAGGAATGGCATCCCATCTGTATGGATTTTTCAATAAGATAATGCCTGACTGTCTGGCTCATTCAAATTTCAGAAGGAGTCATTTACAAGTTAATTTCTATCTCTCTTGTCTATTCTATTCTCCCTAATAATCATTATATGTCCCTCGAACAAATTGTCTACATCCTCCATCTTCTCCCTTCCCTGTGAATAAGGATACACAACTTTTGTACCCCATTGGGGGACTGAAGCAATCACTCTGATTTTCCCCTTATGTGTTAATAAATTTATATGCCTTTTCTCCTAGTAATCTGCCAGCTTTCACCTGATTTTCATGAACCTTCAGAGGGCAAAGGAAAGTTTTCCCCATGTCCCAACACCAGCCACTTTAAAGGAGTTAAGTTTGGTTTTATGAAGTCAAATACTTTCAAAGCCACTACCAGGAAAATTGACCTATTACCTGACTTATAAGGTCCAGCCTTACAGGTGGTAAGGGAAGTCACCTCTAGCAGGCCAAATACCTTAGGATATTTGAGGACTTTGAGAAGAGATGAAATCATCCAAAGTTATGGATACTTGATATGGTTTGGCTCTGTGTCCCCACCCAAATCTCATGTTGAATTGTAATCCCCAATATTGGAGGTGGGGCTTGGTGGCAGGTGATTAGATCATGGGGGTGGTTTCTAATGGTTTAGCACCATCCTTCTAGTTTTGTCTTATGATAGAGCTCTCAGGAGACCTGCTTGTTAAAAGTGCATAGCATCTGTCCCTTAGGTCTCTTTTTTCTTCTCCAGCCATGTAAGACATGACTCCTTCCTCTTCACCTTCTACCATGATTGTAAGTCTCCTGAGACCTTCCCTGCCATGCTTCCTATACAGCCTGCAGAACTGTGAGTCAACTCAATCTCTTTTCTCTATTAATTACCCAGTCTCAGGTAGTTCTTTACAGCAATGCAGGAACAGACTGATAAAGTACTCTAGTCAAATATCAACAAGAAACTTTTTTGGGTTTGAATTAGCTTTCTAGGTTCGACATAGCAAATAATAGAGGCTCTTAAAAGTCTAATCTGAGATCTCTTTTGACGACTTACAGCAAAGAAAATTAAAGAAGACCTATGTGATATATTAAGATTCTTGTTGTACCTCTAAAAATCAGACCACATCTAATGAGACCAGCTTTATTCTGTAGAATATAATAATCTTTCTTTAGATTATTCTTTAATTAAATGGCCAGATCTATGGAAACAATTTGTGCTTCAATGGAAAGCTATGCTTTACCTAGAACATCCTATTTCTCCTTAGTTTATTTCTAGTCTTTCATTAACACTTAGTTGTTTTACAACCCTTATGTTGTAGATAAATGATAGTAATGCAACTTATTGTCCATAGGCAAGCTAATAAAATCTGTCTAGTAGAGGTTTGGTTGATTTCCTTTACCAATGTGTGGGAAAATACACCCGAAATTTAGTTCTATTTGTACATTCTTAATCTATAGACTTTTAATATTTAGATTCTCTTTTGAACCAAATGTAGTATCTTACTAGTTCTCTCATTAATCAGCTAAATAGCATCTTTAGCACTGTTCATTTTTATATCTGTATAAATCTCATGATTTTGATGTTTTAAAGTTTAATGTTTGATACATTGTAATTATTTTTCTGCTTTCATACCACTTTGGTTTGGAAATGTTTAGTCTTTCTTTTCCCCCCAAATTTATCATCTTATTACTGGATGTTAGCCTTTAAGTTACAAAAACAAGAACTTTGTTTTATCCTGTGGATTTTGCAATTCCATTTATTTAAAACTAAAAAAATAATGGGGAGAAGATGTGTTACACAATTTAAAAAACATTCTTATTTTTATGTGAAATTCAAACATAATAAATGCTTTTAATGTGCATAACACAGGTTTAATTCCAGCAGTCATCTTGTGAGGCAGGAATATTATTATTTTCATTTTAAATTGAATAAAAATAGTGTTTAAAAGGCAGAGTAATAGTCCCAAATTTGCACAACTATTAAGTACATAGAAAATAGGATTGAAGTGATACAGTGGGCCATATGAAAATCATCCATTGGTTCAGACTATTAAATTCCTTCTCACTTCACATATCTCCCCTTTCTTATATCACATTGTTTTCTGGGTAAGGATATGACAATATCTTTCACAATATGCCTGAATGACTGATAAGTCCTGAAGTCTATCCTTCTAAGTGATATTATTGTGTATAATGTATTATGGCTAAGTAGAGGTAGGACCTTTAAAATACTCCGTGTGAATTCTTAAGCTTAGCTTACTTTTTTATTCCAAGAATGTTACTATGCACGATCAAGCAGCCAAAAGCTAGCTCCCCAAACATCACTAACACCACTTGCTAATAAAACAAAGCAGAGTTTATTTCTTACCAATGTAAGGGAAAATGCTACCTTGCAAAGCTTCCGCAGCGTCTCAGAGGGAGAAGTCAAGGTCAGAATGTACTGATAATTGGACGTTTGGTTTATGGCAGGCCTTTCAGTGCAGGCACTTGACTGATATTGAATCAGAATCATGATACAACACTTTAGAATTTGTGGAAACAGTAAACAGAGATTTCGAGGTGAGAGATTCAAAGAATCTTAGGGCACAAATTCTCTGTTTATGTTTTTCTTTGAAAAGTTGACAAGCGTTTCAGGTGATTCCTGTACTGAACAACTAAATAATATTCTTAGGCAGCAGAATGCTGGAAAAATAAAATCATGTTGCTGAAGACATAGCAAAGTCATGTCAATATAAAGATAAAGGTGTGATTTCAGTTTTCAGGGTCCAGGGTGAGTGTGGGGATAGCTAGTTTTACTTCTGAAAAATAACATTCAATGAAGGAGAAAAAAGTTATTTTTGAAATGTTTAAAGAATTACTGTTTATGAAATTATTTAAGATCATTTATACCTCTGTTGCCTTTTAATCGTTGTGTAAGATTACTGTAACATGCAAAGTATATTTCAACCTTCACAGATTAAGAGGCAGGGGATAAAGTAGGTAATGAAAACAAGGATAATAAATAATTTTCTTAGTCTGATGACAATCTAGTAATATTAAAAAAACAATTGAGATAAGAAGCACAAAGTACTTAACAAAAAAACAAAACGTAAATTCCCAGAACTGAGGACTTTCTAAAAATGCTCATATTTTATTCAAATTAACCTCTTAAAATGTGGTGTAATTAACATAGCTTGTGCCTTGTTATCAACACAGCTGCCATGTCACATTTCTATCTTTTCAGGTTTCTCTGGAGCTCTCATAAAAGAAATATGTTCATAAAAATTATCATATTAAAACAAGAGAATAAGATTTTAAGAATAGGGAAATTTCAGATATGTCTCTTTGTCAAACAAGTTGGAGAGGTTATTTATTAGATTTGCATGTGTGTGTGTGTGTGTGTGTGCGCGCGCGCACATGATGTCTGAAATGTTGAACTTTACTTGTGTCCTGTGTTCTAAGGAAATGTCTATTTAAAATTTCTCCAAAATCCCCTACACTGCCCTTTGTCTTCAAGGAAAGCACTAACAGCAAGGGCCATCCACACTCACATATTCCAAGATAAGACTTTTCTCCATCCATTCTTCATGACTTTCTTAAGAATTACCAATGATTCTCATGTTTGCCGGCCTCCAACGTATCCAAAGGCCCTCCCCTCCCTTTGAGATCTTCTTCACTGAGGCCTGTTCTCTATATTGCAATAAGTTGTTATTGAATAAAATAATCTCTGTAATTGTGTGATCGTCTGGTGCTATATATGCATGGAGACAGACAGATAGATATAGTTGATAGTTACAAATAGCTCCACCATATTGGACTCTTCACAGGGATGAATTAGATAGATTTTCTCTTTGATATCCCAACAATGCCTGCTTTCAGCCTCTATGCTGCTACCTCATCATTCACAAACACAAGGTGAAGCAGCATAAAGGGACATATTCAAAAGAGAACAAATGATACTATTTTATACAGATTTTGTTCTCATTCTATTTACATGTATGGAACAGCTGTGGAAAAAATAGTATGGGCTTTGGCATTTGAACAATAAGGACTTCAATTTTAGTTTCTCAATTCCTTAGCTTATGACTTTGGTGAAATTACCGAGTCTTATTCTACTCGCCTGTAAAATGAAAAAAAAATAGATCATATGAAAATATTTCTTAACACATATAAAATATGTACAAAGTTCCTGGCAGAAAGTGGATGTTAGTATTCTTTCATCCTCATTCCCAGCTGTGTTTTATTTTATCAATTTATGAAGAACTATATCTCCTAATTAATTCACTTATATTAAGTTATAAATAAATACTAATGACTAAAGTGATTGAAACTGCCTTTGCAAAAATTATAACTGAGAAAATTATGATGGTGAAAGAGATCTGACCTAACTGACTCTGTCTTACTTCCAACCTCCAAACTGTCCTTGTTCATTCCTGGGTGTAGGCCAAACTAACTTTGAGAGGAACTTACTTTACAGATTAACTTTGAAACAAAGATGATAACAGCTTTTTCCCAAAACAGACCCTCTTCCTGCCTGGGGACTAGGCTGCCTTTGCCAGACTAACAAATTAGCCACGAGATTAGAAATTATGATTTAGGAGTCATGCAGCTGGAAGCTAAAAGTTTCTGAACCTCCTCAAACAGCTCTTGGAGATAACATCACTGTTGTAAAACCTAACATCAGTGCTTGAGGTATTTTGCAGACCCCGTACTTGATGGATCAGCTGGCACCACCCGGATCAATAAAGGGTCTCATCTAGTTTTGTGGCCCTCACCCAAGAACTGACTCAGTGCAAGAGGACAACTTTGACTCCCAATGATTTCATCCCTGATCTAACCAGTCAGCACTCCTGACTCACTGGCTCTCTATCCATCAAAGTATCCTTAAAAGCTCGAATCCCCGAGTTTTTGAGGAGACTGATTTGAGTAATACTAAGACTCTGGTTTCCCGTAGATTTTGCTCTGCATGAATTAAACTCTTTTTCTCCTGCAGTTTTCCTGTTTTGATAAATCAGCTCAGTCTAGGCAGAGGTCAAGGAGAATTTGTTGGGCAGATGAATTTTGCCCCTATTATTGGTATTTGTTTGTGGACATCAACAGAGCTATAATCAAGCCAAAACACATAGAGTATGATATAAACACATATAATATAATCAAGCCAAAACACATATAATATCTAATGTAGATGCCATGATTCTCAATAGAGGATATAAAGATGTTCCCAAAATCAAACCAACAGGCAGGTGTAATTTCTACCTCTGTAAATATAAACACATATAATATAATCAAGCCAAAACACATATAATATCTAATTGTAGATACCATGATTCTCAATAGAGAATATAAAGGTGTTCCCAAAATCAAACCAACAGGCAGGTGTATTTTCTACCTCTGTAAAATCAACCAATACATTAATTTGAATAGGTAGATACAGCTACTCATACCTGCTACATATTTCTTTCTCTAGTCTATCTTAATTATTTTGATTTTTGGACTCTGTGTCAAACATATGACTTGTGTTTTTTTTTTTAATAAATGATAGTAAATGAACATCACCCATGTGAGCCCATATATGTGGCAAATCACAATAAGATACTGGGATTTTGGAAGGCCTATATGGAAAAACCAAATCACCTTCAGATATAACAACCTGTTTTCCCTGAGATTGTCATTCAAGAACAAGGGCTTTTAATAATCACTGTCATCATTGTAGTTTGTCATGCATGCCTAACATGCTCTTTTTTTAAAATAACAAATTAACAGACACTTAAGATTAACCTATCCTGTGCTACATAAACTACTCTGGAATTACCTGAGAAGTAATGTTTAAATCTCTATAAAGGAATAGAAAATGGTGGGGAATGGAGACGTGTGCCCTTTAAAAATAATAAAATAAATGAAGACTCAAGAATATTCAATCATTTATTAGGATGAGCATACTAAAAGTGCTCCAGAAATCAAAGAAAATAAAGCAAAGTGATATAAGTTAATGTAATTGTATTACTGGCTTTCAGGGCCTCGAGGCCAGGCGTTCAAAGCTAGACATTTGGCACTGTATTTTATTCACAATAAACTGTTAGTCTAATGAAGAAAACTAAAACATTTTTATTTTATTTATATTTATTTGACATATTTGGATATGGTTATTCAGGGGGTCTGCACACAGAAGTAACCCAGCAAAGCTGCCTTTTGTGGGGACGATTTGCATCTGTAGAGAAAACAAAGGGAAGTAAACAACAGATGCACACAGGTTTCTTTGAGGCCCTCCCTTGTCCAGTCTAGGAAAGATTAACTAAGAATCTGACAACTTTAAATATCTGACTGAAGCATTTACCACTGGCTGTCATCTATTCTTTCGGAGGGCTGCAACTTGTAAGGTTTCATCTGCATAAGATCACCTTTGCTAGCCAGGTCTTCTCTCCCTCTTGTAACCTGTTTTGCCCATAACCTGCTCTGTCAAGCTCCAAGCTTCTATTCCTTCTGCAACCTCAAGATAATGTAAAAAAGTCAATTATCTCACCTTTTTTTTTTTTTTTTGAGACGGAGTATCCTTTTGTCACCCAGGCTGGAATGCAGTGGCACGATCTTGATCTCAGCTCACTGAAACCTCCACCTCCCTGGTTCCAACAATTCCTCTGCCTCAGCCTCCTGAACTATCTCACCTTTTTTGAATTTTTATATTCTGTATAACTCTCATGCACACATGGCATGTAATAAAACATAAATGCCTTTTTTTCCTGGTCATTTGTCTTTTACCGTTTCTTTTATAAACTCAAATTATCAAAACTTCAAGAAAAAAATTAAAGTGTTCTATAATGAATAAATAAATGAATTTATCAACAAATATTTGAATGATTGCACATAAATGTAGATAAGATAAAACCCTCATTATTAGATTTTATTTCATTTTGACAAATATGTCAGTTAGGTTAATGCCAAGAAAGCAGAAAATAATTGCATATAGAAAAGGACTAAACAAAACCACAGAAGCTGAAATTATAATTAATCGTAGGATTATGTACAAAACATCCCCGACAATGCCATTGAGGGATAAAATGAATGGATGAACTCAAGCATCATTTTAAAATTATGTGTATACATTTCTTAAGAAACATATTTAATGTTGAAGTTGTCAACATTAAAATAATGGAAATATCTCACATACCCCACACATATACACATTTACTACGTACCCATACAATTTTTAAACGTAAAAATAAAATAAAATCAAAATAATCAGAATCTAGTTCAAACAAGTTTATTCAAGAGCAAAGCTGAAGATAGTTGTATTAGTCTGTTTTTACACTGCTATAAAGAACTACCTGAGAATGGGTAATTTATAAAGGAAAGAAGTTTAATTGACTCACAGTTCTGCATGGGCTGAGGAGGCCTCAGGAACTTTACAATCATGGCAGAAGGTGAAGGGAAATGCAAAGCACATCTTTCATGGAGGCGGAAGAGAGAGAGAGTACAGGAGGAACTGCCGAGCACTTTTAAACCATTAAATCTCATGAGAACTCACTCACTATCACAAGAACAGTATAGGGAAAACCACCTCCATGATCCAATCACCTTCTACCAGGTCATTCCCTTGACATGTGAGGAACGCAATTCTAGATGAGATTTGGGTGGAAACACAGAGCCAAACAATGTAACTGGCAATCCTGTAACCATACACTCCAAAGGAATGGGGTCAGTGCTTTGAAGTTGTAAAGGTTAAGGTCATACTTATATAGGCATATATAGGATCAAGGAGTTCCCATGTTACAGAATCAATTGCCAATATTATACAAAGGACAAATTAAAACAAGGAGAGACAATAATTGGATTACAAAGAAATAAGGCCTGGAATATCAATCCAAAGAGAGGTCATCCTATATAAGTGGTGAATTTATGAACATCTCAGAAGTCAGTGACAAGTACTACTAATGTCATATAGTGGTCAAGAATGAATCTCATGGTGAATCCCCATCTCTACTAAAAATACAAAAATTAGCTGGGCGTGGTGGCAGGTGCCTGTAGTCCCAGCTGCTTGGGAGGCTGAGGCAGGAGAATGGCGTGAATCCAGGAGGTGGAGCTTGCAGTGAGCCAAGATCGCGCCACTGCACTCCAGCCTGGGTGACAGAGACTCCATCTCAAAAAAAAAAAAAAAAGAATGAATCTCAGAATCATCTGGCAAATCCAACCATCTGATAGATTCCCTCCAGAGGCAACACTTTGGGATAATTTAACCAAAGTGTTATCATGCCAGTCTATGCTTTGGGACAGAGAGGCAACTATAAAAAATTATATAAAATACATTTTAGCTAATTTAAGGAATTTAGTTAAAACAAGCAAGGCAAAAGTTCTACTTTACATAGGGTGGTAACAATCATCAATGTTCCTAAGACAACAATAATAACAGCTACTATAAAATAAGTATAAGCATTCATTCACATACATGCCTCTTCTTGTGTCTTGGGAAAGCTGACCATCTCCGATGTCATCTCCTTCTTATCGTGGCATCAGTTTATCTTAAGTCAAAGACCATCTTCCAGTGAAAAGACTCATTCAGGAGATTCAATTTTCATTTCTAGAAAGGTAAATCCAGATATCTATACCTTTTAATTTAGCAATATAAGTACTCCTTACTTGGTAAGGTTCATTCCATCTTATTTGGAGAAGGTCATTTACAATGTATTATTTCTAGCAGACAAAATCTCCTAGTTGAAATCCATGATCTTTGAGATTTTTGTTTCCTGGGAGCTCACTATGAAAAGATTATTTTGCCAATTCATAATTTTTAATTAATTGTTGCATAAGACGATTAGATAAATTTTTTTTCTGTCAAGAAGGCAAAGTTTTAAAGACATAATTTCATAAATCTGTCTGTTATAATTTCAAATGAAGATGATCAGTGTTTACTGAAAGGAGTTGATCTTAAGTTTAGCAAAACCAGTGGAAGAGCTTTTGGCCAAATAATTTTGAAAACCTTGTTTGATTTTGCCAATTGGCTTTGAGTATTCCATTTATGCTTTCTACTAATCCAGATTTCTGGGGGTAATAAGCATAACAGAAAAGTTGAAGACCAGAATTATTACTGACTGAGTGAAGTGATTTGTCCAATAAAATGAACGCCTCTGTCCCTGTGAGTTTCCAAAGGAAATCCTCAGTCAGAATTTTTTCTAAAAGGATTTTACCATTGCTAAAGCCGTTGCTCCTCTGTGTGTAAATGCTTCTACCCAATGAGAAAACATACAACTCATTATCAGTACATATTTATAGACTTGTGAGGGTGGCAGCTAGATAATATCCAGTTATGGCATTTCAAAGGGATCCTTGGGTAAAGGAAAGTGTCCTTAGGATCCATGTATAGTTTTCCTGGATTATAATTTTGGCAAGTATGACATCTGTTGTCTACCTTATGAGCTATGGTCAGAGAAAGTTCCATAAATGTATTTGCTCTAAGCAACAACTTTGTCAGGACTCCAGTGAGTTAGATTACACACATACATTAAAAATGATAACTGCAGTTCAGCAAACGGTATGAGCAAATCATTTGGCCTGTACCACATTTCATGTTTGAGGGGTATTTTTACCCTTGTGTTTCCCAACCTTTTTGTTCTGATTTTGGAGCTTTGGATTGAGCTAATTTTATGTCAAATTCAGGTGCTTTCTTAAAAGTTAATACAGGTTGTTTTTCTTACTTAGATATGCTTAGAGCAGCATTATTTGCCACCTATCCGCTCACTGATTTCCTCTGCTTTCTGTGGTATTTCATTTTGAATGATACAGAATTCTAATATTGGCCAGAGGTTTTTGTAATAATACGTCTTCTAGTAGTTTTGAAATAAAATGTTTATGTTTTATGGATTGACCCAGAGAAATTAAGAAACCTTTTTGCTTCCATTACATTTGAAAATCAAGGACTTCTCCAGTTCAGCAAGTGTGAGTTCAGCAATGCTACCGCAGAATGAGGGACAAAGATATTAAGGGGTATTCCCTTTATAATTTCTTCAGCTGCCTTAACTCAGTGGTCCAGGCACCAGGGACAGGTTTCATGGAAGACAATTTTTCCACGGACCAGGGTTGAGGGATGGTTTCAGGATGATTCAAGTACATTACATTTATTGTGTACTTTATTTCTATTATTATTGCATTGTAATATATAATGAAATAATTATGCAACTCACCACAATGTTGAATCAGTGGGAACACTGAGCTTGTTTTCCTGTAACTAGTTGGTACCATCTGGGGGTGAGGGGAGACAGTGACAGATCATCAGCCATTAAATTCTCATAAGGAGCACACAACCTAGATTCCTTACACGTACAGTTCACAATAGGGTCCCTGCTCCTATGAGAATCTGATGCCGCCACTCATCTGATATGAGGCTTAGCTCCGGTGGTAATTTGAGCAATGGGGAGTAGCTGTAAATACAAATGAAGCTTCACTCAATTGCCTGCTGCTCATCTCCTGCTGTACTGCGCAGCTCCTACCAGGCCAAAGACCATTCCCCATCCATGTCCTGGGGACTGGGGACCCCTGCCTTAACTAAAATAGCAGTGGCTTATATGGCTCTCATACAAAGTGGCAATTCTCTAGATACAGGGTATAATTGTTGTCTATAATGCCCTTCAGGTTTATTTTGATCTCTGTGTTTTTGAGTTAGGACCCATAAAACATTTCCATCACTTTCATGTATAAATAATGAAAATGGAAATTTATAATTTGGATGCCCCAAAGCTGGGATATTAGCAAGGTCATTTTTGACCATTTCTAAAGTTAGTTGATTTTCTTTAATGCAATCTAGAAGGTCTGGCATTTCTTGTTTTAAGACCGCATATAGGGGCCAGGCTTTTAAAAAGAAATAAGGATTCAATTTCTACAACACCATGCTGTTTCCCAAAACTCTCTCAAGTGTTTCTACGTTCTCTGTGGCTGAAAAGCTAAAATTCCTTTCAACCTATCTGGATTCATAGAAAGTCCTTCCTTAGATATTAGGTGTCCTAAGTACTTTACTTGATTTTGACAAGATCGAATGAGTTTTTTTAGATGCCTTATGATATAGTTTGGCTTTGTCTCCCTACCCAAATCTCATGTCGAATTGTAATTCCCAATGTTGGGAGTGGGAGGTGATTGGATCTTGGTTTTCCCCACCATGTTCTCATGAAATCGTTTTTTAAAAGAGTGTAGCACTTCCCCTTTCTCTCTCTATCTCTCCTGCCACCATGTGAAGACACGCTTACTTTCCACTTGCCCTTCTGCGATGATAGTAAGTTTCCTGAGGCATCCCTAGCCATACCTCCGGTGTAGCCTGTGAAATGGTGAGTCAGTTAACCCTCTTTTCTTTATAAATTACTTAGTCTCAGGCAGTTCTTTATAGCAGCATGATTATGAACTAATACACCTTATAATCTTTTAGTGCCAATTTTGTAACAGGTATATTCTATCCACTATGGAAGCGCATTTGTTCTCTGAGCAAAAAAGTAAATTATCTACATATTTCATTAAGACAGATATATCAATAAAGTCAACATCTGAGCAGTCTGTTTTTAGTATTTGTGAAAAGTAAGTTTGGCTCTCAGCATACCCTTGTGTCATAACTGTTGAAATATATTGTCTTTCTTTCCAAGTGAAGACAAAGAGAAACTGGACATCTTTGCCTCTAGTAATGCTAAAGAATGCACTCCATGTCTATGTCTGTAAAAAAATTATGCATTATATAGAATAATTGTGAGTAGGAAATGAGAATTAGGCACTACTGGATACTGTGGAATTATTATGTTGTTGTTTTTTTTGTTTTTTTTTTTTGTTTTTTTTTTTTGAGACGGAGTCTCGCTCTGTCGCCCAGGCTGGAGTGCAGTGGCGGGATCTCGGCTCACTGCAAGCTCCGCCTCCCGGGTTCATGCCATTCTCCTGCCTCAGCCTCCCAAGTAGCTGGGACTACATATTATGTTGTTTATTGCTCTCAAATTCTGGACAAATTTTATTTTATTCTAAGTGATTTTTTTAACAGGAGAATTGGTGTATTGCAGGGGCTTGTACAAGGAATGTTCAGTTCTCTTTTTTATATAATGTAAAATTATAGATTTTAATCATTCCAAAGCTTCAGTTCTCAAGGGACACTCTCTGTGTTTTTCTCCATTTTATTTTTTATTTTGGATTCAGGTGGTACATGTTCAGGTTTGTTACATGGGGATATTGCATGATGCTAAGGTTTAGGCTTCTAATGATTCTGTCGCCCCAGTATTGAACCTATGTTCAATACTGACAGGTAGTTTTTCCACCCTTAGCCTCCTCCTCTCTCCTTTTAGAGTCCCCAGTTTCTATTGTCCTCAACTTTGTGTCCATATTTACCTAATGTTTAGTTCCCACTTATAAGTAAAAACATTCAGTATTTGGTTTTCTTTTTATGCAATAATTCACTTAGGTTAATGGCCTTCAGCTACATTCATGTTGCTGCAAAAGACATAATTTTGTCCTTTTTTATGACCTCATAGTATTCCATGGCATATATGTACCACATTTTCTTTATCCAGTACTCTGTTGATGGGCACCTGGGGCGATTCCTTGTCTTTGCTATTGTAAATTGTGCTGCAATGAACATACAAGCACAGGTGTCTTTTTGGTAAAGTAATTTATTTTCCTTTTGGTGTATACCCAGTAATGGGATTGCTGGGTCAAATGGTAATTTCAGTTTTCGTTTTTTGAGAAATCCTGAAACTGCTTTCTACTGGGTCTAAACTAATTTGCATTCCCACCAAGACTGTATAAGTATTTCCTTTTCTCCACAACCTCCCCAACATCTGTTATCTTTTGACTTTTGAATAATATCCATTCTTACTGGTATAAGACAGTATCTCACTGTGGTTTTGATTTGCATCTTTCTGAAGATTAGTGATGTTGACTTTTTTTTTCATGTTTGTTGACTGCTTGTATGTCTTCTTTTGAGAAGTGTGTGATTGATATTTGGAAGCAGTTTTGATAAGTTCATTTGAATTTTTATTGAAGTAGGTGAAACAATAGTTTATCAGTGGAGAACTTTGAACACAACTGATCAGACACTAAAATAGCAGGCTTTGTAAGTCTTCATTGCTTAATAATTCAGTGTCTTCAATGTCAAGATGAATAGTAATTGAATTAAATTTTGAAAAATTTTTGCTAAATTTTTTTGTTATGTCTGTTAACTCTGTTTTATCATTCATTAATTTTGTTTTGCCATTTGGATAATTTAATTCTAAATACATTTTCCCCATCTGCGAGTAAGAAATATGATTTTTACATAGTTCTAAATAGTCTCTTCCTATTAGCTGGATAGGGGCTGATGGAACCAAAAAGAAAACATGAATCCCCCATGTAGGGGACCTAGTGGGAAAGTTATAAACTTAGGTTTTTATGTTTTTATGCTGACATAGGAATATTTGTCACACCCACCATTGAATCAAGTGTTTATAATAAAGACTGGGGCCTTGTAATAAGGTGGGATTTACTACAGAAAACATTGCCCCAGTGTCAATGAGGGCTTGGAATTGTTCCCCATTTAAAATAATTGTTATTTCTGTCAGAGTGTTAGTAAAAAGAAAAGGAACTATCCCTTTAAGTTTCTCAGAGCACTCCTATCCGTTTCTCCTTTGTTATTCTCTCTGTTTTAATTTTTGGCATTTAAAAAAAATGGTCTCTTTTTTTGCAGCAATTGCAAGTTGGAGGATTAGATGTGTTCAGGGGTTAATTGGGGATATTTTGGCTTTTAATTTTTGGGTGGATAATTGTTTCAGTTGCCAATTCATAATCTTGTTAGTTTTATGCTTTTGTCTGGCCTCTTTCTCTTTTTCTTTAATTAAAGTAGGTCAGCAAGATTAACCAAATCATGAATTTGAGAATTGGCCCAACTGGGATATTGTTTCTGTATTATTTGTGCTAATTCTTTGTGTAACCTATTTGTAAAGTTGGAGTTGAGAATACTGTTTTGATGATTAGTATAATTTCCCTCAGATACGCCTGAATATTGGCTAAGAATTTTTTCAAATCTTTCAAAGTCAGCCATTACTGACTTATTTGGAATTTTTCAACATTAGTGTATTTCATTACAACCCATTACCTTTTGTATGACTAAAGGAATGCCTGCAAGCAGAATCTTTACAGTTTCACAGGCATTCCTTTGACCTCGTACTGAACATTTTTGGAAATTCTCTAGTGGATTTCTCCAACGACTTTTACCAATCTAATCTTCAGCCTTACTTTCCACAACTAATATGTGAACTATTTTTTATTTATATAAATCGGAAAAGCCAAAGTCATAAGTTTAAATATTTAATTTAAACTCCTTGCCAAAGCCAGTAGAGTCCTGATGGAAGTCCAACATTTCCTTAATTATGTTTTTAAGTTCTACCTTTGACCATGGTTGACAAACTGAGGCAGGGTTTTTCTTTCCAGACACTGACTGTATAGAAAATGAAGCCAGAACAGCAAGGGTAGAAGGAGAAGAAAGGGAAGCAGATCAAGGCAAGTTAAGAAAGTAAAGTGTAAAGAGAAAAAGGAGATGAAGGAAGAGAAGGATAAGCTTCTCATGGAGGAGGAGAAGCTTTGGCAGCCTTTTCATAAAGTGTTTTGACAATCTTTCTTTTTTCTTCTTGTAAAGAAATAACTTTTCCAGAACCCCTTTTGGATGCTTCTAAATACCAATAAAAATAGGTCTCCCAATTATTCCATTTTATCCTCGAGCCAGCTTTTTTTTTCTAATTGCACCCACAAGTAAATGATTTTAAGCATTTCAAAAGTTCCCCACTTGAGCCATTGCAATTTCGGTTCTTCATATGTTATATAAGACCATTTTTTTAAATACGACAAGAGGTGAAACCATAAGTATTGTATGTCAATCCATCTGAAGTCTCTAAAGGTAAAGCTTCCTAAAAGACAACTCAGGTTTAGATATGTGATCACTAATAATTTGTATTATCCTCTTAATTAATGAAAGGCTGGAAAAGAGAAAGATGTTTTGGATCAAATTTACTAGTTAGGGAAACAGCTCTCAAAGATGTCATCCTTTGGTCAGTTCTTCCCTTTATGCAGCTAGGTAAAGCCCAGGAATTCTGTGTGCTTAAAGCACTGGAAGATCGGCCAGGCACCATGGCTGTAGTCCCAGTACTTTGGGAGGCTGAGGCTGGCAGATCATGAGGTCAAGAGATTGAGACCATCTGGTCAACTTGGTGAAATCCCATCTCTGCTAAAAACACAAAAATTAGCTGGGTGTGGTGGTGCGTGCCTGTAGTCCCAGCTACTCGGGAGGCTGAGGCAGGAGAATAGCTTGAACCTGGGAGGCAGAGGTTGCAGTGAGCCGAGATTACGCCACTGTGTATCAGCCTGGGAACAGAGCAGGACTCCTTAAAAAAAAAAAGTACTGGAAGATCAGCTTCTTGCACGTGCCCAACAGTTTAAGCAAATTTCCATGTATGTTCTCCTTTAGAGATTCCCTATCTGATCATTTCTTATCACTAGCGGGAAGCTCCAACATTCCTGTGAGACGTTAGTAATCTAAGGTTCCTTTCATCTAGGAGGAACACTGTCTTTGTCTTCGGGACATATCATGTCCTCATAAAGGTCTTTTATAAATTTTTGGTCACACAAATAATTTAAATGTGTCAAATTGAACCAAGCTTCCAAACTTGGCCAGTTTAAGATAACAATTTTACTTAAGCCATAGACATTCACTTCTTCCAGTTAAAGAAAAACATATTTTCCTTTAACCAGTTTTCAAACAAGGGAAATGGTTGCAAACTTTAGGAAACAGAACAACAATCACAAAAAAACCACCCCAACCCTAAAGAAGAGTAAAATTACAAATTTGCAAACAATAAAATCTGTAGACAGATAAGAAACATCCTACCTTAAATGCTTTAAAATATAATTCTAGCCCTGTCAAGGATATAATCAGGTTGCTTACATAAAATCTGAAACTCACGTCAGTCAGGGAGATTCAAAACCTGAGACAGGCCTCACCAAGGGCTCTGGCAAACTCCAGCAAAGTCGGTTGGATGGAAATGGTCCATGCTGGTACCAGGGCACAGGCCTGTCTGTGAAGCAGCAGGAGTCAATGGAAGAAACCCACTTTGGGTCACATGTGGGATGCCACTATGTCAACATAAAATAATTGAAATAATCAGAGTCCAGTTGAAAAGAGTTTATTCAAGAGAAACCTGAGGATAGCCATCTGGAAAACACAGACTTTGAAGGAATGAGATCAGTGATGAAAAGCTGAAATGTTAAGGTCTTATTTATATATTCAGAAAACAGACAATTAACAGGATTATATTTTTCACCAAAAGCAGTTTTAAGAGTTACATAAATTTGATTACTTACGGGTTGTTTTCTTTTCTTTCCTCAATTTAAAAGCATATATCTCACATTCCATCTTATACAATGTGATATTTCTGAGGTTTTTGTGAGAAGAGAAGAGAAGAAAGAGGGAAGTTAATATACAATGAAGGACTATCGTTAAGAGGGAAGGGGTCTTTTCTGGCACCCTTGAGTCTTTACAACATTTTACAAAACAATGTAGGTAAAGAAAAGTTTAATCTCAAGTCAGAGACACAAAGGTTACAGCAGCCTGAGTTATAGCTGCCTGTTAGGTGACTCAGGTTCCATAATCACATTCCTTAAGTTATAATAATGCTTATTTTGAATTACTTATTTATGAAAAGTCAAATATTTTCTTCAAAAATTATAAAAACTAGGCCAGGCGCGGTGGCTCACGCCTGTAATCCCAGCACTTTGGGAGGCCGAGGCGGGCGGATCATGAGGTCAGGAGATCGAGACCATCCTGGCTAACACAGTGAAACCCCATCTCTACTAAAAATACAAAAAATTAGCCGGGTGAGGTGGCACACGCCTGTAGTCCCAGTTACTCAGGAGGCTGAGGCAGGAGAATGGCTTGAACCTGGGAGGCGGAGCTTGCAGTGAGTCGAGACTGCGCCACTGCACTCCAGCCTGGGCGACAGAGTGAGACTCCGTCTCAAAAAAAAAAAAAAAAAAAATTGTAGAAACTAGTGATTTTCTTCCATCTATCATTCTTCCTAAATTGCTTTTCTTCATTTCTCACTGGTAACCACTTTCAACTTGTGAAATAATATATTTTGTCAATCATCTTTATATTTATAAATATAAAAGGTAATTTCATTACTTGTTAATATTTTGGAGTTACATATTATCAAGTGGCATTTCAAAATCAATGATCAATATTTTGATCACTTATAGTAATTATCCTTTTTCTCCATTTCCACCTATCACACACACTCACGTTAATGTCCTCTCTACCTTCAATATAATTAACTCTTAAATTTTATGTAGTTTAATATTTATTGTTAACAATATCAGGATTAGATGAATATTATTATTCACAGTTGAGTTATGTAGAATACTATAATTAAAACACCTTTGTTATGTAAATATTTCTTTACTCTAAATTTAATAACGGTCTTCTGTTGTTGTTCATTTAATTTTAACCTACCATCATCTTAGATCCAAATTTTACTAGGGATTAAAATCTTCTCTTGATGTAGCCAAACAGACTAAGTAGACTATAATATTCTACTTTTCTTGAAGACATCAGAGCTCTTGATCCTACTTCCTGCTTATCTCTGGAAATGCAGCATCAAACATAATGCATTATCATTTTTTCTTTTATTTTCTGATATTCCCAACTTCATCATTTTGTTTACCAACTCATTGGGATAGAAAAATTATTCCAATAGTTTTTTGAAGAGCACCACATGGGAAATAAATGGGCATTTTGCATATCGAAAAATGGTTGATTGGTTCTCATTTTGGTTTTGTATAATATTATTGGTTGGACTTCCTTTTTCTCAGAACTAAAAAGGCATTGCTGTATTTTCTTCTGTTTCAGTGTTGCCATTTCACAAGTCCTCCAGTGCCATTCTGTATATTAAATATGATTTTCTAAAAGACACTAGATGATTTTAGCTCATATTTGTCTTAAATTTTATAAAATTTTCAAATAAGTGACTTTATTGATTTTTCCCTTTCATTGTGATAGGCACACTATCAGTTCTTGCATGTCTCATGTCCATTTGTTTGTGCGTGTATGTGCATATGTGCACACATGTGGGTATTTAACATACTTCCTGTCATTTTCACGGTCATAAGTTTTTGAAGTTTCTATTTTCACATGTTGCAATGACTAGACCGAACCATAATATTGATATCATTGCTATATCATTTCATCTCTCTTATTTTCAATGTTTACTCTTTGAGTAAGACATCACCTTTATCTTCAAACTCTTCTTTTTTTTTATTTTAAGAGTTCTTTTTGTTATACTAATGGTAATTTTATATCCATTTGCTCTCATTTTATGATTGCAATATCTTTTTCTATATTTCAAGTATATTAATTAGTCCTTTTGTTTGAGGTTTATCATCACTTCCTTCCCACTCTATTTCTTGCAAGTTACTATTTTTTCTTTATCTATATTGCCCTTCATTTTATATGTTAGTGGCTTTTCTTAGTGATCCTTTGAGCCCCTTGAATTTTTCTATTAAATTTTGCATTTATTACCATATAGATATTTTCCCAATAAATACTTTTTTCTAGTCTTATTCCTAGTGACACAAATCCAGCTTCTATCTTTCTGTAACTCATTGTTGTCAACTTTATTTAATCCTGTGTCTTCTCTATGTGCCTTTCCTTCAGCTGTCCCTGATGTCTCTAATTTCAGAGTTCAGTTAAAATTTAAATTGAAACTTTCAGAGAGTAAAATATTAATACTAGGCTTGGGTTGGTGACAGAATGTGAGATTTTAAGCATTTCAATTTTTATTTTTATTTTAGCTATACATGTATCCAGTATAGTGTCACCTATTTTTTTTTTTCTTTTTTACCTTTACTTCTCTTGCAGTAACAGTTAGAAAACAGTTTTTGTTATTGCCAGCTTAAGTATTTCAGGTTTTAGTTTTCTCTGGTAGGCTAAGCCAGTTTAAATTTGTCTGTCTGCTTTTCATGGTTTAAAGTGTTTTCTTTATGTTTCTTTGCCTATGAATAATTTTTAAATTTAATTAAATTGTATTTGAGTTTCTGGTGGTTATCAATGTAAATTAATGTGTTTGATTAGCCACAATTAATTGAAACTGAGACAATACTTAGAAAAAAATGTATGCTGTC
The DNA here is from genome assembly GCF_000001405.40 of Homo sapiens. Classification (NCBI taxonomy): domain Eukaryota; kingdom Metazoa; phylum Chordata; class Mammalia; order Primates; family Hominidae; genus Homo; species Homo sapiens. The sequence continues at coordinate 33,232,743 of NC_000004.12, forward strand.
ATCAACCAAACTATACCTAATCTCCCTTTTTGTGGCACTATATGTAGATTTTTTGTTTGTTTGTTTGTTTGATTTTGTAGAAGGTTGAATAATACCCATGCATAGATATCAGGTCCTAATCCATGGAAATAGTAAATGTTATCTTATAGGAAAAAATGATTCCTTCAGACATAATTAAGTTTAATATTTTGACATTAGAAGATTATTTTGGATTATCCAAGTGGTCCCTAAATACAGTCACTGGAACCTTATAAGAGAGAACCAAAGGGGGTTGTGAATAAGAGAAAAGAGTAGAAGATACTCTGCTATGGTTTAGATTTGTGTCCCTGCCCATATCTCATGTCAAATTTTAATCCTCAATGTTGGAGAAGGGGCCTGGTGGGAGGTAATTGGATCATGGGGGCGAACTTCCCCCTTGCTGTTCTCGTGATCGTGAGTAAGTTCAAATGAGATATGGTTGTTTAAAAGTGTGTAGCACCTCTCCCTTCTCTCTCTTCCTCCTGCTCCAGCCATGTAGGACATGTCTGCTTCCCCTTTACCTTCTGCCATAATTCTAAGTTTCCTGAGGCTTCCTGTATAGTCTGTGGAACCATGAGCCAATTAAACCTCTTTTCTTTATAAATTACTGAGTCTCAGGGAGTTTTCTACAGCAATGAGAGAATGTACTAATACATACACAGAGTGAAAAGATGTTGTAAAGCCAGAAGCAGGAATTGGTGTAATGAAAGAAAGTAATCCAGCAGCTGCAAGAAGCATAGTATGGAATCTCTGTTAAAGCCTGAAGAGGAAGGATGGTTCTGTGAACACATTGATTTTAGCTTAGTGAAATTGATATTTGATGTCTGACCTCAGGAACAATTAGAGAATTTCTGCTGTTTACTACCATGTTTGTGGTTATTTGTTACAACAGCTACAGAAAATGAATACATTTCCCATGTATCTAGACATTGAATTTGTCTCTCTTCAAAAATTTTAGGAAAAGTAGATAGAATTTTATAATAGTAAAACATATCATGTTTCTAAGTAGCTAGACTACCTACATAAACTATCTCCAAATTAGGTTGGATGCAGTGCAAATCAAAATTTTACCATGAACTTATAAAGGATTCTAAGATTTTTTTAAGACTAAAAATAGAAAGACCAGCTCAAAACATCTTGAATAAGATTAGCTTATACAACTGCTGTAAGAACAGGGATTACGTCTTGTGATAATATCTTCCTTGTAACATTCTGCAAATATTGTTGAATGAATAAAGAATGAGAAGTGTGACAAGGAGTATTCTAGGATGACACCCAAGATTTTAGACCCCTGGTATATGTGCCCTGTATTATTCCCTTCTCTTGAGTGTGGGTGAGACTTGTGAATAAGTTATGATTTTACTCCCAGAATTAGGTTACTAACCAGTGGACTTTTAGTTAATCAAAAGGGATGACTGTCTTAGATAAACCTGAAATGCTTAGTTGAGCCCTTAAATGAGGGACCAGACCCTTCCTAAAGAGAAACTTTTAAAGCAACAGATTCTCTAGAGCTAACTTTCAAGAAGCTAACTATTACGTTGTGCAGTAGACCATGTGGTAAGAACCTGAGGGGGTGCTCTAGGACCTGAGAGCCACAAGAAAATGGGGATCTCATGTCCATAACCACAGGGAACTAGATTCTGTCTACGTGTAAAAGAGCATGGAAACTGATTATTTCTTAATCAAGCCACCAGGTAAGAGTGCAGTATAGCAAACACCTTGTGATTTTGGCCTTCTAGAATGCTGAGCAGAAGACCTCGTTGATAAATGCACAAACACATGTCCTACAAAACTTTGAGATAATAAACTAAGTTACTAAGTTTGTGGTGATTTGGGACACAGCAACAGACAACTAACAAAAGAAAAGACTTTCTCAAGTCTATATTAAATATATCATAACTTCCTTATTTTTTTTTTTTTTTTGAGACGGAGTCTCGCTCTGTCTCCCAGGCTGGAGTGCAGTGGTGCAATCTCGCTCACTCCAATGTTTGCCTCCCAGGTTCAAGCAATTCTCCTGCCTCAGCCTCCCAAGTAGCTGGGACTACAGGCATGTGCCACCAAGCCTGGCTAATTTTTTTTGTATTTTTAGTAGAGATGGGGTTTTACCATATTAAATAATTAAAATAGATTTTTCTTGCATAAGTTTCAATCTGTAGATTGATAGCTCTAATTAGATACCACAGAAATAGACATAATTTATGTATCCAAATTTTATGTATAAAAAATCTACATTATCGGCTAGATAAAAAATATCATGTACTTAATAAATGGTTCAAGATATTTCTCCTTGTGAACTTGTACTAACTCAATTCTTTCCCCTTTCTCACTTATAATTCTGAAGAATAACTGTAGCATGTGCTGGGAATGCAACATCTGAGATATGGAGGGACAGTCTAGAATAGCCTGGGCTCTGTTCCAGTCACCCCCAGCAACAGGATGCCCTTCAGTGCTTTAACTTCATAGGTCACATCATCCCAGAGTATCAAATCCAGGGTGGGCTGCTCTCCAGTGTCCCTCAGTTGTGGTGCAAGTGGGACAGATGCAGTTGAGACTTTATCTGCTTTAGACAGCTTTTCTGAGCCTTGGGGGACAGGCTCACCATAAATCCTAGGCATCTGTTGTCCCTCTCTGCCAATCAGTGAGTAATAAATGCACTTTACATAACGTGTGTGCATGGGTCTTCTGTCTCACCAAACTCAACAAGTTGATAACCAATACACAGTGAACCTGCTTCACAAATAGCATTAGAATTTCTTATCTTTTTTGACATGTAAAAGAGTAGCTAATTACATGGTATATTCTAAAATATATTCTAGATCCATCAATAATTTAAATGAAAGAAATAAATTGACAAAACTAGAGGAAAATAAATATAGGCTTTTTTTTCTGATTTCAGAAAAGTAAAACATTTTCCATGCATGATATTATTTGGAGAACTCCTGAAGAGAATACATGCAATTGTGCTACTATGTCTATTTTGGAACAAGATTAACTGCAATAAACAAATTCATTTGACAAACTGACACTTAAAAATAACCTTAGCCAGGCGCAGCGGCTCACTTCTGTAATCCTAGCACTTTGGGAGGCCGAGGTGGGTGGATCACCTGAGGTCAAGAGTTCGAGACCAGCCTGGCCAACATGGTGAAACCCCATCTCTACTAAAAATACAAAAATTAGCCAAGCGTCATGGTGGGAGCCTGTAATACCAGCTACTCGGGAGGCTGAGACCGGAGAATTGCTTGAACCCAGGAGGCAGAGGCTGCAGTGAGCCGAGATCGTGTCATTGAACTCCAGCCTGGGCGACAGAGTGAGACTCCATCTAAAAAACAAACAAACAACAGAAAAAACAACTTTAATTCAAAGTGTCAAAAACTTTTGTTGGTATTTTATTTTATTTTATTTTACATTTAGAGAGTACACGTGAAGATTTGTTACACGGACATATTAATGGTGAGGTTTGGGCTTCTAGAGGACCCATGACTCAAACAATGAACACTGTACCCAATAGGTAATTTTAAAAGCCTCACCCTGCCTCATACCTTCCCTGCTTTTGGAGTCCTTAGTGTCAATTATTTCCATCTTTATGTCCATGTGTACCCATGTTCAGTTGCCACTTATCAGTGAGAACATGAGGCATTTGAACATGTGTCCTCCACATCCATCTATGTTGTTGCAAAAGACATAATTTTATTCTTTTTTAAGGCTGTGTAATATTCCATGGGGTATATTTAACACATTTTATTTACCCAGTCAACCATCACAGCATCACAAAGGGGGAACTATGAGAACACATTTAAGATAAGTGAAGATATGTATTGAATATAACACCAATTGCACATGCCACATAAAAACATGGACAAATAGCCTTGTAAGACATATGAATCATAACCTACCCCAATTATAACCCTTTCTAAGCAAACTGCTGCACCCACTGCTTTATATCATAATTGTCTTATAGTCTGTTTGTGCTCCACTCCAAAGCCATAAAGACTGGACTAGCGATTAATACCTAAATCAATGATTTGGCAATTATTTTATGGTCTGCCAAAATAGAAAATTTATAACAGTTAAATTCTTTTTTACAAATTTCACCTGCAAGCCAGACTTTTGTCTCATATGAAAGGTCTGGGTCTGCCTTTTCATGATTTTTGTTGTATGTAACAAATAAGGAGAGAGAGGACATAATAAAGAAAGGTGAAGATAAAGAAACAGAAGAGAACAGAAAAGAAAAAGGGAATAATGGATATGAGAAGAGAAGGAAAGAGGCAAATAGAAAGATAGGCTTGAACACACAGGATCTGAGATTTACAAAGCAGTGAGTGACTATGCTATACAGAGATGTAGAGCAGAAAGGAAGGCACCCAGCTAAGAAGATGAGGATGATGCACTCATTGTATCTGTGGAATAAGAAGTGGGCATGTAAAGATTGAGACCATGTAATGTGAGAGAGCAAAAAAATGGCCCTGCCTACAGTGATCTCGTACTGGAAAGTTCTATTTAGAAGTTATTTTTCTGAGCGACAAAATGTAGGAGGCATCATAAAATATGAGGAATGGTGTTAACCCTTACTTGGTAATCAGTGTTCTTAATTGTGTTACGGGAAACACCCTAGAAGGTAATATAAAGCTTGTTTATTAGCAGGGTGCTGTGGCTCACACCTGTAATCCCTGCATTTTGGGAGGTCGAGGTGGGAGGATTGCTTGAGCCCATGAGATTGAGACCAGCCTTGGCAACAAAGTAAGACCTAGTCTCCACAGAAAAATTAAAAAATTAGCTGTGTGTAATGGTGCTCACCTGTAGTCTTAGCTACTTGGGAGATAGAGGCAGGAGGATCACTTGAGCCCAGGTCGGGCCTGCAGTGAGCCACATTCATACCACCAAACTTCAGCCTGGATGACAAAGTGAGACCCTGCATTCAAAAAGGGGAAGAAAAAAAAATCTACACATACTGACACAAAAAGGGAGATTAGGTTTAGTTTGGTTGATGACAGAATACAGTTTTTTCTAAGTATTGTCTCAGTCTCAATTAATTGTAGCTAGCAGTTTATTTTGTTAATCATTTCAAAAAACCAGCTCCTGGATTCTCTGATTTTTTGAAGGTTTTTTTGTGTCTCTATCTCCTTCAGTTCTGTTCTGATCTTAGTTATTTCTTGTCCTCTGCTAGCTTTTGAATTTGTTTGCTCTTGCTTCTCTAGTTCTTTTAATTGTGATGTGAGGGTGTCTATTTTAGATCTTTCCTGCTTTATCCTGTGGGCATTTAGTGCTAAAATTTCCCTCTAAACACTGCTTTTGCTGTGTCCCAGCGATTCTGATACGTTGTGTCTTTGAGAATAATGGATATGCGAAGAGAAGGAAAGAGGCAAATAGAAAGATAGGCTTGAACAGACTGGATCTGAGATTTACGAAGCAGTGAGTGACTGTGCTAAGAGGAGGTTAGAGCAGAAAGGAAGGCATCCAGCTAAGAAGATCAGGAGATGTTATCTTGTTGATCCAGAACACCATGGCATCCTCAAGGTCATACGGAAGTTCCTTCGAGGCACTGAATGTTGAGAAGTGCTTGACACTGGCCACCACCTTCTCAATGCTGATCATATCCATGGTATAGGCCATCATCAGGGCATCCACCATCACCATGTGGGCACTCATCATTATGGGTGCGCGACTGAGGTCAGACTCTGTCATGGGGGTTTCGTTACCCTCCATCACATAGATCTCTTTCCAGGCCAGGGCCTGGAAGACAGACTGGTGTCCCAGTAAGGTGGCCATCTGGTCCCCTTTCAGAATAAGGCTGCAGATGTGGCAGTACAGCTCGCTGGACAGGAGAAGCTTGATAACAGGCAGCTTAATGTGCTCCTGCTCATATTGGTTGACGTAGAAAGGGTCTCTGAGGTCCTTGGGGATGTTATCTTGTTCAAGGGCACTACAGCTTGCATTGTGTATCAGGAGCAGAAATCCAGTCCCTTCTCACTCTAGTTGAGTATCAGTACATTCCACCAACAGGCACTATACACAGCCAGGAATATCAAAGATTCCAGGAATCCAGTTTATAGTCCTGCAGAAAGAAACCAATGACTGCAGTTTACAGTCATTGGTTTCAAAGAACTAATTTATTTCTGCCTTAATTTAATTATCTACCCAGTAGTCATTCAGGAGCAGGTTGTTCAATTTCCATGTAGTTTGTGGTTTCAAGTGAAATTCTTAATCCTGAGTTCTAATTTCATTCTGCTGTGGTCTGAGAGACTGTTTGTTATGATTTCCATTCTTTTACATTTGCTGAGGAGTGTTTTACTTTCAATTATGTGGTCAATTTTAGATTAAGTGTGATGTGGTTCTGAGAAGAATGTATATTCTGTTGATTTGAGGTCAAGAGTTCTCTAGATGTCTATTAGGTCTGCTTGGTCCAGAGCTGAGTTCAAGTCCTGAATATCCTTGCTAATTTTGTGTCTTGTTGATCTATCTATTATGGAAAGTGGGGTGTTAAAGTCTCCCACTATTATTGTGTTGGAGTCTAAGCCTTTTTGTAGGTCTCTAAGAACTTGCTTTATGAATTCGGGTGTTCCTGTATTGGGTGAATACATATTTAGGATAGTGAGCTCTTGTTGCACTGATCCCTTTACCATTATGTAATGCCATTCTTTGTCTTTTTTCATCTTTGTTGGCTTAAAGTCTGTTTTATCAGAGACTAGAATTGCAACCCCTGCTATTTTTGCTTTCCATTTGCTTGGTAAATATTACTCCATCCTTTATTTTGAGCCTGTATGTGTCTTTGCACGTGAGATGGGTCTCCTGAATACAGCACACCGATGGGTCTTGACTCTTTATCCAATTTGCCAGCCTGCATCTTTTAATTGGGGCATTTAGCCCATTTACATTTAAGGTTAATATTGTTATGTATAAATTTGATCCTGTCATCATGATGCTAGCTGGTTATTTTGCACATTAGTTGATGCAGTTTCTACATAATGTCATTGATCTTTGTATTTTGGCATGTTTTTGCAGTGGCTGGTACTGGTTTTTCCTTTCCATATTTAGTGCTTCCTTCAGGAGCTCTTGTAAGGCAGGCCTGGTGGTGACAAAATCCCTCAACATTTGCTTGTCTGTAAAGGATTTTTTTTTTTTTTTCGCTTATGAAGCTTAGTTTGGCTGGATATGAAATTCTGGATTCAAAATTATTTTCTTTAAGAATGTTGAATATTGGCCACCACTCTCTTCTGGCTTGTAGGGTTTCTGCAGAGAGATTGCTGTTAGTCCGACGGGCTTCACTTTGTGGGTAAGTTGACATTTCTCTCTGGCTGCCTTTAACATTTTTTCCTTTGTTTCAACCTTGGTGAAGCTGACGATTATGTATTTTGGTGTTGCTCTTCTCAAAGAGTATGTTAGTGGTCTTCTCTTTACTTCCTGAATTTGAACATTGGCCTGCCTTGCTAAGTTGGGGAAGTTCTCCTGGATAATATCCTGAAGTGTGTTTCCAATTTGGTTCCATTCTCCCCGCCATTTTCAGGTACACCAATCAATCATAGATTTGCTCTTTTCACATAGTCCCATATTTCTTGAAGGCTTTTTTTTGTTCATTTTTATTCTTTTTCCTCTAATCTTGTCTTCACGTTTTATTTCATTAAGTTTATCTTCAATCTCTGATATCCTTTCTTCTGCTTGATCAATTTGGCTATTGATACTTGTGTATGCTTCACGATGTTCTTGTGCTGTGTTTTTCAGCTCCATCAGGTCGTTTATGTTCTTCTCTAAACTAGTTATTCTAGTTAGCAATTCCTCCAAGCTTTTTTCAAAGTTCTCAGCTTCCTTGCATTGGGTTAGAACATGCTCCTTTAGCTTGGAGGAGTTTGCTATTACCCGCCTTCTGAAGCCTACTTCTGTCAGTTCATCAAACTCATTCTCCATCCAGTTTTGTTCCTTTGCTGTTGAGGAGTTGTGATCCTTTGGAGGAGAAGAGGCATTCAGGTTTTTGGAATTTTCAGCATTTTTGTGATGGTTTTTCCTCGTCTTCATGGATTTATCTAACTTTGATCTTTGATGCTGAGGCCCTTTGGATGGGGTTTTTCCATGGGCGTCTTTTTTGTTGATGTTGATGTTGATGTTGATGTTATTGCTTTCTGTTTGTTAGTTTTCCTTCTAACAATCAGGTCCCTCTTCTGCAGTCTGCTGGAATTTGCTGGAGGCCCACTCCAGATCTGTTTGCCTGAGTATCACCAGTGGAGGATGCAGAACAGCAAAGATTGCTGCCTGCTCCTTCCTCTGGAAGCTTTGTCCTAGAGGGGAATTCACCAGATGTCAGCTGGAGCTGTTGTTGGCCCCCGCCAGGAAGTGTCTCCCAGTCAGGAAGCACAGGGGCCAGGGACCCACTTGAGCAGGCAGTCTGTCCGTTAGCAGGGCTTGAGCGCTGTGCTGGGAGATCCACTGCTCTCTTCAGAACTGGCATGAAGGAACATTTAAGCCTGCTGAAGCTGTGCCCACAGCCGCCTCCTCCCTCAGGTGCTTTGTCCCAGGGAGATGGGAGTTTTATCTCTAAGCCCCTGACTGGGGCTGCTGCCTTTCTTTCAGAGACACCTGGGCTCTGCTCAGTCCGAACTTCCCAGTAGCTTTGCTTACACTGTGAGTGGAAAACTGCCTACTTAAGCCTCAGAAACGGCGGACGCCCCTTCCCTCAAGAAGCTCCAATGTCCCAGGTTGACTTCGGACTGCTGTGTTGGCAGCAAGAGTTTCAAGCCAGTGGATCTTAGCTTGCCAGGCTCTGTGGGGGTGGGACCCACTGAGGAAGACCACCTGGCTACCTGGCTTCCACCCCCTTTTCAGGAGAGTGACTTGTTCTGTCTTGCTGGGGTCCCAGGCACCACTGAGGTATGAATAAAAACTCCTACAGCTAGCTTGCTGTTTGCTCAAATGGCAGTACAGTTTTGTGCTTGAAACCCAAGGCCCTGGTGGTGTAGGCACCCAAGGGAATCTCTTGGTCTGAGAGTTGCAAAATCCATGGGAAAAGCATAGTATCTGGGCTGGATAGCACCACCCCTCATGGCACAGTCCCTCACAGCTTCTTTTGGCCAGGGGAGGGAGTTCCCTGAGCCCTTGCACTTCCCAGGTGAGGCAACGCCCCACCTTGCTTTGGCTTGCCCGCCATGGGCTGCACCCACTGTCCAACCAGTCTCAATGAGATGAACAGGGTACCTCAGTTGGGAATGCAGAAATCACCTGCCTTCTGCATTGGTCTCCCTGGGAGCTGCAGACCGGAGCTGTTCCTATTCAGCCATCTTGCCTGGAACTTCTACTTTTATCTTCAGAAGCAATAACAACAACAACAAAAAGAAATTATATCAATTTAAATATTAAAAGAGGTGATGAATTTTTAAATAATGACAGAAAACTGAGTTGCCAGACAGGAATACTTACTGAAACATATGTACTAGAAATTCTATATTTGAAAGAAAATTTTTGTGCTTAGTTTTTCTAAAAATTATTCTTTATATTGGTGGTTTTTAAATACCTACTTTAACATGGACACATAGAAAATAATTTTACACATAATTGATATCTAGCAATCAAAACATTTTACAATTAACATTTTAAGAATATCACTATTAACATTTTAACAGCTTTGAAAATTACCTCTATGCATTTTTCCTTCCGTAAATCTAAGACATCATTTCATTTTAATTATAAATTATTCAGTATGTATTCCTAAGAGATACAATATTTTTTACAATAACCTCAATGCTATTATATGCCTGATATGATTAAAATGCATCTTTATTATCACCTAAATCCATATCATGTTTATATTTTCAAGTTATCTCAAAAATGTCTTTTTAAAGTATTTTGGTTTAAATTGAAAAGTGTCCATCAGTTGCATTCAGTTAATATCTCTTAACTTCTTAAAATTGATAATTTTTATTTTTAAAGTAGTTTTTTACATGTTATTTGCTAGTCCTGTGGAATTAGCCATCAACTTTGAGCTGTAGAATTTTCTATATCTTTAATTTGGCACCTCGATTCCTCATGATATTATTTACATTTTTACTCTATCTCTCATGTATTCAGTATACGGTACTTTTAGAGACTTGCTTAGACTCAAGATTAAGTTTTTTGGCAAGACCACATTATAGCTGGAGCTGTGGAATTGTTAATATAACACTAGGAAGTACATAAGTTCTGGCTGTCTGATATGGTTTGGCTCTGTCTTCCTACCCAAACCTCTTCTTGCATTGTAATCCCCATAATCCCTACATGTCAAGGGAGAGACCAAGTGGAGATAACTGGATCATGGAGGCAGTTTCCCCCATGCTGTTCTCATAACAGTGAGTGAGTTCTCACGAGATCTGATGGTTTTATAAGTGGTTGCCAAGTTCCTCCTTCAGTTATTCTCATTCCTGCCACCTTGTGAACAAGTTTCCTACCTCCCCTTTGCCTTCCACTGTGATTGTAAGTTTCCTGAGGTTTCCCCAGCCATATGGAACTGTGAGTCAATTAAACTTCTTTCGTTTATACATTATCCAGTCTCAGAAAGTTCTTTATAGCAGTGTGAAAATGAACTAATACACTGTCTCACCTTAGTAATGTTTAAAACTGACACTTGGATTCAAGTGTGGGCAGCTGGATCCATCTATTATGATATGCTCCACCATGCTTTCAAGTTTCTCAATTAACTATTATTTCCTTTGAATACCTCAATGGAATTTCTTGTTTTCTAGAGTACATGATAAGGTGACGTTGTAAGTTTTTTATTCCGGCATTTGTTGTTCTGTAAGAAGCTGTGGTTCCTTTTAGTAAGAAAAGCTTTTAAAGATCCCAACCTAGCCAGTAGAGTTACTCGTTGTTAGTGATTTGTTACTACTTTTAAGACTTTATAGTGGGCAGAGATTGAAAATATGTATTCTTCAGAAAGAAATTAATTATAATTAATATTGAGTTTATACTATTTAAATATCAAGTATAAGTTGTAGATTTTCCCTCTATATTTTTTATTTCTTTCCTATTTACTGTTGTCACAGACACAATTCATTTGAAAATATAGCAATATGCTTTTATAAAATCTTATAAAATAATTCGATTTATTTTACATAGAAACAAAATATCATTCATCTTATGTAAATGCAGTTGATGCTTGAACAACACAGGTTTGAACTGTGGAGATACATATGTATGTGAATTTTCTTCTGCCTCTGCCAACCTTGAGACAAGATCAACTTCCTCCTCCTCCTCGGCCTACTTAAAGTGAAGACAATGAGGATGAAGATCTTCAAAATTATTCACTTTCACTTAATGAATAGTAAATATATTTTCTCTTCCTTACAGTTTTCTTAATAACATTTTATTTCCTCTAGCTTACTTTGTTGTAAGAATACGGTAGATAATAAATAGAACACAGAAAATATGTGTTTATTAAGTGTTTATGATATTGTTAAAGCTTCTGATCAATAGCAGGCCATTAACAGTTAAGTTTGGGAGTAGTCAAAAGTTAAATGTTCATTTTTGACTGTGTGAGGGGCTGATGCCCCTAAGTCTCACATTTATTAAGGGTCAACTGTATTAGATATGTTTTATTTTAAAATAGTCAAATTATTTTTTCATTATATTAATCCTATTTATACTAATTTGCATACTTTTATAATGCATCTAGTAATAGTAATATTATATGTAATTAAATGAGCACATATCACTTTGATACAAACAGGATTATGAGTAAATATAACTGATTCTTGTTAAGCATTGACCTTTATTTTTATGGCAAGTTTAAGGACATACAACGACTACCTAAAGAGCTTCAAACATTTTACGAAGGGAATGGAAAGCATCATTTAAGAAAATGATACAGATAACTGCAGTTCCTGAAGAGAACTTCTACTCTCTTTTAGTTAGTAGGGATAATTTCTATCATTACCTACACCCAAATGATTCTGCATTTATTCCAGCCTTCTTTTTGACTTTCATTAGAGTTTAATAGTAATCCTCAGTCAAGTTCTGTAAATTTTAGGTTAAATTTACTCCTGGTGTTTTAAAGTGCAATTGTTAGCATAGATGGTATCTATATTTCCATTACACTTTAGGGAAAATATTGACCTTTTCACACTACTTTTTTAGCCAGACAAAATATTAACCTCCAGTTAAGAAATGCTTTCATATGAATTTACTAGACAATCTCTAAATCTAACTATATTGTATTAGTCTGTTATCACACTTCTATAAAGATACTGCCCGAAACTGGATAATTTATAAAAGGAAGAGGTTTAACTTACTCACAGTTTTCTGTGGCTAGGAGGTCCCCAGGAAACATACAATTATTGCAGAAGGTTAAGGAGAAGCAAGCACCTTCTTCATAAGGCAGCAGGAAAGACAGAGAGCAAAGGAGGAGGTGCCAAACACTTTTAAACCATCAGATCTCATGAGAACTCACCCACTATCATGAGAACAGCATAAGGGAAACCACTCTCATGCTCTAATCGCATCCCACCAGCTCCCTCACTGGATATGTGGGGATTACAATTCAAGATGAGATTTGGGTGGGGCCACAGAGCCAAATCATGTCATTTTGTCCCTGGCCTCTCTCACATTTCAAAACCAATCATGCCTTCTCAGGAGTCCCCCAAAGTCTTAAATCATTCCAGCAATAACCCAAACATCCAAGTCCACAGTCTCATCTGAGACAAGGCAAGTCTTTTCAGCCTATGAGCCTGTAAAACAAAAAAATATGTTAACTACATCCAAGATAGAATGCGCATACAGGCATTGAGTAACTGTTCCTGTTCCAAATGAGAGAAATTGGCCAAAATAAAGGGGCTGCAGGCCAAAACCCAGCCTGGCAGTCATTAAATCTTAAAGCCTCAAAATGATCTCCTTTGACTCCATGTCTCAAATCCAGGGCATGCTGATGCAAGGGGTGGGCTCCCAAGGCCTTGGACAGCTCCACCCCTGTGGCTCTGTACAGACCCTGTGGCTGCTTTCACAGACTGGTGTTGAGTGCTTGTGGCTTTTCCAGGTACATGGTGCAAGCTGTCAGTAGATCTCCCATTCTGGGGACTGGAGGACAGTCTTCTCACAACTGAAATAGGGAGTGCCACCCCAGTGGGGACTCTCTGTGGGGGTTCCAACCCCAGATTTCACTACTGCATTGACCTAGGAGAGGTTCTCCATGAGAGCTCCATCCCTGTAGCAGACTTCTTCCTGGACATCTGGGTGTTTCCATACATACTCTAAAATCTAGGTGGAGGTTCCCAAAGCTCAACTTTTGTCTTCTGTGCACCCACAGGCTCAATACCATGTCGAAGCCACCAAGGCTTGGGGCTTGCACCCTCTGAAGAAAGTGCCTGGGCTGTACCTTGGCCCCTTTTAGCCACAGTTGGAGCTGGAGTGGCTGTATACAGGGCACCAAGTCCTAAGGCTGCACAAAGCAGCAGGGTCCTGGGCCTAGCCCAAAAAACCATTTTTCCTTGGTAGACTTTCGATTCTGTGATGATGGGGGCTGCCATGAATGTCTCTGGCATGTCTTGGAGACATTCTCCCTATTGTCATGGCTATTAACATTGGGGTCCTTATTACTCATGCAAATTTTTGCAGCTAGCTTGAATTTGTCCCCAGAAAATGAGTTTTTCTTTTTCGCCACATGGTCAGTCTGCAAATTTTCCAAACTTATGTTCTGCTTTCCCTTTAAACATAAGTTTCAATGTCAAATCTTCTTTCTGTGAGCATATGTAACTGTACATTTTCAGAAAGAGCGTCTTGAATGCTTTGCTGCTTGGAAATTTTTTCAGCCGGATATGCTAAATGATCTCTCTCAAGGTCAAAGTTCCACATATGTCTAGGGCAGGGACAAAATGTCACAAATCTCTTTGCTAAAGCATAGCAAGAGTGACCTTTTTCTAGTTCTCAATAAATTTATCATCTTCATCTGAGACCACCTCATCCTGGACTTTATTATCTATATCACTATGAGCTTTTTGGTCAAAACTATTCAACAGGTCTCTAGGAAGTTCCAAACTTTCTCACATCTTTCTGCCTTCTTCTGAACCCTCTACAGTGTTCCAACCTCTGGTTATTGCCCACTTCCAAAGTTGCTTCCACATTCTTAGGTTATCTTTATAGCAATACCCCTCTATACCATTAACAATTCTCTGTATTAGTCTGTTTTCACTGTACTATAAAGATACTACCTGGGCCTAGGTAATTTATAAAGAAAAGAGGTTTAATTTACTCATGGTTCTACATGGCCGTGGAGACCCCAGCAAACTTACTATCATGGTGAAGGCAACGGAAAAAAAGCAAGCACCTTCTTCACAAGGTGACAGGAGAGAGAAGGAGGCAGCAAGGCAGGAAGTGCCAAACACTTTTAAACCATCAGAGCTTGTGGCTTATAATGATGAGAACAGCTTGAGGGAAACCACCCCCATGATCCAATTTCCCCCTACCAACTCCCTCCCTCAACAAGTGGGGATTAAAGTTCTAAATACAATTCAAGATGAGATGTTGGTGGGGACATACAGCCAAACCATATTATTTGCTATCTGAAACAATTGTACTTTTGTATTTCTTTGTTACAGCTATGCCTGTTTTAAGAAACTGAGGTAAATATGTGATATTTTTGTTTTTTTTTTCTGTTTTTATACCCTGTAATTAGTTTTGAAAAATTGCCCCATAGAAAAGTCTACATGGTTTTTTGTTTTTTTGAGATAATTTCTTAGAAACATTCTTAAGATTTTCTATAAATTTTGGTCTAATTAGATTATTACTTTTCAAGTCAACCTTAAACATTTATGTTTTATGGGACATGATTTATTCTGGCCTTGACTTAAAATATAGACATATTAAATATTTCAATGTAAATTCTCTATTTTTCTTCTTTTCCTTGTTTCTATTTTTTGTATTTCACTGTCTCTTACTTATTCTTGACTTATTTAATTAGTGATTTATCATTTCATTTACTACTTTAAAGATTTTTTCTATTTAATTAACAATTTCACTTTTCATGTTCAATGTCATTAAACTTTAAGTCACATTAATTTTAATATTTTTAACCTTAATTTTTATTATTTTACTAAAATTTTAGTTTGTTGCCTATTCCTGTAATTTTCTTCTTTTTTTCCTAATTTGGTAATACATATTTGTAAGAACATTTCTATTTTGTGTTTTTCATGAACGTTTCAATATATTACATTGTTTTGATTTTACATAACTTTGACTTTCTTTTGTCTACTTTATCTGTCATATCTGAGTGAGAATAAAGTCTACTACAGTATTACTTTCTTAATTCTTTTCCAACCAATTTTCTAATTCATTTTTGACTTGCACCTGTCTTTCATTCACTCCATATCCAGTCATTACTAAGTATCATTAATTCTTTTCAAAATTGTTTCATGATTTATGTCTTATCATTTTCAATATTAGTGTGTTCATTGTTTTTATTAAAATTATTACATGTTTTGAGACTTTTTTCCAATCTACACTTCATACTTCTATCACATCAATCTTTTAAAAATAAAATCTAATAATTCAGTTTATAAAAACTATTAAAGTTTTTATTGAATGAAGAAAATCTGAACTCATAGAAAGCACCTTGATTGTACAGTTATTTCATTTATTTTGAAATAATTTTTATAACTTAATTCTTGAATGATCTATAATCTAAATACTTTAATTTGCTAATTGTCCGTGGATTTAAATGTTTATCAAATCAAGGCTTAAGTGTTTAATTAATTTGCTTGCTTATTTTCTTTTAAAATATTCATCATAAAGTCTGTGTGGCTCTTTTAGTCTCGTGTGGTTTGGTGGGGAGGTAATAAGATATAGATATAAAATTAACTGTGAAAATAGTAGAAATAGGTTAAAACCTTAAATGATAAAAATACGTATATGTAGCATACTTTATGAGACATGTTTTTCAAAACAATTTTTTTTGCATGCAAATCCTACATGGTCTTCACAGTTTAGTAAAAGAATATATTTCAACTGGGATTATTACAATGTGGCCAGGTGTCTAGTTTCTTAATATGGCATGATTGCAAGAATAAATATAGATCAGTAATTTTAAAAAGTATAAGTTTTAGAGAAAATGATTAATTCCTAAAATCATATGAATAATGCCAATAGTCAAAAGAGAGATTAGATTTAAAGAGAGGAGTTACCTATTTTTCCTCCAAGGAACTCTACTTGTTATATATATTTCTTAAAACAGATAAATGAATCAGTTTAGAAAATAATAAATGGGCATATATCCCACTCCAGTTATTGCAAAAAAGAAAATGAGAAGTAGAAGGGGAAAGAGGAGAAGAAGAAACTTCAATATTTACATATTTTGAGGTTGGAGAGTTGACATAAAGAAAAAAATGAAATGAGTGATAGAATCTGAAAATTGTAACAGGTCTTCTGTTATTTATCTAGAAATAAGATGAAGGGAAGCAGTAGAAGAAGGTGAGGAGAAAATACTAGGTTTTATATACTAGATGCCTTTTAATAGTTAACCACTATATTTTTACTAATAAATATCTTTTAATTTAAATTTTTCACAGTTATAATAAGTAAAATTGGAGTTTGCCATTTCACATGGTATTTAGTAAAACTGATACATCATGCAGAAAATGAACAGATGATGATGTCATAGTGGCCCAATCCACTTGATTTGAACAGTGCAATATGGATAACTACACATTTAAAAAAGGAAAACAATTTTGCTTAAATAATGATATATAAATTTTTATTTTTTCATTGCTATTGTTGTAAATTCTACATTTTTCTTTATGTTTAGTACGTATTTATCCAGATAATACTTTTCAATCAGAATCACACTGGAGAGGGAGACAGATGAATAAATAAGTGGATACAGATATCATAACTATGTAGATTTCTTGGCATTAAGGAATCTGAACTCCAGAATATTATTCATCCAGAATGCTTCCACTCCAAGACAGTTTCTTCTTAGCTTCTTATCAGACAGTATATCAATGTGAAAGACTGCAAGGTAAACGTGTTATGTGAGACTGATTCCCTATGTCTTGAAACCATTCAGTCAGTAATACCTGTTTGAGATTATAGTTTATATAATAAATTTTCTTATTTGTCTCTTTCCTTGGTATGGTATCACTCCTTTCCACATTTTTCCAAAATAATGATTATGTTATTTTTTCTCCCTTTCCACTTTCTCTTTTTCTGCAAATTGCTGGATTTTGTTTGTTTGTTTGTTTGTTTGTTTGTTTGTTGGCAGTTAAATGTAGGTTTTCTTTAGTTAAAACCTGAGAGGTGCTTCTGGCCGATTTCGGTCTGGAGTGCTTTCTCTTATAGACTAAGAGTATATATTGGTTTTAGGGTGAGGGGGCTTATTACAAGCTTGGAATGTTTATGTATGTGGAGAAGTTTATGGTGGGGTTAGAATCTCTTTGGGAGGAGGGGAGGTTATCTTGAGCAGACATCTTTCCGGCCCGGAGGGGGCTTGTCTAGAGGCTAGCCTGTCTCTGATCAGGGAGGAATTTGGAATGTTTCTGGTTGGAAACATTATTTGTGGTTTATGGTCATGCTGACTTTAGCCATTAGGCTGATGCCCTTTGGATTTAGGCAGTTTTTTATTAAGGTGAACTCCAGAATGAGGGGCTTGTCCAAGGTGGTGATGCTCCTGCTCTGTCAATCCGGACCGTATAGTTATAAAAAAGAGGAGGGAGGACATGTTCTTTCTGACTACTTCCTGCTGATGAGGGGACGGAGAGTTTTTTGGTCTCGGGTTGACTGTAGGAGCAATGCCGTTTGTAGATGTTTTTGGATAGTTGTCTGTGAAATGGCCATGATCCTGTCAGTTAAAAATCTTTGAAAAAGGTTAATTTGGCAGGGTAAGAACATTAGTTCCAGGCATATTATTTGGAGACGGCCCAGGAGTGGGATGGCCCATGCTATGCTTTTGTTTCCAAACCTAGAATCTATTTGGTTGTTTTGATAGTGTCTTAGCTTTTTAGCCCTTTCTTTAAGTTTTTCAGCAGCGTTTTTCACTAGTCCCAGTTGGTTGATATAGAAACAACTTTCCTTACCTAATGAGAGACAGAGGCACATGTTTGGAAAGGTTCATTTCTTATTTTTTTGTTAGTAACCCTTATTCCTGCTATGAGGATACTAATTAAGCAACATGTTATAGTAATTCGCAGTCTCTGTCCGATATTCCACCCTGAGGGTGTTACAGTGTATATTCCTACTGCAAATAGTAGAGTGACTAAAGCAATTCCTGCAAGGGTGGTGTAGTAAATAATTACCATTAAAACTTTTAATATTTGGCTTAAAAGGAGAGGTAGGAATGACAAAAATATTTGGTGGGGTAGGGGTGAGACTGAGTAAGAGAGTACTTCTTACTTAGTTACTTATCCTTTGTGATTTTCAGCTTAAGATTTCCTATTTCGGCCGGGTGTGGCGGCTCACGCGTGTAATCCCAGCACTTTGGGAGGCCGAGGTGGGCGGATCATGAGGTCAGGAGATCGAGACCATCCTGTCTAACACGGTGAAGCCCCGTCTCTACTAAAAATATTTTTTAAAAAAATAGCCGGGCGAAGTGGCGGGCGCCTGTAGTCCCTGCTGCCCGGGAGGCTGAGGCAGGAGAATGGCGTGAACCCGGCGGGCGGAGCCCGCAGGGAGCAGAGATCGCGCCACTGCACTACAGCCTGGGTGACAGCGAGACTCCGTCTCAAAAAAAAAAAAAAAAAAAAAAGATTTCCTATTTCTTTACATTGCTATTTAGGACGTTTCTTTTGGCTGTAGGGGTTACTTCCTGAGCTTTCCAGCCTTTGACTTGAGTGTGATGGATTTAGGAGTTGAATCTTGTAACAGATACCATGTTAGTTACCCTGGGCTCCGTGGATTCACTAAACGTGGGGGCAAATAATTCCGGGCACCCTCAGTTATTAGTTGTCTGCATCAGCAGCGAAGAGATTTCTTCCTGTGATGGTCGGGGGGCTTAGAGGCAGCGCCTACCGAAACACCTGGTTTTCAGTTTATAGGGCTTTGAGAAAGCACAGCTTATTTTGGAAACTTGTAGCCAGAAAAATTATAATTTAATTTAAACAGTTGAAAATAATAAAAATTGCAAAATATTAGACAACCCTAGAATTTAACAACAGGTGTGCTACAGTTTTTGAAACGTAATTTTTTTCTCTACAGTTTCCCATTTTTATTAAAAGACAAATCATGGTAGGACTGGTTTGCTTTACTATACTTGGCTGAATTATTTGCATACAGTGCAGCAAGAATAATTACTTGTTATATAGGCCTTTTAAATTGGCTTTGATGGAACTTTATTCCATAGAAGGAATCTGAGAAAAGACATTTTTAAAGCCAAGCCCACCCAATCTCATACCTAGGAGTTGGGTGAATTCCTCTCTTCTTTAGGTTACAAGATAACTTGGGGTTCCTGGCCTACTACAAAGTGACATTCTTTACTTACCACAGATCCAGAAACCTTGTACAGGGACTTGTATGCAAAATATGAGGCTAGTTTTCCAAGGGTTTTATTGCTTTATAAGTCAAGTTTGATTCCTTAAATGAAAGCCTCGTTCCAGTTAAAGCCTTGGTAAAAATAACCAGTTTTTCCCATTGTGTCCTGTTACAAAAGAAAACAGATTCTTATTGTACTTATGCAAATAACTATATTGCCATAACTTAAGAATACTCACAGATAGTTTCCAAATTCCGGAGAAAATCAGGTAGAGAGAAAAAATTATGCTTCAAATTTTGTTTATGGGAGTATACTAAATTGTTAAAAGCTGTCAATAGCTCAAAAGAAAAGTTTCTCTGACTTTGAAAAGCAAAACAAAGGATTAGCAATATTTTAAGCAAAACATTAAAAAGATTACTCCAGTATCCTATTAGTTCATTTTATGCAATTAATTTCTGTTCCACTTGATATTAATGAACATTTTAACTCTTTAAGGGTCCTGAACGTTTTTCCTCTATTTTGATGTTACAACCTCCAAAGTTATCAGAGACCTGTATTCAAGAACACCAGTTAGAACTTTATAGCTGATTATAAAATCACCTTTTAAAGAGGACCAAAACAAGACAAAAATTGTTTATGGATGACAAAAAGTTTTAGGGTATCCATAGTTAAAGACACAATTGACAAGGACATCTGTTACCTCTGTGGCACACAATAATTTTAGCACATAACAATTATAATAATTACTGTTGATGTACACTAAGATATATCAGAATCATAGGAGTCTCCCATAACTTTGGGACACATGCCAATAACATATTTATACAAATATAGCCCAAAGAAAGCCAAACACCATTTTATATTCAACAATGCTTCCTGTACAATTTTATACCAGATGAGCCAAATTTCACCTTTATATTAGTGTGCTATTAATGATAAACTCAATTTTAATAAAACCTTGTAGACACATTTAATCGATTTTAATGTTTGACCATGAGGTAAGATTTTTGTAGACCCCTTTTAACCCTTTATAATTTTTGTTAAAGATCAGGTTAGTGCTTTAAGAGAAACACGTTGTGCTTTTATTTTAATGATCAATTTACAGAAAAACTGGATGACACCCCTTTAACTTTAGCCAGCATGTTTACACACAGAATTTCCTTTACAATTAACCTCTCAAAACTTGCTTAAACCTTCAAAACAATTTTTTAACCTTTTAATCTGGGTAAAACTCCACATTCTTATGCCTCTTTATAATCTTTTTACCAAAAGTATATTTTACTTTCCTTACAGACCTTACACATAAACTGCCTTTTCAATAGTTTTAAATACCTGTTACACTGTTAACTCTTAGCAACCTTTACCTTTGTGGAAACCTTGGTAAGTTTGGGATTTTAATTATGTGCCAGGTGTAGACCCTAGGACCTAGACAGAAGTGCAGATAAGGTCTGGCTTATTCCAGCATTTAACTCCATGTGTCCTAGGTTTTACCTTAGCTGCAAAGCAGGAAAGTTGTACAGCTAAGAGTTACAGTGACATTTTATAAAGCATTCAGGAGGCCTAATCACTTTTAAATTGTACAACATTTCTTGCATAAATTCCCTTTTATAAAATTTTTCATGACTTTCACAGACAATTTCTGCCATGCCTCAACTTTCTGACTTGTTATAAACATCTCTCTCTTTAAACAACCAGATAATTTGCTTTAGGACAAGAATTTACCGTATAAGATTCTTGTTTATTTATTTATTTATTTCTATTTTGAGACACAGTCTTGCTCTCTCTCCCAGTCTGGAGTGCAGTGGCGCAATCTCCGCTCACTGCAAGCTCCGCCTCTGAGGTTCACGCCATTCTCCTGCCTCAGCCTCCTGAGTAGCTGGGACTACAGGCGCCCACCACCACACCCAGCTAATTTTTTGTATTTTTAGTAGAGACGGGATTTCACGGTGTTAGCCAGGATGGTCTCGATCTCCTGACCTCGTCATCCGCCCGCCTCGGCCTCCCAAAGTATTGGGATTACATGCGTGAGCCCGGCCAAGATTCCTTTTATATAAATTCCCTTTTCTTTAATGTTAAAGATGATAACAGTTCTTTCCCAAAACAAATTTCCTTCATGTCTGTGGACTGGACTGCCTAAAACCACAAGATTAGAAGCTAGGATATTTTACTAAATAGTTTAAGATATAGTTAACTTCATTAAACAATATTAATGTTTCATTTATTTAAAAAATTACACAAGCAAAGATTATTTTGTTTCGGCTGAGTTATAGTTTTGTAGCCTTTATGCCAAATTTTGACACCTTATAGTATTTGGCAGAGATAAGTATGAATTTGCCTGATTAATAAATGCAAACAAAAATGTATGCTGGCAACTCTAATTTCTAATTTTTTTATACCAGTAAGTTTTTAAAGATTAAAGCCACATGAAATGAAAGGTCCCACAGCTTTTACTTCTCTCTTAAAAATATTTGATTTAAATGCTTATTTTTCTTATGCCAATTAATTAGAGCTCTTTTAATAGACATGGCACACACAACACATACATAGCCACACGGACAACCAGAAGAAGATTCAGTAGTTATAAGATTTTTTTTTTTTCTGCTTATTTTCCAATTGTATTATTGGCCTTCGGGTGAGGCCCTTTAAGAACAGGATTAGTAAAACAGTTTCCAGGGCCTAATAAACAAGTATAGCTGGAAGACAAAGACAGATTTTGAGAGGTACTTATTCACCTCTAATTCCAGGGGATCCATAAGGAAAACAGAGATTTTTTTTTCCCAAAACGGGATTTGTGGGGCCTTTTCTGTTTTCCCAAGGAGTCCCAGGCCACGAAAAGTTATTGTAGGGTTCTTTTTATATGCACCAAGAGTGGCAAGATGGAGTGGAGAAAAGTAATTCAGTTAATCGGGAAAAAAACCTTTTCCAGGAAAACAAGATTGATGAAGAGAAAAATATAAAGAGAAGAACATAAAGTCCTTTTGAATATACTCATAGCTTTGATCTGCGACTTATCAGACGTGGAGAAAGGGACATGAATGCGAGCAATGCTTTTAACGCCAGCCACTTCCCGGAGAGGGAGAATGGCAGAAGAGGCTTCTGAATGGGTAAGAGGTGGGGCTGAAGGATTGGAGGAAGGAGAGGCCACTAGGGCGGAGAGTTTGGACAGGCGAGGAATGGGTGCTGGGGGATAAGAATACAGAGAGAGTTCATCTGCAGCCTGAATAGGAGTTTCAGGGGAAGGGGAGACCTGGGGAGGGTTTTCATTAAGAAGAAAGATTTTACGAGAGGTGCAAGCTTGACACGGGGCGGGGGAGCTGGGATTTAAGGTAGAAGTAGAAGAAAGCCTGATATAGGGAACCTCTTGCCATTTGCCATTCCTGATTATAAAGTTGTTAAGGTTCCTGAGAATTTACAAGTCAAAGGTGCCATTTTGGGGGCATTGGCTGTCATTATGTAATGTGTATTGGGGCCAGGCTGTGTTACAGCAACAGACTAAATTCTTAAGCCAAGTTTGGCGAGGTTGTGAAGGAGACAGCGCAGTGGAGAGGGTGTAGGAATGTGTGATTGTTTGGCACCCATGTGGGCTGGTGAGTAGAAGCCTAGGGTGTCTGTTTTTGTTCTAGGCGTCCCCAGACAAAAGACAGAGACCCGGAATCCTCTTTCTATAGAGGATAGTCAAGCTGAGAAGAAAATTGGGCGCCCTCCAGATTTCCTCTAGCTTGGTCCTGCTGGTTCTCCGAGGCCCCGGACTGCAGACCTGACTTTTCCCAGGTACCGCGAGAAAGCCAGGGGAGGGCAGATCTTGCTAGTGGGCTGGATTACTGTCCTGTATTAGATGTTTCGGTTGGAATCAGCAAAGGGCCTCTTGGACTTCAGGCACACGAGGAAGAGAAATAAATAAAGAGAGAGAGAGAGACAAAGAGACAGAGAGAGAGAGAGAGCAAATGAATATGAGGGAAAAGTGAAGTGAGAGAAAAGACGGGGCTGATGGCCAGAGACACTCAGGGTTCATTAACTAACTCAGGATGAGCTGCTGCCGTTGCCCACTGCTTCCTGGGTTGCAAGACAGCCTCTGCCCCCAGCACCTGTCCCAACTTTCAGTACCAAACGTGAGAGTTCAAGAAAGGGGAAAGAAACATGAAACACGGCGGGCAGTTAAAGACAGGTTTTATTTAGCTAAAACCTGAGAGGCGCTCCTGGCCGATTTCGGTCAGGAGCCTGCTGTTATTTTTTTAGGATACACTCCTTTTATTGCCATTGACAATCAATGTAAAAGTACTAAAATTCTATCACATGCCAGCACTCAATTAACAATGAAGTTTCAGCAAACTCTATTTGCATTCACATTCTATTTTATATACAGGTTTAAAATTGCGGTTCATTCCTAACACCACATATACAATTGAAACCAGTAAAAGGCAAGGATAGAAGGCAGAAATCATCTATTTGAATGTAAAAATAAATATTGTTACCTATAGGAAGCCATCCTATTTCTTGCTTGAGGGAATTGAATACGCTGTAATATAATGTAATCTTTAAAAGCATAATGGCACAGAGACATCTGTGAATAGAGTGCACCAATTCTGACATTGACAAATGGTCCAAGAGTGGATGGAATGTAAATGGAACTGACAAACTTTCCAATTCCATTGACATTTAGGTACTTTAAAAATCAAAGAGCTCAAATCATTTTAATGCTAGCACTTGCGCAAGACTTTTAAAGCCTGTTATTTTTAAAAGAAGTCCAAAAACACAACATTGCATTGTATGTTATCATATAAAGTTGCAAGGTAGTCTAATATAAATTCAAACTTATAGAAATCACTCTTCTATGAGAGAATAGAAATGTTGATTTAGCAAGGAAAATAACAGCCATATCTCCTATTGCACCAAGGAAAAAGTAGCCATCAGCCCAAGAAGTTACTCAAATTTCTGCAATGATACCTACAAATTTATGTGTAATCATTGTCTTTTTATTTCTATTGTTCCTTTCTCTGTCTCTTCAAGAGGGGTATGCATTTTCCAGGTGCCTGATCCCTGACTGCCTTCCCTAGCACCTTGCCAAATACATTATCTAATTAACTATCAGGTCTTGCTCTTCCTCCCTGTCTGTAAAATTAAACTTGTTTTATTTTTCTTCCCAATGCTTCCTCCTCCTCCAAAAAACAATGTTCCTCACTTCAGAAGTTCTTTTAAATTCTATTCATTCTGTTATACTCTCCAGGTTTTTTTCTCCTCCCCATTTAAGTGTCAGGCTTATCTTTATTCACAAAGCATTCTTTTAGAATATAGAAATGTCTAAAGATTCTACTAAAGTCTATGAATATTTATAAGTTTCTGAAGTGCATAGAAAATAAAAACAAATATTTACAATCATTAATAGTCATAGATTACATTTTAATGGGATAAATATATAATTTTTAAATCCTCCAAAATAAAAAAGTATGTATTTGTGTGTGTAGCAATAAAAGTAATTGTACTTGCCACATAAAAATGTATTTTTAATGAGGAGAGAAATTGCAGGTTTGAATAAATAGGAAAGATATATTTCTGGAAGGGGAAGGTAAGGTTATGACGATGTCAGTTCTTCATAATTGAATTTGCAGCTTTAATATACATAAAATTAATATTCCAACAAATCTTTAAAAAAATTTGTCAAGAAACTTTCAAATGTTTATATTCAATCAGAAAATAACTGAGAGTACAAAAGGAAGTTTAGAAATATATTGGAGGGAAAGAGCCCTACTGCACATTACAAATTTGTAATTATATTTTAGAGTTAAAAGAATCAAACAATGTGATAATCAGAGAAGGCTAAATTGATCAATACACTAGAATTGCAAAACCAGAAATATATTTTAAGAAAAACAAGCCTTTGGTTTACTACATATTATTTATCCTGATAAAGTTATGGATCAATTAATTATCAGAGATTCAAGTCTTGGAGGGCTTAATTCTCAAACATATATACTCGCAGCAAAGAATATCTCACCAGCTTCCCTAAGCTATCTATTTTGATGTCCATAAGGCATCTCAGAATCAACATGTAAAAATTTATTTTCTCTCCCCACAAAAGTAGCTTTTTCTCTGATGTTTCCTATCAAAGAGAATACCACTATAATTTTTCAAGTTTGCAAAACTAGAAAATATTTTGATGTTTGACCAATATAGTTTTTCCATGTAAATTTATTTTCTTCTAACAATATTTTTATGAATCTACCAGTGAAAATTCTACATATGTAATCAAATTCAAAGGATGAGTTGATCAAAATATTTTTTTGACTGACAGTAGAAATAATGTTTTCTGATTATACTTAAAGATGTTTATGACACTATCAGCTGCAGACAACTTAGTAGATCTGAAACCATCCACAGAAATTTATAAAGATGCTAAGAAATTTTCCAGGGAAATTTCGCCTGTTAATATTAGAGTTGATAGTATCCAACAACTCTTTTCCTTTTTGAAAAATTTTCTTCAATAAATGATTGCATTCAACCTACTTTATAAAGCCTTGCTTCAAGAAATGTAGTTCATGCAAAAAGAGACATTAACATCTTTGTGAACAGTTTTGTCTATGTACGTGTTTATTTTATCTTCTCCGAGAAGATTGGAAGGTAAAGATATTTCTTTTTTTTTTTTGATACTTTAGGTTTTAGGGTACATGTGCACAACGTGCAGGTTTGTTACATATGTATACATGTGCCATGTTGATGTGCTGCACCCATTAACTCGTCATTTAACATTAGGTATATCTGCCAATGCTATCCCTCCCCCCTCCCCCCACCCCACAACAGGCCCCAGTGTGTGATGTTCCCCTTCCTGTGTCCATGTGGGAGTTGAACAATGAGAACACATGGACACAGGTAAATATATTTCAGTATCACCACTGCATCTGTCACAAAGATCATAGACCCAGCTTTTTAGAAATATTTGGTTTTGAAAGAAAAAAATATTAAAAATATTGAATGCCAATTATATGTTAGACCCTGATATATTTTTGTCATCTAAACTTCTAAATAACTCTACAAATAAACGTTATTTTTGTCATAGCTACATAAGATAAAATAAGTTATTCAGTATAAGTTGGCTAGACTCTGAATTAAACTATTAGCTTAAGTTTAAAGATTATTTTGTTTTATTACAACTATATTTCTATTTTGTAACATGAGAAAGGAAAATAAAATGTATCACTTTGCTATGCTGTCAATAGTGATATTAAAATATAACCAACATTAAATATCTGTCATTCTTCAAACATGCATATTATTATATAAGGAAAGAATTTTCCACCAAAATTTTAACCCAAGAAATAAGAATATATAGTGCATATAAAGAATGTAAATTAGATGATTTCCATTGTGGTAAATATTGATTACTTAAATTTACAGTTAAGATGTTCAAAGTTAAACCGTGCTAGAAATCTCAGCAGTCAATATCCTAGGTGATACATTTCTATGACTGTATTAAACAATATTGTGAATTAATCATGAATATAATAAAATGGTATTATTAAATTGTTACATGTTTGGTATAGTAGAACTTGGCAAGCTTTAATTTGATCAGAGATATATCTTGAGAAGATTAAAGTAACATGAAAGTTTTGTTATAGAATGGTAGCTATTTGGCTACCCTGAAATGACTACAGTTTTAGGAAGAGAGATAGTTCAGAAATTAGGTCAGTAATGTTTTATGAGATTTTTTTTTCCTCACAAAAGTAATTGGAAAGAGAATGAATGTAAATTAAATTTATAGTAAAAAGCCAAGGAGAGTTGGGAGTAGAGGAAGAAACTTACTAAGTACTTAGTTTATCTCAACAATATTGGCATTTTAAAATCTATTCTGTCATTTGATATAACAAAGAATGATAGATTGATATTTGGAGATATAAAATACAAAGAATCTCCGAATCAGCAACTCCATTTGGGTTTTTATTTTTCCGCAACTCTTCCCTTCCTCTTGCTCTAAATAAAACTAGGGTCTTAATTGCTATTCCCACAGCCTTTGCATATTAAAATCATTTCTCTTCCACACCTGATGTATTTCCAGGACCTGTAAATGTGTAGGGATCTTATTTGTTCCATGCTGCTCTTTCCATCAAATGTCTTCTTTCCCTTTGTTTTAAATCTTGAGCATTTTTAAGGTGTAAGTAATTAGGTATCATACACTGTTACCCTCAAGTTGATGTCTCCCAAAGATCTACAAGTTGTGCTCCTTCATTCTCTTATGATTTTAATACTTGAATCAGTGTTGTCTTCTTTACTCTTTCTGTTGTCTTGTAGAGTTCAAGATACAGTAGATGATTCCTTCACTGTTTTGTCTTCTCACATTTTTGACCATGCTACATTTGAAGATAATTTCTTTCTTTCCACTTTATCCACTTAAACACAGATTTATGATTTATAATCCATATATGTCATAACTAATACATGTTCTACTATAATTTTCTTTCTTTTTTTTTTTTTTAGGTGGAGTCTTGCTCTCGCCCAGGCTGGAGTGCAGTTGTGCAATCTCAGCTCACTGCAACCTCCACCTCCCAGGTTCACGCCATTCTCCTGCCTCAGCCTACCAAGTAGCTGGGACTACAGGCACCCGCCACCACGCCCAGCTAATTTTTTTGTATTTTTAGTAGAGACGGGGTTTCACCATGTTAGCCAGGATGGTCTCGATCTCTCGACCTGGTGATCCGCCTGCCTCAGCTTCCCAAAGTGCTGGGATTACAGGCGTGAGCCACTATCCCTGGCCTATAATTTTTGTATTGTGTTTCTGCTCTCTGTTCTTGGCCTCCTTTAATTCTGTCTTATTACATATGATACAGTGGTTCACCAATTAACACAATATATGTCCCCCGTTGTTATTGCCTTTTTAAATTTCTCTATGAACTGTTTTGTAATTTTTAGTGTGTGGTTTTTTACATAGTTTTTAGGTTTATGTTAAAGTGTTCAATAGTTTTGATGATATTATAAACAAAATTATATTAATTTCTATTTCTATTCATTTTTATTAGTATATAGGAATAATATTAATTTTGGTATATTTGTCTTAATTCTGCGGCCTTGTAATTTCAATTTTCAATTCTATAGCTTTTTGTAGATTCAATCAAATTTTCTACATAGCAAATCATTTCTGAAAATAGTTTTACTTCTACCTGTCCAATTAGTAACAATTATTTTACTTCCTTGCTTTATTGCATTGGCTAAAACATGGTGTGCAATATGCTATCATCTCTGGCCTTCTACTGCCCACAACCACAGCATCATGGCAAATCTTTCTAAAACATAAATCATATTATATGGCTTCTACATGCTGCATACTCCAATGTCTTTCAGTTATACTTAAATAAGTATCTAATCTTCCTAAGGCCCAGAGACTATATGATGTGGTTCTTAGCTATATCTCCAACCCCTTCTATTACCTCTGTCTACCTGTTTACTGTTTTCTACACATCTGATCTCTTTACTATTGATGAAACCTACCAAACATACTCTAGCTACAGGAAATTTTGCTTGCTGGCTTCAATATCTGTCATTTCCACTCTCAGGGCCCCACTTTATTCAGGTAGAATTTTTGTTCTTCTTGATAAAAGTGAAATAATTTCTAAATTTTCCTGTAAACTTTTAAAGCCCGTATGTCACCTCCATGGAAAACTGTTTTATTGTAAATCACCCAAAAACTCAATTAACGTTATATTATATACCTCATTTTTCCTTGCCCTGCTTCTCTGAGAAGCCAGAGTTTCTTCTGTAGCCAATCTCTATTCTATTAATGTGTTCTAATTTCTTTATAAAATGTATGAGAAATATCTTATTTAAGCATTTGCTTTTGTGATTCTTATCACATGTACCACTGATGTTCCATTTCTAGAATATAATCTGTTTAAAGGCAAGAATTTAATCAATTTGATTCACTTCTATATCACGAGTCTATAACTTGCCTGAAACGTATTAGACACTCAATATTTGTTGAATAATCAACAAATGCCATTCAAACCTTTAATTGAATGGCCTATATCAGCAGTACAATGTTATTAAATATAAGATTGTATATAATATCCTCAACAAAGACTGGAATCAATTATAACACAACATATTTTTTAAACTCTAAAATTATAGTATTTTAAAAAGATATTTAAAAAAAATCCCAAGACACTTAATTGTTTCCAACTTTGTGTTTGAAAGAAAATCTAGATACAAAAACTGATGGCCTAAGTGAAAAAGGATTTTCATAAGTTTCATTAATGCGTAATTAGCACTTCGTATTAATGAAAAGGCAGATTTAAAGGAGAATAAGAAAATATAATGAGGTCAAGAAAAACACAAAGCGCACATTATGATGATAGAAAAATAGAGTAGTAAGGAAGCATAGATGCTAAAAGAGTTGGAGCAGAGAGCACACTTAAAAAATTAAAACTGAACAAACAAAAATGTTTGAAAATAGATTATACTTCCTTCTTCTTCCAACACTGGTGCACATTTGTGTTTGTTGTGATATGACAATATCTATGGGATGTTAAATGATCATGTTTGTTTCCTAAAATATGGTTTCTATTGTGAAAATTTATACTAATGTAATTTTTTTCTCTCCCCATGTCAAAGAATAAAGAATAGCAAGTGTCACACAATGTCAAAAAATGTTCTATAACCCCAAATAGGAATAAGTGATAGTCGTGGCAAATCTCCGGTAGAATTTCATCAATAATTCATTCTCAACACACTTCTGGGTGCTGCAGCAGTTTTTAATAGGCTCTCTAGTGCATACTCTGTAGTGTGTTTTGGACTAAACCATTGACACAGAGGAATAATGCTGAGGGGGAAACCAGCACAACTCAGCCCTTGGTGAGTAATTCAAAAAAATGAGTGAATCATTTTTCTTCCTAGGAGTTTTGTTTATCCTGTCTCAAACTTTTATCATCATAAGTAAGGTTTGCATTTTCTTCAGAAGAGTCTTATTCTGACAAATACTCATTGAAAGGTTATAAGAAAGCAGGGGGAGGATGTCATAATTTTATAGAGGAAAAAAATGCAATGAAAATGACTTATGTTCCTTCAGCAGATATCTGATCCCTGAGAGTATCATTCAAACCATTTGATCCTGCTGAAAACCTATGGCCTTCATAAATCTTTCCTGTTATAAGGAACAACTTCACTTATTCTACCATGCTTAACAGAGTTGTTAAATCACTTCTCATCACGTCTTATCCCTAAGAGAGAGAATTATGTTATTTTAGTGCATTTTATATGTGCTTTTATTGTTTTGTAGGTTAAGTTACAGTAATTTTTGTTTCTGCTCTCTAGCCCACGGCCCTTGATTTTTTTTTATTTTGTACTTTCCTTGGGTTCCATATTGTTCTGTTTTTAAATATTGACATTTGACTCTATAATTTAATATCCTGAAAGACAGCCAAATCCCATAAACTATTGGGAACTATTAAAGATTTATAAGCCAAATTTAGAATAAGGATAATGACAATGTGAAAAAATAAAAGGGAAGAAAGTAAATATAGGAAACAGAGGTAGAGAAAATGTAATTTGCTATTTAGAATATCGAATAGAACATTCAGAGAAATTAACAAGAAAAGAAGACAAATAAATAAAAAAAACAAGGAGAGAAAGGATAGGGAGAAAAGGCATATGATGTAAAGTTACTTGAGTTTTGAGTTAAGAATAAAATAAATTCTCAAGTAATTGGTATAATGTAATGCAAAGTTTATGGAAAATTGAGACATTATTTTTTTTTCTCAAGAAGGATGCAACTTCTGCTTTTTAATTTATTTGAGAAAAAAGCGATAGTAAAAACAAAACAGTGGTAAGAAAGCAATTGTCAGTTTTCTGGGGAATGTTGACTATATCAGGTTCAATAGTTTTCAGAGAACTTTTCAATCAACTAATAAAATGGTATGAGTCTTTACAGGAAAGTGGGTAAGAATAACTACACATTCACTTATTTATTCATTTATATACTCAATGAACATATTTGTTTATTAGACGTTATATAAAGTATGAGGATATAAGGATCAATATATCCCCAAGCAAATAAGTGATTATTGTACATCAAATCTGGGAGAAAACCATATTGATTAAAAGAGAGGTGATTATGGATATATTTTGAAGTTATAGCCAACACATTCTGATGAATTGGATGTGGGACATGTGTGAATCAAGTCATGGGTAATATTCAGAATTTTGGTGTAACAATAAGACAGATAGAGGTGCCCTCAATTAAAATCAGGAAATATGTTTTTAACATGGTGAGATATTTATTTAGATATTTAATTTCATAAGATATGTTGATTAGGCAGTAAGACATAGATTAAATTTGGGAAAAGATGTAATCTGGAGAGAGAAATTTGTGGATCTTTCATATAGAGAAAGTATTCAAATCTATGAAAATAGATGAGATTACTAAGGAAATAAAGGCATAGACAAGAAAACTAAGTACTAATCCTTGTGGCACTCCAAAATTAAGAGGTTGAAGATAAAAGAAGAAGTGAGTACAGTAAGCTGAAGAGGAGAAGCCAGTATGACCAAAAAACAAAGAATCCCAGAAGAGCACTTTCTCCTTGAAGCCTGGTGAAGCAATTTTATAAAGCAAGCAGGAGTGATAAATTTAAAGTGTTGAATGCCAATTTGTTAAATGAGATGAAGATTGAAAATAAATATCCTCAAGAGATGCACATTAAGGTACAAAGAATAGTGAAATAATGGTAGTATAATATATTGATGATTCTAACAGATTTTTGGAACTGATGTACCAAAGATTAAGTTAGACATTTTGAGGAAAGTGATTAGGAAGTAGGATAGATAAACCTAACAGTAAGGACATCAGCAGTGGTGGGTTATATAAACTATATATAAGCCACATACGGCATTTTGTTCTAACTAGCCATTAGAAATATGAATATATTAACCAAGCTCTTTCAAAGCGAATATTTCCTGTAATATGAAAAGGGAAATGAATTTTTAAATTGTGAAGATTTCATGTTACAATTCATAAGAGCAACAGTGTGACGGTCCAGGCAGAGATCAAAGAACACCATTGATTGTGGGGTGACAGAGGTGCATAATTTGAACTCTCACTTATCCTCCTCTTGTGGATGAACACATTTTTTTCAACTAAGTGTCAGTTGAGTGTCTTTCTCCCTCTGTATATATATTTGTGTATATATACACACACAGAGAGAGCTATGCAAGATAAAGAAAAGAAGCATATATTGACCAGCAATTAGGATTTGATTATGTACCTTGATCAAAGTCTCCACTATTCTTAGGATACAAAGCCAGGGAGGCAGTGAAAGCCTTTGCATAATGAGGCTCATTCTTCCAGGAAAAAGGGAACTGCTACCCTAAATGCTTCCTGAATGTCAATTCAAGAAGACAGGATATCATGACTAGATATTGCCCTATCCTAAATCTCATAACAGGGAAAAGAAAATAAAATAAAAAAGGGAAAAATCTGCGTTGTTAACATAATTTCAAGTACAAAGAGGATGAAGTTTCTTGTTTTGACATCATCAGAGTTGACCATTAAACTGTGGAAGGTCCTTAGGAATCCAGACATCATTTTACAGTGTGATGCAGTGTGTTCTAATGGAACTGTTACTTTGCAGCTTGAGTGTGTCACCCCACTCAGCAGTGGCAGTCCACAGAACTGTACTTGTTATGATTACTGAGTGGATGAGCATACCTAAGATTCTGCAAGGGCAGAACCGATGTAAAATCTATGGATTCCATTACTCTTGCAGGGAAATATTTCTCCTCTAGACAACCAGACTTCCCCACTGATAGGATTTGCATCTGTGTCCCTAGCCAAATCTCATGTGGAATTGGAATTGGAATCCCTAATGTTGAAGGTGGAGCCTAGTGTGGAGTGATGGGAGCATGGGGTTGGTTTCTCATGAATGGTGTGGCACCATCTTTCTAGGTACTGTCCTTGTGGCAGTGAGTTCTCATGACATTTGGCTGTTTAAATGTGTGTGGCATCTTCCCCCTCTCTCTTGCTCCTGCTTCCACCATGTGAGAAGAGATACTTTGCTCCCCCTTGGCCTTCTGCCATAATTGTAAATTTTCTAAGGCCTCTGCAGAATCCAAGCAGATGCCAGCATTATTCTTCCTGTACAGCCTGCAGAAACATGACACAATTAAACCTCTTTTCTTCATAAACTCCCCTGTCTTAGATATTATTTTATAGCAGTGTAAGAACAGATAAATACACCAAATCCTAGGCACCTTGGTGGAAATATAATCTGAGTTTCTGGGATAATTCAAGTGTTTTAGAAGAGGATAATAATAAGAAGATATTTTTATTTTACTGTGACGATCTAAAAAAACGTGACTAGGTTTTATGTTGACTTCTTAGGGCAGTTCATATGTCACACTTAGTAAAGTTCTAAACAATTATAAATTTATTATTTTGATTTATGCTTAATTGTTTACATGTGTTATTTTTCTACTTGGAGAGTGTCCATTGCATATTCAACTGTGAATCCTCATTATCTAACACAGTGGCGAACACTTACAAGACCATTAATTGAAATTCCTTTAGTGGGCTCAAAGGTTACAGCTCTCTTGATTCTCACCTACACTCAGCCACTGGAGTCTAGACTTTAGCACTGTTACATAGAACTGTCTCTAAGGTATTTAAAGAGGTAACCACATGCTGAGTTAGAATTTGTGTTTTCAAGTAATTAACTTA
This sequence comes from Homo sapiens, assembly GCF_000001405.40. Classification (NCBI taxonomy): domain Eukaryota; kingdom Metazoa; phylum Chordata; class Mammalia; order Primates; family Hominidae; genus Homo; species Homo sapiens. Next base: position 33,266,852 of record NC_000004.12, read on the forward strand.
TAATTGAATTCATAAATTATTTATTAAATAGGTGAATTTCTAAGTTTAGAAAAACAGAAATAGATTTTTTAATAGCCTACAACTTGGCATTTTAACTTGAAAACAATTAATAGATAGGAAAATGTATACCAAGCAGACAGCTGAGACATGTTATATTCAAAATTTCATTAATATATTGCTTTGAAAGCACTTTATTTTTTATTTTTTCTTCTTCTTCTTCTTCTTTTTTTTTTTTTTTTTTTTTAGATGGAGACTCACTCTGTCACCCAGGCTGGAGTGTGGTGGTGTGATCTCAGCTCACTGCAACCTCTACCTCCCAGGTTCAAGAGATTCTTCTGCCTCAGCCTCCTGAGTAGATGGGATTACAGGCTTGCACCACAATGCCCAGCTAAATTTTTGTAGTTTTAGTAGAGATGGGATTTCACCGTGTTTCCCAAGCTCATCTTAAAACTCCTGGCCTTAAGTGATCTGCTTGCCTTGGCCTCCCAAAATGCTGGGATTACAGGAGTGGGCCACCATGCCCAGCTCTAGCATTATTTTAATTATAAAATGGATGATAAAAGTTTATGATGAAGTAATGGGATTTATTTCTATAAAAATGAATGGCATAACTCTTAAAACACCACAAGAAAACAAACAACCAAAATAAATAATAGGCAAAAGATAGGAAGAGACATCTCAGCAAATAAGTTATATAGGTGATAAATAAGCATATGTAAAGATGCTCAACATCATAAGTCATCAGGGAATTGTGAATTAAAACAACAATCAGGTATCATATGCATCTATTAAAATGGCTGAAGTCCAAAATACTAACAACACCGAATACTGATAAGGATGTGGAACACAAGAAAGGCTCATTCATTGCTGGTGTCCACAGAAAAGACTGCACAAAAGAGTTTATATCAATTTTACTCATCAGTGCCAAAAGTTGGAAGCAACCAAGGTATTCTTCAGTAGTGGAATGAATAAACTGTGGTATATCCAAAAAGGTATGAATAAACTTTAATTGCATATTGCCAAGTGAAAAAAGCCAATCTGAAAAGACTGCAAATTGTATGAGTCCAATTATATGATATTTGGAAAGGGCAAAATTATGGAGATGATAAAAAGATCAGTAATTGCCAGAGTTTTTCAGGGAGGGAAGGACGGAGGGATAAATAGATAGGGCAATGGGTATGTTTGGAACATTGAAATTATTCTGTATGGTACTGTAATCGTGCACACATGCAGTTACATATTTGTAAAAACTCATTGAATGTACAACACAAAGAGTGACCCCAATGTAAATTATGAAATTTAGTTAATAATAATGTATCAATGTTGTCTAATTAATTCTTACAAATGTACCACACAAGTGCAATACAATAATAATAGGGAGATAGTACGGGGCAGGGGAGATAAGAGAGATATGGGAACTCTATGAACTTCACACTAAAATTTTACTGTGAACCTAAAACTCCATTTAAGTTTATTAAAAAACAAAGTCTATTAATTTAACGAAGTGAATAAAGTCACTTTCTGCCGCTTAAAAATTAATATGGATTATGAGAGTGAGTAGAGAATTGTATTCTTATTATAATACACACATACATATCAGTAGTTCAGGTTGGTTTTATTGAGCTCATGTGTAAGTCCTAAAACTGGGAAACAGAAAATTTAAAACAGTCTAAGTAGTGGAAGATGAGTAAAGTCTGGACAACAGTCAAATATTTCACTAGCAAGTAAGTATTTTGGAGAGCATATTAATCTGTCCTGGCTTTGCTGAACAAGAGTTTCGCTCTTGTCGCCCAGGCTGGAGTGCAGAGGTGCAATCTCAGCTGACTGCAACCTCCACCTCCCGTGTTCAAGGGATTCTCCTGCCTCAGTCTCCCGAGTAGCTGGGATTACAGGTGCTTGCCACCATGCCCAGCTAATTTTTGTATTTTTTTTCATAGAGGCGGGGTTTCACCATGTTGCCCAGGCTGATCTCAGACTCGTGACCTCAGGTGATCCACCTGCCTTGGCCTCTCAAAGTGTTGGGACTACAGGCGTGAGACACTGCACCCGACCTGTTTCTCTCTCTTAATCTGATTAAAATATTTTGCCATGGAGCTGGCTGTTAAGTGTGCTGCTCTGGGACTAAACAGTTGAAGTGAATGTATGACTTCTTGACCAAAACCGAAAGTTACATTAACCTGAATAGTTTCATAATTGTGAAACACAAAAATGACTCTTGTTTAAATTACCCAGTGATATTGGTATTTTAGTTCAGTCTCATTTTGCAGAAATTTGAATTGTGTGAGTGTGTAGTTACATGTCTGTGTGCTAGAGGCCTAGGAGTTATGAACCTTTCATGAATAATAATAACAATAACCAAAGTAAACTGAATTTTAGAAATATAGTCTTATGAATAGAGGTAATTGCGGAAATAGGAAGAAAGACACAGATAATCTATAACATAAAATAGCTATTAAATGTAATGTAATATTTAATATAAAATGTAAGATATAGTACTCTATTCTAGATATAATTATAAAATTTAATTTGTAATTTATAATATATGGTAATACACAGTACCATTTAATATTACAGATAATATACAATATATAAATCGCTGTATGAGTATATAAACATATATACCGCATATATTATATACTACATGCTTACAATTTTTTTCTATCAATGGGGTATTTACTAGGGAAAATTAGATTTAGAGTATTTGCTATTGGCTCTACCAATCTCCAGTAAAAGCTACAGGCAGCTATTGGGTAAATATTATCACATAGTTCACAACTGTTAGTCTTTCTTTTCAACATCCTACAATGTGATACCTCATCTAAAGTGTCTGTTTCTCTGCCTTAGTAGTTATAGATTTCACATCTCATTTGGTTTCATAGAATCCATTCACTGAAACCAGTAAAAAGACATATCGTAGAGGCTCCAACAATTCTTAAGTCATTGATGTGAATATCACTACATTTCCCAAACCTTTTTGCATGAACTGTAAACCAACTCTTTTCCATATTTCACTATGGCAATCAGCTGCCTCAAATGCTCTTTGTGGCAGATGAGGTCTATATTATAAATTCATGAATCCATAATTAAATTTAAATGCAAAATTTTAATGATCTTAATTATCAGAATATAAAAATTTCTAACCACTATTTTTTTCTAGTAAGTTACAAACGTTCTTTCAACCTCTAATCTTATTGTGGACTTAAGTGAGTGCCCCCTTTTAATAAACTAGATTATAAACTCTTTGAGTATGATAATCACAGATTCTTAGCTTTACATATAATTTTTCATTTCGGTTTTCCTGCTATTATACTCAATGTAGCATTTCAAGAAAATTTTAATTTTTAGAATTTCAGTAAAATGAAAGTTCAACCATTTTTAAAATATGTTGAAATTTAATTTTAAATTTTAAACAGCAAGGAAAAGCATAGATGTAGTTGTATAAATTCATATATGTAACTACATATGCAAAAAGAATAATCTGTTTAGCCAGTCAGAGCCCTGCTGTAAAAAATTATAAATATTTAACAAATATACTTACTATCTAAATAGTAACTGCTAGAGAAATGCTATTAATCTTATTAAAACTATTTATGGGGAAATATTACTCATCTTATTTGATAAAAATGTAGAATTTTCAACAGCCTCCAGAGCATCATTTGATGACAATCATCATCACTCAAATCCAACAGATATTGACTCTCATGCATTAGGAGCATATAGCTCCTACATACTGACACATTATTTATAAGTTTGACAGAAACGTAGGAGAGAGGACAATATCTTAGGTGTTTATGAGAAAAAGGCAGTCATTTTAGAGATAGACCAGCAACATTTTCTTGTCTTGTTAAGAGAAAATATATTCTTGTCTAAGTTAAGAGAAAATGAATTCTTGTCTAAGTTTTCAAAAATACAGTCATTTGGCTTCTCCTACTTTGTACATCATTCTCATACAGAGAAAAGAATAGCAAAAATGTCTTCAGAATTCATTGGGGTACAAATAATGAAGAAATTCAAAGGACTATTTGAATTCCTTTCTAGATGTTACCTTGATAAGTTATAATGTTACCTTAAGGAAAAAATTAGACATTTTAGGGGTTAGTTTATATTTAATTACACCTATAATTTTGTGTTGACAAAGCCAAGGCCAAAAGGTATTTTTTTCTAAAATATTCAAATATACAGAAAGTGATTTGATGAATTTCTAGAAATGTCATGGAGCATATTTATAAAGAACTCATTTGAAAATACCATTCATTAATTTTTGTGTTTCAAATCTCCAACCCCACAATTTGGTACCCCTGGCTCACTGAATATCTTTATTGGAATTATGCAACAGATAAGAAAAACTCTCTACATTAGTCTGTTCTCACACTGCTATTAAGAACATATTTGAGACTGGGTAATTTATGAAGAAAAGACATTTAATTGACTCATAGTTCCACAGGCTATACAGGAGCTGGGGAGGCCTCAGGAAACTTACGATCATGGCAGAAGACAAAACGGAAGCAAGCATGTCTTCTCGTGGCTGGCAGGAGGAAGAAGCAGCGTGAAGTGGGAGGTGATGCACACTTTCAAACAACTAGATCTTGTTAGAACTCACTCACTGTCACAAGAACAGCAAGGGGGAATCTGCCCCCATAGTGCAATGACCTCCCACCAGATCCCTTCCCCAACACTGGGGATTACAATTCAACATGAGATTTGAGTGGGGACACAGAGTCAAACCCTATCAGTCTCCTTCAATGTAATATACCTCCATTCATTCTTCAGGCCCCAAAGGTGCTACCTACTTCAGGCAGACAAAATTATGTGCAGCCTTGTTCATTCTTTCCTATCTATGCTTTTTATGTAGGTGTTCATTTATCCATATATCTATTTATTTGATAAATATTTTTAAGGTTTCTTTTATATGACTTCTTGTTTTAAAGTTTGGGTATACCATACATCACCATGCAATGAGGATAAAATCCATTTACATTTCCAAAGAAGTTACTATACCTAGAATAATTTTTTTGTTCATTGTTTGAAATTCGTCTACTTTAGACTGACTTGATTTGCTTTATTTTGGTAAACACTTTGTAAGAATCACTGTGTCCATGATAATGCTTTATGTACTATGCTTTTGAACATAATAAAGAATGGCATAAACTCCACCACTGAATGAAGATATGAAATAATTGGTTGCTAAGGCTATAGACCAGGGGTAGAAAAACATTTGTTTTACAAGTCCAGATAAAAAATGGAGTTTGTGAGCCATATTGTCTTTATCCTAATTGTTCAGCTGCACTCTTGTAGTTTAAAAAGAATTATAGAAAATATAAAAAATGAGCATGGCTGTGTTCCAGTAAAACTTTACGGACACAGAAATTTGAATTTCATATAATTTTTTTGAGTCACAAAATATGCATCTCCTTTTCATCCATTTTAAACTCCTTAAAATGCAAAACCATTCTCAGCTTGTGAGCTATATAAAAACAAGTGATGGACTGGATTTGATCTTCAAGCTGTAGTTTGCTAACAATTTAGACATGTTGCATATGTTATAAAAATATTAAAGATGTTTATATAATTCCAAGGCACATAAAAACATAATATAAAACATTTAAAAATGCATTATTGTTTGAGTTAGATAGATTCTTAGAGGAAGTGAGAAGATCTGGCACTTAAAGTATATAATTAGGAATAGAGAACAAAAAATTGGAAAACATATATAGATGCAAGTTCTTAAGTAAAGGGTCAAAAACAAGAATGAATGTAGTGTAACTTTGTTATTTGGAACTTATAACTTTTGATTTGAATTTTGACATTGCTTACCAATAATCTCTCAATTTTTATTGTACTATTTTTTGTAGCTCATATTGAGTGATAAAATGCTCATTTTAATAGTTTAACATTAAACTTGAATACAATGTTTCCAGTACATGATATCAACATCCTCAATTTCCAACAATTTCTAATTACTTTTAATACTCTTCTGAGGTGGAATTTTGGGACAAATAATCCCCATTTGGCATTGGCATCAATAATATTACACTTCTTTTATAACTTTAAAATGAAAACAAGCTGACTTAGCAAATAAAAATTGTGTCTTTAATATCACATCTTGCACAAAAGCTGTGTGTTTATGTCTCCAGAACCAACCATTTTTATGGGAAGAAAAACTCATTGCAATTGTGTGGCCATAATAAAATTAATCAATGAATTAAGAGAAGTTTACCTAAAATCTGACTACACCACCATGCGAGCAAATAAAATATAAAATATGGGCCTCCTCAAGACACCAGTATTTACATTTGTGTATTACAGATCATCATGATAAAAGGCTTTAACTTAAGCATCTCAAATTTTTTGGTGCAGGCTGTAAAATAATATTTTCTCAGAAATTAATAGCAATGCTAGCTTTAATGTTATAAATGTGTTTGGTAGAATCATATTTGGACATATGTCTCCAGGCTGATACATATTGAAAGCAGAAAGATAGCAAATGGTTTATATTTTAAAACCGTTATAGTTTGAATGTTTGTGTCCCACTAAAATTTATGTTGAAACTTAATCCCCAAGGCAACAGATTTAACAGGTAGTGAGTTTACAAGGTTATTAGATTATTAGGGCTCCTCCTTTGTGAATAAGATTAAGGCCCTCTTAAAAGAGGCCTCATGCAGCATCTGACTCTCTTGCCCTTCCACCTTCTGCCATGTGAGGACACACAGTTCCTCTCCTCCAGATGATGTAGCCCTCACCACACAACCCAATCTGCTGACACCTATTGATCTTAGACTTTCTAGCCTGCAGAAATGTGAGAAAATAAATTTCTGTTCTTTATAAATTACTCAGTCTTATATATTTTGTTATAGCAGCACAAAATGGAGTAAGACAGAAATGCATCCCTAAAGTATAATAATGGATAGAATTCCTGCCCTCAAAAAACATTTTACTTAAGTAAAGGCTGTAAACAAGGAATTAAACTGTTTTGCGAGACTTCAGATCCATACAGCCTGATACAAGACTCCACATTCTTCACCACGGCGTAAAATATTTATCACTCAAGAGAAGGAAGTTATAACAAGTCATTCACCTTCTGTAATTTTTCCTACTGAAATACTTACATTGCAGATATCCTGAGAATTTGCTGTAGGTAGTAGTTAATTTGATAACTTTTGCTTCATTTACATTTAAAATTTTATTTACATTGAGGTATAAATATTTTGAAATCTATATAAGATAACATCAATGTAAAAGTTGAAAAATGGTCTTGGTAGAAAGAGCAAATTTTTAATAAAATGTTGAGTAACTTAAAAAACACAATATTATGAGAACATATTTTAATAACCCTGGTGTTTTACTAGGAATTGAAAACAAAACTCCTTGGTGACATAGTTGTCTTGGTGGTACAGGGAAACTCCCTCTGTAACACTGGGGGTTCTGTGTCACAGGGATACTGAATTACTATCCATCTTCTTACTAGCTGGCAGCTGGTGGTCATGTAGGCTAAATGTCCAAAGTCTTACTGTGTCATAATACATCCAGCTTGAGGCAAATGTATTACTCCGTTTTCATACTGCTATAAAGCACTGCCCGAGACTGGGTAATTTATAAAGAAAAGAGGTTTAATTTAATCACAGTTCAGCATGGCTGGGGAGGCCTCAGGAAACTTACAATCATGGCAGAAGGTGAAAAAGAAATAAGGCACCTTCTTCACAAGACAGCAGGAAGAAGAAGTGCTGAGCGAAGGGGGAAGAGCCCCTTATAAATCCATCAGATCTCATGAGAACTCACTATCACAACAATGGCATGAGAGGAACTGTCCCCATGATTCAATTATGTCCATCTGGTCTCTCCCTTGACACTTGGAGATTATAAGAATTATGAGGATTACAATTCAAGATGAGATTTTGGTGGGGACACAAGGCAAACCATATCAACAAATAATGCAAACATTTTGAGATTTTGTGATTTTGCTACTCATATAGTTATCAATGCACTGGTCTGAACCATTTTTTCTTACTTTCCTTCTTATGCAAATATAATGCTTTCTCAAAAAATTATAAGTATCAAAAATGATTTTATTTTAACTACAATATTAACATGTAGCAAGTATATTCATTCATGTATGTATTAGTAATGTATTTCCTCAAAAATAGATGTTTCTTACTGATGTATGCAAGTGTATCTGATGAGTATATCTGAATGAAAATTTAAATTACAGAAACATGGCTCCAATAATTATTACCAACAATTCTGAATCAGTCTGGTCTGAAATTATTTTTCAAGTGTTCTAGAGCTCCAAGGAGATGCCTACATTTTAGGTGAGTTTTATATTACTTCATAGTCACTGCCTCATATTCTCTTCATAATGTTGTCTTCAGTCTTTCTTTTTCCAATACATTATATGCTGCATATAAACTACATATAATTATTATATTATGTAATTATATGTTTATGTGAAATGCGTATATAATTTAATACAAATGTTACTTTATACTGAATCACTAGATTGTTCATCCACAGTTCCACTTTAAGTACATTTCAGAAAGTGTTTTAACAGCCAAACCTCTTGTGAAAATGGTCTAAATATGGAGTTTTCATTGAGTACTCTGAAGAGACCTCTTTAGATTTTCTAATTGAGTGCCAAGTGGGCATGAACTGGGTCTAATTGTTCTTCACAACATTTAGTGCATTGTTGATGCTCAAAGCATCTTTAAATAATGACAGTAGTAACAATGTTCCCCGGCCTCCAATAGAATGATCCCTCCCTTGCTATTTTCTCTCTGCTGGGTACATTGCAAGACTCAGTCTCACAGTCCAAACTATTTGGATTGAGGCTCTTTGTTTCCCTACTTTGGCATTGTTCTTTCACTATATTTGTTGGTATAAATTTCTTCCACCCAAGAGCTATGGGAACTGGCTTGTCTCTATGCCATCCTTAACTTCTAAAAAATACCTTACAGCAAACCCATCCAAAAGTTAATAATTTTTATTATTCTGATCAGGAAATCCATAGTTAGAAGGAAAAAAATACAGGTTTTTCTTTTCTCAAAGTAGAAAAAAGTCACCAAATGAAACCTGGAGGTTTTATTCAGCTCCAGTGTCTCAGAATGTTATTTAATTTCTATGCCCAGTGTTATAAATCACAGAGACATTTATCTTTCCATTCCAATAGATCAGCAGAAAGCTGAAGGGAAGCTTATAAATTATTGCAAATTCCCAATAGTTTCACTGTAATAAACCTTCACCCACTAAAAATCTCTATTGCTTTCTTCCACAATTCAACGTGATTGCATTATCTAACTTAAGCAATAGGTGCTGAAATATGATAATAGTATTAATTATTTTATTTTATTACTTAAGGATAATGTAATAAATAGTATTTCTAGAAAGCTCATTCTTATTTCAAAATTTAAATATTTTTATTTTTTATTTTACATATTAAAAAGACCTACATATATCCTTTGCAGAAACTAACAGAATGATACACACACACACACACACACACACACACACACACACACCAAATAACACACATATTTATATGCCTCCTCAAAGTTGTAACAAAAAGGTAAAAGTCATTTAATTCTTCCATGCTGTTGTCATGCAATTCAAACTTCTATCCTATCAGAATGAAAACCTACTCCATGAACTCAACTTGCAGGCTTACAACAAGGCTTGTACAGGTATGTGGATTAAGAAAAATGAGGCTTTATCTCATTTAGAGTAGATGGTTAAAGAATATATTTCATACTACTCAAAGTATTGCTAGAATTATTAATAGTTAGTTCATTCCCAGGATTCACACAAATCTTGTCCCCATTCAGTCACCTGTCATCTTTTTAGGTAGTGAGAAAAATGAACATGAAGAAAATACATTTAGTAAAATGAAACTATTCTTGCTGGCAGGCACTTAAACTCCAGACCCCAATATAATCCTCTGGTGATGCAGAATAAAGCAGGTGGAAAACTCTATATTAGATTAATTGCAATGAGAATAACTAATATTTATTTAATATGTTCCAGATGCTCTAAGGCATTTTATACTTCATTTCATCTTTACAGCAAGTACATGAAGTGTTATTGTCACTGTTTTACAGGTAAGGAAACTGAGACTAAAGAGATTAGTTGACTTGTACAAGATTACCTTGCATAGGTAATAAATGCAACATCTAATTCAAGTAGTCAGATGCTAGGTCTGTGCAGACAATTCAGAGAAATGGTTGACATATCTTTAATACCTAAAAAAGCTTAGCAGTTTCCTTTGCTTTTTATGCAATAAGTCTATATCAATATTGGAGTCCTCTGTGTCTTATCCCTCTGATACAAAAATATGTCCCAGGTAAACCACTGAGACCTACATCATGCTAAAGGACATTTATTCCAATAAAGGAGAATTGATTCTTATTCTGCCATTACTCCTTTTACTAAGTCTTATTGTGCAAGTAATACTTTTGCAGTTGACACTTTCTTTTCTGTGTTTTTTTATATGGATGTACAGTTAGGAAAGAATAATTCTAGATAATGAGCTAGAGGGAGAAAATGACGAGTTGCCTTAAGCTGTTCCATGTAACCAAAAACTATCTCAAATATCATGCATTGATGAATTGGTTGATTGAGTCAATGAATATTTGCTGAGTTTCAATGATGAATTGAAGTCTGAAGTAGATACTATAAAAGATAAGCAATAAATATATAGGTGAAATAATTGAGTAAAAATATAAGCAGTTATGGGCCTGGCCCGGTGGCTCACATCTGTAATCCCAGCACTTTGGGAGGCCAAGGCGCGTGGATTACCTGAGGTCAGGAGTTCGAGGCCAGCCTGGCCAACATGGTGAAATCCCATATCTACTAAAAATACAAACATTAGCCAGGCATAATGGCACACACCTGTAATTCCAGCTACTTGGGAGGCTGAAGCAGGAGAATTGCTTCAGCCCGGGAGACGGAGGTTGCAGTGAGGCAAGTTTGTGCCATTGCACTCCAGCCTGGCCGACAAAGTGAGACTCTGTCACAAAAATATATATATACATATTTATATAAATATGTATATATATATGTGCAGTTACGTCACACAATTGTATGGGACACATCAACTTCATTATACGTTCGTTTTTTGAGGTGCTGAAATAGAAAAAAAAACCCAAGTAATTATGTTCTGATTACTTAAGGAAACAGAATCCTCGATACTCTCTTTTTTCTTTTGTTAGTCTTATTATTGTTATCATTATTATGTAAATGATGTACTTAATCAGGAGAAGCAGATATGGTTTAAAAAATCAGGGCAATTTGGTATATTTATTTGGTTATGAACTTTTTGGCTCCCTCCACAGAAAAGTTGCACTGCAGTCTTCCAAGAATATTGTATTTGAATAACAGAGAAAGAATAAATGAGGTCTGGAAAGAGTCCAGTTCAAAATAAGTTACCAGATATTTCTTCTTCTGGCAGAAATCCAATATTAAGCCTAATTGCAAAGGAGAAATTTAGAAGTGGTTAGAGGAATACCATAGACTAGAAATAGAAATAGATGAGTCAATCTTGACTCTAATGAAAATCAGAATCTAATTTGAGAAATAGGAAAACACAAATTAAAAAAACCTACTTTTTTTAAGTTTTGGAGGAATCAGGTTAGCAGTCTATTAGTTCATTCAATTTCTGCCTTTATGCTATTCATCTTCTTATAAATAGAAGGCTGTCTGAGAAATAAGACTGAGGGAGAATTTTCTGATATGCGATATTATTTTAATATTTTGCCTGCTAAAGTGAAGTCACAAACTACAACGCAGGGAATGATTGTTAAGGTGCCTGTATCTCCTAGATCCATTATCTCCCCCAAAACAAATTTGTCAAGGGCTTATCTGTGTTTGGTGTTGAATAAGAAGATTTGAGAGACAGTTGGAAATAGCAGATAAAGAGTGTTAGACATAGGAAACATCATTGTCTGGAAGGCTTAGCTCTCTTCCACACTTAACGTGAGAAGAGAATCAAGAACTCCTTTCTGCCGGGTGCGGTGGCTCACGCCTGTAGTCCCAGCACTTTGGAAGGCCGAGGCGGGCGGATCACGAGGTCAGGAGATCGAGACCATCCTGGCTAACACGGTGAAACCCCGTCTCTACTAAAAATACAAAAAAATTAGCCGGGCGTGGTGGCGGGCGCCTGTAGTCCCAGCTACTAGGGAGGCTCAGGCGGGAGAATGGCGTGAACCCGGGAGGCGGAGCTTGCAGTGAGCCGAGATCGTGCCACTGCACTCCAGCCTGGGCGACAGTGTGAGACTCCGTCTCAAAAAAAGAAAAAAAAAAAAAAAACTCATTTCTGTGAAAGGGTCTGAGCGAAGGTATAGTTTCTATTAAATTTTTCACTGGTGAGACATAATAAAATAACTTGCTAGAACATTTAATGGGGATGACGGCCCAGAAATTTAAGTTGTGGGCTCAAATTAAAGAAACGATGAATAGTAATTCAGATTCATAGACTTAGTAGGAAATACGTGAGCTGAATAAAGAGGTTAAAGATAATTATATGAAGTTTCCTCTTAAAAATCCAGGTGATTTGCCCTAATTGCAGTACACATAAAAAGGGAGCAGTGACTACTTTAGGGATGGGATGATGTGGAGATGTGAGAGAACACAGACACAGATGTGGACTTCAAGATTGAATCTACAGCAAAGGAATTCAATGAAATGGGTACATCGGACATCATGTGAAATTTGGTAGGTGGAATATAAACTCAATTCAACAATATTAGTAAAAATGCCATTGCCATCAATGGATTAAGAATATATGGCAAACTTTGCCCCCAGAAACTGTCTCAAAGCACTTCACATCATCAAAAGTGCATATAGTGATTCAATGTAATTACTTACATGAAAATGCATGCCACAGCATTAATTTGCTATGCTAAACCGATGTTGACAAACATAAACCAATTGTTAGTGGTAGTTTAGTATAAACGACTTGAAACTGTGAGGAAAATTCGAAAGCTACTTCTAATGACAGTGGCCTTTCTTGAAAAGTTTTTGAATTTAGTTTTTATAAAATGGAAAGCCAGAAAAATGACAAAAGAATTTTCTAGCTATTCCTAAATGTCATGACAGAGAATAGCGTCGAGTGTTCATTAGATCACTTTTCAAGGTTTCCACAGAGTACAGAGCTGCCTGTTTAACAACTCTTATGAATATAGAAGGTAAAGGCATAGATTTTTTTGTGCGTAAAGGGGTCCATCATCTACCATTTTATTTCTTATAGACTATTTGGAAGAAGATAAATCCCCACATGAGAATTAATGAGAGTACTCTGATGTTATTGTTCGCTTATGTATTCTTTCATATCTCTGCCTATCTATTCCTTTTTTGTTGTGCAAAGTCCATTTTTATATTTTTTAAAATGATAATATGTTGGTTTTGCCCATAGTTTCTCTATCTCGAGTTAATTGTTGAATATACTTTGGTGAAGAACTTCAGCTCAAGAGACTAGACAGCTCTAGGCTTTTATTCCTTTTTTGACACATAAAAGTATAATTGTAGAAGGACCACTATATCTCTTGGTTTTCTTGAGTGCTAAATTTGTATAATATTAAGAATAATTATATATAAAAGCTTATAAATTTATTATATTAAATAGAATAACATAACAAATCTAAATGTTTTTTACAGAGGCTAGTATATGGTAAGCATTCAAAACTGTGAGCCTTCATTATATTCATCATTGCAATAGCTTTATTGTAATAACTTTTCTTTCATTCAACATCATATGATTTCAGTAAAAAACTTGAGTAACATAAATTCTAATGTCATTTTGTATTCTTTTTAAAGTTCTATGGAGTTCTACTTTACAGCTGAACAATAGTTTAACCATATATCCATTGAAGAATAACTGGATTGTTTCTTTTTGTTATTGTAATTATAAACATCACTGTTGACATAAAACTGCATAGCAAAATATTTATATACTTTCCAGAGTATTTGCCTAATATGTAATTTCAGAAATCAGATGGCAGGAAAATTATAAACAAAATTTTGCTAAGTGCTTTCAAATTTCCCTGCATGGGGTTTGCAACTACTTATGCTTTTAGGAATGGCACTTGAGAATGTCTGATTCTGTGGTTCTTTATTATCATTTCCTCAAGATATCCAAATTTGCTTGGTAAAAAAAAATTGCATCATATTTTAAATTGTTATTGCTTTTAGTTATTGGCTTGGTTGAACATTTGCCTATATGATAATTGGCCATTTGCCATTTTTTGTTTGTTTTGTGTTGGTTTTCTCTAACTAGTAGTAGTGTAATAGGCTCTGGGGCCTGCTAAAACCCACCTGTATCTTCAATGTTCATGTAAAATTCAAGGAACCTTCACAAACCTCTCCATTTTACTGCAGTCTTAGTCTTCATTATTATAGCTTGCTCTGAATGATTTTGCTTCTTTTTGTCTGTATCACTCAAAGTGATAAAATTACATAATCATGTACCCATTTTTATTGGTATTTACCTTGCTATTAAATGTATTGTTTTGTATGTAACTTAATTTTTACTTTTTATAGTGTCTGAAGGATACCCAGTAAGCACTTGTTAATTGAATTATTTTTGATATGTATATGTATTTAAATTGATCTATACCATTGGCTAGAGCATTGAAAGAAATAATTATCCTCTTAAGAATAAATAGACATTTTGTCATTGCTATTATCGTGCCTGTGATTTCAGTGATGATTTATCTCATAGTATCTTCCTAAAATATATTTGTCCATTATACGTTTTTATCTGTTTTTTTGTGACACCACATTTTTTTGTGACATGTTTAATCTGCGTTTTTGTGAGTATATTTTCAGAAATATTTGCCTAATACATAATTTCAGAAATCGGGTCATGGAAAAATAAAAAACAGAGTTTTCTATGTGCTTTCAAATTTCCCTGAATAAAGTTTGTAACTATTTGTACTTTCCCTAATGGCACTTCCAGAGCCTCGAGTCTTAACAATTGAGTGCTTTGCCTTCCCAAACTGTACCCGTTACAGTCAAGCCCTCCACATCTGCAGGATCTGCATCTACAGATTCACCCAACCTTAGGTTAAGTGAAAAAAAGGTAGTAAGTGAAAATACAATGAAAATTATTACAAGTAAAGCAACAACACAGTATGACAACTGCTTATATTGCATTTATATTGTATTAGGTAGTATCAGTAACTAAATATGAGTTAAAGTCTGCAGAATGATATGTATAACTTACATGCAAACACTACACCATTTTATATAAGAAGGATGTGCATCTGCTGATTTTATATCTGTGGCGGGGTCCTAGAACCAACATTTCCTATAGATACTGAGGGACAGCTGTACATGTGGATTGTCATAATTTTACAGATAAGGAAATTTAGTCTTTGGAAATTGAATCAACTAAGTTTTCAAGTTTCCATAAGCTATAGGAACAGGATTTCAAAGCCAATCCTACCTAACTCCATAGCATGCTGTACTATCTAATTTATTTTTATATGTATTCTTTCAGCTTCAATTGAGGCTGAAAAAAACTAATGATTCAATTAATAACTGAAGCTAATATCATAATAAAGGGCTCCATGGCTACAAATTATAACTGTGACATGGAGGACAGTAGCTTGGGAAAATATAGTTTGAGATAGTTTGTTTTTATCGATCCAGCTAACACTTTCATAAGCCAAAGGTGGTGTTGGCCAATGGAACATGAAAGACAATTGATGGTTGTTGAAGAAAATGTCAGGGAAATGAGAAATCCATACCAACTGTGACTTATTTTTTCTTCTGTTTTTAAACAGTTGCACAACAAATAAATAATGATTTTCTATCATAAAACTCTCAGAAAATAGATACTGTACAGATTTTGAAATAATAATCAACTTTGTATTGGTTTGCTAGTAGAGCCATACAAAATATTATATACAGTGCATTAGATGCAGAAGTTCATTTTCTCAAAATTATGGAGCTAGATGTCCAAGAGTAAATGCTGTCAGCAGGGTTGGTTTCTTCCAAGGCCCCTCTCCTTGGCTTCTACCTGGCCCACTTTCTTCCTGTGTCTTCATGTGGTCTTCACACTGTGTGTCTGTGTCCTAATCTCTCCCTATGAGGATACCAGTCATATTGGATTAGGACCCATCCTAGCAAACTCATTAAACTTAATTATTCCTTTGAAGATCTTATGTCCAAATGTAGTCATAATCTAAGGTACAGTGGATTAAGTTTTCAACATATGAATTTTGAGTGGATACAATTCAGACCGTAATAATTCTGTATCTCTTTTAAGCCTATTTTTTAATATTAGATAACCACTTTCAACAGTTTGATTTTAAACCCAGGCAATCCAATTTCAGAGCCAGAAAACATGGGTACTATAAAACCTACCTTTTATGTGAAATACACACACACACACACACACATATATATACATATAGACACAAACACAAATATATATGCATATATAATATATTCTGTAATTGCATAAATGTTTCAGTTAATATTGGAGAGATTATCATATTTGTGAATTTTTAAACTTCATATTTTTAAAACATTTGTAGCTTTGATATAAGAACATATAAATGCTGTGATTTGAGTATGTATAGAGTTAACTCTGATGGTCAAAATATATGCTTAATTGTTTAATAAGTGTTTAAATACATTTACAAGCAGATTTGCTATTTGGTGCCCACATAGCTTCTTTCTCTAATTGTGTATATTTTTTTAACGTTGCTTGGCTGAGTTTGGAAAAAAGTGCATAAATATTTTCTAGTACTATACTTTTTTTAACTTTATTTTTCTAATTTTCTTCCTCAGATACTTTGCCACCACATTATCAAGGAGAGAGAAAGATTTTTGCTTCTATAAATTCTTGGCAATGATTATATAAACTAACAAAAAGTGTAAAATATCTGTTCCATCTAATGATGCTTATTTTCAGTTATATTATGTCTGATTAGAATATATCTAATCTTAATATCCTTTGAGCTCACTTACCTTTTGAGTCCAACCTTTTTTTGCCTAACCACTTTCATAATCTCATATTTTTGATGGGTCTTTTATAATAAATCAGTGTGTAGTTGAAATGCTCTGCTCTCAATTCCCTCCAAATATCTAAACATTTATATCTTTATAGATAGTTAGATATTTGATAGATATTAGATAGATACTAGAACTTCAAATTCATTCACCTTGCAATGTCAGCAAAAACATTACTCTTACGAAAGTCTTTGTTTTGTCTGTAATATTTATTATGATTTTTCTTATTTTTAGTATTTTTTCTTTAGGAGGATTGATTGAGGTTTTCTAAATCTGACATCCTCTTTGTTTCTTATAGATGTTTGGAAGTAGCATACTTTATGTCTTCTGGTTGTTTTTCTTAATTTTTAAGAAATTGTATATTTTTATATTTTTCTAATGGCTTATAAAATTGGTTGAAATCTCTGGCACACTACTTCTCTAGAAACGAGATTTCTAGCACATTTCCACCCCTTCCACATCCTGCCATAATCTGATGCTAATATAGAGGACATATTTTTATGACTTTTTCTGAATAATTTAACTGGAGCTTCACAGTAATTTTATTAAAAAATATTGATGCATGGGTAATATTTTCTGGTTACATTGTTAACAACTTTTCAGGGGCATTCCACTTTTTCTTTTATTTATATCAATGTTTCAAATTGTTGGCTTTTTTCCCCTGTGGCAATTATTGATCAAAGGGGGCAAAACTTTAAGAAGTCAAGTTAATGCATTCAGAAGAGAATGTACAGTTTCACCTGGACATTTTGGGTAGTGAGAAAAAATAAGGATAATGCATCAGTAAGGAAAAGAAAGATTATTTCCATGCAGCCATAAAATTAAGGAAAGCCAAGAACATAATCAAAGCAGAGGAGGCTTAACTGTGCATGCCTTACCCTCACATCTTTTGGCAAAAAGGCTTCCTCCTATTGCATAATAAAACTGTAGTAAGAACACGTTGCTTGAAGAACACAGTGATTGGAGCAATAGACCTTATCTCCGGCCACATTACACACCAAATGGGAAAAACTATCTAGGATAAGACCCAGACATCAGTGACGTTTAACTCCTCAGTTGATCCCAGAGTGCAGCAACTTTGAGAACCATGGAAAACAGGGTACACCAGAAGATTTGGAAAAGAAATTCAAGGTTCATTTTTTTGGGGGGGAGTGGGGAGGAGCAAGAATGATAGTATGAGGGAAAAGTGTTTTTGAGTAAAGTACAAGAAAATTAACTTAATGTTGGCATGCTCTGAAAAGCGTCTTACTACCACTGTCCTGTTGAAACTCCTCTTGAATCTGGTCAAGTGTTGTAAGCAGTATCCATGTACTCATTCATGCAAAATGTCTTGCTGGTTCAACTTTTCATCATTATTCATCAAAAGAAGAAAACAGGCTCTGATAATTGAAATTCACTCCCCTAGGATATTCTCTACTTCACAGCAAGCTAAACAGCTTGCTTGTAGATTCTTTTTACTATTCTTTATGTCACCAACAATGGATAGTAAAAACGGGAATAATGAGATAACGTGAGTTAATAATTACTCCTAAGATGTTTATGGATGATAAAACTTTCATATTAAATTTTTGTGTTTTGGGCTCAATTTTATTTTACAGTGCTATATAATTGCACACAGATACTAAAATGCAAGATACTTTTAGTTTGTGTTATTCTTTTAATTTAAAACAATTTCAAAGTTACAGAAAGTTTTAAGTTTATACAAAGTATTTGAAACTAAGTTGCCAATTAGAGACACTATTACCTCCAAATACATTCCTGTATTTATTCTACAAAAAAAGAACATCCTCCTGGCTTGTCAGTATCCAAATCAGGAACTTAAAATTAATATAATTGTATTTGTCTGCTTGGGCAGCCATAACAAATTACCATAGGCTGGGTGGCTTAAATATCAGAAATGTATTTTCTCACAGTTTTGGAGCCTGAGAATCTGAAATCAGGGTATCAGTATGATTCAGTTCTGGTGTAGGCCCTCTGTGCAGATGACCTTCTCTCTATGTCTTCATATGGCAGTGGTGGAGGACAGAGAAACCAAGCTCTAGTGTCTCTTATTATAAGGGCACTTATTGCATTGTGAGGGCACTGCCTCCATGGCCCCATCTAAATCTACTTACCTCCCTAAAGCCTCATCTCCAAACACCCTGAAGTATTTCCTTCTTCAACAATCTTTTGATTTATTCTATTTGATTATTTAAGTATAAAATTATTGTTCTTCCTTACTGAATGAATTATAACTCATAATTATTATTTATTCTGATACTCAAATTCTTCCTGATTTGATTTGGCCAGTAAATGGGCCTTTAAAAAAAGTTCTTTTTTTAATTGTATTTATTTATTTTTGCATGTTCTCATAATTCCTTTGCCCTTTCTCAACTTCTAAAATGACAGGATATTTTATATCTGAAATTAACCATTTCCAAGGACTCTTGGTTCCTTGTCGTACCACATCATATTTACAAACAAAGATCTGTGTCTTAGTGGTGCTACTCGCCATCACGGCAATGCTGCTGCTGCTCCCAGGGTCTCTCTGTACAAAACTCAGTGTGTGTGTGTGTGTGTGTGTAAATATTAAGTATCACATTATTTATTCTAGTTTTATCTTTTTCCATATTTGTAACTCTCTTTTCCACCCATTAGAAGACCAATTCCCCAGTAGATAAACTATCTTCCATCACCACAGCTGCCTCTTTCTCTGGATTGATGCTTTCTTCATCCGACTTAGGTATAAATACCATGTGCAGAGCCACTGCCACTGTTCATAACATGGATGCCTCCCTCACCCTATTCAGACTCTGGTATTCTGCAACATTCCTCCCCAGGAACAAACTTCTCACACTGCTCTGGCTCTGACACCATACACTGGGTTGGTTACTGTAGTGGATGCCCTCCTTACTGCATTCTGTCGTGCGTTGGGCCCTCTGCTTATGTAAGATCCCTCCTTGTCCCACTTAGGATCGAACACACTGGAAGAAAACACTATTTTGTGAATGTCCTTTCATATTCCCAACTCCTGTGCCACACTGTATCCTGCATATCCCCTGCATGAATATTTTTTTCAGTCCACCTGGGTTTTGATACTTCATGCTAGGCACTCAGTGGAGAATATGCTCATCCCTCTCGTACTTTGACAATTCTCAATGGGCGTTCCCTCCCTAAGGACATCCTGCACCAGGCTGACTTTTTTGAAGGGCCCTTGCTCACTTATATTAGGCTTCAACACCTCACACTGAGCCCTCCCTGTGTAGATAAGGTCCTCACCACCTCACACTGAGCACACCCTTCATAGACAAGGTCCTCAACAACTCACACTGAGCTCTCCCTGAGTAGATAAGGTCCTCACCACCTCACACTGAACCCTCCCTGAGATAAGGGTCTCACAACCTCACACTGAGCCCCCCTGTGTAGATAAGGTCCTCACCACCTCACACTGAGCCCTCCCTGAGTAGATAAGGTCCTCACCACCTCACACTGAGCCCTCCCTGAGTAGATAAGGTCCTCACCACTTCACACTGAGCCCCCCTTGAATAGATAAAGGTCCTCACATTGCTCTGACTCCCACATCATGCATCAGTTTTCCCTTTCATGGACATACCATTTCTACTGGGCTTGGGTCCAACACCTCACACCTGGCAACCCTTTTACCCAGACTCCTCCTCACCTTGCCTGGACGCCACTTCAGGTGTCTGTAAAGACAATTGCTCATTTTCTTAAATGGGTTGTTTGACTTTCTAATATTGATTTATAGGATATACTTATACAATCTGGATATAGGCCTTTTGTAAATTGTATGTACTTCCAGTATTTTCTCCAATGTGTGGCTTGCTCTTTCTTTCTTAATGATGTTGAGTTTGGGGGTTTTTGGTTTCTGTGTTTGTTATGTTTTATAATGAAAACAAGCATATAATTGGATGAAATTTCATTTATCAAGATGTTAGTTATTTTATAAACTAGCAAAGGAATATGTGCCTGACTCTAGTATATTCACTTTCTAGGGTTTCCATAATAAATTATTCAGAAACTGGGGGGCTAAAAGGAAATGTATCCTCTTACAGTTCTGGAGGCTGTAAGTAAGACTCTGTTCTTTGCATCTCCCAGTTGCTGTTAGCTGTCGACATCTGTAGTTTGTGGCCACAGCACTCCTGTCTCTGTCATTTTAATCTCCCTCTGCCTCCTTTTATTAGGACATTTGTCATTGAACATAGTGCCCACCCAGAAAATCAGGGTATCTCTTCATCTCAAGATCTTTAATTTAATTTTATATGGAAAAACACTCTTTTCAGAGAAGGTTAAATTCGCAGGTCCCAGGGATGAAGATGTGTATATATCTTTTGGAGGGACTACCATTCAATCTTTGCACAAGCTCATGAAGATCTTCTCTCTAAATAGGCAAGTGACCTTTATAGGCACTACATGAAAGGAATTAGAGTGGCCAGTAAGTATATAAGAAAGTGGTCTATTCAGGCATTCAACTTCTTCCTGGTTTAGTCTTGGGAGGGTGTATGTGTCCAGGAATTTATCCATTTCTTCTAGATTTTCTACTTTATTTGCGTAGAGGTGTTTATAGTATTCTCTGATGGCAGTTTGTATTTCTGTGGGATCGGTGGTGATATCCCCTTTATCACTTTTTATTGCGTCTATTTGATTTTTCTCTCTTTTCTTCTTTATTAGTCTTGCTAGTGGTCTATCAATTTGTTGATCTTTCAAAAAACCAGCTCCTGGATTCATTGATTTTTTGAAGGGTTTTTCGTGTTTCTATCTCCTTCAGTTCTGCTCTGATCTTAGTTATTTCTTGCTTTCTGCTAGCTTTTGAATGTGTTTGCTCTTGCTTCTCTAGTTCTTTTAATTGTGATGTTAGAGTGTCAATTTTAGATCATTCCTGCTTTCTCTTGTGGGCATTTAGTGCTATAAATTTCCCTCTACACTGCTTTAAATGTGTCCCAGAGATTCTGCTATGTTGTGCCTTTGTTCTCATTGGTTTCAAAGAACATCTTTATTTCTGCCTTCATTTCGTTATGTACCCAGTAGTCGTTCAGGAGTAGGTTGTTCAGTTTCCATGTAGTTGAGCAGTTTTGAGTGAGTTTCTTAATCCTGAATTCTAGTTTGATTGCACTGTGATCTGAGAGACAGTTTGTTATAATTTCTGTTCTTTTACATTTGCTGAGGAGTGCTTTACTTCCAACTATGTGGTCAATTTTGGAATAAGTGCGATGAGGTGCTGAGAAGAATGTATATTCTGTTGATCTGGGTTGGAGAGTTCTGTTGATGTCTAATAGGTCCGCTTGGTGCAGAGCTGAGTTCAATTCCTGGATATCCTTGTGAACTTTCTGTCTCATTGATCTGTCTAATGTTGACAGTGGGATGTTAAAATCTCTCATTATTATTGTGTGGGAGTCTAAGTCTCTTTGTAGATCTCTAAGGACTTGCTTTATGAATCTGGGTGCTGCTGTATTGGGTGCATATATATTTAGGATAGTTAGCTCTTCATGTTGAATTGGTCTCTTTACCATTATGTAATGGCCTTCTTGTCTCTTTTGATCTTTGTTGATTTAAAGTCTGTTTTATCAGAGACTAGGATTGCAACGCCTGCCTTTTTTTGTTTTCCATTTGCTTGGTAGATCTTCCTCCATCCCTTTATTTTGAGCCTATGTGTGTCTCTGCAACAGGCAACCTACAGAATGGGAGAAAATTTTTGCAATCTACTCATCTGACAAAGGGCTAATATCCAGAATCTACAAAGAACTCAAACAAATTTACAAGAAAAAAACAAATGACCCCATCAACAAGTGGGAAAAGGATATGAACAGACACTTCTCAAAAGAAGACATTTATGCAGCCAACAGACACATGAAAAAATGCTCATCATCACCGGCCATCAGAGAAATGCAAATCAAAACCACAATGAGATACCATCTCACACCAGTTAGAATGGCGATCAATAAAAAGTCAGGAAACAACAGGTGCTGGAGAGGATGTGGAGAAATAGGAACACTTTTACACTGTTGGTGGGACCGTAAACTAGTTCAACCATTGTGGAAGACAGTGTGGTGATTCCTCAAGGATCTAGAACTAGAAATACGATTTGACCCAACAATCCCATTACTGGGTATATACCCAAAGGATTATAAATCATGCGACTATAAAGACACATGCATATGTATGTTTATTGCAGCACTATTCACAATAGCAAAGACTTGAACCAACTCAAATGTCCATCGATGATAGACTGGATTAAGAAAATGTGTCACATATACACCATGGAATACTATGCAGTCATAAAAAAGGATGAGTTCATGTCCTTTGTGGGGACATGGATGAAGCTGGAAACCATCATTCTCAGCAAACTATCGCAAGGGCAAAAAAACAAACACTGCATGTTCTCACTCATAGGTGGGAATTGAACAATGAGAACACTTGGACACAGGAAGGGGAACATCACACACTGGGGCCTGTCATGGGATGGGGGGAGTGGGAGGGATAGCATTAGGAGATACACCTAATGCAATTGATGAGTTAATGGGTATAGCTCACCAACATGGTACATGTATACATATGTAACAAACCTGCACATTGTGCACATGTACCCTAGAACTTAAAGTGTAATAATAAAAAAAAATGAAAAACAAACAAACAAAAATCGTATAGTATGCTGGCAGCAAATATTTTCAAATGGAATTTCTTAAAAAAATGAAATAAAAAAGTGCTCAATATCATTAGTCATAAAGCAATGCAAATTTGAACCAAGGGAGTTACTTCTACACAACTACCTGAAAAAATAAAAGACAGACAATACCACATATTTTAATCTTGAAGAAGTTTAAAAATTAGAATTAATTAACCAGAGTTAATCACCTTTTCAGGGATTTCATTAACCCAGGTTATTTAGGTATTGTCCCATGTTTTTTCTAAAAGTTTTTATAGTTTCAACTTTGACATTTAGATCTAAATCCATCTCAAATTAATTTTTATGCATGGTATGAGGTAGGGTTCAAGTTTTTGTTAATGCAAAATTCCATTTGTTCCATAACCATTTTTTAGACAGAACTTCCTGTTCCATTGAAATTACACCAGAAACTTTGCTCAAAATTAAGCTATTCTGTAAGTGGAGGTCTATTTCTGGAATATCTGGTTCAGTCTATTGATAAATTTCTCTTTTCTTCCATGAAAACCACACTATCTTTCTTTTCCTGTCTTCTAAAGGTTGAAGGTTGTGTCTTAAATGTTTCACATATTTCCATTTTTAATATGATTTTTTGCTCCAAGAAATGCTTTACCTAAAAGTATAATTTTAGAACTTTATGTTTAGAACTTTCTTAATCAGGTTAGTTTAGTAGTTACAGCATTTTAGTAAGTGTGGAAAACAGATAATATAAATTTTCTTATTAAAGTTTGTCCTAGGTATTTAGTAGTTTTATTATAAATTGATACTTAATTTTTATATAAATTTATGGCTGCAAAGTTATGTTATAATTTATGAGTACAATATGGAATAATTACATCAAGTTAGTTAACATATCCATTACCTCAGACACTTAACTTTTTTTGTGGTGAGAACATTATAAATTTACTCTTATAGAAATTTTTAAATGTGCAATATTTTAACATAAATTATATTCACTCTGCTGTGCGATTAATCTAATTAAAATATATATCGCTCATATCTAATTGAAATTTTGTGCCCTTTAACCATCACCTCTAGCCTCTCTACTGGCAATCTACTCTCTGCTCCTATGAATTAGGCTGTTTCCATATAAATTTTAAAATCAACTCATCACAAAAAATAAGAAAAAAATTATTTAGAGAGAAATGGCATCTTAACATAAATACATTATGGCTCCTAATTTATTTAGGTCTTTAATTCCTGTAATTATTTTTAACATTTTCAGAGTAGAGGCCTTGTTTATCTATTTATTTCTAATATTTTAGTAATTTGATGTTACTTTTTAAAAAATATTTTCATTTCTATTTGTTACCTGTATATAGAAATACAGTTGAATCTCACAACTTGCTGAAATCCCTGATTTGTAGTAGTTTACTTGTGGATTTCATTGGGTATTTTACATAGGCAATTATGTATCCTAAAGATATTGACAATCTTACTAATTTCTTATATCTAATTGTTTCTTTATTTCATATTCTTTGTTTATTGCACTGGCTAGAAACTTCTGCATAATATGTAGTGAAAATGTGAGTAGATATCTTTATCATTTTTCTAATCTTAGGGGAAATCATTTAATATTTCACCTTGAACAATAATGTGTACTTTTTTTGTGTAGACAACCTTTGTCAGATGAATAATTTGCTTTTAAGTTTGTGTGGACATGCTTTATCAGTTGAAGAATTTGCTTTCTGTTCCTATTTTCAGAGAGTCAATCACGTGCAAATGTTGAATTTTACCACATTTTTTTTCTGCTTCTATCGAGGTGATTATATACTTTCTTTTATCTGCTGAATTACACTGATGGAATTTCAAATGTTACGTCAACCTTGTTGTACTGGCATAAATCCCACTTAATCTAGATGCATTATTATTTTTATATATTGGTGGATACAATTTACAATTATTTTGTGTTTATTTTCATAAGGTATAATGAAATGTATATTCATGTTTTGACCTCATCAGCTTTTGGTAACAAAGTATGTTGACCTCATAAAACAAGTTAAGAATTATCTTTCTTTCTTTCTTTATTCTTAAAAAGAGTTTTCATAAGTTTGAATGAAAGTTTATGATATTTCCCACTATTAGATAGAATTACCCTATTGAAGCCATGTAGTACTGGATTATTTTAGTGGGAATGTGTTTAATTACAGATTCAATTTTACAGATATAAGTGTCTTCAGATTTTCTATTTCTACCTGTGTTTAATTTGAAAAAAAATTATCAAATAATTTCTAATTTCCTCTAAATTTATTATGATAAAATTATTCATATCTTCCTATGTATTCTTCTGGAGTTTTTAGGATGTATAATATCAACTTTTAGAGTCTTGATATTAATATTTTTCCCTCTTTTTTTTCCTTGTTCAGCTGTGAGCTTATCAGTTTAATTAAACTTTGCAAATACCTAGCTTTTCACTATTTTTTTTGCACTGATTTCTTCTTATACATGAATTATTTTCTTTTGCCTTCTTCTTTCGGATTAATTTGCTCTCCTTTTCCCTTGGTTGAAGCTTGTGTCTTAAATGTTTCACATATTTTCATTTCTAATATAGTTTTTTTCTCCAAGAACTGCTTTACATAAATCAAACAAATTTATCATGCTTTTTTCTCATGATCAATAAGTTTGAATTAAAAACCAATTATTTTTGTCTTACTTTTCTTTAAAATTTGCTTCATGTCCCCATATAATCTATTATAATAAACTTTTTATGAACAATTAAAAATGCATTATGTCATTGATTCTAATGTTTGTAATTGTCCAGAGTTCAATTGGATTCAATGTTCAGTGTTCAATTGTTGGATAGTCTTTTTCAATTCTTCTGTATCTTTACTTCTGTTTGTACACACGCTTGTTAATTATTGAGAGAAGTATATGCATATCTTTCACATTGATGAAATTTGCATAACTTATCTTTTCCTATACATTTTTAACTGATATATTTTGTAACTGTACCATTAGCTAAAGAGAAGTGTATCAATATTTTTAATAAACTGATCCTTTTAAACTTTTCAAAAATGTTTCTGTGTATCATTTTAACATTCTACATTTCTTCAGTTTGAAATAAACTCTGCCTGATAATATAACTAAATTGAAATTTTAAAATAGTAGTAGTATTTGCATAGTATATCTCTTTTTCAAACATTTATTTTAACTCCCTCTGTTTTCTTTTATTTAAATTATCATTTTAAGTAGCACTTTATTGGATTGATGCTTTATTTTATAATTGAACAATCTCCATCTCTTAGTTTTTTTATATGGTTGACTTAGATTTAGTGAAATTATTCATGTTGTTGGTTATTTATACTTTGAGACTTTATTGTTCCTTTCCTGTATTCTTTTGGATTACTCTAATATATTTATGTTTCATATTATTACTTCTATTGACTTTCAGCAATATTTCTCATATGATTTTTGTGGATATTGTAGATTAAATATACTTTCAGAATTTATTACAGCTCAATCTATTATACCACTTCATGAACTTAAAAGAATCATTCAGTAGTTTAATTATCCATACACACCTCCTACTCTTTGTGCTATTGTGGGCATATATTTCACTTTTACATATTTTTGAACTCTATACTACTTTTTTATTACATTTGCTTTGAACAGTCAACAGTCAAATTTAAATAAAGTTAAAGGTGATTATGCACATTTGGTCACAATTTTCTCATATTTTTTCTAACTTTGTGGTATTATATTATTCTAATTATACACATACAGTATTATTCTAATTCAGTAAGAAGTTGCATACAAATTTATATATTTTATGTTGTTTTACATATCTGCAATGTTTTCCTCATTTGTTTCTTTATTTTTCCTCTATGTTTTAGTTTAAATTATTAGTAGTGACCTATCTTTACATTTACTAATTTCTTCTGCAGTATTCAGTCTGTTAAATCCATCAAAGGAAAGCTTTGTTTCAGAAAGTATAATTTTAGAACTGTGTTATTTGCTTTTAAAACTTGTTTATACTCTGCTGAAATTCTCGTATTTTTGTCATATTTCCCTCTATATTCTTTAACATTTGTAGAAAAAAAATTTTAAAGCAGATGTCTATTCATTCTAACATCTGCATCATTTGTGTATCTGCTTCTAGTGGCTATTTTTATTGTCTTAAATAATGTCTTGAATGAAATCTGCCTGGTTTTTCACATGTCTAATAAATTATGATGACTAATGAACAATCCGAAGGATACTGAGTAGCACTAGAGTGGTACTAGCTTATATTAACTGGAATATATATATATATATATATATATATATATATATATATATATATTTTCTGTGAGGTATTAGACTTGCTCTAGAATAAAATTCAAGTATTAATATTTTGTTCCTGTTAATTATTGGTTTTGACTTCATTGAGGTGGGTCAATTTTAGGTATTCCCACCTTAATTTTAGATATAGTTATAGAATGATGCTCTAAATCTGGGCATAAAATTATGTTTTTTATTTGTTTGTTTGTCTGAGACAGAGTCTCCCTCCCTCCCTCTCAGCTCACTGCAACCTCTGCCTCCCAGGTTCAAGCGATTCTCCTGCCTCAGCCTCCCAAGTAGGTGGAACTACAGGCATGTGCCACCACGCCCGGCTAATTTTTTGTATTTTTAGTAGAGACGGGATTTCACCATGTTGGCCAGGCTGGTCTCAAACTCCTGACCTCAAGTGATCTGCCTGCCATAGCCTCCCAAAGTGCTAGAGTTATGTTTTAATCCTAGGTTTATACCGCAAGTAAAACTTCTTTCTGGAGTGTCACCTAAAAAAATAGCATTTTCAACAAATCTTCTTTTCTTTCTGGCTGTGATTAGATATCTGCCAGCATTGTGTGATCTCTGAAATTTCTGTTCATCTGACAGGCTCAAAGCGAATGTTGTTTGCTGTACTGTCTGGATTCTTGCCTCGTTTGTGCTAAGATTAGGATATGTCTAATACCAAAGGAAAAACTCTGTGTAACATAAAAATCCAAGTTTTCCTAGAATGTGATTTTTTTTTTAGCTGTTTTGCTGAAGGAATAGGCTTAAGTTTTTAATCAATGCTCTTTACATTTCATACAAAATAAAATTCCATTTGTTAAAAAAAAAAAGAAAAAAATAATAATATTTTTAACAACACAATTTTAGTTCCAGGAAATAAAACAGAACATTTTGGAGAACATATTAGAAGTAAAGAGCTGTTTGATCTATTAAGTAGATCATTTGTCAAAATTTAAAAATCACTAAAGTTGACATCATTTTTATTTTATTTTAGTAACACTTTTCAAATCCAAAGCTATTGTTTTAATACTAGAAGAAATGCAGCATGTTATTTCAACTTCAGAATAAGTGTAGTATAACATTACGTAAATTTTGTATAAAAATTCTTTCTCGGCCACGCGCGTTGCCTCAAGCCTATAATCCCAGCACTTTGGGAGGCTGAGGCGGGGGTATCAAGAGGTCAGGACATCGAGACCATCCTGGCCAACATGGTGAAACCCCAGCTCTACTAAAAAAAAAAAAATAGAAAAAATTAGCCAGGCGTGGTGGCGGGCGCCTCTAGTCCGAGCTACTCGGGAGGCTGAGGCGGGAGAATGGTGTGAACCCGGGAGGCAGAGCTTGCAGTGAGCCGAGATCATGCCACTGCACTCCAGCCTGGGTGACAGAGCGAGACTCTGTCTCAAAAAAAAAAAAAAAAGAAAAAAAAATTCTTACTATATTAATGACTAACTCTTATCTAAGATTTCTTGTCTCAAGAGAATATGTGTAATAAAAACTGGGTCACTAGTACTGAAAGTTCTTGAAGTTGCTCTGTGACAAGGTAAGGGAAAAAGTGTTGAATAACAGAAAGCATCAGATAAGAAACTTAGGTCTTTATTTTACTCTCAGAAAGGCATATAAGAGGAGAATAAGGCACAGAAATGTATCTTGAGGCATATAGTGTATTGAGATTTTTCTCTTTTCTTTTTGAGTGTCCTTGTATTTTTTAGGCAGCAAGAGAGCGCATTCTTCTAAAAATTTGTGAAGCATAAAGAAACATTATATAAAAACATAAAATATATCTAGCTATTTGATTTATTTTTGTGCCATTATCTCACTATTTTATATTATCTGGCTAGACATGTTAAAATATCTTATTCTGTTAGTTTAGGAAGAATCTGTACTTTCCCAAGGGGATTAACTTCAAGGACTGTAACAGGCATGTGCAAAACTTACTAAGCAATGTAAAACCAAAACATTTAATTTTAATATCTTATAATATAGTATAATTTGTGGGGCCCTGAAGCATTGCATAAACCTTAATAAAGAATAGGTCTTTATAACTCGTTTCAATTGAATGCTTCTAAACAGACAAAAATGAAGAATCATTTTATGCACTGGTGGAAGCATACTTTTAAGCTGCAGTTTGGTTTAATTCCTGTCACCTTACTCATGACAGCTCTAACAAATAAAGAAACTGAGGATGGATTCATAGGGATAATTAAGCAGCGTTGATCTTAAGACAGTTGTCTTTTCAATGAAACACTGATTGCATTGTTCATAACAAAACTATCTCTGCATGACAGAACTAATTAGTGACCATCTGAACTTACTTAGCCAAACAAAAAAAGCAATTAAAACCTCCGTCATCACTGGATCTACCATTGAACAGCTGGTTATATTGATAAGCAATCCAGCAAGTTAAAGCTACTTTAGAACACAATGGAACATAATCTGCTTCCTGAGTAGTAATTAGAGAGCAATACGAGAATATGAGATTACTGTGGAGAAACTGTAATTGTGATGCAAACAACTTTTAAAATACATTTTTCCTCCTGAATTGGCATGAGAATAATAGATGAAAACATTTTATATGCTCTGAAACACTTCATATTCCTGTGGGATATACAGATCATATTGTAGGATTTATCAACAATTAGCCATCTCTCTGAGACAGGATAAATTTGTATGACATTGCAGTTGATTTAACAGAGCAGATGAAATTGGCCTTTGCATAGGAATGATGACACTTACAAAAATGGTAGAGAGTTTACATGACATTGGGTTATAATTACCCAGAGGGCAGGAGTAGGAATATCTATTGTAGTTCTGTAAGAGACAAAAGCTCTGAAGCATATGCTGGCGTGTGTGTGTATGTGTGTGTGTTTGCATGTGAGGTTTTTATGTTGTTATTTCTAATTATGTCTGCTTTAGAACTTCTATAAATATGAATTTTTTTAATGTTTAGGAAATGAAAAAATAAAATCGCATTGTTCTCAATCATACTTGGTGCACACTCCATATTTGGTGTAAAATCAATTAAAAGGAAAAAGTGTCAATGATATCTCAAACTCAGCTAGCCAACGGGGAGTTAATTATTACCTGATTGAAATTGCACTTACTATTCTTATGTTTCTTGAATCCTTTTCTGTCTTTATAACCATGTAACTAAAATAAATATTCATTCCAGAATAGACAAAAGTACAATGTTCAAGCATAACATTTTTGGAAATAGACAAAGCAGCATATATTTCCATCCTGTATATGCCATTAATTGCTATTTGCTCAACCTACCCAATCACTAGCTGTGTTACTTTAAGCGAGTTAATTTTGAAACTAAAATAGGTTATACACCTGAAAAAGTGGGTGGGAGGGGATAGTAACAACTTGGTTGCAGTAACTTACATACACACACACACACACATGCACACACATACAACCATCTATTAGGTAGAATAATGGCCACCCAAAGATACATAGGTGTCATGTCTTAATCCATGGAAACTGGAAAACTATAAATGTTAATTAATATGAAAATAAAGGCTTTTGAAGATGTGATTAAATTAAGGATCTGGAGAGGAAATGATCTTGGATTATGCAGGGCAATTCTAAATGCATTCACAAAGGTCCATATAGAGAGATGCAGAGAGAGACTAAACATACAGAAGAGGAGCCAATGTGACTAGGAAGGCAGAGATTAGAGTGATGCAGCCACAAATCAAGGAACGTTGCCAGCCCCAAGAGGCCGGAAGAAAGAAGGAGTGGATTCTCCAGCTGCCCTGGAACCTTCTGAAGCACTGTGGCCCTACCTACAGCTTGTTCATGCCTCAGTGATGCCGATTTTAGACTTCTAGCTTTGAGAATTATGAGATAATAATTGCTATTTGGTTAAGCCATCCAGTTTGCAATAATTTGTCATAGCAGTCACAGTATATTTCATATATGTATATGTGTAAGTGCATATATATACACATAGACACATACACACATATAGCTATATATTCTGACTGGAGCACATTACATACCTCAAAAAGGGAAGTTACCATTATTTCCAAATAATTCCTTTTCCTGTTTAGTTGGGTAATCACTTTATTTAAAGCTTCTCTGGCTTTTTTCATTATTCTTCCTTTATTCTCTTGGTTTTATTTTGTCTGTTATTGTTGTATTTACTTCATGGTTAATGCATTTACGAAACAGGAATTATTTGTTAGCCAACTGTAAGGATAAAGGGGTATTTGACAAAGAAGGTATTAAACTTCAAAGATACATATGTGTGGGTGTGTGTATATATATACGTATATACAATTTATTTACTTATTTAACTTTTATGTGAAGTTCAAGGGTACATGTGCAGGTTTGTTACATAGGTAAACTTTGCCATGAGGGTTTGCTATACAGATTATTTTTTCACCCAGGTATTAAGCGTAGTTCTCATTAGTTATTTTTCCTGATCATCTCCCTCCTTCCACCTTCCACCCTCCAATAGGCCCCTGGGTCTGTTGTTCTCCGCTATATCTTCATGTGTTCTTATCATTTAGCTCCCACTTATAAGTGAGAACATGTGGTATCTGGTTTTCTGTTCCTGCCTTTGTTAAGGATTAGTGGCCTCTAGCTGCATCAATGTTCCTGCAAAAAAAAAAAAAAAAAGATTTTTATTATTGTTCATGACTGCATGGTATTCCATGCTGTATATGTAAATACATGTTTTTAAATCAGTAATGCAAAGACACAAAATCACTTTATTACTGCCTTACTACAAGCAATAAAGTTTCCTACCAAGATAGCTACACATGAGTACTATCTTGTGGCAATTACTCATCTAAGCACATTATTGATCAATTTATTTAACTCTCAGATTAAGATTATATGTGGCAGGTTATTTTGTTATTCTCAGGTCAAAATGAAGTAATGGAAGTTAAGAAACGTTAAGTAATGTATTAGTCAAAGTTCTGCAGAGAGACAGAACCCATAGGATAGATAGATATAGGAAAGAGGATTTATTAGGAAAATCTTATAATCCTCACAAGAGTATGGAGGCTGAGAAGTCCCATGATAGCGCATCTGAAAGTGGGAGACCGGGGAAAGTTGTAGAATGAATCAGTCCAAGTCCAAAGGCACCTGAACCAGAGAAGCTGATGATATAACTCTCAGTCAGAGGCCAAAGGCCTGAGAAACTGATGGGGGGAAGCTGGTGCAAATTCCAGATTCCAAAGGCCGGAGATCCAGGAGTTCTGACATCCAAGGGTGGGAGGATGGTGTCCCAGCTCCAGAAGAGAGAGAGAGAATTTACCTTTTCTCTGCCTTTTTGTTCTTTTGGGCTCTAAACTAATTGGATGATGCCTGCCCACGTTGAGGGTGGAGTTTTCTTATTCAGTCCACTGGTTGAAATAGCAATTTCTATCAGAAATGTTCTCATTGACATACCCATAAATAATGCTTTACCAGTTATTTGCATATTCCTTAATCCAGTCAAGCGGACAGGCAAAATTAGGCATAGTAAGTAACTTGTTGAGGTTAAAAAGCAGTAACTGCTATAGTTAAGATTCTAAAGTTACCTCTCTTAAAGATTAGGGCAGAAGAGTCGCTCATTTATTTTATTCAACAAATATATACTAAGCACTTACCATGTGCCTGGAATATATTAAACAACAGGAATGTCATAGTTAAAAATACAGACAAATGTCTGCTCTTCTGGAGCGTTTTTGTTTTTTGTTTGTTTGTTTGTTTTTTCAGACCAGGGATTAGCAAATTTCTGTAGCAATATTTTAGGCTTTACAGGCTATGTGGCCCCTGTCATAATTACTCACCTCTGCCACTAGAACATAAAACAGCCAGAGATAATTCATAAATAAATGTTTGCACTATGTTCCAATAAAAATTTATGAAAACAGATGGAGGGCCAGATTGGGCCTGTGGGCCATAGTTTTTCCACCCCTGATATAGACAAACAAAAAATTAGATAGATAAGTACTGTTAAAATATAAATTTTATTAGATCCTAAGTGTCAAGGAGAAAAATAGAGCCGAGAAGGGACAGAAGGAGTGGAGAAGTGACAGAGTTTATAATACTAAATATGGTGGTAAGAAAAGGTTTCTCTGTACAATTGGCAATTGAGTAATGGCCTGAAAAAAAAAAAAGACAGAAAGCAAGTTATGTGAGTATCTGGTGCAGGTGGAGGAAAGAGTTTTTGCAAAATCCCTACGGTAGGAACCTGGTAGTTCTGACAAAGGAACAAAGAGAAGATAAGTGAGTTAAGGAAGTATGTGGTATTAGGGGAGGTTAGAGAGATAAGTGATAATAGGATGTTAGATCACAAACACTGGCCAATTGCTCCACAGAAAAGGCCATGCTCTGAATCAGGTGGGAAGTATCGGAGAATATGGAGCAGGACAGTGATAATATGATCTGTTTGTTTTATACTCTGGGAGGATCACTGTAGCTATTATGTCAAGAAATGATTTGAGGGTGGCTTTGAGAGAGCCAGAAATACCAGTTAGATAGTTTTCAATTTCTTAAAGAAATTGTACTTTAACGCAATTTTGGGGAGTAAAATTATTCATCACCCAATGGAATGAATTAAACACAATAGATACATTACTTCTATATGCCAGGAATTCTGCTAAATCCCGCTGTTATAGTCAAAAAGCACACTATTTTTCTCTCTTTATCTGTTTTTGGCTACTAAGTATTTATTTTATTTATTGATGGTTTTTGAGACCAGAGTCTCACTCTGTCGCCCAGACTGGAGTACATTGGTAGTTTCGTAACTCACTGTAACCATGAAGTCCTGGCCTTAAGGGATCCTCCGATCTCAGGCCTGGTCTTTTTTTTTTTTTTTTTTTTTCCTTTCTTTTTTTTTTCTGAGACAGAGTCTTGTTCTTTTTCCCAAGATGACTGCAGTGGTGTGATCATGGCTCCCTGCAGCCTGAAACTCCCAGAATCAAGTGATCCTCCCACCACAGCCTCCAGAGGAGCTGGGGCTACAGGCTCATGCTACCATGTCCAGCTTTTTTTTTTTTTTTTAAGTTTTTGTAGAGATGGGGTCTTTTTTTAAGTTTTTGCTGTGTTTTCCAGGTTGGTCTTGAACTCCTGGACTTAAGCAATCCTCCTGCCTTGGCCCCCAAAAGTGCTGAGATTACAGGCATGAGCCACCACGCCAGGCCCAGGCTGTTTTTTGTTTGGTTTGGTTTTTTGTTTTTTTTTTCAGTACAGACAGGGTCTTTCTGAAGTGCAGTGGAGCTATCATAGCTCACTGCAGTTTCAAATTCCTGGACTCATGCAATCCTGTCACCTCAGTATCCCAAGTAGCTGGGACACCAGGTGCATGCCACTGCATTCGGCTTGGCAACTAAATATTTGATTATCTACCTTTCTTAGTAAAAATAGGTTCTTCTTTTTTTCTTAGATTGCTTAAAACAACAGTAAGTGCAATGACATGTTACTTGAAAAAGAAGAGATTTACTATTTTTTAATAAAAAGATACAAGGTAGCAGGAATGCATCAGCAAAATAGCTTATCTTCTGGTGGCTTCACAACCATCTCTTTGCCAAAAACTGTACATCTGTTAATGGTCTGGTATGTGTCATTCAGAAAGGAGAAAATAGAGCCTAGAAGTTGGTATTCTAATGGTGATGCGACAAAAACACTGATTTAACCTTGGCAAATTCAACAATTTCTTCATGGGTGGATTTGTGGTTTCAGCTGAACTGTAAGGCCCTCACTCACAAAAGCCCTGCCTTTGTGGTCAGCATAAGCATGAGATAAAATCTCCTTTAGTTGCAAGCAAGCAAGGCAGGGTTAGCAAGATCAGCTTTTGGCTGAACTTCAGACAAATCGTCTGCATCACTGATTGGCATCATCAGCTGATAAAGAGAGAATGATTTCATGTTGCCAAGGAACAGAGCATTTAAGGGAGAAACACATGCTTATACTTTAATCTATTTTCCAAGACATTTTCCCAATATCTCTTTGGATTAAAAACAGGGGCCATTTCCCTTATAAATTGAAGGCAGTTATGTCTTCCAGAGAAATTAGATGAAAATGCTAAAATTTTGTAGAGCTTTGAAGTTAATCCTTGTGGATTACTTTAGTCTCTATGCATTTAACAGTCTGATAATATTTCTCTTTTACTATATCTACTAAGAATTCAAATTGGCATTTAGTTTTTACTATAGTATTTGTTTTATTATAAGTAAATGTTATCATTAAGTCATTATTTTCCTTTTAAGTACATGCTTGCTTAACTATAAAATGTTATTTGTCTTAACTCCAAACTTCAACATGAAACATATTAAAATTATAAAGTGTAACAATCTGTGATGTATTTAACACACATATATGTAACACATAAGGATTTGAAAAAGAATTTATTGCATAAACTATAAATAGCAAATAATAGAGCCTGATTTTAAATCTTAATGTAATGAAAACTTCTGAAGGTGCTTTCACTTGTTTATATATACATTTGCAAATGGCTGCATGTATTTTACCTAACAGTTTCTGAGTGTCTTATGTATTTGAATCATTTTTATGACCCTTGAATATTATACTTCATTACCACAATATTTTAGAGTATTAAATTTAATTCTTAGGGATAAAGAAGATTTAAGTGTCAAAATGTCACATAACCAAATGTATTATTTAGTAGCATATTCTTAATTCTGAAATAAAACATCATTTTCTAAAATACTTTCATAAGTGCAAGCATTTGGACTTAAATTTGTTTTTTACTAATTAAATGTGTCTAACTTCTCATATTTGTAGAAATTAAATGACATTCTAGATTTCTCTCACTATTTGGCATTTACTTCACAACTTCTCATTAAAATGCTTGTGTGTATGTATTTCAATGTATATTTATGCATAGCAACTATCTGCTGCGAAATTATACCATATTCTACTCCCAGTGAGTAGAGTTAATTTCTATTTTGCCTCCGTTGTCTCAATCTTTGGCAACTCACTCTTTTTTACTCTTTGTTATACTCTTTTCCTCTGTTTGTCCTGTCTTCCCACTATAAACACACATGCAGGAATTTACAAGATTCTCTAAGGATTCAAGGCAGGCTTAACAGAAGTTAACAAGCTAACCAAAACTTGTAAGAAAAATGTTTTAGGCTTGCTGTTTGGGCTACAGCATATAAAAATCTTGGAAATCATCACTTCTGTACATACGATAAGAAAATATCTAAACAAACTTAAAAATCAACAGTTCTTAGACCTGTCAGGAAACTAAGATTACAGGCAAACCACTGCTCCTACGATTGGATATATAGGCAAGCGTGTGCAGAGAATCACAACTCACCTGAACAGAATCCCTTGAGCAGAAACCTCTGTGGGAACCCACATCAAGGCAGGAAAACCTAAGTGGCAATTGAAAACTTGCTGGAGGCTCAGTGTGGGCAAGCTTGAGAGTGAAAAACTTCAGGGGTATTCAGACTTAGGGAGCCCTTAAAACTTTTGTAAGTATTATCTCCAGGAGTTCTTCCAGCTCTGACAGTGAGAATCAGAGAAAAAACTTTTTTTGCTCCGGCATGGGGAGAATAGCAGCTATTTTGAAATAAGCCCAGAATATTCTGTTCTTCTTAATAAGGAATAGCATCAAGATAAACTAGTTCGCCAGTGCTTAACCAACCTCTGTTTTTACTCTAGGTGATCAACTTTAGTGAATGAAAATACCCAACTCCAGCCCCACCTAGCCTTTCTGTCTTACCTACGGTGTGAAAAATACAAAACAAAACAAACCTGAGAAGCACTTGTGAAGGTTATAGTCTGGGCTCACTAACAGACTAAGACCTAATCCTAGGACTATAGAGCTCTTTATCTCACTTTTTGCCTTACATATCAATAGTATTCCCATATAATAATGAGGACTGCAACTGAAAAAACTGAACAGTTTGAACCCTATTTAAGCAGAAGTCCATAGGGAACCCTAAAGACAATAGAGGAAAGAAAATCAAAGACATGAGAGAAAATTTTTGCCTTGGACACCTACAGCTACAGAAAACAGTAACCACAACTTCTCTTCCACGCAAATTTGAAGAGAGTAGAGTGATATAAAATGTTGAAAGAAGAAAAAAATAACTCTGTAATTCTGTATACACTGAAACTATCCTTCAAAGGTGAAAAAGAAATGGAGATTTCTCAGTCAAATGAAAATTGATAGAATTATTTGTCACTAGTAGATTTGCCTTGTTAGAAATGTTAAAAGAAATTCTTTAGGAAGAAAAATGATATGGGTCAGAAAACATCTATTTGAAAAAGAATTTGGATTAGTTGAAAATATATACTGCAAAGTCAAGGGCAACCACTAAAAAATAAAAATAAAAATGAATGATATGCTAAAAGAGTGAAAAAAAACAATCATATGAAATGCTCAGTGAAAACTAATGAAGGCAGAAAAAGAGTGGAAGGTAAAAGTAGATACTGAGAACAAGGGCAATGAATAGAAAATAGTAATGAACATGAGGGATATTAATCCAACTATATCAATAATCACTCAAAATGGTCTACTTAGACCAGGTAAAAGTCAGAAACTGTCAGAGTAAGAAAGGAAGAAACAAACAAAAAAACAAACAAATATGTGTCATTCTGTAAAAAGCAAAATGTGAAGACAGTGAAAAAAGCAGTCATTTCTAGGGATACAGGGGGATGAAGAAAGGGAGAGATGAATATGAATAAGTGGAGCAAAGGGGATTTTTAGGGTAGTGAAACTGTTTTGTATGATACTGTAATGGTGGATACGTGTCATTATACATTTACCCAAACCCATAAACAACACCAAGAATGAATCCTAACGTATAATATAAACTTTAGTTAATAATAGTGTATTAACTTTGGCTCATCAATGGAAATGAATGTAACACACTAATTCAAAATGATAATAGGGAGACGTGGGGATAGGGGTAAAGGGCATTGTGATACGAGCAGGAGACAGGAAAATACTGGATAAGAGAAGGTGGTTCCCTGGCAAAGGCCCCACACTCAAGCCTGGAAACCCCATAGCCCTAAATGAGAACAGGCATTCCTGTTTTCACGCCAAAAAGTTGCCTTTTGGCCTGCCACGCCCCCATCCTATACCCATATAAACCCTAAACCCCAGGCTCCATAAGCAGACAAAGCAGATGAACAGAAGAGCAAAAGAGCAGTGCAGCAGAGAAGGAGAGAAGAGGAGGAGGGTCTGAACTGCGAGAGGAGTTTAGCTGGGGATGATCAGAGAGATCAGCCGCTG
Source organism: Homo sapiens (assembly GCF_000001405.40). Lineage (NCBI taxonomy): Eukaryota > Metazoa > Chordata > Mammalia > Primates > Hominidae > Homo > Homo sapiens. The sequence continues at coordinate 33,305,971 of NC_000004.12, forward strand.
GACAGCCAAATTCTAGGGAAAGATCATCTTCCCACTCCATCTCTTTTCTAGCTCCCCATCCATCCCGCTGAGCACCACCTCCCTCCACCACTCAATAAAACCTCCACAGTCACTGTCCTTCAAGTCCATGTGTGATCTGATTTTTCCTGGATGCCGGACAAGAGTTTGGGATACAGAAAGCTGTCACACTGGCCCTATGCACTTGTGAAAAGGCAGAGGGTCCTCTGAGCTGTTTAACACTTAAGCCATCCATGGATGGCAAAGTTAAAAGAGCTCACTGTTGTAACACATGCCCACTTGGGCTTCAGGAGTCCCAGGCACCCACCCCTAGATGCTACTATGGGGCCGGAGCCTGTCTCCTGCACTGGCCTGTCTGCATGCTCTTTCTTCCATAGGGGTTTCAGTGCACCTGGCGGCCAAACAGACAAGCCACATCCCTGTCACATGTCCTGTGAGGAAGTTCAGGGAACTCTCCTGTCTCACTTGTGCTTTCCACTCATCTTTCTGTAATCCTACTACTGCTTTTATAAAGTCTGCTAGTTTTTTTTAAAGCTGTGCTTTATTTATTTGCAGTTAAAGAGTCTCCACAGAATGAAAAACTTACTTTTTTCCTTGTAATACCCTACTCCTCTGAGTTCTCAACATTCGTGACTCAAGAAGTTGGTTAACAGCATTTTTGGGAGTGGGTAGCTCTTGGTCTATTGCACAGAGCAATGTAAGTTGCCTCTGATGTAGAGGAAATAGAATTCAGATATTTAGTTGAAGAGATCAAACTGTTCCAACATAGAAAAGAAGAGGTGCTCTGAAGTAAGAGAGCTGTCTTCATGTTAGAAAATATGTATATATATAATTTCATGAATGAGAGCATCCTTAAAAATACTTGGCATTTTCCCTTTCCTGGAACATTCTCATCCTTTTTGAATCCAACACAGTCATGAATGTGCAGAGTTAATGAGGGCATATAAATTAAAAGGCACAGTTTGAGAGGGTCTTACTCTATTTGTGTTAATATGAAAAAATATCTGAGGCTGGGTAATTTATTTTAAGAGAAGAAGCAAGAGCAAGAGGGAAGGAACAAAGCTCTTTTAACAACCAGATTTCAGGGGAAGTCTCATAAAAACAGAATGAGAACTCACTCATGACCCTTAGAACAGCACAAAGCCGTCCATGAGGGACCAGTCCCCAGGACCCAAACACTTCCCATTAGACCCCACCTCCAATATTGGGGATCAAATTTCCACATGAGGTTTGGAGGGTCAAATAGCTAAACTATAACAGGGGACATTTTCAAAACAAATCCAAAGAGCCATCTCTTGGCTATTAAACTATTAAACTTCAAACACTTTATATAATTTGATATGTTTCACTTTAATTTGGTAATATTGTGTTGTGAGGGATATTTCTTTTCAGAACTATTTCTTTTCTCATATCACAAACACTATGAAAGAGAAGGAATGATTAGAAATTACTCTACCTGATGTGTCAAATGAAACATTCTATATAAAAAACTTTTTATACTTCCCTCTTGAATAGTGACGTGTTTGACTAGAAAAGTAATTACCAGTGAATAGGTCACTTCAAATAAGTTTTATAATTAAAAAAATTACAGTAATTAATAATTTGTTTATAGTAACTGAGTGAAAATCAAACATCAATAATATGGTTCAAACCCTGATCCTTCAAGCAGGTTTCTGATTAATGCCTACCTCCCCTAATGTTTCCCCTTTCTGATCTCCATAATGATTACAGTCTGCCTCATACCCTGGCAGTTTCTTAATTCCCATTGTGTGCCTTGTATAACTCTTGATTTTATTTTGTTTGAATTTTAAGTCCAAATTTTATGTCCCAAGCAGATTGATACTATATGTATAAAAGTTCTATTTACCCCCCATGACATTTAAGATGATCAATAAGGCTTCTCGATGCCATTTAAAAAACCACAAACACTATCTTTATGGATATCTTACTCAAATTTAAATGTCAATATTCATTTTAATATTGCACCATCTTAAGATACTCCACATTTCAACTGTGTGACCTTGGAAGAGTTACTTAGCTTTTCTTCACCTCAATATCCATATCTGTCAAATGACATGAATATCAAATTTACTTGCTTCTTGTGCAAAATAAATGCAATGAAACATGCAAACTGATTGGCTCATAGTATGCACTAAAAAAGTGTTGTTTTTATTTAGCATAAATTTACTATTTAAAATTTTAATAAATGTTGTATTTGGAGTGTTGATATTCAATATTACCAGAAAAGAATCCATGTTAAATACAAAGAGGTGATTTATATTTTAGATTGGTGTGCTTTGCCTTCTTAACAAAAAAGAAATAAAGACAATTATGTGGCCAACACACATATGAAAAACAGCTCATCATCACTGGTCATGAGAGAAATGCAAATCAAAACCACAATGAGATACCATCTCATGCCAGTTAGAATGGGGATCATTAAAAAGTCAGGAAACAACAGATGCTGGGGAGGATGTGGAGAAATAGGAATACTTTTACACTGTTGGTGGCAGTGTAGATTAGTTCAACCATTGTGGAAGACAGTGTGGCATTTCCTCAAAGATCTAGAACCAGAAATACCGTTTGACCCAGCAATCCTGTGGCTGGGTATATACTAAAATGATTATAAATCATTCTACTATAAAAATACTTGTACATGTTTGTTTATTGAAGCACTATTCACAATAGCAAAAACTTGGAACCAACCCAAATGCCTATCAATGATAGACTGGGTAAAGAAAATGTGGCACATATACACCATGGAATACTATGCAGCCATAAAAAGGATGAGCTCATGTCCTTTGCAGGGACATGGATGAAGCTGGAAACCATCATTCTCAGCAAACTACCACAAGACCAGAAAAGCAAACACCACATGTTCTCATTCATAAGTAGGAGTTGAACAATGAGGACATATGGACACAGGGAGGAGAACATCACACACTGGGGCCTGTCTGGGGGTGAGGGGCTCGAGGAGGGATAGCATTAGGAGAAATACCTAATGTAGATGACAGGTTGATGGGTGCAGCAAACCACCGTGGCACATGTATACCTGTGTAACAAACCTGCATGTTCTGTGAACTTGAAGTATAATAAAAAAAGAAAAAAAAGTGATTTTAATATTATCTTGTTCAAAATTTTTATTTGGAGCAAAACTTTCTGTAGCCTTTTGAAAAACCTCTAATTGAAAGCTCTGCATGATTATTTTTATAATTAGGAGCTCTTGAGTTTTCAAAGCACCCCACCCCATAATTTGATGATTCTAATAGTTAGGATTTTGTTTTTTATTTTGAACTAAATAAAGGTTTTACTCCCTTTACTTTGAAACACTGTCTTATTCTGCTTTCTTAAGCTACAGAAAACAAATCTGTCCATTTCCAAATAATATACATGTAAAATTGCAAGAAAATATCATTTCAACCATCTTTGGATGAGGCTGTTCAACTAGGTAGAAATACATCTAACTCTGTCCTCATCATCCCTTATTTCTTCAGTTTATTTCTTGGATAAGGTGACAGTTTGTGAAATAAATTGCCAAAGGTAAACATACATTATGGAAACAAAATGCCTTCTCAGAAATCAGAGCTAAATATTTATGCTATTACCATAACCTTCTAGCTAATAATATAATTACAAATTAAAATGAGGTTAGTTTGACTTACTTATTTTTAGAAACACATGTTGTATCCTCATAATATTTTCCATTCATTATTGTTTTTTTTCATTATATTTTAATGACCTTTTGACAACAGTTCTGAGATTGCACAGTAAAATTGTGGCAATATAAAAGGCGGTGAAATCCGTTTAAACAAGTTAAGATGTTTACCTATCTTGACCTATCAACTACCTTTCTAAATATTCATTCTCTTCTGTTTATCCAGTTTAGTTTCTGTTTTTCTTTCTTTTTCTTTTTCTTTTTTTTTATTTTGAGATGGAGTTTCGTTCATTGCCTAGGCGGGAGTGCAATGGCACAATTTGGCTCACAGTATCCTCCACCTACAGGGTTCAAGCGATTCTCCTGCCTCAGCCTCCCGAGTAGCTGGGATTACAGGCATGCGCCACCATGTCTGGCTAATTTTGTATTTTTAGTAGAGACAGGGTTTCTCCATGTTGGTCAGTCTGGTCTCGAACTGCAGACCTCAGGTGATCCACCTGCCTCAGCCTCCCAAAGTGCTGGGATTACAGGCGTGAGCCAAGGTGCCCAGCGCTAGTTTCTATTTTTCAGTTCCAATTTGAAGACTGATATTTGTCAAATGGGATTTGAGTGAATTTGCTGTTGTTTTGGGAAGGAGAATGGAAATATTTCATTTGGTAGAGGGCTCACATCTCCTTTCCTCTCTCACTAGGAAGAAGAACAAAAGAAGAAGATTTGGGGATAGGCACTTGGCTGGCCCTGAAAGAGGAGTAAAAACGAAACTCATTTGCCAGCCCAATATCACTAAAGGAAGAAAAACAATTCACAGTCAAAAATTACATGAAAATCACAAAATCAAAAAACCATTAAAAATTGTGTATACCACAATAATTAGTTCCATCGTCTGGCCTTATAATTTTTGGTTTTTGCAGGTTGAGAATTTCATGTATTTATAATTTATGTTTCTCGTACTTGCTATACTTTAATACTGGATTTTTGGGTCTGGAATGACAAAACTATTGACACATATATTCTTAATATATTTAACAGGATCATACAGAATAAGCGTACTTTTTTGTTTGTGTTATTTTGTGTTTATTTTTATTTTGAAGTAGGGGTGTAATTAATTTGTACCAATTACTAAAATTTTTGCTTGATTTCTTTTTTTCGCTACAGAAGTATATTCAAAAATTTAATTTGTCTAATATATCTGTTCTCTTGCTTTGCTTTCAAATAGGATACAACTACTATTTTATAGAAATATAGGTTAGAATTAAAATATTTCTAAAATATTTTTTCTCCCTATTCAATTACTCAGTTACCAATACGTTTGCATGAGTTCATATTATATTATGTTAATCAGACACCTAATATTTGCTAAAACTTAGATATATTTCATATTGCTGGTGCTTATTACAAGATTATTGTACTGAAATAATACTTGATGTAGTATGTTTGATAGATATTTCCATTGTTGAAAAATCTGATTGTCTTATACTTTATGAAGCAAAAAAATAGGCAATTTTATTCAATTCAACAATATTTATGGAACATTTACTCTTTGGATGAGACTGTATTAGACATTATTGGGGATATTTAGCTCAACAAGAAATAATTTGTGCTCCTTTTCCTCAAAGATTTCACTATGGCCAGGAAAAATATGTCGGCCAAAAGTTTTTTGTTAAGTTCCTACACTGACAATCAGCCATCATACATAGTTCAGAACAGCCATGGATATCTTTTGAGTGATAGTTCCTCATCACTCTAAGCTTACTTGCACACTGATCTTTCTTTCTGAAACACATTGCATCATTTTACATATTGAATCATTCACGTATTTCCCTCAAGGAAGCCTTCCAATCTTTCTGTAACTAGGTTAATATCTCTTGATATATATTTTCATAGCACTCTTGACTGATTGTGTTTTCTGCAACTGAATTATTTGTGTTTGTTTAATGTTTGCCTTGCCTACTAGTGTGTATGCTACCAGAGGGCAAAACCCATTCTTACCTAACTTACCTCCTTATATTCAGGGTCTACTAGAATGGCTGACTCAATGATAATTACTTGAATAAAAGAAGGATGAATTAAGGCATATAATTTATACTGTTTTTGTGAACTCTTTATTTTGAGAAAAATGAAAGTAAATGTTGAAATGTATCCTTTCGCTAAATTTATTACTTGTTAAGATGTTGCCACATTTGCTTTCTTTCTTTCTCTCTCACCTTCTCTCTCTTCTCTCTATATGAAACTTCAGCATGTGTCTGGATGAAATAAGGCATCCTCCTACCAAATCATAATATACTGACCTCCTCAAAGAATTTAACACTAATAAAATAACTTCACATTTCCAGAATGCATATTCAAATTTCCTACATTTTTAAATTCATGATTCAATCAAGTATCACAGATGCTTTATCAAGCTATATTTATTATACTTACTATTTCTTAACAGAGAAATAATTTTATTTTGTTCCTTTGAAACATGACTTACTTAAAGCTTACTTTTTCTTTGAAAAATATGACTTCTTAAAAACTTTTGAACTATTTTAGATTCTGTAGTACACAAATTACCAAATGAATGAGTGGCCTGAAGGCAAAATTTACATATGTCTTTATTTATCCTACCCAAATAGGAATATTTTAAATCTAAGTTTTTAGAAAGTCATTTCTAATGATACAGCATGTCGCATTAAAAGATGATTTCAGAAAACAACAATTTCAATGCCTGACCGAACATTTACATAGTCCTGAAGAACAGATTAGAAAGTTTTCCAGACCTTAATTTTCATCTTGAATTACTTTCTTGAATCTAAGTGTACCCTTAGGGCCTTATAGAAAGTATAAAAAAAAAAAAAGGAAGGCCTGCCAAAAAAAGCATACAATATAAAAAAGTATCATTTTTTTATTTTTTTATTTTCAATACTGTGGTGCTTTCTGAGGGAAATCAATGCAGAAGAGAGATATAACAGGTACTGTCCAAAGAACTTATGCTATTTTAACTCAGCACCACCTTTTTAAAAGCTGCAAGCATAAACATTGTTACACTGAAGAAGTATTTACAAGACATGAGAATAGATGTTTCCATCTGGGCCCATTTCACATTCACTGTGAACAGTTGGATGTTATTGAACAGGCTTTGCCCTTTACTAGTAAATCCTGTAGGTAATCTTATTAAGAACCAGTGGAAAGGGAGTTATATAGAAATCAGAAGTCAGCTAGTCAGTTCTGCAGTAGAGTTCAAAGGGTTTTAATTTTTGTTAAATGCTTTTTCTCTTCTTGTTTATGGAAGTTATCTCATTTAATTAATTATATTTCAAACCTTTAAAAATGTAATCACATGATTTTACACATTATAGTTCTCCCACATGAACACATTCAAAAAGTCAGTTTTGTCAGACACAGACCAGTTTTCTTAGAATGTAATTTAGATAATATTAAGGCATTTTAAGATTCTTTGAAGAACATAGACCATTTCCTAAAAATAATTTCTCTATTCCTCTTAAGTAACTCTAACAAAATATCAAGGAGAACTAAGTCTATAGATTCCCAATAAGCATCAGAGTTTCTTAAAATATTATCTCTGAAAGACAGGCTATTCTGCTTTTGTCACCAAGTAAGTAATGCTGAATTGCTGACTCTTAGAAAATAACAAGTTGTGGATTCTATTTTGTTTCAGATTCTGACATGGGTCATTTTTGTGACATACACTCATTACTTACTTAACCTTTTCTGGCTTTGGTTATAATGTTAGGACTAGGCAAGAATGATTCTCTAAGATCTAATATTAGATTGAATCACTCTTTTGCTCATGACTCTTCAAAGCTTCCCCATTTAATTCAAATAAAATATTCTTAAAAGAACTCTCAGTGCCCTTTGCAATTTGTCCCTATTTATTTGTCTAAACTCTTCTCCATCTATACTCCTTCTCGTTACTATCACTCCTGTTCTTAGCCACCTCTACCTCTCCCAAGCCTTTCCTTAAATATTACATTCTCACTGAATCCTACCTATGCAAGTATCCTTCTGTAAATTTAAAGCCTCTGCCTCCTGCTCTGAATTTCTCCCCATAGCATTCATTGTGTATATGATACAAGACAAAAGTCTTGTATTCATTGTGTATATGATACAAGACAAAGATGAATGACTTAAGTAGTTAATTAACCTAACAATCATTTTTACTGTCTTATTTTGTAATGCACCATACATAGTCAAGAAGTTGGAAAATCAGCCAATTTTTCATCAAAGAAAGTACCAAATTAAGAAAAGACTATCACTTGATAAAGAAGTAAATTGACAGATTGAGTATAATACAGAAAAATACATAATTATCAATAAATCCAATTTAATTAAGACAATCTTAGAATAACAGTTCTATGTATGTAATGTACTTACAAAATATATGTACACATCACAAAAAAGCTATGTAGATTACCCTAGAACAAAAATGTTTAAATAAATTGGACATAATATATTCAAATGCAAAATATTACTGAGTATTTGGATGAATTGTCCTTCTTAACTAAAAGTAGTTATTCATATATATAGGTTCTAATAGTTCCCCTAGTGATATGGTTTGCCTGTGGCCCCACCCAAATGTCATTTTGAATTGTAGTTCCCATAATTCCCACGTGTTATGGGAAGGACCCTATGGGAGATAATTGAATCATGGGGACAGTTTCCTCCATACTGTTCTCCTGGTAGAGAATGTTTCCTGAGATCTGATGGTGTTATAAAGGGTTTCTGCTTTTGCTTGGTTCTTATTCTATCTCTTGTCTGCTGCCAGTGTAGGACCTTTCATCTTCCACCATGATTGTGAGGCCTCCCCAGCCACATGGAACTGTGAGTCCATTAAACCTCTTTTTCTTTATAAATTACCCAGTCTCGAGTATGTCTTAATCAGTAGCATGAAAAAGGACTAACAGAATAAATTGATACCAGTAGAGTGGAACACTGCTGTAAAGATACCTGAAAATGTGGAAGCAACTTTGGAACAGTTTGGAGGGCTCAGAAGAAGACAGGAAAATGTAGGAAGGAATGGAACTTCCTAGAAACTTGTCAAATGGCTTTGACCAAAATGCTGATAATGATATGGACAGTAAAATCCAGGCTGAGATAGAGATGAGTAACTAGTTAAGAACTGGAGCAAAAGTGACTCTTGTTATGTTTTAACAAAGAGACTGGCAGCATTTTGAACCTTCCCTAAAGATTTGTGGAACTTTGAACTTAAAGGAGATAATTTAGGGTATCTGGTGGAAGAAATTTCTAAGCAGCAAAGGATTCAAGAAGTGACTTGGATGCTGTTAAAAGCATTCAGTTTTGTAAGCGAAGCAGAGCATAAAAGTTCAGAAAATTTGCTGCCTGACAATGTGATAGAAAAAAGAAAAAAAGAAAAATCATTTTCTGAGGAGAAATTCAAGCCAGCTGTAGAAATTTGCATAAGTAACAAGAAGCAGAATGGTAATCCCCAAGATAATGGGGAAAATGTCTCCAGGTCTGAAGTCTTCATGGCAGCCCCTCCCAACACAGGCCTGGAGGCCTAGGAAGGAAAAATGGTTTTGTGGGCGGATCTCAGGGCCCCTTTGCAATGTGCAATTTAGAGACTTGGTGCCCATAGTCCCAGCTGCTCCAGCCATGACTGAAAGGGGCCAAGGTACAGCTTGAGCCATGGTTTCAGAGGGTGTAAGCCCCAATCCTTGGCAGCTTCCCAGTGGTGTTTAGCCTGTGAATGCACAGAAGTCAAGAATTGAGGTTTGGGAACCTCTGCCTAGAACTCAAAGGATGTATGGAAATGCTTGGATGTCCAGGCAGAAGTCTGCTGCAGGCACCAGGCCCTCATGAAGAACCTCTGCTAGAGCAGTGCGGAAGGGAAATTTGGAGTTGGAACCCCCACACACTGTCCCCACTGGTGCTCTGTCTGGTGAAGCTGTGAGAAGAGGGTCACTGTCCTCTAGACCCCAGAATGGTACATCCACCGACAGCTTGCACAGTGCACCTGGAAAAGCTGCAGACACTCAGTGCCTGCTCATGAAAGCAGCTGGGAGGGGGGTTGTAGCCACAGTAGCAGAGCTGCCCAAGACCATGGGATCCCACCTCTTGCATTAGTGTGACCTGGATGTGAGGCATGGAATAAACATAAATCATTTTGGATCTCTAAGATTTGACTGCCTCACTGGATTTCAGACTTGTATGGGGACTTTAGCCCCTTTGTTTTCTTCAATTTGTCCCATTTGGAAAGTTATGTTTATCCAATGCCTGTACCTCCATTGTATCTAGAAAGTAACTAACTTGCTTTAGATTTTACAGGCTCATAGCCAGAAGGGACTTGCCTTGTCTTGGATAAGACTTTGAACTGTGGACTTTTGAGTTAATGCTGAAATGAGTTAAGACTTTGGGGGAATATTGGAAAGGCATAATTGGTCTTGAAATGTGAGGACATGAGATTTGGGAGGGGCAGGGGCAGAATGATATGGTTTGACTATGTCCCCAGGCAAATCGCATCATAAATTGTAGTTCCTATAATTCCCATGTGTTGTGGAAGGAAACTGGTGGGAGATAACTGAATCATGGGGTGGTTTCCTCTATACTGCTCTCATGGTAGTGAGTAAGTCTCATGAGATCTGATGATTTCATAAGCGGTTTGTGCTTTCACTTGGCTCTCATTCTCTCTCTTGCCTGCTGCTAATGTAAGGTGTGCCTTTACCCTTCTTCCATGATTGTGAGACCTCCCCAGCCACATGGAACTTTGAGTCAATTAAACCTCTTTTTCCTTATAAATTACCCAGACTCAAGTATGTGTTTATCAGCAGTGTGAAATTAGACTAGTACACCTAGCAAGCTAATTTATAGAAAAAATATGCTCACAGATAAATTATTTAAATGATAGTCATAAAAATGCAACTAGGCTATTGTTGCAGCTTTTTTACCTTGGCAAGCAGGAGAAAATAGCACCCAATAACTTTTTCTTCCACATTTCTTGCAAGTGGGAGGAAGGGTTACAGTGTTACAGGATTCCTTTGGTGCCACTTTGCCAGCTGGAAATCTCTGTGACTGATCTGACCTCTGCCTGGAGCTTCACTCAGGCCTGCCAGGCTCACTCCACCCACTCACCATGGCAGGGTGTGCTTCGTTCATGCCTTGGCCCAGATCCCTTGCCTGTCACAGGATCTGCACTCAGCCTGTGCCAGGACCTGGTGTGCCATGAGCAGCTTTCATGTTGCGTGCCACCATCTAGATGAGGGGAATGCAGTGGTGCCTGAAAACTCAGAGATGCCAGCAACCATGGAGCCTAAAGTGGTGTTACAGCTCTCGTCTCAGGAGTCCTGAGGTCCAACCCCCCAAGAAATGTTAAAGCTCTCTCTTGTTCCCACCACCTTCAGCTCAGCAGATGCGGGTGTGTCACAGTTTGTTTGTTCCTGCCACCTATAGCTTGGTGAATAAGAGTGTGGTATAGCTTGTTTGGTCCTGCTGCCCACAGCTCCGCAAGTTCTGGGTTCTTGCCCTGTGACCAAGAGTAATAAGGTACATAGACACTGGAGAGTGAGTAGGGCAGTGAACGATTTTATTGAGTGACGGAAGGAAAGCTCTCAGTGGAGAGGGGATCTGAGAGTGGGTAGCCCTCTGTGTGAGAGGAGGCCTGAAAGTGGGTAGCCATCTCTGAGGCTGAGTCTAGGGATTTTATGGTCTCAGAATGGGGGGGTGGGTGTGCTGATTGGTCCATGGGCATGCCTGGAAAAAGCACCATTTGATTGGCTAAAAAGCATTCAGGAAGTTCTGACTTTGTTTGTGGACTCTACCTGGAACTGGCAGCTAGGTTTTCAGGCTTCAGTCTTGAAAGTTGGGTTCATCCCTGTCTGCCTAGGAATTTGTCTGTTTTCTGCTGCTATCACTATCAAGAAAAAATTCTGTCAGTATTCCAGATTGATCTCTGGGAACAGCTAGGGTTAAAAAGAAAAAGGACTAATATAATAATAGATAGGATCATTACAAATTCTAAAACTAAAATTAGAAAGATGTTCTAATTTTATTTGGAAATATAGGTTTTCTCTCCTTATATATACAGTATGCTGGAAATAAAGATATATCGAAAATTATTAAAGTTTTGAGAAATGAAAGTCTACATTTTTATATTATTGATTTTGGAAAAAGTAAAGTATAATGAATTTATAAAAACATGAATATTACTGACTAATGGAAAGGGCAAAAAATTAAAAAGTTAAATTATACTCTTTGGACAAATCCAGAAATACTAAAAAAAATTACACAGCCTTTAGGTATAATTAAAGGCAAGTTAAATAAATACAGCTTTGTTCACTTTTTATTTCTACCATATTTCTAAATGGGAGATTCATAAATATCAGAAGAATTAACAGAAGAAATTTGGGAACTATTGTGTGTGTATGTGCAAGTATTTGAAGTTGAATTAGAGAGAGGATTCAACAGGAATATACATTTATGATTTTTTATAAGATGTATGCTTTGTGCTGTAAGCACCCTTAAATCCAAGCCTACAGTAAAATCTAAAACTGTAACTCAAAAATAGCTCAAGAAGCATTATGATTTGCTAAATGACAGAAACGACTCTCAGAGTATTGTTCAGGTTTGTATGGTGACTCATCCTTACCTTTTTAATAGGAAAACCATCTTTTTGTCCTCTATTTCATAAAATCACAATTAACACACATTGTGTTATTTAGTTTTCAATAAGAACTTCTATGTTTATAATGTTTATAAGTCAAATTACAATAGTGTACCCATGTCTGTCCATGTCTGCCCACTCACACAGAGCAGAGGTTCTTGAAATGTTACTTACAGTGCCTCAGGCAAGTTTCTGAAACTTTATTTTATAACCTTCTCTTTCAACCCACCTTCTGTGAACAGCTATTTAAATAAGAAAATGTATGCATCTGCAGGAATACATAGGAAAGACTAAATGTACAGAAAGAAAAGGAGCCTCTCTTTCTTTTACACAATGCTACCACACAAAGACTCAAAAGTGGAGCTTTTAATGCAAGAAAAATAATTAACTATGTGCAAATAGCCTAGCTTCTCCTTTGAAATCACCTGTATTGATTATTATTTTTAAGCAAGAAAAAGGGAATGTTTCAATGTGTGGAAATAATGACCTTAGTTGGAATTTTTACAAAAAAAAGTCTGCCAAAGCAGATGAAATTATTTGAAGACTGAAAATAAAGGTATTAGATACAATATTTGCTTAAGTTTTAAAAATTTCAGGACACACTTGTGGAGTCTTATATTCATGATGTTACTACTAAAATTTCAAAATCACATATTCTCCAAATATGGATTCTAATTTTTAAAATAGGTCTTCATATTGTTTATTTGACACATAATTGATTTTTTTATGGGGATTTATTTGACACATAATTGATTTTTATATCGGGGTAATTACCTGTCTCTCTCTGCCTTCTCTCTCTACACACACACATATGTATGTTTACACACATGTGTATGTATACACACATATATACATATATGTGTGTATATGTGTGCTTATGTGTATCAATGAAGGAAAATTTGAATATGCAAGAAATTTTTAAAAAGATCTCAAATTCCCATCAGTTAAGAGATAAGATTAACATTTTAGTGTATAAAACTATGCTCTTTTTGCCATGATATATTCATGTATACATTATAGCATACTGACAATATGTATGTGGTGATGATTTTGTAATCTGGTGTTTTTCATTTAATAGCTGATGAACAATTTTAATAATATATCATGTATAATTTTCTATATATTATTATGTGAATATGATTTTGAGTATTGTATAAAATCTTATAATTTTGGTTTTATTCACTATTGGTTACTATTATGAATTACATTCATACTTAAAGATTTATGTAAATTCTTTAAATTTCCTCCAGTTAAGTTTCTAAAAGCAGACTTGCTGGATTGAAGTGTACATATAAAATTTAAGTTTCAGCTCCCTTAACACTCTGTACAGTTACAATTTAATCTCTAGCACAGGGTGATGTTTATTTTCCCATAATTAATATTTTATGAGGTAAATTATACGGTTACATTTTTGTTACAATATGTTACCCTAATTAGAAAAAAAGACAGGCTATCACATTTTGGCTTAAGTACTAAGCCTTAAACTAGCACTATGTGAAGCCAGTTCATTCACTGCAGCAAGCTGGTTGGGAAAATCTGTTTTCTCTCCTCTCTCCATCTTTTATTTTTCCTCATCACCATTCTTCTCCTGCTCCTGTACACACATACTGCACACACACAGACACACTCACAAACACACTAACACACATTCATATTTATACTTAAAGGAAATAGTCTTTGTTCTACTAAATATTCAAGTTAAAATTGATTTTATTGGAAATGGAAAAACCTTTATTTGAGAAAGTTGCAAAACTTCCTAATAATTGTTTAATAATTGGACTAAAATGAGTTATATAGTCTTTGTCTTTTCTTTCTTTCTTTTCTTTCTTTCTTTCTTTCTTTCTTTTTCTTTCTCTCTTTCTTTCTCTCCTTCTTTCTTTCTCTCTTTCTTTCTTCTGCCCTCCACTCTTTTTGTTTGTTTACAGACAAGGTCTCACACTGTCACCCAGGCTGGAGTGCAGTGAAGCGATAACAACTCACTGCAGCCTCAAACCCATGGGCTCAAACAATCCTCATCCTTTAGCCTCCCAAGTAGCTGGAATTACAGGAGGCTTTTTAAAAAAAAATATGATAACAAAAGGTTTCAGTTAAGCCTTTTCATACTTGTAAAGTATTATCTAATTTATTGCTTATTCTTTACCACAACATTCAAAGTCTGGCTTTAAAACTCATTTTATAGTTGAAAAATGAACATACAAAGAGACAGAGTGCCCTTACTGACTTTCCAAAAACAACAAAAATAGCCTAACTTAGAGTTTCTCAGAGGTTTAAATATGTATATATGTATAAAACATATATATGTGTGTACTTTTTTTGTATACATATATATACACATTTATACATATATAAAAATATATATACATTTGTGCCTCAGTCATTAGCTTTATGCTGCATAGGTGTTTTTAGATGGTTGCTTAAATCCCCACATGTCAAATATATGTTCCTAAACAATCTTATAAAGTAACAACAATACAACGAAAGCAACAGCGGATATTAAAACTGGAAGAGGAGCTTGCATATATGCCAGCTTTGCCTTTAAGTTTGAAGAGGAAGAAGTAAGACTACCATAAATTAACTATATAGACCGATATAACCCTGAAGGAAACCAGACATTAAATCTAATTCTTCTGATCATGGATATAAATATACTATTGTATGCCACGTGAAAAATAATTTATTAGTTTACAGAGAAAAAGTATGCATACTATTAAATTCTAAAACCATATGAATCTTACAGAAGGGCAATGGGTTAATCTAGGTGGCATTTTAAATGTTTTGTTTCAAAAAAATCAACAAATAATATCAAAAATCTTTTCATTTTTATGTTTTCTTGTACCTCCATTTGGATTGGAATGGATAATCTTCTCTTGTTTTAAAGCCATAGCACACATTTAAATTTTGCTACCATAAAGATAGCATTTCATTGCCTGGAGAATTAAATCAATTACCATAGATTAATACACTTTAATCCTCTAAGATATGCTACCTAATTCTAAATTTTCAACTGTGTTTGCTGTATTAACATTTAGTCTTTGATGCCAAATGACTAGGATATTTGTGGTTAGGAAATAATAACTCTAGAAAATATTTGTAAAAATGTCATGCTCAGAGACAGTCTCTATCTTTTGCTTCTGTCAGGTTTGTTTTATTTCTGAACATCCTAAGTTAACTTTATTTTTTGCACCTCTTTGCTTGGTTAAAAAAAAATAAAGCAATAGCCAAATGGCAATTAAGAATAACAAATCCTGGGTATAAATTCCATCTTGACCCACAATCCAATGAGATTTATTGGGAGAGTAATTTCCCAAATCTTTCCTTGAGTATAATCTAGATATAAGATACAAGAATAGCCAAATTCACTATTTTATAGGAAACAGGCTAATAGTTCTTAATGATTAATATTTTATTTTATCATTTAGAGACCAAGTCCTCTGGACCAATTGGCCAGAGGCATTCATCTTCCTGCAGAATGCGGCAGACTAGGATTTATTACAGAAGGAATTTTTAAAAAATGTAATATTCAGTTTTGTCATATATAAATTGATGAAACAAGACATTAGATGTGAGGATTAAATAATGTTGGATGAATACTTCTTTTTCCAAATTTACTTAACTTTCTTATCTTCTCAATACTCTGTATAACCATGACATTAAGGCTTCAGAGATATGTTACTCTATAGAACACAGTTGTAACATGGTTTTTTTTAAAGCAAACGTCTTTTTATTTTCTTGAGAATTAGTAGAAAGAAAGATACAAGGAGGAAGAGTGAATCAATCAGAGATGAGTAGACATTTTTCTTTTAAGTCTTTGGTTTGGTGAGCAGGAGATATATTACATGATGGAGTTAAGTGGAATGATAAGGAAAAGAACATATCTTCCCTTTTTTTCAGGAATTAAGACAACTCTTGAGTCACCTTGTATGAAGCTTAAATGTAGCAAAAATAACTTGGCAAAATTCTGTGGAGCTGGGGTTACTTTCTCTGAGTTTTCCTCAGTTTTCATCAGGAATGGATGCTGAATTGCCAGGCAATTACCTTTCATGAGGTACATTTTTTTAGGGAATACACAAAGATTGGGAGAAGACTGACCAACAGGAATGAATGGAGCACCGCAAAGATAATCTGCAGGCTGAGTCAGTGGGAACCAAAGTTGAGTAGAGTCAGCCAGAGAAAGCTGTTAGGTCCTGTCTGAGCCATGAGTTGTGTCTCCTACAGAGCTTGCCATGAGTACTGTAGCCAAGAAGGCAGGTGGATGAAAGGATCCAGATCCGTTAGATAGTATGTCATGCTATATTTCCTCTGCTGAGTTTCTCTAATAAGGAAGAGAAAGAAGAGGGAAAAGTAGGTAAAGTGTCTTTTAAAAATTCACACAACATGTAATTCATCAAGAAATAGAACACTTTTTATTTACGCCTAGGTTTATTTTAGGTATTTGTAAGAACCTGTGTATCTCCAATCAGGCTACATTATCTCTGAATGCTTGTTCAGCTCTAAATTTCTATACAATATTTTATTTAAATTGGTTAGGGATGAAATGAAAACTTTAGACATAATCCTTGTCTTAATAAGTTTACTGCTTATTTAGGAAAAAGCAAAGACAAAAAGACATGTAATGTTAATATAAAGGCAAAATTGAATACCAATAATCACAATAATCAAAGAAATTAAAAAGATAGGCTTAATTATTTAACATGAATCATGCAAGAAATGGGTATTAAAATTTTGGTACATGAATAATTTGGTAACATTTGAAGTTCTGTGTGAGGAATGTCAAGATACACCTTGATATATTTGCTCATTTATACAACTCAATACTGTATGCTAGAAAATCTGTTATGCAGTGGGAAGTCAGAAGTAAATAAAGCAAAAGGAAAGTCTTGTCCTTAAGAAGCTTACAGTCTAAGCTTAAGAGAGACTAAACACAATAAACAAAGGAAGTACAAAGTTGGATTAGTGTGTTTGCAGATCGTTCATAATAAATGTTACGGGTGTAATATAGACATGCAGTTCTTAACAGGGTTGTGGTCTGACAAGTGCATCATTAGGCAATTTTGTCATTGTGTGAACATCATAGAGTGTTCTCACACAAACATAGACGATAGCCTACTACACACCTAGGCTATGTGTGATAGCCTATTGCTCCTAGGCTACAAATGTATACAGCATGTTACTGTACTGAATACTATGAGAAGCTGTAAGACAATGGTAAGTATTTGTGTATCTAAACGTAAGAAAGGTACAATAAAAATACAGTATAAGAGTTGAAACATGGTACATCAGTTACTATGAATGGAGATTGCAGGATGGGAAATTGTTCTTGGTGAGTCAGTGTGTGAGTGGTGAGTCAATGAGAAGGCCTAGGACATTACTGTATACTTCTCTACACCTTTTAAACACTGTAGAACTTAGGCTACAGTACATTTAAAAAGAAGGAACTTTTCTTTATTTAATAATAAAGTTAGCTTACTGTAATTGTTTCACTTTATAAACTTCTAAATTTTAACTTTTTGACTCTTTTGTAGTAACACAGCTTAAAGCACGAATATGTTGTACAGCTATACAAACAAGTTTTTATTTCTTTATGTCTTCATTGAATAATCTTGTTTCTATTTTCAAATGCAATTATTTTGTTTTTTACTTTTTAAACTTTTTGTTTAAAATGAAGGCACAAGCACATACATTAGCCTAGGCCTACACAAGGCCAGGATCATCAATATCCCCTGTCTTCCACCTTCACATCTTGTTCCACTGGATGACCTTCAGGGACAATAACATACATGGAGCTTTCATCTTTTATGATGACAATGCCTTCTTCTAGCATACCTCCTGAAAATGTGCCTGAGACTGATTAACAGTTAACTTTAAAAAATATAAGTAGAAGGAGTCTAAAATAACAATAAAAATATAATATGCATAAATGACTAATAGTCTATTATTATTATTATTGTTATTGTATTATTATTATAAAATACATAAATGAGTACTTGTCTATTATTATCAAGTATTATATACTATATGTAATTGTGTGTGCTATATTTTTATTCAACTCACAGCTCAGCAGGTTTGTTTACAACAGCATTGCCACAGACACATGAGTAATGCATTGTGCTAGGGCATTATAACTACAAAATCACTAGGAGATAGTGATTTCTCAGCTCCATTATAATCCTATAGAACCGTAGTTGTATACACAGCCCATTGATTACCAAAATGTTGTTATATGGCACATCAATGCACCTAGTTATTAATAAGGCTGGAAGTATGGAAGACTAGTAATTAATACTGAGACAAAGCAGGGTTCCTGAAGGGGAAAGTAATGGTATATTAAGCTGTAAACACTGGTAGTGGACAGACTTTTCAGTGTGCTGATGATTGGGCTCTGCAGTTTGGATTTTGTGTAATAGGTAGTGTGAAACTACTAAAAAATTCCAATCAAGGGAGTGGCATATTTAAAACTTCTATTTAGGAAGAAAGGTCTAGTCAGAACCAACGGAGACGGGATAGAAACTTATACAATTACTGGAGCCCAGATAAATTTACATAGCAATGCAAGGTTATGTAAAGATCTTTTGCTACTTTGTATTACTAGAATTCCCCTAAAAGAGTTGTTGTTACAAAAGAGAAACTTGCTCTCAACGTCCTCCAATTTTGCAGAAATATCTGCAGAATGGGCAGGAGGATAAAATCAGGAAGATAAGAAACCTAGTTGATAATCTATTTATTTGTTCATTTTATTGACTCATTCATTTATGAATTTCCTCACAAAATCTTTTTTGAGTACCTATAATGTACCAGGAATATGGTGAATGGTAGGAAACCATGATTAAGAAGACACGATGCCCCTTTGGGAGACATGAAATTCACACAATATCCCTTCGGTGTAGCAATGGAAAGGGTAGAAGTATGTTTTGAAGCAAAAGAGGAGGAGAGAAGAGAAGACAAAGAAGAGAAGAGAAGAGAAAAGGAGAGGAGAGGAGAAGGGGCGAGGAGAAGAGAAGGGAAGAGAAGAGAAGAGGAGAGGAGAGGAGAGGAGAGGCAGGGAGGAGAAGAGAAGGGAAGAGAAGAGAGGAGAAGAAAAGAGAAGAGAAGAGAAGAGAAGAGGTGACTCACTATGTCTCTGAGAGGAAAAGGAGAACAAGAATCTTACTCCCAAGAAATTGAGGATCAAGCTGAGTCTTTTCAAATAGTAAACAAAAGACTAGGAAAGGGGTAACAAAATGTCCACTGGGGAAAATATATCAGATAGATACGAGAAAAGAGGTTTAGTTTACGGCATTATTGGTGGAGGGAACTACCATGACAAAGGCTTTTCAGTCAATAATGGGTTTGTCTACAACTGTTGTTGAGGAAATAGAAAATAAAGCTTCTTTATGGAAATAATAATACATAATGAATATATCGTTGCTAGCAAAATCAGCCATAGTGAAAGAACTTTTGGTATGTCTAAGTGAACACTTTCAACCTAGAGTTGAAATACAATGACTGAATCATGGAAGAGGGGTCAGGAATGTAGATTTAAATGTGCAAGAAGAAACATAAGAAAGACTTTTCTTTATGCTTAAAATTAAATATTTTTAAATTATTTTATTCATCCCAATGTCATAAGCACTGGAATTCAGCAAAACTTCTAACTAGACTTGGCAATTAGGTAAATGATTTGTGTCTCCATTATTATTATTATATTTTGGTGTACTTCTTTTAACTCATAGGAAAAAATGAGGTAATTTAACTTTTTTTCCTAATTCTATTGTTTAAACTATATTACAGTTCAAATTATATCTTCCTTTATATTATACCTTTATAACCCTTAAAATCAGTATTTCAGACTGCCATATGATCTGAAGTAGCAAACAGGGAGACATCTTTTGCCAGATATTTGTTGTTTACATAAATATTTTTAAATTCTTCTTTTTCCTTTTCCAGAAATCCCTTTCACATTGAATGAAATTATGATTTTATAAAATTAGGAATAAAATACTAAAAGACCTCTCTTACAGATGTTTATACTGAAATAAAACGTAGGCAGTTTCTAGTTAAAATTCATCATATTATAATTGTCCAGAGAACATTCTATAGGTTAGAGCTGTTTAAAGGTTGAATTGGACTTCTTCAGGAGGTAATGAGTTACTCATCAGGGAGAAACAGAATGAATTTAAAACATATGGTGACATTTATGAGCGTAGAGCTCTAAGTGAAATTATTGTTCAACATTACTCATGTGATTTGGACCTAAGTCTTTTTTAACTACCTGAACTCTGTCTTTTATATCTCAAATATTTAATATTCATCAAAGTAACGATGTGATTTTTCATTAAGTAATGTTTAGCAAGCAAAAGTAAATACTCTCCTCCAAGTAAACAAACTAATAATATTCCTTCTTCAAGAATTATATGAAATTAAAAAAAACACAATTGTTAACTTACCATTCTATTTTTCTTTGTGCCAGAAACTTTTGGGTCTGGAAATCAAAGTTCTTTTAATTAAAATACTCCATCCAAACCTAGATTATACTGAGTGACTTCAGTTACTCTTTCAGAACTTGATACTTTGGAGGGAGCAGAAATTCTTGAAACTGAGTGTTTAGGCATGTCCTTGGGCTGATTTAAACCTCTTGGGGTTAATGAAATAGAAACAAATTTGCCTTGGGACTGCTAAAGGTGTCTCCTCCAGCTGTTTTTTATTGGTCAACTGCTATCCTGAGAACAGAGTGACTTATGGAACAGATGCTTAGAAATTTTTTGTTTACTCCAGTGTAATAAGCAATGCAGCATTGAAGCATGCTAGGTCAGTAGATGACTATGGGAGTAGTCTTGGAACATAATTTTAAAAATGTATTTATAGTAACTTTTTCTATTTATTCAGTCAATATATATTTATATATACTCTTTCAGGACCTAGGAAAATAGTGGTGAAACATTTAATTCTTAAAAAAAACCCAAAAACATAGACACAAATATGATTTTTTGAGGGAATTGAAATTCTTTATGGTACTATAATGATAGATACATGCCATTATACATTCAGACCCATAGAATGTATAACACCAAGAGTGAACCCTAATGTAAACTATGGACTTTAGGTTATTATGATGTGTCCATGTAGGTTCAACATTTGTAACAAACGTACCACTATAGAGGGGAATGTTAATAATGGAGGAGGCTATGTATGTAAAGGAATCTTCTCCTCAATTTTCCTATAAATCTACAGCTGCTCTAAATATAATCCAAAACAATTAATGGTTGCCAGGTCCAACCCACAGACCCTGGCCGAATGACAGATGAAGGAATGCACTCAGACACAGGTATCCAGTGAAAGAGCGGGCTAGGGGCCCGGGCTGCTTACAGATCCTAAGGATGGTGCTGTAAAGAATCAGCAGCCATGGCCCTAATGAGCTGGCGCTGTGAGCATTTATTTAGAACAGATTTAATGACAAAGTCAACACACTTGTGGGTTACCCACCCCCCACACCCCCCACCCCGCCACCCTGGAGAGATCAGTCCTCTGTGCGGATGATTAAAGGCCAGGTTCCGAGGCCTAAGTAAACTAACTTATCCAGATTAGTTTCTTTACATCCGTTTGTTATCTAACCTAAGCTTTCAGGCACCAGATAAGATAATCTGACTGCCTTCAACCAAATCCTTTTCCAAAGCTTTCCAAGAAGATTTGCATCTTTCTACAATTTTTCCCACCACCCTCACCAAACACCTACAAATGGTAAGTCTTCTGAATTATGTAAAATACGGCAATATGACAGAGAATATTTGAAGTCTGTTCTAGGTAGATTATCAGAAAAAGATTTCTTGATATTTGAGTTGAGAGGAAAACAATGAGAAAAATGCACATGTGCAAAGACATGGGAAGATGTGTGGAAGCTTTCCAAGAAATAGAAATAGAAATTGCAAAGGCTATCACATAAAAATGTGCTTGGTCATTTTTAAAGACAGAAAAAGGCCCATTGAGCCATACTTTAGAGAGGATGAGGAGTAGTTAGTGAAAGACCTTCTATGACATGATGACTTCAATTTTATTCACAATTGCTATGAAACCATTGGATTTTAAATATTTGAACAGTGAACATAGGATTTATTTTATTTTGTGAAGTTGAATCGTGTAGGGCAGGAGTGGAGTCAAGTTGTTCAGTATAGAGACTTGCAGTAAAGAGTTCAGGTGAGAGCTAATGGTAACTTGGATAGGGTTGTAACACTGAAGAGAATAAGAGCTCTGAATCAGAATATATTTTGGACACTGAGCCAGCAGAACTTACACAGTGGATAAGAAATGTAAAGGAAAAGAATGAAATAAAGTTACTCTTAGATTCTTGGCTTTATCAAGTGAAGCCAATCTGAGGGTAAAGTAGTCGTGTGTGTGGTGGTTGGGGAACCAACAACTGAAATCTTGAGATGCTTGTAGACATCTCAATAGTATACATTGACTATTAGCTTTACTACTCTGGAACTCAGGAAATAGAGAGTGACTAGGAATAAGTCAGGCTCTTACGACATTGCAGAGAACATTGTGTTCAGGGAAAGAAAGAGCAGTCAGTTATTTCAAATGCAGTTGATAAGTAAGAGGGGGAAATTGCCCATTTATTTGACAAGATATATTTATTGTTGGTTAGTCATTGACTTTAATCAGTAACTCAACTATACTAATTAAATATTTTGGACTGATAAATCTTACCTTAACTCCTTTATGATTGTCAATAATGCAGTAATAGTAATATAATCAGTAGAATTATTTTAAAAATTAACCCTTTCTGAAGTAGCACAAACATTCTGAGAAAAGGATGGCTAAAAAGGATAGGTGTTTCCACAATCATAGAAACCAGTCTGTCTCTTGTAATCATCTATATATTATTGTCCAAAGCCAGGAATCCCACACATGTACAATTAACTGGGAAGCCACTTCATGAATATTCAGTTTGATGTATACGAGTAAACTTTTGGAAGTTGAAACAAGGCAGCAACTAGCTCTTACACAAGTCATTTTACAATCTAAAGAAGGAAGATTCTGTGGTTGTTAGGCATTTGACTTTTTTTCTGTATTTATGTTTTATTATTTATTATTTCTGATATTGATTGCGAACTGAAAAAGATTAAATTTAATTTCTTACTTATGGGAACATAAACGTGGGAGAGTAGAATCAAATTATCCTATTCTGAATATCAATCAATACACCATCTGAAAGAGAATAAACCTCATTATACAAACATAGGTAATTATAACCTGAAAAGACACGGTGACTATCTAATTCTATGATAAATTATAACTAAAGAGATTAACTTCTTTTTTTTTTTTTTTTTTTTTTTTTGAGACAGAGTCTCGCTCTGTCACCCAGGCTGGAGTGCAGTGGCACAATCTCGGCTCACTGCAAGCTCCGCTTCCCAGGTTCACGCCATTCTCCTGCCTCAGCCTCCCGAGTAGCTGGGACTACAGGCGCCCGCCACCGCGCCCGGCTAATTTTTTGTATTTTTAGTAGAGACGGGGTTTCACCTTGTTAGCCAGGATGGTCTCGATCTCCTGACCTCATGATCCACCCGCCTCGGCCTCCCAAAGTGCTGGGATTACAGGCGTGAGCCACCGCGCCCGGCCGAGGTTAACTTCTTTTGGTACATTTTGATCAAATATTCTCACAGTTAATTACCAAATGTAAGGAATCCTGGAGACATCTACAGAAATGCAATACAAATTGATATACTGGCCTTTTGTTAAAAATGGTTAATTTAGTTGATCTTTTTCGCTGCTGAATTCTGCTTTCTATGATAGACCTTCAGTTTCCTTAAGGATGCCATAATGATTTTTGTCCCATAGCTCCTGCTGTTATAAAGTAAATTTGGGGATCAGATAGAATTTGTACCACATCTATTTTTTTTTTTTTGTACGTGGGTGAGAGTTCAGGCTGAAAGAGAAAGTGAAAGATGGGTGACCAGAAATTCTTGCTCTAATTTTGACCTTTTTTGTAATCCCTAGTAAGTCACCTAACCTCACTAGAAGTCACTGTCTGAAGTAGTGAAGACAAGAAAGAAAGGTACAGGCTTTCTATCTTTCAGAGACAGGGGGCAAAATAATAATTGAGGTTTTTGAATGAAAACAGAGAGAGGCTGTTTCTTTACAAGTAAAGAAAGAAAATATCTGTGAGTCTGGAATATTAATATGCCTATGGAAATACAAGCCTTTGTTTTTTTCTCAAAACAGGTATAGCTTTATCTTACTTCAGTTAATGTAAAAAGCGCAAAGTTCCTATGAAAGCATAAGAAAAATCAACTTCAATGTGAATGTTAGAAATAAACTTCAGAGTCTGTTTTGTTGCACAATGTCCTTTATACAATTTCTACCTGAAATTAGCATTTGATTTAGATAATGAGTTGTTTTATTTGCTTTAAGAACATGGGCAAAAATTTCATTGACTTGGCTTCCCTTTGAGGTCTGCCAGGAGCCCCAGACACATTTTTGGATAAGAATACGCATATACTCAATTTGAGATTTGATAAAGTATTTTTCAAATGATAAAGTTCATACATATGTGAGTTACTTACTATTATTGCATCCACTTATATCCTGAATTCATCTTCGGCAGAATTCGTTTTAGACTAATTTGAAAGGAAGATAATATTTGCTTATTGGTCAACCATTCTCTGCTGTGCATTTTTTTACCTTAAAAAATCCAAAATATGTAAAGATGTCTTTATATTTCTTAATCTTACACATTACCATTATTTGATTTTCTTGCTTTTGTAGGCAATCTCCCATGATATGGACATTGAATTTCTCCCACTTCATCATATTTACCTGATTGCTGGCTCATTTACTCATAGTCTTTTAAGTGGTTAATTCATTCATTTCTCTGGTTACAAACTACTGGTTATCTACAAAGAACAAGGCTCTGGCTCTAACATAGGCAAAAACAAAATATAGTTTCTCCTCACAAAGAATGTATCGTATAAGGTAGCAAATAAGAAAGTATGTAGGAAACCTTTACTGTAAGTCATCTTAGAGGTATTTTATGACTTTAATTCAGATGTGTTAGATCACAAAGTAATCCATAGGAATTTGTGGATTATTGATGTACGATATATGATTTGGTGGGATATGACTGTGAATGCATTTTGAAAATATTAAGGCCTTTATAAAGTGGTAATAATACTAATCATATATAAAGTTTTAGTGCACAGGCCTATTAGGTCCAGATTGTCACAAATTTTGATATGTGACAAATAAATGCGATTAAGTTGACTCATTTTTATTCTTTTCTTATTCTTGTCACTTAAAAAATCCTCACAACAATGCTATTACTTTTCGCAGAAGCAGAAAACTTAAATCCCTTAATTTATGCTTTGGGTCCAGTTACAGAACTGAAATAGAATTCTTGCAGGGATAGTAGATAAAACTATTATTTTTCCTCAATATTTGTTTTTTAAAAACTTAATTTTGTTTTTCCAAGATGATAGATAAAGGCTTTGAGTGTGCCTGAGTCACCTGGAAATAGCAAGATACTGCAGAAAGATCAACCTGTGAGCTTTATTTCAAGAGGGAAAATGGGAATCCACCAGAATCATTACGGACATCCCTGATCCTAGGGTGGAGCATGTAGGCAAACAGCTTCCTTGATTGTGTCTGGCTGATAAAACTGAGTGAAGGACTCATATGTAAGAGAAGCAGAGAGCCTCTCTCTGTGATTTACCTTTCCACTTGGGATCTGAGAAATCCAGGTTGAGGAAGAACATTTTATTTCTCCCAAGCCCTGGCACTAACTTGGGGAGAGGCCTAGGGATACTGAGACGTAAAGACAAAGAGGGAAAAGCTGCAGGCATTTTCCAAGACCAGAGACCAAGAGCAGGACACCATTTGCAATTCAGGTGCATGCAAAGTCAGTCATTCTTTGATGACCTGACAGCATGGCATGCAGGCATTTCAGGCTTGGGCCAGAGATTGGACCACTTGTTCTGGAGCAGGATAGGGGCCTTCTTGGCCAGAACGGTGGAAGGCACCTCAGCAGTAAGTGCTGAAATTGTGCTTTTCCCCATTGCAGAACCGAGGCTGGAGGGGAGCTGCTGCAGCTGCAGTTTCTCCTTAGTGGTGAGATGTGCATCCAAGGCCAGCTGGGCAACCTAAAAGTTGTCTGTATGTGTCATTGCTGGGTGTCCCAAGCTACTCCCTTGAGATCATGGTACAGCAGGGCCCTGTTGGCTCCATGCCCAGGTCAATCTACAGGCATTCAGAGAATCCCCTCACCTGGAAGAGCCTGATCTTCCCCAACCTTCCTGTGCATAGATCATGGTAGACTGCAGCCCTTACGACTACAAGACAAGCAGATCTTGAGCCATTCAGAGCACCTGCTTGGATGAACTAGAGGCCTGAGTCACTTTGCCCTTCCTGTGCAGACATCCTGATACAAGCAGGTCTCTTCCATTTCATGCCCAGGCAGATCTCCAGGAACCCACTCATCTGGTTCAGCAGCCTGAGCTGTCCCATCCTTCCAGGGCATAGATTGTGGTGCAGTGGTACCCTCCCTGCTCCACAACCAAGCATATCACCAGGCATTTGGAGAACCTGCTTGCCTAGACCAGCACCCTAAGCTACCCCACCCTTCCTATGCAGAGATTACAGCACAGTTGGGCCTTCATCACTCAATGCTCAGGCAGATATCCAAGCAGTCTGAGTACACATTCTCCTGAATCAAGAGCCTGCGCTGACCCACCCTTCCTGTGCAGAAGTCATAGTGGAGCAGGACCTTCTCCAATCTGCAGCCAGGCAGATCTCCAGGAATCTGGAGCGCACACTATCCTGAATTAGGAGTTTAGGCTGCTCCATCTCCCCATGAAGAGAACTTGGGGTCAAAGAGGTTTCCCAGATCCATGCATAGGCATACTGCTGGGTGCTTGGTGGCCACCCACTGGATATTCCCTTGGTACTTGTGCATGTGCCTGCCATAAGAGGAACTGTAGGCATCCATACCCATGTCCAGCTCTGTCTATCTTGCCTCTTACTCCCCTAGGGCTAAGTAGGGAGCTTAGACCACTGTGCACTTGGTGGATCAGTCCATTGTCTGAGGCAATGAGAGCTTTTCCCAGTAAACAAGAATCAAGTATATATCTAATCATGTTGGCTGCAGCTGGATCTTACCCATAAGGGCCATCTACCTGTTTATAGATTGAATCAGACAGTCCAATGTGAAACCTGCTGACAGAAGTGCATAAGGCTAGAGAAGCCAAGTCCAAAGACTCTAACCATTATTCTCTACAGTCAAACCCCCTAGGGAGGGAGGAACATAGAAAGGGAAAGAAATATAATAATAATAAGATTATTATTACAGGGAAAGAAAGAAAAAGAAAAAAATTCTCCCATATGAAATATAACAAGAATTAGAAGTGCCAGAGTCTCCAGATGAGAAGGAACCAGCAGTATTTCAGCACCTTGAAAAATCTGAAAGTAGTGGCAAACCAAATAATCACACTCTCCAGTAATGGTCCGTAATAAAAATGTAAACTCAGAAATGACAGATAAAGGATTCAAAGTATGGAGAAAGAAAGGTCAGTGAAATCCAGGACAAGGATGAAAATAAACACAAAGAAACTTCTAAAGCAATTCAGGAAATGAAGGAAGAGATAAACATCTTAAAAAGAAATCAATCACGCCTTCAGCATTGAAAACATTTACTTAATGAATTTCAAAATACAATTGAAAAAGTTATCAGTAGACTTGACTGAGCTGAAGGAAGAATTTTAGAGCTTGAATATTGCTCTTTCAAACTAACAAAGTCAGACAAAAATAAAGAGAAAAGAATGAAGAAAGTCTTCAAAATACGGGATTTTATAAAGTGACCAAACATGAATTATTGGCATTCCTGAGACAGAATGTGAAAAAGTAAACAACCTAAAAAAAATATTTGAGAGAATAATTTAAGAAAATTATCCTAATCTTGCAAGAAATGTAGATATCCAGATACAAGAAATCCAGAGAATACTTGCATGTTACTATGTAAAACAAATATCACCAACGTCACCAGACTATCCAAGGTCAAAGCTAAAGAAAAAAATCTTAATTGTACTCCAAACCTCAACATCACACTATGTACCCATGTCACAAAGCTGCACATATACCCCTTGAATGTAAAATTTAAGTTGATATTATTTTAAAGAATGAATTTGATTTAATTTTTTTTAAATTTGTATATATTCATGGGGTACAATAGCAAATTTGCTACATTGTTAAATTGCTCTATTGTAAAGTCAAGACCTCTAGTATATCCATTACAGGAGCAAGGCATATTGTAGTCACCAAGTAACCTCCCATCGTTCACACCACACCCACTCCTCCACACTTCAGAGTTCCCATTATCCATCATTTCAAACTCAGCTTCCATGTGTACACGTTATTTGGCTTTCACTTATGAGTCAGATCATGCAGTATTTGCTTTTCTGTGACCAAGTTGTTTCACTTAAGACAATGGCCTCCAGTTCAGCCAGGTTTTGCAAAAGATATGATTTGATTCTTTTTATGGCTAAATAGTCTTATGGCTAAATTCTTCCTATGGCTATAAACATGTATACATACCACATTTTTTTTAAATCCAGTCCTCCATTGATGGTCAGTTAGGTTGATTCCATGTTTTTGCTATTGTGAATAATGCTACAATAAACATGATGAGGGATCTTGATATAATGATTTATTTTCCTTTAGGTAGATACTCATTACTAGGATTGCTGGATCATACAGTAATTCTATTTTTACTTGTTTGCAAAATCTTCATACTGTATTCCAGGAGGTTTCACTAATTTACCTTCCCTTTCATAGTGTATAAGTGTTTCTTTTTATCCATACCCTCTCCAACCTGTATTTTTTGTCTTTTTTAATAATAGCGATTTGATTGGTGATGATGCTGTCTCATTGTGGTTTTAATTTACATTTCTCTGATGATTAGTGATGTTCAACATTTTTTTCATATACTTTTCAGTCAGTTGTTTGTATTCTTTTGGAAAATGTTCATTTATGTTAACACACTTTTTAATAAAATGATTTGGGGGTTTTTGTTGTTTGATTTTTTAAATATAAATTCTGGATATTAGTCCCCTTTCAGATGCATAGTGTGGAAATACTTTCTCTCATTTCAAAGGTTGACTGTTCACTCTGGTGATTATTTCTTTTGCTGTGCAGAAGCTTTTTAGTTTAAGTTCTATTTATCTATTATTGTTTCATGTGCTTTTGACGTCTTAGCCATAAATTCTTTGCCAAGACCAATGTCTAAAACAGGTTTCCTAGGTTACCTTCTAGTATTTTTATAATTTTAGGTCTTACATTCAAATCTTTAATCACCCTTGAGTTGTTTTTGTATATGATGAGAGATACATGTCCAGTTTCATTCCTCTGCATATGGCAATCCAATGTTCCCAGCACCATTTATTGAAAAGTGTGTCTTTCCTTAGTGTATGTTCTTCACACTTTTCTCAAAGATCAGTAGGCTGAAAGTATGTGGTCTTATTTCCAGTTTCTCTATTCTTCTGCATTAATCCATGTGTCTATTTTTATAAAAGTATCATGTTGTTTTGGATATTATAGCCTTGTAGTATAATTTGAAGTCAGACAATGTGAAGTCTCCAGCTTTCTTCTTTTTGCTTAGGATTTCTTTGGGTATTCAGGCTCTTTTTTGGTTTTAAATGAACTTGAAAATTATTTTTTCTAAGATGTGAAAAATGAGGTTGGTATTTTGATAGTGATTGCATTAAACTTGTAAACTGCTTTGGGCCGTATTTTCATTTTAATGATATTAATTATTCTGATCTATAGGCATAGGAGCTTTTTCCATTTGTTTTTGTCATCTACAATTTCTTTCTTGAGTATTGTTTAGTTTTCCTTGTAGATATTTGTCTTTTCCTAGGCTAAGTATCTAAGTATTTTATATTTTTCGTAACTATTGTAAATGGGATTACTTTCTTTATTTGGTCTTTGGTTAAATAATTCTTGGTGTAGAGAAATGCTACTGATTTCTGTACATTAGTTTTGCATCTATCCTGAAACTTTACAACATGTATTTATCAAATCTGAAGGTTTGTTGGTAGAGTTTTTAGAGCTTTCTAGATATAAAGTCATATCATCTATGAATGAAATAATTTGACATCCTTTTTTTTCAATTTAGATTCCTTTTATTTTTCCTCTCTTGCCTATTTGCTGCAGCAAGGACTTCCAGTATTATGTTAAAGAGTGGTAAAGTGGACACCCTGGTTTCATTCCAGCTCTTAGAGGAAATGCTTTCAAGCATTCCCAATCAAGTATGATGTTGGTTGTGGATTTCTGTATATAGCCTTTATTATGTTAAGGTATGTTCCTTCAATGGCTAGTTTGTTGAGAATTCTTTATCAGGAAGAGGTGCTGAATTTTATTGAACACTTTTTCTGTATCTATTGAGATAATCATATGGATTTTGTCCTCAATTCTGATTATGTCATGTATCACAGTTATTGATTTGTGTATGTTGAACCACCCTTGCATCTCTTGGATAGATCCCACTTGATCATGGTGTATTATCTTGTTGATGTACTGTTGGATTTGATTTGCTAGTATTTCATTTAGTATTTTTTTCATCTATGTTAAACTGGGATACTGGTCTGTAGTTTTCTTTTTTGTTGCTGTTTCCATGTCAGGTTTTGGTGTCAGGGGATACTTGCCTGGTAGAAAGAGTAGAGAGAGTTCCTTCCTCCGAATTTTTTTTTTTTTTGGAATAATTTCAGAAGAATTGGTGTTAGCCCTTCTTTGTATTTTGGTAGAAATTGGATGTGAATCCATCTAGCCCTGAGACTTTTTTCCTTGGGAGATATTTTCATTATTGATTCAATTATACTTCTCATTATTGGTCTATTCAGGAGTTTGATTTCTTCCTGATTCAATCTCAGGAGGTTTTATTTTTCTAGAAATTTGTTCATTTCCTCTAAGTTTTCTAGTTGTTAGCACATAGTTCATAATAGTTTCTGATTTTTTTTGTATTTCTGTGGTATCAGTTGTAATACCACTTTTCCATTTCTGATTTTGCTTATTTTGATCGTCTCTCTTCTTTTCTTGCTCAATCTAGTTAGTGGTTTATAAATTTTGTTTATCTTTTCAAAGAATCAACATTTAGTTTCATTTTTTTTTTTGTATTTTTTTGGGGGGGAAGGGTGGCTCTATTGCATTTTGTTCTATTCTGATATTTGTTACTTCTTTTCTGCTGCTAACTTTGGGTTTGGTTTGTTCTTATTTTTCTAGTTTCTCAAGGTGTGATGCTAGGTTGTTAATTTACAATCTATTTTTTTAATGTAAGTATTAAATGCTATAAACTTCTCTCTTAACCTTGCTTTTGCTGTATGTAGGATTTGTTTTGCTGTTTTTTTCATTAGTCTGCATTTCAAAAAAAAATTAAATTTCCATTTTAATTTTTTTATTCACCCAGTGATCATTCAGGAACATGGTGTTTAATTTTCATGTATTTGTGTTGTTCTTGAATTTCCTCTTGCTGTTGAATTCTAGTTTTATTCCACTGTGGTCTGAGAAGATACTTGATATGATTTTAGTTTTGTAAAATATATTAAGACTTGTTTTGTGGTTAACATGTGGTCTATTTTGGAGAATGTTCTATGTGCTACTGAAAAGAATATATGGTATCTAGTTGTAGAATATAATGTTCTTTAAATTTCTAAGTCCACTTAGTCTGAAGTCCAATTTTTGTTAAATGTTTCTTTACTGATTTTCTTTCTCAATGATCTGCCTAGTGCTGTGAGTAGGGAGTTGAAGTCCACCACTATTATTGTGTTGCAGCCTAGCTATTTCTTTATGGCTAGTATGGTTTGTTTTGTAAATTTGTGTGCTCTGATGTTGACTGAAAATATATGTTTAGGATAGTTATACCTCCTTGATTAACTGATCCCTTCATCATTATATAATTACCTTAGTCTTCTTTTTTTTGCTGTTATTAGTGTACAGTCTGTTTTATGTGATATACATATAGCCATTTATTCTCATTTATAATTTCCATTTGCATGGAATATATTTTTCCACTCTTTTACTTTCCCTCTAAATGTGTCTTTATGGTTAAGGTGATTTTCTTGTAAGCGAGCAGCAGTATAGTGGAATCAAGTTTTTTAAATTTATTATTTCAATTGTGTTTTTAGTGGAGCATTTAATCCAATTACATTCAAGGCTAATATTGATATGTGTGGGTTTGTTCCTTTTATAAGGTTAATGTTTTCAGTAGTTTTGCAAAGTTTTGTCTCTTTTTTCTGTCATTTTGACTTTGTGGTTTGATGAAATTCTGTTGTATTGTCATTTGATTCCCTTCTACTTCTCTTCTGTGTGATTGTATTATAAGGCTTGTGAGTTTTATATTTTTGTGTGTGTTTTTTTAATGGTGAATATCAACCTTTTGTTTTTATGTTAAGGCTCCTTTGAGCATTTCTTGTAGTGCCAGTCTAGTGATGACAAGTTCCCTCTGCATTTGCTTGTCTCGGAAAGACTTTATTTCTTCTTCATTTATGCAGGTTATTCTGGCAGGACTTGGACTAAAATTCGTGGCTAAAAGATTTTTTATTTTAGGACTTTGAAAATGCCATCTCTTTTGGCTAGTAAGGTTTCTGCTGAAATGTCTGCTGTTAGTCTGATGGGATATTCTTTATAGATGTAAGATGCTTTCCTCTTGCAAATTTTAAAATTATTCTTTTCACCTTGACTTTAGACATTCTTAATATAATATGCTATAGTGAAGTCCTTTTTGCAATACATTTCCTGGTGATTGCAGGGCCACCTATAACTAAATGCTTAACTCTCTTGCTAGACTTGGGAAGTTTTTATTGATTATTATCCTAAATAAGATTTCTAAATGTCGATATCTCTTCCACCTCAAGAATATTCATAATTTATAAGTTCAGTCACTTTATATACTTCCAGACTTCTCAACATCTTTGTTCATTATTTCTTTTTCCTTATATTTGTTTGATTGGATTAATTAAAAAGACCTGTCTTCAAATTATGAGATTTTTTTTTACTTCTGCTTGGTCTAGATCATTATTAAAGCTTTAGAACGCATTTTGTATTTTCTTCATTAAATTTTTAGTTTCAGGATTTCTGCATAGTCTTTGTTTTTAAAGATATCTTTGCTATATTTCTTGTTTATATCTTGAACCGATTTTCTTATTTTTTTATATTGGTTTTCAGATTTTTCTCGCATCTCTTTGAGCTTCTTTAAAACCAGTATTTCAAATTCTTTATGTGGCATTTAGAGGAATTTTTTGTTGTTAGGATTTTTTGCTGGGGAATTGTTGTAGTCTTTTGGTGGTGTCATATCTTCCTGCTTTTTTATAATTCCCATGTCCTTCCGTTGATACCTGTGTATCTGGTATAGCAGTTTCTTATTTTAATTTTTTGAAAATGATTTTGTAGAGGACAATATTTTCCTTACAAGACTTCTATTTTGTTGTTTGAGTAAGATAGCTTGGCTTTGATTTTTGTTGCCTGCAGAGTTGTGACTTTTGTATGACCTCTTCAGCAGTACCCAGGTTCAGTGGTATGTGTGATTTCCTTGGTGGCTTAAGGTGCAGTTATTAGTTTAGGTTGTGGTTAAATTTTGCTGAGAACTTGGGCACCATCTGAGATTGTTTTCAGAACACAGTGGTGACAACAGTGGCCTGAGTGTGCCTGTTGTTAGGCCCCAGATCAGATTATGCTGATTTGCAAATGAGTAGATCCAAGAGGGCTGGTTCTTGGGCCTCCAGGTGGCTTGCTTGGAAGCTACTAGTAAAATTCGTGAGTCATATATGTAGGTGGGTTCCCTGAAAAGAGCTGAAGCTCTAACGGTGGTGGAGCAACACGTCCAAGGTGAAGATGTTGCTGTTGCTGGTAGCTGTGATGAGTTGGGTCAGCTAGTCCTCAGTCCTACAACCTCCTGTATAAGGGAGGTGGGTATTATCCAAAATATGCTTAGAAGAGCTTGTCCCTCCCTTGGTCGTCCCTAATCTGGGTGGTGACTTCAGCTTGCATCACCTCAAACTTGGCACAAGGATGAGGCATAGCCCAGAATTAAATTCTCAAAATGATGCCAGCTGTGGGCCGTGACCAAGGTGGTTAGGACCGCCTCAGGCTAGGAGCATGAGCAAGAAGCTGTGCCTAGTGCGGTCTACTTGAGTTTTGTTCTCATGGCAGCCCATAACAGGGGGGTGGGTATTGTCCCAGATACGTGTCAGAGAGCCTTCTTTCCTTGTCCCTCCTCAACTAAGCAGCAGCTGCAGCTGCATCAGCCAGAACTCAGCCTGGAGGCAGGACACAACCCAGCATTAAACTCTCAAAATGGTGCCTTGGGCCTGGGAACAGAGAGGGCAGGGATCCTCTTAGGCTAGCAGCCTGGGGAAAAAGCTGTGGGGAGTGTGGTCCTCTCATGACTCAGTCTCAACTGCAGCCTGCAGCAGGGTGATGGGGACCCTCCCAGGGTTTCATGGGTGTGCCCGGTGTTTTTTCTCCCTGCTTGGATCAATGCAGCAGCAGCAGCCATGTCTGTAGATCCCCAGTATCTAGGCTTTCAAAATAACACCCAGCTGAAACTGCTTGAGGCTTGGATGCCTGCGGGATTCCGTGTGGGTTTCCTTACTGGAGCAATGTCTCAGTGTAACTTCGTATGTCAGGCCAGAGGCCCTAGTGATTTGAGATTATCTCCCATAGCTGATCGTAAAAGTCTATTTTGAACTGTGGAAACATGAGGGTTTCTCTCTTAATGTCCCACATGCAGGAGCCTTTCGCTGGTCTCAGCCAGTCTCTTGCCAAGTAAGCTGCCTCAAACACTCTCCTTACTTACTTCTGGTGCATCCTGTCATTTCTCTTGTGAATCCTAGCAGATCTGTTTGAAATGTGAGTACCTACTTACTATTCTCGTTCCTTTTAGTGGAGGACCATATTCTACCTGTATCTAGTCCGCCATCTATCTATCATGTGTTTGAATATTTGCTTTTTTTTTTTTTTTTTAAGAGAAGGCTCGCTCTGTCGCCCAGGCTGGAGTGCAGTGGCGCAATCTCGGCTCACTGCAAGCTCAGCCTCCAGGGTTCACGCTATTCTCCTGCCTCAGCCTCCGGAGTAGCTGGGACTACAGGCGCTCACTACCTCGCCCGGCTAATTTTTTGTATTTTTACTAGAGACGAGGTTTCACCGTGTTAGCCAGGATGGTCTCGATCTCCTGACCTCGTGATCCGCCCGTCTCGGCTTCCCAAAGTGTTGGGATTACAGGCGTGAGCCAGCGCGCCCGGACGAATATTTGCTCTTCAACAATTGCCTTGAAGCACAGAGGTGAGTAATTGAGGATTTCAGTCTTTATGCTTATGAGACAGAGAGAGAGAGCAAGTGAGTGACAGACAGAGAGAGAAAGGGAAGCACAGATGATAATGTGATATTTGGTAATTTAAAATTTTGTATTTTTTGACTGATTGGCTTCTATGTTTTTAGATGTGGCCATCAGTGTGTTGAATAGGAATCCTTATTATAAGTGGTCATTGTTCAAGTGAAGGAAAGAAAAATAAGTCATGCGATAAAACTCTTCGGCTGTACAAAACCTAGAAAATCTTGTAAGTAACAGTTTCTACTCCAAAACAAAAGGTTATTTTCAGTAAATCACACATTGTGAAGATTTTGATCACACATAATCCCTACAGGAACATTTAAGCATACCAATCATGACAATGTTTATCATCTACTGAGAAATCTACCAGTAAAAGTATGGAGCATGATCTAATAAAAAAGTTTGGAGTGCCTAAGAAAAGCACTTAATAATCTTCATATTTTAGAGTTGAAAATAACCATCTTGTCAATGCTTCCTTTATATAATTTATGTCACACAGTCAGAACATCTGGAATTATATATATAGAATAATTACAGATGAGAGAGTATCAGAAACCTTTGCTGTAGAATAATATGGTGCTAAGTATTGACATTACAGCATTTACTATAATAAGAATTATATTTTTGAACTTAATAAGTTTTGAAATTTATGTTATAATTAATAAATTAAATTTTGTTTAACATTAAAATTAAGGAATACTAATATTTCTATGAAAAATTATATAGAATAATATATAAGCAGCTGTATACAATATAATTAAACTTTATTTAGAATTTTATACTTTATATTTTTACATATTTATTCCTACTTTGGTGTACTCCGGGCTTTCATTTTGAAGATTAATGTTTATGACTTTAGAGTTAGTTGCATTTTATGAATTGGTTCATATTCTTAATCATAGTAAAAATGCCTGGTTTCTGAGCCTTGAAGGCTTGTTCCAGTTTATAGAACAAAGCTGTTTTCATGCCTCTAGAACATTGTATTACTTTGCATTTTTATGCAGTGTTAAGAATTTTACCCAAAACTTTCAGAAAATAATTTCAAAGTGTTTACCACATACATATTTCTCATATGACATAACTAGACAAATGCAAGTTTGGTTTAGATTCTGATAAATTAGAGAATTATTACTGAATATATTACAAATAAAATTTGCTTTGCGTGGATTACAAGAGCAAGAAAGATATAAATAATAAACATCTTTCGTATAAGAAAATAATCTAATATTTGTGCATATCTTCACCAAATTATAACTACTAAATTTTGTTTACATTTTGAAATCAATGTATAAACAATTCTCTGTTTAGCTTGTTTCACTAACATTACCTAATTTCCTCATTACATTATTTCTAAATTTATGTATAATAAATTTAATGATGAGAAAAATCTCAACATATAGACCAAAAAATAGTTAAAATATTTGTCGCTGTTAGGCTTTTAATATGCCTCTAATTATCTAATTGTTCTACAAGTTATGATAAAAGAATAGCTTTTATGCATAAAACTGTCTTTTTACTAATGAGAAGAATTTGAAAATTCATAGATGTTTTAGCCTTGGTTCGCTAAGAAAAATAACGAAAGTTTGCTGCATAACTCACACGACAATGCTTTAATCAACTTTGTAATCCCCAGGCAGCAAATGAGGGAAATTGGATGTGATGCAGAGTAAAAGTGCATGCGAATACAAGGTGATATGTTACTTCAAATGAAAAGATAACTAGTGTCTTGATCATATAGGGCATTCTGAACAGGCCATATGGAAGCACTGGGCCATGGAATAGTCCATCAGAGGGAGGAAAGAAGATAATTTTTTTCTGCAAATTTTTTCCTTTTTCTGTTTATCATTGGCCAATGTTTATCTCATGAAGTGTTAACTTCCTCATATTTCTAGTACATATCAACTAGTCCTTCTGCCAGAAGCCTAAGAATCCAGGATTCTCTGATGCTATTTTACTTGCATTTAGAAATGGTGCAAGCCAGCACCCTAATGAGACTTGTTGAGTAGGAACTGAGCATTGACTATGCTGTGGTTTCCATCATAGTGGACCCCACAGAAGTCATGCAAGGGGCTTAGCACCCACAGTAAGGCAGCCAAGATAATCAAATGTGCTACAAAATGAGGAGGTAGCCACAGGTGGCCAAAAGCCTGAGAGGGAAATGAGGTTTAACTGAATATGGTAATACATCTAGTAAAAGGTATAAAAATTTGCCTGGCTCTTAATAATAACTGATGAGTTACTTTTTAAAAATGTATACTATTGTGCACATGTACATGTAATACATAAATGCATTCAGCATTTTTATTAAATTAATCAATGTATCTCTGAATCCACCAAAAACTTTTCTAAATAGCATTGTTTAATTACATTTTCACTTATATTATGAGAACAGATTAAATTATTCATGTTTATTCATTTGAACCTGCAACTACTTCATAGCTGTACAAATAATTCCCCAAACTATTTAGATAATCAGACTTTACTCATAACTCTAAAAAGATAAAATTACAGCTAGAAGAAATAAAGTCATATACACAAATCTGTATTAATCAACTTTTTTCTGCTTTTGATCCATGTTTCACTAAAGAGTTTTATATAAATACCAAATACAATAACAAAAACATGATTAAAGATTAAATACTAAGGAACATACTTTATAAAAGGAATGATAACAATATGAAAAATAAATAAATTACTACCAAATTGCTCAAAAGGAAACTTGAATAAATGAAAAGACCAACTATATTCTTGGATTGTTTGAGAGACTCAAAATAATAAAGATGGCAATTTTTAGGTAAGAGAATTTAAGGTAGAGGTAAGAGAATTTAAGGTAATTAAACATGTTAAGTTTAACATGATTCAACAATCCAAAGATTTTGTTAATAATCCTGAGATATGTTAATAGACTATAAGATATAAAAAATAAAACACAAATAGCCAGAAACTACACTGTTGCATAGTAAACAACCACCAATCTCTGTGGATTCCAACAATAATCATCAATTTTATTCTCATGGGTTTGTAGGTTGGTAGTAGTTTGGTTTCTTTTGGCTGTCCTTATCTGCTAGGCTGTGCTCTGATCAGCGTTAGATCCAGGAGTCTTCACCCTAGCTCTGAGCTGAAGAAGCCATGGCTGTGTGTTTGTCAGTACAAACAGGCATCCGAAGCTCAACAGGGGCCTCTTAAAACTTCGAATCAGGGCCAGGCATGGTGGTTCACACCTGTAATCCCAGCACTGTGGGAGGCTGAGGCAAGTGGATCACCTGAGGTCAGGAGTTCAAGACTAGCCTGACCAGCATGGTGAAACCCTGTCTCTACTAAAAATACAAAAAAAATTAGCCAGGCATGGTGGCAGGCACCTGTAATCCCAGCTACTCGGGAGGCTGAGGGAGGAGAATCGCTTGAACCTGGGAAGAGGAGATTGCAGTGAGACGAGATTGTGCCATTGCATTCCGGCCTGGGCGACAAGAACAAAACTCTGTCCCAAAAAAACAAAACAAAGCAAAACCTTGGAATCAGAACTTTCTCTCTCTCACCTCGTGTATATTAGATTGATTAAACTAAGTCACACAGCCATGCTTAGTGACAACAATTTTACCCCACTCACATTGAATAACAACAAAGGAAGAGAGGAAATTATGAACTCTGAGCAAATAATACATTCTGCCACACATAAATTCTTCCTGACTTGTGTTTTTACACTTTTAGCCCTATCTCAGTCTTCCGCTGTATTGTCCTTTATTTCTTACATTTTTAAAAATATTTTTTGTCCCCAAAACATTGCACCTATTTCTTCCTCTGTATCAACTCAACTTTTCCTACTTCCTAGTGAGGTTTATACTTAAAATCACTTCACTAGTATCACCTAAGTTCAATATTCTTATAGATGCTCATCTTATTTCATTATTCATGTCATGTTGGCATTTAAATAATATAGCAATTTTTTTAAGGTTGTCATTATTGCTAGGCCTACAGTTTCATGAAAGCAAGGGTTTTGTTTGCTTTCATCATCACTATATCTCTAGAATGGAGTTTAAATTCCTTCATAAAGTAAGCACTTGATATGTATACATTGCAAGTATACACAAAATAATTAATATTATTTTGGGGGAAATTATTCTTATAGATATTATTTTCCAATTATATGTTTGACATGTCCATTGTTCTCATCAATTATTATGCGTTCTTATATAGCATATAATCTTTATCATATATATATTTATTGCATTCACTTCAATTTGATGTTTTCCTTTTGTTTATTTGTATTGCTTTGCTTTTGATAATTAGGGAAACTTCATATAACAGAGATTTCAAAAGGATATGATAATTAAATTTTAAATACAAAGAAAATAAAAATATAAGCAAAATACTTACAATAGCTAGTATTTGCTAGAGGATAACCAGATATTAGAGAAAAGCCTATAATTCAAGATGGCAAGAATAGGAAAAAAAAAGCTAAATATAAAGATATTCATCAACTGGAAATAAATTCCAAATGAATTTGGATTGAAGAATATTAAATGTGCTAAGTTTGTAGAAGGTTGATGTTACTGGGTCATAATATAAACCAAAAAAAACCTAGTATTCAGACTGAATTTGAGGAAACTCTGAGGTGCAGAAAACTTTTAATTGTGCACCTATGCCATTCTTTATGACTAGCTAACTCTAAGAATTTTCATCTTCTTCTCTTCATTGCTGCAAATCCTTATTTAGAGGATGTACATTGTTTCTCATCTTTCTCAGTTAAGAAACCAGACAATATTCCTTTATGTAGGCATTGGTGCTAAAGAGTCTGTCCAAAAATGTTAAAAAAAAAAGTGCAGCCCTCAGATCTAATAAGCATCAAAGGCTGTACGCCTACCACTTTAGTTATGTTTTGCTTTGTTCTTGGTGATGAGTGAGGGTCAAAATTAGGAAGAACGTAGAATACTGGAGCTCATATAATTTTTGGCAAATGTCTCTAATGTAATACAATTTGCACTGGAATTCTATTAATTTCCAAAGAGTAGTAGATACTATATGGCCAATAAATTTTCCCAGTGACTGAGACTAGTCCCACCTGTTTTCTTTTTCAGAGTTACTCCAGGACAATAAGAGGAGTAATGCTTACTTGGGCACTTGGAGAATGAACATGAATTGCCTTACCCAAGGCGATATTTGCATTATGCAAAAATAAAAAGTATCTGCATGAATATGAATATGACTATAAATATTACTGATATTACAAATTATATTTATTTTCAATCTAAAAGGAACCATACCAATTTTCCTTTTCCTCTAGTATTGCATAAAACTTTCTGATTATTTTGACTTCTTCCTTTCAAATATTTCAATGATTACTTATTTTTTTCAAAAAGATGAATTAGATTTACCTAGATCTAATTAGCTAAGATGCGGTGACACTGGAGTAGGGCAGACTCGTAATCCAGACTGGTGTCCTTATAAAACAGAGAAATTGGAGCATATACATGCACACAGGAGAAACACCATGTGAAAATGAAGGAAGAAATTAGGATATTGAAGCATATGACAAAGAACACCAAAGACGTAGAGCAAGTAACAAGAAGAAGGTAGAAAAGAAGCATGGGACAGATTTCTTACTCACAGCCCCCAGAAGGAACCAACCCTGCCAATACCTTTATCTTGATTCTGACTTGCTGATCGTGAGACAATAAATTCATGTTGTGTAAGCCATCCAGTTTGTGGTATTTTGTTAGGGAAGCCCTAGCAAGCTGACTGGTTTGTTGTCCTCTACATATTAAAAATATCTCTTTTGTGTCTCATTGATCTTTGTACAAATCCTTCCTCCAACTCCAACCAATTTCTTGAATCAGACATGAGATCAATGGAAGGGATAAATAAGTAAAAGAATCAGCAAACAAATAATACAAGGTGAAAAAAATCCCAATTAATTACTGTGCCTTGAGTTTGCAAGACAGGTGTAAGAAATTCTTGGAGATTTTGCAAAAAATATAAAAAGAGAAAAATAAGTTGGGGATCATTCCACTGAATACCTACATAAACATTTACATTTCTGTAGCCTCTTTCAATGCCATAAACACTAATTTCTATTTTAATTTTGTGTACCTGAACCCACTCTACTCACAGTTGCGTCAGCATGACCTTTTTGAATGAATATGTTTTTGAAAATAATATCTTTCTGAGTTATCAACACCATTTCAATTATTTATATCCAATTTCCTATGTAAACTTCTGTGACACATGCCCTGACACTTCTGTCTCCTCACACTGATGACATCTCTCTATTGTCCTTCTTCAGTGTATATGAGTTTTCATTTGCTAAGAGACTTCAACTGTAGGATAATACCCTCTGGATATTTCACTAATTGTGTCTCTAATTTTAGGAAGAACTAAAGATTTTATTCTGATTTTACTTTATTTCAAGAAGTGGAAAAGTTTTTAAAGGAGTCAAGAAGAAAATGTTATTAAGAAAAAACATATTGCACATACTAGACTAAGGAGTTTCTAAGAAGTAAAGAGGCATTTAATAGAACTACTCTGTGCTGGATTTTTCTTAAGCCATATTTGATGTCTTTTTAGATTGCTGCTCTTTGTAGGAAAGTGTAAAAAATTATTTGCAGGAGAAGCCTCCCAGTTATCAAACAGTAGTAAAAATAAGTTAGGCTACACTTAGGTAAATCATCAAACTAGCTGATTGCTTGGGACTATCTCAAGACTAGAGACATGAAATGCTCATGCCTTACAAATCACATTTCACCCAGTAAGGTAATATGTAGGGATTTTATGTCAGAATCTTGCTAATCATAACAAATATTTTTGCCTGGAAATTTGGCAAACATGTATTTGGAATCTTTAGCAACTCTAGAAAACTGGTAGAATGTGTGGGCTGTTGGGATCATAGTCCATTTTCATTTATTTCTCATCAAAGGGATATTGCTAACAGATGGCATCTGGATCTAAAACTTAATATGGGCTCATTGCATTGCTCTACTGCCTCTGATAGATCCTACTTCACTCATTTTATAATTTCTGACTCATGAAGTCTGTGCCAACCAGTACTCATGAAGTCTGTGCCAACCAGTGGTAGTATCACTTTCCTTTCAATTTTACCATGAATTTCTAAATCAGGAGGTACATTTATGATCATAACATGTACTTTA
Organism: Homo sapiens; assembly: GCF_000001405.40. Lineage (NCBI taxonomy): Eukaryota > Metazoa > Chordata > Mammalia > Primates > Hominidae > Homo > Homo sapiens. The sequence goes on from NC_000004.12 coordinate 33,348,744, forward strand.
AATAGGCATACTGGATGTTTTTAAATAGTCATCCTTTGTTGTGAATTTATATTTTGACTAAACAAAAACTATTACAGCTGCATTTTATGAAATGCCTTCCTCATAGTTATCATAACATTAGAAACCTGAGAATTGTATTTCTTATAGAAAACTATTTTCTAAGTTAACTGAAAGGCCACAAGGAAAAATTAAGTAAGTGAAAATTATTAAATATATTTTGTTTATATCATTATCATCTCTCAAGTATAGCACAGAAACTACTGAGTTCACTATTATTTTTATTGTATTCTACACCAACATATGGTTTTACTTTATTTTTCTCTTTAAATCAACACCTAAACGTATGTACTTAGTCAAAGGTGGTTCTAAAATGTTGCTAGAGAATAGATGCAGCTCTAACATACTGGATAGGAGTCTATAAACTAATAACAATATAAAACTAAAATAGTATAAAACAGCAAAACTGTACTGGGAAAATTACTCAATGCACAGATAATAGTTCTTTTAAAAAATAGTAGTCTATTGTTTCTCTACAATGTTACAATATATGAATAGCATCTACAGAAAGAAAGAAGTTTCCATGCCATGCTATGCTAAATATATACCCTTTATCTTAAGGAAATCAATAGATAAGGTTAACATACAAAATAGGCTTCTGAGAGTAAACAAAATGAAACAAAAATAAACCTTCCCATACAAATAAGATATACTTGTCACAGAGGATAGCCTAGTTATAGCAACTGCAGTGCAAGACTTACAGAGCTACCCAACCAAACGCTTACTTGGCACCCATTTCCTAGTGGAACAGGCTTACCAACTTGTAAACAGGCACCATGCCATACTAACAGATGGTTGAGTATTCACAACCAAAAGACCATGAATGAACATCAAATGTGTTTACTGAGGGCAGGAGTTCCAAGAGCAAATGCCCAAACAGCTGTCTGTCCTTAGGTTATGAACCTAGAGTTGAAGATATCTGCCACTCCTAATTCATGTCTTGGTGAGATTAAGTTCTCTCAAACCCTCAAGTTGCCTTCTTCCTTTCATAACAAATATTCTTTATACACTGAACCATATGTATATGTGCTTAATTGTGTTCAGAGTACTGTAGTGTTTTACTTGTAAATATGTTCATTTCAGTTAACATCTTGCATGTATGCCCAAAGGAAATAGCAGATATGTACTCAAATCTGATGTTGGTTGATATGTATTACCATCATTGTCAAAATCATTATCTACAGTCACAAACCTGTCTCTGACCATAAGAGATGCCTATTGTAAGGTAGCCTGGAGGATATAAAATCCTCTATAATCTCTTCACTGACACAATAGAAAATCAATCTGTTCTTATCTAGATTTATTACCCTCAGCTTTTAGGAGATGCAACACAATCTGAGAATGGTAATCATGACATTGTTTCTTAAAAGTTGGATGTAGTAAATTTCATGTATTACAGTTGCCATAGCTTCTTCAGAAAATTCCACTGAAGAAAAACACAATAGCTAACACCTAACTTGTTTTTTCTAATGGACAATTGCACTGCAATAGCGCCCATGGGACAATTTCAAAAATCATAATAAGTCTTTTAAAGACTTTTCAACATATATTATTAAGTAATTTATAATTGAAGACATTATAATAAACTCAGGAAAGCTGTCAAGAGACAAGAATATCAAACACATTATTATTATCCTATAACATTTAAAATATATCTAAAAAGTAGTTATGTTATATAATATTTTATAAATAATAGGCGATAGTTTTATTAAAGTTTGAATTTTTTCAGAAATTATTAAATTATTTTGCAAGGAGACTCTGAAGCCAGAATTTACATCAGGCTTCCATGGTGATATGTGAGAATGCATTAGAAGCATTCTTACCAAAAACAAGATGAAGACAAGAATGTTTACAGTAAATTACATGTTATATTTATATTGGTCTATCTTTGCACATTATAATTAACCATGACATTACATGAAATAACATTTTTGAAACATATGTATTATATGTAAGTAGTTATTAAGTTATTTAAGACTCAGGAAAATCATCTAATACTTGCAAACAAAGAGTTGAATATCATACGATTCATGTAGATATTTCTATATATAAGTAACTTATATCATATATTAAGATAATGGCTAATTTAAAAATATAGAAGAACACTTTTAAACATGAAAAATAACTAAACCATTATAATTGGAAATATGTTTACCTAAACATACTGACAGATGAAAAGATGACTATTCAATGAACAAAGATGGAAGAGGATGATCTTTAAGATACCTATTTTCTCTAACTTGACCTGTATATGTAACAAATTTTTAATTAAAATATAATTCTCATATCTATCTGAAAAATAAAAATATGAAGTTAGCTATAAAAATTCTGAAAATAAAGAATAGTAACAAGCTACCAGATATTTTAAAATATTGTGAAGTCACATAATTAAAAATGTATATTGACCTAGGAATTGGCTTGCCAATCAATGAGGAGGGTATAACAAAAATAAATAAAGTCATGTATGTAAGATTTTGGCTGATGGTAAAGAAGACATCTCAAGGTAGTGAGGAAACTATTTCATCTTTATTTAGTAACATTTATAATTGGCTTTTTAGTAATTAAAAAATAGAATATAAAAAATAGGAAACCAATTTTACTTCTTTAACAATTACACCTATAGACAAATACCAGAGGGATTAACTATTTAAATGTAAAATGTGGCAGTTTAAAACACTACAAGGAGAAATGTGTTTCTAACTCAGGAATAGGAAAGGCACTTTTACAAATGGCATAGAAACCACCAGGAGCCATAAATGAAATGGAAGCAAATAAAACTTTAAAACCCTTTTATTAGTTAGGTTAATGCTAGCTTCTGTAAATAACAATCATAAAGTATTCAGTGGCTTCACAGAGTAAAAGTTTATTGCTAGCATGGTGGGTAGGCTACCATGCTGTGATTCAGAGCCTCAACGTCCTTCCTTTTCTCTTGGGGCTAGAGACTTTTCTGGGTCATGATAGTCCTCAGTATTCAGCTGGCCGTTGAGGCAGCAGAGAGTGATAAAGGCCCACCAGCTTCTTAAATACGCAGACCTGAAAAAGACCCGCATTCATTCTACTCACACTACATGTTTGAACTCATTATCCCCACCTCCCTGACTTTGATTCAAAGGTGTGATGAGAACATAATTTCTGCCTGGTCACCTGTTGCTCATCAACAACTCTGCACAGTAGAAGGTGTAGCTCATGTAATTAGAGGAAATGCAGTCATATTTTTTAAAAGAAAAATGTATCTACACACATAAAAAAGTCACAAAAAAGAAATCAAACATTGAAAATCCAACTACCATAGATGATACACTGATAAAAAAGCAGAGATTCCTTAGGAAAGTAAAGAAAGTACTAAAATGAGGCAATAAAAAGGAGAATAAAATTGGTCAATAAATACATGAAAATATATTTAAGTATATTTTAATTTAAAAAGCAAATTGAAGCTCTTTGATGAATTTTTTCATTGGTGAAATTGGTAAAGCATATACAAATTATCAAAACTGGAGAAGAACAGTTTTTATTACGCTTCAGGAGATGATAAAAAATAAATATAAATTCTATCTCTCTCTCTCTCTCTCTCACACACACACACACACACACACACACACAGAGAGAGAGAGAGAGACAGAGAGAGAAAGAGATGTTCTCTAATCATTTGGCAAGGATTAACAACTAACGGAGAAAATGTTAGGGGTCTTCATCATAGGTGTTTGTATTTTTGTGTTTTATCAATTATTTGCTTTTGTAAAATGCATGCATTGATATTGTAATTCAAACATTTTGTTTTCAACATAATTAAACAAAACTCTACAAACTGCACCAAATTATTAAAATGTATTAAGGTTTTAAACACCTTAATATTTGGCTATGCTAAGTATTAAGCATAGCTAAAGTTTAATTCTGTGTTCCTTAAATTTCAGATTGTAAAGTAATAATTTGTGGAGTCTAATAAAACACAGATTGCCTACATCCAGTTCCGGTGTTACTAATCAACAACTCTAGGGAGAAACCATGAATATACATTATTAATGAATACTCTAGACAATTCTGATGCCAGTGATCTCTGTGGAACATACTTTAAGAAGCAACATGTTGAACTTAAAAATTCATAAAATAAAAACTGATGTCTAAAGTAATTTTATTTGTATTGTGTTTCATTATATTTTCATCATTTTCAAAGCAAATACCCTCCACTGTATATATTTCCCCTTAATATCAGTTTTCTCTAAGTTATGATGTAAAGAGCCTGGACACATTTTCAGTGCTTTCATGGTATCCATGTTATGCTAAAGCTTCATCACACTCCCATAACTATTTTATACAGGTTTGCCTTTTTCTCGTAAACTATGAGCTTTTTGGAACTCATGTACAACATCTCTCTCATTCACTGATGCACACCCAATGTCTTGTACAAGTATAGCACACAATAAATATTAAAATATTTGTTAGATATGAGTGAATAGTTGAAAATATTAATACATAAGAGGATACATGGTTATTGATATTGTATTGTTTCATTTTCATATATCTATACTGTCTCTTTAACTAGACACTCCATTTTGAAATAATCGTTTACTTTATAAACTACAATAAATACAAATGCACAGAAAGATTGTTTTAGAGTTTAGAGAGAATAACAAAGTACAAAATGTTTTGTTTATTTACCGTTATAAAAAGATAATTCAGCAGTGAAAAGATTCAGGGACAACATAGAGTGTTTGAAAAGGTACAGTTTTGAATTAGACTTCAGGAGTTTGGATTCTAACCTCAACACGTTTTAGCTTGGTGACATTAGGAATGTTTCCTAGACCTCTGATATCTCCATTTTCTTATCTGTAAAATGTGAATGATAATAATATGGCTATATTAGTAGGTTCTTGTGGAGATTATATGAATCATTTGTAACAATTCTTGACATATATTAAGCAATAATGATTGCCAAATAAATACTCAGTGACATCAAATACAGATTCTTCTATATTCATTATCATAATCTGTATTGAAAATATAACAATTTTATCAGCTGAGAGTCTATTGAGCAATGAATAATACAGTAGATATATTAATATGAGATCAATGCAGTCCATGGTTTTACCCAATGAATCTGTTACTCAGTGTTTCAGTTTTTCGAGCTCTATTAATGCTCGTTTTCTTATTCTTCCAGTAAGTAATACTGAGCAGTTGAGCTGTAGGTAAATCTCTAACCTCACGGATTTCATAACTATTGTGTGTGGGAAGAAATATAAAAATAAATAAATATATAACAAGATTTCATATATGATGTAGCTGATTCTTATGAATATTAACAGATAATATGAATGATTTCTATAGACATACATTCCCCAAATTCTAAATTTATGTTTGGAACATTTGCTTGTGTGTGTTTCTATGACATAACCAAGTTTGTCTTGAACTTGGAAGGCAAAATAGCTTCACTTACTTTGCTATTTTTAGGGCCATAATCCAGTTCTTGACACTCATAGTGCCAAGACAAGGTAAGTAATAATGCAGAAAGAAACAAGAGAAACATACAAAGGAGATTATTATTATTTTTATTTCTGATTTCTGATGATGGTTTCAATTGCTCCAATGAGAAAACCAATCTAGAGCAGAAATTGTTCTTTTAATTTTAGTCTTTTCCCTTTATCTTATACAGCATTTTATATGTTAATAATTTTTCAAAATTCAGATATTCATAATTTGAGAAGCACATCTTGGAGGTGTGGCTATTAAAACATAAATAAGAAACGTGTGGTTTACAAATTGGAATTGCAACTTACCACTTCAAATATTGTTTGAAGATATTTTATTTTATTTTACTTTATTTTATTTTATTTTATTTTATTTTTTATTTTATTTTATTTCAGGAATGTCTTCTTAGAAATACTTGAAGGTGTTTCTACTTGAAGACCAGAGAGAAAGTGAAGTGGTCTCAAAGTGAATACATCCAGAAAGCAGCATCCAATATGGCTCTGCAATTAAGTTTCTATTCACTCAACTCAGTAATTGGCTAATTATGTCATGGTTATTATATGTCTTGTGTTGTTCTTAGTCTAAATTAGGTTCTGTTCATTTTGGTTCAATTTTTATGAGTAGTTTTCTGGTTCTGGTTTTTCTTTTGTTTCAATATATAGTACTTTCAGGCTAAACAGGCAATACCTCAGTTTGAAATGTTTAGGATAAATTTGTAACCTTCTAAGTCTTTATGACTTTAATTTCTCAAAAACGAATCCACACATACTATTTTTTCTCAACAGAGTACAACAGGTATGTTTATGTAAACCCTAATTTATCTCATTAACTGCACAGTTGTGTGTAGAGCTGACATTTTCTGATGTCTGATTCTCATGTAGAAATATCTTCGATCTAAATCCTTGCATTAGTGTCAGGAAAAACTTTCTAGAACACGGTGTCTCTTATGCTGAATGTCACCAGAAGGCTCTCCTATGATGACTTCTCTTTGTAAGGCAATCCATTAGATGTATCTTTTACTCTGTTATAAATAATGTCACCTTACCTGGGCTATGCTCTCTACCAGAATTGTGAGCACTCATGTTGGTTCTATTGACAGTTGTGATAAATTGTTATTCATCTGCATGTGTTCTTACACAATAAAATTATGATTCATAGAAAAAGTATCTGAGATTGCTAGCTGGGGATAAATTAACAATTAAAGGCCAAAGAATTGAACAAGGAACTGCCATAGCAAGGCTTCAGAATGAAAACAAAGGCGTTAATATCCGCTTTGCCAAGTAATTATAATTACATCTTCAAATGTGTTTTTTTCTCAAACACTAGAATGAGTAAGTTGTTACTGTATGATATATATAGAGAGATAGATAGATAGATAAAGTGTTTTTTAAATAGTTTTTTGCATTAATCGAATGTTTACTCTGTACCAGATTCTATCCATGTGATGTATGTATCTGTTAGATAATCTAATCTTCACTTTTATCCTGTGAATTTGATACTATTACTATCTCTACTTAATGGTTAAAAATTCTGAGGAGCAGCCTGAGATCTCATAGCCAGCGAGTACTGGAGTTAAGTTCCAAATCCATATATCAGTATTCCAGGCTGCAAAACAGAATTTAGCAAAGAAAGTTCGTATATATTAAGGGACTTTTATCTATAAAGCATTTTAATAATTCTTCACATGCAGCATGACTAATAAAAGTTGATGGCTTTTCTTAACAAAAATTCCTAAGAAAGATGAGAACAGAAACTTCCTGGTTAACTAATCCCAAAACAGTTTATGAAACCATAGTAACAGAATAATAGATTAGCTGAGCACTATAATTGGGCAGGGAGGGGGAGATTTGCACATTTAAAATGTAATTTAGGGAAGCACGCAGAATTTATAGTATTAAATGAACAGTAATATTTCAATGTTAAATATTTTAAGACCTTTAATTTATATTCAATTCAAAAGAAGAAATTCGTTTCAAGACTAATTTCACTAGCAAAGTAGTAGCTCCTTTTTCATTATTAAACAAGTAATAATAACACGGCACTTGAGTCTTTTATTCACTTAACAAATATTTATTGATTCCTACTATATGTCAGTCACTCTTCAAAATCATTTTATTTTGACTGCGAACAGGATAGAAAATATTCCTGCACCAGTGGATTTTCAGATTACCTAGGACGCAGTTAAAAAAAATAGGAGAGGGAATTTTCAATGAGGATGCTATAGTAAATGCTAAGTTGTATTAGGCATTTATTATGTGACAGACATTTTTCTATATTTTTTACATCTATTACTCTAGTTGGATTTCACAATTACACTGTCATGTAAGAAATATTTTCATTCATATTTTTCAGATGAGGAAACTGAGGCATAAACATCTCATAGTGGGGTTCAAGGCAGGCTATTTTTTTTAATTAATAGACTTCATTTGCTTAGATTTAGTTTCACAGAAAATTGACCATATAGAACAAATAGTTCCTACATACTCGCTCTCTTTTTTATTCACTATTTCCCCTATTATTAACATCTTGCATTAGTGTGACCCATTTGACATAATTGAAACAGTATTAAGATATTATTATTAGCTACAGAATATTAACTAAAGTTCACCATACGTTACTTTTGAGATCAGTCTTTGCATTTTACAGTTTTGTGTGTTTTGACAAATGTATTATACAAGGTCATATATCTACTATTAAAATATTATAAAATAATTTTGCTACCCTAAATATTCCCTGTGCTCCATCTATTCATTTCTCCTCCCTTCCATCTTGAAACCACTGATCTTTCTGCTTCCTCTATAATTTTGCCTTTTCCTTTTCCAGAATGTTATAAGGGTGGAATCATATAGTGTGCAGCCTTGAAAGAGTGGCTTCTTCCACCAAATAATGTGCATTTAAGGTTCCTTCATGTCTTTACATGGCTTGATAGCTCACTTTTTATCCCTGAATAATAACTCATTATACAGATGTATCACCATTTGTTTACCCATTCATCTGTTGAAGGGCATGTTGATTGCTTCCAGCTTTTGTCAATTATGGATAGGCTGCTATAAACATTCATGTGTAGGCTTTTACCAACACATTTGGACAAACTCCAAGGAGCACAATTGCTGGATTATGTAAGTAGACTATGTTTCATTACGTAAGAAGCTTTCAACCTGTCTTGTAAAGTGGTTCTATCATTTTGCATTCCCACTAGCAATAAAGGAGAGTTGTTCTACATTTTTGGAACATTTGGTGTTGTCATATTGGGCAAGGGGTATTTTAGCTATTCTAAAAGGGATCTCATAAGTTTAATTTGCAATATCCTAATAAAATATGATGTTGAACATCTTTTCATACGATTATTTGCTATTTGTATATTGTCTTTGATGACGTGCCTACTCAGACATTTTCCCCACTGTTTAAATGGATTTTTTGTTTTCCAATTTGTTTCATGTGGACAAAATTATAATTTATGTTATATTGCCTTGTAGAATGCTGTGTAGATAATGTAACAGGCTAAGGAATAGAAATAATTTGATGGAAAAACAAATCTACTTTTTGTTTTACAAAGAAATGTTATGAAAGCCCTTTCTGAGGAGAAAGCCTTTTACTTGAAAATTTTTTAATAGAGGCAGGGTCTTGTTCTGTTCCCCAGGTTGGAGTGCAGTGACACAACCATAGCTCATTGCAGCCTTGAACTCCTGAGCTCAAGCGATCCTCCAGAGTAGCTAGCACTTTAGGCCAGAGCCACTATAACCCAGCCAGGAGACAACATTTGAGTGAAAATCTGAATAATAAGAAAACCTAGACAAAGAAATTCTTGGGTGTAGAGAGGATTTTCATTAAACACAATGAGTTATAGTTTCTTAACTTATGAAATGAAGATACCTTTGTTAAGATTTGCTCAATATTTGCTTATAACAACTAAATTGACAGAATCAATAATTAATTATCTTTAAATGGAGCGTCTAATATGTGTACTGTTTACAATCTTTTTTATTCAATGCTAGCATGTGGACCTGACATCATTGTAGATATATAGCTGATATGATATACAAACATGATTTTTAGCGTCTTTTTAATTTCAAATAAGTATTTATCTGAATATATTTCAATGAAAACCTAAATGTTTTAAAAAATGATTGTATAAAGACTTTTTGCAATTAATGCTTAGTTTGTGTAAGTATTCCGTCATGTGTATTGTTTAGTATTTTAGCTGCAAGCAATCAAGACTGAGTAATTTAAGCAGAAATGTATTGACAGATATTGGATAGATTGTAGACATTTCAGAATGACCAGAAAATCTGACACAGAAACTATGTAGTCTGGAATATTTCATCCAAATCCTACCACTTCGTTGGATCTGTGAAGTGCTGCAATCACGCTGACGACACTATGCATAGGGAACTGCCATTGGAATTCTCATCAATGTTGCTCCTTGAAATTGGTTGCAGTAGCTGCACTTGCTACTGTGTAATTTTGTTTCTCCTTCTGGTCTGTATATTTTGCTTTGTATCACTAGCTTTAAATTGAGAAGGCAGGTATTTCTGACTGGTAAAGCCAAGATCACGTGTCCACAGTCTAGCTGCTACAAGGGAAGCTCAGAAAATAAGTCAATGAAACGTGTTATTGTTTGTTTGTTTTTGTTTTTGTTTGTTTTGTTTTGTTTTGTTTTTGAGATGGAGTCTCGCTCTGTCGCCCAGGCTGAAGTGCAGTGGCGCGATCTCGGCTCACTGCAAGCTCCGCCTCCAGGGTTCATGCCAGTCTCAATTCTCCCGCCTCAGCCTCCCGAGTAGCTGGTATTACAGGCGCCTGCCACCACGTCTGGCTAATTTTTTGTATTTTTACTAAAGACGGGGTTTCACCATGTTAGCCAAGATGGTCTCGATCTCCTGACCTCGTGATCTGCCCGCCTCGGCCTCCCAAAGTGCTGGGATTACAGGCGTGAGTCACCGCGCCCGGCCAAATTGAAGTTTTTAGCTTTTAAAAAGGTGACATAAATGAAGACAAGGTAGTTTGAAAGTTCAAATGTCGAGTAGCCAAAAAGAATTAACAATTTTATATAGTATGCCATAATTCAGAATACATATTTTCCTGAAGAATATATTATTCTTTATATTCTCTTCTAATGTGGTGCTATCTTGGTATTTTTGTTAGTATAGATACAAAATGTTATCGATTTTTTTCCTACCAGGTATCTTCCCCTTTGTAATGTCGTATTCTAGCTCTCCCATCAAGAGTCTATTTATTTATTTGTGAATCTGGGCTTGGCCATCTTATTTGCTTTGTACAATAGATCCTTAGCAAATGTTGTAAGCAGAGGTTTGCAAACTGCCTGTGCATTAGAGCTTACTCTTTTGATAATCTCGGAAATCTTATATTAAGCATAAAGTGAAATCTTGGTAAGTCCACCATATGAGCAGCATACATCCCAACCATCTTGTTGACTACTATCTGGTGGCAAATGCATTAGTGAGACTAGATTATATATATATATATTTGTTGTTGTTGTTGTAGTTGTTGACACAGAGTTTCATTCTTGTCACCCAGGCTGCAGTGCAATGGCGAGACCTTGGCTCACTGCAACTTCTGCCTCCCAGGGATCAACAGATTCTCCTGCCTCAGCCTCCTGAGTAACTGCAATTACAGGCGCCCGCCACCATGCCTGGCTATCTTTTGTATTTTTAGTAGAGGTGGGATTTCGCCATGTTGGTCAGGCTCGTTACATGATAACTTGAGGAGCAGCTAAAGCTAAAAACTAGTCCCAAATTGCTTAACTATAGAAATGAGAAATAAGTATAGAGTATTTGTAATTCAAACCCACCAAATTTTAGGGTAGTTTGTTCTTGGTAAATGCTATCTAATACAGTTAGTATTTACTCCTTTTCATATATCACTGAGTAGCTTTTCTCCCCACTTTCAAATTGACACTCATCTGGTACATTGAAGGAAAATAGCTAAAATTTAACTGATTATTATTTGAAGGTATACATGGCATATTTTGAATATGGTTCACAAATCAGCTTCATAAAAGACCATGCATTTATTTCTACAAGACAAGATATTTAAACTTTTGTTTCAGATTTTTTAAAATATTATAGCATCTTGGCATACTTAGCAATTTTCAACATAGATGATGGTGTAAAAAAACTTTTATTTTTGCTTTGTTACAGATATATCAATTAGTTTCAGAATTCAAAGTTGGTTATACTAAAAAGAAAATAAGTGACATTTTAGATCAGAAACAAAGTTGATTATTCCTAACTACAGAAATGGAAAAATGGCAGGGACCCTAATACTTCACAGATCAGTCACTGAAAGCTTTCCTAGCCTTTAATGACTGCAGGGTTGTCAGTAGGTATAGCTTGGTGGTAAAAATCTGGTACACTTTCACCAGGGAATAGTGCTCCACTTATTTGCTTTCACAAAAAAAAAATGAAAATAAAACAAATTAAAAAAAACACACTTTAATGAATGTTGTAGTTTTGATAGTATTGTGAAATATTCCAGTAAATAAGTTTCTAAACTAAATTTATATGTGAAGTGTAAATGGCCTGTTCAATTTTATTGTCAAGAAAGGCTTCACCAAAGACTTTCCTCCAAATTATACATATTAAGTGAAGACTACTCTTCATTATGCCAAACTTCCAGTCAATTATTTCTAATATTTATAGAGGTAATTTCCTTAAGATGAAAAACTATAGAAATGTATTCTGTACTTGCTGTGTTTCAATGATGAAAACTAAATTTAATAAGCAAACACATTTTTGTGACTTTGTTTCTATATATTCTTGATCTTGTATCATCATATTTGATTGTAGTTATAGTCTTTCAATTAAGTTATCTTGCAGTATTTAACTTTAAAAGAATTATGGAAAATTTATTTAGCACTTATAAACTATAAAAACATATCAATATGCTTAACCAAAAGTAAGTTTTTAGTGAATTCGAGTCAACAAAAATTTTTAAAGACATAGCATGTGTAGGCCAGGCACGGTGGCTCACGCCTGTAATCCCAGCACTTTGGGAGGCCGAGGTGGGCGGATTATGAGGTCAGGAGATCAAGACCATCCTGGCTAACACGGTGAATCCCTGTCTCTACTAAAAAATACAAAAAATTAGCCAGGTGTGGTGGCGGGCGCCTGTAGTCGCAGCTACTCGGGAGGCTGAGGCAGGAGAATGGCGTGCAACTTGGGAGGCGGAGCTTGCAGTGAGCCAAGGTCATGCCACTGCCCTCCAGCCTGGACGACAGAGTGAGACTCTGCCAAAAAAAAAAAAAAAAAAAAAAGACATAGCATGTGTAGACTGATGTATAACTGTGCAAATTAAAAGAAGACTGTATATTAAGACAATGGAGTCAAGAAGAGTAGCAATTTAGATTATTACCAAGGACAAATAGTATAATAGTATGATTTGAAATATTTCATCAGAAGACATTATATCTGCTTCTCTACATATTCACAGGAATAGAAAGTAAATGGAACCTAAACTAGAGGAGACAAACTAAGGAAGATTTGCCCAAGAAACATAGCAACGATTAATAAATTGTCAGAAAGAAGCACTAATGGCCAGGACCTCAAAAGACAAGGTAACAATCACTATATTTGTAAATAAAAATACATTATTTATAACCAAAATAGTAATTTATTGTTTTATCCATTTAGAATACTAACCATTTTATTATATTGTCAAATATAACTTTATTAATATTTAATATTTACTATCAATTCTTTCTGTTGGAGTTTAAATCTAGTAGTGAGTTTCACTTTTAACTGCAATCCTATCACCCCGTTGTTTAAAATAATTTATCACATGAATGCTGACAAAATAGCCCTTCGTGTACATGAAGATGTAAATGATATATCCCCCTTAAGACTTTCCAGTTAAATTTTACCTCTAAACTTTGATGTTTTGAAAACATTGTCTTTGACTTTTTCTAAGTCCATAGTGTTGACACTACTTTGTATAATTGTATAAGTTAGATCACTCCCAGAAAATGAAAAGTAGTTTAATTTATAATATTTATAAACTATGACCTGGTCAACATGATAATGTATCATGTGCTAAGTGGACTAGTGACCAATAATATCCTAAGGATTTGTATTTCTATTTCCATAGATGACAAACCTGATATCCAGAATTATCAAGGTACTTATCAAGTAGAGGACCTGAAGCTGCAATCCACATCTTTGATCAAGTTCATTTCTTTCTCTAATAAGATCATGTAGCTTTCTATAGAATAGAATTTATCTGTATATTACCTTAAGATTTCTCATTTCAATGGACCACTGAATTTAAAAATTGAAACACGGGTCATTAATGGAGAAGTTATATAAAAGTTATTCTGCTATGATTTGTGGTCAATCATAAGTCAACAATTTGAAGCTTAAAATGTGCCCCAAAGATAATGAGCTTTTCTAATTATGAAGGGGCTCCTGGGTAAGGTAGGCAGGGCTAAAGTAAGCATTAAAACAAAATGAAACAAAGCATTGTAATGAAGTTGTTGGGCCTAGTTAATGCACAACGCAGTAAAACGTGATTGCCTGTTAAGCAAACCAGACAGGAGCCTCAAAAGAAATTAAATTATTATATAATAAATGTATTTAGAGAGGTGCAGAATCTTAACTTCAAAACCTTGAAAACATTAAATCAACCCCTGATAATTAATACATTATTTATATTTAATGACCTTTATGCATTAGAAATATGTTATAGCACTCACACTATACTAATCTGAAAGAGCTCGCAGAAGTGAAAAAACACAGAGAAAAATGTATACTTTTTACTATTAGTACATAATAGTTTTCAATGGCTTCTTCATAGCTAATTAGATATTAGAATATTATTTAAGGTACTTCAGATCTTAGTAGAAAATGTATGCTTTTTGTTTTGTATGTATGCCACCAAAAACCTACAATGTTTGTATTTCTCTGGGAACTCTGTTGCCATCACCAGAATAGTAATGTATAATATACTCAATTTACATACTAACAGGAAATTAATTTGTAACCAAACCGTAAGTAACCTCAAGCCACCATTAAAAAATCATTTGAACTTCTAGTATTAGACTAAATTAAAAAATATTAACAACTAGGTTGCTGAAGCTGAAATATAGCAAAATTCTGCAGTGTTTCCTAGGATTTGTCAAAAACTTAAAAAGTTATTGCTTTAGTATAGCAATGGTAGTTCTTAATTAACACAAATAGTAAATTAACCAGCATGTCCTATTTTTGAAAAACCCATATGCATGCCTTATATTGTACAAAACACCTATGACAGACAATGTTTACCTTAGGAATTTTCATATAAAAGTTAATTTATTTTAATATCAAGAATGATTTAATATTACCAACAAGAAAGCTACAGTCAGTCCTCCATATTGATGGGTTCTTCATCCATGAATTCAACCAACTACAGATCTAAAATTTGCAGAACAAAAAAATAGATGGTTGTATGTACTGAACATATACAGACTTAAAAAATATTTCCTAAGAAATATGGTACAACCATAATTTACATAACATTTACATTGTATTAGGTATTATAAGCAATCTAGAGATGATTTACATATACAAGAGGGTGTATTTAGGTTATATGCAAATATTACACCATTTTATATAAGATACTTGAGTATCTGTGAACTTTGGTATCCAATGGTGGGGGGCTTTGGAGCAAATCCCCCACTGATACCCAGAGATGAGTGAAATTAGATTTGAGGTATCTTTTTTCATCCATTAAAATTATTATACAGAATTTCATAACAGCGATATGACTAATTTTCCAGGTAAGCACAAAACGTGTCTGGAGGGTGTTAATAAGTGCTTATAACCATCAACCTAAGACCAAAGAATGATAAAAATTTACTAGTTGGACTCCCAAAAGTAATTTTTAAGGTTGATGTCAAGTGCCCAATTGTTATAAAGTAATTTCTCCAACACTTTACATTTTTGAAATAATCTAGATAAATTCAGTCCACTAAAATTCTACTTGAGCCTATTTAATTTCCTACGATTCAGTTATATTAACAAAAGGATTCTGTTTGGGTTTGGGGGTTATGCTTGAACGAGACTCAAGTTAATCATTTGGGTACTTAAATGTTCTTAACTCAAGGATTTCTTCTGACAGTCATTTCAAGAACAGCTTTATATTCTTCAATTCACCTATTCCACAAGAAATAAATACAAAGGGATTTTATTCTGCTCACATTTTTCTGCCTTGTCACCAAAATGCATTGCTTAGGGGCAATTTTCATGTACAAAAGGCCTATATGCTTCATGGATTTAAACACCCCTATTTCTCAGTAAAGGTCAAAGGGTGTTAATCACAGCCCCATAATTGTTCTCAACCTTCATTAACAGACACCATATTAAACTGATGGAAAGCCCTGCTTAATCAGGCTTTGCTAAAATTACTCAGGTAGATTATCAAGATAAAAGAGCAGGAAAGCTAGAAATGGGCCTGAGGGAGAATGTGCCTAAAAGTATCTGTCTTCCTTCTGTCACCAAAACCTGTGTAGCACTGAGAGATCTTTGGAAAGTAAAAGTTCAGACTTACTATTAGATTTTATTTTCAAGCATTAGAGTTTGGTGTTTTCAATTATAAATGAAAGCACAACTTGTTGCAGGATGATTTCAGCAAGGATGTTCCATTTCTTCATAAATAGTTATAATCTTGTTTTCCAGTACTTGAAATGTCTAAAGCCATTTGGATTTATGTAGGCCACTTCTTTCTGGTATTTATTCCTCAAAAAGCAGATATGTAAAATGTAGCAGAGTACCTATATTATACAACAGCCTTTGCATGATTAATATATAACTACACACATTGGCACATTAATTCACATTGTTTTAACACAGTTATGTTTTAGTCATCTAAATATTATGAAACAAAAAGAAGAAAGCAATAAAATATCACATACTTTATAGCAGACATAAGGGGAATATATATATATATGTATATACACACACACACATATATATACACACACACCCACATTTGATCTCTATCAAAAGGTTTTGATCAAGAAAAATATGTATGTGTGCATGTTTGCATTTATGTATACATTGCGACATTACTGTATGAATTAATATTTATTCAATTCAATTAAAAAATTATTTTCATTGTGGTACTATAAAAGACACTAAATCCTAAGAAGCTATACAAACATCTTAAAACAATTCTCTTAAGTTGGTTACTTTTTGAACAGATATACACATGTAGTATAAAAGCAGGTAGAATAGGATACATTACTTTAGTGATATAAAATTTTACAGGAATTCGGAGAAATGAATAGTTAGTTTTGGTTGAGAAGCCATAAACTATTCAATAATTCTTCATGAAGAAACAATGTTAAAGTCAAATCTTTAAAAATGAGTTAAAAAAATCATACTAATGGCATTGGGCAGCAATATTTCTTCATTTATTAAAATAACAGCTTGTAGGAAGATATTTGATAGCAGGCATATGTAATGGGAAGCATGCGACAGTTCTTTGCAAACCACCAGAGCAGAGGAGAAGTTCAATATATCAGAAACAAAGAAAAATTTAAAAACCAAGGAAAAGATGGAATGGTAGAATAATTTTAATGACGAGAGTAGGCATTGAGTAATTCAAATGTTAAGTATTTTATCATGAGGTCATTAGGATACATTAAAATATTTTAAGAAAATATTTTAAGAAAAATATGCAATGACATAATTTTATTTTTTAGAGTGTATTTGATGGAAGGAGGTGAAAGTGAAACCTAGAAGATGAGTTTGAATGTAATTGCTGAATTGTATTGAAAAATAAAGGTAATTTGATATAACTATGATAGTGGCAATGGGAATTAGTATGCAAAAATGACAATGAGATAAGAAAGCTCAAACTTGGAAATTGATTAGATGTGTGATCACAAATATAGAAAAGGTAAAATTCGAAATAAGGACATTCTATTATTTGTTACTATTTCATTTTTTGCATGGGGAGGTCTTTCTCTCACCTCACTTCTACCACGTACTTAATCTTACATTTCTGAAGTAGATATATCACTATATATATAAACAAGATAATGAAAGGAGAACAAAAGAAAGTCAATAAGATTACATTCTTGGTGCTTTGATTCATGGTGATAAATTTTTGTAAACACTGTTTCTTTGTATTAAAATCATGAGCCCATATTTACTTTAGTGAGCATTCTGTAAATAGAGTCAGAAAATAAGATTGTTAATTACTCTAATTCCAAATATCTCTTTTCCAGTTTATCTGGATATCCATGTCAGAAATTACATTACAGGTTTGCCTTTAAATTATAATGTGATGTTAATCCATCATCAATGCTTTAATCAGTGTTTCCTTACCTATTAACAATGTAAAAGCCATTCAGCATCTGAAACTAATACTTTAAAAAAAAATCCCATGGAAATTGTCTGTGAAATTCATACAAAAATATTCTTTGTCACAAATTTGAATGTGCAAGGATAAGATTTGAAATGGTGTCGATGTATCAAAATAACACATTTCATGCAGTGTGATAAAATTTTCACCACTGTCAAACTCAGAGAAATAATATCTTAACAGGTTTACAGGAAAGCAAAACATGCTTCATTATCGCTTTGAATATTTCATGAGATCAAAAGAAGCATGTATTTTTTTTTTCCCCAGGCAAGAATCTGTTTTGTTACTGAGAAAAACTTGTTTAGGTTTGAAAAGGTCAACGTTTCCAAGATAAATGTCATATTTTCGCTTAAAAATATGAATTTCCAAATTTTCTCAGACTGAAAACTCATGTAATAGTTGCAATATAATTTCATTGTAGATATGCTAAGTCAATATTTTGAAAGAAAACATTGCACATTTTTTAAACACAAGTAAGAGAAACTAACATTATGATAGAAAATTAATTTTAGTGTCTCAGGTGTATATTGCATTGATGCCATTGGGCTATGATATATCTTGATTTGAATCCAAGACATTCCCTGCACTGTGACAAACTGACGTTTCTAGACCTTCTTCTTAATTTGCTAGCGATGCTGTAACAAAATGCCACAGACTGGATGGCTTAAAAAACAGAAATTCATTTTCTCACAATTCTCAAGGCCAGAAGTCCAAAAACATTGTGCTGACAGGTTTTGCTTCTTCTGAAGTCTCTCTCCTTGGCTTAAAGATGGCGGCCTTCTCACTTGTATCCTCACATGGCCTCTCCTCTGTGTGTGCACATCTCTTGATGTTTCTCTCTCTGCCTTAATCTCCTCTTCCATGATATAATGATATGAGTCAGATTGGATTAGGGCCCATTCTAATTACCTCATTTTAGCTTAATTACCTCTTTAGAGTCCCTAAATTCGAATATAGTGACATTCTGACATACTAGAAGTTAGGACTTCAGCATACGAAGTTTGGAGGGAGCAACTGAGTCCACAATAGTCCTAATTTTTTCAGAATACAAAGAAGCAGAATTATCATTTAAAATTCACAGTGATATAGATATTGAACAGAAATACATTTTATTCCCACCCCAATTTGACAACAAATAAAATTAAATCAGGCTTTAAGGAAACTATGAGGAAACTTCTCAGAGATATTCTTGAGCAATGACAATTTCTGTTTTCACTTGTAATGCTCATAAACTATTACTGCTTAATTACTCCACTTGTCTTTCAGTTGATTAACACTTGGCCAATTTCTCACTTCATCTATAATCCTATGTCTGTAAACCTCATTTGGTTAGCAAGGCATCTACCACTTTGGAGGAGGTTAACAGCTATTTTAGTGTCTGGAATAAGTACTATTTTAGTAGCAGAAAAGTATCTTTTAAATTCCTGACATTATAAAGAAAGAAAAGAAAGATACTTTCTTTATATGTTGAAGATAATCTATCTCAAGCTGGTTGTCAGTAGAATATTAAATGTTGATTTTGTGGACACTCTTATGCCCAATATTACTGACACTATTTAAGATTATTCAGTACAGACTGATCAATGCATTAACAAGAGCAACAACAAAGAGGTTACACCTATGTGATATATAATTTCAATATTAATATTATGATATTAATATATAATTATTTGAGGTCATGTAATTTTTTTAAAAATTTGGAGTGCTGAGGGAAACAAGGGGGATGGACACTATAATATTTTTGTTTTTTAAAATTTTTTACAATATATTTATAACAATACATTATGATTTTTTTAAACTGAATAAATAAAATCATATTCCTGCAGACTGTAAAAATGTAAAGATATTTTCCAAGTAATATGCAGGCAGGATATTCTTCATGTTACTTACGTTGTATCTGAAATATTACAAATGTGTATATAATAACATACATATATTACTTTTCTTGAGAAATAAAAAATATATACTGAGTAAATATGGAGATAATTCTACATCGTTTCTGGCTATTGGATGTTATAAAGATATCATTTCCTTTTCAAATAAACATATATGCTTAATACAATGATTATCAAATGCAAATTATTTTTAAAATTTTAAATGAAAAGGTCAATAAGTTAGAAAAGCTAACAAACTTTGGGAGTGGAAAGGCTATGTTAAAACTTGCGTTAGTAGAAATTAAGGCTTATATTAACATTTCAATACCTAGCCAATTGTGGCCTTGTTTCCAGAATAGAGAGCTGATTTATATCTTGAAATAGGAGTCTAGAATATGCATAATTGAAGATATAATGAAGAAAATGAAAAATATATTAGAATATTTAATAAACAACGCTTGACAAATGACTGAAAAACCAGGTTCATATCTGTCTACATATCTAAAATAAATTTCATTATAAAATATCAAACAAATAAATATAAATAACTACTCATTTAGCTTCCAGATGAAAAAAAGACTGTAAATAGTAAAAATGCAAAAAAGAAAAAATGTAGGACAACATTGGTAG
The DNA here is from genome assembly GCF_000001405.40 of Homo sapiens. Classification (NCBI taxonomy): domain Eukaryota; kingdom Metazoa; phylum Chordata; class Mammalia; order Primates; family Hominidae; genus Homo; species Homo sapiens. Next base: position 33,369,128 of record NC_000004.12, read on the forward strand.
TCTAATTTCCTAACCCCATATTTCCATTTCTTAATAAATCCTATTGATTTTACCTCTAAAGCCTATTGCTTATCGGGCAATTTCTCTATATCTTTTTTACCACCACGCAAAAAGTAGTCTACACCTGGACTTCAGTAGCAGCCTCCTAAATTATTTTCAGTTATCTAAAAGCTTACCCCATTCATCTTTCAGTAGCAAGATTATACTCTAAAATATAATATTTGCTAACAATTATTAAGTATATAGTATGGGCCATGTACTGTTCTGTTTTCTTGGCTATAATAATACATTAATCTTCATATTAATCTTAACTTATGGCCCTCCCTCATTTTTAAATGAAGAATCTGAAAAAGATGAATAATTTATGACTTTAGCATTCATTAACAAAGTCACACAGAGAGTGGCAAGGCAAGATTTACACCCACACGCTTCCACACTGAACTGCCTCTGTAAAGCAGCCCTAAAATTTATCTAGAATTGAAGAGAATAACCTTCAGCTTCTTTCCATGGCATATAAAGCCCTTGTTGTGCTGCCTCCCTGCCTTTCTCCTGACTCATTTTATATGACCCTCCACCCACTCACTCACGTCTTCAATTACACCAGTCTCCCATTGAATTCCTTGCGCTTGCCAAGCTTATTCTTAGCTAACATCTTTTGCTTTTGCATTACTCTGCCTGGTTCTTCCCAGTGTTCTTCAAATAGTGTGTCCTCAAAGATAAATTACCCTACATAAAGTAACGTCTGTCCTCAACAAATACGTACTCCAGGGGCTATTACTTCATGCTGTTTATTCTTCATAGCACCCAACACTATCATATATTTTTTTTCTATTTGTTATTAATTTATTTTTTGTACTCCCACACTAGAATGTAATCTCTATGAGGCCAAGTGTCTTGCCCTTTCTGAATAGAACTCTATCAACAATGATTAAATCACTATGTGACACAGAATAATTTCTTAAATTAAATTAATGAAGGTATTAAATTAATGCCAGACTAAATCTGCAAAACTTTTGTATGCTAAAAAACTGTGATTAGAACTGTTCTTCTCACTCGATTCTTTTGTAAACTGAAAACTATTTTAAAAATCTATTAATTAAAAACTTAAAATAATGTTAAAAGAAAAAAGGGAAAAGCCTTTTCAACATTATAGTACAATGAGTTAAAACCTTTAAATATGAAATTTTATAATTTATTTATTAATACATAAAACATCAAGACCCTAATTTTAATAATGTGCAAAAGACACTGAAGTTTCCTGTATTTGGAAATGCAAATGTTGAACACATGTATAAAACAATTTAAATTTTAAATTCTTTCCCTTTGAGAATTTGTATTATCTTGGAAAAGATGGACAAAAACAAATGAATAAATGTATCTGTCACAACATATAAATAAAGAAATCTAAAACAGTTAGATAATAAACCTGATTTGATATCTTGATTGAGAAAAAGAAAAATAAAGCAAGATTAAGATACAAGATACCATAAATATTTATTGATATAATTGGTTTGTTAAGCATTTATATAAATGCACACATCTAACTCTTTATGAAAATATTTCATTAAATTCACACAACATCTATGAGGAAATTTCTAGTATTTTAACGTTTTACATATGGAAACAGAAATAGAGAAGTTAAGATACTTGCCAACAGCACAAACTACCAAAACACAGAGCCTGGATTTGAAGACTTTGAAGCCCACACTTGTAAAAAGTGTTACCACTTCCACTATTTTGTATAAGTAATTAATAAATGAGAGAATAAGTGAATGAATATTTTCTATCTGGCCAATTTATCAGATTATATTCTAAATAAATTGTGTTCATATTTCTTTTATTCATAAATACAATAAAAATATATCCATATAATCTAATCTTGACTTTCTCCTTAAAGTATGAAAAATTACATTTTGTCTACCAGAATGGAAATCTAGCAGATTACATATTTACTTTCATTTACTGAATTGTCCTTTTAAAATTTCTTAGTCTATAAATGAGGGAAATTTATAGTACTAAATGCCCACATCAAAAAGCTGGAAAGGTCTCTAATCAACAACCTAACATTACAACTAAAAGAACTGCAGAATCAAGAGCAAACAAACCCCAAAGCTAGCAGAAGACAAGGAATAGCCTAGATCACAGTAGAACTGAAGAAGATAGAGACATGAAAAACCCTTCAAAAATCAAAAAATTTAGGAGCAGTTTTTTAATATAGTTGATAAAATAGACCACCAGCTGGACTAATAAAGAAGAAAAGAGAGAAGAATCAAATAGACACAATCGGAAACGATAAGAAGGATATCATCACTGACCTACAGAAATACAAACAACTATTGGAGAAACTATAAACAGCCCTGTGTGCATAAATTAGAAAATCTAGCAGAAATGGACGCATTCCTGGAGGTATACAGCAACCCAAGACTGAATCAGGAGGAAATGGAATCCCTGAATAGGCTAATAATGAGTTCTGAAATTGAAGCAGTAATAAATAGCCTACCAACCAAAAAAGCCCAGGACTAGACAGATTTACAGCTAAATTCTACCAGAAGTACAAAGAGGAGTTGGTAACATTTCTACTGAAACTATTCCAAACAATTGAAAAGGAGGAACTCCTCTCTAACTCATTTTATGAGGTCAGCATCATCCTGATACCAAAATCTGGCAGAGATACAAGAAAAAAAGAAAACTTCAGGTCAGTATCCCTGATGAACATCGATGCGAAAATCGTCAATAAAATACTGGCACACCAAATCCAGCAGCACATCAAAAAGCTTATCCATCATGATCAAGTCGGCTTCATCCCTGGGATGCAAGGATGGTTCAACATAGCAAATCAATAAATGTAATTTATCACATAAACAGAACTACTGAAAAAAAAAACATGATTATCTCAATAGATGCTGAAAGGGCCTGGGATAAAATTTAAAATCCCTTATGTTAAAAACTTACAATAAACTAGGTATTGAATGAACATACCTCAAAATAATAAGAACCATATATGACAAACCCACAGCCAATATCATACTGAATGAGAAAAAGTTGGAATCATTCCCTTTGAAAACCGGCACAAGACAAGGATGCCGTCTCTCACCACTCCTATTCAGCATAGTATTGGAAATTCTATCCATGGCAATCAGGCAAGAAAAAGAAATAAAGGGTATTCAAATAGGAAGAGAGGAAGTCAAATAATCTTTGTTGGCAGATGATATGTTCCTATAAAACCCCATTGTCTCAGCCCAAAAGCTCCTTAAGCTGATAAGCAGCTTCAACAGTCTCAGCATAAAAAATTAGTGTGCAAAAATCACTAGCATTCCTACACATCACCAACAAGCAAGCAGAGAGCCAAATCATGAATAAACTCCCATTCACAATTGCTACAAAGATAATAAAATACCTAGGAATATAGCTAACAAGGAAAGTGAAGGACCTCTTCAAGGAGAACTACAAACCACTGCTCCAATAAATCAGAGAGGACACAAACAAATGGAAAAACATTCCATGTTCATGGATAGGAAAAAGCAATACTGTGGCAATGGACATACTGCTAAAAGTAATTTATAGATTCATTGCTATTCCCATTAAACTACCATTGACGTTCTTCACAGAATTAGAAAAAACTATTTTAAAATTCTTATGGAACCAAAAAAGGGCCCGACTAGCCAACACAATCCTAAGCAAAAAGAGCAAAACTGGAGGCATCACACTACGCAACTTCAAACTATACAAGGCTACAGTAATCAAAACAGCATGGTACTGGTACAAAAACAGACAAACCAATAGAACATAATAGAGAACTCAGAAATAAGACTGTACGCCTACAACCATCTGATCAACAAACCTGAAAAAAGAAATGGAGAAATTATTTCATATTTAATAAACGGTGTTGGGAGAACTGGCTACTAAATGCAGAAAATTGATACTGGACACCTTCCTTACACCTTATACAAAAATTAACTTAAGATGGATTAAAGACTTAAATGTAAAACCCAAAACCATAAAAAACCTAGAAGAAAACCTAGGCAATATCATTTAGGACATAGGCATGGACAAAGACTTCATGACTAAAATGCCAAAAACGATTGCAACAAAAGCCAAAATTGACAAATGGGATCTAATTAAATTAAAGAGTTTCTGCACAGCAAAAGAACCTATCATCAGAGTGAACAGACAGCCTATAGAATGGGATAAGAATTTTGCAATTTATCCATCTTACTAAGGTCTAATATAGAAAGTCTACAAATTTACAAGAAGAAAACAAACAACCCCATTAAAAAGTGGTCAAAGGACATAAACAGACGGTTCTCAAAAGAAAATATTTACGCAGCCAAGAAGCATATAAAAAAAAACTCAACATCACTCATCATTAGAGAAATGCAAATAAAAAACACAATGAGATACATCTCATGCCAGTCAGAACGGCGATTATTAAAACGTCAAGAAACAACAGATGCTGGCGTGGTTGCAGAGAAAAAGGAACACTTTTACGCTGTTGGTGGGAGTGTAAATTAGTCCAAGCATTGTGGAAGACAGTGGTGATTTCTCAAAGATATTGAAGAAGAAATACCATTTGACCCAGCAACCCCATTACTGGGTATATATCCAAAGGAATATAAATAATTCCATTACAAAGATACACACATATGCTGTTCATTGCAACACTATTCACAATAGCAAAGACATGGAATCAATCCAAACGCCCATCAATGATAGACTGAATAAAGAAAATGTGGTGCATATACACCATGGAATACTATGCAGCCACAAAAAAGAATGAGATCATGTCTTTGTAGGGACATGTATGGAGGTGGAAGCCGTTATTCTCAGCAAACTAAGGCAGGAACAGGAAACCAAACACTGAATGTTCTCACTTATATGTAGGAGCTGAGTGATGAGAACACATGGACACATGGTGAGGAACAACACACACTGGGGCCTGTTGGGGGAGAGAAGGGAGAAGGAGAGCATCAGGAAGAATAGGTAATAAAAGTTCTGCTTAATACCTAGGTGATGGGTTGATCTGTGCAGCAAACCACCATGGCACAGGTTTACCTGTGTAACAAACCTGCATATCCTGCACATGTACCCCAGAACTTAAAATAAAAGTTGGATTAAAAAAAGAAAGCTATCAAAAAATAAAATAAAACCTCTTACATCGAAAGTTTACTTTCTTACCTGCAAAATTACCATGCAAATATCAAATTAAACTTTTTTTTCTTGAAGGACTATTTATAATTTACAGTCAAGTGTAACAGAATCACCTAGATGACTCCATTTTTTGGTGTTTTATGGATTTATCATTGTTTTATTTTTCAATTCAATCATTAAGAAAACTATGGTGGCATTAAGATCACAATTATGGTAAAAAAAAAAAAAAAAAAGCTAGCGCATTTCCATTTTAGATACTTTTGCTCTCCAAATCAAAAAGTTCCACATTATAATAAAAGGGAACAGAAAGAAAAGAAAGATAGCAAGAATACAAACACCATTATCAGAGGATGAGAAGTATTTTTTTTTCTTTTCTCAAACATCTAGCTTTTTCTCAAAACATGGCTTTTCCCCTATGCTACATCCAGAAAAACCCATTGGTTGAAACAAAATTCTACAAAAATTTGGATTGCATGTCTTGGTGTTGGTTTTCTAAATGAATAAATTATGTAGTTCACTGAATGAGTAAATACATTGCTAAAATAATAGGATTGAATTATTCCACCTGCAGATGAACACTGAAGAAATAAATACAAATTACATTATCTCTATTATATTCTTATTTTTTATTTCAAATATTATAGGTGAGATAAAGTCAACCTTCTGGATAAATGTATTCCATCATCAAAATTCCAAGGGAAAATATATGCATGTGAATATATATGTAAATTTATACTTACAATGGCATATGGAGTTTTTTGTTATATCATTTATTTATATTTATAATTAAAATGTCTAATTATACTACTTTTTGTAAAAACTGTTAATGCATCAGATATACCTAGAAAAAAAAACCCACACGTTATTTTCATTTTGGTGTGTGGCAAAGCTGATAAGAAGCTGTTAACAATACAGAATTGTAATGTGATGGTTTTATGTACTGTGGGGTTTAAAGCTGAATTTACTAAACGGATCAGATAACTATTTTTGTTATTTTTCTATGTTAACAAATAAATGCTGCTTCCAATATGTTGTTTTCTACTAAATATTCAGTATGCTAAAATGGAACCTAATGGCAATCACTGACCCCTGTATCCTTTTTAAAAACTGTATTAAAATAATGAATTCATATTTTTAATAAATGTGCTTATTTTCTAATTTTTCTTGTAAGAAATGCTTGCTAATAACAAACTATAAGTACAGATGAAAAATTTGCAGGACTTTTTTTTTTCTCTAAGTTTAAGCACTACCATTTATTATTCCAGATATCTTCCTTTTTCTACCTATAACCTAATATCTCGGGGAATTCATGAATATTTATTTGAGTGTAATGAGGGTCAAGCTAAAGCAAGGTAATGGACCAGTACTCTTTTGTCCTCTTTCCTCCCTGTAGGAGTGGATCGTTTCTTAATGGGGCACTTGACATAATACATGAATAGAAAGTTTACCTTGTTCCTCCCACTCACTCTCCCCCAGAGGTGCAAAGGCAGAGTGCTTTCTTAATAAAACCATTTATGGCTGAAGGTGCTTTTTCTTGCATCTTTATAAACTGCAACAGATATAATCATAGATGTGTGTGCTAAAACATTTGTCTTATTCAGAATGTGATATTTAGGATCACTCAAGTCATATCTAGAATTTAGCTGTGATATCACAGATCACTCTTCAGGAACAAACTTTTTAATTTTTTTTTCCTGGAGATTTCTGTAAGTTTGCTTTTGAATTATGAGTGCTGCCCCTAATGAAGAAGTGCATGCCACCAAGAAACAGAGCGGATTCCGCCCAGATTCTTTCCTACGGACTGGGCTCAGCTATCCCTGATAGGTCTATTCATGTGTTTGTCTAAAATAGTTCGTTCTATACAGGAAGACTCACATCAAGGACTTTGCAACAAGCTTCCAAATCTATTCTACAGCAGCCCATGAACACCCAACTGGTCCAGTAGATCAATGAAGTTGGTAATCACATCTTCAATGCCATACCAAAAGAAATTTAATTTTAGTGTGGAAGCAAAGCCACTGATAAAATAAATTTTCTGACTAAACACTTTTCTGATTTAATGAAGGGTATTAATATTCAAGGTGAGATGAATGAAATGAGGTGATACCTCATTTATGTTTTTTAATTTAACTTAAAATTTTGATTAACCTTTAATGGATACAGCTTACATTATGACTCTGAAGTGCTAACTTTAAAAAATGGAGAATTTTATCTTTTACAACTTGAAATTTTGTGACCTTATAAAAACCAAAAATTTTATTTTTTATGTTTTATTTCTTTTCAATAAAGATAATTTCTCTGATACAGTAAAGTTCTATTGAATATTTTGATTTAAGTGCATATTAATACTACAAATTATCACTAAAAAGACAAGCCTTGTGAAAGGGCATAGTTTAATGGAATATATCTTTAGCTTTATGGGGGTAAAAAGAGAAATGGCTTTCCATAGGGTTTTAAATAAACAAAATATATAAGGTACAGCTAAAATGACAGGAGTTCTAGTACAAACTTTTGGTTTATGAAATTACAACTATTTATTTTAAAATTTTGCTCTCACATATTCTACAATACATTAAAAGTCTAGCTTTTGTTGTCATAGTTATAAAACTTAATGCAACAATTTATGAATTACAATTTATGAGTTGTCCAAATGCATTTGTTGACTGCAGTTTATGTTTAAACAACTACTTTTTTCATGTGTAGAAATTTAGAATAGCTCAGAAATGTATTGCATTGTGAAAAAAAAGAAGTCGGTTGGATTAGGAGAAGGTCAACCATATTCATTAAAATTGTGCCTTGCTCTAGAAAAATAAAATCCAATTATTTTCAGTGTAGAACTATCAAAGCTTTTTTAGTTCATTGATTCAGGCCTCATTTTGTTAGTTTACTGTCTCAGAAAGAATATCTACCTGATTTGTATGCAGATGTCATATATTTCTGCCTACATATGGGTATTTTACTAATCATAGACTACTATCGTAAGCTCTAAACTTTACAAGCATAAAGCATGTGTTTATACAGTTGATATGGTTTGGTTGTGTCCCCACCCAAATTTCATCTTGAATTGTAGCTCCCAGAATTCCCATGTGTTGTGGGAGAGACTTAGTGGGAGGTAATTGAATCATGGGGGCAGTTTCCCCCATACTGTTCTCTTGGTAGTGAATGAGTTTCACGAGATCTGATGGTTTGATAAGAGGTTTCCCTTTTCACTTGGCTCTCATTCTCTCTTACCTGCAGCCATGAAAGACATGCTGTTCACTTTCCATCATGATTGTGAGGCCTCCCCAACCACATGGAACTGTGAGTCCATTAAACATCTTTTTTCTTTATAAATTAGCCAGCCTTGGGTATGTCTTTATCAGCAGCATGAAAACATACTAATACAACAGTTATAAAAACAATTCTTAGAAATAAAGGTTTTTTTGCTAATATATTTAAGGAAATATCTGTCTCACATCCTAGAGTGCTATCCTAAAATGCTAATTAAAATTAAATCTATTTAGCTTTGTCTGTCCACTGAAGACTTCCAAGAGCTTATTCAGAAAACCCTGATAAGCCAATGTGTCTGACTCTTTGAGGCGTTCCTTGCTGTGTAGATGCTTTCTAAGATACTTGAAGTAGGGCATAGATAAGGCTGATAATAAATAAACATGGATTAAACAATCTGACTAATTTTTTTTAAGTCTAGCTTTGACTTCTATTACCAAATGTCATCTAAAAATGAAAAACTTCTTGTACTTACTTATATGTTTTCAGTCCAAGTCCTAGAACTTTGAATTTTTAACAGTGTCAATACTTGCAACTTAGGGACATATTGGATAGAATTACCTCCACAAATCAATCCTTAATACTTTACCATAAAACTACCATTTGGCATTTGATAACACCTCATATTCATTCTCTGTTGCTTTTTTTTTTTTTTTTTTTTTTTGAGATGGAGTTTTGCTCTTGTCGCCAGGCTGGAGTGCAATGGCCCGATCTTGGCTCACTGCAACATCCGCCTCCCGGGTTCCAGCAATTCTCCTGCCTCAACCCCCCGAGTAGCTGGGATTATTGGTGCCCGCCACCATGCCCGGCTAATTTTTGTATTTTCAGTAGAAACAGGGTTTCACTATGTCGGCCAGGCAGGTCTCGAACTCCTCACGTCAGGTGATCCACCTGCCTCGGCCTCCCAAAGTGCTGGGATTACAAGCATGAGTCACTGCGCCCGGCCCATTTTTTTTTTTTTTTTTTAAGTAGAGGTGGGGGTTTCGCCATGTTGGCCAGGCTGGTCTCGAACTGCTGACCTCAGGCAATCCACCTGCCTAAGCCTCCCAAAGTGCTGGGATTACAGGTGTGAGCCGCTGCATCCAGCCTTGCTTTTTATTTTAGTTATTGTCATCTCTGCACCTAAATTATAAACTTCTTGGGCATAGCAATTATCTATTGTTTAGTTTTCATTGCCCTAAAGTAATAATAATACTGATTTTAATATTGAAGTATAAGCAGTCTGTTAATATTTGATGAATGGAAGAATAAATAGCATTTATAAGAGTTAAATATTACAGAAAGATGGTTTAGTCAACAAATGAAAGTGTGGGTACATTAGTCAGTCCTGACTGGGTGTAAAGTGGACCAACAGAGAATAAATATAGAAAGAAAATTGGGATTAGGGCAATCAGGCAGGGGAGCTATAGCAGGCAGAGGCTGCAACAGCAGAAGTGGCCGTAACAGTCAGAAGTGATGATAGATGGGGTGAAAAGCAACAACAGGCAAGGGTGGCAGATAGCAGCAGAGAAAAAAAAGCAATACCAAGAATATAATGGTAAGGGAGTACCATCTTGGGTGACACACTCATCCAGGAAAAACTAATATAAGTAGAAATACATTCAATGCATACTAATAGCCAAGGCCTCAGGGACTTCAGAGTACAGATGAAAAACACAGTGAAACAAAATAGAACAGAGAGCAAGAGAAACGGGATAGCCATTAAAGAATAAAGAGCTTCACAGGCATCTGTGGCTTCTGAATGTGAGAAATTTAAAAGATCACACATCCTTTACCTGAAAAATGGGCTGAAAATAGTGGATGACTGAGACTGCATAGTATTGATACTGTCAATCTTCTTCCTTCCCTCTTACCTCCTTTCCTCTTTACATTCCTTCCTTTCTTTTTTTCTTCTTTAAATCTTTCTTTTCCTTCTTTTAAAATCAGTGACTCACCAGGCAAAATATGAAATTCTTAATTTTAGGAAAATGTGCCTCTTCCTTTTCACTCTCTGTCCCCCTCTTCTCTCTTCCTTCCCCAACTGCACGCCTCATTAGAAGATATTCTTTTAAATTGTATTCTTTAGAGTTGAATTGGAAGTTTTGACAATTGAGACTGTTAATCAACACTTTGTAAACCTTTCTTCCCTGAGGCATAATAACCATGTTCCATTAAAACTGAAGAATGTATTTTCAAGGGAAACCTGCAAAAAATTAATTTAAATTTTTATTTGAGAAATTAAATTAAATGTAACTACTGATTCCAATTGTAAAAAAAACTTAAAGCAGTGTAAAGTGGCCATCAAAATATTGGAGCAACTAACACATAAACACTTTTACTAAAATATGCTTGTTTTTCTTCATTGATCCTCATAATTTGCCCTTTTAAAACCATAGATTCTAAATTACTTTTTAAAAATTCTTATTCTGTGGAGTAGGTAAAATAATGGCCCCTCAAAATGCTTGACCTGTTCTCTAGAAATTATGCATATGTTACTTTATATGGCAAGACAGAATTAAGGTTACAGATGTAATTAAGGTTGCTATTCAGCTGATCTCAAAGGGATTATCTGGGGTAATCCACCAGGGAACTAAAATAAATTTGATACAAATTCAGTGTTATCAAAAGGACCCTTAAAAGGAAAAGAGGGAGGCAAATAAGGTCAGAGTGAGGCAATGTGAGAAGGACTTGACACACCACTGGCTTTGAACATAAAAGGGGATCACAAGTCAAGGAATACAGGAAGTTTCCAGAAGATCCAAAAGACAATGAAGTAGAGTATCCCTGAGAGTCTCTAGAAGGATATATTAAGGCCAATAATTTGATTTTGGTTAGTAAGACTGGTTCTGGATTTCTGGCCTCTAAAATTGCAAGATAATAAAATTTTGTTGTTGTAAGTCATTACATTGTTACAGCAATTTTTTTTCTTACAACAGCCATAGGAACCTAATATAGTCTGAATGGTTATTGTGACCCTTACACATTAAGTAAAGTAATATATTGATTTTAGAGGTAATTAGAACTATGAAGTTAAAATGTGTAAAGATTCTTAAGTTGAAAATGGTAATTACTCTGATAACTATAGCTGAGTTTAACTGATATCAAATGCATTGCTATTTTCATTATATTTTGAGTTTTCATGATTACATGGTTGCAGTATGAATCCAAAATGAGAGATTCAAAATCTCAAGTTACTAATTGGTCTCAGGCGGTGCTGTTCAAATCATGCTAGCAAGAAAGCAATGTCTATTATATGAGCTTGAAAAAGGTAAAAATTCACATTTCCCTGGAATATAATTTCAATTTATTAGGGAAGTATTCTCTAAAGGATCAAATATACGTCAGATAAACATACAATAAGGAATCAAAATGGTTATTTAAAAGTGTAATCAAACTTTACCATTAAAAATGGGAGAGGGAGGTTTATAAGATCTCTTTTAATGAAAATCAAAATGGCTGTGCAGTTTATAATGTTTGAAAAAAGTGTCTTATTATCTCTCATATTTCTTTGCATTATATCAAAGCTTCACCTTTGATATAGTTATAAAACATATATTTATTGGAATATATATATAAAGTTATATTATTTACCATTATATTTTCAACTTTTTCCCTTATTTTCTCTAAATTACAATAGTCTCTGAGATAGTGCCAGTTTCTCTGTCACTGTACATATGCTATTCCCACGCTTAAAATGCTTTTATCATCCATATTTTTGGATAGTGAAATCATTTACACTCATTAAAACAAAGCTCAAAGATACTTCCCGCTGTGAAGTCTTTGCAACTCTCCTAGGCTGCTAAGGTTGCCACTTATGATGTAAATTTAAAGACACTTTGATATGCTTTTCTACCTGGCATTATGAGTCTAACTTTACATGCATTTCTCCACCTTGGAAGGTGAATTATTTAAAAGGTAGGACACGGTCTCATTCATCTCAGTATCCTCAGTCCTCAGCACAGTGTCTAGGACATTTTATCAATGTTTATCGCACAAATTAAGTGCCTGTTTAAATTCCAGGCATGTATCTTTCAATGTAATATCCTGCATTTGTCCTGGTGAGGTATTGGGATGAGATGAAATACATGGCATTCAATGTCTTTTATCCCCACCCCAAGAATAAATCTGAAAAAACTTTAGTGACAAATTAATGTATTTTTTAAAGAATTTCATTTTAAACACCTAATTTTTACCTCTGTTTGCTGAGTGCCCACTTAAGCTACACTGGAAGCATAGGAAACATTTTATTCTGTAGAAAGTAATCAATTTCTTATAGAAGGGTTTAAAAGCCTTTATTTATATGCCTATAATCTACTCTGTTTTTAGTCTAGTAACCACTAATCCAGTTTATATTTATTTTCCCTGCTTCTTGATGCTAAATAAATAAAGTTTAATCATAATACTTAGAAACGTGATACAGGTAAGTGTTCCAATGCCTGGTGCCCTAAGGCAGACAGCCTGGCTTAAATCCCAGTCATGACACTTAAAATGCTGGTAAGTTTGAACAAGGCAGCAGATTGTTCTGTGACTCAGTTTTCTGACAGCAGATGCTAGACTTTTAGCCAGGTTGTAAATGTTTGCAGGAGGCAAAGGAAAAATTGCATATGCTAGATCGTGCCGTGTTTCAGGGATAACTATGTTTAACACCGCCTGATATGTCTTCAATTCATGTATTTATTCATTTAAATATATTATGTGCCTATATGGTTGAGCCTCTGACTAGTAATTGTAAACTTATGTACCAGTTTGTAAAAATTGTAACAATAGCAATAATAACAATAATTGGGAGAGTATCATCAACCAGGCTGTGAAGCAAAAGATTCCAGCTTTTGTCTTCCCACCAAAACACAATAACTGGACAGCCATCCCTGAGTGACTATAACCTGGTAGAGCTCAGAAGTCAATTTAAGAAGGTACAACAACATAGTAGAGGAAAAAAAGAATAACTGCACCAAAATGGTGAAAAAAGACACACTCATTTTGCTTGTATCATCCCATCCCCCAGGAAGACTTTGCTAACAAAAAGACGGAAATCCTTGTCTCACTAGTTTTCCTTCATAGGAAAAAGAAAAGCGGGATGAATAACCAGCTTCTTCAGACTTAGGGTCATTGCCCAGAGGGTCTCCTTTGCTGGTATCCTACCCAGCTCACTAAGGAAACTGGTATAGCTGACACATCTGGAAACAGCAAGAAACAAAGAAGTGTGGCACTATTAGTATCAGCCATGTGGCAGAAGCCACCATGGTACCCAGTGGCCTGCTCTACAGAGGACACCTGTATCCTTTATCTCCAGGGCCATAGTTTTTCACCTTTGCAGACTCCAGGTGCCTGAGCCACTGCCTCGCTAACATCCCGATCTCTGGAACTGTCCTGGGACCCAATGCAGCTACTGCATCTGAATGCCCAAACACAGCCCAGGCCTCAGCCATTGGCCCCAGGTCCCATTGCAAAACATGCATCCATGGTGGATCCCGCAGCTGTGTGTGCATGCAGCCAACCCAAACCTAAAATGTCAATCCTCACTGCTTCTTGGGAACCTGCAAAAGGCAATAGAGCTGTGCACATGCACATTGCCAGCCCTGGGATCTACAGCTGCACATGTACAGGCAGCCAGCCCCTAATCCTGTCGCTGGCCTGAACCACTGTACTTGTCCTTTCACCTACCTCCTTCAGCCACATACAGGCACAGTACCAACTATAATCCCTATAGAGAAGCACAACATCTGCAGCCAGCCCCCACATCTAAGGACATGCATCATTAGCTCAGGTCCACATTGCTAATGATTTTGATCCCTTACTGCAGAATCTGGAAGTACTGCTGAAGATCCCAACAGCCCATATACCCTCTGTAGAATTCCTGAAGCTCTTGAAACCATGGGCTACCCAGTTTCCAGTGTTGCAGATCCCAGCTTCCCGAGTTTAAAAGATGCTGTGAACCGCAGAACTAAAGCCGCACATGTCCTTGTACTTGGTATCCGATGCCATAGCATGTTTCAGCATTCCCTTATCTTCCTTCCACTTCCCACAGTTGAAAGTCTTTTCACACCAAAGCTATTCCACATAATCTGGAAGAGATTACTGTTTCTTCAAATGTGAAGCCACTTATGCAAGGTGACAAGGATCATGAAGAATCAGGAAAACGATACCACCAAAGAAAAACAATAAACTTGCAGTTACCAAATAAAAAACATGGAGATCCACAAATTTTCCAAAAAATGTCTCAAAATATTTGTTCTAAGGTAACTCAGTGAACTATAAAAGAAAACAGATACATAATTTAAGGACATTAGGACAACTATACAAGCACAAAATTAAAACTTTAACCAAAAAATTGAAAAATAACGAAAGAACAAAATAAATTTTAGAGCTGAAGAATCCAATGACTGAACTAAAAAATGCAAAAGAAGGCCTCACTAGCAGACTTGGTCACACAGAAGAAAGAATAAGCAAACCCAAAGTCCTAAATCTGGAAAAAAATTATGGAGGTCCAGGTACATGAAGCTCATAGATCTTCAATGAGATTTAACCCAAAGAAGACTTCACGAAGATATATTATGCTCAAACGCCAAATATTGAAGGTAAATAAATAACTTGTAGCATCAAAAGAGAATAAGTTCTTTACATGCAGAAAATTTCCAAAATCTATCAGTAGATTTCTTAGCAGAACCTTTGAAGGTAGAAGAGAGTGGGATGATATAATCAAAGTGCTAATGAAAAAAGTATACAAAAAAACTGTCAACCAACAATACTTTGCCTGGTAAAGCTTACTTTTGAAAAGCAAGGAGAAAGAAACATTTCTCCAGATAAACAAAAAACTGAGGCATATCATCACCGATTTTTTTAAAATTTTTATATATTTGGGGGGTACAAACACAGGCTTCTTACATGCATACATCACATAGTGGTAAAGTCTAGGCTTTTAGTTTATCCATCATCTGAATAATGAACATTGTAAACAATAGGTAATTTTTAAACTCTCATTCCCTTCTGACCTTTCCACCTCTTGGAGTTTCCAATGTCTATTATTTGACTGTATATTATGTCAATGTGTACTCATTATTTAGCTCCCATTTATAAGTGAGAGCATGCAGCATTTGACTTTCTGTTTATGAGTTATTTTACTTAGGATAATGGCCTCTAGTTTCATCCATGTTGCTGCAAGATACAAGATTTCATTTTTTGTGTGTGTGTGTGGCTGAGTAGCATTCTGTGTATATATTGACTATATCTCTTTATCCAGTCCTCTCTTGATGCATACTTAGGTTGATTAGGGTTTTCTAGATGTAAGAGCATATTATCAGCAAATAAGGATAATTTTACCTTCTCTTTCTCAATTTGGATGCCATTTTTTCTCTTCACTCATTCCTCTGACAAGGACTTCCAGTTCTAGGTTGAATAGGAGTGATGAAAGTGGGCATAAGTAATGTATCAGGATACAAAATCAATATAGAAAATCAGCTGTATTTCCATACTCTAACAGGAAACTACAATAAAAATAAAGAAAGAAATCAATCCCATTTACAGTCTAAAAAGAATAACATACTTAGGAATAAATTCCACCAAGGAGGTGAAATATCTGTATGCTAAAAACTGTAAGACATTGGTAAAAGCCATTGAAGAAGATATAAATAAATGGAAAAATATCCTGTGTTCATGGATTGGGAGAATTGATATTGTTCAAATGTTTATACTACCCAAAGTGATCTACAGATTCAATGCAATCTCTACCAAAATTCCAATAACAGTTTTGATAGAATTTTTTTTAAAACACCAAATTCATATAAAACCACCTTTACTATCTAAGCAATCTTGAACCAGAAGAACCAAATCAGAGGCATCAAACTTCCTGATTTCAAATTATATTACAAAATGATAGTAATCAAAACATTATGTTATTGGCAGAAAACAGACACATAGGCAAATAGAAAAAATAGAAAATCCAGAAATAAAACCACACATGCACAGTCAACTAATGTTTGGCAAAGGTGTCAAAAACACTCAATAGATAAAATCAGTGTTGTGGAATATTATTCAGACACACAAATAAGGAAATCTTGCTATTTATGAAAACATGGTTTAACTTGGAAGACATTATGCTAAGTCAAATAAGCCAGATGTGGACAGACAAATACTGTATGATTGCACTTGTCTGTGGAATCTAAAAGAGTTGAACTCATACAAACAGAGAGTAGAATGGTGGTGACCAGAGGTCGAGAGGTGAGGGAAATGGGAAGATGTTGGTCAAAGGTTACACACTTACAGTATAAATAAATTTTATAGACCTAATGTGTAGCATGGTGACTATAGTTTATTAATTATAATGTACACTTAAAAATTGCTAAGAGAATAGATCTTAAGCACTGTCAACACACACACAGATTATTATGTGAAGTGATGGATATGTTTTATGTGAAGTGATGGATATGTTAGCTCAATTGTAATAATCATTTCACAATGTATGTGCATATGAAAGCATCGTGTTGTATACCTTGAATATGACCATCTTGGTTACCTATATTGCTTAAGTAGTAATACCCATCTTTTGATTGAGTACTTACTGTATTTGCAATATTGTGTTAAGTTCTTTACATGTCTTGCTTCATTTAATTCTTACCCTTTTAGGGATTTTCAAGTTCTCGTTTCAAAGTTGTGGAAACTGGTGCTTAACAACATTAAACAACCAGTATTCTAAGTAACAGAAGCAAGTATAATTCTGACATACTTGAACAGTAGAGCCAATATCTGACAACTAAAATACTATTCAATGATAAAATAAGGTAAACTTAGGCCAAAAATAGTTACAAAGTGTAAAACATTATATAACTGTTAATTAAAATAAAGTTGTTAAGGATATTGGTGAGCTTTACTGTTAAGCATAATATTACATTAGAAAGGGTGATACAGTTTTATGGAATTTTATTCTGAAAAGGCTGAATTCTACTTTGGACTAGTGATGCTTCCTTTCTAAGTGGTTTTTGAGGGAGCTGTATTCACAAGTGTCACTGATAAATGGGATTCCTGAATACCTCTTTAATATTATTGCATGTTATTTGCCACTGCCAATATCCCACTGAAGAGTTCCTTGGTAAACATGGTTTGGAGTACAAAATGTAGGCTCCACACCCAAGAAGGTCATTCCTTAAAACCTTAAGTTACAATCTTGACAGCAAATGACAAAGGAAGCCTAGAAGATAAACAACCTAGGGAAGTGTAATACAAGGTGAAGAGAGTCTTCAAATACGCTAACTGGCTCCAAGTCACTCTACTCACAAATCCATGGATAGAAGAGAAAGCTGTAAAATAAAAATGTCATGGAATCAAACTAATGAGTGATTGACATTCCTGGCTGTAAGGTAAAGCTAGAAAGTCAGTGGTTTAAAGAATGGATGCTAATCTCTCCAGAAGCATGTTTGTTTGATTCTAGATGTCATACTTAATCACTAGGTGGCACTGCTTGGAGTCTGGTATCAAACCCAAGGGCTCATGTTCTTTCCCACCTAGATCATCTTATATTTAATTAAGTGGAAAGAAGTATACACAAATACATAGAAAACACAGAAAACTTTTAGTAATATACACACCATAAAATTATAGTTTTTTCCAGCTAGAATAGATTTAATGGATTTATGCAGAAGTAAATTGGTCTGGAATTCCTGGCACTAATTTTTCTTTTACGTTAAGCCAGGTGAATTATCTATAAGAAATAATAAAAGATGTGGTAAAATGTTTAAAAAAAAGGCATTTATCTAAAAGTCATGAGTGGGCTCCACACCTTGACTAATCCAAGATAACTATAACAATGTTGAATGTTATTTCTGTATTTTTGCTCTCTATATTTGAAATATTAACAAGTACTTTCTAGTTTGTATTTTGAGAATTGTTTCAATCTATTCACCACTGTCATCCCTACTAGAACCTCATTAACGCAGGTTCTCATTAGGTCTCAATGTGATTATTTTAACAGCTTTCTAAGAATTTGTGTCTCCCTCCTCAATAATTATCTAAGATACAAATCTGCCCATGTTGCCTCATCCTTGTAAGCATGCAATGGCTACACACCACCCCAGAGCAATGTTGAGCTTTTTAACATGGTATGGAAGACTCTTTATATCATTACTAATGCCTGCTTAACCAGTCATATTCTCCTCCATTCTCTGTCTTTCTGAGAGAATCCAGAAATGTTAAACTGCTTTTTTTTTTTCCATTTTCCCAGAAGCAAACAGTTTACAATTTTCTTCATTTGGATAACTTCTACTAATTAAGTTTGGCAGAACACCTCCTAATTCTAAAGCAATTACCCATTTTGTTACACGTACTCTTTATAATCTTATAGTGTAGAAATTATTATAATATTACGAATTTTAAAAATCAGTCACCAAGATGCTAGGTTATGTTGTCGAAGTTATACTATTAGCAATGCAGGAGGTTAATCTCATATACTATTTCTTGAACACTACATTTCATTTTAAGGGAGGCTGGCGATCTAACCTACTATATTTTATAGAAAGCAACTTTGAATTTGACTTATTCCTATATATCACAGAAGAAATGACCCATGATGTCTAGCTGACCACAAAATCACCCTTGATAGAGATGTTAAGAAACACATTTGTTATGACTATTTGTGATCACTCTCTCAAGAAATAGCTTTGAACCCAAAGCAGATAAATTTGTTCCTAGTTTCCTTTATAGATAAATATGTATGTATTTGATCTATACAAATTTGTATATTTGATTATATAAAATATGATATATGGACTATATATTGCCTCATCCTTAAATTTATAATCATTATAACTACTAGAATAGCACATATATGCAATTAAAATATATATAAAAATATTTTAGGCCGGGCGCGGTGGCTCACGCCTGTAATCCCAGCACTTTGGGAGGCCAAGGCGGGCAGATTAGGAGGTCAGGAGATCGAGACCATCCTGGCTAACATGGTGAAACCCCGTTTCTATTAAAAATACAAAAAAATTAGCCAGGCATGGTGGCGGGCGCCTGTAGTCCCAGCTACTCGGGAGGCTGACGCAGGAGAATGGCGTGAACCCGGGAGGCGGAGCTTGCAGTGAGCCGAGATCGTGCCACTGTACTCCAGGCTGGGCGACAGAGTGAGACTCCGTCTCAAAAAAAAAAAAAAAAAAAAAAAAAATATATATATATATATATATATATTTTATAAAACCAACATAAAATTGGTTAGAAAGAAGGCTAATCTTAACCATTCTCATCATATATATAAGCGTTTTTTAATATGTATTTTTCCTTGATTATATTCAGAATTCTCATCTCCAATACAGTGCTCCAAAAATACATGTGAGACTTGTTTCTTTTTCCTTCAAAACTGAGATTCTTCTGCTTCCTTCCTTTCTGTCTCTTTTCCTCTTTCCTTTCTTTCTCACTTCAGAAATGTATATCAACATTTTCTTATTATTTAAAAAATTATTTACCAGCTCTTCCACAAAAAAAGATAATTGTATAGCCAAAAACATAAAGCAGGTCAGACATCAGTATTATTAGGCTATTAAAATAAAATACTATTACAAGTACGACAAAGAAAAGAGTAGGAGACTCATGTCAAAATGAAGTGAATATGGCCAATAAAGAAAGTGTTTTAGTGCCTTCCATTTATCCTCTTTGTTTTTGCTTTTATGATGTAACTTGAAGTCTTTCCAAATGAAAATACAGTAGAAGTCCAGGAGATTGAAACATCTACTTCACTTTCATTTTATTTCACCAGTTTAAAGCAAGAAGATACTGTACTGTGCTTTCCGTTGATATGTGTGTAGACTATTTTGGCATCTTTGAAGTCCCAGTAGGAAATCCTTTTCCTTTTGTTGTTTGTCACTAAAATCAGCTCATGGGTTCAAAGCTGCCAGTTCTTTTACTTCTCTTCAGCTGCCATTGTCCACAACTTGCCCAATTACCTATTACTCCTTGTTTGCAGAACCTATCTCAGGCAACCTTGAAACATCCTACACTATTGTCAAGACTCCACGGACATCCCTGTTCATTAAATGAGGGCAGCACTATTGTGATCAGTCACAATACAAGGTGCAGCCTCAGTTTTTTGAGGACCTTCTTTAAAGTGGCACATCCTGTTAGAATGCTCATCTGTGGTATTAACAATATTAATTATTTAATTCTAAAGTTAACATCCATGATGTTGTAGCAATTTAAACCCAGAATGTTATGTTGGCTTAAGAATAATTTCAGAAAAAATAACAGAAAAAAATGTCCTTGAAGGATTAAAGAAGAAAACAAATATCTTGAATCTAAACCTCCTTTCAATTTACCAAGTTTGAAATAGCATAAAAGAAGCAAGCACTTGCTAAATCTCTTTTTTCCTGCTCTATAATACTTTAAAATAATAATTATGTGATTAAACATGTGAAGGTTCTCAGTGTGCATTTTGTTTCTAAGTTGTTTAGGTGTGCCTCCAACCTGACCTATTAATACTAAGCAACTTTGTTTTATTATGACAAAAGGTAGCCACCTTCCAATTCTAAAGCTAATGCAGAATAGCCTATTGAAATATACTTCTTTTCCCATAAATGGTAGCCACCTTCCAATTCTAAAGTGGATGCACACTAGCCTATTAAAATATGCTCCTTTTCCCATAAATGTAATGCTGTTAAACAATCTTATATAAATATCAAAACAAAGCAGGTCAGAATTATGTGTACATATTCATTGTTAGGAACAATGGTTTCCTAAAAGGATTTGAAAATATACAGGTCTTTATATATAATATGAAGAGAACTTCATATTAAATTCTTGAAAAATGTACTTGAAGGTAAATTTAGAGACAGTGTACATCCTTTACGGTACTTTTATAAGTCAACCTTAAACAAATCTTAAATGAGAAAATATATTAAGACAGTGTGAATGCTGTTTTAAGGTTATTCAACTCCCACCAACACTCTTTGTCATTGTATTTCATTTGCAATTCTTATAGTACCTAAGTATATACACACTTTTCAGTTTATTCATTATTTATTACAAGAAATATGTTAATCCAGATATTAAAGAATCAACATAAATTAATAAAGTGATTCAGGAGTAAGACATTTTAATTCCTGTGTAATATTATACAACTTAATTTGTATTTTAAAATAAATATTCACTGCTTAGGTAACTGAAAGTTGCCCACTGACATAGCTAGTTAATATTAATATTCAGGACCATAAGAGAAAGAAAATAAAGCAAATCTTCCCAAACAATCTGATCTTCCGTGTTCTAAGCCTAATTTTTTAAGCTATATCAGATATAGGTCTATTTAATAAACATGTATAAGCCTAAAAGTTTGTGTCATTTATCTTTAAATATCTTGCCTGTAAATATTAGACAGGGTATATCTATAGGAAGGGTACGAGTAAATTATGAAATAGGATTGCAATAAAATATACTTCATCCATTTCAAACTTACATTATAGGCTTTAGAATAAACTATTTCTCTTACTTTTTTTTCAAAATTAAAATAAATACAGAAATAGTTAACATACTCCAACTTGGAACACCTGCGTTCTTCAGCAGAATTCAAGCCATGATGGAGCTGATGAGGGATATTTGAAGTGCCAATCAAGGAGCTGTTCCCAGATCCTCCCACGTGGTTGAAGCCCTGCTGTCAGGAACATATTGGAAAGTTGTTCATTCACTTGAGGTGACAGATACAGATTGTGACAAGCCTCATATTGGGATTCTAGCTCAGGGGGTAACAAGGAGTGAAGTGAGAATGCAAAATTCATGGAGGAAAATGTCACTTGCCAATCTCCCTTCTTCCATACATCTTACTTTGCTTTGGACTACAGTTCACATATTACTCGGCAACAGAAAACAGGCTTATGTGAGTTTTTCTCTTACATCCTTGATTTGAATTCTTAAGACAGAATGCTTTTATTAAATAATTAGAGAATCAAGTAGTAATTTTGAAATATGTCAATTAATCACAGTTTTTTACCCTAGTGAAAGTCAAATTGAATTACTAGTGACAAAATTAAACTGGAAAATTTGAAAAGAAAACTTGTATCTTAAATTTGTACACTTATTTGGCTGATATCTGAATATATCACTACTTTGGCAGATACAAATTCATCTCTAATCTGTCCATTCCATTTTTCTAGAGCTTAAAGCTCTGGAGTTCTTTAGCTATTTCAAAAGATATATATATATATATATATATATATATATATATATAGACATAGACATATAATATTAATACCAATTTTATAAGCTACAAATGGAATGCATATCTTCTTTCAGATCTCCAAGGAAAGTACCAAATACTGTACTTCTACTAATTAATAGTGATTAAAATAACACAATATAGAAACAATTTTAATGAATGTCTAAAATCATAAGATGTATTTATTTTATATATATATACATGTGTGTATGTGTGTGTATGTGTGTGTGTCTGTGTGTGTTCATAGAGAAGCATTGGGGGGGTCTTGCTCTGTCACCCAGACTGGAGTACAGTGGTGCAATCATAGCACACTGCAGCCTTGACTTCCCCAGGCTCAGGTGATCCTCCTGCCTCAGCCCTGAGTAGCTGGAACTACAGACGCACACCACCATGACTGGCTAATTTTTGTGTTTTTCATAGAGCCAGGGCTTTGCCATGTTGCCCAGGCTGTTATGTTATATTTTTACTCCGATATAATATACCTAAAAATTAATAATACAAATTAAATTAGAAACCCTCAAACATGAAAATTTTCTAAAAAGTTTTTAAATGCATTGGTTCAAGCAAGAAACTAAGTAAAATAAAACAGTATTTGGAATGTATACAAAATCTAAATACGAAGATGTGCCTCACTAGAAAAATCTATAACCTGATATATTTAATTTGTAAGAAGGAAAGTTTATTAATTAGCATTTATCCTTGAGTTTATAAAATTATTTTTGAAATTAATAAAAAAGGAAGGGAGGGGTAATGAAAACAAAAGTCAAAAATAAAAAGCAAGCCCTTCAACTAGCTATAAAAATAAAAACAGATTAGAGGAGAGGTAACAGCAACAAAATAAAGAAATAGGAGGTCCCCCACACATCCCTCCTGTAGCATCAATAACTGGTAGCCATCCATGGACAAAAGTGCCTTTGTGGAACTTTGGGATCCAGATAGGAAATTGTGAAACTCCAGTTGACCCAAGAATGATGAGAGCCATTTTGAGAAGATAGGTTCCCTGCCCAGGTGTCAGGCATGATGACTGTGGTCCTGAATACAGATCCAGAAATAGCCTCCTCCTTTTGTCAACTCAACTACAGCTCCTTTGGCCTTGGTTCCAACACCAACATCTCCCAAGGTGCTTGGGAAGAACCATACCCACCCACGTCTCAGGTAACAGGGTCATCTACTCACCAGCTTGGGTCCTGACTGTGGACACTGAAGTCCCCAGACCCTCTCAGCTGCAGTTTGGGAGCAGTCCTGAATAACCAAGAAACTAATGAGAGACATGTCTGTCCATGCTTCTGGAGGCAGACCCAGATGTCTAAGAGTTGGAAGAATATTGTTCTAATGTTCATGCTAC
The DNA here is from genome assembly GCF_000001405.40 of Homo sapiens. Taxonomy (NCBI): domain Eukaryota; kingdom Metazoa; phylum Chordata; class Mammalia; order Primates; family Hominidae; genus Homo; species Homo sapiens. The sequence continues at coordinate 33,393,055 of NC_000004.12, forward strand.
CCAAAGTGATTTACAAATTCAGTGCCATCCCTGTCAAAATTCTAATGACATGTTTCAAGAAATAGAAAAAAACAACCTCAGCATTTCTATGGAACCACAAAAGATCCTGACTAACCAAGCAATTAAGCAAAAAGAGCAAAAAAGAACAAAGGTAGAGACATCAAACTTACTGATTTTGAACTATATTATAAAGCAATAGTATTTACAACAGTATGATACTGGCATGAATATAGACACATAGACAAATGGAATAGAATAGAAAGCCCAGAAATAAACCCAAGCGTATATATTCAACCATTTTTTTTAAATGGTGCCAAGAATGAAGAATATACAACTGAAAAAAGATAGATTATCCATAATTGATATAGGAAAAGCCAGATATCCATATGCAAAGCGATGAAATTGAACACTATTTTACACCATGCACAAAAATCAATTTAAAACAGATTAATAACCTAAACGTAAGACCTGAAAGTGTGAAACTCCTAGGAGAAAACACAGGTCAAAATCTTCATGACATTCATCTTCAAAATACTTTCTTGGAGGCAACACCAATAGAACAAACAACAACAATGACAAAAAATAGACAAGTGCAACTACATCAAACTAAAGAGCTTCTTCAAAAGAAGCGATCAAGAGAGTGAAAAGGCAACCTATAGAATGGTTGAAAATCTTTACAAACCATTTTCTGATAAATGGTTAATATCTAAAATATTTAAGGAACACTTATATTTCAGTAGTTAAAAAAACACAAAACAACACAAAATATTTCACTTAAAAATAGGTAAAAGGACTAAATAGACATTTTTCCAAGGAAGACACACAAATAGCCAACAGGTATATGAAAGGTGCTCAAAAATCACAAGAGAAATGCAAATTAAAACCACAATGAGATAACATCTTACACCTGTTAGGGTGACTATTAATCAAGAAGTTCAGAGATAACAAGTGTTGGCAAGGCTATGGAGAAAAGGCAATATTTATAGACTGTTGGTGGGAATGTAAATTGAAACAGTCATTGCGGAAAACAGTATAAAGTTTCCTAAAACAATTAAAATAAAACTATCATATCCAACAATCTTATTTTCTGGGCATATATCCAGTGGAAATAAAATCAGTACCTCAAAAAGACATCTGAGCCTGCATGTTTATTGCAGCATTATTCACAATAGCCAATATAGGACAACAACCTAAGTGTTCATCAACCAATGAATAGATAAAGGAAATGTGGGGGGTGGGGGGTGTGTGGGGTGTGTGTGTGTGTGTGTGTGTGTGTGTGTGTGTGTATGTGTGTAATTACAGTTATTCAGCCATAAAGAGGATAATTTTGCCATATGAGACAACATGGATGCAACTGGAGAACTCTATGCTAAGTAATATAAGTCAGACACAAAAAAAAATGTAATAATACTATATAATCTTACTTATGCATGGAACATAGAAAGTCAGCTTCATAGAAGCAGTGAATATAATGGTGGTTGGGGGTAGAGAAAATGGGGAGATTTTTATTAAGGGTACAAAAATTCAGTTGTTCAGGATAAATAAGATCAGGGGATTTAATGTGGAGCCTGGTGACTATGGTTAATAATACTGTATTGGATACCTGAAATTACCTAAGAGAGTAGATCCTAAGTGTTCTCAGCACACACACATACAAAGGTTATTAACCATGTTAGGTGATGCTAATTAACTTTATCGTGATAATCATTTCATAATGTGCATGTATATCAAATTATTGCATTTACATCTTAAATATATAAGATTTTCATCAAAAAATAACACTGGAACATGAGAAAATATAAAAATAATTATGTGAATTTAAAATAATATTAAAGAAAAGGCATATATCCTGGAAACTAAAAAAGGACTGAAGAAAATAGAAGAGATATGGGGTATATTTTAACACTATATATATACACACACACACATACACACATTACATATATACTATGTATAACACCTATACACACACCATATACATACTATATAATGTTAAAATATACCCCATATTAAGTTTCAACATATAACTTTTCAACATATATATATGTTGAAACCTATGCTAATTTGAAAATCTGAAAAAATTGCTAATATTCTCCTGCATAATTAAGTCATTTTTATGAATTGAGACTGTAAAAACATCAATAACCTTTTGGTTCATAGCAATTTTTTAAAAATAAATTATTTTTCTTGTCCTAGAAGTTTTGGACATATTGATAATGCAGTTATTAAGCAAATATTGTATTGTACAGATGATTCAAAACAATTATTTGTACTTATAACAGAATTTAGTGAAGTGTTATATGCTGAATATTAAAAATTAGTAACTGGTTGTCAGGAGGGAGGCTTAGCCAGATGGTTGAATAGAACCCTCCAGTGATAATCCCCCATAAGAACACCAAATTGAACAACTATCCACACAGGGAAGCACCTTGAAAATAACAAAACATCAGGTGAGCAATCACAGTACCCAGGTTTAACATTATATCAAGGAAAGAGGCACTGAAGGGGTAGGAAAGAGTCTTGAATGCCTGCAGCACCCCTGCCCCATCCCCCAGCAGTGTCATGTGGTGTGGAACATTTTCTGTGTGTTTGGGGGAGGGAAAGTGCAATGATTGTGAAAATTTTGCATTTTAGAACTCAGTGCTGCCCTGTCACAGTCAGAAGCAACACAGGGTACAATTCAGCTGGTGACCAATGGAAGAAGCATTTAGACCAGTCCTAGCCAGAGGAGAATTGTCCATATCAGTAGTGAGAGTCTGAGTTATGACTAGCCCTACCACCATGGGCTAAAGTACTCTGGAGTCCTAAATAAACTTAAGAAGCTGTCTGGACCACAGGACTGCAATTCCAGGACTAGTGCTGGTGCTGTGCTGGGCTTGGAGCCAGTGAACTTGGGTACCTGTAACCCAGTGAAACAGCAGCTAGGGTAGCCAAATGAATGCTTGTCACCCCTCTTCTAATTCCAGACAGTGCAGCTGAGGGCACCAGGAGAGAATCCTTCTGCTTGAGGAAAGGAGGAAGGAGAGTAAAGAGGACTTTGTCTTACAATTTGGATACTAGCTCAGACACAATAAAATAAAGCACCCAGCAGAGTCCTGAATCCCCCATTCCAGGCACTAGCTCTTGCATGACATTTTTATACCCACTTTAGGCCAGAGGAGAACTTGATGCCCTGAAGGGAAAGAGCTGGTCCTGGCAGCATTCATCATCTGCTGACTAAAGAGCCCTTGGCTTTGAAGAAAAGTCAACAGTGTCCAGGCAGTAGTCCTCATGGCCCTGAGATGGTGGTAGCCATGGGGAGAGACTTCTGCATGAGGAAAGGAAAGGGAAAAGTAAAAAGTTGCCTTGCAACTTTAGCACCAGCTCAGCTGCAGTAAAATAAAGCAACAAGCAGCCTCCTAAAGTCCCCAGTTCCAGGTCCTGGCTCCTGAATGGCATTTCTAGGCCTACTCTAGGCCAGAAGGGAACCTGCTGCCCTGAAGAGAAAGACAGAGGCCAGGCAGGATTCATCATTTGCCTACTGAAGAGCCCTTGAGACTTGAATAAACAGCAGATGGGTCAGGAAATAATTTCTAAAAGACTTGGTCAAGACACAGTACTGTGCCAGATTTAGGTGTAAACTAGCACATTCCCAGTGTTGGCGACCATAGGAGTGTTTGTGTCACTCCTCCCCCAACTCCAGGCATCATCAGCATGGAGAGAGAGACTGTGTGAAAGTAGGAAGAGAACATCAGAATCCACCTGTTAATCCAGGAAATTCTCCTGGATCTTACTGAGGATTACCAAGGCAATACTTCTCTGTGTCTGCAAGAGTCATGCCATTATTTGTCTTGGGGTGCCATCTAATGCAGATACAGCTGCAGTGACCAAAGACAGATCATAACACTCAATTCCCTTTGAATACTTGGAAAGCTTTCTCAAGAAGGACAGGAACAAATAAGACCAGACCGCAAAGATTAGAATAAATATCTAGCTCTTCAATACCTGGACATTGATGAACATCCACAAGCATCAATACCATCCATGAAAGCATGACCTCACCAAACGAACCAAATAAAGCACCAGTGACCAATCCTAGAGTGACAGAGATATGCGACCTTTCAGATAGATAATTCAGTTTATCTTTTTTGAGGAAGCCTAGTGAAATACAAGATAAAACCAAAAAGGAATTGAGAATTCTATCAGATAAATTTAATAAGAATATTAAAGTAATTTTGAACAATCAAGCAGAAATTCTGGAGCCAAAAAAGTGCAATTGACAAACTGAAGAATGCATCAGAGTCACTCAACAGTAGAATAGATCAACTGAAAGAAAGAATTACTGAGCCTGAAGACAGACTATTTTGAGAATAAATGGGCAGAGAAGACAAAAGAAAACAGAATAAGGCATGCCTACAAGATCTAGAAAATACCTTCCAAACAGCAAGTCTAAGAGTTATTGGCTTAAAAGAGTAAGTAGAGGGAGATCAGGATAGAAAATCTATTCAACAAGTTAATAACAGAGAGCTTTCTAAACCTGGAGAAAGGTATCAATATTCAAATACAAGGAAGTTACAGAACACCAAGCAGCTTTAAACTTAGTAAGACCACATCAAGGATTTAATAATCAAACTCTGAAGGGTCAAGGATAAAGAAAGGATCCTAAAAGCAGCAAAAGAAAAAAACCAACATAGACAAAGCTTTAATAAGTATGTTAGCTGACTTCTGAGTGAACACTTTACTGGCCAGGAGAGTGGCATGACATATTTAAAATGATGAAAGAAAAAGATTTTATGCTAGAATATTATATACAGTGTAAATATTCTTCACACATGAAGGATAAATAAAGACTTTTTCAGACAAACAAAAGCTGAGGGGTTTTGCCAACATCAGATATGTCCTACAAGAAATGCTAATGAGAGTTATTCAATCTGAAAGAAAAGAATGCTAATAAGAAGCAAGAAGTCATCTGAAGGTACAAAACTCACTGGTAATAATAAGGGCACAAATACAGAATATTATAACACTTTAATTGCGGTGGGTAAATTACTCATATCTTGAGTAGAAATGCTAAGACGAATTTCTCAAAAATAATAACTTTTCAAGACATAGACAGTATAGTAAGATATAAGTAGAAATAAAAAATATAAAAGTGTAGAATTTAAAGTGTAAAGTTCTTTATTTTTGCTTGTTTCTTTGTGCAATCAGAGTCAAGTTGTCATCAGTTTAAAATAATGAGTTTTAAGATGTTATTTGCAAGACTTACGGTAACCTCAAATCAAAAAACCTACAAGAGATGCAAAAAAACAAAAAAGCAAGGAATTAGAACAAACAACCACAAAACAAATAGCAAAATAACAGTAGTAATTTTGTACTTACCACTAACATTGGATGGAAATGGGCTAAACTCTCTAATCAAAAGACGGAGTGGCTGAAAGGTGAAAAACAAGTCCCATTGACCTGTTGCCTTCCAAAACACACTTTATCAATAAAGACGCACAGACTAAAAATAAAAGAATGGAAAAAGACAATCCTTGCCCATGGAAACTAAAAGAAAGCAAGAGTAGCCATACTTATATTAGACAAAATAGATTTAAAGACAAAAACTATAAAAAGAGACAAAGAAGATTTTTATAGAATGATAAAGGGGCCAAGTCAGCAAGAGGATATAATAATTGTAAACATATATGCGCCCAAAACTGGAACACTCATGTATATAAAGCAAATATTATTAGAATGAAAGAGAGAGACGGACCCCAATTCAATAATAGCTAGAGACTTCAACATCCTACATTCAGCATTGGGTGGATCGTTGAGACAGAAAATCAAGAAAGAAACATTGGGCTTATGCTGTACTATAGATTAAATGCACTTAATAGATGTTTACCAAACATTTTACCCAATAGCTGCAGAATACACGTTCTTCTCCTCGGCACATGGATTATTCTTAGAATAGGCCATATGTTAGACCACAAAGTAATTCTTAGAAATAATATTTTAAAAATAAAATTATATCAAGTATCTTCTCTGATGAAAATGGAATTAAACTAGAAACCAATAATAAGATAAATTTTGCACACTATACAAGCATATGGAAATTAAACAATATGCTATCATTTAATAACATTTAACATTGTTCTTTGATAAAAAATAACCCTGAAACAACCATGTATAGAAGAAGCATAGCTCAACACAATAAAAGCCACTATGACAGACTCACAGCTAGTATCATACTGAATGGAAAAAAACTGAAAGCATGTTCCTAAGATGTGGAACAAAACAAGGATGCCTACTTTCAACATTGTTATTCAACATAGTACTTGAAGTCCTAGCTAGAGCAATCAAACAAGAGAAAGAAGTAAGGAGCATCCACATAAGAAAGGAATAACTCAAATTATCCTAGTTTACAGAAGATAAAATCTCATATTGGGAAAAACCTAAAGACTCCACCAAAAACTATTAGAACTAATAAACTCAGTAAAGTTGCAGTATACAAAATCAACATACAAGAATTAGTAGCATTTCTGTATGCCAATAGCACACAATCTGAAAAAGAAATCAAGAAAGTAATTTCATTCACAATAGCTACAAATAAAATACACTACTTAGGAATAAACTTAACTAAGAAAGTAGAAGATCTCTTCAATAAAAAGTATAAAGCATTGATGAAATAAATGGAAGACACCAAAAAATGAAATGATATTCTATATTCATGGAATGGAAGAATCAATATTGTTAAAATGTCTATGCTACCCAAAACAATCTACATATTCACTCTAATCTCTATCAAAATACCAATGACATTCTTCATAGAAATAGAAAAACAAATCCTAAAATTTATATGGAACCACAGAAGAGCCAGACTAGCAAAAGCCTCCTCAGCAAAAAGAATGAAACTGGAGGAATCACATTACCTGGCTTCAGATTATACTACAGAGTTATAGTAACCAAAACAGCATGGTGCTGGCATAAAAACAAATAGACCAATGGAACAGAATGGAGAACCCAGAAACAAGTCCATATATATACAGTGAATTCATCTTTGGCAAAGGAACATGCATTGGGGAAAAAAGAGTCTCTTCAATAAATGGTGCCGGGAAAACTGGATATCCATATGCAGAAGAATGAAACTTGATCCCTATCTCTCACCAAAAATCAAATAAAAATGAATTAAAGACTTACATCTAAGACCTCAAGTTATAAAACTACTAAAATAAAATATTGGGAAAACTCTCCAGGACATCGTTCTAGGCAGAGATTTCTTGAGTAATACCCCAAAAGGATAGGCAGCCAAAGCAAAAATGGACAAAAGGGATTACTTGAAGTTAAAAGTTCCTGCTCTACAGCAAAAGAAACAATCTACAGAAAAATATTCTCTGGGGAAGAGACAACCCGCAGAATGGGTGAAAATATTTGTAAACTACCGATCTGACAAGGGATTAATAACCAGAATATATAAGGAGTTCCAATAACTCTATAGGAATAAATCAAACAACCCAATTAAACTACGTACGGCCTAGGCTCCAGCTTTGGCTCTAGCATGGGCTCCAGCTCTTTCAGCCGCACCAGCTCCACCAGGGCTGTGGTTGTGAAGATCTAGATCCGCGACGGGAAGCTGGTGTCCGAGTCCCCTGACGTCCTGCCCAAGTCAACAGCTGTGGCAGTTCCTCCCAGCCTGCCCCTCCTGCAGCTTCCCCAGAGCCCGGGAGGGAGGCCGCTGTGCAAGACAGCACAGGGAACAGGAGTCCCACCTGAGGCTCAACCCTAGCCCTCAGCCCACCTGCGGGGCATTACTGCCTGGGGACCCCCCTTGCCCAGGCCTCCAGCTACAAAACAATTCAATTGCTTCTTCTTTTATTTTTTTCTGTCCAAAATAAAACCTCAGCTAGCTCGGCAAAAAAAAAAAAAAAAAAAAAAAAAAAAAAAAAAAAAGGGGCAAAAGCAAAAGATCTGAAGATCCGAATAGATATTTCTCACAGAAAACATACAAATGGCATCCAGGCATATAAAAATGTGCTCTACATCATTGTTCATAAGGGAAATCCAAGTCAAAAATACAATGATATGTCATCTTAAGTCAGTCAAAATGGCTTTATCCAAAAGACAGGTAATAACAAATGTTGGCAAGGATGTGTAAAAAAGGGAACCTTTTTACACGGTTGGTGGGAATTCAAATTAGTACAACCACTATGGAGGACAGTTTAGAGGTCCCTCAAAAAACTGAAAAGAGAACTACCATATGATTCAGCAATCCCACCTCTAGGTATATACCCAAAGGAAAGGAAATTAATTTACCAAAGAAGTATCTGCACTCTCACGTTCATTGTAGCATTATTCACAGTAGCCAAGATTTGGAATCAAAGTAAGTGTCCACTAACAGGTGAATGGAAAAATAAAATGTGGTACATATACAAAATGGAGTACTACTCAGACATAAAAAGAAAAAGATCCTGTTATTTGCAACATTATGAATAGAACTGGAGAACATTATGTTAAGTAAAATAAACCGGGCACATAAAGTCAAACTTCATATACTGTCATGCATTTGTGGAAGCTAACAATTAAAACAATTAAACTCATGGAGATAGGGAGTATATTAATGGTTAGGAGAGGCTAGGATGAGTAGTGGTGGTGAGGAGGTGGGGATGGTTAATGGGTGCAGAAATACAGTTAGATAAATAAGATCTAGTATTTGATAGCACAACAGGATGACTACAGTGAACAATAATTTATGGTACATTTAAAAATAACCGACTGTATTGGAAAGTTCATAACAGAGAAATGATAAATGCTTGAGGTGATGCATAACATATTACCCTGATGTGATTATTATACACTATATGCCTATATAAAAATATCTCATGTACCCCATAAATATATACACACAGAAGAATTAAAAATTAAAATTAGTAATTGTCCTTCATACAATTACCATTTAGAAAATATGATAGAGGCAAGTGAGCTAACTTACATCAAAACCTACAACAACAAAAAATAAAATGCAGAAATATTTTATAAGAAATATAATACCTGTATGCAAAAATAATAAACTGACTTAAAACCATATTTGGGGGCAATAAAATGGACAAACATACCAAAGATAACTTTGCAAATATTAATGCAAAACAAATATTCTCAGACCAAAAATTTTAAACTACATAAATGAATTCCCAATATGTGTTAGATAGTGAGAATGACTGAAAATTTAGAAAGCACAATAATCTTAATAAGGAAGTTTTTCCTATACAAATATTAATAAGTTTTAGAAATTTCATCTTTAAAATCATTTTAAAATGATTTTAAAATCATCATTTTAAAATGATTTTAAAATCATCATTTTAAAATGATTTTAAAATCATCATTTTAAAATGATTTTAAAATCATCATTTTAAAATGATGAAAAAATAAAAAGTTAGAGTGAGGGGAAATAAACTAAATGAGATATAATAATTAAAATTAATGTTACAAAATATTAATCTGTGCATAAAAGTACTCACTAAATAATGACCAGAAGACTGATTAGCTTTTTAATCTGAAATAAATCTTCATTTTAAACAAAGAATTTTAAAATTTAAAATATTAGCAACAATTTTTTTTTTTTTACTATATATAGTAGTGTGTCACGTAACATTTTGGTCACTAATGAATCACATATACCACTGTGGTCCCATAAGTTTATAACACATAATTCTACTGTATCTTCTCTATGTTTAGATACACAAATATTTAAATATTTACTACTGTGTTATAATTGGCTACAGTATTCAGTACAGGAACATGCTGTACAGGTTTATAAGATAGGAGCAATAGACAATACCATATAGTCTAGGTGTGTAAGTAGCAGGCTACACTATCTCAGTTTGTCTAAGTACTCTATGATGTTCACATGACAATGACATCACCTAACAATGCATTTCTCAGACCTTATCCCTGTCATTAAGCAACAAATGACTGTATTCCTCTTATAGTATGTATACAAAATGAAATTACATAAAATAAATATTTAGCTTTTTAAATAACTTTTTAAAGACAAGTTTTGATTTACCTTTTATGACTATATAGTTTGTAAATGTATTTGTTACCTATACATTATTTAGCCACATCAGAATAACAGAGTCCTAAGTAAAGATTAAATATCAACAAACTCTTCTAGTGTTGACAGTGTTACAAAAGCTACAAAATATGAGAATCTAAAGACATTTTCTAGGGATAACAAAATGTTTTGACTTTATATTCACTGATATTCTGCTAATGAGACAAGTACCAAATGCTGATTTCTCTGCTACTTTTCAGATAGCATTTGTCATTAAACTGTTAATAATGATAATTTTTTTTTACCTAAAGGAATATTAGGTTTGTGGATTTTCTCAAGTTACTAAGCAAGGGTAGGTCTTCTCTTTCCTTTTCTCTGCCTCCCTCCCTGCCTCTCTCCTTCCTTCCCTCCCTCCCTCCCTCTATCCAATGGATTATAAATCTCTTTCCTTTCCTTTCCCTCCCTGACTTCCTCCCTCCCTCCCTTCCTTCCTTTCTTCCTCTCTTTCTCCAGTTGGTTATGAATCTTTCTTTTATGGAAGATTTTATACTGAAATAAATAGACTTTATATGAAGAGAAGACAATTCTACATTAATTTGTTTTTGTCTTGCTGTAATTTTTTTCCACGAATTGTTTGATATTGTTCATGACAGCAAGCTAGAAACCACTGCATGGCTAGAGGTAGTGGCTAATGCAGAGAAAGAGGGAAGACAAAGAGGGCATATGGAAAGCAATATAATTCTGATACCAGCATATTTCACAAAAACTATGAACTAACCTATACATTTATATTTTTTATTTGTATTCTTCACTCTATTGTAAACCTTCTTCCCCCAGTGAGTGAAAATATGTATATTTGAGATAAATTACTTAATATCATAGAGAGGAGTGTAAACCCCAGGTAGTTTTTCTTGAAATCTATTATTGAAAATTAATATGTTACAGATAGGCGTTAATTTTTCTAAGGCCATAGATAATTTACATAGCATCTTATATATATTTATGTGTATGTATGTATATATTTAAATACACACACATATAGATATATAAGATGCTATGTAAATATACATACATACATACACACACATGTATATATGATAAAGAAAATTAACAGGAGCTAAAGTAATATAATTGTTAAGAACCAGAGGAGAAGATATGATGAAAGTAAAGGGAAGACAATTTGATGCACATCCTTGCACCCAAGAGACAGTATTAGTCACTCTGTAGAAGACAATATTGTGAAAGTTATTTCAAGTGAATATTGATAGAAATAAGTTTTTTCTTTAAAAATGAAAATTAGTGTATATCTTCACAACCAAGAGTTAACACAATTGTGAGATATTCAGAAAAGTCATTAATTTGAGGATATATTTTTAGCCTTTTAAATAAAACCAAATATAATTTGGTCAAACCAGTGAATTACAGAGTAAATCAGTAATCAGATGAAGGCTTCATATATGAATTATTTAAACTGATTTATTTGCTAATGGATTAATTTTACTGTAGTTCATGGGTACAAAATTGATCAGATTCAATAGGCATAAATTTTAATTGGACAAGTGAGGTATGCCACAATAAAAAATTAAAATGTACTTGCATACATACCTGACATGCAACACACATATAAATATTCATATTAACACCATACATGCAGATAAGAGAAGAACCTGTAAACTTTACTTCAAGGCATACCTTTTGAATTAGAAACTTCTTTTTTTTTTGAGACGGAGTCTCACTTAGTCTCCCAAGCTGGAATGAAATGGTGCGATCTCAGCTCACTGCAACCTCCGCCTCCCAGGTTCAAGCTATTCTCCTGCCTCAGCCTCCCCAGTAGCTGGGATTACAGGCATGTGCCACCACCATAATTGATAGTAACTTTTTTATTATATTAGCTCTTTTGCTAGTTACATGACTGCACTTTTTTTGAGGTAATGTTAGCAATTCATTTATAACTTACTAAGTTTGAGATAACTGTTAGATAATCAGGAAAATACATTGTCCTAATAGTAATTTTGTATGTCATAAAGAAGAAATTTCCTGCATAGAGATAAAATTATATGAAATTATGGGTATTTAAAGAATATAAGGCCGTGAGTAGAACATGGGAGTGAGTGATGATAAGAAAAAGTTTCCAAGACTAAGTCATAGAACAGTCTAACGTCCAAAGTTGAATTTGTGAAATGCACACACAAAAAATACTCAGAATGAACAGATAATAAGACAAGAAAATCCAGTAAATTTGAAGTCTGGAATGCCCTGGTTTTTAAAAGTGTTTTACAAAGTGATTTCCATTGGATCTAGCAATATAGAAGTAATGATAAGCTCAATGAAGTAAGATACATTGAAGCAATCAGAGAGAAGACTCTGCCTGGTATGTGTTCATAACACAATGGAAGAGAGCAAAAATAGAGACAACCATTGTAGAAGAATATTTTGAGAGTTTTACAGTAGAGAAATGAAGAGGAAGGGAGAGCTGCAAGTGGAGTCAGGAAATGTTTTGTTTGGTTTTGTTCTTGAGGTTGCATAAATTAAAAAAGTTCTTAAATGTTGAAAGGATTGATTTAGTGAAAGGAAAAAGTTGATGAAAAGGGAAACTACTGGAGTAATGTCTTTAACTGCAAGAATGGAGGGCATCTAATGAACTAGCAGAGTGTTTGACCTTTGAACAAAATCCAGACAGTCCATCCATAGTAATAAGGGAAGTCAAAGTACACAGACAGAGATCAAGTAAGTGTTAGATATGGTCGTGGTAGCTTTTGGAATTTGTTGTCCTGCTTTTTTTTTTTTTTTTTTCTATTTTATCAGTGAATTAGGAAGCAAGACATCTACTGAGAGTAAGGTTAGGGGAAATAGTGTTGAAGATTTTAGAAGAGATTTAGATTTTAGAAACAAACAAATATTATAAGAGAGGGGGATAGTGATGGACAATAAAATGTAGGATGAACAGAAACATTAAGAGCTTTAGAATTATTGGTCACTAATTTACTTGGAAACAGTCTGCATGTTTGTTTGCTTTTTCTCTACAGCCACATTGAGCTAGTGCCAAAGAGAGTAAGATAATAGTAACTGTGAGGTTGTTTTCCTAAATGAATAAAATGAAAGGACATAGGGAAATGGAATTTCAGATGAAAATGACAGATGAGATTTATGATGTGCAAAGACGGAAGTGAGATAGTGAAGTGAAGCTACTGACTGACTGAAAAACTAGCGGCATCAATGGATTATAAATCCTGATAAAGGAAGACACTTACAGAAGTCAGGATACTAGAAGAGATCATCCAGAAAAATAGTTGCTGAGGATGTGAAACTACTCTTGAGATTGAGACTGGCGAGATGTTGCAGTTACTGGTATCCAACACCACCTGTGGTATGACTAGCAAAGTAAGTGGTCACTATTGTGCCATTGTGCTAATGTTCTAGTAGTGGAGACACATAAAACATATATATATATATATATATATATATTTTTATATAATATATATACATACACATACACACACACACACACACACACACACACACACACATACACACACAATTTCCTTAAAATCCTGGAACATGGTAACGGCTCAATTAAAAAAAAAGTTCCATGAGTTAATAAATGAGAGAATACATATATGATAATAAGCATCAAGACTGATTAATATTAACTTAAAATTTTCTCTGGTTTTCACTTAATATTGAGAAAGCTTTTAATCACAGAACATGGATCTACTATTAAAATGTCAATGTTATAATAGGCAAAGACTACCGGGAACAGTCCTTTTGTTAAACAAATTGTGTGTATCACCTCTGGCAGCAAGAAAGAACACACAACATGGGGAAATATGGTATCCTGAAAAGAGGGTGTTAGCAAGAACCTGGTAAAGTACTGAAGTTTTTGGTGGGTGATTTGGAGGAGGTTCTAAAGAATCAGAAGTTTGCCCTAAATTGCATGCTGTTAGAAGGGGATGGGAGGTTTGGAAATGTGTATTTCATTACAGCTTTGCCTTATGTTCTCTCTCCTAATTGCAACTTTGCATCAGTCCATTTGCTATTATATTTTTAATGTACTACTTTTTCCTGGGAGATGTCTTATAAGAATATCATAACTTTTACCTATTGAACATTGCAAAAATTAGTTCAAAGGTAGTTTTAAAAGTTTCTGATTGGCCGGGCATGGTGGCTCACGCCTGTAATCCCACTACATTGGGAGGCCGAGGCGAGTGGATCCCTTGAGGTCAAAAGTTCAAGACCAACCTGGCCAAAATGATGAAACCTGTCTCTAGTAAAAAAAAAAAAAAAAAAAAAAAAAAAATACACACACACACAAAATTAGCTGAGTGTGGTGGCACACAGCTGTAATCCCAGATACTCAGGAGACTGAGGCAGGAGAATCTCTTGAACCCAGGAGGCAGAGGTTTCATGAGCCGAAATTGTGCCACTGCACTCCAGCCTGGGCGATGGAGGGAGACTCAGTCTCAAAGAAAAAGAAATAAAAACAAAAACAAAAACAAAAACAAAAACTGACAAAAGACGATTTGTTGCAATAAGGTGCAAAATTATAAACAAGACCTAAGGCTATCCAAAGTAAAGATTACATCATGCCTGCAGGGCATCAATTTTGCTAAACAGGTTGTTTTGACTGACTCTGAGATTGCATACTTAACTTAAACATTCCTCTCTGCTGACTCCTAGTTGTAGATAGGGACTTACTCCTTTAACCAATTGCAAATTAAGAATCTCTGAATTCACCTATATCCTATCAGCCCCTGCTTCCTGATATCATGCCCTTTCCAGCTGAACCAGTGTATATCTTCCAAGCATTGATTTATGCCTTTGCCTATAACTCCTGCCTCTCTAAAATGTATAAAACCAAATTGTGATCTAACCACCTTGGGCACCCTTTCTCACTCCTTGAGCCTGTGTTTCCCTGGGCTATGGTAATTTATATTGACTCAAACTAAACCCCTTTAAAGTATTTTAAAGAGTTTTTTTTTTTTTCATGAACATTCTGTGGAGCACATGTGGTTAGTTCAGCGTAGTTCAAGGAGTAAACTGTAACAGATCCTATTCATACTCCACCCAATATTTTACATGCTTGTCTGTGTTTACCTATAGCTGTACTTAAACATTCCTGTACATTAAGTATGTTTCTGGCACTGTCTCCTTTCCTTTTCAAGACCTGTGTTTCTCTTATTTACTGTCTGGAAGTATTTTCCAGCACCATATTATTTTGTACAGTTGCATTCAGATAAAATCCTTAAATATGGAATTTCCCTCCAACAATGAAGGATGGAAGTTATTGAATATATACTCCACCCTCCAAGCCCTTTAATGGAATGAATCCAAGATTTATCTCACACGGTTTCTCAGAGTTGCTAATAGACTGAATTCTGGTTGAATGATTGTTAATGTATATTAATAAAATGTGTATTTTATTGTGTTTCTCTTTTTCTCTTACTTTGCCTGTTTCTCTGCTTTTGTTTTCTGGAATCATATCCAAAATCAACTAATGAATCCAAGTTCTTGACTCAATTTCTACTATGGAAGAAAACCTAAACTAAGACAAAATCAGTACAAGTCGATTTGAAAACAAAAGGGGGAGTGGGTGGGTAGATATTTACCTAATTATGTGAAGGATGGCAAGGAGTCTACAAGTTGAGAAATGAGGAGCAAAGTATTCCTGTTAAAGAAATCAGTTTATGAGAAAATAGTGAGTTGTAAAAAAAATTACAAAAAAGAGAGACTATAACAGAAACTGATAGCAAACGAATGTGGTTTTATTATAGTGATTGGTGGGGAGATTGACAGAAGATTTTAGAGAACTAGACAGAGGCCATAGTAATGGTTTTGAGTTTTGAATTAAATTAAATAGAAAAATCATTGCACATTTATAAGCACAGGAAATAAATAAGAAATTGTAATACTTCCTGATGTTCTGCAATCCACCAGGAAAGATTAAATTGATAGGGCATCCAAGAAAAGTTGTTTTAAGCTTGAATATATAGCAGTTAGTTTGGGAGTAAATGTATATGCTGAGGAAGAAAGTGGTGTTCCAGAAACGGAGAGGAAAAAACAGACATTTCTCAATATGTGAATAATAGGAGGACAAATCGGCCAATCTCTGGGAAAAGACAACACAGTTAAAATGTAAAATACACATAGTCTTTCACCCATTTTTAGTAATATATATATATATGCGTGTGTATATATCACTCTATTATATACTATTTATGTAATATATTTACATATTTGTGATAAACATAATGATTTAAATATATAATATGTATTATATATATTTATATACTTATAGAAACAAAAATTGTATATATACATGCATATATTGCTTGTAAATTTGTGGAATAATGCACGCACAAGAGTATTCATTGAAAAGTTTTAAAGAGCATAAAACCTGAAACAACCTATATGGTCAAACTCCTATAGATTATGAGACATTTATAAAATGGTATATTATTCAGTCATTACAAAGGAAAACAAAACTGATCTATGTTGATCCCAATTATATTACCTGAAAAAAGCGAGGGACAGAAAGTTTTTGTAGTTTGCTGCCTTTCATACAATATCCTATGTTATCTAGTACACATAAAATGCAAACTTTAATAAACTCATTAGTTAATTTCAGCATTATTTGCTCTTTCTATGAGAAGAACTCTCACACCAAGAAATAGAGCAGTGAAAAGTTTACCAAACTATAGCCTACTGTTTTGTATTAGTAGTAATGTTACAGATATCAAAAGCATTGTGTCTTACAAGATTCTGCCTCTTTTAATTTTAAAATGACCTGTTGAATTTTAAGTCAACAGAATTTTGACTCTATACTCTATCATTTTTAACTGTGGGGTTTTGTTGATTCTTCTGCCTTCATTCTCTTAGGTTTTCTTTCATTTTGGAGTTTCTATTGTGAAAGGAAAATATCTTGGGCCCCTTCAAGCTGGGACCTACTTAAGACAAATCTGCCTCCCACTCTATTCAAAATCATTCCTCTGCTCACAGAGATAGATGCATATTGTGATTGCCTCTTTTGGAAAGACATATCAGAAACTCAAAAAATGCAATTCATTTGTATTTCACTTACTTGGAAGTCCCCTTGGGGAGCAGGATTGGGAGCCTTGCTTTGAGTTGTCCCCGCCTTTCTGGATGGAACTAATGTACTATTTACATATATTAATTGATGTCTCATGTCTCTATAAAATGTGTGAAACCAAGCTGTGCCCCGACCATCTTGGGCACATGTCCTGAGACTATGTCACAGGCATGTCCTCAACCTTGGCAAAATAAACTTTCCAAATTAACTGAGACCTGTCTCAGATTTTCTGGTTTCACATTTTGGTAATCACGGAGGGATTCTGAGCGGAGATGCTCCTGACTTTTGACAAATCTCCTATTGGTGCTTGGTACCAACATGAGCTAACTTTATCACTCAAACCAATAGGAAAAATTGCTGAGGTCTGGGAGCACTCCCTCCAGAGAATCCCTGATCTCCCAAAATTTGGTCCAGATTTAAAGCTTTTTTTGCTGCATAACTCCTCTTTTTTTTTTTTTTTTTGGAGTTTTACTTGCTTCCAACTCAATGAAGCCAAGTTTGTCTGGCTTCCATGATGATGGAAGGTAGGTAACACCTTTACGGAGTTTGAGCTCTCTTCCAACAGGGAAAATGAGATTTGTTTTTTGTTTGTTTGTTTGTTTGTTTTTTGCCTCTAGGATGGTAGAGAGCAGTCGTCAGCTTGAGATGCATCCCTAGGTAAGTAATTGAATTGGGGTTTGTCTTGCCTACAGTTAAGATTAACAACCAGGTGGTCTTAATTTCTTCTTACCATTAGAGTGCTCAGTGATCATATTGTTGGGGTTTTTTTGTTGTTTGTTCTCATCTGAAGTTGTTGTTTAATGATCCTAGTTCTAGTTCAAAGGTGCAGTCTAAAGGATCTTCTCTATTGCTTTTAATCCCAAATTTAATCTTAATTTGGTTTGTTTGTGTGCATTTAAATAAGGAATTGAAATGTTGCTTTTATATGTTAATGAAAAGCTGGGTTTTCTCAGCTCCCAAAAGAAAGGTCATTTTGCTTCTATCAGCCAAAAGGCACCCCTGGGTGACCGGGGTCTCGTGGGAGTGTGTGTTGGGTTGACACCCCACAACATGCAGTAGCCCTGCAGGGAAATCCACAACAAAAAATTAATTTAAGAATGGCTTGTCCAGGAAACACATATAAGGTCTGATCAATCACCCAGTGTTTTGAGCCCTCTCTGAGGTCATAGACCTCTGGAGAGAAAAACTGAGGCAAGTAAAAGGGTGGAAATGACTCAATGGTGACATACTGTGGAGTCCTGCCCACAAACAGCACATAGCGATTCACCACACAAAAACCCTAGACCACAGTTCAGTTCCTCCTTTTAAGAAAAAAAAAAAAAAGCAGAAACAAATATCTAAGATGTGGAGAAGACAAGGAGAATGACCCCCTTTGGAGCACTCCATAGGTTTAATGGCACCTCTACTTGCCAAAATTTATGGAAAATATAAATTATATCGTCTTTGTGCACATTTACATTAAGGAAAAAGAGCCTTAAGTTAAACCTGCAAACTATAGAGTTCCTAAGTCCTCTTTTGCTCTATTTTTTTCTGTTCTGCCTGCTCTAAATCCGCTGCTATCTTTCTATTAAGATAAAAACCACTATTTAGATTCAACAAGTTCTTTTTGCAATCTGGTAAACTTGTATTTATCTCATGGCTAAAAGTTCTGAAGTAAAAGCTATCGGATATTTGTGTGTATGTATGTGCATGTGTGTGTGTTTATATTTTAAAGGCCTTTATCATTTATATAATCAAAATTTTTTCTCTCTGCAGCTTATACTGTAAATTTTGCTATTTGACTTCCACCTGAGTTTCTTCCTATAATATGCAAATTTAAGACTATTTAGCTAACAACTGCCCAGGGTTATAAAACAGATTATCAAGAATCTGAAAGTGGAAGATAAGAAAATTTAAAAAAGGTTTTTATGAATCTACAAAATGTACTCCTATTGGCATGCCTAATACGTCTATGTATTTATATGTTGTGTACACTATATTTCACTATTAAAAATATATAAAACAGCTGTAATTGGCAAAAAATAAAAGCACCTAAATCAGATACTAAAAGAGAAAAGACTAGTCAATGCTTTTTCAAGTTTATGTAACTTAAGTCAAATCTTTAATAAATAAGCTACCTTTAAAATTATTGGTAAAGTAATATTAGAAATGTCTTAAGAATTGCCAGCATACATTTTTGTTTGCATTTATTAATCAAACTATTTTATACTTATCCCTGCCAAATACTATAAGGTGTCAAAATTTGGCACAGGGTTTACAAAACTATAAACCCAGCCCAATACAGAATGATCTTTGCTTGTGTAATTTATAATAAATAAGACAATGATATAGGTTTAAAGAAAATAGCTTCATCTTAAATTTAGTAAGATTACCATAACTTGTAATCTTGTGGCTTAGGCAGTTTAGCCCACAGGCAATAAGGAGGTTTGTTTTGGGAAAGGACTGTTATAGTCTTTGTTTCAAACTAAACTATAAAATAAGTTACTTCCAAAGTTAGTTCAGCCTATGCCCAGAAATGAATAAGGACAGCTTAGAGATTAAGAGCAAGATAGAGTCATTTAGGTCAAATCATTTTTCACTTTCTCAGTTATAATTTCGCAATGGTGGTTTCATAATTTTAAATCAAGACTGCCACACTTTTCATAAATAATCTAGGTAAACAATAAAAATAAAATAATTAGGTAAATGTAATGGGACAAATACTTGTAGACAAACTGGTCATAATTTAGAATATAAAGTTATATTAAATTAAATAATAGATATTTTGTTATTTGGGTATTTTTCAATAAATATATTGTAGGAAAAATTCTTGCCAGAAAAGAAGTGTGTTCTTAAAAAAAAAAGTGAACATGTTTTGTCTAATTCAAAGCTTATTTAAAGCTTATGTACTAAACCAGGTAAAATGAACCAGAAAATAAAGAGATATAAAGGATGTTACAAAAATAAAGAGGTTTTTTTTAGTAATGAGAAAGCTGAAAATGAAATAATTTTATAGGGAAAGAATCTTGCATAAAATATTTAGACCTAAAATAAAATGACTGGTTGTTTAAGAAGGAGGGATGTTCAGGACAAATCAGAAAGTCGAAGCATGTCATGAGTGGTTGGTGTAAGTCACAATGAGAGGATTTATATTTAAAAATAAAACTCAAAAGCTTTAATATGATCAAGTTGTCATATTATGAATAGATTTTGGTTTGGCTAGGAAAAAAATCCAGGTAATTTTATTAAAAAATAAAGTTATTATATCCATGCATCTTCCTGTTTGTGCCTTTAAAGTCATTGTGACATTGAGTTACAGGGCTCTATCTACTGCATCTAAAAAGGAGAACAAGTCCTGATAAATCTTAAACACTGACATCAATTAAAGACTCATCTTCAAGCCCCACAGAAGATGCCAATCAAAATAACTGTTTCTGAGACACAGGGCAAGAAATTCAAGCTATTCAATTCCTCAAGGCACAGGGACTATAGTGAAAGAGGCGGGTGTGTAACATGGTAAGGGCCAATTTTGAAAGATAAAATAAGTTTGATTTCCCTATAAATTAATCATTAATGTCAAAGGCAAACCGATGCAAGGCCAGCATATGGGCCTCTGTGTTAGATTAACAAGGTTTTCCTAAAGTATTAACTAATTCCTTAATAAAGGTTATAAATGTTATAAAAGGCATGGTCAATATTAACATTTTATAGATTCTTTATAAAATTTTGAAAAACAAATTTAATTGGCTTCATGTTGTTTTTATTAGCACTTATTATTTGGAAAATTAAGTCTCCTCTCTCAAAGAATAAAGATTTTTGCCTTTTTTGGAAATCTTTGAGTTATCATTTGGGTTAAATGAATGACTTATTTTACAATGACCTGTGATCCTATTTTGTAATATCAAGTGTTTAAAACCTTTGATATTTGATAAACTTTCCAAAATCAAATTATAAATTATGTCTTTTTCTGACATAATTAATCCTTTAAGATATTAAGTTTCCTAAAATAAAAAGAAATGACTTATTTGGTACAAAAATTTTAGAGGAAGCATTGTCAAATATCAACTGGTGTTGGGTTTTCTTTGGGCTGTGTTTGTGTAAATATGTTATTGGTATGTGTTCCAAAATTATGGGAAATTCCTGTTATTCTGATATAACTTAGTATACATAATCAGTAATAATTATAATTGTTATGTTAAAATTATTGTGTGCTATAGAGGTAACAAATTTCCTTGACAGTTTTGTCTTTGACTATGGCTGCCCTAAAACTTTTGTCATTCATGGACAATTGTTTTGTTTTGATTCTCTTTAGAAGGTGGTACAACTCTAACAGGTGCTCTTGAATGCAAGCTTCTGACAACTTTGGTGATTGTGACATAAGAACAGAGGAAAACTTTCAGGACTCATGAAGAGTTGAAATGCTCATGAGTATCAAGCAGAACAGGAATTAACAGCATGAGCTGAACTAATCTTTTTGATTTTTTGCTTAAAATGTTTGCTGATCCTTTGCTTTGCTTTTTCAGAGTCTAAAAGCTTTTCTCTTGAGCTATTGACAATTTTTAACAATTCAGTATACTCCTATGAACAAAATTTGGAGTATATTTGTTTCTCTCTACCTGATTTCTCCAGAATTTAGAAACTATTTGTGAATATTTTTAACTTATGGCAATACAGTTATTTGCATAAGTGCAATAGGAATTTGTTTTTATTTGTAACAGGGCAACATTGGAGAAACTGCTTATTTTACCAAGGCTTTGACTGGAATGGTGTGCTTTCCTTTAAGGAACCAAACTTGACTTATGGAGCCAATAAAGCCCTTGGAAAAATTGGCCTCATATTTTGTGTACATAGTCAATATACAGGGTTTCTGACCTGTGGTAAGTAAAGAATTGCACTTTTTTGACAGGCTCAGATTCCTCAGGTTTATTTTGGAGCTTCAAGAGGAGAGGAAATTCACCAAACTCATAGGTATTTAATGACACAAATTCATAGCTGGGCTCAGTTTCAACAAATCTTATCTGAGATTCCTCCTATGGAACAAGTTCCATCAAAGCCAATTTAAAAGCCTATGTAAAAATAATTATTCTTGCTGCACATATACAAATACTTAGACCACATATAATAAACCAAACCAGTCCTACCATTATTTGTCTTTAGTAATAATGAGAAACTGGAGACAGAAAAAATATGTTTCAAAACTGTAATACATCTGCTGTTAGATTCTAATCTTGCCTGAAGTTTTCAATTTTTATTGTTTTCTACAGTTTGAACTGAATTTCAACTTTTCTTGGCTACCAGCCTTCAAAATAATGGGTTTTTTTTTCCTTTTTTTCCTAATTTGGACTAAAATTAAGCTGTGCTTCCCTAATGCCCTGTGAACTGCAGCCATACAACTTAAACTTCAGAAGAAAATAACAGCAACCAATTTACGTATATAAGCCACTTTCATACCTGCCTACTAATATATGGACTTCAGAATAATGTGTCCTATATCGATTTTTCCAAGATTGTTCTTTTGTTTATTGTTGTTTTTCTCCCTTACTCCCCCATTTTCTCTTCATAGGACATGAGACTCCACAACCTGCTAAAAATGAGTTTTCAGGATGTATCCTTCTAGGAATACCTGTCCTAGCCATGAGAGATCAGATGAAACCTGAGACCAGAGACTTATTTTTTTCCAAAATGCTTTCTCCAAAATTTTTACAAAGAAAAGGGGGAGAAATGTGATAGGAAAATATTTTGGGGACCTTTACACTGGAAACTGCTCAGGGTAAATCTGCCTCCCATTCTATTCAAAATCATCCCTCTGTCCACAGAGATAGATGCATACTCTATCTTTAAGTGATAATAGTAAGGTGGGAGTATGTTTATATAATGGTTTCATTGTTGTAAAAATAAATGACAATAATACTGTATTTTATTGATTCAAAATTACATTTTTTAATGTTGTTCCATCATAGGTATGCATATTATACTTGATAAAGCATACATTAAAATTTAATTTTAAATTTACTCTACTAGAATTAAACTAAATAATAGTATTTCCTATAGTCATTACAATCTTAAATTCAGTGATATATGGTGATATCACATACGTTGATAACACATAATATATGCTCAATTAATATTTAGTAAAATAATTATTTAATTACTATGAAATGTTAAGCTCCAAGTTTACATAAGAAATTGATATAGCAGACAGCTAGTCAGCCATAAGCAGAGCAGGAGAGGGTTCCCCTCACACCTCCCAACCCCCCACAACAGGAATGTCAGACGATCATCAGGTGATGGTCAGGCAGTCGTTAATGTCTCTCTAAAATAAAAATAAGTTGCAGCCAGTCCCAGGGAAAGTCAATCTCCCAATAGATGAAACACCTGAAACTGGGGATTAGCAGCTTCCCACTAAATTTCCAGGAGTTGGGTGGGTGGGCTCACATATGTGCCCTAAGAGGCAAAATTGTGAAGTTTAACTGGTATATGACCATCTGGGTACATACCACTGGTAAAGGGAAGAACACCTCAGGTGAGCATGCATACAACTCCAGTAAATACATTGTGCATGCTCACCCAAGCGCTTGCAGGCCACTGTGCATGTGGGCAGCACATCCATAAGAAGACTCAAGGGAAAAGGCATGCAAGATACCAGAAGTATGGCAACATACAAAACCCCAAGTCAAAAGGTAAGACCCTGCACTTGTCCTTCAAGTTACCACATGGGCCTCTTCCAAATGTACTTTCCTTCTTTTCATTTCTGCTCTAAAGCTTTGAAATAAACTTTCAATCCTGTTCTAAAACTTGCCTCAGTCTCTTCTCCTGCCTTATGCCCCTCAGTCAAATTCTTTTTTCTGAATAAGCAAGAATTGAGGTTGCTACAGACCCATCTGTATTTGCCACCAATAACTCGATTACCAGCCACCACTAACAAAATGATAAACTTTCATTTGTAGATATTTTACCTCTAACAAATAATATTTTATGCCCTCCCAAATGGAAGATAAAATATAAAATTTAGCAGGCCACTTATAAATATTGTTGGTTATAAAGAAAGACATATTATCTAAGAAACATGACTGTTAGCCCCAGCTCACCATTTACTAAATGAATGCTTCCAGGAATATCACCCAATTGCTTTTAGTCTCATTTTTCTTGGCTATAGGTTTATTTGTAAGAGTAAATATTTGGCAGTTACAAATATAATTTTGTAATTTTCATTATTTTCATTTTATCAAATTAGAGCTAAATTTTAGTACCTCATATTCTGTTATATAGAAATATATAGATTATGTATTTTGGAGATGATTTATATATAATTCCCCATAAAACCTGATGAAAACATATACATTTAAGATTTTCTCCAGTTTTATTATTTCATTATTTCATTTCTTCCTATTTACCTTTCTATCTCTTTCCCTCAGTTTTGTTTTCTCTCTACTTAACTCATCTTCCTTTCCTTCTTTTTCTTTTCTTTTCTTTTTTTCTAAATTAAACTGTGTTGCAAATCCAGTGTCAGTTACTGTGCATACCTTTGAAGGAGCATAGGGAACTTTACCCCAAAATGTGGCTCCTTGGTATAATAAATATTTAACCTTACAGGTTAACAAAAGATGGAAGAGACTTTTCCCCTTCCTACATAAAGATCAGATGGAGCCACCAAGGAGAACAATTGTTTTTTCTTCTCATTCCTGATAACTCATTATTCACTGCAGAAAAGACCAAAAATGTAACCACACCCAAACATATCCAACACTGGACAAAGTCCGTCTCTCAGACTCATGTAGTTTCTTACCCAAAAAAACCATTTACACATTAATCTCTGTTCTCTAATGATCTATTCATTCTGCCTAGTAATCATTTATTGCCCATCAACAGAATTACCTATATTCCCCATTTCCACCCTCTCCTCTGTAATAAGGCTATATAGCTATTTGGACCCCATTGGGATATTGGGCAATCACTCTGTGATTCTCCCCCAAGCACATTGATAAAACTAGATGCCTTTTCTCTTATCAATATGCCTTTGTGAGCTGATTTTTCAATGATGCTTCCAAGGTCAAAGAACACAATTTCCTTTGACTTCTAAATCTTATTAAACAAATTAAAGGAAGTTTTTATTCTTACAGAGATCTTCATAGATCCAGTAGATTTATTCATTTATCTATTGAGCAAATATTGATTGAATGCCTACTGTGTGCTAGATACAGTGCTAGGTGTTAGAGGTTTGCCTACAAAATCAACAATGAATGACAGCACCTCTGCCCTTTGCAGGTTTACATCTTTATGTGGTAGAGAACAAAGCCTGTTGAGTAAGTAAATAATGAAATACATTCATATATTTTTCCAAACTGTGATGAATGCTAAGAAGAAGAAATACAGGGAGCTATGCAATATCAAATACCAAGGCATAATTTAGCTTTGAGGGAATTTAGTTTGTGTTAGTACAAATAAATGACTACTTTGACTATTTTCTTTAATTAGCAATATAATAGTGGTATTTTTAATGCATAAACTCCTCAGTGCAAAGAAAGGGTTCATTTAATTTTTGTCCTAAAACTGTCTAGCATAGCATAACCATGAGCACATTAGGGCAGTTAGCAAATTATCTGGATATTATAAGGATATTAGATGTCAACAAACTCCATTACACCTTTTGTCATTGTGATTGTACTATTATTTAAACTTCTCAACAGGGTCAGACTTTTTAAAAGACAGATGTAATATTCCATTTTTTATCATTGTGTTGATTTGCAAGGCTCAGAAAATATACAAACACATTTTCAGAAATTGACATAGGCAAAATCCAATCAAAAATAACCCTGAGAATTAAAATTATACCATATTTGAGACCATTAGGTAATATTCTCTTACCTGGGTCAGTAAAGAACTGAAGCTAAGTACTTTTTTTTCATTTTGGTTAAGCAAGGCTTTTTTTTTTTTTTCCTGTCATTAAAGAAGACCAGAGCCAGGTAATAGTTAAAGTGATAAAAGTAGATTTTTTTTTCCAGGAACTATTGAAATATGGGAAAGAGAGACCTCAGAATAGAACTTGGCTTATTTCCAAATATGACAAGAACAAGTAGGCTTTTATAGCCAAGGACCAGGAGATGGTGGGCATGGGGGTTGGTGGATGGAAAATGATTAAGAGTAGACATCTTAATCATTTAAGATGTCTTAAAAGGGAGAATTCTTGCTAATCTGACCTAACAGGATTCTCACTGAAGGCAACCCATGGTGTTTCTATATCACCTGAGGGATGAAGTATTTGACCAGATGTCAAACATGTTTAGATATGAAGGTGTATGGGTATGTGGGGGTTCTCTCTAAACCATCTTAGCAGAATTTCTGTTAAAAATGGAAGATGCAGACCCAACAGGGATGGACACTGAAGGCCAAGGGAGAGAAGAGGTCTTACAGGAGTTTTACTAAATTTGGGTCAAGGAGAGCATCTTTGTCATTATACGTCATTCCTGCTTTTGATAGCAATGGTTAGTAAAACACTTTCTACAATAATGATGGGAAAGATCATTACATATTACACATCTACACAAAGAAAAACTATACATGGTCACATTATCCTTTCAATCGATGTTTTAAACAAAAACTTAAACCCAGCAATAACTGTATCAAAGCCGGCTGCATATGCTCTGTGACAGGCTAAAGAACTGCAATGTTGTCTCTAGATCTCCTGAGCATTCTTTAAGAAGGATATTGTCAAGGGGAAAATTTTTCTGGAAAGAGGAGAGATTGATAGGGTTTTCAAAGACCAGGGGTCCCAAGAAATGCTAGAAGGAATCAAAATGTTGTCTCTAGAAAACAGAAGAGACATCCACTACATCCTAGTAGAACCTCAGCAAGTATTTTATGATTTAGTGGAAAAGAGGAAATGAATTACCAATTTCCAATGGAGACCCAAAAGGTCTTTCTTGTAAAGAATGAAAAAACAAAGTTAGAAATATAAAGTGCCTTTTATTTAATCTCCACAACCATGTTGTGAATTAGGTCATGATGCAATTTTGTACACTGGGTAATAGATTTCAGTCAAAGCAGTCAGAATTTTCTGACAGCCTTTTTTTCTCACACTATAAATATTGCTATTAATGTGATTATTATAGACTACATATATAAACGTTAGCTAATTTGTTTTCTTTAAAAAGAAATCAGCCAGGCATGGTGGCTCATGCCTGTAATCCCAGCACTTTGAGAGGCCAAAGGAGGCAGATGGCCTGTGGTCAGGAGTTTTGAGACTAGCCTGGCCAACATGGCAAAACCGTGTCTCTACTAAAAATACAAAAATTAGCTGGGTGTGGTGGCACACGCCTGTAATCCCAGCTACTCGGGAGGTGGAGGCAGGAGAATCACTTGAACCTGGGAGGTGGAGGTTGCAGTGAGCCAAGATTGCAACACTGCACTCCAGCCTGAGCAACAAGAGCAAAACTCCGTCTCAAAACAAAAAAAAAAAATCAAATGAAACTCATGCAGATTCATTCTGTATGATATATATAATCTTGACTATGTTTTAAAAATATTTAAATGACAGTTTCCCTTGTAAATTCTATTTTAAACAGGGTCCTAGATATTAAATTATAATCTTATCTCATTTTACATGAAGTAGTTTTCCCTGAGTATTCTCTTCTACTAATTATTTGACTTTAAATTTCTAAAATTTAGCAGATCTCAAAAAGAGCCAGGAGGAAAAGATTCTTAAAAAAATTAACAATGACATTATTACAAATAGGGGATAGAGCTGCAAATAATCTCTGCTTCTTTTAAACTAATTATAATTTGTGTCAAAGAGGATATTTTCTTTTATTGTAATAATACAGTGTAATTACAGGGGAATCCGTAGTCATACAATATAAATTTAATTTTTAGAATTAAGTTTTTTGTGTTTTGCTTATATATCTGAAAGGCTTTATTTTCAAACTAATTTGATTATATTATTTATAATTTAAAAGAAAAAGTTATACTCTTACAGATGAGAAAAATTTGTCATATAT
Organism: Homo sapiens; assembly: GCF_000001405.40. Taxonomy (NCBI): domain Eukaryota; kingdom Metazoa; phylum Chordata; class Mammalia; order Primates; family Hominidae; genus Homo; species Homo sapiens. Next base: position 33,421,127 of record NC_000004.12, read on the forward strand.
TGTGTTTGCTAGCCTGGTTGCATTTAAAGCAACAGAGAATGTGTATTAAGCAAATTGTACTAATACCTCAAAAGTACAATTTACAAAATGAAATGGAGAATAAAACACTATTGTTTCAGGAAAGGGTCTCATTGCATGGCTATCCTGAAGTCTTGTTATGGGATTAATTAGAAATAATGAGCTTTGTGTGAAAACTTTTTTATTATGTCTCAAAGGGATTGTAAATAATAGAAATCTGAAGAGCTAATAAGAAATGACAAATGTATTACATTATATAGAGAACTACTAAAGAACAATTGTTTCTTTCCAATTATGTACCAGCACTGAAAGAAAAAAGAAGGTACTGTCACAAATTCTCTTTCAATTGCAGTAATATAAAGCACAGTATTTTAGCTAGTCAGTTGCTGTCATGTCCTAGTGTAAAGAGAAATTCTTTAACATAAAGCAACATTGTCTTCCTACAAAATAACAACAAAAATTCTTGCTGAATTATGGGGCCACCTCTTAACTCACTTTTACAAGTGTGATTCTTTAAAACAGAGAAGTAATTTTATGAGAATATTAATGCCAGAGGTCATGTTTTGATGGTTTCAATTATAAGACATAACTGTTAAAATAATCAAAAGTATAGGAAAATAATGCAGTCTGTTTTTATGAAAGTAAATCTTTAAAAATAGATACATGCTCTTTTTGTTTACAGAAAATAGAAACAATCCCTCTCACCCACGTTCACCAATAGTCAGCCCATTAACCTATAGATGAATGCAAATGTCTTCCTCCCCTAACCAAACGCTGCTGTCCAGTTATAAACCAGTACTCCTAATTTCCTGTTATAAAAGTGATTCAGAAAAACTGAGTATAAAACACAATGTAAAATCATATATATATATATATATAAACACACACATATTTAATTTACCCATCACAATCATAATAGGAGTGACGTCATGGAATATAGAGAAAAAACACTTGAGCCAGCAACTCCTCAAATATATGCTTGACAACAACGCATCTTTAGTATTTTAAGGATTTTAAGAGGAAAGAAAAGGTAAATTGCCAAAAATAATGTAAAAAACCTGGCTTAATTAGCTAAGAAAAGTGTATTTGGTACTTTATGCTAAGAAAAGTTTATTTAGTACTTTGATATGTAAAATTGTTATAAAATGTCTGAAACCTAGTGGATGGTGTTTTTCGAAAGTATTTTGATATTCTGATTTGAGCAGATGATAAAAATAGCAGAAGATAAAAAAATCGAAATTGAAAACACAAGTCATTTACACAAATAATATTTTAATATTTTGGAAAATGTATTTAAGTGGAATATCTGGACTCGTCATCATAGAATATTCCTTAAAACATTCACTCATTCATTCCACATATAATATATATCTACAGATTATGTGTATGAAACTCAGTGCAGATTTATTCCCTAGGATTGTAGCACTGCATGAGAACCATGTGGTCTCTACCCTTAGGAACAGAACTTTCTAGTGAGGAGAAACAGACATTAAACAAGGAAACAATATATGAACAAGACACTTTCAGATTGTGAAAGAAATAGAAAAGATCATATCCTAGATGGAAATTGCAGTTGGTTGTGGGGAGGGGCTCGGTTAAGGCATTGTTTGGAAAAGACCCCTTTAAAGAATGAGAAGTGTTTTGCTGTGAGAACTCAGAGTGCTTACATTGACATTGGACGTTTGTATCCACTGATGTGTGCCCGTATCGAGTTTCTGCAATGTCAGCTTCTAGTTTATTATTCAAGATTTGGCAGAATGGTTGCTAGCAGAACTAAGTTAGAGAGCTATGTGTGTGTGCGTTTAACTTGGCCTGGGGAACACAAACTGCTAGTTCTTTATACTCTGTGATTCTAGTCAAACCAGCTTCTTTAAGGAAGTATAAGTTCCATTGCAGAAACTACTTTTTTACTAGTCGAGTGCACGTTCCTTTAAAACATACACAGCAAAATGTTCACCTCTGACTACTTGTATGATAGTATCTTGGGAAGCTTTTTGAAAATTGCAGAGTAAGCAGTGTTGTTATTTCAGAACGAATCCATCACATCTCCCTGGAGTGAAATGTGAAGAACAGTCTCCCTTAGTGATACTTATGCACATTAAATTTGAGAGCCTCTCCCCTAAGCCCATATGTATGTCATTCTATTTGCTACATAGGTGAATGGTGATGTCAGGTAATGATATACATGTCATTTGAGTATCTGTTCCTCCAAACATGATCTTTAGATACTAAAAGTAGTATCTAGAACACTTATTTCCGAATTTTAGTATGATTTTATTTTTAATTTTTTTCACCTTAACACTTTATTAAAGTAATATAAACTGAATGATACACTCCCAGAGACATTAAACATTAAAAATGGAACAATAAACATATGTACCACTTACAGTATTGTCAGTATTCTAGTAAAACTGCTCTCTTTTTACATGAAGAGAACTTTAAGACATTGCCTTATGCGCCAGTTCCCCCTTTTCTACATTTAACAGTTGGAGAGACAGAGAGAAAAAAATATGCCAAATACAACATGGGGACATAGTGTACATGATTCCCTGTGAAGATTTTATTTCAGTATGTAATTAATTCAGACCCACTGAGCACTACTCAAACGTGTGGTTCCCACGTTGGTGCAAGTCTGTGAACAGTTTGTTACTAGTCCACCAGGAGATAAGAAACTTGTGCCAGAAATATAAATCAACCAATGCTTTCTTCATCAAGAAAGTCACATTATTCCCTTTCTGCTCCCCACCCCCCTCCAAAAAAAGTCAATGAAACTAGTTAGTGAGGTGTGTTTACTGCCAAAAGTTGATTTACAGTCTGGCTCAAGTTTTCTATCTCCTTGGGTACCAATAACAGACAGTTCTAGACCAATCTTTTTGAGTAGCCCTGATTGGAAAAATCATATACAGGTGGCATTCACTGCACTCTTTTGAGTTTGACACATTTCTGTCCATTTACTCATAACTGAGATGTTCAATTGGTAAAATTCTTAACTTTTCTTTGGTGGAATATTTCTGAAAATTTCTAGGGAATATCTTTTTCTATTTCATGTGTTAATCTCAAAATAAAAATAATTTATTTGGAGATAGCTAATTTGAGTCTATAATCTTTACTGTTGAATTACCCATATGTATGCAAAAAAAGGAAATTTAAAAGGAAATGGTGACTTTATATGAAGTATAGGATTATTTCATTATTGGTTATAATTAAGAGAACAAAGGTTTGGTTTGGTTTTTTATGCGAGGCTGGTTACTTTCTGCTAATACATTAATAAATTTGTTTTCTTTTTAATAATAAAATACAGGGAATTCTATTTATCTGGTTAATATGATGGAAACGATCCTATAGTATTAACATCATGATCTAACTAAAGAGATGTCAAGGCCAGACGCAGTGGCTTATGCCAGTAATCCCAGCACTTTGGGAGGTCGAGGCAGGAGCATTGTTTGAGCCCAGGAGTTTGAAACCAGCCTGGGAAAACATAGCAAAACCCTGTCTCTACAAAAAACTTTAAAGTAACTTTAAAGTCAATGGTCCCAGCTATGCAGGAGGCTAAGGTGGGAGCATTACTACAGCCCAGGGGTTCAAGGCTCCAGTAAGCCATGATCAAGCCACTACACTCCAGCCTGGGTAACAGAGCAAGATTCTGTCTTGAAAAAAAAAAAAAAAAAAAAGATATCAATCGCCATTGATAGACAAAATAAATTCAATGATATCTTCAATATAGTTTAGAAGTTGACTTTTATTAATTGATCTGTTGAAATTTTAACAAACATACTATTTTAGAATTTCTTAAATTTTAGAAAATTTAAGTTTAAATCCTAATTCTGCTACCTATTTGCTATTTCATCTTAAGCAAGTCATATTTCAGATCCTATATCTCCATTCTTTAAAATAGCAGTAAAAACACTAATTGATAGTTTCTTGGGTAGATCAAGACCTATAAATATGCAATTTTCTAACTTGGGTTTTGACACATATTAGGTGCTTAATAAAGTCTCTCTCTCCTCTCTCTCTCTCTCTCTCTCTCTGTGTATGTGCGTGTCTGTGTGTGTGTGCATATATATACATATATAGTAATCAATTTGTGTATTTACCTACAATGATTCATCCAAACAATCCTTCACTGCAAACAGATCTTATTGAGTATTCCAGGAATAATGCTGGGCACTGAAGATATGGTGAATAAGAGAAATCCTGTAAAATAATGGAAATGGCAAGCCTAGTATTGTTAAAAGGAGTAGAACAATTTGATTTACTAAACTAGAAGTATCTCTTATGTGGCAAGTTTATTATTGTTCTTCAAACACAGCAGTGCCATCTGGATAAGTTGCTATTGAAGCAGTAAACATGACTATAAAATAATCAATAATTAATTATTATTTGGGTTAGTAGAATCAAACAGAAAACCAACCATGAGACATCTCATTTTTATTCCCCTGGGACAGCAGTGTGTGGCCCAGTGCCTTTAGAATTTACTCCCTTTTGGGTGATTAACAGTTTTATGCTAAAAATTCTGAAATGTCCTTGGGAGTTGATTGTATGGATATTTTAAGTTATAGTTGTACTGTCTCAAGTGTTCCCACTGCTGATAGCAAAGATGATCCCTGTCCAAAGAGAGTGACAGAGAACAAGAGAGAAATCAAGAGAGTGAGAGAGCGAGAGACAGAGAGAGAGAGAGAGAGAGAGACGAACATCTTACAAAGAAAATACCTGTCTAGCCTTTAGAGGTTCCCTTCATTTCTATTTCCTCTGAATATAATATAATGTGTTTCTTGTTGACGTAGCTGATTAGTAATTAAAGAAATCTGAACCAACACTCAGAAACCCAAAGGGGATGAAAATAAATGACTGCACATTAGTTTAGGCTGAGGGTTGAGGATGTAATTTATTTATGACCTAATGAATTAATTCATGAGAATCTGGATGTGGTTAGGGGATTAAGGTTCTTTACTCTGTAATCTTTGCTTGGAAAACATATAGTTTAGAGGTTTTAGCCAGCTGCTGATTAAGACCATTAGACAAAAAGCAGGCTGGTTTTCTTTTTTTATACTCACAATCACCTCCAAGCCAAATGTGAGGGCTGCCTTCTACCTGTCAAAATTGATATACTTTTGAGAACAAATACGTTTCATAGAAAATATTTTAAGCTTTTTCCAGCCAACCTTCCTGTTGATTTTTCAGATCAAGCATTTTTCTGCATTAAGTAAGCAATAAAAAATAAAACTAAGATATTTATTTTATTGACAACAAAGTAAAAATGTGATGTAAGCTATCATTTTTTTGAAAATAACTACATGTATACACAACCATCTCAGAATGTAGTCCTTTATATGAGACTGCTATTGCTGAAAACCTTCTTTCAAAGATGTTGTATAGATAAACTTTATTTATTTTATTGAAGATACTGATTAAGATCAGAAATGGTGAAAGTCTCAAAGACAATTAAATCTGGAAGAGTTGTTTTTAAGGTCCTGTATATTTATAAAAGACAATAAGTAAAGTACTTAAGAAAAGTCAACATCTTATAATAAGATGTGTTTTTTACGCGTAGTTTAGATTAGCAGAAGGCTTGAGTTTCTGCTTCCATTCTCAGCCTGACATCCATAATCACCACACAGGGGAGTGTGTCATTGGTAGGCAACTGTCAGAGACAGTGGTTAGGAGACAGAAAAGTGCTGTCTCTTGTCCTCTTAAAAGCCTTAAGTAGGTTCCTTCATCCTCAAGTCTTGCATGAAGATGATGGCCTTCTAACTGGCATTGTTAAATGTGATGAAAAGCAAAACAAAAAGAAATAATGTAAATAAACCCAAGCAATCAATCATGAGGATTGAAAATTAAAGATCTGCCCTTCTATTTTATTAAGACCCCTGTTAAAATGTCTAAGAACTAACAGAAAAAGTAATCTCTTTCTTTGACATTCCACAGAACTTTACCTGTACTTTTTTAGGGACACCTTTACCAAAGGTTAGTTAGTGCGAATTATTTACTTTCATATGTGATTACATATACTCAATAAGTAAAATAGTTTCTTGAGGGATGGCACAAGTTCTATATCTGTCTCACTGTCCATGGCATATGGCAATTATTAAACAAATATTTTCTGATTAAATGAATAAATAAATGGGCCAGAACGTTAACCAATGACTACAGCTGAGCTATGTGATTCCTGTCATTATGCTGGTTATAACACTCTGATAAAGGAAACACAAAATTTCTTTTAGTGGAGAGAAAGTTTAGAAAATGACCATTTGGAGGCATTTCAGCTCTAGAAGTCTGACTGGTAAAAGGCAGCATGTGGGCTCCAGTTAATTGAGGGTAAGCTGCTGAGGACATGAACTTTGGAAACAAGAGTAAGGAAAAAGAAAAGCGATGACACCACTTCACCTATTTTACTGTTTTTCTTAGAGTTGGCTCTGAAAATGGATTTTAAAAATGGCTAATGTCCTCTGATAGATATATCTTTAATCAAAATAATAACAAAAATAATATTACTATCTATTAAGCACTGAGCTGTAGTTTCTAATAAAATAAATTTAAAAATAGTTGTTTTATTTTTGCTCATGTTATAATAATTGGGGGTATGTGAATATTTCCAATGTCTCCTAAGTTTTTCCTACTGCCATATGGTACATATGTGGGTGGTCTCTTATGATAGTGGCAGTAATAGCATAGTGGTAAAGAGCATGGACTCTAGATTCAGAATGCCTGCGGTCCATCATTATCAGCTAAGTGACAGGGCCAACACACAGCATAAGGCTTGACAGTTGAGATAATATATGTAGGAAAAATAAGGATTAGGGTTGGGGCCAGAGAATGGAGTCAGCTTTCCCTAAGGCATAGAGATGAGTGGAAGAACAGTGGGTGCTTGTCCAAGATATTAAGAAAGACTCAAGGGAAAATGGATGTTGAGTAGGCAACCAAAAATATAGATTATATTCTGCCTCTGACTTTGTAGCAGAGCAGGAACTGATCATAACAAAAACTAATCACTCATCCAGCAGAAATCCCCTACCTTCAGGCTCTCTACCCTCCATTTTCTTGACTTTCTACTAACAAAGAAAATTTATTATTTTTCTCTTATTACACCGTAAAGCTCTACGTGTACTCAATAACTAACTTAGCAGAAAGATACACATTTGTTTTGTTTCTCTTAGGTTGCTAAATTTGTCTGAATTATTTATAGTGGACAAAATTAACTTCTTTTCATGGTCTAGGTGGTTCTTTCATAGGACTCCCCTTTTTCCCACAAGATATTAGAAACCTTTGATAATTCCTTTGATAAGGTATGGCACATTGTTATCTTGTAAACTATCAAGGCTTTAATCTTAATTATATTCTATCTCAAATCACAACTTTGAAAACATCTTTATCAAATATTTTCCTTAGACAATTTATTCTTAAAACACACCATATATACATACTTGTTTCAATATACCTTTCTAGAAAAGCACCTGCTTTTATTATAAGAGTGTCTTTAAACTACAGCATTTCACCAATTTATTTTTTCAGATTTTAAACATAAATTCAAATCACATGCAACTATTTTCCCAACTTTATTCTAAAATGTCATTTTACTCTTACATATGAATTAAAGACTGACAATAATTGTTATAACCTATTCTTATATTTTGTTTGCTACATATTGGCTTATTGATAGGTCATCTTTAAAACTCTTTATTCATTGGCTTTTATTTTTCACGCAGATTTACTATAAACACATGCTGATAGAAAAACACTATCATAAGATTTGAAGTGAGAGGTTAAGTGATCATTTACTCTATACCACAAAGCATAAGCTTAAGTAGAAGGAAGTAGAAAACAGAAAACATAAGCTTAAGTAGAAAGAAGTATAAATGTGTGTCTTTCAATCAATAATTTAATAGGCACAGCAAGAGTATAATTGTATTAATAAACACTTTACATCCAAAGTTTCTTATAGAGCTTATTTTTTCTCAATTACCATATATAGCAGATGACATTATTATCCTCATTTTACACTTAAAAAAACCTAATGTATATTGAGGTGAAGCAATTCAAGGTATCTGTTTAACAAATGACACCAAGAGTATAGATGCAGAGTGTGGTGTACATGTGACCCCTTTTATCCTCTTGCATACTTTGTATTAAACTGTGAAGGCATACTTGTCTGTAAGACTAAAAATGGAGGCTGTCACTCTGATTCTCTTCAATGAAAATACCTATATGATCTGTCTAATGAATGCAGGCCCTAAATTTCAATTTAGTCTCTGTAGACAATTTAGTCCACATTTTACTGAACCATTAACACTGATTTTATTTTTCCATTATTTAAATCGATTCTGGCTCTCTTCTTTTCTACTCTTTACATTTAATCATGTGAAATATGATAGTAAAATGTACTGTAACTAATGTGTTTAAAAAGAAAAATCGATAGGATGCAACAGATAACAACTTCACCCTCTGCTACCCTTGTGCATTCAAGCCTGGTTTAGGGTGAGGAGAAGGGTGAGTACTATTTTTCCACCACTTGAAAGGAGGGTGGAAAAATAGTACCCACCCTACTCCCCACCCCAAACCAGGCTTGAATGCACCAGCTTTCATAACTTATCTGAGCACTCTGAGATTTCCCTGGTCACTTCAAGTCAAAAAAAAATCTCATTTCAGTGATTCAAATGTCAATTCCAAGTAAAAGACAAAATTAAATTTTATTTTACATATCTCTCTGCTATGAATGTAGCCTCCTCGGGGGCAGGCCCTGCCCTTACAAAACACAGAGCATGGATAAGACAATCTGTGCTTCCTGTAGGCAGCACATTTCCAAGAAGACATTTTTCTTTAAAGTCCAAAATCATTATCGTATTAAGTAAAAATTGTTTCCCAGGGCTGGAATGATGAAAGGGTAGAAAGAAAGAAGGAGTATTGTGATAGCAGATCTGCCTTCACATAGAAAGGAAAATAGGGAGTGAGAAAGATTTGTTTCGATTTCATGTTATGCGGTAAGCAAAACACCCTGTTCTGCAGATTTCACAGTGGCCCACAGGAAACACACACCAATTGTTGGTGTGATCCCAGTCACTTCCTTCCCATAGCTCTCTTTTCTATTGTCTCAGCCATCTTCTTACCCTTCTAATGTGTGAGACATTGGTTAGAATGCAGTTCAGTCTGGCTAAATGTTTCCAGCATCCCACACGGTCCCATAGAAACCTTTCTCAACCTTCTTTTACAAACTCAGGGACATGCTTACCCAATGATAGAAAAAAAGATGCTCAGTCTCCAGCTTTGCAATAACTGCTCAGGTGTCCTAGTTCCCATTTTAGAAAGTGACAGTAATTAGGACGCTTACAGAAAAAAAAAATAATCACTCCCCCAGTGATTGAAATAAGCAGTCGAATTTAAAAGCATGGCCTGGAGTCCATCTGTATGAATGTCTGAAGGCAGGAACAGATGTCCACACCCTCTTTCCTTAGAGAAAAGCTCAGAAAGGTTAAATTAACTTGCTTAAGGCCACAGAACTAGTATAACGCAGAGCCTGAAGAACAGACTAAATTTTCCAGGCCTAAAATGGTGAATTTTCTATTACGATGACTTCTGATCATAGAAACCTGTAAGATAAAGGCTAGGAGAAACCTGCTAGAACCAGAAAAGGGACACTTATGTCCTGTCATCCCTTTTATTTATAGTTCTAATACCTTTATGTGAAACACACAATTAGGTACAAGGGATAAAGCTACTAAGTTGGTGCAAAAGTTATTGCGGTGCTTACCATTGAAAGTAATGGCAAAAACCGCAATTACTTTTGTACCAACCTAATATATTTACTCTCTTTGTCTTTCTGCTTGCTGTTCCCCCTGGCTGGAACTCTCCCTTCCCTGAGGTCTGCAGGCCTCCATCCCTAACTTAAACTCCTCTCTGAAATGTTCCTTATCAACAGACTCTCCAGGACTGGACTAAACTAAATAAAACAACACTCTCTAAAACGGACTATCTAATTCCCCCTACCGGCTTCATTTTTCTCCCTAGCCCTTATCATCATCTTATACAGTCTATACTAATTTTGTATTGTCTTGCTGTCCCAACTAGAGTATCAGCTGCTTCGGGACAGACTCATTTTGTTTCACTGCTGTGTCCCCAGCAACTAGAACAGTGCAAGGCACAGAGTAGATGCTCAATTAACATTTGTTGAGTGAATGAATGAACACATAAATTGAGATTATAATATTTTCCAAGGACATAAAACACATACATAAATTATCACAATGTAGAGCAGAATGTTACAAATAAGAGGAGAAAAAAACATTATTTATGGGGTGATCATCAGGTATCAAGACTGGTATTTAAACACAATTATTACAGCATTTATTGGGCAATGATAAAATACAGCACAATACAGGATATCAGATGGAAGTAACACTCAATTTCAGATTAAAACCAAATATAAGAACACTTATTTGGAAAGCAGAAAGACACAGAAGTTAAAAGCACAGGGTTAGGAAAAAGATTTCCTGGGATTCAGATACTGGCTCTCTCTTTGTTTAACTATGGCACTTCTCTATACTCACATATATCTCTCTGTAAAAGAATAATAATAATCATATGTACTATATATTTTAATTGAGAAGATTAAATGAGATAATCCAGGTGAAGTGCCCGGGCCATATTAAATTACCAATAAGTATTAATTTCTTTTTGCAATTTTACATAAAATCATTTCCTCTTGACCTGCTCTTGAAAATGTGTTTATTTAGAAATAAGCCTATTTATCTATATTATTGGAAGGTAAAATAATATATCCAATTATAACAACTAAAAAACTTGTGTTATAATGGGAAAAAGTACCATTTACATTCCAGCTGTGAAACCTTATGAATGCTAATGAAATCAATGTGGTATTATTTGACTGGAACAGATATTTAATTTTTATATAAATATATGGCTGTCAGTTAATATTTGGGTATTAAAATAGAACCATAAAATCACGTTATACCTCATTATGCCATTAAGCACAACCTATTGTACTTGTTAATTAAAACCTCCAAAATATTAACATCAGACAGTTTAAGTATTAGCAAACTAAGAACATGGCTAATTAAAATTTAAGAGGAATATTTCCGTGATTGTTTTCATGAGAAATATGTTTATATTTCACTTATGAGCAGGACTGATATTCAGCTGGAATGTACTGGTGGCCTTAACCATTGCTTCCAGTTGGCTAATGTTCTGAATGGTTAGCGTCTTTATATGCTCTGCTTGTATGTACATGTTCTGAATTCAAATGATTTCCAAAATTCCAGAGTAATTTTAAAACCAAAACAGGACTCAAGTGTTAACAGTGTGACCAATTTTTCTCTTTTATATCAATATATAATAGTCAGTTTTTCCCTAAAAGAGGGACCTATTGAGGACATTTAGATATTATTTCTTTTTTTTTAAATTATTATATGTTAAGTTCTAGGGTACATGTGCACAATGTGCAGGTTTGTTACATATGTATAAATGTGCCATGTTGGTGTGCTGCACCCATTAACTCATCATTTACATCAGGTATATCTCCTAATGCTATCCCTCCCCCCTCCCCCAACCCGACGACAGGCCCCGGTGTGTGGTGTTCCCCACCCTGTGTCCAAGGGTTCTCATTGTTCAATTCCCACCTATGAGATATTATTTCTTTACATAAAATGTACCTTCTGCTAAAGTACAATATGAGAATTTCGAATGGTACCTTAAATCCATTTTGTTTCTCACTTCAATTCTGTTTGAAAGTGTTTGAGAACTTTAACCTCTTTAATTTATATTGAGAGCTGAAACATTTATTTTATACTAGATTTCATTAGTGTTAAAATGATGTTACAATATGGTAATAGCCACAACTTTTTTTTAAATAGCACTACTTATAACCATACCAAGTATTGTGCAAAATTTATTTTTAACAAGTGATAACCAAGTGATTTCCAACATCTCCTTATTTGCTGTGAACGTGCAAACAAAAGGTGTCCTTTAGTTTTTGTTTTATCTATATGTTTGAATACTAACGGGACTTGTCAAATATTTAATACTAGCTTAATAAAATTTATCACATATTTTTTCTCAGATATTCTTAAACCTACTTTATCATATTTTTATATTCTTAACCTGAAAATTATATTTAAATATATGAAAGTTTGATGTATTGAGTATAGAGTAGAAAATAAAATGAGAATATATTATTCTGATTAAAAATACTAACACAAAAATTATAATAAGCACAAAAATAATAATATTTTGGAAGCTTAATACGTGCTAGACTTCAGGATAATTATGTGGCATATTTAATTCACATATAGTCTGTGATAGAGAAAATCTATTTGTTTCCTATTTACATAGAGGACTCTAGAGCTCAGAAAGCATCCATTGCCTGGGGTCACCCAATTAATTTACAACTGTAGCAGGCGGACACTGATTTTGGTAAGTTGAGTATGCCATTTTTGTCTTGAAATTGCAATTATGATAATCTAATTTAAAATAAACATAAGTAACTTTTTCAGTAAAGGTCAGTGTAAAACTATGTTAATCCTAGTCCATTATAACCCTAAAAAATATACAAACATAGAGGTATGGCAAAATCAGTTAGATCCCAAGGTATTCATAAAATTAGAATTGTCAGGCAGAAAAAGTTAAAGAACTCATCTCCAAAATGTTTTAGCACATTTAATTTAATTCCCAAATTAATTTCCATTACAGAACTTTTGAAACGCTAAGATGGGTTTAAAAAACAAATTCTAGATTTTATAAAACAAGCACACAGAGTGAAGGTCCATAGAACTCCTTTAGACAACTGTTGCTTACATTAAAAATAGCTTTGTCAATCTTTCATTTTTTTTGCCAGGTGTAAAATCTGGCACTTTTTATGAGTTATTTAGGTTAGGTTGTTAAGTGTTCATTTTGTTCATACAGAGTTTAGAATTAAGACTAAATCTTTTTGAGGGAATGGAATCCCCGTGTCCTCTCTGGATCTTCTTTAAGCTCTAGAACTTGCAGTCAGTCTATCCCAGGAGTTTGTTTCTTACAGTCTCCTGTAGTGGTCTGTATGATCATGTTGTACCACAGAGGATGCTGAACTCTTTCTCCAAATAGAACTGGGGCTGTTGTCATTATGCCTCATCTTGGAAAACTCACTAGGATAGCTCTTTGCTGTAGGGAACCCCCATTAAAATGAATTCTCTCTCCCCCCCTTTTTTTTGAGACAAATTCTCACTCTGTTGCCCAAGCTGGGGTGCAGTGGTGTGATCTCGGCTCACTGCTTCCACCTCCTGGGTTTAAGCAATTCTTCTGCCTCAGCCTCCCAAGTAGCTGGGACTACAGGCACGCACCACCATGCCTGGCTAATTTTTGTATTTTTAGTAGAGACGGGGTTTCACTATGTTGGCCAGGCTGGTCTTGAACTCCTGACCTTGTGATCCTCCCGCCTTGGCCTCCCCAAGTCCTGGGATTACAGGCGTGAGCTACTGCACCCAGCCTGAATTCTTTCTTAATCTACTAGAAAATCATACTAATGGGTATAAATGTTCAACTAAAACATGTAGGAATTCCTATTACCTGATTTAACTCTCCTTAGTGAAATATTTTAAGAAGAATGAACATCTCTGAAGAAATTCTGTATTTATTTTGAATAAATTTTCTGTTTCTATAATCTAAGAGTTTTTCTTCTCTCTCTAGTATAAATGAAGACTCAGACTTATGTAGTACCTTTAGAAAACTTCTTCCTTGTGTGTTTAACATAGGTTTTAATTATATGTGAAATTCATGCAAGGAAGAAAAATAAATGTATGAATGACCATCTTGGTAGCAAATGTTAAGAATGCAACTCAGCTTGGCTTAAGAAAAAAATAGTTATTATTTCAAATTTTAAAATATGGGAAAGGCAGGGGCAAAACTAGGCACAAAACAAAATATTGTTTTTTTGGTTCTGTTTTTTTTTTTGTTTGTTTGTTTGAGACAGGTTCTTGCTCTGCCACTGAGCTTGGAGTGCGGTGGTGTAAGCACAGTTCACTGCAGCTTCTGCCTCCTGAGCTCAAGTGATTCTCCCACCTCAGCATCTCAAGTGGCTGCGACCACGGATGCATGCCACAATGTGTAGCTAATTTTTTAAATTTTTTTGTAAAAACAGAGTCTCACTATGTTGCCTAAGCTGGTCTCTAACTCCTGGCTCAAAGATCCTCCCAGCTGGCCTCCCAAAGGGCTGCCACTCCAGCCCGTAAAACAAAATATTATAATAACATGATCCTGTATAGCATTTCCTACACAGCTGGAAACATGGTCACTTACAGTAATTAAGCATACATCTGCCATCAGACAGTAGAGTCATCATAGAGATACCAATTGGCCGAGTGTGGATAAAGGTCCATTCTTGAATTAATGACTAGGGTGAGTATTCAATGTGCTAAAGTAACATATTTTACTCATCTTCAATTAGATTCCACCCAAATCCCTAAATCCAGAAACCTTGAGTGTGGAAGAAGATGACAAAGCCCAATGAGTTGTTATAAGTAGATAGAAACAAGTCATTTTGTAGAAGATACAGCACTTTGTTGAGGAGCAATAGCATAGATACATTCTTTATCATGTAACATTGAAATTAGATACTTATGAGCAATGACTTTTCTCTTAGACTGTAAATTCTGGTTCACGATTTACTCATCTTTGAAACCTGGACATTTAGAGGACCTGGCTTATATGTGTGCTCAATAAATAGAACTACATTTAATCGAGTATTAAGATGATATAAACTGTTTCTGTAGTAATGGTTTAAATTTTATTTGGTACTGGGCATAATAGTTATACTGAGCTATTTATTTCTTAGCTCTGAATAATGCAAATTATTTGATTTATGTTACATTCCAGTATTTCCTTTGTTATCAATCATCCTAATGCAGCTTAGTCTTCCTTATTTTTCAGGATATGAAACAGTGATGTATTTACATTTCAGTTTAATTCAGTGAAAGTCTCATCTTCTTCTGCTCTTCAAGATTTGTCTTAAGAAAACATATTAAAATAAGAACAGTCATTCTTTATACAAGCTTCGTTTCTCAGCCTGTGACTAGTCAATAAAGATTATAAACAGGGATAACTCCCAAGAGGAATTTTGGCTCCAAAAAATATTTTCAGGCATATTAAAAGATGAAGATTCTTAGCAGTAGGAAAATATCACCAGCACATATGTGCTGCTAGCATTTAATAATAATTAAATGTCTGCTGGAGCAAGTTACATTATGAAGTAATTTAAAACTTTCAACAAGGAGTAGTAAGATATTTACCTTATTAGTTTCGTTTTTTAATCCCTGAAGAAAGGATTAACATTATATTCCTAAATAGCTTGGTATTGCAGAATTCTTCTACTCTAAGCTTTAAAGGCTACTGATGTTATTTTGCTTTTGCATTCTTGTCATATTTTTTAACAAGTGATACATAGAACAAGTCCAAATTATATCATATATCATGAAGTGCTTTTATGTTCTTTATTTGCCTTTGCCTTTATTTTCTATCATTGGCATTTCATATATAATTCATCACTAAAGTTATTGAGTAAAAAATGTCATCAGAGATTTTCATTAGCTATTATGTTAGACTGTGGCAAATTTACTTGTTGGTAATTACCAGCCCTCTCCTCAGTTTACAGATGTGGAAACAAAAGATCCAAAATATGTATTACCTTATCCAAGGTTGCACAGTTAATTCAATAGCAGAGAGGTGCCTAGAATTTGTCTGCCTCATAAAATATGCTATAAAATTATCATAATTATAATAGTGCATATTTTTCAGTACACTGCCATTCTAGCTGCTGAAGATATGGAGATGAATATTATCTAAGGCATGCAGGTCAATTTGCCTGCAAAAAGAGACACAGTCTAAGGTATCAAAACAGCACCAGAAGATCTTTACACACATATTCTGTTACCAAAGTAAACTCGGTGAATTTTTCTTTATTGTATTAATTTTTTGTTAAACATTTGAAAAATTCATTCTATTTCCAATATGCTGATTTACATTAATTTGAGAAAAAGACATATCCTTTCATTACTTGGAATGCTTCTTTTAGCTTTTCTCACTGACAACCTTGAAAATTTAAATAGAATGTGTTTAGCTAGGTCATTTTAATTTTTGTATCACTGTACATCAATTTTCATCTTTTAATACTTTTTCTACATGTAAAAATGAGAGGAAAGAATTAGATTAAAAATCATAGAAAAACTTATTTAATTATTCCCACCTTCTTATTTATACTTATTTAGTTTGGAAAATGCTTCTTAGTAAGTGTTTAGTTAAAAAAAATACATTTTTATTTGAGACTGGGATTTCCAGTGGCAATGCTGGTAGAGGCATAGCTTGTGAAGCAAAATTTCTGGACCGGACTAGCCCTCTGCATGTTATTAGAGAGTACAAAATTATCCTCCCCTGGCACATTTGCAAGAGGCAGCTCTTAGAAAGTAAACTCTCTCTACAGGCTATTGATATGAAGCACACTGATCTCATGCAAAGAACTGTGCAGCTGGTGCCATGGGAGAAGACCGTCAGATCCTTTCTAATGGAAAAATGAAGTCAGACCAAGCTTGCCTCCTTTCTTTACAAAATGTAATTATGTAAATGACAAAGCTCTATTATAGACAATGTTTATAATTAGCACTATTTTCCCTTTAATTTTAAATAAAGCATGTTAGTTGTGAGTGCCATGCCAACATATTTTCTACAGATGCTATAAACAATGCACAATCAGAAATCCATTTGGGTTGTTTTTGTGGTTATTATTTCAAATTGTGAAAACTCATAATAAATATCAATGTAATGAATAAACACCATTATATGTTGATAAACATCATACTCTTTCAATTTCAGACAAAACCAATGAATATTAATCAGAATGTTGGCTCTGCAATGATGACATCAAATGGGGTTTCCAATACCTATTAGGCTTCTCTCATAGTTCTGTTCTAATAAGACCACTGGAATGGTTTATTGTATTCACAGCTCAAAATTTAACAGAATGGCATTTCCATATTTACAAAATGCAAAGGGAAATAAAATATTAGTTTTGTGGGGAAGTGGTTTAGTTTCAATATCTAGCCAGCCTTTAAGCAAACAATTGAGTTTTTCATGCTCTCATTACATGAGGTCCTCCGTTTCCTTCAACTTTTGAATTTAAATACACTATGACTTATGGAAAGTGGTAATATAATTTAGTAGTTCAAGAGGTAAATTACAGACATGTAAATTAGTTTACTTTTTAGATTCTAAGCAACAGCAAATGTTAGTTTGATTTTAGAAGCAGCTGCCCAGTTTAGATACCAGTTAATCTTCGTTATTTATACCTGGCTCTATTATTTATTGTAAAATTCTGAACTAGTAACTTGACGTCTTTTCTCCTTGGTTTTCTCCTGGATAAAAAGATAGGCACTCAGCAGACTCAACAATGGCTTCTTGCTACATCAAGCTATCATCTGTGCATTCATGTAAACATGTGTAACCCTACAAAATTCGGCTATGGTTAGGTCTGCATTAGAATTTCAAATCCTTAACTTTGAACTTATTAAATCAATTTCATATGTTGTGCCATTAATAACAAGGTTTACAGAGTTAAGAGAGATGACTGTATAATTACAATAGGAATCTACTTGCAAAATTAGACGTTTGAAAAGTTTTAATGCTTCATATAGACTCTAATTCACATGTAAATCCTATTTAATGTAAACAACTATAAAACATTTGATTCATCCGGTTGTATTAAGTCAACTGAATAACACCAAATTCAAAGACTCTTATTTAAAATCTGACCAGAATTTTACATGTACCCAATGTTTAAAATTTTATTTCTGTGTATAGATCCTGGTTGGTTTTATGTAATATGTGGATTACAAGTTTATAAGAAGTCAACTCTATAATTATCTTATTTATTTCCTGTTTTGGCTATTTCACTGTTAGCACCTTTACTCACAGGTGATAAGGTACAATTAGAAGATATAAAAATTAAATCAGTCAATGTTGCTTTTTATGTTAGCAAGAACTGATAGAAAGGGCTTGAAATTATTGACTAAAATGAATTCTTGAACATCTGTGATTTGTAACTATATCAAGTTACTCATTCCTTCCGTTCTTGTAGAAAATCAAGAACCAGCTTATGTATGATAGGACTTCTGTATGTTTACCTGGTCTGGACAGAAGTATAACACCATGCAATTGGTTTTCTTTTCTTTTTTTTTCTTTTTTTTTTTTTTTGACGGAGTCTCGTTCTGTTCCCTAGGCTGGAGTGTAGTGGTGCGATCTCGGCTCACTCCAACCTCCGCCTCCCAAGTTCAAGCAATTATCCTGCCTCAACCTTCCAAGTAGCTGGGATTACAGGCATGAGCCACTGCGCCTGGCTGCAATTGATTTTCATCTGCCATTTTTATATCAAAAAATTTATGTAATAACTCCTACATACCAAACACTTGCTATGTAGTATATTTGCTGACATGGTGTGCATTCATTTTTAATTCACCTTAAGTTTCCCATAATATGAGTTAGTTATAAAATCCTCCATTTCTTGAATTTTCATGGTGTTTCTTAACATTTTATTTAATAAAAATGACTGTACAGCACAATGGACAAAATTAGAGGCGGCTGTTCCCTGCTGAGGATAACTGGTCACTACCCTGCAATGCAAATGGTGGAAAACCAGTTAGGAAGCTATGGAGGGTGATCTAGAGGAGACAGATAGCATGCTTTCTTCTCTTCAATATTTCTTTATTCTTTCCAATTATGACTTTTGTTTTCCTTTCATGAAAATACCTACATGTAAATTAACTCTTATAGACTGTAGCATTCTCCCCATCAGACAAGCCTGAAAAGGCTAAATTCTAGTGTGGAATCAATATGAGAGTCTTATTCTACGCCATACCTAGGCTAGCTGCATAATTTGCAGGAGCCCAGATAAAAATAATAAAATGTCAGGGAAGCCAATCTCTCTTTTTAGTGGCCCACTGCTGTGGTGCCACTGTGGACAGGCGAATCCCAAGAATCACAACCTCTGCACCACGACATGCTCAGTACCTGGATCAGGAGTGGGTAAGAAACTCCCACAGACACCTGCCAAATATACTGTCCTGTGATGCTTCATTCCAACATAAGAATAGCTGTCTGGCCCCATCTTGATGGTCCAGGAGGCATGCATCTGACCAGCATCTAGGCTCTCACCACGGGCAGAAAGTGATGGGGTAATATTGATGGAATCCACTAGCAGCCCTGGGTGGTAAGAAGCTGCAGTTGCAAAGAGCGTGTGGGGAGAGGAAGTCTGAGGGGAGCCAAGGGTGCCAGAAGGTGGGAAGTGGGCATACCCAGAACTCATCTTGCGGAGGTTGGGGACAGCAGGAAGCAGGGTCATATAAGCTGAGGCTCCAAGCTCTCAGTGCATGCTCCATTGTCCCTTGAACTTCACTTACATAATATAAATTGAAAGATAAAATTATTAAGATTTTCAAGACAAAAGCAAATGTTAAACTCCAAGCATGAGCCCCTTCTGAATATGAGGTTCTGTGTTACTACAAAACCATAAATCGGACCTATGAGAAGCAAAGATGAAGAAAGTCTCAAAAACTTACTCAAGGATTCAAGTCAGAATAATGTTTTTGAATTTAAAACCTACATCTTTCTAACCTGCTACTCTGATTATCTGACATAAAATTTAATACGTTGCTTTTTATATCCCAATTCTCCATTATCATAAGGTATTTGCTTAATGTATGCTTTCTGCCTGCAGGGCATGACTAGAAACACTTTATTTCCATGAGTAGATAATATTAGAGAGAACTCTTTTGATTCCATCAACACCTTGCATTGGCTTAGGGAAAACAGAAAAAAAAAAACAACAACAACAACAACAAAAACAAACAAAAAAAACTTGTCACAGAGACAAAGGAGACATTTTTCAGAAAAAAAAATGGGGCTCAACTATGGATTAAAGCTGGGTATAGAAGCCAATAAATTTTACCTCCCGCTCTGCTCCTTTCTGCATGTCTGTTTTATCTTTGTCTCTTTCTAAATCAATGTTTCCATTGCTTTCTTTCCCAAATTCAAGATGGAATTTATTCAAGCCACTATTCCCAAGCTTTAATATTGCTGTTCCAATCACTCAAGAGAAAATGATTTAATATTTTTATTCTCAATTCTAAATCCCTGAAAAGGGGACTGATGGGACTTTCCTAGGTCATAATCACCTAACCACTACCACTCAAGATTATCTGTTAAGGAATATTAATATATCGGTATTAATATATCAAGAAAATTGCTTGGTGGAGCTGCCCAATAACTCTATCTGTGAAGAGAACAGTTCTTAGATATGAGAGCCTGCCAGGCAGCTCATAGGTTCCACTATGGATGACAAGGCTCTGTATCACAAGATGTTATTAGATTTATTGGAAAATGTTGGTGTAGCATCTCTTACTCCTGAAATTCAACTGTGTGGCAAATAGATTTTTGAAACATAACAATAAATTTGCTTTATTTCTCAAATTTTATCCAAGACTCTGAATGACTTTAACTAAGCTCCACATCAGACCTTGTTATATAAAAAGCAAAACTAATGTCATTTTTCATTTGTGGTGTATCTGTGACCTGACAGTCCTCCCATCCCTCTCGATGATACACTTTATTGAAAGAGTGAAAATTCTAGAAGGTGAAATTCAATTCAGGCCACCCCATGGCTGTCAATGTCATTTTTGTTCCTGCTGGGATTTCCAGTTTGACAGAAATCACCAGAAGTCAAGAGAACTATTTAAACTACGAATATAGCCTACGCACCAACTGGGGCCACTGGTACCCCAGAAACCACTAACAGCAGTGTAAAATGTTTCATGTTAAACAATACCTCCTACCAGAATGTTAGCGCTGTCCAAGGAGAATAACCTAAAAGAAATAGTGCTCCCAGGGCCTATCTCTATGAAAAACATGGGCTTTGTGAACTTGAATTTCATCTGCTTATATAGAAATTGAAATTGCATACATCTCCAGCATATGTTTCCAGGCTTTGCAATAAAAGCTGGGTTCTTTGTGATGGAATTTTGAAGTATAGTGCTGATGTTTTTGACAGAAATGATGTGTCTTCAAAGTTTTCTATCATGCATTTATATTTTATAGCCTTAAGTGAGTATATTCTGCATCATGTCACCTTCTCCATTTATACCTTTTCCTGAAAGGCAAAATCCTCATTACGTTTGTGCAATTTTTTTTATGAATTGTCTTGATGCTGGGAAATATTTTGTTTCTTAATAATATGATTTAGAGAGTCATAATTTCTTATTGATTCATTTTTAATCCTTCATTAACTAAGTTATTACATATCTTTGGTAACAAGACAAAGTTCTTATTTGCCTTGTGTGTGTTAGAATGCACTGAGGCTTATTAAAATGATTAGCATAATCACATCATGCTGAGAACATATTCAGCATCTTACATTTAGTAGATGAAGTTTCCATAGATCCCATCCTCTTATTTGCACTTTACAACAGTTAAGCAGTATTTTTTCAAGTGTAAAGACTTAAGTCTACATTGGGTAAACAAGTTTTAATTAATTTTGAGGGCAAGTCACCTGCAGAGGCAGTGGTTTGAAGGCCAAAATAAAACAATCTAAGACTCATGGTTGGATAGACATGGGTTCAAACTTCAGATTTTATACTTCCTGATTTTCTGCTGTTGAGTAAGTTACTTGCCCTCTATATTTTCCTATTAGTAAAGTAGGAAAATGCTGGTTATATCTACCCCGTGTGAAGATCAGGTGAGAGTTTTATGAGTGCTGATATTCAGTTTCTGCACAATCTTGTGGATTCGGGCTGTATACAAATCCTTTCTTTCCTTATTTGCTGAGGTCTGTGCTGTACTAATTGTGAAATGTTTTGAATGTATGTAAATGTCAAGAGCCACAACCTGGAACATATCACATACTCAAAACCATCTAAACACAATGTATAAACGTGGCAATTATTAGTTTATTCTGTATGTGTAGAGAAAATATTTGAAGAGCTTTAGATGAATCTTTCATTAAAAAAGAGCTACATGCATCATGACACAAAGACTTAATAAGTAATTCTTATATTAATTTAAGTGTTACCAGTTATTTGTCACATAGTGGTGTTCACTGAATATTTTTACTCCATCAGACATCATTTCAGATAGATGCTCAAGGATTGGTGTGGTGACTGGTGAAACTTTCACAAAAATTTCAGTGTAAAAGTTCCAGGCATTAATTATGAGATGAAGCCATTCAAACCAATATTCCCTATCTTTATATGTTTGAGCCCCATTAGATATTGATGTAAAACAGAATAAAAAGTATAATTGCTTTATCTTCTATTAGTTGAAAGGAGAAGAAAGAGAAATAGTATCTTAGGTTAGAGCTTCTGACCCTAGAATTCATTAGTTCTTCATCATGGCTAAATAATGGCATCATTAAAAACTTATGGAACCCTTACTAGATATCAAGCCTTGCCAAGTATTACCCTTGTAATTTTTAATTTAAATTTCAAACAATCTATGACATAGATAGCTTTATATTTCCCACTTTACATATAAGAAAACATATGCTGTAAAACTATACTATACTTTGCAGAGTTCTGCAATTATTAGAGAGCAAACAAGATTTGAATCCAAGTATGACTAACATGAAAGAAATGCACTTGTTGCGGCCATATGTTAATCTTTCTCAGTGTAGTACAGGTAGCATTGATTTTAATATTCAACTTACTTGAAAAACTAGTAAATACATTTGAGATGTCTTTTATTTGTTTTTTTTAGGGGCAGATTATTGTCTATGTATGAATTTATTAAATTTTGAAGACAATTTGTGGACCTTCCAGCAAAAATGTAAAATGAGTTAATACAATTATTTCTGCTCCAGATGATAGTGAAAGAATACAAGATCAAAATAATAAACAAGAAATGAACAGAGACCATCAGAATATAGGAGATATGGACAAATTTAGTTAGAGACTAAATGAAAAAAAGGTTTTTGCTAATGGAACTTAAGAAGTTTCTGTTAACAGTAACTGTATCTATCTTTCTAGTTGTCAGGCCAAAAACCTTGATGTCTTCTTTAACTCTTCTGTTTATCTTGCCCCATGCAGATAGTCTCATCAAATTCTCTTTTCTCGAACATTATTTTATCCCAAATCCCAAAATCTCTCCTCACCTCCTTCATTAACACTGCCCAAAATCTCTCCTCACCTCCTTCATTAACACTGCAGTCCAAGCCACCAGCGTCAATTGCCTCGGGGATTGCAATTGCCTCCAAGCTAATCCCTCAGCTTCCACCAATCTTAGACCTTGAGTCAGCCTATCCTCAACGTTAATCTGAACAGTCCTGTAAAAATGTTTGCCATTTCAGCATCTTCTGCTTTCAAAATAATCATAAAACATTTAAAAACATTAAAAAAAATAAAACATTAAAAATACAATACATTAAAAAAAAAGTCATAGCTCATTGTTTCTCTGCTCCAAACCCTCCATTTGCTCCTTGATCCTGTCTAGCAAAAGACAATATATCCTAGCAAAAGACAATATCCTTCAAATTATAGTCTCTGGTTATATCTATTACAAAATTTTCTGCAAAGCAACTCTCCTATCTTCTGGGTTCTAAACAAATGCTTCGGATACACAAACTTTTTACTTAACTTCACTGCATGAGTATCTCTCCCTCTTTCACTGCCATTATCAATTTCTTAGCGAGTTCTTTAGTGAACAAGGTTCCTCATCCTGTATTCTCCACTTAACACTTTCAATTATATTGCTCCACAGAATCGAACACATTTTAATATATTTTCTATCAAATAAATTTTGGTTTTTTTTTCTGCCCTTTCTTATTCTCCTGAAACTTTAAGCTTAATAAAGGAAAGCGCCAGGCGGGGTGGCTCACGCCTGTAATCCCAGCACTTTGGGAGGCCGAGGCTGGCGGATCATGAGGTCAGGAGATGGAGACCATCCTGGCTAACACGGTGAAACCCCGCCTCTACTAAAAATACAAAAAATTAGCCAGGCGTGGTGGTGGGTGCCTGTAGTCCCAGTTACTCAGGAGGCTGAGGCAGGAGAATGGCGTGAACCCAGGAGGCGGAGCTTGCAGTGAGCTGAGATGGCGCCACTGTACTCCAGCCTGGGCGATAGAGCAAGACCCCGTCTCAAAAATAAATAAATAAATAAAGGAAAGCATGTTTTCTGGTTTATTCATTGCTCTATCCCATCACATTAAGCTGATTTTAATTGTTTAGTAAACATTTATTGATTACCAGATTAATACAATCTACTTAAATGTATATGTATATGCATGTTTGTGTAAATATGCAAACACCTTCTCAACTGCAGTGTTTGCTGTGTATATACAATATGCACATTAATACACACACATATATGTACTTATACATATGCATGCATGTGTGTGTGTACGGCAAACATTTCAGTTGAGAAGGTGTTTGCATGTCTGGCAACATCCTAAGCATTCCCCAGTTATTAAAGAAAGGTCCATACCAAAACAAGCATAAAATTCTCAAACTTCAAAGTCAAAAAGAAAATCTGGAAACCGTACAGGAATGAAAACAACTAACACATAAAATAAAGCAAGAATAGTAAGTCAGGTTTGCATCCATTTTCTATTAGCAACTGATATTGTAAAATATGGATATAACTACCAAAAGAAAAAAAACTGTAAATGTTTAAAAATGCAGCTGCTGAAGAGTGAAAGGACTGGGAAACAAACAGAATCTATGCTTAAAATGTACCATTTTAGCTAATTTGGGGCAAAAACTTTACTTTTATGGTTCTTGGTTTCATTATCTCTGGGTTTCTGTGATTCTATCCTTTCTATGGTTCTGTCTTTTTTCACAAGACTGTTTTATTCATTATGTAGAAAATTGTTTCTGGCTTATTAGTTATCAAGTTATCCTTTGAAAATTCATCAGATTATTACAGAATTGAAAGACTCAACTTTCCAAATATCTGCAGAAACCATTGTAGGCAGGGATTACCATTATTACTTCTTAACCTTCTTATCGACCCCCCATTTTTTCTTATTTTGGCTTAATCTTGGAGCATCAATTCATTCCTTTTTTACCTAGAATATAATCCAACTGTTAATAATTCCCACTTGCCTTCTGGCCACTTCTGATAAAAATATTCCATCAATATTTCTACCATAATGTGTTTAAAACCAGGCTCAACCTCTGTCCATCTTAAGCCAGGCTCTTCTATTGTCACTTGCTCTGTTAATAACATCACTATTTTCAGAGCCACTCAAAACCTGCATGTCTACTTTTCAATTTTTTTGTTCTCCTTTCCCAACAGTTATTCCTTGATTGGATATCTACATACTCTGGGCATAGCATTCCTCTAGTCTAAAGATATGGAAGTGCGAGGCATAATCTCTGTTCACTAGAAATTCTGTTTATTCTGGAGACCAATGTGCAGAAACAATTATGATACGATAAACTGAGTATCAAATGAACAATAAATCAACTTGAAATAAAGCAGTATGTGAACATTAAAGAGAGAGAGGGAGGGAGAAATTGCTTCTGTCCCTATTGGAACAAAACTTATATTATCTCATTTCATCTCCTAGGTCACTAGGGTCCTGCCCAGGGTTTCCTAGGTCCTGCACAAAGTAGTCTTATTGCAGTATTTTTCTGAAATCAGCTATGTGTGTCACTAAAATTTCAATGGTTTAACTTTGTCAAGAGGATTAAATAAATTTATGCATTGGACATTCAAGACACTTACGGTCTGGCTTTAACATTTTTTTCCCCCAGCCTTATCTCCCACTATTTCTCTGGTAAACACTATACGTGAGCTTTATTGAAACATTTACCTTTTTCAAATCCTTATGTTTTTCTAAATCCATCCATTTGCTCACTGCATTTTATCAACTACAAGTAGTTTTATCTTTCAAGATGCTAGTAAAATCAGCCAGCTCCTGAAGTGCTCATGCTTACTACAATGACATGATCTGTCACTTCTCTTAACTTGCATAGCAATTTATATGCACTATTCTTTACATGCTTAACACATCAGTGTTTGGCATATTTGGGTATGTATCTCTGCTGTCCTACAAAATGATATGCTTGCTGCGAGTAGATACCATTCCTTATATCTCCTGGAATACTGTTTTTAGTGAGCCAATCAAAATCCCTTTTAAAAGTTTAAAGCACACTTCAAATTAAGCACGATTTTATTATTCTTCCTCATATTAAAGCTAACAGAGGAAAGTAAGAAATTGTGATTTTTAATTATTCTCAATTAAATCAAACAAACAGCTGGGTATAGCTTTCTCAAAAAGATAAATTTCACGTCATTGCAACAATCACAATGTGCAGTATTTACAAAGGCCTTTTGGGAAATCATTTTACAAAAATCGTACTCCTTTCTTATTTCATTTACTAGTTGAAAAAGACAGAAACCTGCTTATTGACCTTGTTTTACCTCTATGAGGCAATGAGATTACAACCGGGACTCACCACAGCCAATCACTGTTGCCATGAAAGGAAATAAAAGTGTACAGCACACTTTCCCCTTAAATCAATGCTCAATTTAGGGACAAAATCTTTAAGTCCATTCCTCCCTAAAGGGGAATTCCAGATAGCTATGGTGTAGAAATAACTGGATATGTCTCTCAAGTTTAGGAACTAAAGAGCAACCTGAATGTAATTTAGTATTATTTGAGGTAGATTAAAGGTGGGGCAGTAGAATAAACCCTTGATAATAAATCTCTCATAAGCCTATCTCTGTGATTAAAGTCACACCTGAATTTTTCAATTACCCAAACCAAATACTAGCATAGCACTTTGTATATCAAGGGGACACACAGTAATTGATTGTTGATGGAAATTAATTTAATAATTTAATTAAAGAGAATAAAAAAATGAATCTGGCTTTTGGCTCTGCATTTATTTCTTCTACTTTATTTGGAAAGATAAAATACTACCATGTTTATAGAAAAGATCATGCTGATTTCTATCTCACTCTGTTGCATCTTTAATTCATTTTGATGTTTATTTTTAAATCAAGAATTTACGACATTAGAGAAAAGATGAAGGAGGTTTAAGCACTTAAAGGCTCTTAACAAAGACAAAAAAATAAGTCATGAGTATTTTTCTATTGTATTATGTAAACATGTCCAAGAATCTGACAAAGTTCATGACCCTGACTTTCTCTCTGTCTCACTCTCAAAATATAAATAGATATAAAAAAGAAACAAAGAAAGTAAAGAAAGGTGAGAAGCAAAGACATAGACAAAGACACAGAAGCAACACCACACAATATACAAGAGAAATTAAGAGAAGTCTCCATGGACCCTGAAAGGAAAGTAAACGCTACAGAAAAGCTGCTTTGGTCATGCTTTTACTATGCAACTTGGGTTGTAGTCCTAAAGTGCTCTTATCCTTTGTTTTGTGTGCTTTTGAAATGATAATTTAATCTTTAGCATCCTTAGTCCATTTGCAATCAGAGAGAGCTTTAAAGTTTTCATTTTAAAATTTCAGTTTAGTTTTGAATAAAAGTTTATTCCTTATGGAATTAACAAGTTTTTATACAGGTAGGAGACATGACAAGTATTTTTTAATCTATTTTGGACCCACACATATGTTGGTGAATTTGCCAGACATGTCACTCCCTTTGAAATACAAAGCCACACGACTGCCTTATTTTTGTTTAAAGATTAGGGTATTCTCATTCTGTAGTGCTTGAAAGTTACATTGAAACTAGCATTGATTTCATTATTATAGGCCATTTTCCAAATCAGGACCAATTATTTTCATCTTGAAGGGATAATGAACAGTATGATCTTAGAATAACTGTGTAAATTAAAACTCAGGAGGAATAAGCCTGTGTTTTACTGTAAATTAAAGATTAAATACTGCTTGTGGCTCTTTAAGAGCCTTATTTAATCTTCCAAACAATAAATGAAATGTCCATAGTAATCCGGGTAAGCATGTGTGTATGCACAATGTGGAACTTTCCTTCTGAGACGTGTTGCTCTGCATTTGTCTCGGTCCAAGAGAAATTCATGTCCTTCCTGTAATACATTCACTAAGTTATTCATTCAATTAGTTATTCATTCATTTAGGCTTTGTATTTCAAAGTTAACTAAATAAAATGGAGAGGACTTAATACTGAAACTGCAAAATCTAGTAATGCTGAAGTATAGAAAAAAGTAAGTAATTATAATACAATGTGAAGTTTGCTGTAGCACTCTTATATAGAGGGTCTTCCTGGAAAATAGAAGGGAATAAATTAATTACTTTGATAGTATAGGCCAGAGAAACTTAAATAGAAAACTCAGTAGTCAAATAGACTATAAAGAATAAGAAAGACTTTATCTGGAAGAGATTAGAGAAAAAAACATTGCCAGGAAATCTCTTCCTATAAAGAACCTCAAATTTTTATTGACATAGTTACACTTTTTTCATTTTCTATTTTGTCAAACTTTCCATAAATATGTGGTAAGGCCTTGGAACTAGCAAAAGTGACCACATGACTCAGGCAAAGCCAACCTTAGTCTATGTACTTGCAACCTTAATAGTAATCACAACAACATAAGGTAAAGAGGGTAGAAATCGATCCATCCTAAAAATAACTCTGACAAGAACCTCCACTTGTTTGTGCTAAGTAGATTTCCAGAAAGCATCTAGTTTCAATTGTCTATGGAGTCAGACTCTGTGTAGCTATGATTCAGTGAGGTACCCAATATGTTTCCTTCTCATTTATATATAAAAAGGAGCCAAAAGGAAATACTAAAAAATAAAGAAACCTAATATCAGATAAAAGAATTCCTTAAAAAATAAATAAGCAGACCAGGTAGAGTTGAGAGTAGAATTTGTGAACTTGAAGACAGGTAAAATAAATTGTCAAAACAGAAACAAAGACAAAATTTTGAAAAAATACGTACATAATACAAGATATAAAACAATCAATGCTATAACATCTAAGGGGTCTTCAAAAATGTATAGGAAGTGTGTATTATGACAAAACTGTGTGTGGATTTAAATATTATTTTACACTAAACAAGCTTGTAATAATTTGTTGTAACATGCCTGAACAAGATCTAGTTTGAGGCATTAAGAAGGATAAGACACCAGTTTAAAAAGAGGCCCTACCAGAGCAACATGAATTCTGCTAAAATTGAAGGAAACATAACATCAAATTTATGGTGAAGTGTGGGTGAAAGAATAGTGAAATTGTTGATGCTTTGCAGAAAGTTTATGAGGAAAATAATTCAAAGAAACCAGCAGTTTACAAATGGATAACTCATTTTAGGAAGATATGAGATAATGTTGAAGATGAGTCCCACACCAATAGACCATCTACATCAATTTTTGAGGAAAAATTCACATTGTTTGTGTCCTAGTTGAAGAGGATAAATAGTTAACAGCAAAAACAGTAACCAACATCACGGAAATCTAAACTGGTTCAGCTGACACAATTCTGGCTGAAAAATTAAAGTTGAGCGAACTTTCCACTCAATGGTTGCCAAAACCATGGTGCCCAGATCAGCTGCAAACAAGAGAAGAGCTTTCAATGGAAATTTTAAACAAGAAGGATCATGATCCTGAAACATTTATTTAAAGAATTGTAACAAGAGATAAAACATGTCCTTACTAGTATGATCCTGAAGACAGAGCATAATCAAATCAATGGCTACTAAGAGGAAGAAGTGGTCCAGTCAAAGCAAAAGCAGATGAGTCAAGAGTGAAACTCATGCAACAATTTTTGGGGATACTCAAGGCCTTTTGCTAGTTAACTTTCTGGGGAGCAAAATAACATAACATCTATTCATTTTTAGACTGTTTTGAGAAAGTTGGTCAAAGCTGTAGCAGAAAAATGCCTAGGAAAGCGTCACCAGAGTCCTTCACCATGCTAATGCTTCTGCTCATTACTCTCATCAAACAAGGGCAATTTTACAAGAGTTTTGATGGGAAATTATTAGGCATTCATCTTATATTTCTAATTTGGTTTCTCCTGACTTTTTTTCATTTCTTTAAATCTTAAAATATCCTTAAAGAGGATTTTTTTTTCTTTGGGAATGGACTAAATTACTCACATCATCACTTAGAAAAATGTTTTACACTTGATGAAGCTTATGTTGAGAAAGAAAGTTTATATTTTATATTTTTATCTTTTACCCCCATTTTCCATGAGTTAAGTCCTCTTATATGTGTAATTGGAGATCCTAGATTTAGAAAGATGATAAAACAATGCAGGAAAAATATTTAATGGCCAGTGATTTTTCTAAAATTAGTGAAAGTCGATAGACTACATAACCAAGAAGCTCAGCAAACCCAAGGGGAATAAAGAAAAATAAATAAAAACAAACATATAACAGTAAGCATTCAACTAAAAACTAAAAACATCTAGACATTTATCTTTTTATAGCTGAAAAAGGAAACTTGGAGACATCCCAAGGGAAGGGGGAACATTGTATCCTAAGGAACAAAGATAAGAACTACAGTACATTTTTTTTTTTTTTTGTCAACAAAGGCAGAAACCAGAAGATGATGGAATAACATTTTTAAAGTTTTGAAATAAAAAGTCTGTAAGTTAAGGATTTTATAGCCAGTAAATTTTTAAAAAAATAAAAGTAAAATAAGCACTTTACTTAGAGAATCAAACCTGACAGAATTTATTTTCAGCAGACATGTAGTACAAGAAATGTTAAAAGAATTTCTTCAGAAAGAATAATATGATGCTAGATAAAAATTTCTGTCTATATAAACAAAAGTTATCAGAAATGGCAAAAATTAGGTTAAATTTAAGTCATTTATGTCTAAAACATAAAGTTTAAAGTCTAAGCATAAAGTGTTGAGTTTATTTTATAAAAGTAAAATGAATGACATCAATAACATAAAGAATATGTAAAAGAAATTTAAAATATATATCGTATATACTATATTTTAAGTGGTGTATATTATATACTATATTTTGAGTGGTTGATATGCTTTGGCTGTGCTGCCACTCAAATCTCAATTGGAATTGTATCTCCCAGAATTCCCATTTGCTGTGGGAGGGACCCAGGGGGAGGCAATTGAATCATGGGGGCCAGTCTTTCCCGTGCTATCCTCATGATAGAGAATAATTCTCATGAGATCTGATGGGTTTATCAGGGGTTTCCACTTTTGCTTCTTCCTCATTTTCTCTTGCTGCCATCATGTAATATATGTCTTTTGCCTCCTGCCATGATTCTGAGGCCTCCCCAGCCATGTGGAACGGTAAGTCCAATTAAATCTCTTTTTTTCCCCCCAGTCTCAGGTATGTCTTTATCAGCAGCATGAAAAAGGACTAATACAGTGGGGTATTATTTAAGACTGTGATACTGCAAACTATGACTAAGAATAAATGGGACAAAAAGAAAGCAACTAATATGCCAGCAACAAACAAGTTTAATTCAAAATTAAAATCACAATATCATTTACATTACCACACCCAAAATAAAATACTTACATATACACCTAACAAAATATATACAATAGCTATATGGAAAGCACTAAAATACCATGATAAAAGAATTCTAAGAACAAAATAATATTCCATGTTTATGGATAGGAAGACTCAATTTCAAGAAGTTTGTTCTTTCCAACTTGATGTATAGATTCAGGGCAATCCCAATGCAAATCTCTGCAAACTATAACACAGATATTGAAAAACTGATTCTTAATTTTATTTGGGGAGGCAAAGGGTCTAGAATGCCCAACATGATATGGAAAGGGAAGAACAAAGTCAGAATGCTGACATTACATGACGTCAAGACTTACTATAAAACTACAGTAATTAAGACAGTGTGGTATCAGTGAAAGAATAGACAAATAGTTCAATGGAGTACTATAGAGAGTCCTGAAATATAACCACACAAATATAGTCAATTGATGTTTGACAAAAGAGCAAGGGCAATAATATAGAGAAAAGATAGCCTGTTCATCAGAAGCTGCCAGAAAAACTGGACTTTCACACACACACAAATAAATCTAGACATAGACCTTATCACCCTTCACAAAAATTAACTCAAAATAAAATATAAATCTAAGTGTAAAATGCAAAGCTATAAAAGTGTGAGAAGATAACATAGGAGAAAATCTAGACGACCTTGAGTTTGTCAGTGACTTCTTAGCTGCAACACCAAAGGCAGGATCCATGAAGAAAATAATTGATAAGCTGAACTTAATTAAAATTAAAAACTTTTGTTCTGATGCTGTCAAGACAATGAGAAAACAAACCATATAAACTGGAGACCTCTCCACTCCATGCTCAGGCAGATTTCCAGGCACATACGCACCTGGATCAGCAGCCTGAACCACTCCACCTTTCTTGTACACAGACCATGGTGTAGTGTGGCATATTTTCCAGGCATTTGGAGTCCCTCTCACTGAAATTAGTAGCCTGAGTTGCCCCACCCTTCCAGTGCAGAGATCTGGTTGCAGAGGGGCCCTCTCTGTTCAGTGTCCAGGTAGATGTCCAGGCATTTGGAACACCCACTTGCCTGGGTCAGCAGCTTGAGTCACCCACTCTTCTTGTGCAGAGACCATGATGAAGTGGAGCCCTCTCTCTCCACACCTAGAAATATCTCCAGGCATTAGGGGCACTCATTTGCCTGGGCCAGAAGCTTGTGCCAACCCATACTTCTTTGGCACAGATTGCAGTGCAGGGTGTTCTCTGCTCCACACCTAGGCAAATCTCCAGGAATTCACAGGACCTACTCACTTGGATCAGCACCCTAAGTTACCTCACCCTTCCTGTGTGGAGACCATGGTAAAATAGAGCCCTGTCTGCCCTATGCCCAGGCATATGTCCAGGCATCTGGAGCACCCACCTACTTGGAATTGTAGTTTAGCCCAACCTCCTCCTCATGCAGAGAACTTGGGGCTGAGATGGTTTCCCAGCTTCATGCCTAAGTACATGTTTGGGTGCTTTGTGGCTGTCCACTGAATTCTCTTTCAGTGCTGAAGCTTGTGACTCCTATGGGGAAACATGTAGATGGGCCTGCCTAAACTGATCCTCACCATCTTGGCACCCAAAGAGGCTGAGCAGGAAGCTCAGACCACTGTGCACTCCATGGATCAACCCATTTCCTGAGGCAACAGAGAGCTTCCGCCAGTAAACAAGGAGCTAGTATATATCTAGCCACTTTGGATATAGCTGTTTTTTTTTTTTTTTAACCCAGAAGCACCATCTACCAGCTTGTAGATCAAACTGCACAGCTCAATATGAAACATGATAAAAGAAGTGAATAGGGAATTAGAAACAAAACCAAAAGTTCCTACCCAACATTCTCTAAAGTCCTACACAACCTGGTGGGTAGAAGGAGGGAAAGGCAAAGGAAAAAAGTAGTAAAATAGGCAAAGAAAGAAAAAGAAAAAAATTCTACCTGTGAAAATAATTACAAAAATTAGAATTGTCAGTGTCTCTGGATGAAAAGAAACCAGGGCAAGAATTCAGGCACCATGAATAATCTGAATATAGTAACATCATCAAAGGATCACGTTAGCTCTCTAGCAATGGTCTAACCAAAATGGAAATTCAGAAATGGCAGTTAAAAAAATTCAGTGCATGGACTGCAAGGAAGTTGACAAGATGTAAGATAAGGTTAAACATCAACATAAAGGAATTTGTAAAGCAACCCAAGAAATGAAGAAAGAGATAAGCATCTTTAAAAGAAATAAATCAGAGCTTCTGGAATTGAAAAACTGACTCAAGAAAATTCAAAATATATTATAAATACAAAATACAACACAAAACAAATTGCAATAACTTTATCAGTATACTGTTTCAAGCAGAAGAAAGAATTTTAGAGCTTAAGGCAAGTTTTTCAAACTAACCTAGTCAGACAAAAATAAATAAAAATATTTATAAAAAATAAAGTCTTCAGGAAATATGGCAATATGTAAAGCAACTCAACCTGTTAATTACTGGCATTCTTAGAAAAGAAGGAGAAAAACTCAACAACCTGTAAAGTATTCAAGAAAATTTCCCAAATGTCATTAGAGAGGTAGACATCCAGTTAGTTACAAGAAATCCAGAGGACGCCTGTGAGATACTTTGCAAAGCAAACATCACCAAGATATAGTCATCAGACTGTCCAAAGTCAACACTAAAAAAAAATATTGGCCTGCTGTGGTGGCTCACATCTGTAATCCCAGCACTTTGGGAGGCCGAGGCAGGCATTCAAGGCCAGGAATTTGAGAACAGCCTGGCCAACATGGTGAAACACCATCTCTACTGAAACTACAAAAATTAGTCATGCATGGTGGCAGGCACCTGTAGTCCCAGCTATTTGGGAGGCTGAGACACAAGAATTACTTGAACCGGGAGGTGGAGGTTGCACAGAACTGAGGTCGCACCACTGCACTCTATCCTGGGCAACAGAGCAAGAATCTGGAATCTGGAATCTGGCAAAAAAAAAAAAAAAAAAAACTTAAAAGCAGCTAGAGAAAAAAGTCAGATCACATAAACAGGGACCCTAATCATGCTAATAGCACATTTCTAAGCAGAAACCTTATAAGCCAGGAGAGATTGGGGGCCTAGTTTCAGCATTCTTATAGAAAAATAATTCAACCAAAAATTTCATATCCTGCCAAACTATGCTTCTTGAGTAAAGAAGAAATGAAATATTTTCTAGACAGGCAAGCACTAAGGGAATTAGTTACCATTAGAACTTCCTTACAAGACTTTTTTTTTTTTTTTTTTTTTTTTGAGATGCAGTCTTGCTCTATTGTCCAGGCTGGAGTGCAGTAGCGCGATCTCGGCTCACTGCAAGCTCCGCCTCCCAGCTTCACGCCATTCTCCTGCCTCAGCCTCCTGAGTAGCTGGGACTACAGGCACCCGCCACCACGCCCAGCTAATTTTTTGTATTTTTAGTAGAGACGGGGTTTCACCGTGTTAGCCAGGATGGTCTCAATCTCCTGACCTTGTGATCCGCCTGCCTCGGCCTCCCAAAGTACTGGGATTACAGGCTTGAGCCACCGCACCCGGCCAGAACTGCCTTACCAGAAATTCTTAAGGAAGTTCTAAACAAGGAAATGAAAGAAAGATACCTACTACCACAAAAACACACTTAAGTAAATCGCCAACAGACCCTAGAAGGCAACCACAAAATAGAAACTACAAGGCAACCAGGTAACAACATAATGATAGGCTCGAAACTTCACATATCAATATTAACCTTTAATGTAAATGGTCTAAATGCCTCATTTAAAAAGTACAGAGTTGGAAGTTGGACAAAAACAAAAAATTGAGATCCATCCAGCTGTTGTCTGCAAGAGACCCATTTCACATGTTATGATATCTATAGGCTCAAAGTGAAGGGTTAAATATGTATCCTAGAAACAGAAAACAAAACAGAAGGAGTGGTTTATTCTTATATCAGATAAAACAGACTCTAAACAAACAACAGCAGAAAGGGACAAGAAGGGCATTACATAATGGTAAAAGCTTCAATTGAACAAGACTTTACTCACTTAAATCTACATGCACCCCACATTGAAGCACACAGATTCATAAAACAAGTACTTCTAGACCTATGAAATCTTTTACAGCCACTTTTCCCAGCACCATTTATTAAATAGGGAATCCTTTCCCCATTTCTTGCTTTTGTCAGGTTTGTCAAAGCTGAAACTGGATCCCTTCCTTACACCTTATACAAAAAATAATTCAAGATGGATTAATGACTTAAATGTTAGACCTAAAACCATAAAAACCCTAGAAGAAAACCTAGGCAATAGGCATGGGCAAGGACTTCATGTCTAAAACTCCAAAAGCAATGGCAACAAAAGCCAAAACTGACAAATGGGATCTAATTAAACTAAAGAGTTTCTGCACAGCAAAAGAAACTACCATCAGAGTGAACAGGCAACCTACAGAATGGGAGAAAATGTTTGCAATCTACTCATCTGACAAAGGGCTAATATCCAGAATCTACAAAGAACTCAAACAAATTTACAAGAAAAAAACAACCCCATCAAAAAGTGGGCAAAGGATATGAACAGACACTTCTCAAAAGAAGACATTTATGCAGCCAACAGACACATGAAAAAATGCTCATCATCACTGGCCATCAGAGAAATGCAAATCAAAACCACAATGAGATACCATCTCACACCAGTTAGAATGGCGATCATTAAAAAGTCAGGAAACAACAGGTGCTGGAGAGGATGTGGAGAAATAGGAACACTTTGACACTGTTGGTGGGACTGTAAACTAGTTCAACCATTGTGGAAGTCATTGTGGTGATTCTTCAGGGATCTAGAACTAGAAATACCTTTTGACCCAGCCATCCCATTACTGGGTATGTACCCAAAGGATTATAAATCATGCTGCTATAAAGACACATGCACACGTATGTTCATTGCTGCACTATTCACAATAGCAAAGACTTGGAACCAACCCAAATGTCCATCAATGATAGACTGCATTAAGAAAATGTGGCACATATACACCATGGAATACCGTGCAGCCATTAAAAAAGGATGAGTTCATGTCCTTTGTAGGGACATGGATGAAGCTGGAAACCATCATTCTCAGCAAACTATCGCAAGGACAAAAAAACAAACACCACATGTTCTCACTCATAGGTGGGAACTGAACAATGAGAACACTTGGACACAGGAAGGGGAACATCACACACCAGGACCTGTCATGGGGTGAGGGGAGGGGGGAGGGATAGCATCAGGAGATATACCTAATGTAAATGATGAGTTAATGGGTGCAGCACACCAACATGGCACATGTATACATATGTAACAAACCTGGATGTTGTGCACAGGTACCCTAGAACTTAAAGTACAATAATAAAAAAATAAAAAATAAATAAAAATGCATACAAGATGATAAAACAGTAAAAAATAATTAACACCATCAATAAATTACAATTATCATGTGCTGCAGTTTAAAAAAAAAAAAAAAGAAATCTTTTACAGCCACACAACAAAAGTGGGGATTTCAACATCGCAACCGACAGCATTAGACCAGCCTGGGCAACATGAAGAAACCTCATCTCTACAAAAAGTACAAAGTTTTCCAGGCATGATGGCGTGTTCCTGTAGTCCCAGCTACAGGAACTGAGGATGCTGAGGTGGGGGATCACTTGAGCATCAGGAGGTTGAGGCTGCAGTTAGCCATGTTTATGCCACCGCACTCCAGCCTGGGCAACAAAGTGAGACTTTCCCTTGAAAAGAAAATAAAAATTTAAATTAATAGTATTGGTGTTTAAAAATGGGAAAATATCTTTAAAAGAGCATAAAGGAGTATATTATAAACAGTATTATGCCATTTGCTTAAAATTTTTGGATAAATCAACAAATCCTTTGAAAGTTATCAATTACCAGAACTTAAGACAATAAGAAATGGAAAATCTGAATTACCTATATCATTAAGAGGAAATTAAAACAATAATGCAAAACCTTCCTATGAAAATGTTAGGCCTAATCTTTCACTAGTGAAAATGTGAGCATATTAAAAAGATATAATGCCAGTGTTACTAGCCCTTTCAGAAGAGAGAACTAAGAGGAAAAATTTTCTAAATCATCATATGAGGCTAGAATTTCCATCGTAGCAAACCCAGAGAAGAGTATTACAACAAAAAAGAAAACCATAGTCCAATAATCCTAACAATTGAAGATTATAATAGTCAGTAAAACATTACCAAGTCTAGTCCTTCAAAATTATAACATTTAATGGCCGAGTGAGCATTATCACAGGAAGACAAGTTTGTTTTTTCGTTCATAAAGCATTTAATGTGTAATTAGCAACATTAATAAAATTGTCACATGGAAATTTACTTTAATAGAATGGTAGCCTCCAAGTATACTCTTGGAGGAAGAGTGACCCCAGAAGTCATGGAACTGAAAGGTTTGCAGAGCAAGTTAAAATGCTCTACTCACATGATTTATTAAATCAATTAAAAACGTACAGCATCAAGTGAGGTGAGTTAGATGGGGATAAGTTATCCCATTTACAAAGCATGCAAACAGGTATGTGTTGCATATACATCATGGAATACTATGCAGCCATAAGAAAGAACAAGATTATGTTCTTTGCAACAACGTTGATGGAGCTTGAGGACATTATTCTAAGGAACTAATACAGGAACAGGAAAAAAAATACCACATATACTCATTTATAAGTGAGAACTAAACATTGAGTACAGATGGACACAAAGAAAGGAAGAACAGATACTGGGGCCTATTTGAGGGTGGAGAGTAGAGGGTTGGAGGAGGAACAGAATAAAAAAAACTACCTATCAGGTACTATGCTTATTACCCTGGTGACAAAATAATCTGTACACCAAATGCCTGTGACATGTAGTTTACCTATATAACAAACCTGAGCATGTCCCTGACCCTAAAATAAAAGTTACAAAGAAGAAGAAAAAGTATGTATATATTGAAATTAAATATTCCTATTTTCTAAGAGTGGGAGGACATTAACTTATTTTGATTTTAAATTGGTGACTTTTTACTGAGGACCAAATTCACATATTTGCCCAGCCTTGGAAAATGCAGTGCCATTGCAGTATCTGTCTTTGTCTCCTCTACATAACACAGATGCCATCCTTCCAAGAAACTATCTTATCCTTAATTGTTTAAATGAATTTTGCCTACGCCCGCAACCTCATTTTTGATCTGCTTAACAAATAAAATCTGGGATAGAATTCTGGAGCCTATGCCTGGGCATGATGTCAGAAGAAAGACAGTTTTGTTATGTTTTGATTTGTTTCCCCCAATTCTGAACTGTTTAATATTTCACCTAGACTACAGGTTTGATTTCCTTTACTTGTATTGCTGATGCCTAGATAAGGTGTCAGGTGTGCTTTAATTTTATTTCCTTTGAAAATACAATATTATACTGTATTGATGTAAATATTTTCATAACATAAGCAGTTATGGAGATGATGGCATATAAATGAATAGTTGATGGGTCCTGGAGTCCCACTGGGTGAGTCTGCATTTTAAATTTGTCACTTCTAGCTGCATGACTTGGGCAAATTATTTTAATCTCTTTGGGCTTCCCAGTCCTAAAGGGGAATAGTATTAGTTTCACCCTCAAGTGCTTGCTAAGAATATTTGGTAAAATAATACATGTAAAGGACATGGAAGTGTTTCTGGCACAGATTAAGCCCTCCATACTATAAACCATATTGTTATACTTAATATTAAGTGAAAACATCTGTGATATATTTAAAGATTTTAATATTTGCATTAGTTTGAATTTTATAACTGCCTTTGTATTGATGAAGAAATATATAATAAAAAATTAAGTAAAAGTTACTCTGAGTCTAATGCATGTGTAATGCATGAAAAGCTTGACACAAAAAGTAAGTGGTTTGGAGAAATCAGGAAAGGGGGCAAGCTTCAGAAACTCCCAAGAGACTAATAGCATAGACTATCAAAAAAGACAGATTTGTCACAGACTTACAAATAAATTACTGAAGACAACATTAGTAGACTAACCTACTTTCAACACAACATGAAACTCTATTCCAGATTCATTTCCAACTTTTAAAAATACTATATTAACTTTTCAGTAAATATGTGTATAGTATCTGCAATTGAAAAGTTGAAGAAAACATTGTAACAGAAAAGTCCACCAGTATATCTGTCTCTTGTATTCAGTGTGTACCATAAAAAGTAGCAATAATATCCACTAAAAGCAGAACACAACAGCTAATATGAAAATGTCTAAGTAGTAAAGGATTCCTGAACTGTGAATTCATTGAAGTTCATTCTATATTATGGATTGTTTTGAATGATGCTAATGTATATGATATATGCATGTTTGTACACTTTGCATGTATTTTAGGAATTCATTCAAAATCATTTTGCATGTTGTTTGCTTTTTATTTACTAAAGTTATTGAAATATGGACCTTTTATAATCTAATTACGTTGAAAGGCACAGGGCTGTATTAGATAGTTTGAAGAATTTTAACAACACGTACACGTATTTAATCCATAGTCCTACCAGGTTATAGAATACTTTTGTGTACCCAGAAAGTTATCTTGATGCCCCTTTTTTGCCAATCATAGTGTCTACTAGAAGCGAACATTATTCTGATTTCTATCACCATAGATTAATTTTGTTCATTCCAGAACTTCTTGGAAATCATGCAATATGTCCTCTCATGCCAAGCTTCCTTCACCCAGCATAATATATTTTTGAGATTCATCCATTTTGTTCTGTGCATAAGTAATATGTTCCTTTTTGTATTGCATTTTGTATATTTATTTACTGCTAGATATTTGTGTCGCTTCCTGTTTTTAGCTATTATGACTAGTGCCGCTGTGAATCATCATGTATAAGAATTTTTCTAGACACTTTTGTCTAGTGCAAAGGATACATGAATAGTGGATGGATAAATGGATTCCTGGGTCATAAGGTGGGGCATGTTTTAATTTATTAGAAATAGCCAGAGTATTTTTCAAAATGATTTCACCATTAATTCCCATAAGCAAAAGGTAGGAATCCTGGTTGCTCTATATCCTGGGGAATATTCAGGATTTCAAGTATTTCATTTGATCAATTCTACTAGGTATGTGATATCACACAGTGAAATTAATATCTGTGTATTTAATGACTATTGATATTGAGCACTTTTCAAATATTATCTTCTTGTGAAGTGCCTTTTCAAGTCTTTTGTCCCTTTTTTGGTGAAATCATTTGTCTTTTTATTATTGAGTTAGAGGCTTTCTTTATATATGTATTTGAAATAACTTTGTCAACTATAAATGTTTGGAACTGTTTCTCCCACTGTCAGTTGTGAGAGAAATATTTCTAAATTTTTAAAATATTCAGATTCTAAAAGCTGTCTTTTGAAAAAGAGATTTTTTTACTTTTATAAAGTCTGATTAATAAACTTTTTCACTTATGCCTAGGGACTTTTGTGTTTTTTATGAGATACATTTGACAATTTAAAGTGACAAAGAGTGTCTTTTTTAGAAGCTTTATAGTTGAGATTTTATGGTTAGGTCCATCTCAAATTGATCTTTTGCTTTTGTCGTAAGGTAAGAATTGAGGTGCATTTTCTTTTCATTTTTTATATGTGATTGTTGCATAACTATTTATTTATTTATTTATCTATTTATGAGACAGGTCTTTCTCTGACTCCCAGGCTGAAGTGCAGAGGCATGATCATAGCTCAGTAGAACTTCGAATTCCTGGGCTGAAGTAATCTTCCCTCTTTAGCCTCCCAAGTAGCTGGGACTTCAGGCATGCATCACCATACCCAGCTGTTTTTTAAAATTAATTTTTATAGAGGTAGGGTCTCACTGTGTTCCCCAGGCTGCCACTATCATTTATTGAAAAAACTTTTATTTCCCATTAAATTGTTTACTGCTTCTTAAAAAACTAATTGACCATGTATATGTGTGATTATTTCTAGACTACTCTGTATCAAAATCAATTAGTATTAGTTCGTATATTTTATTTTTTTAAAAAAATTATATCGGTTAATCTTTTCATTTCTATATAAATTATAGAATTACATTGTCAGTTACTATTAAGAGCCCTGCTGAGGTTTTGAGTTGTTTCATGGTGAATCAGTAGATCATTTTAGGAAGACTTGACATCTTAACATGGGGTACTCCTCATTCATGAGGTTCTAATATGGCGTCTCTTTGCTGACACTTTTTTCTGGCCCCATTTGTCCTCAATTCAAGAATATAAATAAAACCCACAGTTAATTAGAGGCTAATCTGTATGATACTGTAATGACCTGGTACAAATTATTTCATCTTTCCAACAGAGAAAGTATGTGTCATTGAGTTGGGGCATCTTCCATCTTTGGGTCCCTTTGTTCAAACCTCAATTCTGGTCCTTATACCATCCATGGGGAAGGCTAGTGCAGCAGAAAGTGAGAGACCAGGCATATAAGCATTGCTTATCCCAAGACTCAGGTAGGATTAATTTGTTATATATGCAATCATGGACAGTGGTTGTCTTTTGATGTAGGATGTGAAAGCCTGAAGTTTCAGGAGCTAAAAATGGGTAGGAGGCAGATGTTTGTGATTCCTAACAGGAGGGTGGACCTGTTGTGTTGTTTTGTTTTGTTTTTCTCAGTAAACCATCAAGTGGACAGTCATATCCAGTCATATCGGCTACACCTGCCTGTTTCCAGAGATCTAAGCAGTCTTGCATAGAATGTGTTAATGATGACCATAGACATAGCTCAAACACAGTAAGACTCCAGAGTATAGAAATCTAAAGTCTCTGGATGTTGAGACAACCAGAGGAGTGATCTGAAATAAAGCCATAAATAACTTTTTGTTTTAAATTGAGATGGATTCTTGCTATGTTGCCCAGGCTGGTCTTGAACTCCAGGGCTCAAGCAATCCTCCCACCTCGACCTCCCAAAGTGCTGGGATTACGGGCATAAGCCACCATGCCCAGCCTGAAAAAAATTTTTAATGAGAATTTTTCTCATAGCAATAGAAACACAGATTCAGATTTATCTCTGAAAAATTGAATGACGTGATACATATTAATGAATATTATTTGTTATTATAGGAAGCGGAATATATAGGGGATCTATTTTCAAATGGATCCTCACTCAATAAAGAATAGATAAATAATTGTGGTGGATTGAAACTCATTTCCCTTATTCTTTATCTTTCTTCTCCTGCTTAAAGGACAGTTGTTCGGGATGATTTAAATTAGCACTTTCTCAATTTCATTGAGAGTAATTTGCTACAAACATTTACTGTCAAAGTGTTCAAATTAGAGATATTTAAATGTTTGTGTAAAAAGATAAAATGGGGAGATTTCCATTTATGTTTTAAAAATGTAATACATGGATTAAGAAATTATTTTCTCTTGGCTCTGATGCATTAGAGGTTGACTATGTACTTTAATTTGTTATCAAAACATAATTTTTACGTCTAATATATGAATATTTTTATAATAGTAGCTCTACTATAAGAAAATGGATATGACCTATACCTATTTATAAGTTGATAACAGAAATCAAATATACATTTTTTGTACTATTAATACCAGATGTTTTCACTGAATACAAAGATTTGACAAAACATATTCTGGAATGCCGATGTGAAACTTAATCTATATATTAAGATTATAATGTTAATTAAACATTTATTATCTTAATGGGATTTTTCAAAGCTGTGGTTAATTGAATTTATTACTAGAAGCTGCTAATCTCTGAGATTTACATTTAACAGTAGGATGATCTTAATTTGCCCCATTATTGTGCCAATTTTAACTGATATTTCCAGTTATTTCAATATTATTTTGTTTTGCATTCTGATATATAAGTGAGTCAAAATTGCCTCTTTGTGGCCCTGGGATACTTATTTCTTCATTGCAGGCTGAGATCCGTAACTAAAAACCCACCACTGCCAAATTCAACATTTTATACATTAAGGCACTTTAAAAATAGACCAAAAAAAGAGACTTTTAGCCATTTAGACCCTACTTGTTTTGAATACCTTATGTAACCTCAACCAAAATCTGATGGGAATAAATAAGCTCAGGGCTATATAAAGATTCCAAGCTGTCATTGCCCTTCTGACAATGTCATTGCCCCTCTGACCCTGAGACTCCCCACCATGCTACTGAGTGACATCACTTAAACCTATCAGCCTCCTCT
The DNA here is from genome assembly GCF_000001405.40 of Homo sapiens. Classification (NCBI taxonomy): domain Eukaryota; kingdom Metazoa; phylum Chordata; class Mammalia; order Primates; family Hominidae; genus Homo; species Homo sapiens. Next base: position 33,464,741 of record NC_000004.12, read on the forward strand.
CTAATCTTCTTCTACACCCTGGAGTCCGCTCACTCAACTCCTCTTCTATTTGCCCCCACCCCATAGCCTCTGAATAGATCAGCTGTGAGGGACTCCCCTGCAAATCAGCTTGTCAAAGCACTGTCCCATAAAGCTTGTGTGTGCTACTGCACACACATGGTCTTATATTTTTCCTTGATTAGCCCTCAAATCCTGAAACATCTTATACATGTTTATAATAAATGAAAAGATGTATTCTGATTAAACAATATTTTAAACATATTGTTGGATTTAATTTGCTCCTATATCCACCACATTTAAAAATGATTCATTAATTCAGTGAAAACCATTCTGCAACTTGTTTGAAACCATGTGAAAACAAAATCAGATTTACCTATAAATGTTTTCTTTATTTTAAAAGCTATTATTGTATTATTGTATAGACATAAATGAAAAGCCAAAATTTACACCTTCTAGTCAACAAATGTGAGCAGTCCAAAACCGAGTTAAATAAATAAATAAATAAATAAAGCAGGGAGAAAATGATCAGAATCCATTCTTGATTGCCTAAGGAATAATTAAATTACCAGCTCGCCCCTCCTTGTTGTTTATACTAGAAAACACCAATTGAACTTTAAAATTATTCTCATAATTTGATATCACCTTCTGTAGCCTGTGAAATCCCCTCTCTTTTTCAAAACGCTGTTAATTTTTGTCTTCTTTATGCTATTGCACTATGTGCTTCTTTTATAACATCATACTTTACTATATTGTAGTTTATTTTTTCAAATTTGTTTTCTGTATCAGGCTATGACTTCTGGAGGTGCTATGTGTTATCCATCTGTTTTTCTAAATACCTTGTACAATTCATATCACATAGTAGGCTCTAAATAATTGTTACATAAATATTTCAACATAAAACATCATTATATATAATGACATATATATACATATACACATATAAAAGTATATTATGCAAAAAACAAGAGCCCAGGGGTTACAATTTGCTCAGTTCTAACAAGTGAGGGCTTGTCATGAAAATGCTGACATGTCACATTCATGTCAGCCATTTGTATTTTAAATATAAATCTCCTTCATTATGATCTTTAAAAATTTGGTTTTGGTTAAGTACAGTCTGGAAACTAAGTATGGAGAGAAAGAAAACCAGACCAAGGTTATTCAAATATATTTGAAAAAATTAATGTGACTTGTTAAGAATGGCATTTATTCTTTTTAATTTTTTGTATTGTGATTAAAATAACATTATGTTAAACATAGATTATATACAGTCCAAGGTAATTGATAGTTGCACTGCATCCTTAACTAAAAAAGTGATATCATGCTTCCAAACAAAGTTTGTAACATATAAAAGAGAATAAACTTGCATATACAATAAAGTAGCTTAGTCTCATCTCTCTTTTCCTAACACATTCAATATATGCCACACAGTGGACTTTAATTTCATTTTGAATTACATATGAGCAGGTAACATTATAATAAATATTATTAAAGTATTATTGATTGAACCTAGATACCAGAAAATTGGCTGGAAGTTGGTTGATCAAGTAGATATCAAGCTTAAAAACTGAGAAGTGACTAATAATTGCATTCCTGTAGAATGTGAAGGGTGTTACAAACATCTTGTTTACTGGGAAACACAAGTGTTGGATTGCACTGGAATCATTCAATTAAGTAGAAAGAGGCATTTAAATGCAAAGAGAGAACTTACTTAAAAATAAATAAGCCACAATTGTAGGAACTAAGTTTTGGAAAGCCTTTACTTTGAAATCTTCTTAGAATTAATATCTGAATTGCATGAAATAAGATACGAGAAGATAATAAGAAAGAATAAAGGGAGATTTAATGTTAGAATATAAGAATTAAAATTCATAAGAGACTATCAAAAGATATAATCAGTAAAAAGAGGTAAGATAAAATATCACATTTACACTAGGAGAAACCATTGAGCATACTTGTTCACAAGATAGGGACAAAAACGAAAAACGTGAGTAAAAATTTTATCATACTTAAGGCCATATGGAGTTTTACATTTAATAAGTGCTTTCTGAATATGAGTCATGGAGCTAAAATTCGACAGACATTATACTATTTAGACCCACAATAAGCTGTTTGGAAGAAACTTCTATTCACTCGGTTTCATTGAGAAGGAAGGTGAGCCCCCAGGAGATTTAAAACACTATTGGAGTTACATGACTATTGAACCAAATTAAAGAATAGTAGGACTTGATACGAAACATTCACCATGGGGGCCATTCTTCTAAATATTGCCCCAAAACCTTGACAAATTATATTGTCTAAGTTTTATATTTCCCATATATCAAAGGGAAGAGTAATAGTTTCATATTCATAAAATTGTTATGAGGATAATTAGATAGTGGTGAAAGAAATTGCAAGGACCTAGAAGATAATACATTCACAAAATGTTATTCCTATTACCATGATTATTATAAATTTCACCCTAGCTCTTCTCCTTATTGGTCAATATTCTTTGTGAACGCCTTTTCATATCATAGATAAATGTAGAATTTTTATATACAATTATAATGGCTTTTATTTGGACATATTATTTCATGCTGCATTAAACGGATGTTTCACTATCTGGTCTGAGGATATGATGACTCTTAGCCCAAGCTGCACCATTTTGTAAACCCCCGCCATTTTGCAAACCCAGGTCAGAGTGGAAAATTCCCCTAGGGCTCAGGCTGTGAGAAACATCCTGCCGGGCAAGTCCTAAGCCCAACCGCCTGATCTCAGGAAATTCCTCACTTAGCAACAGCTAACCACCCTGCCCACCCCACTTCACAACAAGCCCAGATCTCTCCCACCCGGACCTAAACTTACCCAGTCTGTAAGCGGGGGCGGGCTCTGGCCTTAGTTGGTGTCCCCCTCCGCGGGTGTTTGTTCGGTAAACCTGTGTTGCTGTAGAGCCGCCTCCGTCCGTTTTTCCTCCCGTTCCTGCGCTAACAATGACATTATACCAAATGTAACTGGTAAGCATTATTCTTTGAAGAAAAGTAATTTACGATATTGTAAGAGGGGCTTCAGTTAATGCGGGGGTGGGGGTGGGGAATTAGATATGGCGGCCTGACATCATTTTAATATGTCTGGCACAAGACTGAAAATATTTGCCAAGAAAATGGTTATATTTTTTGATCTTGACAAATTATATTTCAAGTTCAGCTGAATTAAATCCCTGCCAAAAACAAATACAAAAGCAACAACAACAGCAACAAATAACAAGAAAACAACAATGGGCTATTTTTAAAAACAAGCAAGACAACCTTTAAAAATATTGAAAAAATAATAGAGCAATTCATAGTTGCAAACATAGCTTTTAATATAAAGTATATTATAAAGCTGCAATAGTTCAGGGACTATGAAATGTCTAATAGAGTCAACAAGTAAACTGATGCTAATATAACCCTGAATAATCCATAAATATGATGTTTAGCATTTGGAAAATATAATTTTATATGGTTATTTAATAAGTTGTTCCAAGATAATTTATGAATTATTTGCATAAAATTATGTTAAATCCATGAATCACATCATTTATTGAAAATAAATTTTATTTAAATGTAATATATGTGTGTATGTGTATAATATGAGGTGTGTGTTCTTGTGGGTGTGTATGTGTGTGTACTATTATACCATTAGGGCAAGCTCTAAAGACAATCCCTTAATTGGGATTTGAGACATCCTCACCCTAAAAGAAATAGATTTCTTTTTTATTTTCTGCTGAATCAAATAAGATTATGAACTATTTCCTATTGTTTTGAAGCAATACGCTAAAAATCATCTATACAATTTTCTATCCTCTTTTTTTCTGCCGATATAATTACTATGCTGAATTCTATTTTGCTTTTTCTCTTTAGTTTTGTGATGGTTTTCATGACTCTGTGTCATGAAAGAGCGTATTAGTTTTACTTGATTTTATATATTGACATATGTTGTGTCTATTCTTCTGTGACTTCCATTTGGGCTTAAATTATTTGAAAATTCATCTATGTTGATAAGTGTAGTGGTCAGTGAACTGATTTTCACTGCCTTAGTAGTATTATGATATACAAATGTGCATGTTGTTTATCCATATTATAATAATAGTGGAAATGTTTTACATATTTTGTTATGACAGCAATCCTCTAAAGATCTTTTTGCACTGTTCTATACTTCCAATAATTTGTTTTGTGTATGTACCAACATGTCAAATATCAGGGTAAAGGATATTTGCTCATTTAACTTACATAGTTAACCCAAATTGCAACATCTGTTTGTGCTAATTTTAAAAGGAACTTTATATAATCGAAGTCGTTTTGTAAAATGACTGCCCAAACTCAACTCATAGATAAGGGAATTTTATTTTTAGAAACAATAGCCTCCAGAAAAATAGCTTCCTTCTAAAAGTAGTCAAATGCAAAACACAAGCTAGGCATAGCTCATCTCTGTAATTCAAGCACTTTGGGAGGCAGAGGGGAGTATAGCAATGTAGCAATGTAGCAAGACACCCCTATCTCTCTAAAAATTAAAAAAAAATTAGCGTTGCATCGTGGCACGCACCTGTAGTCCCAGATACTTGGGAGCTGAGATGGGAGGATTGCTTCAGCCCTGGAGGTTGAGGCTGCAGTGAGCCATGATAGCGCCACTACACTCCAGACTGGGTGAGAGAGCAAGACCCTGTCGCAAAAGAAAAAATAAATAAACATTTGTTAAAACATTTAAAATAATTATATAAGACAAAATAATCTGTAGATGTATTTTGGGAATATATTGATTCTTACTATTTTTCTCTAAGTCCTGAAGAGCATAGGTTCAGCTTAGCTTTGTTTTTTAGAAAAAATCTTTGTGTTACATTTTTGAATTGCACAAAATTGCATGATGCTTTAGCTTAACGCTAACTGAATTTCCCAGCTTGTTGTTCACCTTACATTTTTAATTGCCTTTTCTATCTTTCTGTCTAATTAGAAGATTGTTTCTTCTCTTATGGAGTTTTTTTTTTCAAAAAAAATTAATAAAACATTTTGTTTTATTTTTCTTAAAGACATCTTTCAATGAATTCATTTCATCCTTATCCGAATTAGACTGCTTCACCTCGATCCTGCTAATTAGCTGCCACTGTGCCATTTCTTGTCTTTGGATTAGATCTGCTGTTTGCCTACCTCTCTTTTATAGATATCATGTTTTGTGATGGTGGTGTTTTTGTTTTGTTGTCTTTTCCTGTGTTTGTTGGAAAGGGGATGGATAGAGAGAAAGAACTGTTTGTTTTGTTCTTATGGTCCACATACCTGAATAATTTTTATCAGAAACTTTTTGTAAGAGGTAAACTTTCCATATCCTCAGCAATGACACATGACACATTTTATGACAAAGGAGATGTCAGCAGAAATACTGTATTTCTCAGAAAGTTTTGCTTTTGCTTTACTGACCTTGCTCAGTGGCCATCTTGGGACTGACAGTGAATAAAATGGCAAGAGAAACTGGAAAACCCTGGCATTTATATGTTTGAGCTGGTGCATCCACTCTGAACTCCCAATACCCAAAAGTCTTGTTATTTGATAAAAATATAAAACATCTGTGAGTAGTCACTATTACTTGCGCTTTCTATTATGTGTGAAAGAATAGAAATCTAATAGAGACAATGTATATATGAGAGTGTGGGTGAGTTATCTATGATATGTTACATGTATATATGTGGACAGATCAATATGGAGCTATAGAATGTGAAAAAAATACCAAATGATGTATTTTTAGTTGTTGACATCGATTACTTTTAAATGATACAGGAATTATGTCAGTTGGACAGAACTTCACATGAAATGGTGCATGATACAAATCCTTAAGAATGTGCGGGTCAATGTCCCGTAGTAGTGAAAGGGGTAACTGAATATCAGCAAGCACTTGGGCAATGTAGCCAATGGCATAGTGAGTAATTTTCCAGTGGCTGAAAAAAAAATGGAAATCAGTAAAATTGAACATCAGGAAGTCACAATGCATATAAAACAATATAGGAAAATGCATAAATAAAAGCTCTTTGCTTTATAAGTTTTTTTTTTTTCAAATATTGCTAATGTAGGATTTTTCTCAGCTCCTTTGTCAGACTCATGACAAGGGTGAATGTTTACTCAGCCCACCGCACTCAGCTCCTTGCAGGAAGGATCACATGAGCAAGCAAGGGCAGGACCCAGCCAGCCACTCCGGGCACTGGTGGGAGCAAGCTGTGTGTGGGGCCCATGGCCAGACCAGGTGTGAGTGAGCAAGTGTGGGATCCAGCCAACCACTCTGGACACTGGTGGGAGCGAGCTCCATGCAGGGCCCATGGCAGTGCCAGCTGAGGATGCCTGTGACCCTGGAACCCCAGAGGGAGTGTTACAGTCCTCTCTTAGCTCCTCTGTCTGTTGATGGCTATGTGTTAACAGCTCAGTTGGCTCCTTACCTCATCACGTGGGGCAACTGCCCTCCACTGGCAATGGCAAAGGGGTAGTGTGACAGCCTTTTTGGGTACCTGCACTCAGTGGGTACCAAGCTCTTGTCAGGCATCCAAGGAGAATGAGGTCACAAGGACACTTGAAGGATGGTGAAGGCAGATAATTTTACTGAGCAGTGGAAATGGCTCTCAGCAGAGAGGGGAGCTGGAAAGGGGACAGGAAGGGCAGGTAGTCTTTCCTGAAGTCAGGTGGTCTTCTCCCCTATGTCTGGCTATCTCTTCCCCAAAGTCAAGCCATCTCTTTTCCCCAAAGTCTAGGCATCTCTCCTCTGAAGTCAAGCCATCTCTCCTCTGTACTGACAGAGTCTGGGGTCTTCAGAAAGAACCAATCGGGAGAGAGTGGGCAAACAGGAATGGAAGTTCTCACTTTGGGCTGTGGGTTTCATGCTACTTTGGCTTGAAGGTGGGCTTTCACTGGGGACCCACCCCTGTCTGCCTAGAATTTCTCTGCCTCCTACCTCTATCATTGCTTTGAGTGTTCAACATTTCCAGATAAGCCCCAAAAGAGAATATCATTCCCCTGTGGTTTTACAAGTCCATTCTTCCTCAAACTCCAAGGATAAAATCACTGAAATAGGCCGGGCGCGGTGGCTCACGCCTGTAATCCCAGCACTTTGGGAGGCCGAGGCGGGCGGATCACGAGGTCAGGAGATCGAGACCATCCCGGCTAAAACGGTGAAACCCCGTCTCTACTAAAAATACAAAAAATTAGCCGGGCGTAGTGGCGGGCGCCTGTAGTCCCAGCTACTTGGGAGGCTGAGGCAGGAGAATGGCGTGAACCCGGGAGGCGGAGCTTGCAGTGAGCCGAGATCCCGCCACTGCACTCCAGCCTGGGCGACAGAGCGAGACTCCGTCTCAAAAAAAAAAAAAAAAAGAAAAGAAAGAAAAGAAAGAAAGAAGAAAATCACTGAAATATACCACTATTTGTGTAAGTAATAAAACTTCAAAATTTATATTAAATTTGCATGAGACTCTAATAATATATGTTATTCTAACTTGTAAAATGGAAGGAAGGAAGGAAGAAGGAAGGTTTCTTGTGAAGTTGTAGTTTGGCTGAAAACAATTACAAATAATTTAATTATTATGATTTGGAATAATGATACTTTTAGCTTGAATGTTCAATTTAGCTTTAATAATTCAGCAACTCTGCAATCTCCATCTCAGTGCAGTTCTATCATTTTCAAATTGTAAAGGCCAAGAATACTATTAAATGTATTGATTTTCATCTTTACTTACAGATATATGAATAGCCTCTAAAACTGACAAGCAAATAGGGTTAAAATTGCTTCCTACAAGAAAGCACAGAAGGAAAATGCTAAAGCCAATGAAAAACCAAAAATGTCTTTGATAACACCTCAGTTACTCTACAGGATAACTAAGCCTCAGAACATTTGCCAATTCACATAAATTATCTTTGGAATGTTCTAACCTTTGAAATAAAATGAAAATAGTTACTAGCTTTATCTACATGACATGACTGGGTTTCTTTTAGCATGCAAAGTAACAACAGAAAAAACCATATCTGATAGCAAAATTCTTACAATAATCTCAATCTCTGCATTAAACTTGGGGGGGGGATTTGCATCTTTGTATACAAAATCATTTATGGGCAAAGTTTCAAAATAAATGAGATGTAAATTCTATGAATTTCATTATGTTACTAAATTGGAAACCAGTTACACATATAGAGGCTTAGGTGCACTGAGTTGAGAAATAATGCAGAGACTACACATTATATTGCATGGACATTTTCTACCCTTCATTTTTTGAAGAGGAAGATGATATTTAAGTTGGGTTTAGAGTTGAAAAAATTGTCTAGTGCAACTCACATAGTCTATTTTACTTGCATATGTTTCACATTTGTCCTTTGGTGGGTTGCTTGTGTTTTGAAGAGTATTGAAATTATATGAGTTTTTCAATTCATATTAAACCTAAAACATATTTCTGTCTCCAGTAAGCTTCTCTGTTGATCATAACTGCCCAACAAAGTGAGCAGTTTGAACCATTCGTTTTCAATAACCAATAATCTTGGGCATATTGTGAAATCCTCTATTTTGTTTTGTGTCCTCTCCACCATCCCCAGGAAAAAAAGTTCCATTTATTAAATATAAAATAATTGAGTGTCTGAATGCTGAACATTCTTCCTGAGTATCTTAGCATTTTATTTGTTTGGAAACACATTTTAATGTCGTTGGTAAAGAAAACATTTCTCAATTATTCAGAATTTAATTATGGGTCATCTTGATCTAAGGTGATATTTCATAGACTCATTTATGATAGTGGTGCAATTATACAAGGCATCTGTGTGACAAATCTCATAGATATGCAGAGATTAATGTATAGCATAAAGATCGGTGGGCTACGACTTAGGGAGTCCTGAGTAATTAGTATAGTGCTAATTATTACCTTTTTTCTTTTTGAAAATTTTAGTTAGAGATCTGGCTTCTGTCTGTTGCCCAGGCTGGTCTTGAACTCCTTGGCTCAAAGCAATCCCCCTGCCTCAGCCTCCCAAAGTGCTGGGATTACAGGCATAAACCACTGCATCTGAAATATAAATTTTTTTTTTGAGTAGCAGAGCCTTTATTTGTATACTTTCTGATAGGTACTACAGCACTGATTATAATTCACAAGTTTGATGTGAATAATATGTTGTATAATATATGCAAATATTTATGCAATTTTAAAGGGGCTTTATAAATTCCACCTTTATTAATGCAATCATATTTATTAATTTTTTTATTACTATTTATACTCATTAAATTTTTGGACATTAGCTTGAAACCATTCTTTCACTCTGATGGCTTTCCATGTGTTTTAATAATCATAATAATTTTAATCATTAATAATTTATCAATGTGTAGTGCTAAAAGATTTAGAGATATATAAATCAGTATAGTAAAGTTGATATAAATATATAAATACGTATATACTTTTTGTTTTTTTACTGTAGGCTTTTCCTTTTACCATTATTAGGCAAATAATCATTGTGATTTACTGTCATTTCTACAAATCCAAAACAATAATTATATGCAATCATAAATTGCTCAATAAGACTAAAATTCTATTATTAAAGTAATAAAATTGAGTCACTTAATTCAAGCCATATATTCACTGAACACCTGCTATGTGTAATGCACTCTGCTGTATACTTGCAAACTTCTAAGCTTTATGAGGATTATATGCTAACTTCTTTGTACAAAACTATCTCCTATTTCAAATTTGTTCTTATCATCTTTTATCCTTGCATTAACATGATGAAATTGGATTTTTGTTTATATTCTCACTTTTTGAAAATCTTCCAGTATCATGTCAAGAAACTTTGAAGGATCTGAGATTTTAGATTACTTCTACACTAATAAGTTAGCCATGGTTACTGGACGAAGAGGCAGAACTTACAGAGACAATAACTTTATTAGAGCACCATAAGCTTATGAGTATCGTGTTTGCCTTGGTCCCATCCTCTTTCTCCAGGTCCCACGAGAATAACACAGAGGTGTCTACTTGATACTGCACATGCAACGTTTTTGCTTCACAACTGATTAATTGCAATGTTACAGAACCTGATTCTTTTGCAGTAGGTTATTTAGCAGATCTGCCCTTTTGCCCGAAAGGAGAACTATTTCTGTCTTCCAAGGCTATCCTATACAAATAACCTTGAAAAGACAATCTAGAACAAAGACAAACCAGTGCCTCTGCTCACAAACATGCAAAAACATGAGACATCATGAAGAATTGTCTCCCACGGTATTATATCTTGAATTTTGAAAAGAGAAACATAATGCTATCTGAATTTATGTTATGCTTCTATTCAGATATACTAATACATGCTGCTGTAATAAGGAGTCCTCATTTAAGTTACTGTGTCCAAAATGAGTTTCCAGTGGTCCTCCATCTTGATACATGCTCCAGTATCACTTATACAGAAAGGGTGGACATGGTAAGTCACTTGCTCGCTCTTAAAGCTTCTTCTTAGAAGTAATATGACTACTTTCATACATATTCATTTGCCTCAGCAAGACACACAGTCATATTTAGCTTCCAAAAAGATTGGAAAGCACAATTTTATCATGTCCTGGAAACTGATCAACACTAATTGCAAGTCTACATGTTCATGGAAGGAAGAGACAACTCTTAGGTTTGTAATCAGATCTTACAAACGTAAGATCTGATGGCACCAATTTTTTCCAATGTGATGTTTTCATAGTAGTCAATAGAAGAAGAGAAACAGAAGGCAATTCCGTTTGGGAACAGGATATCTTCTTTAAGAATGAGAAAATGGTGTCTTCCTTGCCAATTATTTTCTCTGCCCATAGAGCCACAGGGCTAAAACTGCTTGCTGGAATAATGTGTAAAGACCGCAAAATAGTCAGCTCTTCACAAAAAAAGTATTGTAATAGATATCATTCTGCTATCATTCAGCTCTGATAACATAATCTCATTTGCTTTCACTCCAACATGCTACTCACTGTACTTCCATACACTCTCACCCTCTCACCTTGAAGAAATCTTTGAAAATATTGTTCAAAACTGTGGCACCATTCTGAATTCCAGTCCTTGACTTAAATCAATTTTCAAGAGCATTAGATAAGCAGAGGTCTTGTCTTAGTTTTATATGACAATGTAATGAAATTTATTGAACCACTTTGTCTTAAATATATAAACAGAAAAAATAGCATAAAAATGAAGAGTTGGAAAATATAGGGATCATTACTAAACTGATGAAAAGCTATTCCTCAGACACATTTTATAGAGTTGAAAAGATTTCAAAATTGCTAAATAACTGTAGCAAAGACAGTGCAAGTTTGAACAATCTGTAGCATAATGAAATGTCTCAGATATTAAACACAAATGAAAAAATGCATTTTGTTTATTAAATGTAGGATTTTGCATATTAAAACATTAAAACTGTCTGTTATTATTTTGTTTAAATTTGGGGAAATTCCTGGCTTATCTACAGGAGAAAATTATTACACAAATAATGCAGTATACTTTAAAGCAAGAAAGAATCGTTTTTTGTTCTTTTAAAATTTGTTGACTGCTGGAAGAATAATGAGATAAAGTAATAATGTTTTTCAGGTTTATTGAGGTATAATTACATAGTAAAAATTACATAGTAAAAATTACATAGTAAAATATACATAGTATATTTAAGGTGTTCAATTTCATGTTTTAACGTAGGTATACATTTTGAAATACCACAATCAAGTTCTAATATATATTTTAGGCTAGGAAGCAAGAGTGGAAAATGAAACATATTTAGTTCTCACTGAGTATCCCAGGGGATTCAGGATTATAATGCTCAGAGAAAGTAGTGGGAGCTATAAGCACATTGAACTCATAGGACAATAGCTCAACTTCTGTGAAGCTCAAAGCCTACAACTCTAAGGTAAACATTTCTAGTCATGTGTCTATCTTGGGCTTCTTTTGTCCTATCTTCTCTTCTCACTCATCCTTCTTGCCTCATATCATTCTCAGTTACATGCTTGCCTGCCTTCCTACCCTTCTACCCTTCCTTCTCTTCTTTCTTCCTACCTTTCTTGCTTCCTTTCTTCTTCTCTCCTTCCTTCCTTTCCTTCTCTCCTTTCTTTCTATTTCCATTTCCTTTTGCAAGATCTTGTCCTCATCTGCCACTGCAGTATTTCTAGTGTATTAGTTTTCTCTTGCTGAGCTAACAAACTACCAAAATGTGGTGGCTTAAGACAGGAAACATTTATTATCTGATGGTTCTGGAGGTCAGAAGTGAAGTGAAATTCACTGGGCTGAAATCAAGGTGTCAGCAGGACTGCATTCTTTCTAGAGTCTGTAGCTAAGAATCTGTTTCTTTGCCTTTTTCAGTTCCTAAAGGTTATCCACATTCCTTGGTTCATGGCCATCAGTGAGCAATTACATCACAGCAACCTCTACTGCCCTTTGGTACACCTTCCTCTCCGACTGTAATTCTCCTGCCTCCTTCTGTCAATTATATAAAAAAAAAAACCCTGTGATTTCATTGGGCCTATCTGATTCATACAGAATCATCTGCTCACCTCAAGATTCTTAACCTACTAATATCTGCAAAGCCCCTTTTGTCATATTTACAGGTTCTAGGAGTTAGGATGTAGATGTCTGTGGTAGGCTGTTATCCTGCTTACCATGTCCAACAAATTGCCTTAAGTCAAGATTCTCCTGAAAAAAACAGAAACAACAGTCTATCTATCTATCTATCTATCTATCTATCATCTATCTATCCATCCATCTATCGATTGACCTGTTTCTATTCTATAGCTGTTTCTATTATTCTATAATCTATGTCTATTCTATAGCTGTATCCATCTGTAGAGACATTCTGGATACACTACTTCTGAATAATACTATCTTCCACTAGATCTTACTCCTATAGATGGGTCAAAGTCTGTGAGGTGGTCTGAAGTCGTAGGGTTCTCCTGAGTACTTTCAGCACTTAATACACATTGTGTTATCCACACAATAGGGGACAAACTATTATTCTGCCATTTACAGACATGTATCAAAGTAGCTGATGTCACAGCATCATACAGAGTGCTAATTGAATAACAGCCTATTTTATTTTTCATGTGTGCCTCTCTTTCCATAATAGGACACAAGGGTTCATGGGTGGTTAGCCTCAAAGACAAATATTAGTGATGAACATCATGCTGTACTCAGAATTGCTTCTCTTGACTGATAATGAAAGCTTTTTCACTAAGCCACGCTTGACTGCCTGACTCTTCCATTATGATGAGCCCTCTCCCAGGATGCTCCTCAGGGGTTTATTACAGTTGACTTCTGGATCAGGCTGCCAGACATATAGAGACACGTCTGAATTCCACGTATGAACAGAGCATAGACTAAAGCTGTAACACCTTATCGTCTCCCAGGCTGCTTCCAAGCTTCTGAAAACTGGTTTTGCCCCTAAAACCTTAATACATTGTAAAATCAACCCTGTTATGTTTGAATCATAGCATTTTAGAAAAATGAAATAGTGATTTTGATGCTACTGCTTGATAATACAGAAAAGTAAATGTCTATGCAAGGACATGAAGTACTTATATTTTTAAACTTTAAAAAGGGAAGTAACCAGACATTGGGCTTCCTTGTCATTTAAAGCAGCAGCCCCCAACCTTTTTGGCACCAGGGACCAGTTTCATAGAAGACAATTTTTCCAGGGACCCGGTGTGGGGAGATGGTTTCCAGATGATTCAAGCACATTACATTTATTGTATACTGTATTTCTATTATTATTACTATAATTATACAACTCAATATAATTCAGAGTCGTTGGGTACCCTGAGCTTGTTTTCCTGCAACTAGATGCTCCCATCTGGGGTTGATGGGACAGAGTGACAGATCATCAGGTATTAGATTGTCATAAGGAGTGCATGACATAGATCCCTCGCATGTGCAGTTCACAATAGAGTTTGCACTCCTGTGAGAATCCAATGCTGCAGTTGATCTGATGGGAGCTGGAGCTCAGGCAGTAATGTGTGCGATGAGGAGGGGCTGTGAATACAGATGAAGCTTCTCTGGCTTGCCTGCTGTTCACTGCTTGCTGTGTGGCTTGGTTCCTAACGGGCCATGGACTAGTACTGGTCTGTGGCCCAGGGGCTGTGGACCCCTGATTTTAAGAAGTAAGATAGCAACAAAAATAAGGATTTGTTAATTCAACAACGTTGTGAAGGTTTAGGAATTTCTTTTAATTTCACAGTGTTTATTTTTTGCCTGTATTTTCTAATTACCTGTTATATTTAATATAGAACTCCTAAAAAGGAGTGTGGGTGAAGACAGTAGTCTACCTGCCACCAACTTTAATGAAAGAGAAAACTCAAAAAAATAAAGTAAGTGATGCAAAATCTGAAAAAGATGACGTCTGAATTCGATGGTCTTAAGAAAGAAGAGTTTATAAATGTCTAGGATACAGAAATGGTGACTTTAGCTTCAAGGAACCTATGTGGGGTTGCCTGAAATTTGTCTCTGTAATGTCACATGTGTGGAAGATACTGTATGTCATTAATAACTGATTTTGTGCCAATTGGAAGTATTATTAAATTACTGTGCACAGCACTTGGTAGCAAAATAATGGGATGTTTCTTACATATTCCTAGGTATTTCTGAATTTACTCTGCTGGTTTTATATAAAACATGAACATTGGAAAATAGAAAACAAGTATCCCAAAATCCTTTCCTAGTATGTGTGCCCATACCTCTCACTTAATGATTTCACATTATTGATAAATTTCCTCATTGATATAGTGCTCCATTTTATTAATCTTGAATTGGGCAAAAAAAGATGTAGTTGCTGCAAGGCACTTTCATTTGCCATCGTTTTCTCAAGGGCTCATATTCCTACATCTTCTGAAATACCTAATTAACTCTTGTTTAAAATGAGCACATGCAGAATATAAATGGAATAAATTACTACTCATTGAAACTCAAATATTTCCAATTGAATAAATATTTGACAGAATATTAAGAGCTTTTTGAAGCTGTTTCACATAACCACTTAGAAACTATGAATCCAGGACCCACTATTTGAAAAGTACATTACCAACAATAAGCAGCTTGTTCATTATAAGTCTCATTGATATGTCAAGTGACAGTATTAAATCGGTGACTAAATAAAGCTTACTATATCTAGGGTTAAAAAAGAAGGTTGGATTTACTTTCTGATTTGTCTGATTTTTATGTAATGACAAAAACCTTTTTTCAGGAGCATAAAGTTAACCAATTTATGTTATAAATGATAAACAGTGACAGTGTACTACTGCACATATCTACCCATAATAGGCAGACTTCCAAAGCAAATGAAATCATGATCATTAAATTAAAATAACCCAGGTTCAATATATGCCTTGTCATCTCCTGAATATGAACAAAATTACTTCATTTCTCAGAGGCTCAGTTTCCCTGATTGAAAAATGTGAGTAATAGTAGCATTCTGTTGATGCTGTTATTAGTCAGTTCAGTATAACATCATAGAATATCACAGACTTGCTGGCTCAAGCAACCAAAACCTATTTTTTCAAAGCTCTGGATTCTGGAAGTCCACGATCAAGGTGCTAGCAGGGTTGGTTTCTAGTGAGGCCTCTCTTCCTGGCTTGCAGGTGGCTGCCTTCTTACTATTAGTTTGATGCAAACGTAATTGCATATTTTCCCATTAAAAGTAATGGCAAAAAAACACAATTATGTTTACACCAACGGAATATATCCTTCCACAGCCGTTTCTGTGTGCATGCACTCCTGGTGTCTCTCTTTTTATGAGGACCCCAGTCCTATTGGGTTAGAGTCCCACCTTTATGACCTAATTTAACCTCAATTACCTCCTTAAAGGTCTTATCTCCATCTAAAGTCACACTGGGGATCAGAGCTCCAACATGTGAATTTTTCTGGGCAGGGTAGCACATTCCATAATAGTTTTGTTTTAGTGATTAAATGGTATATGGCATGGATACTCAATATTTAATTACACAGTGGAAACTCAGAAGTGTTAACTGTTTTACTTTAATGCCATCACCTATGAGTGAATTCTGATTTGCCTTATCTGAAAGCATTACATAGTAGACTATCCAGGCAGTTAAAGCAGCCGCTGTACCTGTCACCTTCTCATCTTCCCTGCATCTCAATTACTAGGGTTTCTGGCAAGGAGGTGAATCAAACCCCACTCAGTTCTCAGAGATTGTATTATTGTCCCTTCTTTCTGGTCACCACACCCAAGGTTTTCAAATCAGTTCACCACCATTCCCCAAATCTCAAGCTTCTGCAGAAATAAAGAGCAATATTGTAAAAATAAAGAAAAAAAAATAAAAGGAAACAAAGGTTTGGACATGCTGAGTGTGACATGTACAAACTACACACACAAACACAAAATCACTAATGGCTTATCTCTATAGATTTAATATGCAATTTTAAAAAAGCAATTATGCATTATTAAAGGATCTGAAGGGTTCATATCTATTTTTACCTAGCTTTTATATCCACCCAACCCTCCACACACATCCCTTTTTTGACTCCTGCATTGGTTTTATTGTTCATTAAGAATACCAATTAGACGACAGTTCTTTATTTTAAATCAAGTTATGCAAATGTGGCCTACACATGCAGGTTTATTAATAAACAATATGTGTTTCATTTTCAGTTGCATTAATATTTCACACCTAAAATTGCAGTTATAGCAAGTTTACTAAAAAGACTTTCTAGCTAGAATTTAAATGAAAGAACAAAGAAAGACACTTAGCATATTGACTTTAGAAGGCTTTGGAACATATTATATTTTTAGACTAGTTATAGGAAATGTGGAAAACAAGTTCTGTATCTGGAACAACATCTCATAATCATTTGTGTTACTTCAAAACAGACTAAATAATGAGTTCTGTTTATTCATAAAAAGAAAGCAAATTTTATACCATACTCCCAGAAATAAAATAATAGTATTTACCTAAAAATAACATGGTACATTTAAGATAATTCTGAACCAATATTTTGGATAAAGTAAACAATGTTTTTCTCAGTTTTTTTAGAGAATGCATTTAAGTTTTGAAAATTTCCTTCTGATATAAATCTTCCAAATAGATATTGCCGGGAACTATTATCAGTTTAGAAACTCAGCATATTCGTAAGTTCACTTTGCACTTGTATAGTTTTTCATAAGTCCAAATGTTTATACCTGACCTCTAGTTATTGACATAAAGAAAGATTAAGCATCTACATCTAAGATAAGGCAATCAAAAGACTGTTTCTCCTAGGAGTTTACAGTACAAATGTTTGAGGTCAAATGTATCATTTGTTGATCCAGTTCAGACCTAGTTTCTCTATCCAAGAACTTTTTTTAGGTCACTTTAACCCTACCCTATCTGTTTCAGAGTGCAAAGTATAGTTGAAGGTAAGAACAAGTAATCATAAAAAAAATAGATACACTTTTGAAAGTTCCAAGTAGTTGTGTAATAATGTTTATCACTGACAGATAATACTTGATATCAGCTTTTATGAAAAATGTCAATAAGCAGCAATCCATAGAGGAAAGATAATTTTTTCATTGCACTAATAGAAGCTCAGCTAATTTAGGATTTTAGAGGTGAGTGAAAATTGGCAATCATTTGTGAGGCCAGAAAAAGGTAATGATATGTATATGTCCTTATGCTTTTCCTATATGCTAGGCAGTGCTTTACATGATTTACATGTCTTCTTAACATGCTAGGAGATGAGATGGTTCTATTCTTGTTTAAGGATTCTCAACTCCTAAGTGTGGAGCTTGGTTTCATTGTGACAGAGTCGATTTCCATAGCTGGAGCGCTTGATTACAAAGTTTTACTGACTACTATGCTAAAGTTATGCACATGTTATAGGTAAAAAATCTTCTAGGCATTGTAGTAGGTACAAAATAAATAAACTTCTGCCCTTCAAGGTACAACTTGTGAGCAATTAATTATAATACCTTGCAGAAGTATAGAGCACTCATTAAAGTTCAAAGTGCTTTGGAGAGAGAAGAAATTTTCTGACTGGAGGACTGAAAATATTTGCAAAAGGAAATTTGTATTTAGTTAGGTCTTGAAGAATGTATTGGATTTCATGGTGAAGTTTATTGTTTTTTCCAATTTATCACTCTCTTCTCTATGATATAATTGTATATCCACATCCTTTGACATTTGACTTGGCAGTACCTCCCTCTAGAGCACATGGTGTATATTTACCTGCCCCAATGATATTGAGCTTGGTTATATGCTTTTCTGTGGTCATTGGAATGCCAGTAGGCATTATATAAACTGATATGACAGTGTTTGCTCCCTTGGACTTCTGCCATCACCATGAGAGAAGCACGCCCATTAAGTCACCATATGAGACAAGTGAGGTAATTCTGAACCCAACCTTTAGCCTAGTGGAAAATCCAGCTGAACCACAACTCATCCAAACTCAAGAAGAAAAAATATAAATGTTTCTTGCAAGAAGACACCAAGATTTTGAAGTTTATGTTATACAATAAAAGCTAGATAATATATATTTTAACCAGGCATGGTGGCTCACACCTGTAATCTCAGCATTTTGGGAAGCCAAGGCAGGAGAAATGCTTGAGGCCAGGAGTTCGAGACCAGCCCAGCAAATATGGTGAAACCCCATCTCTACTAAAACAAAACAAAAAAACAAAACAAAACAAAACAAAAAACATAGCCGGGTGTGGTGGTGTGCACCTGTAGTCCCAGCTGCTGGGGAGGCTGAGGCAGGAGAATTTCTTGAACCTGGGAGGTGGAGGTTGCAGTGAGCTGAGCTCAGCCACTGTACTCCAGCCTGGGCAACAGAGCGAAACTCCATCTCAAAAATAAATAAATAAATAAATAAATACATATTTTAACAGATAATGTGGTAAGAGACAGAGACTTTGAAAGAATGATATCATCAAAGACATAGAGCCCCCAAACAGATTGAGAGAATAAATATTGAGTGCTATATCAGAGGACTGATAGAAATCTTCATGGAAAAGTATAAGAAGTGGTAAAGTCAGATTAGTCCATCAAATGTGAGTTCCATCAGGGCAACAGTTTCATTTACCTTGTCATTCTTTATCCTCAGTGTCTAAAACAACGCTTGTCACTCAAGAGCATTTGAAAAACATTTGTTGGTTGAGCAGATGACATGAACACAATTAAGGGTGTTTAAAAATTTTTCTTCAGCTGAAATCTGGGAGCCATCAAATGATTTTCAAAGGAGGAATTTCAGAAATGGTATCAGGTTTAGTAAGTCATTTTTTTGGAGGAAGGATGTTTCATTCTCTGTAATACTTCCATTTTCATGTGGAAGGACCTCTCATAGAGAAACACTCCTGGACTAACTCACTCCTCCACAGGGAGAATGGATTGGAGTGGCAAAAATTTGGAGGTACATGAACTAATTAAGACTCTTCTTTGGCATACTTTTTGTGACTCTGGTAGAGTAGACTTTTGTGATTCTGGTAAAGTAGACTTTTTCTTTTTTTGCCACAATGTATTGTTTTTTATTGTGTAGGATAGAAGCAAAAATGAGAAATAGAAAGGCAATCAGAATCTCTTTGGAGAATTTATTAAAATTATTTTGAGTGACTCATTCTTTGGAATCTTCGTTATACATTTCATATGTTCCTAGTGCTGCTGCTAAGATCTTTGCTACCATATAGAGAAACACTGCTGATGAATTAAATCAGGAAGAGGAAAGCAAAAAAGGGAAATGCAAAGGGAGAGAGTCTTAGTGATCATTTTGGGTTTCTAGATTCATGATTACCTGAAGCAAAATCCAGAACTTAAAATTCTTTTTTACATTGATTTATGGAATTAAAAAAATATTTTTTTTCTGTTTTGAGTTGGATTTCAGCTGGTTTGTGTTTGATTCCTCATAAGTTATAGTTGAAGGTGTTGTGATTAATGAATAGAATGAGATCAGTACTGCAAATGGAAGGGAAGAGGATGAAATAAGTAACAGTATGGCCCTAGAAAAGTCAATGGTAATTTATTACATATAGGGGAAGAGAAGTATAAAAGAGTTAATGATTACTCCGAAGTTTCAATTCTGGGCAGGATGGTGGCAACATGAAACTAAAATAGGAAAGACAAGAACGAGAGCAGGTTTATGGAGTTTCATGTTGTCTCTCATGGATTTAAAGAATGAGTAGGATAGCTATATGGTTGTTAATAGAGCACAGTTAAATTTTGTCATTATAGTCCAAATGAGAGGTTTGCCATGCAATATTTACTTAAATGCATTCAGCACAGTAATAGCGGAAGATTTCAGAAGAACTTATCTCTGGAAAGGAGTATAAAACTGAACTGGGGAAATATTTGTATGTAGGAGTGGGTAGAGAAAGAAAAAGCACTGAAGGAAACAGAGTGGGACTTCAGAAAGATACCAAAAGAGCCAGAGAAAAAGAAATTAGCATTTATCAAGGACCGAATACAATGTTTTCAAGCATTTTCCGTGTCATTTCATCTATCATCAGAACTCTATGAGAAAGACATTACTATCATCATTTTACTGTTGAGTGAACTAAAACTTGGCAAGGATAAGAAAATTGGCCAAGAGCCCACAGCCAGGAAGGGCAAAGCTGGAATTCAAACACAAATCTGTTTGACTTTAAAACCCATGGCCTTTCTGCCACCTCCTGCTGCCACTTTCACTAAAGGAAAGCACTATTATCAGAACCAATGAAAAATTAACTGCAAGGGACCAAGACCAAATGCTAGAGAAAGCGTTAACAGGATATGAGCTAATTTGAGATCAACTAGTTCTCCTATTATCTTGCAGATGAGGAAAATAAAGTTAAATGATTTTTCCATAAACACACAGATGGCTAGCATCAGGGTCAGAAGGAGTACCTAGGTTTTCTGGAAGTGACTGTGGTGCCACTGACCATCACCACATTCTGCCTTCAATGTGAACTTCAAATCACAATATATTCAGTTATGACTAGAGCCATTAAGTGGTATGTCTTGGACTCTTGGGCATATCTTCATCATTTTCATTCCTGATTCATCTTACTGGATACCCGAAACTTTTTTTTCTATTGAATTAAGCATAGTTCATACAAAAGTAATTAAGGATATGTGGCACAAGGGAAACACGAATTTCACTGATGGGTTCAGGCAAATCTACTTGGCTTTGATATTCCAGTTTCTGATAATCTGACTGATAATAAAAGACTTGTGATAATAAGACTTGTTAACTAATAATAAATAAAACAGGCTTTTCCAGGATTTCCATACACACACACACACACACACACACGTATGTATCCCATAAATGCTAAATGCTTGATTTTATGATAAGTGGTATACTACAAATATAATCACCATATCAATGCTAATAGCTATAAAGGAAACAAAATAAAGTTACTTCAAATACTTTGGAATACAGAGATGTATAGTGGTGGCGGGGAGAGAGAATGGGGGCAGGGATTTCTTCATAGAAATGTCAGGGAAGCCACTGTGAGTTCAGGAAAATTAAAAGGAACCAGTCATGGGATGAACCCCCGCCCCTTCCCCAGCAAGTGGAACAGCAGGAAAAGAAACAGATGAGGTAGAATGCTATTATCATATTTGAGGACTAGGAACATTGGCAGTAAAGATGATAACTTTCTGGCCTGCAGACAGGTTGCTTGGGCTTTGGTTTACTCACTTGTTTGTGCAGAAAGGGAACTCCTGTGGTAGTCTTGTGGACCAGGCTAAATGCATCCATATTTCCTTTGCATCTTTATCAAGAAGATGGAAATGATTGCTCAGTGTGTTGCTGGGTGGCATTTTTCCAAGAAAAGTATCTTAAGCCCATTGTGATCATCTGACTTTTCAGGGTACATCCTGCATGACCAGTATCCACAGATTAGAATAATAAATTATGGCCTAGGGGTAACTCTCTTTCTTGGCAGATTAAAATAGTGATAAAATGTGTAAACATTCTAGAGATATTCCCTTCCAATTGTTGAAACAACAGTATATTTAAATCAGTGGGCCTCCATATTTTGGGTAAGCTGAGACACACAAAATATGTACCTCATTTCTAGAACAAGTGATTTGAGGTCAGAAAGGGGTCTGAGTATATTTTTAAAAGATTTTCCTCTAAATCAATAGATAAAACAACAACAACAACAAAATACTTTCCAGGTCATTCTGGTACTCATCAGTGATTGATAATTCTTAGTTTATGCTACAAAACATATTGGCACTATTGCTTAAATTCCATTGTATCAGCTATCTCTTGCATATCAAAGCTGTATTACAAGCTTCCCCAAATCTCAATGATTTAAAAAAATAAGTCTTTCTTTAACCCAAGAGTCTAATGGAGGATGTATAGGCTGGGCTTGGGGGTGGCTTTTTATGTCAGTTGGACTTACTCACAGGCCTGGTAGTCAGCTGACTGTTTCCAGGGGTAATGTGGGGGACTGGTTCACGTTGTCTCTCATTTGACAGTTGTCTAGGCTGGGAAGTAGTGACAGCAGAAAAGCAAGAGAATGAACAAAAACATAAAAATACCTTTTGAAGTCTCTCTTTTCATTAAGTTTGTTAGCATCTCATTAGCTAAAGTCACATGGCCAAGCCAGATTATGAAGTTGCTTTGAGATTCCAAGATGTTAGAGGGAAAAGAGAAGAATGAGGGCATTAATACAATTAAGTTAACACATCATACATAATCATAGCTACATCAAACACAGGAAGAAACTCCCTTTTATACTTTCCCTGCTACTCCAGCATCTACCTTCAATTTAACTCGTTAGCTGAGCAGGCACAATAAGCTAGGCAGTTAGCTACAGTACATCTCTCAGCAAAGCAGATTCAGCCTGGAAGATTTTCCTGTTTAGAGAGAAACTAGTGGTAAGATCTAAGATCAATGTGAATGAGGGAAAATGTGCTTCAGCTGCTTTTTTTTCACTGTAATACTTCTAACTTCTCAGAAAAGGACACATTTATTATTATTATTATTTTGAGGAAGGTCTCACTCTGTTGCTCACATTGGAGTTCAGTGGTGCTACCACGGCTCAGGGCAACCTTGATCTCTGGTGCTCAAGTGATACTCCCCCCTCAGCATCCTGAGTAGCTGGGACTACAAGCACATGCCACCATGCCCAGCTAATTTATTTTATTTTCTGTAGAGATAGGGTCTTCCTATGTTGTGCAGCCTTTAATCTCGAGCCCCTGCGCTAAAGCAATCCTTGAGCCTCAGCCTCTCAAAGTGCTAGGATTACAAGCATGAGCCACCACACCCAGTCGAAACTGACACTTTACTCTTCTCCCCTTCCTAGAACCTCCCTACTTATTTGATATCTAAACTGGCCATCTCCTCTTCTGCTTATTCAGATATATTGTGATACTCAAATCCTATTAAAATGATTCAAATTATAGGTTCTGG
Source organism: Homo sapiens (assembly GCF_000001405.40). Classification (NCBI taxonomy): domain Eukaryota; kingdom Metazoa; phylum Chordata; class Mammalia; order Primates; family Hominidae; genus Homo; species Homo sapiens. The sequence goes on from NC_000004.12 coordinate 33,488,073, forward strand.
CCAGGTGCTGTGGCTCACACCTGTAATCCCAGCACTTTGGGAGGCTGAGCCAGGTGGATTGCCTGAGGTCAGGAGTTCGAGACCAGCCTAGCCAACACGGTGAAACCCCAACTCTACTAAAAATGCAAAAACTAGCTGAGCATGTTGGCAGGTGCCTATAATCCCAGCTACTCGGGAGGCTGAAGTAGAAGAATTGCTTGAACCCAGGAGATGGAGGTTGCAGTGAGCTTAGACTGTGCCACTGAACTCCAGCATGAGCAACAGAGCTAGACTCCATCTCAAATATATATATACAGAGAGAGAGGTTCTAATCATAACGAGTTGGTGTAACATCTTAATATTTAAAATGCACACATGATCTTTGATTTAGAATTTGTTTCTGGTATCTGTGCCTGCAGACCATCTATTTGGGGAGAGCCCTATATTGAGTGGATATTGGCGTGCTTCTGATGAAGGCTCAGCAAATCTCATACTCCTACTCAGACTCTGATTTTTGAAAGAAGATACTTATTCACAGGAAGTGCTTGGATTTCAACTGAGGTGGAGATGTCATTTCAGCAGGAGGTTTTCTAGGGCTATTGGCTTTGCCTGCTATTGGTAGGAGTATCTGAGTCCAGCAGGGTGTTAAAAATACATGCTGTGTTCTACCTTTCTTCAGTTTCCATGCCAGGACTCTCTGGGTTCTTGAACCTTTCTGAGGTCATTTCTAGTGTTTTTCAGCCAATTCTTTTATCACATTAAAGCTAGAAAACATAGATTAAAACACTCATCAACTCGTTTCAGCATTTAGAAAATCTCCAAAGCTTACTATTATTATTATTAATTTTTATTGAAACGAAGACTACTTATGAAACTCCAAAAGTTTGAAAACCTTTGTATAATAGGTTAATTTCGTTATATTATGCTCACCATACCTCCAATTATTCCCGATATAAAAATTCTAGAACGTGAAGATAGCCATTTCTACAGCAATCAGAATATCCTGAGCAAAAGGTAACAGTCACGTAGATTTTTCTTTCAAAGTGGTAACTTAAAGTTAAGGGATCAATCTGCAGGGCTATTTTAAATGATTGGCTCCTGGGAAGGATGACCTGGTGTCTTTCTACAATGGCATGGTGATGTACTTGAGGAAGGGAAGGAGAAGCAGGGTGAATCCACTGTGAATTTTTGTTTTCCAGGCTTTTTCTGAGGAGCATGGTTGATACATAGAAGTCACCTTAATTTTTTAATAGAAAAACTATTTCACATTCTTAAAATGTTATGCAAGTCATTATCCCTAACAACTTAACCAGCTGCTGTGCTTAACTATATTTCTCCGTATGAAAATGTGATGATTAATGTGACTAATGTAATGATACAAGTACCACTTACCTACTTTTAAGTTAAAGAACTAAATTCCCTATTCAAATGCATTGGGATTACAATATTTTCACATTAGCTTGCACAGTTCAGTGCTTCTATCTAGAAGTTTTTTTAGAGATCTCTGATTAACTGCATTATCCTCACACAGCTTAAGCAATTTTTTTATTAGCTGTATTTTTAACAGCACCCAGGGGAGTTAGAAATTATTTTTAAGGTTAAAAATGACTGTGTTTACACACCTTTTCATTGAAGACCTAATTAGCTAGGTAATTTGAATAGCAGCAGTTGAGAGTTTTATAAAATACTAGAAGAGAGGCTACTTTATAATCGTTTCCGCAGTGAAAACACTCTTGAAATAGTGCTTGATTTTATGAATAAACTGTATCAGGATACGTAGAGTTTTTAAAAAACTCGTACATTTTCCCTAGGATTAGGTAAAACTAACTTTGGAAGGGAATAAAAAATAACAGCCTATTACACTTTTGGATATTATTTATTCTGTAATTCTCCATTAAATTTATTCAATTTGGCACCTATGCAAGGATTTCTTTTACTCTATTCATCTTGGTCACAATACATTTAAGCTTAAGCTAATTTCTCCTACAGGGTATGCAAGGCAGACAGAGGTAAACTTTCAGGGTCAGAAAAATTCAGCCTGAGCATCTTCTACACAAGGTCCTTACCATCATCAAGAGAGAAACAGTAGTTCAAACTAGGGCTACTTAATGTACTGAAAGTACAGAGATTCGCCTGAATTGCACAATTTTCAGGTGGTCTTTTATGTTGCAATGAGAAATTTCAAGCATAATTTTTGCTCACACTTTGGGTTCTTAATGCCTTCCATTCAATCAGCATAGTTGTGTTGAGGCTAAATCCTCAAATACATTGAAAAGTAGCACTAAGAAAAATTAGGCCCCTAAATTATAATATTTCATAATATTTTTGATTTAGGGGCTCCAAAAGGACATACTTTTTCTACTCAAACAAATAGGAACAGTTATGAAAAACATACAGGAGTCAGGCAGGTGGAGATAAAAATATCTTTACTATTGATAAAGGTGCATGGAGAATATGGCTTAGGGGCTTCCAGATGGGCTTATTTATTTGCCCTCCAGCTAAATTACTCCCTCAAATCTTCCCACAAAGGCAGAGCCTGTCATGTAAACTTACTACAGTTTGGAGCAACAAAACAAAGATGTATCTTCTCTGCTGGCCCCAGGGCATAAAATATAGGCACAGAAGTTGCTGAGCCGTATGTTACAATTTAATAAATTAGTCTTTTCTTCCTGGGGTGGAAGGCAGAACAGATCAAAGCCCACTTGTTACACTAAAAGAAGTCCCTCTACGTGGAGACATGAAGAAGGAGAGAGAACTGATACGCCTTGACAACTGCTGACAATTTGGTATATAATGGCATATCGAATCATAGCTTTCCGTCCTTCGGTATTGGTTTATATTAATAAAACTGAGCCTGATAAAAAGAAAAGACTACCTGCCTGAAATAGAAATGGTCAGATAGGTATAAATGATTATTTAAACAACCACTAGCTTTATAGCATCATCCTGCTATATTATATAATACATCAGGTATAGAAGAGCAGTTAAAAGCAAAGAGTTCTGCTATCTTAATGCTCTTTTTATCTTTGGCCTCTGAAGAGGTAGGCTGGAAAGTTATTCTTGTAATGTAAATTATAGACATGGCTTTTAATGGTGTCAGCTGAGGCCATCATTTCATTTTACATAAAACACCAAACAGCTATTGGAAGTTAATGAACTTTCTTTATTAGCATATCAGGAACATTTAAACCAGTGATCTAGGAAAAAAAAAACAGCCCTGCATATCTGATCGTAAATTTTGGAACTCCCCATCACCTTGATTAATATTGTCTTCAGGATTGGGAAGAATGGTATTCAAATGCATGTGTATATTAGTGTGTTTTTTATTGTGGCATGTTTTATTATTATTTTTGGAAGGGAGCTGTATAATTTTATTCACTATTCTTATCATTATAATTTCCTTTTGGTTTTGTATACTACATAATGCTTTTTAAAATTATATGATACAATGTACTACACAATGCTTAAAAATATTTGGTTAGATGAATATAAATATATATTTAAGTTATATAAAATTATTTTTATGAATATATACATTAAAATTTACCTGTGTTAAGGACAAATACTTTAAAAGTAAGCATATAAATTTACTATTGGTGTATAGAAATGTTATTGATTTTTTTGTGTTGGTTTTGTATCCTGCAACTTTACTACATTGATTTTTAATAGGTTTCTGGTGGAGCCTTTAGAGTTTTCTATATATATATATATATAAAATCATGTTCTCTGCAAACAGTAACAACTTGACTTCCTTCTTTTCCAATTTGGACATCCTTTATTTCTTTCTCTTGTCTAATTGCTCTGGCTAGAATTCCAGCACTATGTTGAATAAAAGTGGAAAAAGTGAGTATTCTTGTCTTGTTCCAGATCATAGAGAAAAAGCTTTCAATATTTCCTCTTCAATGTGATGTAGGCTGTGGGTTTGGAATAAATGGTCTTTATTGTGTTTAGGTATGTTTATTATATACCCAATTTGCTGATAGTATTTATCATGAGGGTCTATTGAATTTTATCAAATGCTTTTTTGGTGTCTGTTGAAATGATCATACACTTTTTCTTTTTCATTTTCATTCTGTTAATTTGATATATCACATTTATTGATGTGTGTGTGTTGTACCATCCTTCCATCCCTGGGATAAATCTCACTTGATCATGGTGAATAATTTTTTTAATTTGCCGTTGAATTCAGTTTGTGAGTATTTTGTTGACAATTTTGGCTTCCATGTTCATCAGGGATATTAGCATGTAGTTTTCCTTTTTGCTGTGTCCTTGTCTGGTTTTGGTATCAGGCCTTGTAGGATAACTTTGGAACTATTCTGTCCTCTTTAATTTTTTGGAAGAGTTTGAGTAGAATTGGTATAATTTTTTTTAAATATTTGGCAGAAAACAAAGGTGAAGCCATCAGGCCCTAGGTTTTTCTTTGATGAGAGACTTGAAAAAACATAACTGTTACTTCAATTTTCTTACTTGTTATTGATCTGTTTAGGTATTCTATTTCTTTATGATTCAATCTTGGTAAGTTGTATGTGTCCTGGAATTTATACATTTCTTCTAGGTTTTTCCATTTGTTGTCATGCAGCTGTTTATAATAGTCTCATATGATCCTTTTGTTTCTGTGGTATAAACTCACATATGAGCCAGCAATTTCATTCTTTTATATATACATATATATATATATATATGTAATAAAACTAGTATATTGAAGCACCTATTTACAGATGAATGGATTTTTAAAATGTGATATACACACACACATAAAATCACACAATGGAATACTGTTCAATTAGAAGACAGCCTGAAAATCCTATAATTTGCGGCAACATGAATGAACCTAGAGGACATTATGTTAAGTGAAATGAGGCAGGGACAGAATGCCAAACACCTCATGATCTCATTTGTATGTGGACTCTAAAGAAGTTGATCTTATAGAAATAGAAATTAGAATACTGTAGAGGTCCCCAACCTTTTTGGCATCTGGGGCCAGTTTTGTGGAAGACAATTTTTCCACAGACTAGGGTGGAGTAGGGATGGTTTTGGGACTATTCAAGCACATTACATTTATTATGCAATTTATTTCTATTATTATTACACTGCAATATATAATGAAATAATTATACAACTCATCACAAGGTAGAATCAGTTAGAACCCTATGCTTGTTTTCGTGCAACTGGACTGTCCCATATGGGGGTGATAGGAGACAGTGACAGATCATCAGGCTTTAGATTCTCATAAGGATCATGCATCCTAGACCCCTTGCATGCACAGCTCACAATAGGGTTTGTGCTTCTATGAAAATCTAATGCTATGGCTGATCCGAAAGGAGCTGGAGCTCAGGAAATAATGTGAGTGATGGGGAGTGGCTGTAAATGCAGATGCAGCTTTGCTCACTCACCCATTGCTCACTTCCTGCTGTGCAGCCTGATTCCTGACAGGCCATAGACTGGTATAGGTCTGTGGCCTGGGGGTTGGAGACCCCTGGAATAGTGGTTATCAGAGCCTGTGGATGGTAGAAGGGAGAAAGAATGAGGAGAATTTCGTCAATGGGTACAAAGTTAGAATTAGGAAGATTAAGTTCTGGTGTTCTATTACATAGTAGGGTGACTATAGTTAATGATGATGCATATTTCAAGATAGCTAGAATAGAGGATTTTGAATTTTATCCCTACATATACATGTTTAGAGTGAAAAATATGCTAATTACCTTGATTTGATAATTATGTAATTATACATGCTAAATATGTATAATTATGTGACTATTACAAATAAAATAAAACTTTTTAAAAAGTAAGCACGTAAACTTAATCACCACTTAGACAAAGATAAGGCACATTAGCAACATCCAGAAGTCTCTTAAGCACCATCCTAATTATTAATCCCCCAAGATGAACATCGATTTCTATCTCTGTAGATTACATTACCTGTTTTTGAACATTGTAGAAATGAATTATTAGGTGTATGATGGTTTGTCTGCTTCTGTTGGCACAACAGTTTATCCTTAATACTTATCCATGCCGTTGTGTATAATGGTAGTGTTTTTTTTCTGTGTGGGTTAATATTCTACTACATATTATATTTATTTTTTCTATTTTTGATGGGCATACACTTGAGTTTTTTCCAGTTTTTTAGTATTTGTATATGCTTTCTATTAACTTCCTGTTCGTGTGGGAAATATATGCACTCATTTTCACTGCATATGTACTGAAGAGACCTTGACGAACATATATGTGCATTTCTACTGGTCATATACTTAGGAGTAAAAATGCTGAGTCATTGAACTATTGGTTCAGCTCCAGTAAATCATGTCAAGGAGGACTCCAAAGTGATTTTCTCACCAGCAGCATATGAGAGTTCCAGCTGCCTCACTCTCTTGCCAGTCCTTGGTATTATCAGTATTTTCATTTTAGTCACAGGGAGATTAATAGTTTAATCTTGTAACTTTCTGAAGTTTAAGCTTAGTTTTTCCTGGTGACAGCATTTTCATATACACACTGCAATTAGATACTCCTCACTGCAATTAGATACTCCTTTTACTTACTGCTGCCTGTTGAATGGTATCAGTCAAATTACACCGGATTGCCTATTTATTTATTGTATGTTCGGGTTCATATACGAATCATTTGTCAGATATTAGTATTGAAATGATTATCCTACCTTGTAGCTTGCTTTTAATTCTCTCAATAGTGTCTTCATTAATAAAGTACAAGGAAACACCCTCTGGAATCTTTATTACTATGATCCATCTGCAATATAATTTTGTGTATTTATAGTATGAGGGAAGGTGAAGGTTTACTTTTTAACAAAAATACACAAATGCAAATGAACCATTAAAATAAATCTGTTTCAAAGTTTCAGTGACCCCTTTTTATAAATCAAGTGACCTCATGTACCTGAGGGTTTTTTTTTTTGACTGTTTTCTTGATCATCTCTTTTATTCATATATGTGTCCACCTTTGCTCCACTTCCATCCTGCATTGATTACTGTAGTTTTATAATAATTCTTGAAGTGTGGTTATGTAAGCCATCAAACAATTTTTTTCTAACTTAAAATTATCTTTGTGGTTATTGATTTTCAAGTATATTTTAAAATCAGCCTCTCAATTTATGCACACAATTGTGCACACATGCACAAGTGGTTTTGACTGGATTTGCATTATATCCATAAAATGGAGAAAAGTGCTATATTTATAATATAGGATAGAGTTTTAGTTTTTTTGTTATGTTCCTTTATTTTTAGTAATACCTATTGCCTAGACTTTTCTTTTATGTTACTATAGCTATACCTACTCTATTCTGTTATGGTTCACATGCTTTATTATTTAAAAAAAATTATTTTAATATTTCTCTGTTCTTATACTTTAGGTCCTTATTGCTCTAATGTACAAATAATCTTTACTTAAAATTCAGTCTACTAAATTTACAGAAAAATAAATGTTAAAAGTAGTGTTGCAGGAATTTCCCAGTTTATCTATGTATGAGTAGCTATTATTAGACCAACATACTTTGTTATAAAAGAAGTTTAAAAACCTGGAAAAATATATGGTAGGCACTGGAAAACACTGAATGTATCCATGAGCTTTTCTAGAATATGAGGTCCCTTTGTCATGTTTTGAATGTAAGTATTAAAGGAAGAAACTAATCATAATATAATTCAAGTTATTTACCCAAGATTCTCTAAATTTTCATTTTGGGTTATCCACACTTCATTCTTTTCTATCCTTTTTGTCTCTGGTCTTCTTTAAATGTTTTATCCTACGTCTAATATGTCTTAAGGACCCACAAATTCCATGCACGAGAGCTCCACCAATATGATCTAATCACTTTTCAAGGGCCACACCTCCTAATGCCATTACATTGGTAATTAGGTTTCAACACATGACTTTGGAGGTTCACAAAATTCAGACCATAGCAGGGACTATGAGCCCAGTGGTGATTCTGGAGTTTGGACAATGCTTAGAAATATTGGCGATGCAATAAGCCAGAGGAAACAAACTCACAGGAAATCAGCTGGAACCTCAGGAACATCATAACTTATGGATAGAAATACTCTTATTTTAGATTAAGATCTTCTCTAAACTCACTGTAATAAAGTCCTAAAACAAACCTGGCAAATATAAAGGTTATCATCTAGCAAATTAACTGATTGCCAGAAAAAAGTTAACAGTATTTCAAGAAAGAAAAATCCAGAAACTCAACAATATTGCACCCATATTAGTAAGCATATGATAAAGAATTAAGCGATATTTGAAGAAAGAGAAAAATATAATTATTGAAAAATATAAAGTTAGATAAAAACAGACCCAGAGATCACACAAATGACAGAATTGTCAAACCAGAACTTTCACAGAGCTATTTTAAATATTGCCAAAAATGTCGTAGTAGGCAGAATTCCCAGATGGTTCACAAGATTACTATCTACTGGTATACCCATCCTGCATATTCCCATCCTCTTGAGTCTATGTAAGACAGGTATGCATATGATCGATGTCACTCCTGTGACTGGGTTATGTTACATGGTAAACATAAAAAAAAGTTGATGATGTAATTGCAGTCCTTAAACAGTTTGACTTTGAGTTAAATCAAAAGAGACATTATGCTGGTTGAACCTGATCTAATAAAATAGATGGCCAAGTTCTTCCATGGGAACAAAGAAAGTATCCTTCTGGAATTGAATGAAACATTCATGTTGTAAATAGTCGATGGAGAAAATACATGTCCTACCTAGACTTTGGGCAATCTCAAGCAACTGAATATGGCCTCCAGTTGAAGACCAGCAAAAATCCAGGTCCTTCCGTAATAAATCTCAAGAAAATGAATTTGGCCAACCTGAATAAGCTTTAAGGTTGATACTTCCCCTAACTAAGCCTCCAAATATCTACCTCCTTGATTGTATCCATATAAAACCCTGAGCAGAGTCCATGCCTTATTCATTAATATTGTTAATGTCTAATGTTTGATATATAGTTGATAGTAAATAAACATCTGTGGTTGAACTGAGTTAATGTCTTGCTTTACATATATATAATTTAATTTTTTATTACCTGTTTGCCTTTTAGTGAGTTAATTGACAAGTCTGGAATATTTCTAAGCTTGACATCATTAAGAATTAAGTTTATATTTCAAATTTCTTTTGAAGCCAGTCATCTCTGTAATATCATAGTTGGAACATTTGCTCTAGCAATTTACTGGCTTATATAGCCTTTACTATAAAACTGATACATGGTCATACAAGGACTTTTTTTCAATTCATTTTACTAATTTTTAAGAAATAATATCCAGTAAAATTATACAATAGCAAGGTTACAGTGTGAACACACTATAACACTGCCAAAAAATAGGTTGCTCTTTTTTTTTAGTTCAATGCCATTTAAGTACAGATAGAGATAATTTCCTCAACTATCTTGATTATCCAGAAGTTTTCTTTCATTTCATGTTTATTCTGAAGGACATTCTAGGAGATATCCTCACAGAGCAGAAGGAAGACTTGTAGTTTTGACAAATAAAAGTTTTAATGAGTAGTGTGCCACCATGGATTCTTGTAAAATAGAGCGAAGTTCTTGCTAAAATGAAATCAAGATAGTTAATTGATGCATTAAGATAATATGAAGTTTCCCCTAGCATAAAGCCTAGATGGACACTTGGGAGAAGTATGATCTAGTTCAAATTTTCAGCACTCAACATCATACACAGCAATCCTCACCATAACCAAGATATGGAAGCAACCTAAGTGTCCATCAATGAATGAATGAATACAGAAAATGCGTTATATACACAGAAACTGTGTTATATATACACAATGTAATACTATACAGCCTTAAAAAATTCTGTCGTTTGTGACAGTATGGATGAACTTGAGAACATTATGCTAAGTGAAATAATCCAGGCAAAGAAAGACATATACTGAGTGATTTCATTTATATATGCAATCTAAAAACGTTGATCTCGTAGAAAAAGAGAATAGAATGGTAGCCACCAGAGGCTGGGGATTGAGGGAGGTTGATGGAGAAAGGGTAAATGTTTGTCAAAGGGTACAAAGTTTCAGTTAGAAAAGAAATAGAAGATTCAGTTATCTATTTCATCACCCAGCATGGTGAATTTAGTTAATAATAATGTATACTTCAAAATTAGAAAAAGAGAAGATTTTAAACATTCTCACTAAAAAGTGTAAGTAGGTGAAGTGTTGAATTTGTTAATTGGCTTAGTTGAATCTTTCTACAATGTATACATGTTTGACAATATCACATTGTAACGTGTGTGTGTGTGTGTGTGTGTGTGTGTGTGTATATAGTGACTTGTGGCTACATCTCTCGTTACTCTAACTTAACACCACTGTTTTTTTTTTCCTCTCTATGTATGTATATGTGTGTGTGTGTGTGTGTGTGTGTGTGTGTGTGTATAAATATATATATAAACAGTTATTTTTTGTCAATTGTAAAAAAAACAAACATCTTATATCTTGGCATTATTGTTACTTATTCTTTCTCTCCCCAACAAAAACTCTACTTATGGGCCATTTCATCTGCTTTGGGCTCCCGGTGTTTGGATTCTTTCTAGTCTCCTCCTTTCTTTCCCAGCAACCTGTCCCCAAAATATCTATATCACCACACCAACAACTCTACTCTCTTTTCCTAAATACTAGTACTTCATGCCTACTCAGAAATAAGAACACCTGGCAACAAATTAGGTACACGGAAAAAACAACTATTTTCTCTTCCCTTTTCCTTTCCAAATATTTGACTGCCTCATTTTTTTCTTCATGCAGAAAAGACAATAATAGTTGTTAGGTTTTCCTCACTTCTTTATTATCAAATACATTTGACCTTACTACATTGTCATAACATAATGCATTGAAATATGTACAGGGATGAAGAGTAAGACAAGGAAATAAAAATCATCATGAAAAAACTACTTGAAGAGAAGAAATGAAAAAATCATATTGGGAAGAAAGAAGCGAAAACAGTGAAAATTTCCATAGAAGAGTGGAGTTTGGTAGATTTAGGAAATCAAGAGAATACCAATGTGGCTGGAACTTAACAAGAAAGAGACTGAAATGCAGAAGGTGAGATAAGGTGGGACTGAAGGAGGTAGTAATGGACGCATCAAGCAGGGCTCCATACAGCTGTTGGTTAATCATCGCAAACTTTACCCTAAAAGCAATAAAAGTCTGCCAAAAGGAATCCACATTAGTTTCCTATAATGCTGTAACAAACTACCACAAACTAGGTGGCTTAAGACAATAAAATTTATTCTCTCACAGTTCTGGAGGCCAAAGTTCTATAACCAAGGTATGGGCAGCTCCACTCCCTCTGAAAACTCTAGGGGGACTATGTTCCCTGTGACTTTCTGCATCTGTACATTATTGGCATCCTTTGGCTTGTGGCCACATCTCTTGTTACTCTAACTCAACACCACTGTTGTTTTTTTGTTTTTTCCTCTCTGTCTATGTCTAGTTGCCTTTTAATTTACCCGTTTTTTGCAGTCGGAAAAGGGAGGAGTGTTTTAACAGTCTTTTCAGATAATTGTGGATATTCCCTTTGATACTACACCAAATCTCTGCAAGTGGTAGTTTCATAAAGTTTGTTTGCATTCTGCAATCTGAAACCATATCAGTAAACTTTTCTCACTTTATTGTATTTAAATTCATTGGTCTAGCTTTCCATTTGGATCTTTCCTGCTCATACATGATATGGAAAATATTGGTTCATGGAATTAAATGTTAGAACATTTTATATTACCATCAAAAAAATACAGTTGTTAAAATCAGCAGTAATCTCATTAGAAGTCTTCTTTCCCTCCAGCTCTATTGAGATATAATTGGTATGCAAAAACCTGCATATAATCATTATATATAATTTGGTGAGTTTGGACAAATGTATACACTCCTGTTACCACCACCACCACAATCCAGATGATAAACATGTCCATCACCTCCAAAGTTTCCTTGTGTCCTTGTGTTTTATTTTCATTTTTATTTCGTGTATGTTAAGGACACTTAACATAAGATGTACCCTCAACAAATTTAAGTACACACTACCTTCTTATTAGCTGTGTGCATATTGGGAAAGCTGTCATGCTCTTAGTGGCAGATACAATTTTTCCAAGTGTCTATATTTTTGCTTGAAGGCTTGACTTTTATCACCATCAACAAATATGTCAGTGATTTTTTTTTGATATAACAGTTTCATTTTGTTTTTGAGAAAATGTCTGCCAAATGCCCAACTTTCAATACTAATACTTTGTCTTTCAATTGTTATTTCATGTAAAAAGGATATTCTATGAGAACAAAGAAGCTGCTAGTTCAGCTTGCTGATCAGTTAGCATAGATTCTTTTCCTTGAGGCAACCATCATACATCAGTATGCTGCACAACTCCTTCATGTGAACTCATGAACTCAGGGGTCAAGCTTTCATGCAATTGCTAATGTTCACTGTTTCATCAGGTATATTCCTATATGAAACCATCCTTTTTTTTTTTTCCACTGTGAGTTCACAGTGGTAATGATGACCTATACCGGTGGTGCCAGTGCCTTGATTTGTGCTAAGGTGCCAGCAATTTTCAACACCCTTGCTTTTATCATCATCAGTGCTTAATGTCAGCCTGTGAAAGTTGTGAGTGACCTGTTTGCATTATTATTATGATTTTTTGTGATGTCATAGACATCCTGAAAGTTGCTTGAGAACCCCCAATGTGTCTTGAAGCACTTTGAGAACAGCTGGCTTGCCAGTTCAGTTGAGGGTGGGCTCCTCACAGTGATCTGTCTCCTCTGAGGTCACTCAACTGCATCAAGCTTCTCCTTTGCTTACTAACTTCTAAAGCTATCTTTTTAGAAGCAGTGACCAACTACTTCTTGGTTCAGCTGTGCTGTAGTTTTCCAAGTGAATGAAAATTTGATAACACTACGAAAGAAAATATTTCTGAGACAGGCAACTCCTGACCTGTATGAAGTTGTACATTTTGCTTTCTTAACACAATAAATTCATCCATAAACTTGCTTATACATGATTGACTTTCTTCATTTGTTAAGATGAAGATAATCACAAAGAGAATACGAAGAAATGTTTTGTTCATTTATCAAGAAGAATTTGGTCATCATAATTAAATTTTTAAAAAGCAGGCTACCACTTGTTGTAATGCTTTTTATTTAATGGACGATTTAATGTGTTCTTTTTTTAATTTCCTGTAAATAGTAATCAGATATTACTATTTTGGGACAAAAATAGTCCCAAATAGTAATCAGATATTACTATTTTGGGACAAAACTGCTTCATAGGTGGTGGAGTGTATTTCTCACCTGAGTCAGGTAATGTTGTCTGTCTCTCTATTTTTGGAGGATTCATGACTATTGACAACCATTGCCTAGATTCGTTATTTCATCAGGGGTTTGCAAAATGGTGATATTTTTATTGCCTTCGTTTTTTAGTTATTAGAATACTTTCATAAAGAGAAACTTTCCATCATCAACGATTTGAGATCTAGTTAGTAGAGAAAAGTTAGGTTAAATGCCTGATGCTTTTTCTTATTTTTAAAATCAATTTAAAAAAAAAATTACTCCCATAAGTCTTTGCAGAACAGGTGGTATTTGGTTACATGAGTAAGTTCTTTAGTGGTGATGTGTGAGATTTTGGTGCACCCATCACCTGAGCAGTATACACTGAACCAAATTTGTAGTCTTTTATCCCTCAACCCTCTCCCACCCTTTCCGCCCGAATCCCCAAAGTCAATTACGTCATTCTTATGTCTTTTCATCCTCATAGCTTAGCTCCCATTTATGAATGAGAACATACAATGTTTGATTTTCCATTCCTGAGTTACCTCACTTAGAATAATAGTCTTCAATCACATCCAGGTTGCTGCAAACGCCATTACTTCATTCCTTTATATGGCCGAATAGTTTTCCATTACGTACATATATGTGTGTGTGTGTGTGTGTGTGTGTATATATATGTATATATGCCACAGTTTCTTTGTCTACTCATTGATTGATGGGCATTTGGGTTGGTTCCACATTTTTGCAATTGTGAATTGTGCTGCTATAAATGTGTGTGCAAGTATCTTTTTTATAAAGTGATTACTTTTCCTCTGGGTAGATACCCAGTAGTGGGATTGCTAGATCAAAAAGTAGTTCTACTTTAGTTTTTTAAGGAATCTCCACACTGTTGTCTATAGTGGTTGTATTAGTTCACATTTCCACCAGCAGTGTAGAAGTGTTCCCTTTTCACTGCATCCCCACCAATATTTATTATTATTTGATGTTCTGTCTATGGCCGTTCTTGCAGGAGTAAGGTGGTATTACATTGTGGTTTTGATTTGCATTTCCCTGATCATTAGTGATGTTGAGCATTTTTTTCAAATGTTTGTTGGCCATTTGTGTATCTTCTTCTTAGAATTGTCTATTCATGTCCTTGGCCCATTTTTTGATGGGATTGTTTGCTTTTTTCATGCTAATTTGAATTTATTGTAGATTCTGAGTATTAGTCCTTTGTCAGATGTATAGATTGTGAAGATTTTCTCCCACTCTGTGGGTTATCTGTTTACTCTGCTAACTGTTCCTTTTGCCATGCAAAAGCTCTTTAGTTTAAATCCCACCTATTTATCTTTGATTTTATCACGTTTGGTTTTGGGTTCTTGGTCATGAAATCCTTGACTAAGCCAATGTCTAGAAGGGTGTTTCTGATGTTATCTTGTAGAAGTTTTATAATTTCAGGTCTTATATTTAAGACCTTGATCCATCTTAAGTTGATTTTTGTATAACGTGAGAGGTGAGGATTCAGTTTCATTCTCCTACATGTGGCTTGTCAATTATCCCAACACCATTTGTTGAATAGTGTGTCCTTTCCTCACTTTATGATTTTGCTTGCTTTGTCAAAGATTAGTTGGCTATTGGTATTTGGCTCTATTTCTGGGATCTCTATTCTGTCCCATTGGTTTGTATGCCTATTTTTATACCAGTACCATGCTGTTTTGGTGACTATGGCTTTACAGTATAGTTTGAAATCAGGTTTTGTGATGTCTCCAGATTTGTTCTTTTTGCCTAGTCTTGCTTTGGCTATGCCGACTCTTTTTTGGTTCCATATGAATTTTAGGATTGTTTTTCTAGTTCTCCAAAGAATGATGGTGGTATTTTGATGGGATTTGCATTGAATTTGTAGATTGCTTTTGGCAGTATGGTCATTTTCACAATATTTATTCTACCTATGTATGAGCGTGGCATATGTTTCCAATTGTTTGTGCCATCTAACATTTCTTTCAGCAGTATTTTGTAGTTTTCCTTGTAGAGGTCTTTCACCTCCTTGGTTAGGTATATTCCTACATATTTTATTTTTTGGAGCTATTGTAAAAGGGGTGGAGTTATTTATTTGATTCTCAGCTTGGTCACTGGTGGTGTATAGGAGAGCTACTGATGTGTATACATTAATACTGTACTCTGAAATTTTGCTGAATTCATTTATCAGTTCTATGAGCATTTTGGAGGAGTCTGCAGGGTTTTCAATCAGGGTATACAATCATATCATCAGCAAACAGTGACAGTTAGATTTCCTCTTTATTGATTCAGATGCCCTTTATTTATTTCTCTTGTCTGAATTTTCTGGCTAGGACTTCTAGTACTTTGTTGAATAGAAGTGGCAAGAGTTGGCATCTTGTCTTGTTTTAGTTCCCAGGGGGATTTCTTTCAACTTTTTCCCATTCAGTATTATATTGACTGGGGGTTTGTCATAGATGACTTTTATTACATTGAGGTAAGTCCCTTGTATGCTGATTTTGCTGAGGGTTTTAATCATGAAAGCATGATGGATCTTGTCAAATGCTTTTTTCTTATGAGGAGACATGTAATTGGAATCAGGGCCAACCAGATAATTCAGGTTAATTTCCTCATCTCAAAATATTTAACTTAATTAAATATGTAAAGCTCCACAGATTTGTGTTTTAAGCTATCTGAAATTGTTTGAGCAAATATTTTTTGAAGTGAATTCAGAAATCAGGACAGAAACCACACTGGGTCCAGGACCATATTAAATCTAATAGTTAACTGGATTGGGTCTAGCTAGAAGTTTGAATGTCTGACTGGGTCAGAAAAAAAAATGGCAGTAAATGGCAATATTGCAGGGAGTGAAAGCTCTTGCTTTCAGAAATTCATGGGAATTTTTGTGTTTTATCCATTTTGCTTCTTGTTCTGTACTTAGGTAGGAAAAAATCATTGACTAAGTTGCTCAAAGGGATCTAAGAGCCAAATCCAAGTTTTGATGTCAAAATGAGATTCTTAATTTCTGAAGAACTGAGTAATCAACCTTGCAGATATGCCTACATTTATGTGTATAAGTATTAGGCCCCAGAAGCAGCAAATGCTTACAAAAAATGCAAAATTTTACTATAGATAATTTAAAATTACAGTGGGACATTCCATATGAGCAGTGTTGCACTTTAAGACATGCATTTCAAGATGAGATCTCCTGAATTAGGCTAATCCAGGGATGCTGGTTGAAGCTTCTAAAAAGCCTGAAACTCCCTTTTAAAAGACTTTATAAAAGGAAAACAAAAAACTTAAGCAACCAATTGCAAAGAAAAATGGAATCTACTAACCTTTTGGCTTAGTTATCATTCCCCTCTAAAGGTTAAAAAAAAGCAGGATAAAGTGTTTATAAGAGATAGGCCCTCAGGTTAAGTAGGCTCACTTCTTTCTTGGAGCTACTCATGCTGAGTCCAGACATAGAAAATGTTTTCTTTGCCCTTTTCCTTAAGGGTCTCCACTCTGAACTCAGTAAATTTTTGTGACTTAGATAGATATTTTGAAACTCTTTTGTAAAAGAAATTTACATCTAGAAAAGAAATCTCCCTTTGTAAGGGTGTCTGCCTCTATGAACCTGGAGGAGAGGGAAGACTGAGTCACTTAGAAACTCTTATCATTGGTTTAAATTTACATAACAAGTCTTATTTAAGTTTAAGGTGCTTTTTCAGGACATCTTGTCTTAACTGGGTCTTTACCTCCTTCTTTCCTTGTTTGGGTAAAACTGATATACTATTTAGGCATAAAGTTCTAGCTGTGTGTTTTTGACATATAAATTTTCCATCTTGTTTCACCTAAGAGTTGTCCATTTAGAAGTGATAATTTATGATTTACTAATTAATAATTGCTTAAGAAAATAAACAGGTAATTTAAAAATTGATAGTCTGAATGTGGAAAAGAAAAGCTATTTGGAATTTGGCAAAAAACACACAATCTGATTGAAAGCTATAAGATCTATTTCTATCTGTGTCTGTATGTCAGTATGTTTATGTGTTATGTGTATATGGTAGTTCTATGTGATTTCAGATATTATTTGGTAAATAAAGCTAATTTTAAAATTGTAGGTAAAATAAAACAGAAATGTCTTCAAGATTGCCAGTATTAAATATAATTTAGACATTTTTTTCCTGGGCCTAATGGTCAGACTGGTTTATGCTATCCTAAAACATATTTTGGGGTCATAAAACTGCAGCTCCTGTAATATTTTTGATACATGCTTGATTTGTCTATAAGCTAAAGTTGTAAGTGCTGGCTACTGGGTTCCTCTAACATCTTGCCCACACCTTACTGTGAGATTAGTGTCTTTGGTTTTGAGCCTCTAGATAGGTGGCCATGGTGAGGCCTGGAGGCACATGCATGTCCTCAGCATATGTGCCACCAGCTGCAAGGCAAAGTCCTGTTTTCCCTAGCCTGAGTGTACCTTCTGACCAGGTGGGAAGGTTTGTATCCTCCAGGCATCATCTTCACAGCTCTAGACTCTGTCCTAAGCTTTATATCTGCTATGTCAATTGTGAATCCAGACAAGCTCTGTCCTTCAGAGTTATCCTGTCATATGGACAACTGGGAACCCTGGAGAATAAAAGAAGACAGTAGAGATGATACTTGTGTTATTGTAAAAAATTATTTTTAGTTATTTTAAATAAATAAAATGAAATAAGTCATTATATTTAATTAAGTAATAAATAATCATAAAATATCAGTCATTTCTAAGCAAGTTAAGATACTGAAACATTAATTATTAGATATACATTTAAGTTTTTATGCTTTGACATTTTATATAGTATAAAAAGCTACATATATTTATATCTGTTAATAAACAAAAAATTGAGAAAACATATCTTTCTGAATGATATGAAATAATTTTCAACCTTAAATATTAATATAAAACCGTTTAAATCATATGTTTTCTAGATTTTTTCACTGATAATTAGGGTTATTAAAAGTAAAAATTGTAGTTGATATAAGTAATTAAAACTAGTGAATATAAGAGAAACAATTCTATATACAGAGTGTATGAGGAAAGCAAGGTATATTTTTGACAAGGAAAGTTTTAAAGGCATGAAAATGTGTGTTTGTTGAGAAGAAATAATTTCATGTAGTATAAAAGTTATTTAAAGTTTTATATGGTTTGGTTCTGTGTCCTGAACCAAATCTCATCTTGAATTGTAGTTTTCATAATCCCCTTGTATTGTGGGAAGGACCCAGTAGGAGGTAATTGAATCATGAGGTTGGTTATCCCCATGCTGTTCTTGTGATAGTGAGTGAGTTCTCACAAGATCTGATGGTTTTATAAGGGGCTTTTCACTTTTTGCTCAGCATTTCTCTCTCCTGCCACCATGTGAACAAGAACATGTTTGCTTCCCCTTCTGCCATAATTGCAAGTGTCCTGAGGCCACCCAGGCATTCAGAACTGTGAGTCAATTAAACACCTTTCCTTTATAAATTACCCAGTCTCAGGTATACCTTCACAGCAGCATGAAAAGGAACTAATATAGTAAATTTGTGCCACAGAGAGTAGGGTGCTGATACAATGATGCCCCAAAACATGGAAGCTATTTTGGAATTGGGTAATAGCCTGAGGCTAGAACAGTTTGGAGAACTCAGAAGAATACAGAAAGATGTGGGAAAGTTTAAAACTTCCTAGAGACTTCTTAAATGGCTTTGACAAAAATGCTGATAGTGATATGGATAATAAAGTCCAGCCTGAAGTGGTTTCAGATGGAGATGAGGAACTTATTGGGAACTGGAATAAAGGTGATATTTGCTATGCTTTAGCAAAGAGACTGGTGGCATTTTGCCCCTTCCCTAGAGATCTGTGGTCTTTGAACTTGAGGGAGATGACATAGGGTATCTGGCAGAAGAAATTTCTAAACAGCAAAGTGTTCAAGAAATGACAAAGCATAAAAGTTTGGAAAATTTGCAGCCTGATGTTATAATAGAAAAGAAAAACCCATTTTCTAGGGATAAATTCAAGCCCACCACAGAAATTTGCATAAGTAAACAGGAGTCAAATGTTAATCACTGAGAAAATGGGGAAAATGTCTCCAGAGCATGTCAGAGACCTTTGTGGCAGCCCCTCCCACCACAGGCCTAAAGGCCTAGGACAGTAAAATTGTTTCATGGGCCATGTTCAGGGCCTTGCTTTGGGCAGTCTTGCAACTTGGTGCCCTATGTCTCAGCCATGGCTAAAAGTGGCCAACCTACAGCTCAGATCATTGCTTCAGATGATACAAGCCCCAATCCTTGACAACTTACACGTGGTGTTGGGCGTGTGGGTACATAGGTGGGAAACTCTACCTAGATTTCAGAGGATGTATGGAAATGCCTGGATGTTCAGGCAGAAGTTTGCTGCAGGGGCAGAGCCCTCATGGAGAACCTCTGCTAGGGCAATGCAGAAGGGAAATGTGAGGTTAGAGCCTCCAAACGGAGTCCCCCAACTAGGGCACTGCCTAGTGGAGCTGTGAGAAGAGGGCCAGCATCATCCAGACCCCAGAATTGTAGATCCACCAACAGCTTCTGCCCTGCACCTGGAAAAGCTGCAGACACTCAGTGCAGTCTATGAAAGCAGATGGGAGGGGGGCTCTACCCTGCAAAGCAAAAGGGTGGAGCTGTCCAAAGCTGTGGGTGCCCACATCTTGCATCAGCATGACCTGATGTGAGACATGGAGTCAAAGGAGATCGTTTAGAAAATTTAAGTTTTAATTATTGCCCTATTGGATTTTGGACTTGCATGAGGCCTGTAGCCTCTTCGTTTTGGCTAATTTCTATATTTGGAACTGGTGTATTTACCCAGTGCCTGCACCCTCATTGTATCTAGGAGGTAACTAACTTGCCTTTGATTTTACAGGCTCATAGGCAGAAGGTACTTGCCTTGTCTAAGGTGGGACTTTAGACATGGGCTTTTGAGTTAATGCTGGAATGAGGTAGACTTTGGGGGACTATGGGAAAGGCATTAATGCATTTTGAAATGTGAGGACTTGAGACTTGAGAGGGGACTGAGTTGGAATAAATGGTTTGTCTCTTTGTCCCCACCTAAATCTCATCTTGAATTGTAGTTTCCATAATCCCCATGTATCATGGGTGGGACCTGATGAGAGGTAATTGAATCATGGAGGCAGTTATCCCCATGCTGTTCTCATGAAAGTGAATGAGTTCTTATGAGATCTGATGGTTTTATAAGGGAATTTCCCCCTTTGCTTGGCACTTCTCTCTCTTGCTGCCATGTGAAGGAGGATGTTTACTTCCCCTTCCACCATTGTAAGTGTCCTGAAGCCTCCCTAGCCATGCAGAACTGTGAGTCAATTAAACGTTTTTCTTTTATAAATTACCCAGTCTTGGATATTTCTTCATAGCAGTGTGAAAATGAACTAATACAAAGATTATTTCAAATTGATTAAATAAAAAAAAACAATAAGGCTAAGTTATTTTTGTGAGAAAAGAGGATGGAAAAAATGTAAGAGATTATAAAAGATTTATGGAAATAATGTGTGATAAAAAGCTAACTGGGGTTGCAAAAGTTTGTTTATAAAGTTTTATTAAAACTAGCTTTAGTATTGATAATACACTAATACAAACATAAAATTTGGTTTTCTCTTTTAAACAAAATTTTCATGTAGTAGTCGTAAGTCATACTAAAATATTTTTGTTCACCTTTTCATTAAAATCAACCTTTTGGAAAAAAAAAAGACTGAGAGAGGTGTGAATGAGACAAAAATTCTGTCCAATGCTGTTTTTATTAGGTCTTGGATTGTTTGGAAAACTGAGTTTATTCTCTATAAAATAAAATATTGGCTTCTTAAAAATTAAAATTTTATAATTATCACTTTGGCAAAATGAATGGTTATTATTTTATAGTGACTTGTGTGTGATCCTATTTTGATTAAGTGTTTAAAATCTTTGACATATTTGACCAGCTTCTCCAAGTCAATTTCAAATTCAAGGTTAAATCTTTTTTGACCTCAAACTAATGTAGGAGGACTTTAACTTTGGAGGACTAAAGAGGACCATTGCAGCATCCAAAAGAGAGATAAACAGTCTTACATGATATGCTAAATGATATGGGAAGAATTGTCAAATATAATATAATATTTAATATTCTTTGAGTTATATTTTAATGGATTTGTTATTACTATATGTTTCAAAATTGTATGAGAGTCCTAAAATTTTGATACATCATGATATATGTTATCAGTCATAATTATGGTTATTATTCTAAATTATTGTAGCCCAAATGTTCTTGTCAATTGCATCTTTAACCATAATCATATTAAGTCCTGAACACTGTTAATTGTTTAATTTTGATGCATTCTCTCTCTCTTTGGAAGAAATTATAATCCTAAACTGTTGTGTCTTCAAGGAGGTTCATGAAAAGAATAGAAAGGACCCTGACAATCACTCTCGAAAGGAGATTTTTAACAAAATTTGGATTATATCATTTGGACTGGGTGAGAATTCCCAGAACTCTAACGTAGAGATGGACTGGTTTATACAATGGCTAACCCAGCAGGATAAGAACTAATTGCATACCAAGAAAAAACCTTGCCAGAGTTTCGTGCTAAATTATCCAGTATTAAAATTGTTAAGATATGCAATTTGTGTAAACTGCGTGGTCCAAGTCAAATTACCTATGATCCTATGATAACCCACTTAATAAACACTACTATGCACCTGAATTTGAGAAACCAAATTGGTATTTAAGCAGATAATATTTAATTTTAAGCATCAATTCATGGAGAACCTATATGGCCCCCTGCTCCTTCCTGTCTTCTTTTCTTTTTCATCCTGTTTTTAAAGCTCCCATTATAAATATCTCTGTGCTCCATGACTCATCATAACAGAGATAAAATAATCCAGTATATTACCTAATTCAATCATATATTTGTAGATGAACAAATGTCAATCATTGGTCAAAAACCATTTTTATAAATTTAGAACAGTCACCACAATCGATCCAATGATCAATGTTTGGTCAGCTAAACTCCTGAAGGACTATTTGAATATTTGATTTTATTTAACTGCCAATTTCAATGGTTTCTGGTTGTCTAGAAGTGTTTTTATGCAAAAAGTCTGATGCTATTACAGTAGGTAAAAGGTTATTAGGAAATATCTTTCCTTCATGGAGCATGCCTGAAGAAATCTTTAGTGATGGAGGTACTTGTTTCACTAGACTCATTGCAAAACAATTAAATAGAGTATTATAGATTCAATTACATTACACAAAGATAACTGAATCAACTGGATTGCATCAGTCAAAAGTATTGCAGATTGATTACAATCAGATTTACTTCCACTGGAAAATATAATTTACCCCTTATAAAATTGTCACTAGAATTATCCCCAATATTAAAACCTCACGTATCTTTCAGATATGACTAAATGTTGCAAGATTTTAATGTATTACATTAAAGTGTATTTTCACTAGGTAAAGGAAGCTTTCATGATCCACCAACTGAAGACAATCAAACCCTTCAGGATCTATAACCCAGACATTTGGTTTTATGTAAACCATCAGAAAAAACTGCACTTGCCACCACAATGCAGCAACATTTTGGAACCTCAAACCTTGGTCCTGTAATCTCACAACTCAGTACGGCCCCTTCAGACTCTTGGAATTGTGCATGTATTAGAAACCTTAAAGTAAAGCTAATCGACAAATTTCTCCCCAGAAGCAGACAGTATCTTAGACATGAACAGCTTTCCTACGATCGAGGATAAGATTTTTCTGCCATCATGAAACTCTTCTCTCTCTTAATTTTGCTTTCTTATTTATGATTCTATGAATTATAGAACTGAAAAGGGGGCCTTTTGTATACCCATGGGGTATATTTTTATTTGTTGAGGATTTCACAGATAATTTTATACAGGGGAAGCCTTAGGCCTTGATGGATGGAATATAAATGTTCAATGTGGGCTAGGAATTTTAATGGTACCTTTGTTTCTCCATAGTCAGAAACAGAATATTTATTCACTCCTCTTAAACTCCATCATAGAATAGAGAGAATGTTGCAAGGAGGCCTTTACCCTTCTGGATGGGCATCATTTATTAGGTCCCTTTTTTATGACTTGGAGTAAATGCAAATGAGGCAATGATTAGAAATGTATCCCTTGTAATAGGCAGTGTAGCAGATTCTATTGCAAAGATTATCGTTCACAACAGACTTCTTTAAGTTTTCTTGCTAAAGTTGAGCTAGATAATAGAATTGTTTTACTGGTTGAATAGGGAGTAATCAGTGCAGTTGCTGACACTTCTTTTGCACGTGGACGAATACATCATGTATCACAGAGACTCAGTGGCAAGGGATTAACAAACGGGCTGCTCAGTTAAAACAAATACACTCTTCATCTGGTTCATTATGATAATTCTTTATTTTAGTTGGTTTGGTTCATGGGGACCCTGGCTATAGAGTAAACTCCCAACTATTGGTATTATCCTCCTGAGAGTTATAATAGTAGTCTCCCTGGTGTGCTTTACTCTTTCAAAAGTTTTTAATGTTCACATGCAGCCATGCAGAGAATGCCAAACGGTCTCTTTTCAATTGAAATGACAAAAATTCAAAGAAATAAGTAATCATGAGGACACTGTAACCTATAAACGACAAAGTAAGACCAAAACCCAAAATGATGGAGACCAGAAACCCAGAATGAGGTAACTGGGAGTAGTGCCAAAACTGGGAATTGTTAAACAAAATAATGGGAGGCAATTTTCTTGGATTGAACTCATGCACTAGGTCCACAGATCAAGCCAAAATGAGACACTAATACTATATGCTACATAAGTAAACTGAAACTTTAAGGAAGCAGATAGATCCCAAAACAGTTAATTTTTTTTCACCTGAAAACAATAGATTAGTGTGTAATAGAGAAATCCCCTCTGCTCTAATCCTTACAAAACAGTTACCTGAAGTAATCAATCAGGTTTCCTTTTTTCCATTGTTCCCACCTTACAAAACCCACTGTTCTGCTATTTTCCAGTGGAGTTTAAGACCAAGTAAGTCCATTTATCATGGTGACATAAAGACATCAATGCTTAAAGTTTTGGTCAAAGTCTCAATATTTTAGCCTAAAGCTGACTCCTTACATATTTTTAACTTTAGCCTAAAGATTTCCTCATACATAGTGAACTCTAACCTAACTGAATGTGTAAACAGACTGTAACCTACTCTTGTTACAAATAGCCACATCTCATCCAATCACAGCAGCTGAGTTTCAGCCAGTCGCAGACAGCCAACTGTTAAAACTACATTCAAAGACGCCAAAAACTGACTTGTGACCAATTCAGCTATTTCTGTATCTCACTTCCCTTTTCTGTCCATAAATGTTTTGCGGTCATGTGACAGCCCCCAAATCACTCTGAACCTATTCCAGTTTGAGAGCTTCCTAATTCTCAAAGCTTTCTTTGCTCAGTGAAGCCCTGTTTAATTGTTTTAAGTTTTTCTTTTAACACTATGTTCTCAACTACAATTGTAATCAATATAGAAAATGATTCCTGTGAAGGTTGCTAAATTGATTAAATTATTTTTCAAACTTCTAGTTGCTCTCACCTTGGGCTCTTAATCACTGTATTAAAAGAACTAAAATTTTGTTTCTCAATACTAATTCCCTGGCAACTCTTTTTATCATAGCAATGACTATCTACTTAAATGCATAAACTATATAACTCTCCGAATGGTTTCCTAAAGTTCCTTTCAGTTTTAAAATTTACAATTTTAGTGTGTTTTTAATAAATATTTATAATTATAGAGATAACTTTTATTTTGCTCACCTATTTTGAAGGATCGATGTAAGAATTGGTAAAATGATTGAATAGAAGTGAAAACAAAATATTATTATTATTGAATGCTTAAAGCTTGACCCGAGAGATCATTGCATTATATAATTTCTGAATAAACAGATTCCATTATATTCTTTGTGGGGTTAGTAAAATAATGTGGTATGACATAAGACAGTAAACATAGTTTCTGTTTTAGAAAAATTCCTTTTATGTACCCTGTTGGAAAAAAAGAAAAATATTTTTTCTCCATGAAGATAAGCTTCAGTGAAGTTAATTGCTCAGAGCAACTAGTCTTTTAAATTGTTTTTAATGAGGCACAAATCAATCATCTGCTCAAACAGTAGGATTTAAAACAGTGCTGCCAATGCTTGCACGTAGTATGTTAACTAGGTGTGTTCCTTTTCTTGGTGGTTTGGACATAAACTAATTATAAGCATATATTATGTAAGCACCTGTTGTATGTAAAGCACTAAACAAAGCAGTCTTTCTCAAATAAGTATTTAGATTGACAAACTATTCCTATTCCACTAAGAGGAACAAGTTAATATAAAAATAAGTTCCAACTAATTGCATTCACTAAGTAATCTCTAACTTACTCAAAATTAAGAATCGAGCTCATTTCTGAGAACTGGCTCCAGTAGCTGAAATTGTCTATGAACAAATTTTATAAAGTTTTAAAGACAGTTACTGCTTTGTTATTTATCCATCTCTATATCCATATCTATTTTGATATTTGAGGAGCCTATTGGTTGAAAATGTAGAGTAGACAGAGTTAACCTGGTAGATATATAGATAGGCATCAAATATATAACGATATACTAAGCAAAGTTCTTAACCCTTTCTAATTGAAAACAGAGGTAGCTCCAACAGAATTGTCTATATTGATAAATTTAACCACCTCTTGCCTGACTGGCTTTCAGAACATAAACTCCTGCACTCAGAAAAGACAGTGTGAATGTTATTCCAAAGTGAGGCTATATTACTAGTAGAGGCAATGCTGTCCTCACAGGGGTGGAGTGGGGTGATGACTTCACCTAAAGAAGCAAGACTGATGAATTAGGAAGAATAAGACCTGGTAGAATGAGGGACCAGAAAGCACTGACCTAAAGGGAAGCGAAGAAAAAACATCTGAATTATGGATTTGCTATTTGTATAAAGTTTCTCAGTGTCTACATGTTCAGATGTAGAAAGTTTTAGACTCACGTAAGTTTCTTGCTGCAAAATGTCAAAATCCTGTAGCTATTCCCTTCATTTTACATATCAGAACGCTGAGACTCAAAGTAACAGAGGCTGGGTTGGTACAAAATATCAGATATTCTTCCTGTCATTTCTGAGTCTCTTTGACAATGACAGCATCATGTGTAAGTTTTAAAGTACTATATACATGTTAGGTATTAATAGTTTGTGGTACTTGTTATTTCTCACAGTCTCACTGTTTTACTGGTAGCATAAGGCCTTTACAAGACTTGAGCCTCAATTAGTTATTGTATGATAACATTCTGTGCCTTTCCTGATTCAGTTTCTCATCTTTCCGTGAACTTTAAATTGCAGCAGACTTCTATGAAATGAAAAAAACTGAAACTCAGATAAAATTCATACTATGAAAAAATAAATATAATCAAATAACTTGTCCTTTTATCTAAAGTAAAAATAGATAACTTCCCTGTCTCCATTATTACGACAGAATTAGTATTGTATTAAAACTGGGGCAAAGGAAAATATCAGAAAACAAAACATCGTCTATCTTTTGGGGAGAATGAGGTTTGAAGTAGAGAGGCATTTTGTTATGCTTGTCTATCACCTTCTTTGAGAAAGTTTCTGTGTAGAGTCTACACAGCATGGCATCCCATGGCCATTTCACAGGCATGGTAAATTGTCTCAACCTTCCTTATGAATTCCGTGAAGATTTATTAAGGACTTTATGTACATGGCAAACACTACACTAAGCAATAAAAGTGCAAGCGAATGCTTACAAGGGGACACAGACAAAGTTGCAAATAATTAAGATTCACTAGGGTGAGCCCTAAAACTCAAATAGTAATAATAGTGTAATAGTAAGGCAGGCTTTAGAATCTGTAGAGAACTTAAAAAAGATGACAGCAGAGTTGGAGATTTTTGTATTATTAAGTAGGTGTTTAAAGTGTATTCAAGAAAGAGTAAAAGGCTTTAGAGAGGTATAGTTATATATGCTTTTTAGATAATCAAGAAGAGTTTTTTGGTTTGACAGAGCTTTTATGGAAGGAACTAATAGCTGAAGATAGAAATGCATCCAAAATCAGATGTTAGGAACACTGGGAGTTGTCTATGGGGAAACACTGAAGGATTTTAAACAGGACCTTGTTATGAGTTTCCAAAGATCATATTATGAAGTCACTTTTCAAGCCATGTAAGTCCAATTCAATTACTTTGTGTTTTTCAACATAATCTACTTCTTGGTTTACCTCTTCTTTCCCTGGAGGTGTCTGTGGCTGTGACAATACTGTTAGCTTCTCCTTTTTCTCCTTTTTCCCATTTCTCCTGCCTTTCCCCCTCCTCTCCCTCTTCTCCACCTCCTCTACTCCTCCTCTTCCTTCTTCTTTAACAATTTCATAACATAATCTCAAAATTACTGGTACTTTAGGTCTCAAAACTCTGTGAAGCTAATTAAAATCAAAGAGCTTTCATAATGAGTTAATAGATTTCATAGCTTGTTATGAACATGTTGATTATTGCTCTGTTGCTTTGCCCACTCTGTGAGTATAATGCAAAACTTATGGCAGGTATTTTTTAGAATGATTTTGACTTAAAAACAAAAAAATGCAATGTTTTCTAAAAATTTCTAACCAGTTCAAATAGCATTATTAATTTGGAAGACATTGGTAATAATAACATTAATTTACCATATGCATGATATGAGCTAAAAAATATTGACTTTCTATTGCCTTATAACACGTTAGTACAAACTGAGTAGTTTGATACAATACCTGTGTATTAACTAACAGTCTGAAGGTCAAAAGTTCAGTCACTTATGACTTAGTCCTGTCCTCAAGATCTTAAAAAGGTGAAATCCAAATATCAGCTAAATTGTGTGTCTTTCTGGAGCTTGTGGTCCTTTTTCTAGTTGACATTATTACTGGCAGAATTCAGTGGTTTGCAGTTGTAGTACAGCTGAGGTTACTGTTCACTTGCTGGCTTTGATACAGAGCTTATTCTCAGCTTCCAGAGGCAAGTAAAATGTCCTTGAAATATAACCCCTTCCTTATACCCTCTTATACTTTGTATATCTCTGACACTTGAAAGGGCAGTGATTTTAATGCCTCTCCTAAGTTGGTCAGGCTCACATAGATATTCTTCACCTTCATTAACTTAACTGATTGGATTGGGTTGAATTCTTGGTACATGAACTCAGGTATATGAATCAAGGTATTTTGTTGGGGTGATCAGACCCAACACCAGGCTGTGGGGGCCATGAAGTCCGGTAGAGTCAAAGGAATGAGACAAGACAAATTAAGAGTGCATAAAGTGGGACCAGGGGGCCAACACTAGTATGGAAGCTACGAAGGCCCTGAGCTCTGGAAGCCCACACTATTTATTGGTGATCAAACAAAGAAGCAGGTGGTGAGTCTGTGGGGGTTGAAAGAAAGTGCTGTATCAAGCACATGATCTACAGCTGTGACAGTTTAGCATTTTCTTTGAAGCATATGGAACATGTTCTGCTACTTGAGATAATGAGAAATATGTTCTTCTAGTTTAAGATACAATCGATCTATGAGCCTGGGAGTGCTAGAAGCAAGGAGCTAGCAAGGTTAGACACATTCCAGAGGCCATGAGGGGCTTTATGCCCTGAGCCCTGGATTTCGTCCAAGCCGCTAGAGGTTTTATGCCCTGGACTTAGATTGTGGTGTGGCAGGGCAGCCTTCCACCCTTTGGCACGGAGCTTGGTGTTCCAAAGGCCATGAGGGGTTTTAGACCCTGGCCCCTGGACATGTTCCGAGACTCTTTTACATTATCTCAGACATACAAGCCCTGCCTCAGCTTTTTTCCCAACACTCTGCTTTTCCTCAACAGTATTTTCCAGATATATTTTTATTACATCTGAGAACTCTCTTTGCTATATAATTTAACATAATTAAGTCAGATGTATTCTATCATCAAGAAGTCCCCCACACTCAAGGGCAGGAAATCACACAAGAGTGGACAGAAGTGATAGGAGACATCTTAAAAATTCTGCCTACCATATAAACATTCTGTTAAATGATTTATATGCATTATTTTGATATCTCAATATAATTTGATTGTCCCAGATTTATAGATAAGTAAAGCCAGTCTTTGAGAGAGTATGAAACTTGGCCAGCCAGCCACAGTGGCTCACACCTGTAATCCCAGCACTTTGGGAGGCTGAGGCAGATGGATCACCTGAGGTCAGGAGTTCGAGACCAGTCTGGGCAATATGGTGAAACCCCTCCTCTACTAAAAATGCAAAAATTAGCCAGGTGTGGTGGTGCATGTCTGTAATCCCAGCTACTTGGGAGGCTGAGACAGAAGAATTGCTTGAATCCAGAAGGCGGAGGTTACAGTGAGCCAAGATCACACCACTGTATTACAGCCTGGGCGACAGATTGAGACTCTGTCTCAAAAAAAAGAAAGAAAGAAACTTGGCCTAGGCTATAGGAGGAATTCAGCTGAATTGGATCTGAAATCCAAGGATGAAATATTTTATACTATGAAATACTTCTTTGTTAACAGTTAATTCTCATTTAACAAAAGTAGTTAAATTATAACTTTTTAATGAAAAGTATAGATAACATGTTGAATCTATTTTGTTTTTTTCATTTTTATGCTGATGCATACTGAGAATTCACATTGATATAAACCTGAACACCAAGACATTAAAAAATATTGTTAATATCTCTGAGGTGTGTGTGTATGTTTTTGTGTGCACACATGTGTGTATTTGTGTGTGTGTACACATTCCTATATTGTGAAGTGTTGGTTCAATGGCACTGGTGTTACAGGATTACATTCTTCATCAGTTTCATCAGTTGCATAATTTGTGTTTCGTGTGTGTGTGTGTGTGTGTGTTAGGTCCCTTCTATAAAGTAATACAAATAAGTTAAAACTGAACTCCTTTTCATAGAGATCATTGATCTACAAATATTGAAGGCAGAATTCTAAGATGTCCCCAAGATTCTCAACCCCTCTGATACAGGCTTTATATAATTCTCATGACTATGAATACGATGAATTTTGCTCCCATGGTTATGTAATATGGCACAGTAGGCTTAAAGATAAGGAACTTAGCTGGTGGGTGTGACCTAATCACACAGACCTTTTAAAAACAGAAAGGCCTGGTCACAGAAGGAAAAGTCAAAGATATTTCATGTTTGAGAAGAACATTTTCTATTGCTGAGATAGAGAAGATCAAGTAACAAGGACTTTAGATCAGCCTCTGAGAGCTAAGAATGATCCGTGGCCAGCACCTAGCCAAACAAGAGGACCTCTTATGACCACAGGAAATGAATTATACTAGCGACCTGGAAGAGTTTAGAAGTAGGCCTTTCTCCAGATTAGCTTCCAGATGAGGATAGTCAGTCGACCCCTTGATTTTAGCCTGGTGAGACTCCTAGCCGAAGATTGAAATTAAATGCGCCAAATTCTTAACCACAGAAGCTGAGATAATAAATTTGTGTTGCTTTAAACTGCTAAATATGAGGTAATTTGTTACTCAGCAACAGAAAACTACTAAACACATAAAAGGGAATTTTAATAGTATGGGTTCTTTAAACATTTGAGTGAATTTCGAAAGCCTTGTTGGGTTCTTGAAGAAAACCATGCAGGCATGCTCAGACATCGACACTGGTTTCTTAACAACCAAACTAGATTGTCTTGTCAAGATGCTTCAAGGAGCTATACCCTTAAAATCCATCTGTTCAATAGCTGTGAGGTGAGATTTCCAACTGACACATATGATTGCTCTCACGTAGACTATCCAAGGTTTGAAAATGAGAGCTGTCACACTTGGCTGGTTACTTGGAATGAGAGACTAGGTTTAGTGTATCGAAGCCACTGAATTATAATGACGACTGATTCTCTTCAACGTCTAAATTAAAAACAATAGTATTAATAAAATGTTAAAAATGGTAAAATAAATGAGGGGGAAAATTAAGAAAGGCAGTAGAAAATAATAATATGGAGGGTGCATGTTGTTGTTAGGAGGTGAACTAAAACCTCAGTGAGACGTATAATCTGGACTTAATCTGGAATACATGTTTGTACTTCACATATATGGAATTACTTTAATTTACAAAGCTTTTAGATAGTCCAGCTGTTAAATATTCTATATATCAGGTATTAAAGGTTATCATAACATATGGCTTTTACAAAAAAATTGCTAAGTCTAAAATTATTTTTTCCCAAAAGGCCATTATAAAGAGATATTTTCTCCCTCCTAAAATAAAAAAAAAAAACAACACACACATGCACACACATTTTAAACAATAGCATTATCCCTGATAGATGGATACCTAACTTTTTTTCTTCCTATAAAATAATTATTTTGAAGTATTGGCAGCTCCCCTTATATGCACATGCTGATGAGCACAGGTGTGTAAAAGCCATATGGTCACTCTTTCTAATTCATCTTGTTCATTAAGGTGACATTAAATTTTATTATAGCACTTCAATAATGTTAGTTTTTTCATGCCTACGTTATTCTATTTCATCAATATTTCAAAAACAATGCCAAGACTATTTTATATTTTATAATAAACAGGCAATGAAATTTAAATCAATAAGCACTTCAGTTCTAATACATGCCGCTTAGGTTTAGAGAGAAATATGGTGTGAATTAGCATCCTCCCTTTAGATAAAAAGACTCATTCATTAAGGAAGACATTCATATGCTGAGACACCATAACCTATTGGAAACACTCTAATAAAAAACCAATCACTTATGTTTTCATAGCACTGCAATGCTCAGGAAGTAGGGGTATGGAGTCAGAGAGTGGGTTTTAACAAAATTATTTATTAATACAGTAGTGGAAAATACTGATTAAACTATTCCCTACTTCCTGCCAACTACAGTCACCTGGAAGGAACACGCTAAAAGAAATACAAAGTGTCAAAGAAACATTAAGATTGAAATGTAGTATTCTCTGACATATATAGTCTTCTTAGCTAATATGATCTTTGTTGCTTTCATTGTTATTTTTTTTTTTTTTTGCTGTTTTTCAGCATGCATCTACATCTTAATTACAATTAAGAAATATCTTCCTGGCCGCATGCAGTGGCTCATGCCTGTAATCCCAGCACTTTGGGAGACCGAGGTGGGTGGGTCACGAGGTCAAGAGTTCAAGACCAGCCTGGCCAAGATGGTGAAACCCTGTCTCTACTAAAAAAAAAAAAAGAAAGAAATATCTTTTAGCTGTTTACCTACTTCCTGGAAAAATAGTAGCTCTCTGTAGCATTACGGAGTTTCAGTGGAACCAAATTTTTACCATTAAAAACTGGCATTAAATTGAAATATATGTTATATGCCTCAGTCATTTCAAACTTCATTGTAATTATCTAGCTCACAAGTTGGTGAACATTCAAAACTAGACATGAGTCACGACATCTGTTAACATTTCTACTTTCAGATTATATCACAAGATGGCTAGGAAAAGATTAGATGGCATTTTCCTAAAAATTACCTGACAATTGTCCCTCACTTCTCATTCTTTTTTTAGAAGAGATAAAAGTTTTTATTCTATAATAAATGTGTAGGAATTCAAGGGACAGCAAAAGATAGAAAATAAATAGAAACTATAAATAGAAATTGAAAGGCATACATCCACATAAATATGAAATAAACCCTGAAAACCTAAAAGAAAAAACAAACAAACAAAAAAAAAAAACAAAGGAATCAATGTTAGAGCACAAAGGACAAGACTTTATAATTACATTCTGCACATCACTGCTTGAAATTAGAGCTCATTTTGTGTATAGAGTAACACTGGTAAATATTCAGTTTGGGTATTGAATATAGATTGTTGATGTATTTGTAAGAAATCTCAGGCAATTTTCAGCTTTGGACCAGTCAACATGAACTAGAACAACTTTGTTTATGGCCCCCTACAGCTGAACAGAATTTAAAAATAATAAAACCTACTACTACCCATTGTGTTTTCAATCTCATTGACATTATACAAGTAAATAAAAATGTGTTCTACCTCAGAAATTTCCTTAAAACTGAGTTTCAGAATTCTAAGTATGAGTGCTTTACATAGGTATCTGTAATTTCAAGTCAAAATACTAATTTGGTAACAGAGTAGCTGTACTATCTGTCCCCACATGACATTTCTTTCATTTAACTGCCCAGGAAGTCAAGGTAGGTAATGAAGCCTGAATCATGGCAAATGTCAAATAACTCAATCTGCCCCATTTGAAGCATCATACAAAAGATACAATGTTATCTTGGCTCATCTGTGGGTCTGGCCTTTATGCGATTGGTTTATCATATACTGGCTTCTAGCTTCCACTTGTGTCTCTTAGGGTGAAGCTGTTGGTGTTTTTTGTGGGTACAATTTCTGCTACAGATCTGAGAGAATATAATCCTGCTGTGTTTAGCAAATCGCTCTTCCTCTGAATTAGTATTTTAAGGGGCCTTATATGGTATTGCTTAGTTCCTTTGCTGCTGGTCCAGAAGCTTGAACGGCAGATTTATCTTCAAGGAAAGTTATGTTCTATCACCTTAATGGGGAATTAGCTACATAAAGTATTTGAGATTCTTTTTCATGGGAGATTTGTCTATTTTTACCAATTACTTATGTATTTTATAATTTATATCATTATGAACACATGAATATTTACTTCATACTTCTGTTTTAATTCAATCCTTCTTTCTTTGTTTTGTTGTTTAAATTGTTCCAGCTTTGACAATTAGAAACTTTCATAGTTGCCCCCTTTGTCATACCCCCATTAATAAACGTTGTTGTTTTTAGCACACTTGCTTGCTTTCTGACATCATAACATGCTCCAGATTCATCTTGCGTATTCCCTGCCCCAATCCTCGAATCAGGCATTATCCCAGGCTCCTTTATTTGAGAGTAGTGTTAGAAACCAAGACTTGGGTGTGGTGTTGGATGTATTTGTTGTGCTACTACGGTGTCATTGCTTCTAGACCCTCTCAGCAGGTAGAGCTTGGAAAATATAGATGTATAATATATGCTAAACTCATTTAAGATTTTTAAGCAAAGTTCACTACATATGGTTTAGACTCTGTGAAAATTGTACCTACTAGAGTTGGGGAGTTCACTGACTGCATAGTCAAGTTCAGAAGCTCTGATAAAGTTAACACTGAAGTGATACATAAAATCAACTTGTAAGAAAATGGCGGAGATAGTCTATCTACTATTAGTACAAGCTGCCAATAGGAAGCAACATTTTGAGCTAAAAGCAATTGAATAATTGGATCTAACAAAAAAATCATCTAAAGATAAAGGTACAAATACATATATCTCTTCCTAAAAATTTGATTTACTTTCTCTATGCTTAATGCTGTCGCTCATGCTAATAAGTATGTGAAACCATCATAATCAGTAAGGCAATTAAAAAGCAAATATGAATAAGCTCTAGAGATATATTGTACAACATTTTACCTCTAGTCAATAATATGGAACTGTACACTTAAAAATTTTGTGAAGAAGGTGGATTGCATGTGTAGTGTCCTTACCAAACTAAAATAAAACTAAGATTAAAAAAAAATTTAGAATATTTTTAAATGTTCATTTTGAGGTAGGAAAAAGATCTGTACCATTAATAAATAAAATCAATATTGAAAATATTTTATTTTATCAAATTAAAAATATTTTAAATATGTTTATATTATTTATAATGTCTTAGCACAGTGGAAGTAGAAAGTAACAGTAATATAGAAAATATTTAAATAAATGAGGGATTCTGATTTGGGTCAAGAGGGAGTAATAATAACACAGTGAAACAGAAAACTGCTTACTTTCCTCCAAAGAGGATAAAATATAAAAAACAATAGTTGATACACATTCACAGACAATAAAGCACTATCATCTTAAGAAGTGGAGCAAGATAATAAAAACTAAAAAAAAATTAAATTAAGGTCATCTCTATGACTGTCCCAACTGATTGGCTTGAGAAGGTTATCAGGATGCAGGGAATGGAGAAAGAAATCAGTGAAAACCTGGTACA
The DNA here is from genome assembly GCF_000001405.40 of Homo sapiens. Lineage (NCBI taxonomy): Eukaryota > Metazoa > Chordata > Mammalia > Primates > Hominidae > Homo > Homo sapiens. Next base: position 33,523,284 of record NC_000004.12, read on the forward strand.
TTCCCTGTCTTCAGAGAAAACTCTGATTGTACTTAAGACATAACAGGCTGAGAGAGGGTACTGACCCAAGGGCCTTTGTGTTTCCCTCGGCTGAATTAAACTTTAGATAAGTTTCTTTCTGCCAATAGGTCTTACCTTCCTTTTATTAGAACTTCTACTTCAGAAAACTTGCAGTGATAAATTCTTCTGCCTCTTTGAGATTTAGATCTTCATAAAATCCTTGTGTACTACTTAAACAACAACCTTGTATTGTCTTTCTCAAGAACCTGGAAGCTGTCCCTTTGAAATGTAACCATCAAAGAAGATAATACCTCTATTTCTCAGTCACTGTGAGAGGGTAGGCACCTAACTTCCACGGGTGCATATTAGCAAACACAGATGACTTAATTACAAAGAAAAACATTTACATACTGGGGAGTAACTCAACATGCTCAACACATCTCATTGATCAACCTCCCTTTTAATGTTCTTCAGTACTTTTCCACTAGCTCACCCTAACTGTTCAAATACCCTTTCCTTCTGTTTTAGTGTAGTTGAGTTTGGAATGAGTTCTGCCCTCTCTCCCATTTTAACAATATTGAATAATGTCTTCATTATCTATTCAATTTTGTCCTGGGCAAATTTTGATCTGATAATGTGATACCTGAGTAGTTGCAAAATATTTTTACTTTGTATCTTGCAAAACAGAATTTATGTTTCAGCCATACTTTGGGCTTCTAGAATTGCACAGTAGAAATTTTGAGAAAGTTGGGAACAGAGAGTGGATTGACTAGGAGAAAGGAAGTGCAAAGTAGTAAAACACTTAGAATATAGTAGAGGATGAAAAACTCAAGTGCTTACATATTGTGATGTGAGTCAAAATAGCAGCAACATAAGTCATAGTGGAATTAGTTTGCCCCAAGCTTTACAACAGAACAATTCTCAGCAGGTTGTGGTAAATATGAAGACAAACTTCTCCCAGAGGGAATCTGCTGCAGCTTCCTTATTTATGTTATTTTAGAAAATGACTTCATCGGGCCGGGCGCGGTGGCTCACGCCTGTAGTCCCAGCACTTTGGGAGGCCGAGGCGGGAGGATCACGGGGTCAGGAGATCGAGACCATCCCGGCTAAAATGGTGAAACCCCGTCTCTACTAAAAATACAAAAAATTGGCCGGGCGTAGTGGCGGGCGCCTGTAGTCCCAGCTACTTGGGAGGCTGAGGTAGGAGAATGGCGTGAACCCGGGAGGTGGAGCTTGCAGTGAGCCGAGATCCCGCCACTGCACTCCAGCCTGGGCGACAGAGCGAGACTCCGTCTCAAAAAAAAAAAAAAAAAGAAAATGACTTCATCAACTTTTTCTATTGATCACAAGGGAAGAATTCCTCTAACTCGTCCAAGGACCATATTTATTTTATACTTATGAAGATTTAAAGTTCCAGTTTGTGTTTTGGTTTGTTTTTGCAATAATGATCTCCATTCTAACTCGGTCTATTATCTAATTCTCTATGTCTAGTTTCTTTATCTATAATTTGGAGATAACAAGACATGGAGTGGTTGCCAGGATTAAATGAATTAATATATGTAAAATGCTTAGTAAATATCTAACATAGTTAATGCTCTATAATTATATATTATTATTATCACTATTAATCACAGTCAAGGCAGATCAACAGGTATGAGGAAGAACTTTTTTTACAGTTGTTTCTTGGCAATATACAGAACAATAGGATATGGAATTTTGCATTCCCCTCACTTCATCCGTTACTTCTAAACTTTGCATAACATCTATAAATCATCACTCTTCTATACAGTTTTATTTACCAACTTAATGCTCAATCAAGAAGTAGCTCATTTCATTTATAAAGTGAATAACATTACTTACTCCATGTGCCAGGAAAAAAATGTTTATGCTTCTTTCTTTTTTTCAGTAAGGTACACTGAAACCCTAGATGAATAGTTTATAATTCAGAACGCATGCAACATTCAGGATGGCTGCTTATATTCAAATAATAAAAAGATGGTAAATAAATCTTGATGACTAATGACACTGAAATAGAGTATTATTTAGAAAAATGAGGCTTTTATATTTTTTTAAATAAATTACAATAAGTTATATGTTTGTTGTAAGTTAATGAGTATAGTCATTGTACTTTACCTCTGATTCACATAGCATTTTACATTAAATCAGAAAAACTGACAAGATTTTCTCTGTGTTGTTATTCTGCATTAAAAAACTAGCAAAAATAATTCGACTAAAATATAGCTTTAATTTTGATTCACTATAAAGTCATTATTTCTAGAAATCTCTATGATCAAGAAAAAGGATGCTATTTGAGTTATTAAAGTTAAGTTGCTCTGGGTCTATGAACTATTTCTGTATGTCAAAAAATAATCAATTGTTTAAACATGAACAATCTGATATCTCCCATAGTGTCAGTAAATGTATTTATTATTGAGATCATAGGAAATTTGTTTTTTATAAATCCAGCATCATGGAATAAGCTATATAAACTTACTTGTCTCTAAGGTAATGTTGCAAAACAAACAAACAAAAAATGAATAAAATGGCATTTCTAAATATCTTACGGTCCTTGCCTCACATTTTAAATGGTTGCATTTATATGCTATAAGTACATTCTAAGTTCACTACAATATTTACAGCTACAACTAAGTTCTCACTGGGTTCTGAATATCTTTCTTTCATGCTGTTCATATTTCTTAACTTTTGAAAAAAAATTCAAGGGAGAATCCATGCAAACTATAAATTATCTTGTTCCTGATTCAACTAAAGGAATCAACAGGCAATTATCATATGGGATTTGTGTGTGTGTCTGTGTTAGCATGCCATTGTACCTGTATTTAGGGTATGTAGTATAGATCACTTCATTTGAAATATTCTGTAAAGATATTTTAAGTAATGATTATAATAAAATAAAACTTAGAAATGTACCTAAAAAGACATATTCCCCCTTACAATGGAAACTTCATACTATTCAAACTGCAAATTAGTATATTTAAGCACAGACTTAAGACCAAAATGTATGCTTAGGCATGGGGATAAGGAAATATTTTGTTTTTAAATGTTTTTATTTTCCTTTTATAAATATGTTGCTATTTGAGATTAATTTTTTGTTGTTTCCTTCTCACAAAATTCTCAATACCAGCAATTAGGAAGCATTCTTCTTCTCTTTTCAGCATTGTTACTTTTCATCGTCTTAATCTTAGTCATTTGAAGCATAGCCTCATTTCTGAGCCTATCATCATGAGTGTTCATATTAACTCTATTATTCAATACTCAATATACTAATATCAATGTAAAAGGACATTGAAATGTGACTTCAATCAAATATCATAATTTTTTACATCAGGTCTCTCATTCCAGAAGTTTCTGATACTCAGCCTAGAATTTCTATAGTGTTACCAATTAGTCACACAAACTTTTTGGGTCATTTGGAAAAATCCAAATTATTATTATAATTTTTGCAAACATATCCAACACTTACTGTCTACTTAATCTCTTAATTCTCTTGATGAAAAAAAAACATAGAGAAAGGAGGTAAATAAAGTAGGCTCTTGAAATCTGAATGTATTTCTTATTCTAGTAGCTGGACTAAAAATAATATATTTACACAACACTTGGAATCTGTTCAGATTTTCATATCTCAGCATGTCATTTCTAATCTATTACCATGTTCACCAAATAGGCTTTCCCCCCAGACTTGAATAATTAAAGAATTCTTGACTGCATGTCATTTTTTTAAGGTGTCTCCTCTGCAACCAAGTGATCGCTAAGAATTCAGCTACTTCAGATTAACTTCCCTGGGGTTGGTAACACAATCCCATGTTGCTAGCTATCTTCAGGTAAGGGAAACACCCCTACCAAAAGCTTCCAGCTAATCCTCATCCCCAAGCCATTGTATCATCCATTCTACTAGTCTCCCAGAATGAGGATGCCAGGATACTTCTGTCATATCATCAGTCTCTTGGGTAGAGCTCAGCCTGCTACCCTTTTCCGAGGATCTGCATTCTGAGAAATTTTTCATCTGAGTTTCCCTCCTTCCTGTCCCTTCTGTGGATCCCGCTTCTGCTTCGGAGTGAGGTGTGGACAACTTAATTTCACTCAGTTGTGCCTAATTTGTTTCCTCATCTTTTCAGTTAGTTCTTACATTTCGGCATGCTGCTTGTCATACCCACCTGAGGTCAAGGGTTTAAAGCCAGACTGTAAACCAGACATCCCTATGATCTTTACCAGAGCAGCTCCTTTCCCAAGTCTTGTACCAAAGCTTCTGACACTTCTAACCTTGGCTTTAATATCTTTCATTTCAATATAATGAATTTTCATTTTGCCGTTTTTTTATTTAATGTCTCTACTTGAAAATATGCTTTTCTGTCTTTAGCATTTTGCTCAAGAGAATTTTGTAAATACTGCTCCAGCACCCTACCTGTTTCATATCCCAGCTCAGAAACCAAACACACTATGGACATAGCCAAGATACCAAAATTATCCAAACATACATGCATGCATGCATGCATGCACACTTGAATAGACACATTTGTGTGCATGTGTGTGTTTGTATATAAATAAGCATACTGTTTGTTTATCTGCAAGGTTTAGAAAGCTAAGGGCCAAACTGTTCAGCCTCCTCCACTTATATCACGGGCAAGAATATCATTTTCTTTTTTTAAAAAATTATTTTTTTACATTACATTCTAGGTTTCCATTGCAATTCTAGTATCCGGAAATTAAGAATGGTTCTGGAAATGCAGAAATGCACACTTTTTATATTCTCACACATCTCGTCCCAATATTGTACAAGAGTTTCATTAAGCCAGGCGTAATGACACACATCTGTTTCAAGACAAATTGTTTGAAGGAAATTATCATTAACCAATGGAAATACTACACTGTTGTTTAAGAAAACTCTTTAATGTCTCAATACTAACTTTAACCAAAATAATTTGTACTACTCTTACAAAAATCAGTGCTTAAGTTCAGCTCTCTTTCACATACCAAAAAATATTTATTATATACACATCTTGAAACAGAATTCTCACAGTAAAACACTTCCTTGGAATCATTCTCTTCTTTAGCTTTCTCAAGGAAAGTCAATAATAAAATAGGCTATTTTTAAAACACCTCTGTCATATTTTTAGCTTGTGGAGTCGCTTTATTGCTGGCTCCTTTTTTTTTTTTTTTTTTGTCAGATCTGTCTTTATTTTTCATGAAGTCAGAGTCCTTCATAAAAGAGATAGACCATTTCCCCAGCTGGACTTTTGTTATCTCCTCAGTCAAAAATAATTGGCTACAAAGGTAGAAGGCAGGATCTCAACAACCTATCAGAGATTCTGACATTTAGGTTTATACATTGCCTTTAGAGAACAGGTAAAATTTACCTTTCTGGCATACCTGTTTTTATGTTCCAACTCTCTGTCTTCACACTTGCAAAATCTTACAGAGGGATCCCCTTATACTGACTTGTTAGTGTCTACCTTTTTCTTCTAGCCATTGTTAGAGCCAGACATTTAATAAGGAGCCTTCTCTCCTGAATTTTAGCCTTCTGGGATTATTCTTTTTTTTCCTCCTCTAAAATAACTTTTTGCATTTCATCATTTGGATTATCTACCTCCAAGGATCATTTCAGACATTAAAAGATTATCCACTCCACTTTTTAGAAGTAACTCTATTAAAGAATAAAACATGAATTGATCTACAATTTTAGAAATCTGTGAGTTTTTCTAGAAATTACTGCCCAGATGTTCATGATGGATGCTATTTTTCAGCTTAGCAAAATCTTCTATTTACCAGAGTCCCACAGACACATGCTCACACATTCTCCTGCTTGCTGTGTCAAATTCTTGAGACTCTGTCTACATTCCATTCTGTAGAAGGACAGTCCTACAAGGCGAGTATAGTGAAAGAAGAACAACATAAGCAACAACAACCTACATTACTCTGAGCTCCAACACAGAGCACCAGGAGATGAGGATACATATTTTTCCTATTTTTGGTCTTTGGAATCTAGGCTTTCTTTCCAAGTATTGATGCCTGTTTAACAAGCCAAGGCAGCAGCATGGATGAATACAAGTGCATGATGTATTACTTAGCACTGACCCAGAATGAAAAGGTGAGTTGTCCTTGAGTGGGTGGGAGGATGGGAGGTCTTTTTCTTTCTGTAATAACTAGTCTGAAGTTTATTTTTTAGTAGTCACATTCTTCCTACACAGCCAGTCTCAAGTTTATTCTTTAGTAGTCACATTCTTCCTACACGATTTTTAGCAGAAAATCCTTCCAAATTTCTCCACGACCACTCCCCAAGCAAGGACTAACCATTTCTTCTTTGCTACTTACTTCATTTACCTAGGTTTCTATTACCATAATATTACTAGCATCAAGCAGTGGTTCTGTTGTCAAGGCAACTAAAATGTTTACTCGTTATAATCACTGCTAAGTTCTTGGCTGTCCTCACTTTTTTTTTAATTCAATAATAAAATCCATTCCTTGTTTCTACATACTTTTTTCCTGATTATGTCTTCATGAAAGTGTCTTTGTCACTCTCATTCAAATCTGATTAAACTATATGTTTCTCTTGCACATACTGATGAATTTACTTCTACTATACTAACTTACCTTGGTGTCTTTTGTGTCCTGCTATATCGTAAATATTTCCTCCAGTTATTATTTGTCACTAACAAAAAACCACAGAATATTTATGTTTAAGGAACGAATATAAGAAGGGCAAATATTTGGAATGGGAATGGGTGGCCAGAGTTTTCAAAAGCAAACCAAAAAGGCAATAAATCCCAGAAGGCAAGTGGCAGGATCAAGAAAGAGAAACAATTAATCTTGTCAAATCATGAAAATGACTAATTATTATACTTGAAAAGAGGAGAAAGTTCTGGTAGAAAAATTTGAATGCTTAAGTCCCACATGCAATATTTTTCAAATGTCTACTATATATTTAAGTAGAAATATGAAAATACTTAAATAGAAATATTTAAATATAAAGCAGACATTTGAAATATATTGCATGTGGGACTTAAACATCCCCAACACTCATCCAATACATGGTTGTTTTACACTGATAGTGACTACAGTGGACGTATTTGCTTCACATAAACATAAACCAAATCAAACCAAACCAAACCCAACTTATCTCTCAGGAACCCTGCTAGATGCTTTACTTTTCATCATAGTATTTGATTATTAAAACATATATTAAATTAAAATAAATATAGGAAGAAAGCAGAAAAGAAAATAGAAATAGTAAGGAAGAATTGGCACTAAGGAATATAGGCAGGGCTAAAAACATTTTGAGGAAACAATTCACTTTGCAGCTCCTCTTAGTATTGAGTTTTATTTTTATTAAAAGTAGTATTCCTTTTAAAGTGGCATTGGTCAATGACAATTTCAATGGCTTATGAATTTTCTGACTGTGAAAGGTATTCTTCAAAAATGCCACCTTTCTTCCTGCCTTCTTCCCCAATAATCCACTCCTGGTTTTCTCCCCCTGTGTAATCCCTTTTCACTTTGAAATAGCTGGCCTATCTAACAAAGAGATTGCAGTGCAGATGAGAATGCAGCACTACTGAAGCTGGATCGTAGAATGCTTGTGGCTTCTTGCCTCCATTACTTGGAATTTCCAGTTCTGGGAAACAAACAGAAACACAACTACCATGTTCTGAGAAGCTCAAGCCACATGGAAAAATTACGCACAGGGTCTCCAGGTGACAACTGCAGCTGAGCAGGCATTTGAAAGCCAGCATCAGCCAGGTAAGTGAGTTTCCTTGGCCTTCCCGCACGGTGAAAGCTTCGCAGGACAGCAGTCATATCTAACAACTAATTACAACTGCTGAAGAGAGACTCCAAGCAAAATCCACTTAGCTAAGACCAGAGTCACAGTCCACCCAGCAGTCCAGAGAATTATGAACGATAGTAACACATTGCTGTTTTAAGACACTAAGTCTTGAGTAATTTCTTATGCAACAATTGATAACTAAAACATGGTTTCTAAGTAGAAGATGCTTAATAGCCCACTGCGACTTTTCTCTAGCTTCCAATTCCACACCCCATCGAAAGAAAAAAAAAAGCCAAAACAAACAAACAAACTGGAATGACACAGTTAGACTCACATGAAAGACACTCCACAATTAATCTAAAAATTAATTACTTCAATGCAGATATAAGTTGTCATTTTATTGAAATTAACTTTAGTCAAAATGTGTTGAGTTATATGAAAATGCATCTGAATATTTAAGACATCAATTGAGCTATGTTGACATTGTAGATAGGTAGGTCTAAGTGTTATATCACTGCAAAGGTTACTATGGCTTGTCCTAGGATAACAAAAGCTATATCTTTTTTCCTGATGTTTCCTATCAACTAGATTATATCTGAATAAATTTCCTTCAAGTATTTTGGAAGCAGAGCTTTCAGCAGTTTTGTTTTATTTTATTTTCTAGTGTATGTTTTAAAAATCTATTGCATGGGTTTTAATTTTCTTTGTTCTTTCTTTTTATTATACTTTAAGTTCTGGAATACATGTGCAGAATGTGCAGGTTTGTTACATAGGTATACACATGCCATGGTGGTATACTGCACCCATCAACTCGTCATCTACATTAGGCATTTCTCCTAATATTCTCCTTCCCCTGGCCCCCTACCCCCCGACAGGCCCCTGTGTGTGATGCTCCGCTTCCTGTGTCCATATGTTCTCATTGTTCAACTCCCACTTATGAGTGAGAACATGCGGTGTTTGGTTTTCTGTTCTTGTGTTAGTTTGCTGAGAACGATGGTTTCTAAATATACAATCTTGTCATCTGCAAACAGAGACAATTTGATTTCCTCTCCTCCAATTTGAATACTCTTTATTTCTTTCTCTTGCCTGATTACCCTGGCCAGAACTTCCAATACTATACGAGTGGTGAGAGATGGCATCCTTGTCTTGTCCAGTTTTCTAAGTGAATTTAGTTTGTATCATAAGTGACATATCTTCATAGAAGAAAGTACAGGTACTCAAAAATTAGATAACAAAAACTGTGCAGAAAACACATTTGAATTTAAGTATGTATGCATTAAGTGTGTATTTTTTGAAAAGCAATTGATTCTGCTGACATTGTTATGTATACATTTTTTATGCATGTTAAAAACTGTTAACATGCTTTCCTGATATTAAATATGCTAGCATTTATATAATAATTTTAGTGGCTTTATAATATTTTATTTTATGGGTTTATATAATATATATTAAAATTTCTGCACAGGATATTTTTATAAATGTGAGGTAGATGATCAGTGACCATATTTCACATTTCAAAATAAATACAAACACAAATTTAAATTAGCTATAATACTTATACTTTAGGAATAATTATTGTATGACTAATTAGCCCCCATCCTTGTTTTTAAAAAACCCAGAATATATACCCGTTAATTTAGAAATAAATGCATTGATTCTCTTTTGTCTCTTCTAAAAACACTCATTCTTATGATGAATGCAAGAATTACAAAGGCATATTCTGTCTCACTTATTCAATCAAAACAGGGAAGAATGTATTGTATTTATTCAATTGAAATAAATGGCACAGAAGAGGAAGATAAGTGAATTGGTCTATTGCAAAGTCTTTTAGAATAAGAAATTAACATCGAATTTCATATGCATTTTACTTTTAGTGTGCCAGAGAAATACTGAATTGAAATTTATATCTCAGAGGTCTGTAGGAATAGGAATTGAGTCATTTACTAAATTATTAAATTGTACTCTAAGAGTCATTAGCTTAAAAGTTTATTATTGGATTAATCTATGCTATCACAGCATTCCTTTCATATTTAATATTCTTTTCAGACTCTCCACACACTTTCTGAAGGTTATAAAGAGTTTAAGAATGATCTCATAAGAGAACACTGTTTTCTTACAGGTTAGTTTAGTTACAGGATAGAACTACGGGCTAAGTAGGAAAACATCTTCAATGTTTCCCATGTCCACATTACAGTGATCCATTCTTTAAAATTAGTAAGTTAAAGGAGGCAGTGGGAACTTTAGCTCTAGTGCGTCTATGCTAGTGAGATAAGAAGGGGTTTATTTAACTTATTTTGTTTTATAAAATTTAATCTATCATCAATAGTTCTCTGGTTTGTGGAGAGAAGTTTGGCTTGACTTTTCAGCAAATAGGTCAAATACTTAGTCACTTTACTGATATCTTTTCATACAGAGTTTGTTGACTACTAATTCTACAGAATTTTCTTTTGGAATTGGGAAGAATTGTATCGCTGTTCTTGAGTATCCCATAGATGGTCGCTGTCAAAATACCCAAAGCTGAACTCATTATGTTTTGTAATCTTTACCTTTCTCCTCATTACTTATCTTGATGAATGATACTAGCCAATCAAGTAAAGACCTAAGGATATACGTAGGTTACTTTACTAGCTTTTAAATGTGGTTTCCTATTTCTAGTATGATCATACTGTAATGCATTTCACTTATTACTATATAATATTTATAAAATTTAAATTTAGCCATAATATCTCTTTGTTTAAAAGTACTTAGTGATGCCCTAATATTCAGAAAATATTTTAAAAAATTTTGAACACATAAGAAAACTCATCATATGATTTTGCTTAACAGGTCTTTCTACTACTTTCTATATGCAGTTTGTATCAGTCAAAATTATGTTTAGCTTCTAATTTTTAGAGCAGATATCAGTTTACTTCTCATACATACATACAAAATCCAGTCACCTGTATCCCAGGCAGCAAGACTGAGGAAGAGGCAAAGAAAATTGTGCCCCATGCTTAATTTGCATGAAAACTCATCTCAACCTGCATATCTTTGGTCAAATCTTAGTTATATGGTCTTACGGAAATACAAAGAGCAACCGGATATTCTAGTGATTAAGAGAGAAAGAAAGCATTGATAAACAAATAGAGAAAGGAAATTAATACTTGGTAGACAACTAGCGTTTCTACCACAGCACTTCTTATCAAGACACGTAAAATGATTTGCTTTCTAAACATATCATGATGTCTCATGGACATTCAAGGTGTCCTGTCTAGAATGCCTTGTTCTGTCTTTGCACAGCAAAATTCTGTCTATTCTTTAAAATCAATTGGGGTCCGTCCAAAAACTTTCTGTGACACTTGCAGTCTTATTTACTAGTTTAGTGTTCTATTTATACCCATGTTATTATGACTTGCCATTGTAAATGCTTTATAAAAATAATTTTAGTTTCACAAGTACAATACATTTTTTTTTTAAATCATTGTTTGCTTGTTTTACTGAATTTTATATTCTTCTACATTTAGGCTAAAATCAAAGCCTTATAGAAATGATATAAATATAAGGATAAATGAGATACCAGAGAATCATAAAATGAGGGAATTTTTCACTTTAACGTGCATCTGAGAGAAGAAAATAATTAGGATTTATCAGACCATAAGCAGATTGACTTAAGCAAATTCTGGGAAATGTTATTTACATATATGACCTTTTAAGTCTTGCTAGTTTTTATAGGACAGCTTGCAAGAAAAAAAAAACTGTGTTTTTAACCATAATTTTCTTTTTTCAGCATAGAATAAGAGCTACACTCTTTCGTGTTTCATTTTGTTTTTTGTTCAATAATTATGATGTAAAATTAAAAGCCTCTAATGCCCTTTTCCCAAATTAAAATGCATAGAAAACATAAAAACCTCTTGTCAAAGTGTAAGTGCTTATAGCCATTGAAAATTGTATATGATTGCTTTATTTAGTTTCTCAAGCCCAGCTAAAGAGAAATGCTTGGTTATGTGTGATTGCATACTATATCTTCCTGGAGGGAAAGCTATTACACAACCACTGATGGCCATCCATAAAATGCAGGATCTGTTCTGACCCTAAGAATGAGACTCATTGAGCTAGATGTATATAGCAACCAGATATATAGTAAAAGGCAGGGTGCTTCTAAAAGCAAGACGGGAGATGTGTAGAAGTAACTTTGGTAGTAGGGAATAAGAATGTGACCCTGCCTTACATCTATTAAATTTATACAGCAGAAAATTGAAGCATGAACCAAACACTCATGTGAAAGGAGAGAAAAGATGACTGTGAGCAAAGACAATAGTAAAATTTTCTTACAAGCTTAAAAAAAGGGGGGACATTACCATAAAAAATATACTTCTACAAGCTACTCAGGTTTAAGAAGAATTTAAATAATAGTATTTATATTATTATTTCTTGTAATGTTCTAATATTTGAACACATGAAGAAAGAATCACACTCAAACCATTGATAAAACCTGCTATATTTACACATCCTCCACCAAATGAATTTTGTAATTGAAAGTGTGTCCTTAAGTCTAAAGTTTTCCCTTTTAGTGGTTACCGGCTTTATTTTCCATACTTAGTGACCTTAATAGAATATGTGGTACCTGATCTGTAATAATTTCTTTTCGGGGCATTTTTATTTCTTTTCATTTTGACTAATAGGACATAGAATTAGAAATTACCAATGTTAAATTACGTATGAACATAGAAAAATAGCCTTTGGACAGTTCTATTGGTGGCCAATCCAAAAGAAATAACATGAAAATATATGATTCAATATAAGACAAATAATTCCAGATGTGAGAAATAAATACTATATATATCAAAACCTTCTTAGGTTTTAGCAATTAAGATTTGTTAAAAAGAAAATAGTATTAAGTTACTTTGAAGGTTAAAACTGAATTCTAGTGAGTGGAAAAAATAATGTGTAATCAAAGACCAAATAAAATATTTCAAGGAGAATGGTCCTGTACTTAAGAAAATAAGTCATTTTAATAGAACTTTGTAAGCATTCTTTCATATAAGCAAGGCCAGGACAGTACGTTAATAATAATCATTCTAATTAGTTATTGCAGATTCCTAAGACTCTGAAGTAAACTGTGGGCTGTGGGTTAGGCTGTCTGTGCTCAAGCATAGAAACTACCACTCAATATGCATGTGACTTTAGCCACGTTTTCAATTCTTACTATTTTAACAAGAATATTTGAACTAGAATAACTAAAGTCATTATATATGTAAGAATATTTATATACATTTTCCAAGTTATTCCATAAATTAAGTTTTTCTTAGTCTAATTATTGAAAAATAGAGGTTTGTCTATGCTATATATTCCTCTTTCTCCCACACTTCTCACCAGGAGGGTTGATTACCATAGAGTTTTGAGCAAATTTAGCATGTACAAATATTATCTGAATTTACTCCAACTGTATATAATGATTTTGGGAATAAATTCCATTGTTAAAGGAAAATTTTAAGACAAATTAAATTTAAAAGAATGTAGGGTCAGGTAACTTGACTCACATCCATAATCCCAGCAATTTGGGAGGCTGAGGGAGGAGAATCACTTAAAGCAGGAGTTCCAGCCCAGCCTGAGCAACATAGTAAGGCTCTGTCTCTACAAAATAAATGAATAAATAAAGTAACCGGCATGGTGGCATGCACTTGAAGTCCTAGCTACTCAGGAGAATGAGGTGGGAGGATTGCATGAGCCCAGGTGTTTGAGGCTGCAGTAAGCAATGATCACACCACTGCACTCCAGCCTGGGTGACAGAGCAAGACCCTGTCTCTAGAGAAAAAAAAAAAATATTCACAGAGGTTAATTGAGCAAAGAATACTTTGCAAATTGGGGAGGACTCCGGACAAGAATATGTTTCTAGTGACTTCAACACCAGGGCTGTAACATGGTCGGACATAAAAAGTTAACTGACATACAGAAAACAAAAGTGAGGTACAGAAACATCTAGTTTGGTTAGAGCTGGGTGTTGGCTTATTTAGAGAGGATTTGCTTATTTAAAGAGGATTAACAAATCCTCTTTAAATATTCAAGCAGGATTTGAAAAGTTGGCTGCATGTAATTGGCTGAACCTCCGTGATTGCTACAAGAGGAGGTTACAATTCACTATGCGTGGAGAAACTGTTAGGCCAAACTTAAAATATGTAAGGAGGCAGCTTTAGGCCAAGTTTAATTTAATACTATGAAAGAGTGATACCAATATTTCTTACTTGACAACTATTTCTACCAGCACATTAAACAGGCTATAATTACTATATAGAAAGCAATCACAATATAGCTCCAAAGGATTCAAGAGTATCAGGAAAAAAACAGGCCGACTTCTCAAATTCAAATAGTACAAATCAATACATCTTAAATCAGTTAAGACATTTGCCAAAGAGCACATGTTTTCCCTACACATTGTCCACACCTTTGAAAATACTTCCTTTATTAACCCTTCTTAAACTTATCTTGATTTCCCTGTATTGTTTGGTATCTGCTATAACCTTGGCTGATACAGTTATTAGTATCATAACTGGCTCTATGGAACAAACTATCAAAATAGGAGTCTGGCTTGTTTTTCTCATACATTCAAGCAGCACAGAGCTAATCTCATTGCTGGGGGAAATGTGACACATGTCCTTTCTGGCATACAGTTGCATCACAAGTATTCAAATCATTTCTGAGATAATATAGAATAAATGCAGGAGGAGGGTAAGGTGATGAAAATTCAAATTGTTGTGACAATTAGGTGCCATGGTAACATGGATAAATACAAAGACTTGCCTTCTTCTGACATTCCCAGAGAGCATATACCGGAAAAAAGAAAACTGAAAAGTTATGAAGACACAAATTGCAACCTGTGTGGAGAGCCAGAAGACCTCCAAAGCAGCTTTAAAGGAATTTCTATTCACCTATAGTCACCAGGCAGATACAGTTGAAGACCAACACGTTATCTAATTTTTAGAGTAGAAAAATTGCAATTCCACTTTGAGGCTAAATCCTGCCAAGTCTCTTATGCTATGGTGGGGTTTGCAGGCTAATACTCTCAGGCTTCTTTTTTAAAAAAATAAATAAAGTGTTATTTAAAGATAGTCACAACATTGGTTTACATAATATTTATGGCTGCTCTTGTGTTACAGTGGCAGAGCTGACATACTTGAGTTGTTTCAACAAAGACAGTAGTGTCCACAGTACAAAAAAAAAATATTTCTTAACTTACCCTTTAAAGAAAATGTTTGTCAACCCCTGTGCCATGGCAGTGGAACTTGTGAAGAAGATATGGGAAGCTGAGATAAGGGATGGAGTCTTTGAGAAAATGTAGATGAGTCTGAGAGAAGCTAAACTCCAAAACCTATGACCTACCATACCTTCATGTTGTGAAGGCAACAACACACCCACTTTTCAAAAACCACCCACTTTTATATAAGAAACTTGGATTGGTGAAACAATTGGACTTATTAAGCACCTCTATCACCTGTCATGTAACAAGAGTTGTGTAAACTTGAAAGAGAAGTGCAGGGAAACCATGGCTTATACCCTAAATTATCAAATGAGAAACGCTGGTATCAATCATTCATAGTGTTAAATTAAGTTCACTAGAACTAACAGAATATTCCAATCAAGCTTAGCAAGATCCTGAAACACATGCAAGGGAGTGGGAGTTATACAAAGGGAAATGAAATATAAGATTCTATTAGAAAAGTTTATTGACATGGGTGCGCTTATCTGGGTTTGGGGACTTCATGTTGCTTTGTTCTACTGGGAGTGGTGTTAATAGTTTATTAGGTTAACTAAATGAAATGTGGACTCAGTGCTAACCTCTAGTCAATAAAGTCAAAGTGTTGGAACTTCTTTTGCGCGCTACAGAAAGAGCAGTTTAAAGACTCAAGAGTTGACAATGCTGGAATTAATTTATTTTGAGCAACCTAATCAGCCGCCTGTTAATCATGACTCCCAGGAGGGCTCAGAGTATACTCCCTTCTCCAAGACCCTCAAAAGGTATTGACAAGGGAAGTTGCAGACAACAGCTTTTTTGAACTCTGTGGTGTCTTCTCTAGAATGGTATGGAAATTGCAGAGATTAATACCACCATAAAGGGGGATGGTGATCCCTGCAACATTCCCATTTAACTTGCTGGTTTAAGCAGTAAAACGGAGGCACAGAAAAGTAAAGTAACATGCCCAAATTAGTCTAATTCACGGATTTTGAAACCACAATTCCTCTTCATAACAAGTACATGACATTTGACATTCAAACAGCTATGAATTTAATTGAAGTCAATGGAAGTAGAAATTGAATATCAAGAGAATTTTAGCACATAAAAGGTCCAGATTTGCTGGTGGAAAGGGAATAATGTACTTTAATTGCAAAGCAATAATGAATTATAAAACAGAAAAAGATGATACACTCCAAAATCTGTTTTCTTTTTTTGAAAGAGAGGGCAGAGAAATTTTCTGAGTTTCTCTGGAATATCAAGAACTTTTGGACCAGGCGCGGTGGCTCATACCTGTAATCCCAGCACTTTGGGAGGCCAAGGCGGGTGGATCACTTGAGGTCAGGAGTTCGAGACCAGCCTGGCCAGCATGGTGAAACCCCATCTCTACCAAAAATACAAAAATTAGCCAGGCCTGGTGGCGTGTGCCTGTAATCCCAGCTACTCAGGTGGCTGAGGTACAAAAATCGCTGGAACTTGGGAGGCAGAGGTTGCAGTGAGCTGAGATCACGCCATTGCACTCCAACCTGGATAACAAACAGAGCAAGACTCAGTCTCAAAAAAAAAAAAAAAGAACTTTTAGCAAAATATTGTTATTGAAAGTATTGTTCCTTTGAATCATATCAGTACCTATGAAATACCAGTTACATTATATATATATATATATATAAAATTGAGGTTGGTGGTGACTATTAAAATATAAGAATTAGAATATTTTCTATTATAAATAATTGGGGATATTAATTATAGAATTAAGCTACCAAGTTTAAGAGACTCTAGTCATGGAATGTTTACAGTGTATCGTGCAAAGACGTTTATCTGTTTATGACCTAGGTAATGAGTTTTGCTATCCTAAGGGAGGAAGAAATGGTCTAAAGTGATTAAAACATTCTGCAACTTCCTTTTATGATCCCCAGGGATCAAAGTCAGAAGGCAGTTCAAGGGATGAATGTGGCCTCCATTTTCTCTGGCATAAGGTTGAATGATTGAGGAAAGAAGCAGGTGAAGTGACTTTTATCCTAGAGAGAAGGATGGCAATAAGGATTTTGGACTTCTATGGTTGTGGATGGAGGTAGACCCTAAGTACAGTATCGTTAAACTTATAAAGAAAGTAACGTTGCATTTATTTTATAATGAACTACTTGATATCTTAAAAGCGAATCTGAATGCTGATATTTAAAGTGACCAGAAAAGCTATAAATCAGCCTAAGCATTCATTAAAGCAAGGAATGATAACGATGTGGATTAATAAGACAGTGAAGAGGATTTGTTTATTTGTTTGTTTTAAGCATTGCTCTTAATTTACACCTTTTTGAGTCCAGTTCCTCAATAAACAATAAAGGACTTTGCCAGATGGAAAGCATCCGAAATAATGATTGCATGTAATTCCTGTAAGTTCTTGAGTCATCAAATTTTATACTTAGAACAAGTATTTATCTCAAGAAACTGAGGCTCATAAGAGTTAATTTATTCCTAATGCATCACAGTGTGTATCAGATACAAAGCAAGAATTCCATGCCAGGTTTCCCTGACTCAAAAAGTCATTTTTCCTATATCTCACAACTACCTGGTTAACATAATAGCAGTCAATATCAATCCTTAGATCCAAGTGACCACTTGGTTACTTTAACTGTCAGTGAAATCAAATGAGATAAGAGCCCGATGAAGGACACACTAATACTTCAGTATAAATTTAGAGCAATCCCAAATTAGTAAAAAATGGCAGGATAGCACAAAACTGCTCCTAGATTGATTTTCACCTTTAGAAACAGATACTGTGCAGCATATTATCTGACCATATTACCTAGAATGCATTTCATTCAGAACATTTTAAATCCTATGCTATTTGTAAGCATATTTTTATGCAGAGCCAATTGTGCCACACATGTGAACCACAAGAAAAAAACACATAGGTATTCTAGGAAAAAAATGTATTTAGAGTAGAGATGGTGTTGGATTACTATGTCTTTATGAACACCATAAGGATGCCTTATATATAGCAACTGTTGTCATATTTCTAGCATGTGAGTTACAAAAAAACTACTTTCAGAATGTATGAATAAAGATATTCATTTTGTAGTCTGTAGCAATTTATGCCAATTAAGCCATATATGCTGCATTATATATGCGACAACTATTTTACTGTCTTCTTAGCTTCCTTGTTGCAATTCTGTGTTTTGGTAAGCTTACTATCAAAGTAAGCACACATTTTCTTGGCATTAAAACTGGCTACTTCATGCTAAATTATTATTCAGTATAATGTGTTATTCATAGTATTCAGTTACCTGCGAAGTGCTTATACATCTCACTGGGCATCTTAGTTGGCAGCACAGTTTATTTAACGAATCTTTTTAACTTCCTATAAATAAGTTGAATGAAGAGTAATGCAATACAATATTGTTTTGACTTTTTATGTAAAAATGATGAGACACTATGATTAATAAGCTGGTTCTCTACAAAATGTAAAATGGAGAGAAAAAAACACGATACCAGTTATTAGTGATCTATTGTCATCTGTAATTATAAGTCTAAGTCCAATACTGGGCAGTCTCATTTACAGAAAATGTGGCAGAAATTAAGAGGGAATCTAAGAAGAGCAACAAATTAATGAATACATAAAATTCCCTGTATAATTTTCTTCTGTAGTAATACTTAGTGTAAGAAGGAAAGGAGGAAGGAGAACTTATTTCCGGTATTCAGAATTTTACAGAGAACATTAAAAAATTAGCATTGTTTGCCTACTGATTTACCCTACTATGAAATCTGCAACAGAGACACACGAAAATTACGGAGTCATACATTACGAACTGGCCAAGAAAAAGTTGTTTTATGCTTAGTTATCTTATTTTAATAAAACAAGTCTTCTGTACAATCGGTGAGACAGGTATTTGTAGAACACGCTTATTTTCCTCCCTTTGTAAGGATTCAGCATGGGACAGAGAAATAATAACTTCACCATATTACTGGAATTCAATCTGGGATAAAAACTTACCCTAAAAAAATTATTACATGGGGAGAAAAGGAGAATAGGGTAGAAGCAGACCTCACTCATTAAAGAATTGGTTTTGCCTAAAAAAAAAAAAAAAAAAAAAAAAAAATCTTGGTTTCCAGAATCTCAGGCCAATTCCAGCCTACCCCCTTCTTTGTATAAATTACAAAAATGCACCTTTTCTTGAACCAAGTACCTTCACATGAGCCCAATGAGAAGAACAGAGAGAACAGTAGATTTGCGAGGTCACTAACCTTTCACAGACAGTAAACTGTAAAACTGTAGAATGTGGCAAATTGTATTAGCTCCGAGACCTCTCAATCCTCTCCTAATCTAAGCATTTTATTCTTTTGTAAACATTCATATTTTGGTGTATGTTCAATGTTAATGCAGATTGAAATGCCATGAAGAAAGAAACCAGGTATATCTGATTGCAGTAAAAAGGTGAAGGGAGGTCACTTTCAATTACGTAGTAATTTGTTATTGTCAATTTTAAAAATCTTCCAACAATACAAATAAGCAAACCTGTTGTCAATTATTTCAGAAAATCAGAATAAATGTTTCTCACAACTATCAAATTACATAATCCTTAGCCTAACAATTATAAAATAATTGTTTCTAAATATTTTGTAACTAATTCCCGTGTGCAAGGAGATGTTCTGCATCCATAGTGTTCAATAAATATTCTTGATAAAAAAATTCACTTAATAAAGTAAGAAAATGTAAATGCCTTTTAATTGGTTTTTGAATGTTGGCATAGACCAATTTCTCTATCAAGTCGCTTAAGGAATACGTATTTGAAAATGTGTGTATTCTGATGCAAAATCCAAAATAAACAGTTTTAAAAATCAGCCTGATTTGTTTTAAATAGACAGTGATATGTGGCTGATGTTGAAAAAAAAAATGCAGTTAAAAGCTTCAATAAAACGTTTAATCAATTTCAATGAATACAGTTTCCCAAACTGATTAAATTCATTTTGAGTTCCTATCATGTATCAGGCATTAAGTTTGGTTTTTGATGTTAGGGATTAAAAAAGTGAATAAAAGTTAATCCTCAACCTGAAAGAGCTTACAATTGGCTCTTGACAACATAATTTTTACCAAAATGAGTTCTTGAGAGGAGTAAGAATCACCTTTGCCCTAATGCTTCCCTACAGTAAATTGGTTATTCTGACGGTGTTCCTATCTAATTCCAATAGCTTGCTTCAGAGGTACAAGTAGCTAAATTACAGGTCTGTTTATACAGTTCTCCTGGTTTCTTACAAGTATAATACACATGCTCTATTTTTTTTTCTGTCATCTACAGTGGTCGTTTATGTACAATGATGGTTTATATAGTTTGCAAGAAAACAATACAAATAGAAACAAATAGGCAACGAGAACAAAATTAAAATACCTTTCTAAAACTATTGTTAAGAATTCAAATTTAAAAATAAAATCTAGTTGAAACAGTTCCTGTCATTAACCAAAAAAAAACATGCATAGCAATTTCAAGGAGATATATTTATTTTCTTAAGCTTCATACCATCAAATAAAATGACTGGTATTCATAGAACTTTATAGTTCTAAAATCATGGTGCCTTACACTAAGTAATTTTATTTTTGGAAAATAGTTTAAAGTGATAAAAAGGCCACGAAAATAAATTTATTAAAAATTGTATTTTGAATGAAAGGTTACATAGGCCAAGAAAATGTGGGCTATGATGAAGGAATGATGAAGGCCAGAGGAAGGAGCTGCTTACCCTCTCTCTTCAGTTTCATATAGTGTTCCTGTAAACATCGGCACTTACAGGCCTTGAGGGTGTTTCAGCAGATAAACTTCAAAGAAATCTGAATGTGATGTCTTACTCAAAGCCCTAAATGGCCATGGTAATTAACTAAACTGTCCTTCAGAAATCATAAGTCTCAGTGTAATTTACCGGCTACTTCCCTCATAGGTTGGGTAATTTTTGTGTAATCTTACCCTGAAGCTATAAATTGGTTTGTGGCCTACCTAAAGTTTATCCTCATAGATTGGGTAATTTTTGCGTCATCTCACCCTGAAGCTATAATTTGGTTTGTGGCCTACCTGAAGTTTATAACTCTAGAGTGATATTTTATTTTGATGCTAAATTGTCCTTGGATGGAAGTTGGCAGTATGCAAATTTGTTATGTGATTCTGTAGCCACACAGACCTGGTTTAACTTTCATGTCACAAAATTGTTAGTGATTTTTGCTTTGCGTGGATCTTCAAATTGAAGTCACATAAGTTGAGCATTGCTGGATGAACCAAGCGTGCAACCACAGGAAGAACATAAGTGCTTGGACTGAGGAACAAGCACTGAATTAAGAAGTAGACATCACATGGGAGGATTTAGGATCCAATCAGATCAAGCCCTAGAGTTTCTTCATGGCAGGATCCAGACAGATCATACCTCCCAGCATCACTTCACTGCAAGGTCCAATCAGATCATGCTTTATTACTTTCTGACAATAAAACCTGCCCCACCCTCAGCTTGGAGAAGAAAAATTTAAACCTGACTCCTGTCTCCTTGCTTGGCTGCCGGGATAGAAACCCTTTTCTCTACAAAAACCCAGTGCTTTGGTGTTTGACTTCTGTTGTGAATGAGAAAACAAACCCAAATTTGGTTTGCTAATAATTCTACTTCCCTTTTCATACTCTCATTTTGTAATCCCAGAGAAACTCATAGTGATAACTTTTTATCTATTTGTCTTTATTTTATAAAATTTAGTGTTATGCTTTCTAGAAGTTTGAATATTGTTAAGGTTTTTGAAATCAAAAAATGAATAATTTTTGTGGAGTGTCTAATTTTGCCCAGTATACTTTGTCGTTCCACATAGAAAACATCTCCTACTTACACAACTGACCTTAATTCATGAAAACTTCCAGGAATGTGGAGTGTACCATACTGTAGAGGATTAAAATATATGATAAAGCAGAACTAAGAGTAGATTTACTACCTGATCTTCTAAAGAAACAGGAAAGACCTAATCTTCAAAACCCCTTTTTGGATGACTCTAATTTAATTTTAAATTCTACTCTCCTTGTAAGACTCAAAAATAAGAGTTATGAAATCAGCTTTAATAATGACCTAAGGGGAAAGATGACTTTTCTTCTGTGAAAATGTAGAAATGTCATAAATACCTTCTCTAAAATTATATGGAAGCTTTATTCTACATCTTTGAGAACCAGTTCTGGTATTGGCTAAATTTGAATTATAGTCATGTGCTAAATAATGACATTTCAATCAATAATGGATCATGTATAACAATGATGGTACAACAAAAGTATAACAGAGCTGAAAAGTTCCCCATTGCCTAGTGACATCACAGCCATTGTAAAGTCTTAGTGCAATGATTATTTCTGTATTTGTGGTGATGCTGGCGTAAACACACCTATTGTACTGCCAGACCTATAGAAGTTTACAGCATGAAAAATTTTGTGCAGTACATATTACTTGATAATGATTAAAAAATGGCTGTGCTGCTGGTTTATGTGTTTACTGTGCTTCTTATCACTATTTTAGAGTATACTCCTTCTTCTTATTAAAAAGTAACGTGAGCTATAAAACAGCTTAGGTCATGTCCTTCAGAACGTATTCTAGAAGTTATTCTTATCATAGATGACAGCTCCATGTGTTACGCCCCTGAAGACTTTCCAGTGGGACAAGACATGAAGGTAGAAGACAGTGATATTGATGATCCCGACCTTGTGTGGACTGAGGCTAATGTGTGTGTGTCTTAGTTTTCAATTAAAAGTTTAAAAAGTAAAAAAATAGTTAAAATAGAAAAAGCCTTTTAGAATAAGGATATTCTAAAAGTTGTAAGTTAAAATAGAAAAAGCCTTTTAGAATAAGGATATTAAGAAAGAAAATATTTTTGTGTAGCTGTACAATGTACTTTCTAAGACAAGTCAAAAAGTTTTTAAAAATTGAAAATTTTCTTAAGCACAAAAGTTATAGTAACATAAAGTTAATTTATTATTAGAGAAAAAAGTATAGATTAGTGTAGCCTAAGTGTACAGCATTTATCAAGTCAACAGTAGTGTACTATAATGTCCTAGGCCTTCATATTCATTCACGACTCACTCACTGACTCACCCAGAGCACCTAATCCTGCGTGCTCCATTCATGGTCAGTGCCCTAGACAAGTGTACCATTTTTTATATTTTCTCCTGTTATTTTTACTGTATCTTTTCTATGTTTAGTTATGTTTGAATACTCAAACACCATTATGTAACAATGCCTACAGTATTCAGTACAGTAACATGCTCTAGAGATTTGTAGACTAGGAACAGTAAGCTGTACGATATAGCGTAGGTGTATAGTAGGCTATACCATCCAGGTTTTTACAAGTACACTCTGGCGTTGGCTTAATGACAAAATTGCTTAGGGATGTATTTCTCAGAGCCTACCTACATCATTAAGTAATGCATGACTCTACCTATTTTATTGTCTTTTTTATGTTTAGGCCTCTCTTGATTTGCTCCATGTAAAGTTACTTTTTATTGTATGACACTTAATTTCCCCAAAATTGTGTTTCAAAAATCAAAAGATTATAACCTATTCTAATAAAATCTGATAATTTTTTTACATTGCCCTGATAAATGTTTTTTCAATGCACATCATAACTTCCAGGGACCTATTAGAATTTATCACATCTATTTTAATATAATTTTAAATAATTATAATTATAAATTTAAACTAAAAATACAGTGAAATTGTTTGAATAGAAATGTTTGAAATTTAATTTTTTTAGTTGTGAATTTAGGAAGAATTATCACATCCATGTTTCTGAATATTATTTCTACTTCTAGGGATCACAAAATAGCTTATTCAGTTCTATTGCAACATGGCATTGCAAGCTTGTATATAATTGCCTTCTATTATCACCTCTGGGTCTCTTTTGGCACTGAACACAAGTTTTACCTGCCCCTTGAATGTGCCAGGTTATTTTTCCCTGGATGCCTTAGGTGGTTTGCATTTTTACAAGCTAACTCTGAGTTTGAACAATCTTTTCCATATTTCTAACCTGTTTTAGCGCAGCCATATTATTTTTCCTCTCTTCACTTTGGTAACCTGTACAAATCTAGAGTAACCTGAAAATTTATGTTTATATTCTGATCTAGCTATTCTCCCAGAGTCCTAACACTAGAGTCAATATTTTTTGACTTGTATAAAGCAGAATAAAATTTTAATAGGTGTCTGGAATGACCTGACAATAAGGATAACCTCATATTTATGAAATAAGAACCTGATTTGAAAGTCATGACTATGTAATTATTGTGAATGTACATTCTTAAACATTTTTGTAAAGTTCTTGAACATTTTATGTTAAATAATGAAATAAGCTGTAAATGGTAGTTTGAAATTCTTGCTTACTAAATGACAGCATTCTCTTCTTGAATTTGGGGAAATTATCATCGTCAAGTTAGACAAAATGCTCTGCCAATTGTCATAAGTTTTATCATACAGATTATTTTTTAAATTGTATATTTTGCATTCATTAAAATCTATCACATAAACTATATTTTGAAGTAGTTTTTAAAGCTCTATCATATGTTTACAGCAATATGGCTTGGTAGCTTCATTAGATTATCTATATTTTAAAATATTGTTAAAATAAGTAATTTTTGGCCATACTTCTGGCATTGTTTTTGCATTGTTGGTGAATGAAAACAGTTACTTGAAGAAAGCTTTATTGCCATTTTTGTGGGAAATTAAACTGTTCAATAATAAAGTTGTTTAATTAGGAAAAATAAAGTCAAAAACATAATATGACTGTAATCATAATGAATGTGGTAATTCAACTTCGTAAATTACTTTCCTAACCACTGATCTTCCAAAGTCTGTGCTTTCAATGCATTTTCTAATGTCGCCCCTTGCAGTAATCTTTATCTGTCTTCTCTCCCTTTGATTTCATTAGACTTCTTAAGTAGAAGTTTTTTTCTCCCATAAATAGGTTTGTCCTTTTCCACAGTTTCCCATTAAAATAAAGACTGTACAAAAAGGAGTGCACAGGCAAGATATTATATTTTTCATTTGCCTGCTGCTTTACTCTCATTAGTCTTCCCTCCTTTGATTTCCTTTTAGGAGCTGTGCTCATGGTGCAGTGTGTGTTTTCATGGCTGGCTTAAATGGTTCATCTTTTGCAAATCTTCAAGGTAGATAAAGAAGCTTTTTAGTAGATGTTAATTCCTTTACATAATCTCCAATTTCTCAACTCTGGCTTTTTTCAATTTCTTCAATAAATAAATACTGACAAAAAAAACAAAGCAGAACAAAGATGGAGAACTTTACCTCATTTAAATTTTTTCCCATAATATTTCCATGCTTATCACAGAAGGTCTTTTTTTTTTTTTTTTTTTTTTTTTTTTTTTGAGACGGATTCTCGCTCTGTCTCCAGGCTGGAGTGCAGTGGCACAATCTCGGCTCACTGCAACCTCCACCTCCCCAGTCCAAGCAATTCTCCTGCCTCAGCCTCCAGAGTAGCTGGGACTATAGCCGTGCACCACCAAGCCCAGCTAATTTTTGTATTTTTAGTAGAGACGGGGTTTCACCATGTTGGCCAGGATGGTCTCGATCTCTTGACACAGTGATCCGCCCGCCTCTGCCTCACAAAGTGCTGGGATTACAGGCGTGAGCCACTGCACCCAGCCAAGAAGACTGATATTTAAAAAAAAAAAAATAGTACTTTGAAAACTCTTAATTATGTCATAGGTTCTACTACTACTTATTGAATCTCTAGAGTTAATGATCTTTTCTCTGTTCTTAGCTCTCTCAGAACACTTCTTGAATTACATTTGTTCCTGACAGAATAACAAAATAAAACTACCTTATTCGCTTTTTACTCTGCATATTCACCAATGAGATTTGCAGTGCTTTTTAAATGTCCATTTATATTTTAAATTATTAAGAGTAATTTTTCTCTCTTAGCACAAAGGAAAAAATAAAACATTTTGAGGGACATGCTCTAATTTAAGATATTCTTTCCTAAGACTAACATCAACACACAGAGATTTTAGGAAAAAAGAACATGGAAACCGTTTTCTCCACAAATGCTTTTTGGGACCTTGGGGCAGGCTTTGCATTATGGCCACTAACATCTGAAAGTGGGATTAAAGAGGAATGCATTCCTAACCCTGTTGTATTTCTACCAAGGAGAGAAAATAATTATGCTTGCATAACTAATCTAATACTTTCTCAGAGACTTAGAAAATTGTCTTTTCAAATAATTATCTATTTTCTTTTGCCTAAGTGCTTAAAGTTCCAAGTCAAAAGGATATTGCATTATTTTAGCAAGTCTTTATTGAGAGAGAGCTTCCTTCATGTCAAGCAAAGCATGGCTTGTTGCTGTTGATACAAGCCAGTCAATATCTTCTTGGAAGTATTTTTTTTTCTTTGTTTTTCTTTTTTTCAACACACAAACTTTGAGAACCTCATTGTTCTATATGATCTTTTCCTGTATTCTTAGCTTCAAATTAACAGAATTTATCATGAAATATGATTGTGAGAGAGTTAGCAGTCTGGTCGTAGTCTGCCCATAGGAGACCAATGCATTTTAACAGAAACCTTGGGGAGATAATGGTGTCAACTTTTATTATTTCTGTAGAATGAAGTAAGAAAGTCAATCTTTGAGAAAATTCAAAGAATGCAGACATTTTTGAGGACAGAAGGATTTGTGGATTTTTTCAATTAACCCTACAGGGTCAGCCCCAGGATTATGGATTACTCATCTTTCATCTTAATCAGCCACTTTCTTTATCAGAATGTTAATTGAGACAATTGTCTCAAGCTCAAGACCCTGATGGCATATTCAAATGAAAGGATTCAAAAAAATGTCTGAAAGATTCCAGAAGCTAACTTATCTAAAACCAAACTCATTACCACCTTCCCTTACACACACACACACAAACAAACAAAACAAAAACAAAAACAAAAAACCTATTTTCAAATAAATAATGCAGTGTTTAAACAATTATTTCTGATCTTGGCTAATGCTTTCAACTTAGTATTACAATTTAGCATCTGTGAAAAATCTATGGATTAGTGAAACCCATCCCCCATCAAACTCTTCAGGCAATCAATTACACCTCAACAATATCTTTGGAATCTTACTTTTCCTTTCCATTCTTGCTGTCATAAATTTAGGTTAGGACTTCCTTTTTTCTCTATAGCCCATTGAGAAATTTACTCATCACTCTTAACTCTAGCCCATATTCCATATTGCCTCTGTAATTAATCTTCATAAAACAGTAGCTTCATTTTCTTGGGAATTATATTAGTTTGCTAGGGCTGCATAATAAAATACCACACCCTAGGTAGCTTAAACACCACAAATCTATTTTCTCATCATTCTGGAGGCTAGAAGTACAAGATTAGGTTGGGTTGCTTCTGAGATCTCTCTTCTTGGCTTGTGGATGACTGCCTTCTTGCTACGTCCTCACATGTTCATGCTTGGGTCTGTGTGTTGTCTGTGTCCTAATCTCCACTTCTTATAAGAGGAGATTGGATTAGGGTTTATTGATATAACCTGATTTTTCCTTCATTACCTCTGTTGTGACTTTCTCTAATTTGGTCTTGTGGTATCTCTGTCAAGGGTGACTATAAGTCTATAAGTGGTCATAAGAGTCCTGATGGGAGGAGTTAGGTTTATTTGTATTGATCAGGTAGGGGTAAAACCAAAAAGCTTAAAACAGAAGTACCATATTAATTACACATACAAAGAGAATAAGGGTGTCCATGTGGGCTGATGGGAAGCATCAGAGAGCTCAATCAGAGGATGGGGAGGAAGAGACAGAGAGACAGAGACAGAGAGAGATGAGAGAGAGAGAGAGAGAGAATGAATAAGAAACTATGGAACTATGCCATCTATGCCTTTTTTAAAGTCCATGGGCATTATCCTCTAGGCTTTCCATATGGATTGTAAATTGTCTAGTTTAAAAAAAAAACACTCTCTAAGGGAGAAAATTATTTGTATGACTCTGGAGTTAATTATTAGATTTTGTCATAGAAGCTAAGGGATGTGTTGGCTTTTGGTTCTGTGAGATAAGGAAAAAAACGCCTCAGATATATTGCAAAAATAAACACACACACAGAGGGAAAGTTTTGACTAAGTCAAATATGACAGGGACTGGGTTTCAAATAACTGATATCAGACCTAAAAACGGATGCTGAATCAGCAACTATATTAAACAAATTTGTGACAACTTCTAACTCCAAATACAGTAACACTCTTAATTATTAGAGTGGGTTAGGACTTTACCATCTGAATTATGAAAAGACACAAGTCAGCCCATAACAATGTCCAGTTTTTTTCCCAAGTATGTTTGGCCTTTCCAATCTAGTTCTAATGCATCTCTTTATTCTCACCTTTTGACGATCTACCCCACTGCATTCACCTACAACTAGTTGAATGTCAGTAGAACTGCTTGTTCCTGATGTGCCTTTATCAATACTCCACATGAGAAATATCTGGTCTTTCTGCAAATGTGTTCTCAATCTCCTATGTGATTCCACTTACATGGAAAAAATGAATTTGTTTATATGGAGAGTAAAGTATGGAGTCAAATGTAATTGAAGTATTAAAAGCTGGCCTTATTCTTACTTCATTTTCTATCTCCTTTTTCCACTCTTCTGTTGGTCCTCTTTGGTTTTATGCTATCTTGTTACATGTATCCTTCTAAAGTTAATTAAATAATTAAATACTTAATTTTTAATTTTTTTATTATATGTATCTGGGATACATGTGCAGAACGTGCAGGTTTGTTACATAGGTATACACGTGCCATGCTGGTTTGCTGCACCCATCAACCCATCATCTACATTAGGTATTTCTATTAATGCTATCCCTCCCCCATCTCCCTATTCCCCAACAGGTCCCAGTGTGTGATGTTCCCATCCCTGTGTCCATGTGTTCTCATTGATCAGTGCCCACTTATGAGTGAGAACACGTGGTGTTTGGTTTTCTCTTTCTGTGTTAGTTTGCTGAAAATGATGGTTTCCAGCTTCATCCATGTCCAGCAAAGGACATGAACTCATCCTTTTTTATGGCTGCGTAGTATTCCATGGTGTATATGTGCCACATTCTCTTTATCCAGTCTATCATCAATAGGCATTGGGGTTGGTTCCAAGTCTTTGCTATTGTGAATAGTGCTGCAATAAACATACATGTGCATGTGTCTTTATGGTAGAATAATTTATAATTCTTTGGTTAAATATCCAGTAATGGGATTACTGGGTCAAATGGTATTCCTGGTTCTAGATCCTTGAAGAATTGCCACAACTATCTTCCACAATGGTTTAACTAATTTACACTCCCACCAACAGTGTAAAAGTGATCCTATTTCTCCACATCCTCTGCAGCATCTGTTGTTTCCTGACTTTTTAATGATCGCCATTCTAACTGACATGAGATGGTATCTTAGTGTGGTTTTGATTTGCATTTCTCTAATAACCAGTGATGATGGAGTTTTTTTTTTTTCATATGTTTGTTGGATGCATGAATGTCTTCTTTTGAGACGTGTGGATTCATATCCTTCACCTACTTTTTGATGGGTTTGTTTTTTCTTATAAATTTGTTTAAGTTCCTTGTAGATTCTGAATATTAGCCCTTTGTCAGATTGATTGACTGCAAACATTTTCTCCCATTCTGTACGTTGCCTGTTCACTCTAATGATAGTTTCTTTTGCTGTGCAGAAGCTCTTTAGTTTAGTTAGATCCCATTTGTCAATTTTGGCTTTGTGGCATTTGCTTTTGGTGTTTTAGTTATGAAGTTTTTGCCCATGCCTATGTCCTGAATGGTATTGCCTAGGTTTTCTTCAAGGATTTTTATGGTTTTAAGTATTATATTTAAGTCTTTAATCCATCTTGAGTTAATTTTTGTATAAGGTGTAAGGAAGGGGTCCAGTTTCAGTTTTCTCCCTATGGCTAGCCAGTTTTCCCAACACCATTTTTTAAACAGGGAATCCTTTCCCTATTGCTTGTTTTTGTCAGGTTTGTCAAAGATCAGATGGTTGTAGATGTGTGGTGTTATTTCTGAGGCCTCTATACTGTTTCATTGGTCTATCTATCTGTTTTGGTACCAGTATCATGCTGTTTTGGTTACTGTAGCCTTGTAGTATAGTTTGAAGTCAGGTAGTGTGTTGCCTCCAGCTTTGTTCTTTTTGCTTAGTATTGTCTTGGCTATACAGGCTCTTTTTTGTTTCCATATGAAATTTAAAGTAGTTTTTTCTAATTCCGTGAAGAAAGTCAATGGTAGCTTGATGGGGATAGCATTGAATCTATAAATTACTTTGGCCACAATACTAATTATTTCTATCCATGAGCATGGAATGTTTTTCCATTTGTTTGTGTCCTCTTTTATTTCCTAGAGCAGTGGTTTGTAGTTCTTCTTGAAGAGGTCCTTCACATCCCTTGTAAGTTGTATTCCTAGATATTTTATTCTCTTTGTAGCAATTGTGAATGGGAGTTCACTCAAACAAGATGGAATGTAAAAATATTGCTAATATTCAGTGCCTACACAGATATTGTTCTTATTGCAAAGGTTTCAATTATGAATAAATAGGCTGATTCATACTATCAAGGAGTTTATTGTAATGAAGCAACCTTACATACCTGTATTATGGAATTTATCATATTGCATTTTAAATTAGTGATCCACATTTATGACTCTTTAGCTGGACAGTAAGCATGAATATCAAGAATATTAATTATCCATCTATTCATCCCGAGGACCTAGCACAATGCCTGAAATAATAAATGTTTTAAAAAGAAAGAAGATATTGCAAAAAAATAAGATGTAGTTTATCTTAGTCAGGGAGGACCAAGTAGATAATTTACACATTTAGACAACTGATCTCTGATGGATCAGAATGAGATAATTAAATTAATTTAAAGTATAACTTTTAAAATTATGGAATCTCAGGTCATCTGGTCAGCAGCCATTTTATGTCTGATAGCAATCATGTTTTACTTTCTTTAGGTATTGAAACCTTTCCTTCATCTCTGTGAAGTTCTAGGAAATAGGCTGTTGTACTGTAGATAGTCTCACACCAAACGTTACTCTAACCCTGTATACAGTAAGTAATAGGATCAAGTGTTTCAGTGAATGGTCAGTACTTAATCACTGTCATTTTGTCTCATAATACGTCACTTTATCTTGCTCATTCAATTTAACTTTGACAAGAGATAGTGTTTTCCCATATTTTAGTAGTGTTATAGCCAACAGGGATGATGAATGAGTTTCCTGGTTCTGCTTCTTACATATTGTCCACCCTCTAGGTTGTAATTTAGTCTTTTTTCTCTCTTTACTGTCTACATCTCTCTGCTCTTTCATTTGCTCTCTTGAATTCAATTATATTCTATACACAGATTATCCTCAACTCTAAATCTCAAACTAAAACCATCTCATTTAGATTCTATAGATTCAACTTCTTGCGTGTGTCCAATATAGGTGATATCAATCTCTGTAACATTGAGCTCATCTTCTTTGGTCCTAGTTATATGCTTCTCTTCCTCATCACCTGTTTCAACAAACGTGTCCACCATCATTATTTTAATAGCTGATTAACCATTATTTCATTTTTATGCCCTATTCATTGCCAAATTCTTTCTGGAACTTCTGGAATCTTCCCAGAATGCAAAGCTAAATATTTAGTTTGTTTGCTTAAACCTTTGCAATGGTCTCCCTCACTTTTAGAACAAAGTTTAAATCACTTTGCACAATTTATCTTACCCTATAAGTTTAGCCACTGCTTACCTCTCTATTTTCCACTCAGATAGTCATGGCTCAAATGACACACACATACTCTTTCTCTCTCTCTCTCTTTCTCTCTCTCTCTCTTTCTCTCTCTCTCTCTCTCTCCCTCTCTCTCTCTCTCTCTCTCCCTCTCTCTCTCTCTCCTCTTACCCCCATCCCCACTACACACCCCTGGGACTATGGAGGTTCTTCCAGTGAAGAAGTCCTATTTTCTTTTTCTCTTTATCTTCATGATTGCTAGGAATTTTTTGTAGAAATCTCAGTCTAACCTAACTAATCTCTATTTATTTTCAGGTTTATGATTAGACATCCCTTTCTTCTGTAAATGATTTTTAAATTGCTCATTATAAGTGTGGTACCTGTTAATCATCTTACTATATGCTTCTATGGATTGTGGTATGCCTACTTTTGTACTGTGTTATAATTTCCTATTTGCCATTATGAAAAGAGCCATTTCTATTGGATCAGCATTATATTTTTCACATTTAGTTCAGCAATATTCGCAAATGATAAAATGGATAGTTAATATTCACTAGATGGATATCAAATGAAGGCAAGATGCTGGATACTTCTGGTTTAGAACGAAATTAGCTAATATAACAGATCCTATATTTAAACCAACAGGAACCCAATTTTCTTATTCTTGCTAAGACACAGACAAATTTGTTTAAAATTTCATATCTCCATGCGAAAATCTAACCAAGCATCCACGTTATAAATCTGGGATGATACTCACTCAGGAGGACAAAAGCAACTATGCTAATACAAGGAAGAAGAGATTTTCTGAGATCTTTGAATAAATTGTTGAGCCACCAGCACAAAATTATTAGCCTTGGGCTTCCTACCAGATAAAATATAAATAACCTCAATGGTGTAAACTATTGTCTACAGAACATTTTGTTATTTCATAACAGACACACCATTCCTCAGCCTTTTTAAATATAGTACCTAGTAGTGTGCCTAGACCGTAGTCAACATTAAATAAAATACGTTGAATGAAAAGTATAAGAAATGATACCTTTCAGCATTTGCATATAACTGAATAATCACAATCTTTCCCACATTCAAATTGATGTGATGTAAATAATTACTGTTATTTGAAAACCTAAAATACAATAGTATAGACACATAATACTAGTTCAGTCATTCTGTTGACAATTAGATACTAGCAAGTAAATAAAAAGAATTGAGTTGCTAGTTAATTATCAGTCAATAGCACAATTGCATTCAAACAAGAAGACTGAGGCTAATCAATTGTACCTGAAACAGTTAATTGTATATTCATCTTGATAATGATATTACATTTAAATAGTAGGTACCCATATTTATGTGTAATAATTACATATAAAGCTGAGAATTACAAGGCTTTTAAGACTATATTTCCTTCTAGAAATTTGATTAGGAAATATATTAACAATGTAAATAGCACTTTATTCATAAGGTTGCAATAAATAAACTTTTGATTTTGTCATCTTCACAAAAGTGATTCCATTTACTTATAATTTGTAAATAACTTTAAATTAAATCTTACTTTTATTATCATGTCTCTTCGAAATAGAACTAAGTCATTAGAAATAATAGCTATGAGCACTAACAGCAGGAATTACATATATCCAGCTCCCTCCTTTTGAGTAAATTCCCATTTTTTTAAACATAAAAATATATTTATATTAAATATATATATTAACATATATATAATATGTAGAATACATTTCTAGTAAATACATGCAAATTGACTTGATGGTAGGAATTGGTTTCAAGAAAAACTATATTTTGATAGGATTGGGAATTGTTTCATTTTCTTTGATCTGTAACGATACTTTTTTTTTTATTATACTTTAGTTCTAGGGTACATGTGCACAATGTGCAGGTTTGTTACATAGGTATACATGTGCCATGTTGGTTTGCTGCACCCATCAACTCGTCATTTACATTAGGTATTTCTCCTAATCCTATCCCTCCCCCCTCCCCCCACCCCTCAACAGGCCCCGGTGTGTGAAGTTCCCCTCCCTGTGTCCATGTGTTCTCATTGTTCAGCTCCCACTGAGAACATGCGGTGTTTGGTTTTCTGTCCTTGTGATAGTTTGCTTAGAATGATGGTTTCCATCTTCATCCACGTCCCTCCAAGGGACATAAACTGATCCTTTTTTGTGACTGCATAGTATTCCATGGTGTATATGTGCCACATTTTCTTAATCCAGTCTATCACTGATGGACATATGGATTGGTTCCAAGTCTTTGCTATTGTGAATAGTGCCACAATAAACATAGGTGTGCATGTGTCTTTATAGTAGCATGATTTATAATCCTTTGGATATATACCCAGTAATGGGATCATTGGGTCAAATGGTATTTCTAGTTCTAGATCCTTGAGGAATTGCCACACTGTCTTCCACGATGGTTAACTAATTTACACTCCCACCAACAGTGTAAAAACATGCCTTTTTCTCCACATCCTCTGCAGCATCTGTTGTTTCCTGACTTTTTTTTTTATTATACTTTAAGTTTTAGGGTACATGTGCACAATGTGCAAGTTAGTTACATATGTATACATGTGCCATGCTGGTGTGCTGCATCCATTAACTCGTCATTTAGCATTAGGTATATCTCCTAATGCTAACCCGCCCCCCTCCCCCCACTCCACAACAGTCCCCAGAGTGTGATGTTCCCCTTCCTGGGTCCATGTGTTCTCATTGTTCAATTCCCACCTATGAGTGAGAACATGCGGTGTTTGGTTTTTTGTCCTTGCGATAGTTTACTGAGAATGATGATTTCCAATGATCACCATTCTAACTGGAGAGAGATGGTATATCATTGTGGTTTTGATTCGCATTTCTCTAATGACCAGTGATGATGAGCATTTTTTCATATGTCTGTTGGCTGCATAAATGTCTTCTTTTGAGAAGTATCTGTTCATATCCTTTGCCCACTTTTTGATGGGGTTGTTTCTTTTTTTCTCATAAATTTGTTTAAGTTTTTTGTAGATTTGGGTTATTAGCCCTTTATCGGATGGGTAGATTGAAAAGATTTTCTCCCATTCTGTAGGTTGCCTGTTCACTCTGATGATAGTTTCTTTTGCTGTGCAGAAGCTCTTTAGTTTAATTAGATCCCATTTGTTAATTTTGGCTTTTGTTGCCATTGCTTTTGGTGTTTTAGTCATGAAGTCTTTGCCCATGCCTATGTCCTGAATGGTACTGCCTAGGTTTTCTTCTAGGGTTTTTATGGTGTTAGGTCTTACATTTAAGTCTTAATCCATCTTGAGTTAATTTTTGTATATAATGTAAGGAAGGGATCCAGTTTCAGCTTTCTACAAATGGCTAGCCAGTTTTCCCAGCACCATTTATTAAATAGGGAATCCTTTCCCCATTGCTTGTTTTTGTCAGGTTTGTCAAAGATCAGATGGTTGTAGATGTGTGATGTTATTTCTGAGGCCTCTGTTCTGTTCCATTGGTCTATATATCTGTTTTGGTACCAGTACCATGCTGTTTTGGTCTTTAAAATTTTCTATTCTTAGAGGAAAATTAGAACCCTTAAGCCACAATAGAATCCCTCACTTTCTAGAACGATCTATTTTCTCCTTTCACTATACTTCTGATTTTCTTTACATGGTAGGACTTATGAAATAAATAGCATAGCTGAGGGTGGTGGGTGAAGTGAAGATATGGAAGACCCACAAAAAAACAGCTGAAAAGGTGTCCCTGTATCAACAACCCTTTACTGCAGTTTTTCCACTGAGCTAGTTTAAATAGGCTTATTTACAAGAGAATGCTAGATATATGACAAAGCAAATACAATTATTAATGCCTTTAAAATGCAAAGATGAGTTAATACACATACTTGTCTTAATTTTTTTTAAAGGACAGATTTCAAGAACAACTGTATTGCTGTTTCTCTTTACTCAATGATACTTAACTGGAATGCAAAGTAAGCATTAATATTAAACAAATAAGGTTTTGTCATCTGGGCTGCCCCCGGTACTGTTTCTTTTCCAGTAAAGGCAAAGCAGAACAGAACAATGCATGCATGTGCACACACACACACACACACACACACACACATACACAGAGGAAGATTTGTTAATAAAGACTAAAACTGTGTATTCAACAGAAAATGTTTTTGAAAATGAAACCCCAGAAGATTGTACACCCAATATCGACTTCTAGTCACATTGTAAAATGCATGTCACCCAGAAAACAAATAAAATATTACAATGTAAAGTTACTTTGTGTTTCATAATATTTCTACATTTAAGGAAATCTGTAGCTACCTTAAAAACAAAAGTGAATCGTAAGTCTTCTAGTGGGAAGAAATAATCTATTTTTCTCATATTATTTTTCCTTCTAGTTTTAAAATTTATTTTTCATAATGATACATGCTGGTAACTTTGCAGATTCTTTTTCTTTCCTTGTTTGTTTTAATGTTGTCACTTTGTGCCTCCATCTGGTAATAATAATTACTATGATATAATTAGCATTATAATGATGATGCTAATGACAGTGACTATCCTTATAGCTAACTCTTATTGGGTATGTAATATGTGTGCTAGACAGTGTTCTGAAATCATCACCGTTATTAACACTGTACTTTTCAGAGAATTCTGGGAAGTGGGTACTGCTAAAGATGAGTAAATGGAGACACAAGTTAACTAACCTGTTTAAAGTCACACAGTAAAAACATGAAAGGGCTAAGATTCAAATCTGGGCTTCAGAGAGTGTGTTCTTGTTTACTACCCTATCCTGTCTCTTATAAGCAAGATTTCCTTGGCAAAAATTAATGATCATAATAATCAAATAAGAATAGACTTTGAAATCCATTAGTTTAGAAACAACTTGTATAATACAAATAAAAAATCTAAAGTCAGTTTGACCTTACATTACATTCTAATTCCACTACATGGTCAATTTACTTAACCCCAAATCGGGAGCCTCAGTCAACTCATGTTATACAGGAATAATACAATAATCTTTATTTAGCAAGACTCTTGAGTATTATTGATAATGAATCTACTGTGCCTGTCAAAATTATATTACTTTTTTATTTTTCTATGTTTTTTCTGTATTTTCTAATTATTCTGAAATGACCATATGTTACTTACATTAAATTCATATAAATGTTATTAAACTGAACATAATATTTCATTTGCAGAATGAACTAAAAAGTCTAGTTGCTATTTAAAATAAAAAATAAAGATTGTAGAGCTTTTCATTCTCTGAATTATTATATTATTAGCAGATTAATATTGACAAACCAGAGTCTCATATTATCACACATACAGAATTTTTTTAACTGGACATGCAAAGTAGTAATTGGCTATACCTTGTCCTACCCCGCATAAATATCTCCTCTACACCATCACTGCTTTCAAGACAGAAGAGTTAACTTTAATGTGAGCATTGGCCGGCTCATCTTTCAGGCTTCTTTTCAATCATTTATGATTATTTTATCTAGTTACTTTCTCATTTATTTCTCCAGTTATGCCACAAACTATAACCTCCAGACATTTGCCACAAGTTAAACAGCAAATTAGGTTATTAATTAAAAACACTAATTCCAAATTGCCCAGCCAACAACATGCTACCAAATTATGCCTTAGACATCAGAAATGGAAACAAAAAATTTGTATCAACCATTTTAAATTTTATATCCTTACTAATGAGATAAGTTAAAATATTTTGGTATAAAAGTTATGTGAAGATAGTTGTTTTTAAGGAAATAAAAATTCCTTACATTACATACGTAACTATATGTAACTATATGTACACAATTATATGTGTATATATATATATACACACACACACATATATATAGCTATGTGAACATAGGTGTATAATTTAAACATATTTAGTAAGGTTATACATAAAAATGTTTCATATATGTTAATCCAAACATTAGC
The DNA here is from genome assembly GCF_000001405.40 of Homo sapiens. NCBI lineage: Eukaryota > Metazoa > Chordata > Mammalia > Primates > Hominidae > Homo > Homo sapiens. The sequence goes on from NC_000004.12 coordinate 33,560,905, forward strand.
TAATGATGAGACATTTTATTTAATGATTCCATGAATTCTTGACTCCATGATTTTCTAATATTTTATTTAATGTAATCAGCTGAAATGCTTTGAGTTGTCAGCAATAGAAATCCCAAGCTCAAAGCCTATATAATCTTAGAAAATTTTTAGAAGACACATTTTTAAAGTCTGCATTAAAGAGACATTCGCAGTAGTAATTAGACATTTATTTAAATATGAAGGCCAGGCATGGTGACTCATGCCTGTAATTCGAGCACTTTGGGAGGCCAAGACAGGAGGATCCCTTGAGGCCAGGAGTTTGAGACCTAGCCTGGGCAACATAGTAAGACCCTGTCTCTACAGACAAAACCAAAAACCAAACAAACCAACAACAGCAACAACAAGAAAACCATTAGCTAAGCTTGCCTAATCTAGAGGGTGAGATGGGAGGACCATCACTTGAGCCCAGGAGTTCAAGGCTGCAATGACCTAGGATCGCACCACTGCACTACAGCCTGAGTGACAAAGTGAGACCCTGCCTTAAAAAAAAATAAAAATAAAAATAAATTAAATAAAATAAAATTAAATTAATATAAAGAAAATAAAATAATATGTTATATTGTTGATAGATTTGCATGAGAACCAAAAACATAGTTTTTTGAACTGGTTTTATTCTACTTCAACAAGTGTCTTTGTCTACACTTAAAATTCTGCAGCATATTTTAAAATACGTCCTTTACAGAGATCTGATTTTTTTCTTCAATGAACATTATACATTGTTTAATTTAAAAGATAATGGGAAGGCATTATTCTGTAAAAGACAAAATGAAGGGATTTTAATGCAAATGTCAAGTTGCCTGTGTCTAGGATATAAGGATCTTACAACTTTAAATTCTATTTTCTTCTCACAGGTTCCTTAATTAAAGATAACGTTTAATCTGTTACCAAAGTCATATATGACTTTTTGAACAGTTCTGTCAGTGGCACCTACAAGACATACTTAACATTAAATAGAACGACAAGATAATCAATTACAAGGTCTTGGAAACAAACCAACACACAAACCCAGAGGTGATTTTACAAATACACCTGTAGCAAGCTGGACAAATGCCAGAGTTAAATAACAACAGAATAGTTAAGGAAACGCTTTGAATGGAGGTGAGTGAGCTTATCAGAAGGCACTTATATTTGCCCTTCTGTTTTGGGAAAATTTTGTAACTGCCAGGTAATAAATTGTTCATCCATCTGAATTTTTTTTTCAGAAGCCATTGCAAAGCCAGATGTTTCCAATATCCAGAATTCTGTTGCAAGCATAAAAGACTTAGGACACTTAGTCAGCATTTCACTTTCAGAAGTTTTGAAGGAAAAATATTCATGTAGTATTGTATTCCTGACAGAGATCTGCTATTTTTAAAATACATACGGCTGTATTTTCTGCCACACATTTTGCTAAAAACACCAATGTTCAAAACAACTACAGACATTATGATATAAAGGAGGAATTCATATTTGAAATAAGCAGTAAAATCTTCAGCTCAGGCCGGTTGCTGTGGTTCACGCCTGCAATCCCAGCACTTTGTGAGGCCAAGGCGGGCGGATCACGAGGTCAGGAAATCGAGACCATCCTGGCTAACACGGTGAAACCCAGACTCTACTAAAAATACAAAAAATTAGCCAGGCGTGGCTGTGGGCACCTGTAGTCCCAGCTACCCAGGAGGCTGAGGCGGGAGAATGACGTGAACCCGGGAGGCAGAGCTTGCAGTAAGAAGATCGAGCCACTGCACTCCAGCCTGGGAGACAGCGCAAGGCTCCGTCAAAAAAAAAAAAAAAAATCTTCAGCTCAAAATGTTATTGTTGTAATACATTAACTTGCTTATATCACTCATATTAGGATCATACACATTTTATCAGTCTCTGTTCTTCCTTTCATAGAAGCAGAGGTATTTTGCCACAGAACGATCTTCCATGAAATAGCCACCTCTGTTTTGCAAGATGAAATACCCTAAGCATGTTGTTAACCACCTTAATCTCTTTGGCTCACTTGATATTTTTTCTCCCTCTCTCCCTCTCTCTCTCTCTCTCTCCCACCACCCCCTTCCCGCCCACCCGCGCCCCCTCCTTCTCTGTCAGACTCTTAACTCAATGGACCAGAATCTGGTGGTGGCACGTGAGATCAATTTGAGGGTCATGATGAGACCAAAAGTTGGAGTCCTAAGACAGAGACTGTGGGAGACATGCAGTCCAAATACGATTATAATTTAATAAAACCCTAGGAGCGAAAAAAGTTTCAAGAAGTATTTAGGAGGAAAAACAATAGACACTGGCGACTGGTTGCAAAAACATTGAGGTTTTTCACTCATTGACATTCAAAAACTCAAGATCTTCTAACCCATTTACTCTCTTTTCTGGACGTGAGACAAATCCTCCCACATTGTGCAGGAAGTCTTTGTGTGGCATTCATGAAGTTACTACAATGGAGAAGAATATCGAGGTTCAAAATAGATTGATGTGTCTCTTGATTCAGTCTTCTTCAGTGCTTAATTTACATATGGTCTTCTTGCCTTAACTAAGGGAAGTGATAGAGCTTTCTGTGTCAAATAAAATCAGTTGTATTTTCATAGTGCCTATTAAATTTGACAGGTAAAGAGATGATGCTTTCAGAATAAAGGAAGAGAAGTCTAGGGCATTGAATCCTAAAATGACCTCTAGAGTACAGCTGAACAATATCATATAACTTTATTTTTGTACCTAATAAAGTAGAAAGATCTGCTGAGGTGTTTTTTATTACATTATGATTTATAATCAGCATCATTTGCTTGCTTCTGTGACAACAGAATTTTCCTTCTACCCTTTCACTCTTAACATCTAAGCTGCTTGATCTATTGTACATCATTTTGTCTTTTAATAACCAATCACAAACTTAGTCTTAGCCATAAGTCTAACTTTTATCCTTAAAAAAATTTACTAAAGGTAGACTGTCATCATGGTCACATTAATTGTAATGTTCTTGCCTATAATTACTTTTTCTCTTATTACTACTAGAAAATTTATCTGAAATTTGGAAATAGGCAAAAGACATTACTAGGCATGTTGTCAGTGCAATCCTGGACTTTATTTTGTCTTGGCTAGGCCATTTTACAACTTGGTAGGGCATTTAATTTATAGATTTTTGGCTAGGATAAAGACAAATTATTTTGGTTAAGCAAAACATACAATCCCAGATATATAATTTTTTTTACCTTGTTGTATTATAATCATTGATGTAGCTTACCCAGCAATCTGATCCTCCTGTACTCAAGCTTCTCAAATGCTTTTTGAGTTGGTTTTAAGCTCTCGCTATTTCCTTCATTATATAGTTGAATAAAATCTTATAACCTGTGTTCTTGTTTATGTGCATGAGAGTCTTAATTGTATCCTTTAAAAATATATTTTGACAATATTGCTCATTAAGCTACAAGCTCTATGAGAATAGTGTAAAATTGTTTTTAAAAATCTTAACGTTTAAGATAATATCTCTTAGTCTAGTGATATATATGTCCTTAATTACATAAATAAATATGTTAAGTGTAATATGAGGAAAGTGTAATGTAAATTATATACTTGTATTTATCATCGTGGTACAGACTGTGTAAAATTACTGCAATCAATTCTAGGTATCACAGCAATCATTTCATGACACAGTGAAGTTTCCAGAAACAATAACATTAAGAACTCCAGTTGCTAAATCGTGTAAAGAAACATAAACAGCAAAAACATAACATGATTTGTTGATGTGTATATGAGTACAGATGTACAGCCACAGAAAAGTAGATATGTACACTGTGGTATATTCACACAGTGGAGTGTTATACAACAAAATACATATGAATGTTCACAAATCTATTTTTTCTAAATGCTCCATTAATTCATATGCATATGTATAAGTAATATACAATAAGAAAGAGAAATTACTGCTTTGTTTTCTAAATACTGAATAGATTATTTATGTTATTCTGAAGTGCAATGGTTAGTTACGTATATGAATGTGGTATAATGACCTTATATCAAAATGAGGTCCAGAACTCTATGTGTATCGTTCCAATACTGAGAATCATCCATAGAAGACTGAATATTAAGTCATTTTCTAGATAAAATATTGCTTTATTAAAATGATTGTTCTAGTGATATAAGCATTACACATGTATATATGTTATATATACCATATAACTATGTAACGTTGCAACACTTAGGCTGAAACAAACTATTTAATAATATTTTAATGATGAAATCAGTGCAAATATGACAACTATCCAATGGAGAAAACGTAAATTCAGAGGCACTCTCCTATGTTGGAAACTGTGGCTAGACCTTCACAGGAAAGGAAATATGTGAAGTTAGATGTTCGGCCTTATTAGTAATTAGAAAAATGTTTAAAATTAACCTGAGATTCAATTTTCCAATCATTTAACTGATAGAAAAACCTATAAATTAAAAATGAAATATGTCAATAATAAGCATTGGAAATGATGTGGATTTACAAATTACGTGGGGTACAAATTGGTATAAACACTTTGGAAAAGACTTTGGCATTAACCGCTTAAGTTGAACATTCATATACCTTATAACCAAGCACTTCAAATTCTAGGCATATGTATGTGAATACTCTTTCACATGTTTAGTAGAAGATGTGTAAATGGCTGTTCACAGAACCAGATCACAGAACACACCAGAGTTCTCTAATATGAACACTGTGATATATTTATACAATAGAATGTTACATAACAAAGAAAACAAATGAACTACGTAGCATGGGACAACATGGAGGAAGCTTGAGCATATACAATTAAATTAAAAATTAAGTCACCAAAAGATGGCTTTTTATTAATATAATAATATTTAAAACCTCATGTATTTTTCAAGATTACACATAGATACAGTAAGTCTTTTAACAAAGGCAAGAAGATGGAATGCATAGAGCGTGTGTCTGGATGTAGGTTTTTGTAGGAGTCCTAATTTTTGTTTTGGATTATTGGTTCATAGGTCATAACATTGCTAAAAGTACATATATGTTAAATGTACTAAATGAAATTAAAACGGAGAAAAGTAATGTCTTAGCTTCATTTGTTAAGGATTTTCAAATTGTTTAAATGATAAAAATTCAAAAGGTGATACTAAAAATCTCTTAAATGGTTTGGGGTTTGTTTTACACATCAATGTCTAAAGTAATACATATTCATAAATTATTTTGCCACCTGCATGAGGTTCTGAGTTGAAAACATGTTTTTCCCTAACTCCAAATTATTTAATATCAGAACTTGAACTTATGTACCCATTTTAACTACTAAACTGGGAACACCAAGTATATAGTACTTCTCATAAATAAATAAACACACAAGTAAACCAAGTGTTATTTTCGAATGGATGTATTGATTATGGATATGTAATGTATTAATGTCTATATAATCCAAAGATTACATTTTTAAATTATAAATAAATATGCACATATGATATGTAACATCTGATTGTCTTGAGTATGATAATTTAACTAGATTAATTTTAGATTACCGTAAAAAATCATATCAAAACTAACTGATTTATTCACTTTTCAACCAACTCGTCTCCTTTGAGAAAAGCAGGTAAATTGACTTTTTTTTTTTTTTCCGATTTTGAATCCTTTTTGGAATGAGGTAGTCAAGTACATATTGATTTCAAGGATGGAATTGTAAATCTCAAAATAAGAAGACCCATAAAACCTATGAAAGTTATTAAAATCCAGTAGTGTTATTTGGGAGTTTATAAAATTTATTTTTAGCATTGTTTACAAGCTTTACAATATCCTCCCCCGTCTTTATCTAATGTCGAATATAGTTATGCAGTGTTCAGTGTGAGCAAAGGGCCTGCAAGTGCTGCATTGATAAGAGACAGAAATAAGACCTAATTTCACTTCTCAAGGTGCCCACCAGGGAGAAAGCAGAACAGCAAGACAAGAAAGCTTGTTTCTGGAGTTTTACTTAAAGAGCCAGCAAATTACTATGGGAAATAATTACTATTAGAAACAATAATAAAAATATATATTTATGTCACTAATTTTTATGCTTTTTTACTAGAAAATTTCTTTTGAGGCCTCAATAATAAAATATATTCTATATGAAGATTGGAAGCCATCAAGACCCAAGGCATTTATGAAAGCAGAACTTGGTTTTTAATTGTATTTTTTTTTTTTTGGAACACTGTAATATCTTTCCTGTGTATTCTTGTCTTTAACCTTTGATCCGGGGACATCCTCCTGCAGAGAAATGTGTAGTATTTAAAGAAAAAAAGACTTGACATTCTATCATGTTAATATACATATGTCTTTTCTTCGTGGAAAAGATACCAGAATAAACTCGAATCAAGTATATAGCCTGTTAAAAGGACAATATTTCCTATTAATTAGAAGCAGATTAAGAGTCCTTTAGTGAGTTTTCTGTCATGGCATATTTTCCAAAAAAAGGATTTTAGAATCAATTTCCTCATACATATTTTTTTAAATGTGATCATTCTAGTGTTTCTCCTTCCTTCTTTCAAAGGGAACCAGGAAGAAGAACTTGATAACAGGACCTTGCATAATTAATCGATTGATCACTGAACTTCATTGTCATATTTCTACGGTCAAATTTTGGGAGAAAGCTGTCGCAAATTCATCAGAGTGTAGCAATGCCCGAGTTGTAACTGAGTTCCATCTGGGTGAGCAGCCAGCTTATAACAATCTTGGAAAAGCTTGCAGGTTTCTCAAAAAAGCCTCAGGTATTGTTTTTGCAAAACCTGGGGCTTTTCTAAGATTTGTTTTTTCAGGTTGGTTTGTCTCAAAAAGCATTTTTCTGGAGCCTGTTACAAGAGTTATGGTGTGTCAAAGAATCACAATTACGATTTTTTTTTTCAGGTAACTAGAAAACATGATGGCTACTAACAGATATTTATCTCAGTGTAGCAGTATACATTTTCCTAAAATTACAAGAAGGTTTTGAGATGTTTTTATACATATAATAATTGCATTTTTAAAATGTCATTTTGGAATTAACACTCAATGAGTAAGAGACTGAAAATAACTTGCTAAGTGAATCTCATTTTATAATTAATATTTGTATATCAGGCATATATATTGGGAAATACATAATAGGAAATTAATTAGCTCTATTTGTAATATAATGCAAAAATAAATTACCCTTTAAAGGTAAAGTTAGTAATGTTCTGACTAAAACAAAATATATTAAATACATAAAGTGACAATATTTTCTTAGAAATGTTGGGGCAAAAATTACACAAATTTGTTGTCAACCTCAAATAGTAATTCCCATTTGAAAGCTGAAGTTTTTAGTTTGTGAGACACATAAATCACATTAAAACAATGTTAACACTTTTAAATTTATGAACATGTCTATGTTTTTAATCATCTCCTCTTCATCCACACACACACACACACACACACACACACACACACACCTTGACAATGTAATCCTTGAATTTTTTGTTATTTTTGAAATACACCATATTTATTGTAAATAGCTTACAATTAGCTGCAGCACTCTTTGAACTCAAACATAAAATTAGAATCACTAGGTTTGAATATTGGCTCTGTAAATTACTAGCTTTGATACTTTAACTAGCTTTATTTTTTTGATTCTTTGAAAAGCCACCTTTTAATTTTTTAGCTTGGGATTCTTTAATGTCCTTGCGCCTCATATGTGTTACCTACAAAATAGGATACAATAAAGTTTATTTCACATATATGCATAAATCAAGTAATATTATGAGTTTATGTTAAAGTGCTCTGGCCGGGCGCGGTGGCTCACGCCTGTAATCCCAGCACGTTGGGAGGCCGAGGCGGGTGGATCACGAGGTCAGGAGATCGAGACCATTCTGGCTAACACGATGAAACCCCGTCTCTACTAAAAATACAAAAGATTAGCCTGGCACGGTGGCGGGCGGGCGCCTGTAATCCCAGCTACTCGGGAGGCTGAAGCAGGAGAATGGCGTGAACCCGGGAGGCGGAGCTTGCAGTGAGCAGAGATCGCGCCACTGCACTCCAGCCTGGGCGACAGAGCGAGACTCCGGCTCAAAAAAAAAAAAAAAAAAAAAAAGTGCTCTATATGGCGTAACATAAATTTTTATAAATATTTATCTATTATGTGCTTAGTATACTGTTAAACTCTAATGTAAATAAAAAAATACGTATTTATGAAAGAATTGTAAGCAATTTGAGAGAAGAAACAACCACATGGAGCAGTCAAGTACTGACACAAATTAAAGCAAATAGCGTAAGATCAGTGATAAATGCAACAAAATGTTACCAAATTTCATAGGCCTGGTAGCTCAATGTGGCATAAAACTATATGGGAGTATATAACAAATGTGTAGATCCTGAATTGGACAGCTAAAAAGATCGTATATTTGAGGCATAATCATTTTGATGACTGAAAGTAGAAAATGAATTAGATGAATTAACACTTCAGAGTCTTGAATGGTAAACTAAGAAGCTAGACTCTACTTCAGAAGAGAATAGAGTCTTGTATGCTTCTGAGCAGGATAAATATTATAATGCCATTAGGTCTATCTAGACAAATAAATTTGGCATTAGAATGACAGGCTAATTTGCCAGGAAATGCAGTGGAAATAAAAGAGAATATGTCTAGGAAACAATTTCATTAGCTTTGGAAATCTAGCACAAATTTCATTATTCAAAATTATCTTACTTTGGGTGGTGTGCATTTCATCAAATAATAAATAAGTCCACATGAAATTTGACCAAATCCAAAAATAGTAGTCATTCTGCCAAAAGCAATTATTTGCCTAAGGAACAATCAAGTGCCTTTGTCCATATTCACCTTGACGATTTATGATTAATACACTCAGAGTGTTAATAATTTGGCAACTTATCTCTTTAATTTCACTTCATTATTCTAAATTGCACTATTCTATTCCAGTGCTAGGACTCTGCACATTATTATTATTATTAATTATAATGGATACTGTAGTCATGATTCTGGTGAATGAGAGATTATTCTAGATTCTGGAGGTGAGATCCTGCTGTCCTCAACAATTCATCATGAGAAAAGTAATTAAACAACGGAGTTAATGAATTTTACATAGAACTCTTATATGGAATCTTCTAAGTGTCCTTATACTTAGGAAGAGTAGAAAGAGGAAAAGAGAAGGAGAAAAAAAATCTGGGAAAGAAGTATTGGCTATGATCATCTGGTCACTCCAATTTAGTGGAGAGCTCAAAGTACTGGAGAAAAACATCTGGATTTTAGAGTAGCTAGTCAAATGCATTAGGTTTATTTTGTATTATATTTAAACCCTGATAAGAATGATGTTATCCTGAATATGTTTCAATGGCAATGTTAACATGTTAATGTGAAAATAAAACCGGTGACATTCTTTTAATTTTGTCAAATATAAAATATAAATATCAATTGTTGACTATATTCTGGATTGTCAGAGTAGTTCATCACTGTATATGATCCTATAAAAGAATTACTAAAAATTTTGAGGGCCAGGTACGGAGGCTCATTCCTGTAATCCCAGCACTTTGGGAGGCTGAGGCAGGTGGATCACTTGAGGTCAGGGGTTCAAGAATAGATAGGCCCAATGGTGAAACCCCACCTCTACTAAAAATACAAACAAAAGTAGCTGGACATGGTGGCGCATGCCTGTAGTCCCAGCTACTCAGGAGGCTGAGGCAGGAGAATTGCTTGAAACTGGGAAGTGGAGGTTGCAGTGAGTCGAGATCGTGCCATTGCACTCCAGCCTGGGCAACAAGAGTGAAACCCTGTCCCCACCGCCAAAAAAAATCTGGAAGATCCCATTTCGGTTACACACTAGATGCATGCATAGACCTGAAATTTTATTTATTATAGTTCTATGCTATTTCATGGAGAAAATTAGTATTTTTACCATCTTTGCCATGATTGGGGTTGAAAAAGAAGGAATTATGGCAGAAGAAAATTATGACTAAATGCTTTTATGGTATATCATTATTTAGAAAATAGCAATGTAACTAAAAATAGAAATATGCTATAATATAATGCAATGCAAGGTCTATTTCGTCTCTTCTCAAGCTGTAATACATAAAGGAATCAACTGAGAATCATGTTAAAATAAACATTCTTATTTAGTTAGTCTGTCATGGGGAATCTTTGAAATTCTTCATTTATATCAAGTTTTTAGGTTACCAATATTCAGTTTGTAAGGTTATTGTTTTAAATAAATTTTTAGCATACATATGCTTTTCCTTGGAAGAAATAATTTTCATAGTTACTAGAAATGAAACATAAACCTATTGAAATACAGAATAATTTTGTATATCTCTATAATGCATCCCTAATCCCAACTAGGCGGTCTACAATACATACTTATTCTTAATAGTGGTGATGATAACTTCTGTACAAAATTTGCTTTGGTTTCCAAGACAAAAAGTCCTGTATTAATTGCTAGATTTCAATGTTCAAAATCATTTTGAGAAAAATTACCTTATTTCAGGCCTTATTTTTGTGTCTGAAAGTTGGTGTCTAAATCCTGTTTTTTTTTTTTTTTTTTAGTTGTGAGACCTTGGGAGATGGTTCAACCTCTTCGTATTTTGTTTTTTTGCAGATAAAACCAAGATAGAAATTGTGCCTCATAATTGATATTTTGAGGATTCCATGAAGTAATAAATTTATTATGTGCTAAGAAATATGTGCCTGGTATGTTGATTTTTCTAATTATTATTTTATATGTGATATATACACATACATGTAGGTCATATATATAAAGTTATGATTCATTCTAAAAGTTTATAAGAAGCTGATTTTTATTGTATTGTAATTTAAAATCTGTAATTTCTGTAACTTATGATAAAATAACATTTTACCTTTGTACTCTCTTAAGAATATAGAATGCTTATAAAAATACAATAAAGTATAATACTTAAGTTAAAATTCAGTACTTGGTATGCTATTCATGAGCAGTAGTACTGACATTTCATTTTTCATAATACCAGCTGAACCTTTTCATGAGTTGCACCGTTTACTTAGTTGAACAGCATGTAGCACTATCACCAATAAAATATCGCTTACTTGTGATTGACTTTATACACAGCAAAGCACTCACATCCTCACAATCATGATTCTTTATATAACTATTAAATTGTATATAAATAATGTTACTGCTATATTATTCCTATGAAGAAAAATATCAGTTGAAACCCCTTTAGAATTAAAAAAGGAAAGACACAGGAAGAAATTCCCTTCGTTTTTTATTTTTATAATGTGCACTTAAAGGAACAGTGAAACACATCAGCACATACCAAAGCTTTAGAATTTTTCCTTAAAAATATAAGATTGAAGAGTTTACTTAATTCAACTTTGAAATTTACCATAGCCTATTAACTGAAGGCATCCATTTTTTCTATAATATATCTAATCATTCATTCAACAAATAATGATTCAGCACCTCCTATATTCTGGGACTTGAATGTAAACCAGACCACTGCAGTGAACATAATAAAAACCCTCCTGAGTAAAGATATACTCTTAAAATACATATGTGTGTCTGTAATTCTAGACTTGAAAATCGATGAAGCCTTCCTGGAAAAGGCCAAGTGTAAACAGGATCCCTATTAAGTTCTCAAAGCCTAAAACTGCCTGCCTTCCACGTATTTTCCTTCAGTGTAAACTACATAGGAAACATAAGAGTTTTGCTTGTTTCTTTTTAGCTGTCTAATTGTAAATCTTCAGTTCATGCCTCTATCAGTTTTTCTCTACATGTTTTCATTTGTGTGCTTGTTGTCAAAACAATTGATCACAAGATGTATTTATGCCTTATAATTAAATAAGAAATTTTAAACAAAACTATCATGTATTTGTTAATAACCAAGTAAAAGTAGGCTAAACTCTTAGTCTGGGAAGATGAAAATGTGGTGATTAAGTGATATGTGGCAACCATATGTATTATTTTCCAAGACTGATGGTGTGGTTATGTTTTTATATTTAATTATGTGTCTACACAGGAGCAGTAGTGTTTTGTCATCTGCCAGCTACAGGCTTGGGTATGACATTCCCTGAATTAGTATTTGGGGAACCTTCGAGTATTTAAAGGTGCTCATCACATGTCTTAGTTATCTCTTTTTTTTTCTTTTTTTTTTCTTTTTTGAGAATCATAAAAACTATGAGAAACATTAAGCTTTCTTTTCAGAGTTTGTTCATTGGATGTAAGATTCTTGCCCACTGCCCCCACCACCCCACCAATGAATTTGGGCTACCATCTTATACCAATAACACTGGAAAGTCTATTTTTCCAAAAGGTTCACTGTGTGTAAAATATTCACAGTTTACCAGGCAGGCAATTACATATTGTATTCATTTAATGGAATTTTGTGGTTTCACATGTAGGCTGTAGAGTCAGGCAACCTGGGTACAAATAATAACTCAACTACTTAGCCATCTTTCACATTTTCTCTTAAAATTGTAATATACCACCAATGTATTTTATTTTATTTTTTTTGAGATGGAGTCTTGTTCTGTTGCCCAGGATGGAGTACAGTGACACGATCTCAGCTTACTGCAACCACTGCCTCCCAGGTTCAAGCGATTCTCCTGCTTAGCCTACTGAGTAGCTGGGACTACCTACAGGCTTGCGCTTCCATAGCTGACTAATTCTTGTATTTTTGGTAGAGATGGGGTTTCACCATACTGGCCAGGCTGGTGTTGAACTGACCTCAGGTGATACACCTGCCTGGGCCTCCCAAAGTGCTGAGATTACAGGCGTGAGCCACCATGCCTGGCCTATTTTGTTATTTACTTATATTTGAATATTCTTAACTCTGTTATTGTTTTATGTAAACAAATAGTTAAGAACTTTCAAAGATAAGTGTATTTTCACAATTAGTTTCATGATAATTTTTGCTGCATCTTATCCTTGTAACAAAATGTTATATAACCTCAGGGAAGAAAATTATCTTCACTGACACTTTATCTTCTAAAAAAGATTTTTAATTGAGGTGTAGCAAAAATAAAACATTAAATCTCAGTGTACAAGCTGGTGAGCTTTATACACCTATGTAATCATATTAATTATTGTAGCATTTTATTCTTAGAAAATAAATATACATTTAAACTTAGAATTTCAATGTGAGAAGTACACATGAAGATTTTCATTCCAACTTATGCGTAGAATACATAATTATATTTAAAAGTGAATATTCCCATATTGAAAATTACAACAAATCTTGTTTGTCTGTTACATGAATTATATAGATGGCAGCCTATGTGATTGTTAAGATCCAAACTCCAAATATTTGTTAAGATGTAAACTCCAAATATTTTCCTTTGTATTTTTCTGTGTTATTCCACTCAAATATGTGTTGTGCATAATCTTTAAAACTACTGTGAACCCATTGTCATATCAAATGACTCAATAGTTAATCTTACAATGAAAAAATACTAAAGATTGACTTTAGTCCACCTGTCCAATCAGCCATCTAATCAAAGCAAAATGGACAATGATGAAGATCTTTGTCTCACAAAATAATGAAGTCAGAATTTGGGCAAGAGGAGACTGAGAAAATAAAAATCAGTTGGAATGCTAAAAACCTGTCTTGTCTTTTATATGGCTAAAATAAAAAACACAGACAAACTAGTTGAAGAGTTAACTGGCAACAATATTTCTCCCAAGGACATAGTGATATGTCATAACAAATATCTTCTTTTTTTAACTTTTGTTTTAGGTTTGGAGGCACATGCGAAGCTTTGTTTCATAGGTAAACACATGTCATGGTAGTTTGTGGTACATATTATTTCATCACCTAGGTATTAAACCCAAGTACCCAATAGTTATTTTTTCTGCTCCGTTCCCTCCACACATCCTCCCCCATCAAGTAGACCCAGTGTCTGTTGTTTCTCTGTGTTCCTAAGTTCTTATCATTTAGCTCCCATTTATAAGTGAGAATACGTAGTATTTTGTTTTCTTTTGCTGCATTAGTTTGCTAAGGATATAACCTCCAGCTCTATCTGTGTTTGTGCAAAAGACATGATCTTATTCTTTTTTATGACTGCGTAGTATTTCGTGTTGTATATGTACCACATTTTCTTTATCCAATCTGGCACTGATGGGTCTTTAGCCATGTGAAAAAAGATCAGTATCACTTATCATTAGAGAAAGGGAAATCAAAACCACAATGAGACACCATCTCACATAAGTCAGAATGGCTGCTATTAAAAAGTCAAGAAATAACAGATGCCGGTGAGGTTGTGGAGAAAGGGAACACTTATACACTATCAGTGGGAGTGTAAATGAGTTTAACCATTGTGGAAAGCAGTATGGCAATATCTTAAATTGCCAGCAATCCCATCACTGGGGTATACATTCCCAGAGGAATACAAATCATTCTATCATAAAGACACATGTACATGAATGTTTATTGCAGCATTATTCATGGTAATTATCTTCTTTTGAGTGACTGTTTCTAACTCATTGTGAAACATTGCTATTTAAAAATTTTACCTTCACATATTAATTCTCTGATGCTCTTCCTTTCTTTATGTAGATGGACATTTCTTATCTGTACTATTTTCCTTCTCTGAAGAACTTTTAACATTTCTAGGAAAGCAATCTATTGACAGCAGATTCCCTGTGTTTTTGTTTGTTTGAGAAAGTCTTTATTTCTCCTTCATGTTTAAAGGATAATTATGTAGGGTGTAGCATTCTAGGTTTTTTTGTTTTACTTTTTGTTTTGTTTGTTTGTGTGTGTGTGTGTGTGTGTGTGTGTGTGTGTGTCTCAAAACTAAATATTTCACTGCACTAACTTCTTGCTTGCCTGATTTCTGAGAAGTTAGATGTAATTTTCATCGTTTCTTTCACATATATGTAAGGTTTATTTTCTTTCTCTTCTGGCTTCTTTCAAGATTTTTTCTTCATCTTTGATTTTCTGAAATTTGAATATGATATGACTAGGTGTAGGTTTGTTTGTTTGGCATTTATCTCGGTTGCTGTCCTCTGAGATTTTGGATTTGTGGTTTGGTGTGTGACATTAATTTGGAGAAATTCTTAATCATAATTCCTTCAATTATTTATTCTGTTCCTTTCACTTTTTCTTTTCTTTCTGGTAATCCTGTTATGCATATGTTATACATTTTGTAGTTGTCTCATAGTTCCTGATTATAGTTGTCTCATAGTACCTGGATGTTTTGTTCTAATTTTTAGGTCTTGTTTTCTCTTTGTATTTCAGTTTGGGAATTTTGTATTGTAACATCTTGAAGTTCAGGGATTCTTCCCTCAGCCATGTTCAGTGTATCAGCCCATCAAAGGCATTCTTCATTTCTGTTACAGTGTTTTTTATCTGTATCATTTCTTTTTGTTTTTTTCTCAAAATTTTCATCTCTTTGCTTACATTATACTTCGTTCTTGCATATTGCTTACTTTTTTCATTAAAGCTCATAGCACAATTATCAGATATGTATTTTGAAATTCCTGATTTGATAATTTCAACATTTTACCTTATGTGAGTCATTTAACCTTCTTATGCTTACTCTGTCTCTTCACAATGTGTATTTTTTGTCTTAGTATGACTTCTAATTTTTGCTGAATGGAGGATATGATGAATCTGAGTTTAAAAAACTGTGGTTAATAAGCCTTTAGTAATGAAGAGGTAAGGTGTGGGAAAGGGAAGTGCTCTAAAGTTATATTATTAGGTCACAGTCTTCTGTGCCCCTGGACTATAAGCTTAAAAGATGCTTCTCAATTTCCCTATTGCCCCACTGTAGGTGGAACAGGGGTGCTACAGGGAGCTGGAGTCAGGTATTTCATTTCCCCTAGCTAGATTAGGATCTAATAAAACACCTTTGGTAAAATTGCTTTTGTAAAATGTTTTCTCCCAAAGGCAGGTCTTGTTAGGAACAGCATGGTGTGGTGTATTTAAAAATGGTGCCTTTCCCTTTCACTGCTGGAAGCATGAAAGGATTTTTCCCTGACATTCATAAGACTTGGTAAAGATCCTGGAGGTGAAACTCACAAAAGTGTAAACTACGACTAGGTCCTCTAGAGTTTTTCACTTTCAGACTTGTGCATTCTGAGCCTTCAGCAATTCATCAACTAAAGTTAGGTTTTCCTATCCTGGGAATGATACCCAAGGTGGCTTCTGCTCATAACTTTCTGTTCCACTAAGTTGGGATACTCTGTAGGTGCCTGTTTGTCTCTTCAACTTTGGGTATAGCAGTTTGCCCTGTTACCTCATTTCTCTGATAAACCTAAGAAGAGATGATGATTTTTCAGTTTGTTCAGCCATTTACTGTTTGTTACAATGGAGCAGTGACTTCCAGGCTTCTTACCCACCAGCTTAATAGACTTTTGTCAAAGAAAAAATTTACTTCATAGGTGTAACAGGCAAGAAAGACATTACTTCAGACTAAAAGGGGAGAGAGATTAAAGAACTCTGAGAGAACAAAAAATAAAGGTAAGATAATTTTTTTTAACACTGGCAACATTGAGTAAACTAATGAAAAAGTACTAGAGGACATTGCAGGGAGGTTGGTCAATGTGGTTAGTTCATCTCTGTTTGCTAACAGTAGGTAAGTAGAGTTAGACCACTATCTTCCCACAGAGGCTGGAAGAAAGGAGCACTATCCCCTTAGATGATTGTGTTTTAAAGGGTTGACTACAAGGTTCTTAAGAAAGACATTTCTGGGTCATAGAAGATTTACATTTCAAAGGAGCAGAGAAAAAATCTACAATTGTAAGTATTCTAAAGTAAATAATAAAACTGAGATCAAGTACTTAGTGGTAGGAAGAAGCCTATCTACAGTTAGTCAAGTTGAGAGAAACATTCAGGCTACCTTGGTCAATTTCAAATCTATTTTCTTCAGTTATAAAAATATTAGTGGTCGTGAACCCTTACCTGCAGTAACCTCAATTCTTCTCCCCTCAAAAGAAAGAATTTGACCGAGGGGCATGAGGCAAAAGGAGAGACCGAGGCACATTTTAGAGCAAGAGTGAAAATGTATTAAAAAGCTTTGAAACAGAAACAGAGATGAAAAGAAAGAAAGTACACTTGGAAGAGGGCCAAGTGGGCAACTTGAAAGATAAGCGCACAGTTTGAACTTTGGACTGGGGCTTTACATGTAGGTATACCTCTCCACTCACCCGTCTCCTGAGATCATATCGGGAAGCTGCTGATCAGTTTCAGGTGTTCTCTATCAACTAGGAGCCTGCCTTTCCCTGGCACCGGTTGTGATCAATTATTACTTTAGAGAGACAGTTAACAACAGTTTGACTATCACCTGATGGTCACCAGATACTTTTGGTTGGAGGGGGTAGCCCTCTCCTGCCTTGTTCATATCAGACTAGCTACCCACTGTAACAGAAATACAGTCAATATAACCAGATAAAATAGAGCCAATACTTCACATTAGTTAAAAAGTGTACATTGGAGAGGGAAACCCTAATGCTTCAATCCAGCTTCATTGTCTACTTTGTATTAAGTAACCTATCAGATTGCTTTTGTTCCATTGGCAATTAAGACGAAAAGAGTGAAAAGTTATTCCAACTTGTAATTATTTCTTTCATTTCTGTATTCAGTGTATCAGCAGGTCCTTTATTAAGAAATAAAGTTAACACTTATATTTGTATCCAGGAAAGATGTGAAATTAATGTACTTATTTTACTGCAACAAGATTCTGGGTAACTGTGAAAAATTTTCCTCCAGGTCATAAATTTAATTAAGTGACAAAATATTTCAGAATATGGCAATTTTGGAACAGTAAAATATTTATTGATGGAATTCAGAATAGCTGACATTTGGAGATTAAGGACCCTTCATTCTATTTTCTATGTAAGTGTCAGTGTCACTGACTTACTAGTTATTTCAACATTGATACACACTCAAATTATTGTCTTTTATTTCCTTTGCATTAACTGTAATCTTTCTCCTTTTTGAAATGTTTTTGCCATTTCAGTAAATCATCATATATTGTCTAATTTTTTGATTAGCTCAAGCTCTTCCTGAAGGTAAAGCCTTCCCTGACCATTGCCGTTGAAGGCAATTTCTTTATCTTATTAATTCACATAATTTAGAATCTGCATCACAATTTGGCACATGCTGTTTACTTTCTTGCATTGTTTTGCTGTTCCGTGCAATTACTTGCAGGTGCCGATATCAGAATATCCCTTAGGAAAGTGAGAATGTATTTTTTTTTTTTTACTGTGATCATTGGAAAAATAAGATAGTTTCCTGTCTTCCATATTCTCTTTTAGGAAAAGGAAAGGAGGCTGGGTGCAGTGGCTCATGCCTGGAATCCCAGCACTTTAGGAGGCCGAAGCAGGCGGATTGCTTGAACTCAAGAGCTCGAGTCCGGCCTGGGCAACATGGTGAAACCCCATCTTTACACAAAATACAAAAATTAGCCAGACATGGTGGTATCAGTCTGTAGTCCCAGCTACTCTGGAGGCTGAGCTGGGAGCATGGCTTGTACTCAGGAGGCAGAGGTGGCGGTGAGCTGACATCACACCACTGCACACCAGCCTGGGCGACAGAGTGAGATCCTGGCCCAAAACAAAAAGGAGGTGAGAAACATGTCAGTAACTTAGGAAATGAAGTTTCTTTCTTATACTTCCCCTTAGGACTATTTTTTTAATATGTTTGCTTATTTTGAGTTGGTTTATTTTGCGTGTTTTCCATTTTTGTTATGGAGTCAGACTTCAGGAACCAAGGATACATAGCATAGAAGATAAACTGTCTAATTCACGGTGCCAGCGAAGCTAGCAGCAAATCTGAGGCACTGAACAACATGAGAGATCAGGGTGGGAAAACTAGACTGAAGAAGACAGGGACACAGAGGTCTGAGACTGTGGTGAGGGCAAAGGTCCTCTCCAAATAATTGGATAGTCCTTCTAGCCAGCTTTAGTGATATAACTCATAGTTTAAAAATTTAAAACTGACAAGATTGTTTTCACGTGTAACCTAAATCATTGGTTTATAGTAATTTGCCATTGTTTTTAAATTTTGTTTTTGTTTTGTTTCATTTCAGCTTATGAAATGTTCAAGTCATTAGTATGAGTGTTAGTGGGGGGAAGTTGAGGGTTTGGGCTGTTTTGTCACTAGCTTCAGAGTCCCATATATAGTCGAAAAAGAAATGGAGGGTTATAACAAAAATCAAGCAACAGGAAGCACGTTTAACAAGATATATTAGGCTGCTAAAGTTTTATCTTCATAACAACTTGTCACTATGATTTTTTCTTTGTTTCTGTTTTTGGTTTTGGTTTTGAGATAGAGGCTCAATCTGTCGCCCAGGCTGAGGTACAGTGGCATGACCTTGGCTCACTGAAACCTCCCCCTCCAGAGCTCAAGCAATCCCCCCACCTGGGACCTCCCAGCTGAGTCCACAAGCACATGCTACCATGCCTGGCTAATTTTATTTTATTTTTTCTGTAGAGATAGGTTTTCCCTGTGTTGCCCAGGCTGGTCTCAAACTCCTGGGTTAAAGCCATCTGCCTACCTCAGCTTCCCAAAGTGCTGAGATTACAGGTGTGAGCCACTAAGCCTGGCCAACAACTTGTGGATATTGAAAGGGAAAAAAAATCATGAATTATACTTATTTACATCCCTTTCTAATCTTACCTTTATATACATAGTAGTTGCTCAAAATAATTTTTGAAATGTGTTTATATTAATTGGATAAATATTAAGTATGGGTTGATATACTAAATAGATGATAAGCAGAGAGTAGAGTTTATGTATTAAGATATATGTTATATTAATAACACTCATAAAATTTGGAGAGGAGAAAGAAAAACTAACAAGAGCTGAAAAAACCGCATGATTTTGTTTTTAACATTTTAATTTTTAGAAGTATTGAATATATAAGGAAACTTTACTTCTAGCCATGATGAATAAATATGAATTGGATCTATTCTCTTGCCTTAAAGACAAAATATATATATGAAACAATATATTTTAGATACTGTAAACAGTCACATGACAGTCATACTTGCGAGAATGAATCAAATGAGAATTCATCACTGCCTCAGCTTACGGTCTGAAGAGTTTCCAAGACATTATGTGAGGGGGTGAGGTGAAGGACCAAAAAGAGCCCAGCTGTTAACATGAGTTGATGAGAAACAATGTCTAAAGGCCAAACTGACTATTATTTCCAGGGCAGATCACCAGGGACGAGAGAGCTATATAGAGAGAAACTTTTGGAAATCTAAGGAGCTTCCTCCTTGGATCTTCGTCTAACTATTGATTGGTGCACATTCATGACGAAAATATCTGAGAATGAGAAATAACTACCGAAAAGGGGCAAATAAAACAATCTCCAGAACTCCCACAGAGTTGAGATATTCCATATTTCACCAGGCAAAATGAAAAAACATCTTAATGTACTGGGCATTGAATGGAGTACTCAGAATAAAATTGCCTCACTGAGGCACAAAATTAGCCCTAGACTAAAAGCTGCTCTTGTCCCAACTAATAAAGTATAAATGCAAGTCTCAAAATGACCAAACTGTTCCCAAGATATTTTATTGTGTGTCAATAATATATTAGTAGAAATTTTAAAAATTGTATATAAAATAATGTAAAGTTAATAATTTTATATGAGTGTAAAACAATGTAAATTAATAATGCCTCACACTCAATCACAATGGCCAAGTATGCCCTCAAAGGTAGGAAAATGTGACCTAGAGCAAAGAGTAAAATAAATCAACAAAATGTGACCCTGGAATGAAACAGATGGTCAAATTTATAGATAATGACATGAAACAGTTATTAAAATATATATTTCCTATGTGCAAAAAAGTAGAGGATATTATGACTATGTTATGGAGAGACATCAAAGGGATGGAGAAATTAAACCTCAGAGAATAGAAAGTACAGTTTGTGAGATAACATTTCACTACATGCCATTAAAAGCAGATTAGACGTCCCAACAGAGTGGAGTATTTAACTTGAATTATAGCAAGAAAAAAGAACAAAAATACTGAGCAATGCATCAAAGAGTTTTGGCAAAATTTTCTTAAGTAGGACACTGGAAACATAAACCACAAAATGGAAAAAAATAGATGAAAATTCGACTTCATAAGAAATAAAAACTTCTGATATTTGAAAGATACTCAAAAAAGAAATGGAAAAACAAGCTACAAATGACATATTTGATATATATTGGACAAATGATATCAAATGATATATTTGACTTAGGAATTATAACCACAGTATGTAAAGAACATCCAAAACTCCATTAGAAAACAAGCAATCCAATTTAATGTCCAATTTAAAAAAATTGGCAAAATATCAGGACAAGAAAGTCAAGGAAGAGATAAGAATGGCAATTAAGAAAATGAAAAAATACTCAATGTTGTTAGAAACTGGGAAAATGCAAATTAAAAGCAAAATAATATATCATTACACAATAATTAGAATAGTTCAGAAACTTCTTAAAAAAGAAAAACCTAAATACTGGAAGGATATGAAACAACTGAAAGTCATACACATTGCTGATGGAGTGTGAAATAAAACAACCGCTTTGCAAAGTATTTGCTGGATAGAATCTTATAGAATTCTAATTTTTTAAATGTATGTATTACTATTGTTAACTTGCACAAGATTTTTCTAAATGTGTACTCACATGTTAAACAGAAGCTTTGCTAATTATTTTATTTACTTATTTATTTATCATCTCAGATTGTCTATCTGGAATTATCTTTTGTTTTACTTATATACATTCTTAACAAATTTTTATATTCTTGTAAAGTTTCTTGATTTTGTTTATCTGATCATGATTTTGTTTTAGTTATAATCTAGGATTAAAAGTTTGGTCAGAAATATTTTCTTAGTACAATAAAGACATTTATTCTAATATCTTCTAGATATCATTGTTGCTTTTACTAAGTTGGTTTTCAGTTTCAGTGATATTTTTGCACATAATTTTTTGTTTGGTTGATTTTTCTATTCTGAGACTTTTTTTCTTTTGGAGTTTAGCGAATTTATTCTGATGTGTTAGAGTGTGGGTTTTCTTGGGTATTTTTAAGATTCCTAGATCTAAGAATTATTTTTATACCATTATGGAAATGTCTTAGTAATATATTATTAAATATTCCATTTTTCTCCATTCTTTCTATGATCTCCTTCAGAAAACCCAATTATAACTGTTGATGGCCTTGTTATGCTAGCCTGTAAATCCCCTAACCTCTTTGTCAGGTTTTACTTACCTTTGTCTCTCTGAGGCACATTTTGGTTATTATGTTTCCTGTGTAGCTTCTACTCCTTCTCAACTCTGTTTGTAATTTTAATCGGTTCACTGAATTTCACATTTTACTTATTTAATTCTATAAGTTGTATAGTTGTACTTTTATACTACTTAGACTTTTATGTAGTCTTTTTTATTTTTCAAGCTGAACTTTTAAAATTTAAATTTATTAAGCATAAGTACTTATATTGTAGAAATGACAAATATTTTTGAAAATCATAATCCTCTAAGAATTGAATTCTGCTGTTTATTCTGTTTTTTCACCCTTGATATATTGACTCCTATGCATTCTTTAAAAATGCAAGAAGCTAATAGTCCTTGGAATTTTATCTTTGGAAAATGTTTAAAACCTAAAGGGAGTAATTAAGATTACTTATTCCCTGACGCCTGGAGGCATCATAGACTTAAAATAATTAAAAATGTTCTGTTTGAGGCTTTTTGGACCCCATAGGTAGTGTCTCTTTGGATACAAACACAAATGCAGGCCAATTCTGACAGTAATATTACAGCCTTGAAAAAAATTTATTTGGAAGTGTTATTCTGGATATTTAGTCTGGTGTATATATCTTTAAAACATGGTTATTAGTCTTTTATATTTTAGCTGTTAAAACACAAAACACACTGTCAAAGAGCAATGTATGTTTTAATCCATCTCCAATGCTTATTGTCATTGTCTCATTTTGCCATGTACACACAAAAACTATAGTTGTCAAAATGTTACTGGAAATATTCCAGGAGTTTTAAATGAACAAACAAACAAACAATAGATATTTTTGTCACAGTCATTCTGGTAATCAACATAAAATTCTGCTCTTGCAGAGTACAAATGGAAACTTATGAACAAAATTTATAAATAATTAATTGAATATCCTTGAGATAAACAAAAATCACTTTTATCAGTAATGGTCTAGGAGATGTATTCCAATGCTCTTTGAAGAATTATGTCAATCAGAAAATTTAAATTAATATTGTTAAATTAAATTAAATTTGGCCTAAATCTTTCTCTGTTTCTTTAGTCCCTAGGTAGCAAACTGCAACTTAACTTCATATGAAAACAATCTACAACTGTAACATATTCTGTAACAAATAACTGAGACTCAGTTAATTATAGCAGCTGGGCTTTAACCAGTCATGGGATGACAACTGATCAGACCATGTATCTGTATAAGGCAAGTGCTTCATCACACCGTGGCTGAATCAGGTAAATTCTGAGCTATAATCTATGTTTCTA
The DNA here is from genome assembly GCF_000001405.40 of Homo sapiens. Classification (NCBI taxonomy): domain Eukaryota; kingdom Metazoa; phylum Chordata; class Mammalia; order Primates; family Hominidae; genus Homo; species Homo sapiens. Next base: position 33,584,347 of record NC_000004.12, read on the forward strand.
TATTTCATTTCCTTTTTCTGTCTATAAATGCTACCTGCCTATGTTACTTGATGAAACTTTGTGAACCTCAACTGATTCAGGGGGCTGACCAATTCATGAATTATTTTTGCTAAAATTAATGCTGCCAAATTTAATTTGACTAAATTTTTGTTAACAGCATATCATTCTATTTACATTAATTTTTACTAAGATGAAGGATTGAATTATTTACAGAAAATATGACATTGTCTACAAATAGTTATAGAATATATAAAAATATTTCTAAAGAATTTCATATGTTGGTATTTTAGTTACTTTTAAAAAACTTTACAATGACCAAGTATATATTTGTAAATGATATATAAAATATATGTAAGTGAGTGTATTGTTCTGACAGAGCTTAATGGACAGATGACATGCAGAATATTTAGAGTCCAGCTTGAGAATAAAATGCCTTCTTTATTTTCTGAGAATACTCACAATTCTGGGACAACTTTCAGAAAAAAAATACGAAGATTAAAATTTCTATAAGAGTGTTTTTTTTTTTTTAACTTGGCAATTTAGGCAAACATTCACTTCATTGGTTGAACTAATAATTTTAATCAAGTTCCTTATTTGATGGCCCATAAAAATGGGCTTACGTTTTAGTCTGTGTCCTGGAATAAATTGAATGAGAATGAATAATTTATAATTTATTATGTTTGCTGTTTTTATCAGAAAAAAATTGTGTTTGCTTAAAATGTATAGGTTTTCTAACTGAAACCAGAAGTCTAAAATTTTATTTTTTAATTAATGTCAGAAAATGACAGGAACAAATGTGGTTTAAGAGAAATGCTAATTTCAAAATATTTTTTAAATGCGTTTTTTATTTTTATGAGTACATAACAAGTATGTATTTTATGGGGTATATGAAATATTTTGATACACAAAATATTTTTAATAGCAATGTTATAGAGATATGTGTAAGGGAAGCTGAAGTAATGGATGATCTGAACTATTAAATTATAAATAAATATTATAGGATATTCTGAGGGCAGTAAATACCTAATTGGTTTTCCCTGTTCAATTTTCGAAGGAGCCTTGGAGCTAGTTTATACGAGTAGTCTTGCTGTCTTGCTTTATGGACCTCCTAAAAGCATAATTATGTAAATTATCTCATATTCCAAAGGGTTTAAATGATAAAATGAGACTATTAGATTAAAAAATTGATTTCATATTTCATGGCTTAAAGATATATTTTATATTAAAAAGTCCTGTATAGCATATTTAAAATTAATTTTAATATTTTTTTAAAAAACATAATTTTAAAACTCAAAGTCAAAGTTATATGTGTTGAAGATTGAGTGCTGGGGGAAGCAGACTCTAAGATAGAGATTATTTTGCAGAAAGTTATTTAGGGTTTGCTGGGGATCAAGACCTGTTGGGGAAGAGAAGGAGGCAGGATTGGGCAGAAAAAGAAATTAGACTGCAGTGTAGCTTCAACTAATTGTACATAGTATTCTTGAGTGGTGATGGCTCTTCAGAGAGTTCTCTTGCTGGCCAAGAAACCAAGCCTTTATATACCCCTGTGATAAGCAGTCATAGGATTTAGATACCCCTGGAGAGAGGGCATGACTTGGCTGAGGCATCTGTTTTCAGCTGAGGTTAACCTTGGAAAAGGCTGACCATTGAGCTGTCAGTCAGCAACTGGGGGAATATGTCACTCCATTTTGAAGGGGACTTGGGGAGTCATCACAGCATCCTTCACATTATCTGCCATTTATTGTATACTATGTTTCCTCCCTGTGCTCAATGCTTAGCATGTATATTTTAGTTTATGTTCAGAATATCTCTGAGGCTAAGAAATTAATAATCCTACCCAAGCTACCAGCAAGTAGGTAGTACACCTACAAGTTTGGAGTTTATGTTAAGAATCAACATTTAATTATACTTTGCAATAGTGCTTTCTATTAGTACGTTCTGAAAACATTTCTTTTTACTATATTCTAAATTCTATTTCCATCTTTAGGAATATAGAGATAAGGAGAAGCTTTTCACGGGTCATAAGCTCTTGGAATGCAGAAATGTTTGCAAGGCAGAAAGACAATTATTATATGTATCCAAGGAGTCAACACACATTAAAATATGTGTTCTGAATTACTATATTATGAGGCTCCTCAGGCAAAAAGCAATGGAGAATGCCTTCCTATTTTCCTCATTTTATCTTTTCTTTCCTAATGAGCTTACAGTTTCTTAATGCTGTATACCAGGTAGGTTCATCTGCTATGGCTGATTCCTGGCATTATAAAGATATGCCATTTGAAGCTATTATTTAATGTTATCCAAATTTTTTATTTATTCTTTAATCGTGTCTATGTGTGTGTGCGCGTATATATATATACCATAAAAATTAGGTATATATTATAATAAAGTATATGATATGATGTATAATAGATAATACAATAAGTAAAGTATATGTGTTTTCTGCCTATAACACTTAAAATTATTTCATAGTTACATACTCTTTGGAATTTTCTTGTATCTAATTCTCTCCATCTATGTAATTGTTCTTTTTTTTTTTTTTTTTTTTTGAGTCGGAGTCTCGCTCTGTCGCCCAGGCTGTAGTGCGGTGGCGCGATCTCTGCTCACTGCAAGCTCTGCCTCCCGGGTTCACGCCATTCTCCTGCCTCAGCCTCCCGAGTAGCTGGGATTACAGGAGCCCGTCTTCACGCCCGGCTAATTTTTTGTACTTTTAGTAGAGATGGGGTTTCACCTTGTTAGCCAGGATGGTCTCGATCTCCTTGTGATCCGCCCGCCTCGGCCTCCTAAAGAAGTGCTCGGATTACAGGCGTGAACCACCACAGCGCCCAGCCCATCTATATAATTTTTCTATACCAATGTGCTATAATCTGTTAATGGGACTTACGTCTCTTTATTGACATTATGTCTTCAATGTGGGCCAATGTTTAAACTATGATAGCAGCTTTTTATTTTTGTGCCTTTTTGTTTTCTGCATGTATTGACTCAATATTTGTAAAATCCTGAGTCTAAATCAGGAAGCATTGCGTTAAACAGAATGTTTATGATTAGAGGTACCTCACAACTTTTATTTGAATTCCAAGAATAATGTTGATCAAGTCACTTAAATGCATTTAATTGCCTTTACTGTAAAATAACAGTAATGTTTTTTATTCTGACCTCACACATTTTCTTCAAAGTAAAAAATAATGTAAGTAAATGTGTAGAGAAACTAAAGACAATAAATTAGAATTTTTATCATTACAAATATTTTTTAATTAAAATATTTTTGTGATTTATTTCTTTGTCCAAGCTTTTTCTAAAAAATGACAGGTCGCATCAGCACAAATTATCTGAAGTTAAGTTGCTGCTAATCTCTCTGAATTGATGCCCTCCAGACCTACTCTGTAACTGTCATTCCCAAAGTGCTGGTTTATACACCTAATCATTTCACATATTTTTACCTGCCTCTTTGCTATTAGCATTGGTATTTAAAACTTCTGCTTTAGATCACTAACTCTTCCCAGTTATATCTAAGATTCCATCAAACAATATACTTAGCCAGTATTATACATGATCCTTGTAAAGTCGCATTCACAAAATAACAATTTAAAATTTTGCTCCTGGTTTGCAAAGTAAAAACCTGCTCTCTTTTTAAATGTTTCTGCATTAATTAAAATTGCAAATGTCAGTACTAAATATTTTTCAATATTTTATTGTTACTCCCAAACTTCATAGAAATACCTTCATGGGAAATCTGTCTAATTTGGTTATAGGAGAAAATAATAATAATTAACATGTGATTATTCAAAATTCTTCCTTTTAATAATGGGAGTTGTGCAATTTCTAAAACTCTACTCTTGTTTCTGGTACTATCATTAGGAGAGATTTTAACAAAATTATTCATATGATTTTCCCTGGTGCATGATTCTTACCTCATCTATCTGTATTTTGTTTGTTCTTTTCTATCTATGTTTAAGTTCTTATTACTTTAAATTATCCAATTCAGAAGAAAGGAAAGAGGGAGAGAGGGAAGAAGAAAAGGAGAGAGGGGAAAAGAAAAGAAAGGAAGGAGGAAGGAAGAATTACATCTTTGTTTAATGTGAAGTGCATGCTGTTTTTGGTAATATAATTCCCCTTCTATGAAAAAATTAACTTCTTCACTGTGAGTACTTAATTCTGACTTTATAGATTTGAAAAGAATAATAGAATTATTAATGCTGGAGAAAAAAATTAAAGATTATTTGCTCTGGCCTTCGTATTTTACTCGGAATATTTTAATAACTTGTCTAAGACAGCTGGCACAGCTGACTAATATTCAAGTGAGAATTAAACCTTCAAACCCTACACCTTTAGATTCCTAGGCCAGGTTTCTTTCTGTTATTTAATCCAATCATCTTTAAATCTTCACAGCTTTAAGCAACATCGCTGATCTCATTTATACTCAGGATGATCACAATATACTGAGGTTTTATGATTAATCTTGTTGCCATATCTCATTCTTATGTTAAAAGGCAAATTCCAATCTACAAATTTTTAATTCACCACTTGCATAGAAGTGATAACTAACTTTGCTATCATCTTTGGGACTATGTCATTTGCTTAAGAATCATGTTTCTGTGTGTGAAAGGCACTGAATTTATTCTGAAGTTGCATCTTTTAGTGCATGGATGCTAATTATCTGTGACATACAAATTAGTGATTAGTGATCATTAGCAATAACCTTAAATATGTAATGCATAATGATTCTGTTGCAGTCATTTTTATGGCTATGTTGAGAAAACATAATTTATCTGTAACATTTTACTGACTTTAAAACACATATATAAAGTATATTTTTTAATATAGAGGCAAAATGAATATAAAATTGTTTAACTTCTAGAATTTATTTTTCAGTTAGAAACATTATATAAATAATTATATTCATTCATTTCAAGACAAGAGACACACCTCTTATTACAGAAGAAATATCAAGTAAGTTTAAGAATATTATTTTCTTTTTTACTGTTTTGCTGTTTCTTATCATTTTTGGTCTACACTTAACAAATATTTGGGCTCATAATCTGCTCTAAATATATGCTAGAAGACAAAGCTGAAGGCTTGCCCCTAGGTAGAATATAATCTTTCTGTATATGATGCATTAAATATATTTATACCTGTTATTATGTCCTATGTGAATGATTAGCTAGTTAATTGATTAACTATTATAGCTAGTTACTTAATATAATTTATTAAGCAAGAAAACACAAAGGAGACAAAAATGACCATAGATACCATGTCTATACCGTGTCTCTGACTTAAGTAATCACACATTTTAGAAGAGAAGACAGACTATTAAACAGATAATTGCACTGTGAATTTGATAATGCAATGCAATATGAGCAACTGCTATGGAATTACAGAAGACAGGGTAGCTTTGTGTGCTCAATTTAATCAGATATACTTTATCAAAAACATATTTGTACTTCATCTGGGTGGTTAGATAAGGTTTGTGAGATGGGTAGGTGTTAGAAAATCATATATCTGTAGATAGAAAGAGAGAAAGAAAGAAGAAAAGAAAGAAAAATATCAACAGCATGAACAACAGCATGAAGGGACTGAAATGACAGTGGGGAATGTCAAGACTGAAGGAAAGGGCAGGAGGAAATGGGAAAGAGTATAAATAAGTTGGGAAAGCAAGTTTCAACAAGATTTTGAAGGCCCTTTTTGTGTTAATGAATATGAGTTTTTCCTTTGGATAAGAGTAACAATGATGTCATATGAATTGAAAAATTGCATAATAAGACTTTGATCTTAGGAAGACAACTACAGTAACAGAATAGAGGAAAGGCTAACTGGAGAACAACATGGAAACAAAAAAAATGGCTCTTTTCCTAAATCAATGTGAGAAATAATGAGCAATTGTATTAAGGAAATACATTGAGCATGAAAGGAAGGAATGGTTTATTTTAAAAGGTCAGAAGTCTTGTTCAGATACTTATTTTTATTGATATTTGCTGTTAATAAAGTAGTGGATCAGTAAAAATTAAACAGCTAATATAATTAAGGAAGAAAATGGACTGAAATGGAGTCTGGGACAGTGATAAATATGGGATACAATCAAAACAGCTGAAAACTCTAATGTCTAAAAAGCACTTAAAAATTTTTAAGATGTTTTGTGGTTATCAGAACAATGGCTCCCAAAGACATCCGTGCTCTAACCCCAGAACCTATGAATGTGCAGATGTGATCAGGGAGGTTTCTTTTCAGGTCCCACCTTGGATACCAAAATTTACAGATGCTCATGCACCTTGTATACACTGGCATAGTACAGTTAGCCCTCCACCGTTGGCCCTCTGTTTTTCTATTCACGTTTGGTAGAATCCAAAGATGTGAAATCCACATATGAATAGCAGAAATGGAGGGCAGACTGTACTGAATTTGAAAGGTGGAGATTATCCTGGATTATGTGGGTGGGCCCAATCAAATCATGTGAGCATTTATAAATAAAGACTCTATTCCAGTTGTGTTAGAGAGATGAGATAGAAGAAGAGTAAGGAGAGATAAAAATATAAGAAGACTCAATCTACTATTGTTGGTTTTGAAGATTGATGAGGGGGCAACAAACCAAAGAATGCAGACTCTAGAATGTGTGAACTGCAAGGAACAGACCTCATCTAGAGTTTCCAGAGAGAATGAGGCCCTGCTGATATAGGAGTTAAAAAGAAATTATTTAGGCAAATAGCAGGGTAAGGAAGTTCTCAGTAAGGTTTTCCTTTTAAAGAAAAGCAGCCCCCAGATCATTTCTTTTCTAACAAAGAGCAGTCTGTAAAATTGAGCTTCAGACATAGATAAGCAAGCTGGAAGCTTGCACAAGTGAATGCTGGCAGCTGTGCCAATAGGAAAAGGCTACCTGGGGCTAGGTATGTCCAATATGGCGGTTCAATCTTCCATTTTCCGTGTCAACCATGTGCACAGTAAGGAACAGGCAACATGACACTAACCAAGTAGAGATCCCCATTTGCATAATAAAAGATTAGGATGAGGTGGCCAACTTCATCATGAACTACGTAAATGTCACACCTGACCCAACCAAACTTAGGCCCTATATATATCAGACATTGCCTCCTCAAGCCTGTCTATAAAACCCTATGCACTCCACCACAGGCTGGAATTCCCATTCGGGCACTCCCTCTCTCAAAGGAAAGAGAGCTATTCTCCTCTCTTTTTCTTTCACCTATTAAACCTCTGCTCATAAACTCACTCCTTGTGTGTGTCCATGTCCTTGATTTCCTTGACATGAGGCAACGAAGCTCAGGTATTACCCCAGACAACACCACCACTTCATTTTGGGGACTTTGTCCAGGTTCCCAAGATACATTCATTGAAACGGTGAGTCCATGAGTGGACCCCAACTCTGTCCTTTCATTTTGAGGCTCTCATCTTCCATTTTAGAATCAAATCATACCAAATACTGGGCCTCCTTTAGCCATTTGAAAGCAATTAGCATGGCTGCCAGCCTTACAAGACTTGGAGGACAGGCTTGCTGGGGAGAACATGGAGAATCCCCCAGTACCCATGGGTTGCTGGGCATATTGGCCTCGTTTAAACCAGTTTCCTTTCACAGAGGACACAGCCATTGTGTGAGGCTAGAAAAAGTGCTGGAGTCACTGAGGATTTCTGGCTGGGGCTACTCCCTGGTGTTATTCAAAGGCTTCTGGACTGACCCCAGCCTCCAACCACCTGATCATGTATCAGCAACAGGACCTCCAGCTTTTTTATTATAATTTCCTCCTTTCCTCTATCCTATCCTCTTTCTGTATGAAATGTGCAAGATTTTTAGTTCAGGGAAGTAATCTGGACTAGGCAAGATCAGGAAATGCCATAGAAGCTGGGAATGAAGCTCAAGGGAATGCCATTTTTTGTGTGATTTTCTAGGAATAGAGGATCTCCCCCACTCCCCACAGTGAGTGTCTCTCTCTCTCTCTCTCTCTGTCCTTGGCCTGGAGAGGACATGGTATTTCAAGGTCAACACCATCACCTAGTGGAATAGGAATCCTCTCCATGAGGCATATTGTTGGCCCTTTGCCATAACACTCTAGCTTCTCAATTTTCCCTCCTTTTTGTGCCCCTAGAGGCCAGGCTTTATCCCACTTCTGTAAAAGAGAAAACTCTGCCTTCAACAACAAGAAGAAAAACGTCTTCCAAAACCAAATGTTAGCCTCAATACTGTCCCATCAGCAGGGAAACCACCTTTCAGTCACTCCATTCTTTTAAGGCATCTATTCTTCCTCCAATTAAAATGGCACCTAAATAGTCAGGGGATTTTAAGCCTGGAAGTTAACCAGAACCTTTCTCTAAGAAGAAGCACTTTAGCATGGGCCATAATAGCAGGATATATAAAGTTCAATCTAGCACACTCCCTCCATTAAACAGGGTAGTGCAATAGTTGCCTAAATTCAACTATTATGTAGTTTTTCCTGAGATCCATCTTTCCAGGAGACACACAGGCCACATAAATCTAGGAAGTCAAAGGGACATCACAAGTGGTGAACCAGAGTCACATGGGTAAGCGTGAATAATCCCAATCTCTTAGTTCCTCTGGTTCCATGGCTGGAGGTCATACCTACCTGCAACCATGGGTGGCATGTTTAACAGTGTGTTGGGAAGTAGGAACAAAGGAGGGAAAACAGAAGGGGGAAAACCTCCACCTTCTTCCCCTCCAACCTGGATCCCACCAAAATATAGGAGACTAAAGGGACGCAATTTTCTCACTTCACTTTCTGGATGGGTAACAGACCATCTTCAGCTTGCACCTTTCTGGAGTGTATTCTGAAGCATAGAGACTCCTTTGACCCTGAGACTTTGAAGAAAAGGCAGCTCATTTTCTTTAGCGCAAGGGTGTGGCCTTCTTACTCTCTGACACAGCCTGACCTATGTAAGGCAGCTTTGATTTTAACACTTTTCAACAATCATATATTTCCTGCAAATGGAAAGGCAAATGGTCCAGAGTCCCCAATGTACAAGCTTTATTTGCCCTGCAAGACAACCCAGACCTTTGCAAGTATTACACAATTGACCCAGCTTTTTCAACAATCATATCAGGCAGTCCCAAAAGGAATAAGTTTCCAAGACGAGAAAAGCAATTTCTGGGAAAATTATCTGCAGCAGCTATTGAGTGTCTCATACCTTCCAGTCCCCCTTATCTGGGCCCACCTTCAACTAGGCCACCGGTTCCTCCACTTCCACCATCTCCAACATTTCTCATTCCCCCACCTTCACTCCTACTCTTACAGGAAATGCCCAATGGAGGTGATCTCACTAGGGTTCAAATTCCTATCGCATTGCAGGACCTTAGGCAAATAAAGGGAAAACTAGGCTGATTTTCTGATGACCCTGATAGCTATGTAGAAGCTTTCCAAAATATAATTCAGGTGTTTTACCTCTCATAGAGGGATGCTATGCTGCTCCTAAGTTAAACCCTAACTGCAGCTAAGAAGCAAGCTGCTCTGCAGGCAGCAAAGAATTTTGGAGATGAGCAACATGTCTCCTATAGGAGGTCAAAAAGAAAAGGAGAAAATAGGGAAACTGAAGAAATAGGGGAACCATGATTCTCAATAAGCAGAGAGGCAGTACCTCTTGACAATTCTAGTTGAAATCCTCAAATGCAACTTGCAGATACCCAGGCCCTTCCTGGCCCCCAATCCACATAATTGGCTCCTCCAGTTCTACCACCCAAACCCCCAAATTTATGGCATTTTTTCCTCCTATTTCATGGTTTAAAATGGCTCCAATCTCTTCTTTTACAAAGTTATTCCAACCTGGGAAAAGTTAATTTCCCCAAACCTTATAATGCTTGGCTTAGAGTAGAGTTCAGGGGAAGGCAACGCAGAAGCCTGACATGCCGGAAAAAGAGTAAAAGGGTTTTTTGTTTGTTTTGTTTGTTTTTTTACCAGTTGGGCTTTTGGTTTCTCTCTACCTGTGCAAACTGGTAAAAGGGATCATGAGGATCACTGTTTATATTCTCTGTGAAGTTTTAATTGGTGAAAAAGGATATGTGAAGTTGGTCTTAAGCTGTAGCCAGTCTGGTGTGCTTTGCATGTCTTTCTGTATGGTTCTGTCAAAAGAAAGGGTACCTTAGGTTAGGATGCAGGCCCAGGACCCCATAAGCCTGCTGTTCAAGCCAGCCCAACAAAATGGTCAGTAACAAACTTTGTTACAGGCCCCCATCTTGTTTTATGTCCTTGAGAACATGACCTGTAACCATGTGGTAATACTGTGCTTTAGTTTCTGCCATTTTACAACGGTGGCTGTCTTCTAGTGCTAATTCAGTTCCTGGGGGTGGGGGGGTGGGGCCAGAAAATTAGATAAGCCAGTTTATCAATCTGGGTGGTGCCAGCTGATCCATCCAAGGCAGGGTTTTCAAAATGTCTTAAGCACTGATCTTGAGAGTAGTTTAGGGAGGGTCAAAACTTTGTAGCCTCCAGCTGTGTGACTCCTAAGCAGTAGCTTCTAATCTTGTGGCTAGTTTCTTGGTCTGGTCTCCAGGCAATGGGAAGGTTTATTTTGGGAAAAGGCCACTGTCATTTTTGTTTTGTACTATATACTGTAAACCAAGCTCCTACCAGAGGTAGTTCAGCCTACACCCAGGGATGGGCAAGGGCAGCTTGGGGGCTGGAAGCAAGATGGAGTTGGTTGGGTCAGATCTCTTTCACTGTCTCAGTCACAATTTTGAAATGATGGTTTCAAAAGCTGCTTACCACCCCTTTGAAAACACCTTGTACACTCATGGTTAAGTCATAACCTAATTAAGGCTTGTTGATTTCACCTGTGAGTTTACTTTTTCTAACGTTTAAAAGCCAAAAATCTTCATGCTTCACATGGCTAAAGTTGAGTAACAAGGAATTTAAAAGGATTTTCTTAAAGATCTCTCAGTTTAATTAAAAATGAATATCCAAATTATAGGTATATTTAAAAGACCTTTATGTTTTTCTCTTCTTAGGTTTGTTTTACTGGAAAAAGGCTTTCTTCTCAGTTGACAGAATTATTTTTCTCTATTTTGTGTCTTGCCATTTTTTTGTTTTTGAGGTGGAGTCTCACTACAACGCCCAGGCTGAAGGGCAATGGCATGATCTTGGCTCACTGCAACCTCCACTTCCTGGGTTCAAGCAATTCTCCTGCCTCAGCCTCTTGAGTAGCTGGGATTACGGGCACCCACCATCATGCCTAGCTATTTTTTTTGTATTTTTGGTAGAGACAGAGATTCAGCATATTGGCCAGGCTGGTCATGAACTCCTGACCTCAAGTGATCCACCCACCTCGGCCTCCCATGTGTGAGGATTACAGGTGTGAGCCACCATGCCTGTGTCTTGCCACTATTAATGCACACATGAGAGGCCCTAAGATAACTTCTGGTAGCCTGGGACTCTTTGGGAAAAAGAGAGGAGGCATCACAGACCCCACTTTGAAAAAAGCTCTGTTTTCATGAAACCCCATGTATTAAAAATTAATGAATCCCTCTCAAGATCAAAGGCTCTGATCTGTTTTGCATTGTGTGCATGTTTTGAGTTTTGGGGGTGTCAGAAATTACTTCACATTATGAGAGAGCTTTGGTGTGTAATAACTAGGTAGGACATATACTTTAAGAAATAGCTAACAGTAGTTATGAAGAGATATTAACTCTTTGCACATTTGTATCAGAAAAGCATGCTCTTGGCCACCTGGAAGATATGAAAACATCCCCTCCCCTCATTGAGAGATGAGACTCCCATGGGAAATGGGCTAGTTACAGAATGGGCTGATTGGCTTTGGGTTGCCTTGCAATGAAATTCACAGTAGAAGCATTGTGCTGTCTTCTCTCATAGTATTTTCCTCTTTTTGGAGATGCAGGATCCACTAGAAAATTGCACCCTTAATTTTAGAGATCTGTTTTTGCCTTCAGCGGTGCCTGTTTATTAGGCCCTAGAAATGCATGCTTTCCTGGCCTTGTTCTTCCTAGGGCTCCACCTCGAAGCCAGTAATCAAATTAAGAAACTGGCAAATGAAAATTTGTACAAGTGCTGAATCTTCTGTCTATCTGTATAGCTATATATGTGTTGTGTGTAATGTCTATAAAAAGAGTCCTAATTGATTGGATTAAAGAAAAATAAGCACTTAAATCAAATATTTTTAAGGAAAAATAAAAGCTGTAATGCCTTTTAGTTCACGTGACTATGATATTTAAGAAATAAGTATAGTCTTAAGGAATATTAGTAAATGACAAGTGCCATAAAAATGTAAATAGATGTTCTAAATCATATGTCAGATATTAGGTTTGCTAAATGTGTCAAGGTTGTATACTGCCTGCTTTACAACTTGGTAAGGCCTGGGGACAAACAAAATTAGCTACACCCCTAACTCTGTCAGAAAAAGTCAGACTTTATCTGTACCTAGCTAATAATCAAATCAACTTGGCAGGTTTCACATTAATGTTCAAAATTGCTAAAAGTTATCATTATAATATGTAGTTTAAGTAACTAAAAATAGATATACATGCAAGGTGTATAAAAACAGTAAAACATGTTTTTACTAAAAGATTTTAAGAAGGCATGGAAATGTAAATTTTGCCTAAAGATGAAGGATTGTCTTTAATTATATAAGATAATACTGGAGGTTTAAGCAAGTTGTGGAAGGATTGTAAAAATTAAAAAAAAATACTTGCAAAAATCCCATGTGTAAACATTAACTAAATTCAAAAGGGTACTATATGGTCTTTTCATAAATTGAGCATTGAAATAAAAGCACATTTATATTGTCTTAAGATGCTAATCTGCCCTACAGCAAAAGAGGTTGTAAAGGGTTGTAAAAATTTCACCGCTGTGTCAGATTGGTTAAGATTCAATGGAATTGTCTATGAAATTTCATTAAAAATTGGGGTTAACATTAATAAATTTATGCAAGTGTAAAACTTGGCTTTTAACAGGATTTTTTATAATAGTTAAGACTACTAATAAAAGGATTTTGCTCTTTGAGTCTTCATTTTGGCAAAATACATAACCTGTGGTAATCTAAAATTCTGTTTCATAACATTAAGTGTTCTAAACCTCTGACATATTTAACAGCCTTCCCAAAATCAAACTTCAAGTTTCAAATTTGTCTTTCCTGATGCCTGGTTGTCTGGATGTTTCAGAGGGCCCCTGGAACATCCAGAGAAGAGGTAAACAGTATTATTTAACATGTTTAGTTACATGGGATTGCCAAAATGATGGCCAATCTTGTTTTGGTTATATTTTGGTGAATAATACTAATATATGTTCCAAGATTGTATGGGATTTCTGAATTCTAATATCTAAGTATATGTTATCAATCATAATTAAGGTTAAAGTTATTGTAAACCACAGAAGTAACCAAATATATTTGTCAGTTGTGTTTTTAACTGTAACTACCCTGAAAATTTTATCATTTGCAGACAATTGTTGTCTTGACTTGTTTCTTTTCTAAAGATCATTTATAATAAGGCTATAGGATTTTAACAGGTGTCCTCAAATGCAGAATTTTAATAGCTTTGAAGATTGTAACATTTGAATAGAGACAAAAATATACAAGACTCATGAAGAGCTTAAATGTCCATGAATATAAAAACAGGAGTTAACTGCATGAACTACACTAATAGAAGTCTGAACTAATCTTTTTTCACTTTTTCTTATAACGTAGTTAATTCTTGTTTTGTATTCAAAGTCAAGGAAACCTTTCTTTTAAGCTAAGTAAGGTATACTTCTGTGAACAAAATTTGAAGTAAATTTGTTTTTCACTGCCAGTTTCCTCTAAAATTTGGAAACCATTTGTGAGTATTCTTAAGACACAATAGGCAAAACTGGTTGTTTTTCCAAGGCTTTGACTGGAAGGATGTGTTTCCCTTTAAGGAATCAAGCTTGATTTTCAGAGCCACTAAAAGCCCTTTGGGGAGACTGGCCTCTTACCTTTGCCTAGGCAGTCCCCTTACAGGGTTTCTGGCCTGTGGTCATTAAAGGGTGTTGCTTTCTAACAGATCCAGGAGCTCCAGGCTTATCTTGGGACCTTAAGAGGAAAGGATCACCCAACTCACAGGTATTTGAGGATACAAACCCATGGCTGGGCTTGGCTTTAAAAGGCCTTACCTGAGATTTCTTGTGGAACAGAGTTCCATCGAAGCCAGTACAAAAGGCCTACATAGAAATAATTATTCTTGCTGCACTTTATGCTAATAATCAGGCCAAGCATAGTTCTATCATATATTTTTTTTTTACCAAAAATGAGGACTGGAGAGAGAAAAGTTATGCAACAAAATTTATCATATATTTGCCACTAAATTCTATTGTCACTTGGTTGTTTTTAAGTTTTTTAACCCACATTTTATACTAATCCTGCTTATTCCTGAGAATCAAGTAGTGATGTCCTGCAGCCCCAAAGAAACAGAAAGGGATGGGTAATGTAAAAATCTGGATCAATATTCTAGCTCTGGGCAATTATCCTGCAAATCCTGCCAGGTGATAAAAGTAAATAGGGTGCCCATACTTGCAGGTTTCTTTGTTTGGGAAAATAAAGCCAAGCACTTCATAGACCCTCAAAAAGAAATTCTATGTATTGGCAAGTAAAATTTTAGATGGAAATAATCTACTATGCCACCCTTGTGGACACTGCTATACACACTCTACTATTTGCAGTAGGGCTAGACATGGTAGCACCTTCTAACTAAAATATCAGACAGAGAGTTTCCATTGCTGTAGTATTTTCCTTAGTTATTATCCTTATATCAGGGATAATAGTCACCAACAAGAAGTAAGCAAGAAAGTTTTACCATCTCAGAGTCTGCTAGGACTTTTTATTGGGTTTGTTAATATGTCACACCCTAGCTATGAAAAGCATGTTATAAAGAAAAATATTTTATATAACAAATATTTCATGTGGTATATTCTTGTCCTAAAGACAATAACTAGTTGTTTAAAAAAAGGGATGTTTAGGACAAGTCAGAAAGTTTGAGCATGTCATAGATTGTTTGTGGAAGTCATGAAAAAATCAGTAATTGCGGGAAAGATTTAGCCAAGGTTAACACTAAGGTTTCTCTAGTCACCCAAATCCAATTCCACTTATCCTAAAAAGAATGTTACTATTATAATATTTCAGCAACATATAGTTTAGGCAAACTAGTACTACAACCCATTGAAACAGCTGACAGCAATCACACTCCAAGTGGTGCTGCAGACAGAACCACACACAGTCATTGCTAAACATAGACATAAACCTTTCTTCTGAGGATCTAAGATCAATTGCAAGAGGAGGTCTAGCTGCTGTTCCCCTCAAAACATCCCTTTTCACTTGATCTTGGACAAAAGGCTGAGAAGAAGAAAGTAGCCAGAAAGAGTCATTGTTCAACACTCCCTAACAGCAGTTAGGGTTACCACTCCTGAGGGGAGAATGATATAGGAATTAGAAAGAAATCATTTAGGCAGATAGGGTAAGGAAGTCCTCAGCAAATTTTCCCTTTTAATTAAAAGCAGCCCCCAAATTATTTATTTTCTAACAAAGAGCAGCCTGTAAAATCGAGCTACAGACAGAGAAGCAAGCTGGAAGTTTGTATCCATGAATATCGGCAGCTATGCCAATAGTAAAAGTCTATCTGGGGCTAGGCATTTGTAACATGGTGGCTCAATTTTTTCCTTTCCTTGTCATCCATGTGCACAGTAAGGAGCAGGCAACATTATGCCCATGAAGTAGAAACTCCATTTGCATAATAAATAATTAGGGTGGGTTTGCCAGCTTCCTCGTGTGCTTTGTAAATGTCACACTTGGTCCAACCAATCTTTGGGCTCTATGTAGCTCAGACACCACCTCATCAAGCCTGTCTGTAAAACCCTGTGCACTCTGCCACAGACCAGAAGTCCCATTCAGGCACCCTTCTCTTTCTAAGGAGAGAGTGCTATTTTCCTCTCTCTTTTGCCTATTAAACCTCTGCTCTTAAACTCACCCCTTGTGTGTGTTCGTGTCCTTGATTTCCTTGGCATGAGGCAACAAACCTTAAGCATTACCCCAGAAAACAACGTTGCTTCACTGCCAATATCTGGATTTTAGCCCAGTGATCCCCATATTGAACCTTTGACTTGTAGAACAGTGAAATAGTAAATGTATGTTTTTAAAGCTGTTAGATTTGTAGTAACTTATTACATCTGTGGTGGAAAATGAATGCAGTTATTTAAATATATTATGAATTATTGAACCTTTCATTTTAAGTGATTTGATTTATAAAACGTCCTTTTCTCTTAAACTTGGACAAAAATCAGACCCAAACCATCAGTAGGATATGACATTAAAAAGTATAAGTAACACCAGTATATAAAATGGCTGCTTTTAAGTTTGTAATAGTAATCACAGCTATTATTTATTGAGTACTGTTAACATATGCCCAATTGGACAGACAAAATGGACTCTGCATAGCTAACTGAGGTGCTCAAAGTTAACACAGAACCATGCAATAATGGCTGAGTCAAGGAGCAATCATGTACTTTGTGTTTTCAGAAATATGTAAAAGTATCACAGGACCTCCTTCTCTACAGTCACACCGAACTAGTTTCCCTTATCATGCCAAGATAAATTGTTGTCAATTTGATACAGTTTGGCTGTTTCCCCACCTAAATCTCACCTTGAGTTGTAATAATTATCACATGTCAAGGGCAGAGCCAGGTTGAGACAATTGAATCATGTGGGTGGTTTCCCCTATACTTTTTCTCATGCTAGTGAATAAGTCTCATGAAATCTGATGGTTTTAAAAATGAGAGTTCCCCTGCATAAGCATTCTTGCCTGTTGTCATGTAAGATGTGATTTTGCTCCTCATTCATGTTCTGCCATAATTGCAAGGTCTCCCCAGCCCTGCAGAACTGTGAGTCAATAAAATCTCTTTCTTTTATAAATTACCCAGCCTCAGGTATGTTTTTATTAGCAGCATAAGGACAGACTAATACACAATTTATCAGGGCTTAATTTTTGATAGGGTTTGGCTGTGCTCCCACCCAAACCTCAAATTGAATTTTATCTCCCAGAATTCCCACGTGTTGTGGGAGGGACCTGGTAGGAGGTAACTAAATAATGGGGGCCAGTCTTTCCCATGCTATTCTCATGATAATGAATAAGTCTCATGAGATCTGATGGGTTTATCAGAGGTTCCACTTTTGCTTCTTCTTCATTCTCTCTTGCCACTGCCATGTAAGAACAGCCTTTTGCTCTCTGCCATAATCATGAGACCTCCCCAGCCATGTGAAACTATAAGTCAAATTAAACCACCTTTGCTTCCAAGTATCTATTATGTCTTTGTCAGCAATGTGAAAATGGACTAATACAATTGTACAAACCAATCAGAGCTCAGCTGTATTTACCAATTAAAATGTAGCTTCACCAACCAATCAGAACTAAGTAATTTTCAATCCCATGTTTGCATAAATAGACCAGATTGGGTATCTGGGTACACATTTTGCTGTAAAACCCAAATACTCTATTTGTTATTTGGAATCAACCATCATTTTACTTGAAGGCTGTATATCCCAGGTTCATAACCTAATCACTGAAATAAAGTCTCTTTCCCCCAAACTCTTTTCAGAGAACTTTCACTCACAGTAGAAGCTATATTTCAGACAGTTTGATATTAATGCTATATATTATTTATAAGCTACTAATTCACATTTTAATAAATTTAGGCACTTTGTGAGGGTCTTTATACATCATAAAAAGTGGCCCATTTTTATAATTTCTGTAGTATTTATTGAAATAATGGCAACTACCATTAATATGAGGATATGATTCCAGTAGGCTCTAGCTTATTTTAAAGAGAACATCTTCACAAAGAATTATAAAAATCAATATGAAAGTTTGTATAATAAGGATAATATAAATCAGTATTTGTGTGGTATATTACACTTTCTGCTTCAGTCCCAATGTAAACCTAACCATAATCTTAACAAACATCTTTCAAGAAAAGTAGCAGACATAATCAGAAATGAAAAACAAAAGGCTGACAATGTGACTGTCTTTAACTTGGCTTTAGAAAATCAATCTTTTTGTTTTGAGCCCTAAGCATGTGTTGATCTACACCACTTAATTATGAATTATAAATGCTTTTCAGATATGTCTAGAATTGGAAGCATTCATAAAATTGTTTCTTATTGATAGTCAGCATTAGTGGCTAAAATAAACATCAAAATGATACAAATCTATATAGCAGTTAGAAAAAAACATAAAGGCAAAGATAACTGACACTGTATCACATCCCTTAGTGTCCCATGAAGTAAGCAATAAAATGTATACACTTATACAGTGTGTGAGAACTAAATGAAATTAAATATGTGAAGAAATCTAAAACTGTGGAGTACATATATTATTTGCTATTTAAAACCTAACCTTGGATAAGTCAATTAAAAACTTAAATTGCTGTTTCCTACTTTGACTCTTTAGAAACTAGGCCTTATTTATTCTTGAAGTCAATATTTGTTATATACCTACTATACACGAGATTTTGTTTTATGCATTTGGACAAAAGAAGTTCTTATCTTCATGGAACTCATTTATCCCTTGTTTGAGGCAACACTTATTTATAGCCTATAACTTCACTCATTCCTGATGTAATTCAACGGGGACAGTTGAAAAGATCATGCTACCAAAATTTTAGCTTATAATTTATTTGTGAGATAAAATTTATTTTAGTTTATTATAAATTATTTGTTTGTAGATTTGGACAAAATTCTACCTTTACTAGTTTCTATGTGACATTGAACACTGTATTTAGCATTTAAGAAATTAACTTCATAGCCAAGACAGCCGACTTGAAGCAGTTAGTGTGCATGGCTCTCAAAGAGAGTAAAGAAAGGGGTGAGTACAGCACCTTCATCTGAAACATCAAAATACTTGCATTAGGACTGATGAAGAAACTAACTGACTCACAGAGAAGAGAGGAAAGTAAATCAGGCTAATGGCACAACTGGGAGAGACATGGAGCCAAGGGAACCTCCCCTACCCAAAATAGTCATAAATTTATGACCTTGGGCACTCACAGTTTTCCCATGAATCTTGGAAACCCTTAGGTCAGGAGACTGCTTCATGAATCTAGAGCATTCAGTCTGATACACAGAGCTACATGGAGTCTTGGCAGAGCAGACATTCAATCACGCAGTAAAGACTCAAGAGCCTTAGATACTCCAGCTTTCTGGGCTTCCAGGCAAAAGTAGCTGCAACTCTGGCAACGTGGCAGGTTAGACCCTGTAGTAATCCTATCTTGCATTGCCATAAACTACCTGAGACTGGGTAATTTATAAATAAAAGAGGTCTAATTGACTCACAGTTCCACATGAATGGGAAAACCTGAGAAAACTTGCAATTATCGCAGAAGGCAAAGGGGAAGCAAGAACCTTCTTCACAGGTAGCTGGAGGAGGATGGTGGAATGTGCCAGACAAATCAAAAAAGCAGATCTTGTAAGAATTCACTCACTATAATGAGACAAGCATGGAGGAAATACACCTTCATGATTCAGTAATCCCCCACAAGGTTTTTTCCACAACACATGGGGGTTACAATTCCAGATGAGATTTGGGTGGGGACACAGAGCCAAACCTTATCATTTTTATCTGGCTGCTCCCAAATCTCATGTCCTTTTCACATTTCAAAACCAATCATGCTTTCTCAATTGTCCCTCAATGTCGTAACTCATTCTAGCATTAACTCAAAAGTCCAAGTCCGAAATCTCATCTAAGACAAGGCAAGTCCCTTCCACCTATGAGCCTGTAAAATAAAATAAAAAAACAAGTTAGTTACATCCGAGATACAATGGGGGTACAGGCATTGGGTAAATATTACCATTCCAAAAGAAAGAAATTGGCCAAAACAAAAAAGCTAAAGGCTCCATCCAAGCTTGAAACCCAGCAGAGCAGGCATTAAATCTCAAAGGTCCAAAATAATCTTGTTTGTCTACATGTCTCACACCCAGGCCACACTGATGCAAGAAGTGGGCTCTCAAGACCTTGGGAAGCTCCCTGTCTGTGGCTCTGCAGGATAGAGCCCCCATGGCTACTTTCACAGGCTGGTGTTTAGTATCTGCGGCTTTTCCAGGCACTCTGTACAAGCTGCTGATGGATCTATCATTCTGAGGTCTAGAGGATGGTGGCCATCTTCTCACAGCTGCACTAGCCAGTGCCACACTGGGGACTCTGTGTGGAGAATCAAACTCCACATTTCCCCTCTGCACTGCCCTAGTAGAGTTTCTCCATAAGGACTCCACATCTACAGAAGACTTCTGTCTGGACATCCAGGCGTTTCCATACATCTTCTGAAATCTAGGCTGAGGCTTCCAAACCTCAACTCTTGCCCTCCGCACACCTGCAGGCTTGACACCATGTGGAAGCCTTGGCAACTTCTGACTTGCACACTGAAACAGTGGCCTGAGACATATCTGGGGCCCTTTTAGCCATGCTGCAACTGCAATAGCTGGGATGCAGGGAGCTGTGTCCAGTGGTTGCACAGGAAAGTGGGGCCCTGGGCCTAGTCCACTAAACCATTTTTTTTCCTAGGCCTCTAGGCCTGTATTGGGAAGGACTGCCACAAAGGACTCTGACATGCCTTGTAGGCATTTTTCTTACTGTTTTGGCTATTAACATTTGACTCCTCTTCACGTATGCAAATTTCTGCAGTTGTATTGAATTTCACTCCTAAAAGTGGGTTTTTCTTTTCCATTACATGGCCACGCTGCAAATTTTCCAAAGTTTTATGCTCTGCTTCCCTTTCCAATATAAGTTACAGTTTTGGGTAATTTCTTTGTTTATGCAAATGAGCATAGTCTTTTAGAAGCAGCCAGGCCAATTTTTGAACTCTTTGCTGCTTAGAAATGTCTTGTGTCAGATACCTTAAATAATCCTTCTCAAGTTCAAATTTTCACAGATGTCTATATCAGGGGCACAATGCTGCCAGTCTCTTTGCTAAAGCAGATCAAGAGTGACTTTGCTCCAGCTCTTAATAAGTTTCTTACCTTCATCTAAGACCTCTTCAGCCTAGACTTCACTATTCATATCACTATTAGCATTTTGGTCAAAACTATTCAACAAATCTCTAGCAAATTTCAAACTTACCTTCATCTTCAAAGAGTTCCAACCTCTCCTCATTACTCAGTTCCAAAGTTGCTTCCACATTTTCAGGTATCTTTATAGCAATGCCCCTCCTCTCTGATACCAATTGTCTGTATTAGCTCATTCTTGCATTTCTCTAAAAAGCTACCTGAGACTGGACAATTTTTAAAGAAAAATGGTTTAATTGGCTCATGTTTCTGTGGGCTGTACAGGCTTCTGCTTCTGGGGAGGCCTCAGGAAACGTACAATCATAGTGGAAGGTGAAGAGGAAGCAGGCATGGTCTTCCCAAGGCCAGCAGGACAGAGAGAGAGACAAAGGGAAAGGTGCCACGCACTCTACCATAACCAGATTTTATGAGACTTCTACCATGCAATAGCACTAGGGGGACAGTGCTAAACATTAAAAACCACCTGCATGATCCAATCACCTCCCACCAGGCCCTTCCTCCACACTGGTATTACAAATTGACATGAGATTTTGGTGGGGACACAGAACCAAACCATATCAACCATGTACATCACCCTAGGCTGAATCCAGGATGCTGAGCAGCAATGGTCTACAGGTGCAATTTCCATGGCACTTAACAGGATAAGACCCACTGGCTTGGAATTCCAGCCAGGCATGGTAGCAACACTGCACCTTCTTGGGATGGAGCTTCCAGGTGGAAGGGAGGGCTGCCATCTTTGCTGTTTGGGCACAGCCATTCTGACCTTTGAGCTTTAGAGAGTCCAAGCTGACCGGAGGCTGAAGTCATCTCCCAGCACAGCCCAGTTGCTCTATGAAAATGTGGCCAGACTGCCTTTTTAAACAGATCTCAATCCCATCCCTCCTCACTAGTTGGGCCTCCCAACTGGGACCTCCATCCACCCCTGTTGGTGTTCTCTGACAGAGATTTGAAAACTCCTAGAACAGAGTTGCTAGAGGGAGAGACAGGCCACTATCTTTACTGTTTGGGCAACCTGGCTGTTCTGGCTTCATGCATTAGAGAGTCCAACTGACCAGGGGCTAAGGTGGTTGTCCAGCACAGCACAGCTTCCCTATGAAAAACATGGCCAGACTGCTTTTTGAAGTAGGTCCCTGATCTTATTTCTCATCATGGTGTGAAGCCTGTCAACTTGGGTCTCCAGATAACCCCACCAGTGTTCTCTAGCTGAAAGAGATTTCAGGACTTTCTGGGACACAGCTCCCAGGGAGAGGGACAGGCCACTATCTTTTCTATGTGGGTGGCTTGTTGAAGTCGACCCTGGAGTGGAAGCCAGTCCATCTTCCACGGGTCCCACACAACCCCTACTGCTGGCCACCAGACAGGGAACTCCTGACTTGGGTCCACAGCCCAGACCCACCATCCTGGGCTGATGGTATATCACTCAGTGGTATACTGAGTGATTGCTGACCCACATCTCTATGGAGCAGAGCTCTCAAGAGACAAGCAAAGTGGTGGGACAGCAAACCAGCTGACGTGCAGCTTAGTGGGCTTACTGTGAGTGTCTATAGCATAGTGTGGCCAAGTACGGCCATCTCTCTAGGCTAGACTTTCTCTGATAAGAAACTTTAGCCCTACCAGAACTATCAGACCTGATATCTGCAGGGCAGTCTTGCACATCACACAGCTCTGGCTCGACCTGAGCACTCCTTGGTCTGTTGGCCTTTCCTAGGGCACCGGCCTGGCCACATGTGCTTACAGGAAAGTCTTGGGTTTTCTCGGGGCCCACACCATAGCTTCTGTGCTGGTGGATTGTACCTGACCGGTGGTGAGCTCCAGTGAGGTGGCCCTTACCACTGCACGCCATGTGTTCACTCCCTATATCGCAGTTTCCCCTGAGCTCATGGCAAGTCCTCATATCACTTTGCTGGCAAATATCTGCAAGGCCAGGTTGTGCTTTACTTGCCCCACCAGCACCTGAGAGTACAGTATGCTCCCCGACCCCCGCCAACTGCCATTGCAGGTGGAGCCTTGGTGGAAACAGAGCCAGCAAGCCCCGCTCCTGCCAGTGCCCTACCCTTGTGTTAATGCTGCACAGAGAGCAGGGGATTCTCCCACAAGCTAAGTGATCACTCCTGCTTGCAGGGCACAGAGAAAGCACCCAGACCTGTGCTGTCCAGCACCCCACGCCAAACCAACACCATCTCCAGTGCAGCAGAGTTCATGGTCTCCAGCAGGGGCCCCCAAGTTCTCTCCCAGCTGCAGTGCATTTGCGACTGTGGTGAAAGCCTACAGGCAAGCAGGTAACCCTGCATCCACTAGCACTCTGCTGTAGCTGCTGCACCTCATTCCCCCCAGCGCAGTGAACTCCAAACTTCAAGGAGCCAGAGAACAAAGTCAGGGCCCAATACAAATCCCTCAGACTTAGAGCATGCAGTCCAGGAATTGCGAGCTGAGTTTTGGCCCCCTTTAAGGCTTCCAGAAATAAAACCATTTGGCTGAATCCACCTTATACAACAATTAAACCATCAAGGTCATTAAATGTGATAAAACAAGACACCCATCCAAAGGTCACAAACCTCAAAGATTCAGGATAGATAAGCCCACAAATATATGAAAGAATAGGTTCAAGAAGAATGAAAATTCAAAAGCCAGAGTGCCTGCTTTCCTCCAAATGACTGCATCACATCTTCAGTAAGGGTTCAGAATTGATCTGAGGCTGAGATGGCTGAAATGGCAGAAGTGGAATTCAGAATATGTATAGAAGTAAAGTTCAGTGAGCTAAAGGAGTATGTTGTAACTCAATGCAAGGAAGCTAAAAATTATGATACAACATTGCAGGAGCTGACAGAAAAAAATAGCCAGTATAGAGAAGAATGTAACCAACCTGATAGAGCTGAAAAACACATACAACAATTCATAATATAGTCACAAGTATTAATAGAAAAACAGACCAAGCAGAGGAAAGAGTCTCAGAGCTTAAAGATTGGCTTTCTGAAATAAGACAATTAGACAAGAACAGAGAAAATATGGTATGAAAATAAATGAACAAGGCCTCTGAGAAATATAAAATTATGTAAAGAGACAGAATCTATGACTGATTGATGTACCTTAAAGAGATGGGTAGAATGAAATCAACTTGGAAAACATATTTCAGAATATCACCTATGAGAACTTCCCCAACCTAGATAGACAGGCCAACATTCAAATTCAGGAAATTTAGAAAACCCCAGCAAGATACACCACAAGATGGTTATCCCCAAGACACATAATAATCATCAGATTCTTTAAGTCAAAATGAAAGAGAAAATGTTAAAGGCAGCTAGAGAAAAAGGCCAGGCCACCTACAAAGGAAAGCCCATCATACTAACAGTGGACATGTCAGCTGAAATCCTATAAGCCAGAAGAGATTGGGGACCAACCCAGAGTTTTATATCTGACCAAATCAAGCTTCATAAATGGAGGAGAAATAAGATTATTTTCAGACAAGCAAATGCTGAGGAAATTTGTTACCACCAGACCTGCCTTATGATAGCTCCTGAAGGAAGCACTAAATATCAAAAGGAAAGACCATTACCAGCCACTACAAAAAACAAACTGAAGTACGCAGATCATTGACACTACAAAACAACCAAATAAACATATCTGCAAAATAACCAGCTAACGTCATTATGATAGGATCAAATTCACCCCAACCCAACACTATCTCCAGTACAGCAGAGCATGTGGTCTCCAGCAGGGGCCCCCAACTTCTCCCCAAGCTGCTGTGCCTTTGTGACTGTGGTGAATGCCTACAGGGCAGCAGGTATCCCTGCATCCACTAGCACTCTGCTGCACCTCAGTTCCCCCAGCTCAATGAACTCCAAACTTCAAGGAGCTTCAACATATCAATATTAACATTAAATGGGCTACATGCACCAATTAAAAGACATAGAGTGGCAAGCTGGAAAAGGGTCAAAGACCCATTGGTATACTGTCTTCAAGGGACCTATCTCACATGCAATGGCACACATAGGCTCAAAATAAAGGGATGAAAAATAGTCTGTCAAGCAAATGGAAAACAGATAAAAATATTGGTTTCAAACCTAGTTCCTGACTAAACAGATGTAAAATGAACAAAGATAAAAAAGACAAAAAAAGAGCATTATATACTGGTGAAGATTTCAATTCAACCAGAAGAGCTATCTTAAATATATATACACCCAACACAGGAACACCCAGATTCATAAAGCAAGTTCTTAGAGACCTTCAAAGAGACTTCAGACTCCCACACAATAATAGTGGAAGACTTTAACACCCCCACTGGCAATATTAGACAGATCACTGAGACAGAAAATTAACAAAGATATTTAGGACTTGAACTCAGCACTGGATTAAATGAACCAGATAGTTATCTACAGAACTATCCACCCAAAACAACAGAATATATATTCTTCTCATTGCTGCACGGCATATACTCTAAAATTGATCACATAATCTGAAGTAAAACACTCCTCAGCAAAGGCAAGGGAACTGAAATAATAACAATCTCTCAAACCACAGCACAATAAAATTAGAAACCAAAACAAGAAATTCACTCAAAACCATACAATTACATGAAAATGTAATAAAGTCCTCTCAAATGACTTTTGGGTAAATAATGAAATTAAGGCAAATATCAAGAAGTTCTTTGATGCTAATGAGAAAAAAGATACAACATACCAGAAACTCTAGGACAACCTAAGGCAGTGTTAAGAGGGGAAAAAAAAACCCAGGACCAGATGGATTCACAGCTGAATTCTAGAAAATCTACAAAGAAGAGGTGGTACTGGTGATAGTAAGTTCCAAGATAACTGACTAGCCATATGCAGAAGATTAAAACTGGACCCCTTCTTTACATCATATACCAAAATCAACTCAAGATAGATTAAAGACTTAAACGTTAAACCCAAAATTATAAAAAAAAATCCTTGAAGACAACCTAAGCAAAACCTTTCAGGACATAGGCATGGGCAATGATTTTATTATGAAATTGTCAAAAGCAATTGCAACAAAAGCAAAAATTGACATATGGGATCTAATTAAACTAAAGCGTCTCTACAAAGCAAAAGAAACTATCAACAGGCTAAACAGACGACCTACAGAATGGGAGAAAATTTTTTCAAACTATGCATCTGACAAAGGTCTAATATCCAGCAGATATTAAAAAAAAAAAAAAGAAACCCAAACAACCCCATTAAAAAGTGGGCAAGGAACATGAACAGACACTTTTTGAAAGAAGACACTCATGCAGCCACGAATCACATAAAAAAAGCTTAATGTCATTGATTATTAGAGAAATGTAATCAAAACCACAATGAGATACCATCTCACACCAGATGGTTATTATTAAAAAGTTAAAAAATAACAGATGCTGGTGAGGTTATGGAGTATGTGGAGTAAAAGGAATGCTTGTACACTGTTGGTGGGTGGGAAAATTAGTTTGACTACTGTGGAAGATAGCATTGGGATTTTTCAAAGACCTAAAGACAGAAATGCCATTTGACCCAGCAATCCCATTACTGGATATATACCCAAAGGAATATACACCATTATATTATAAAGACACATGCATGCATATGTTCATTGCAGCACTATTCACAATAGCAAAGTCATGGAATCAACCTAAATGCTCGTCAATGACAGACTGAATACAGAAAATGTGGTACATATACATGATGGAATACTATGCAGCCATAAAAAAGAATGAGATCATATTCTTTGCAGGGACATGGATGAAGTTGGAGGCCATTATTCTTAGCAAACTGACACAGGAACAGAAAACCACATACCACATGTTCTCACTTATAAGTGGGAGTTAAATTATGAGAACACATGGACCCATACAGGGGAACAACACACCTATATTCTATAGGTCAAGAATTTTAATGAAGATACAATAAGATAATATGTGTGATGTAATCTGCAATATATGCTCAATACAGATGGCTGTTTTCATGTGCATTTCTATCTCCATAAAATATTAGGAGTGATATTTTGTTTATAAGTAAACATGGAATTGACTCTTGAATCTTCAATCTGACTCATTCATGGGATATTGTTTAATATTTCTTAGTTTTTATAATTTCTATAGGATCAAAAGAAAGATGACTGTAAAAATGATTTCCCCATCTATAAGTTATTTCAGTCATTAAAAACCCATAAATTATAAATATTATGAAGAATAAGTTATGTAGCTTTTTATTGCCCATGTGATTGCAATTAACCAGCTTATATGCTTCTAAAAACGTGCATGTGAGCTCCTATCTGTATTCAAATACCTCAAAAATGGCAAGATAGAAATATGGCCCTTTATAAAATATTTTTTAAAAGAACTGTGGTAATGCATATTAAAGTAAAAATGCATAGGTACATAAACCAAAAGTTATCTGAGACAAGTCTCTACCAAGTTAGAAGTTTATTTTGCTGAGTTTAAGGACATGCCCATGTCACAGCCTCAAGAGGTCCTGATGACATGTGCCCCAGTTGTTCATGCTACAGCTTGTTTTTACATTTTAGGGAAACATAAGACATCAATCAATATATGTAAGATGTACATTGGTTTGGTCTGGAAAGGTAGGACAATTTAAAACGGTGGCTTCCAGGTTGCTGGTGGATTCAAAGATATTCTGACTGGCAATTGGTTGAAAGAGTTTATCTAAAGACCTGGAATCTATAGAATGAAATGTCTGGATTAAGACAAGAGGTTGTGAAGAACAAGATTCTTATTATGCTGATGAATCCTTCATGTATGAGGCTTCAGATAGAATAGATTGTAAATGTTTCTTATCAGACCTAAAAACATGCCAGATTCTTATGTTAATTCTCTCCTGGATCAGGGAAAAGACCTGCAGAAAAGTGATTCTCTGCAGAATGTAGATTTTCCCCACAAAGACAGCTTTGCAGGGCAATTTCAAAATATGTCGAAGAAATATATTTTGGGGTAAAATACTTCAATTTCTTTCAGGGCTTGCTATCTGTCATATGATGCTGTGATAGTCAGTCTGGAATTTAGTGTTTCATTGCTAAAAAAAAAAAAAAAAAGTCTTAAAATCTCCGTTGTAATGTTAATGCTGGTCAGTTGTGCCTGAATTCCAAAGGGAGGAGGGGTTAATGAGCATGTTCGACCCCACTTCCCATCATGGTGTGAACGAGCTTTTCAGGTTAATGTTGGAATGCCCTTGGCTGAGACCAGGGGTCTTTTCAATAGTTGCAGGGCTTAGAATTCTATTTTTAGTTTACATCTATTTAGTGTTTTCCATGGGTCCCTAGTTTGTCATCCCATAAGTCATTTGATCTTTCCAAAGTAATCCCATTTGTAACTCAGAGCCTTTAATATCTGAAACTAATGAGAGTCATAACAGATGAATCCTTCATATGGGAAATATAGTGAAATCCAGAATAAAACAGAAAATATGCCAAAAAGTTATTGGGCCAATGAAATGTCAATTAAAATAATGTTCTTTGGTAAATTAAAACTTGTTTATTGAAGGGCATGGTAAAAATGGAGCATGAGATTAGCCCTCTGCAGTCACAAAATTGACAAACTAATTGGGAAAATGCAAAGCAGGTAGTCTTCTCTTTCCAGACATAATGCATGTAGGTTAAATGTGTGGAAATCAAGTAACCGGCTTAGAGGTTATTTTTGTTTATCTTTATTCTTTGAAACAGAGTCTTGCCCTGTTGCCCAGGCTGCAGTGCAGTAGCGCCATCTCAGCTCACTGCAAGTTCCGCCTCCTGGGTTCACGGCATTCCCCTACCTCAGCCTCCCAAGTAGCTGGGACTACAGGTGCATACCATCACGCCCGGCTAATTTTTTGTATTTTTAGTAGAGACGGGGTTTCACCATGTTATCCAGGAGGGTCTCGATCTCCTGACTTCACGATCTGCCCGCCTCGGCCTCCCAAAGTGCTGGGATTACAGGCGTGAGCCACTGCACCCGGCCCTGCTTAGAAGTTATAAAGGGCAAGCACAGAAAGAGAATATTTTAAATTCTAATTATACCTACCTGTAGAGCATTAGAGTAGGTTAATTTCAACTCCAGTCCAAGTTCTGGTCCCAGAACAATTTCAATCCAAATGTCAAGGGCTGCCTACATCCTTCTGAGAACATCTTATAAATTCAATATATTGGGGGTTTTTAAGTTGCACATCAATAAAACACAAAATACGTATAGGTAGCAGAGTCAGCATAGACACTAATCATGTGAATGATTAACATCTTAAGGTTTTCTAATTTACATACAGCCATTCACAGAAAGAGTATGAACAGCAATACCGCTAAGGAAACTAATCACAGAAAAAGAGTTCCTCATTACAGTAAATAAAGATCCTGAGTTTTCTTAGTCCATGACACTTCCTTCCATTGCAGGGTACATACTGTTCCCTTTTCTAAGGCTTCATAGCTTGAAAAAGCATCCATACCAACCAGGTGACCAAAGAACCCAACTAGAGATTAAGATACTGCAATTTTGACCTGAAGTCAGGAGTTCGAGACCAGCCTGGCCAACGTGGTGAAACCCAGTCTCTACTAACAATACAAAAATTAGCAGGTGAGGTAGCATGCACCTGTAATCACAGCTACTTGGGAGACTGAGGCATGAGAATCACTTGAACTGGGAGATAGAGGTTGCAGTGAGCCAAGATTGTACTACTGCACTCCAGCCTGGGTGATAGAGTGACATTCTGTCTCAAAAAAAAAAAAAAGAGATACTGTAGTCTTGAACCTCTATCAAAAAGATGTCTGTGTGTTTTCATGCATGTATGTGTTTGTGTGTGTTGTGTACATATTAAGAGGAAGGGTTAACTTAAATTGTAACATGATCCACAAGGTATACAATCTTAGGTATGTAACCATAGCTAGGAAAAATACATATATTTAAGAGTGTTTATAAATAATAAATTTTAATTAGCTAAAAATCTTTGTTTACCTTATTATAGGAAAAATATACCAATATTAGTATTTCAAATATTAGTTGTTCTAATTTACCTGTAAGTATCTGTATTGAAAACAAAATAATAGACAGGAAAATTCAGTAGAACTTGAAAAGCACAAATAGCAGTCATCAATGTAGTGAATCATTGAAATCTATCCTTGACTAGTGTGAAATATGTACGAAGAGATATTGGTGTTCTTAGTTTACAAAAACAAATTCATATCCATTTCTGACTGATGTGTGGTAATATAATTTATAATAATTAATAATACAGCTAGATGTGTTCCTCTTTAAAAATTTAGTTAAAATGTGCAAGCCTACCGATGCTATAGAGTGCATTAGCTTTTACTGCCAGACAATACATCACAAGAAAATAAGTCAACCGACTGACTTTTCAGTGCAGACAACAAAAAGCTTTTATAAACACATTAATGACGGAAATTGTGTTTTTCACTCAGTATGTACTGAAGCATAATGAAGTTAGGTCTCCAAACCAAAATATATTTTCTCTCAGGGAAAAACAATCATTTAAACAGCCATGGATTTGTTACCTAGTGCCTTGACACTTTAGGATGAGCTCCTTCAAAGCATGCTGATCTTACTTATCTGAAAATAAATAATGCACACAGAAAAAAAAGTCTCCTGATAAATATTTGCCTTATCAAGTGCTGCAGTGTTTTTGGGTGCTCAGTTTGTGCTTACAGATCAAAATATTTATAAATACAAATCTTAAAATATTCATAAATTTGTTTTAATGGTGTTTACTTAGAAATCAACAGTGTTCATGACATATATTATAGACTACGTTACTCCTCCCAGATATAAATTGTAGCATTTGCTATGGTTTTAGCACACAATATTTTGAAAATTTCATAACAATTTGATGTTCTAAAATAATCAATATCTATGTATTCAAGATAGTTATTGTAATATTTTCTTATTTCTTGCAATGGAACATAAAAATGAAACAACATAGACTGAGTTAAAATGCATTATTTATTTTACAGAAATAGAAACTAATTTGCACTTCACTTAATAAACAAAAGTATCCTTAATATTTATTCAGTGAGAACAAATATACAGCATTCTGAAATCATATAACTTGTGAACATAAAGTCTAAATGATCACAAATCAAAAACAGAGTGTAGATGCCAAAAAAGATAGGAAAAATTGACTTGAAAATATAATTACTCAAATTATAATATGCTGGCATTATTTTTCTTCTTACAAATAATTAATACTTTGCCAAAAATTCTCAAAGACTCATTAGACCCTTAAAGTATCATTTTACTAGTGAGAAAGGCAGAAGATATGATACATTATAATTTTCATTATAACTTCCATTAATTTACTTTATAAAAATTTGGATTTTTTAAAGAAACTAACAAATTTTAGACTTAACTATAAATTTTGAGGGTGCAAATAAGATGTGAGAAATGAGATATTTAAATGGTGTAAAATATCCCTGGACAGAATTTCTTGTTACTTAGGCTCCATTCCTTTCTCTAGGGAAACCTACATGGTTAGCTATAACCAAATCAATACGTAAAAAAAATTAGGCTAAATTTTTTTTAGACAAAATTGGAATCGATACCCAATGCCTGCTAAAGTAATTTTCTGGCACTTGGGACATCTGTTAATTTAATATTAGATTCATTGAGGCTATTGTTTTAACTGTGTCTGGATCACTTCAAAATAATTCTGAATAAATTATTGTATAAGGTAAGGAAGTTAGCATCTTAATCAGAAAGGTACAGTGCAAGACTCTTAAAGCAGTTTTTGAAAGACGCAATTACATGTCTTCATCCAGGTTGGATAGGCAAAACTGTAGATTTTACAAACTAAATTTGTGCCTAGGGATTTACTCAATGACATAAGGGATGTTAGAAACAATTGTCTGTTGACGAAGTGAGTTGTCTTTAAGTTATGAGATTTCCTAGAAAGTTTCAGTTTACAAATAAGAGAATTCAGCAAGCCCTGTAAAAGCCTTCGCTGTGGTATTCTTAGTTCTTGAGTTTCTTTTGGTTGGGTGTGTCAGAATTTCACCCTCATGAAAGTTTTTTTAGAGTGCTTGAGGACAGAGAACAGGGACCTCCCTGAGCTTACATCAGAAGGTGAAAGAGTGATTTTTGTTCTTGATTGCTAATTAATGCTTGTTGTTTTGACAGAATTTAATCTAAGTATTATCAGTGCAGTATGTCACCTCCTAGCAAAATATGCAAAAGGAGAAATATAGCCTTTACCTATTTCTAATTCTGGGGCATACTGACTTTCTTCACAAGAACTGGCAATTCTAAGCCTTGTTTAAAGCAGTTTTCAACAGGCCCCAAAGCAGCACCAATGTATAAGTTTTGTATATAATGAAGCTCATATGACTTAAAAAAAAAAAACATAAACAGAATATGTATGACACCGGAAAAGTGAGGATGCATTTTCCCTCATGTATGAAAGGTAATATTGGATTATTGAATGAGTGGCTGAGCTAGATTAGAGAGTATAAATTTATGCTTAATCGAATTTAGAAATTCATAGGCATTAAGAGGAAGCAGGAAACTTTAGTAGGTGGAGCTATGAACCTATCGTTCCATATTTCAGCAAAAGCAGCTTCCCATACAGTGGAATCCCATCACAAACTGTGTTTAACTTATTTAAAGTTATATTTTAGTCAGTGCGCACATATCCAGAGTGAGATGGAAAATATTAAAAGGTTGTTTTTCTAAGTATTCATGTACTAATTTTTCCTGTGGGCATTTTATAGTACTGAGTATGATTTTACAATTTGAAGAAATACATTTTCACATGGCCTCTGTATTCATGCCAACCCATTAATGCACAATGGAAGAAATAACAAACTATCCAATTATGTAGAACAATTGATTATGTTGTTTATTAAGAAATGTATTGATCTGAAAAGCAGATCTATTAATGGATTTTTAGGATAATTTTGATTATTGTATCAGACCAAACTTGAAGCCATACCCAATCCTAAGATTAATACATATTCCATTTCTCTTGTCAAATACAAAACAAGCTCTAGGCTTAGGTAAGGATAAATTATACACAAAAGAATAGAAGCAATGGGTGGGGAAGGAACTATCATAATAGAGAAAATGCAATGAAGATGAGATCTGCAATATTCCCAGTGGAAAGGCAGAAAAAAAGATTTTCTTTTGAAAAGGAGTAAAAAAGACTGGAAAAAAGACACATTTGGAGAAGTAGGATAAATAGTGATAGATGGGATAGCTGATCAGAGAATAATTTTCCCTGGAATCAGCCTGTTTTTGGAGAAGTCAGTAAGGTACTATAGTATGTTGGGTCAGATAAGAATGAATCAAAACTAAGAGTTCTGTTTGAGGAGATATACTTAATAAATGTCTGGTTAGCAAGCATTTTGCTACAAGTGATCAGTGAAGGCAAAATAGTTCAGTTCTTCATGTACCAGGTAAACAGTAAGAATTTGGAGGTCTGTGTCTGGATTTGTCATAGGTAACCAAGGGAGCGTTCATGGGTCTTACCTAAGTCATAAAGAAATTGGGGGTGTATTTGTATTAAGCCTTGTTTTTTAACACAAAAGCTTTGGGGAAAATTGTATTACCCTTCACTGATTTTCAGGCAGCAGCTACTCCAGAGACAAATCAAGCCCATGCATGGTCCACTGCAGTGGTGAGTCGTTGGAAGTATATATTGACTTTTTGGGCTTTTTATTATGCTTTTTCAGATCTGGTGGAAGAGTTAAGTTACAAGGCAACTTAACACCAAAAGCAATGGCAACAAAAGACAAAATTGACAAATGGGATCTAATTAAACTAAAGAGCTTCTGCACAGCAAAAGAAACTACCATCAGAGTGAACAGGCAACCTACAAAATGGGAGAAAATTTTCGCAACCTACTCATCTGACAAAGGGCTAATATCCAGAATATACAATGAACTCAAACAAATTTACAAGAAAAAAACAAACAACCGCATCAAAAAGTGGGCAAAGGACATGAACAGACACTTCTCAAAAAAGACATTTATGCAGCCAAAAAACACATGAAAAAATGCTCATCATCACTGGCCATCAGAGAAATGCAAATCAAAACCACAATGAGATACCCTCTCACACCAGTTAGAATGGCAATCATTAAAAAGTCAGGAAACAACAGGTGCTGGAGAGGATGTGGAGAAATAGGAACACTTTTACACACTGTTGGTGGGACTGTAAACTAGTTCAACCATTGTGGAAGTCAGTGTGGTGATTCCTCAGGGATCTAGAACTGGAAATACCATTTGACCCAGCCATCCCATTACTGGTTATATACCCAAAGGACTATAAATCATGCTGCTATAAAGACACATGCACATGTATGTTTATTGCAGCATTAATCACAATAGCAAAGACTTGGAACCAACTCAAATGTCCAACAATGATAGACTGGATTAAGGAAATGTGGCACATATACACCATGGAATACTATGCAGCCATAAAAAATGATGAGTTCATGTCCTTTGTAGGGACATGGATGAAATTGGAAATCATCGTTCTCAGTAAACTGTCGCAAGAACAAAAAACCAAACACCGCATATTCTCACTCGTAGGTGGGAATTGAACAATGGGAACACATGGACACAGGAAGGGGAACATCACACTCTGGGGACTGTTGTGGGGTGGGGGGAGGGGGGAGGGATAGCATTGGGAGATATACCTAATGCTAGATGACGAGTTGGTGGGTGCAGTGCACCAGCATGGCACATGTATACATATGTAACTAACCTGCACAATGTGCACATGTACCCTAAAACTTAAAGTATAATAATAATAATTAAAAAAAAAGAAAAAAACAAACAACAACAACAAAAAAAACAAGGCAACCTAAAGTTTCAATTAGGATCTGAAAAGTCAGGTTTTAGTTTTTGTCATCAAGTCAAGAGGGAGAAAGAAAAATTATATATGTTTGTTTGGAGGGTGGTAGTCAGATATTGAGAGAAAGTAGAAGAATTGAAGTTTGAGTAAGAATAGACAATGTGTGCAAGATGACAAGATTCAGTCTAATTTACACTTAAGTTATAAAACTGTTTTCTTTTTTCCCCCACCTATTCATCAGTTAACTGGAAAATTGCAAGAGGGGCAAAATATCTCAAAGACAATGAACAGGGCCACGATTTGATAATCTGCTAGAGTATGCTATAGTTTTCCATTAAAACACAAAATTCCTCCCTGTAGTCTCCCACTATTTTGATCAAAGGTAGTACCAAAGAAAGATTATTCTTTCTCACAGAATAAGTCTGATCTTACTATATTTGGCCTTATTGTTTAAATAAGTAGAATAATAAGAGTAATTTAACATATGGACGTTTTACATTTTACTTTGTTGGAAGTTTTCATGGATAAGCTCAGAAAAAAAACCTTTTTTCTCAATGGCTTAAAATAATCATAAAATCTCTAACTAAGCCTGCCAAAATGTTACTTGCTTACTTATCTATAATGCTGGAAGGCATGTAAGTTCAGGTGCTAGGTCAGTTTTTCCCAGAAGGCTTGGTAAGTGTTGACTCCAGAAAGCCATTCTGGGTTTCTTAAAGTGTCTAGTCATATCTGAATCAAGTATCATTCGCAAATAAGAGATTCCATTCAAAGCCTTGGTTGCATAACTAAGGTTTCCAATTATGTTCAGTTAACAAGAAAACTAGATTCTTTCCCAACATATTCAAATAATTATATTGCCATGTAAATAAGAATATAAGAGATTCTAAATTGTGGAAGAAGCAGACAGAGGGAGAACATAAATGTTTCACTTCATTTACGAAAGCATAGTAGACTAAATTATTATGTGTTGCAGATGGCTCAAGAGAAAAGACAAAGAGACTCCTTATATCCAAAAAAATGAACATGAAAGCGTCAGTAGTATTTCAAACAAAATTCATAATTATCTCTCATTTGTTTATTCAATTGACTCTTTTTCCACTCCATCTTGGGCTATCAGTCTAATGAATCCACCAGCTTTTCAACTAGAACTCTGAAAATCCTGACTCCATCTAGTTGTAGAGTCTCAAAGTTACTTAAGCATTGCCATCAAGAAGCCTGGGCCTGAGCGTACCTGGCATGCTCTTTACCTGGATCCCTGAGATGGCATTTTTTTTTAAATTTTATTTTGAAGATGCATCACAATGGCCTATTATTGGTTGTCAGCACATTCAGGAAAGGATTAGAGTAAAACAAATCAAAACAAAAACTATCTCTATATTACTAAAGAATTCAAAGAGCTAAATAACTTATTACAAAGTAAGGCAATAGACAAAAACATTTGTTTGCTTCTGTGATGTGCAACATTTTAAAACGTAACAGAAATTATGACTGAAGCATTGTACTACAGGGGTCTAATATCAGGCAAAGCAGCATTAAGATTCTGATAAATAAAAACACATAATGGGCAACAAGGACATTGTCAAATCTCTAGGAACTTTATACAATTTCTGAAATACTTATAATACCAATATTTTACCTGTACAAATTTTACCTAGAAAAGGTTAAGCATCTCTTCTGGTGTGACAAAGCTTCCCATGCATCTCATAATATATTAAATAAATCTAATTATTTTTAACACTTCTTGTTTTGCAAAGTGAAAGAAAAAATGATTTGTGGTTTTGCAGGGCTCCTGTAGGAAATCTCAAAGACAGTTTTAAGTGCAAAGAATATCATTTGAAATTCTATTTCGGAAAGGTAAAATGTCAAAAGTTGTGAAACGGGATTACCAAAGTGACAATAACAAATTTTAAAAATAAATAGGAGGTAACATAATTGAAAATATAAATACTTATTTTTAAAATTGCAGATACTTTGTTCTCTTAAATAATCAAGGACATGATAAGTCAACATAAAGCACAAGAAATTAGTTTGGTAAGACACAGAATCTTTGCCTTCCAGGAAGATTACTCAGAAGGTAAAGAAAAACCTACTTCATACTAAATTTTGTTTTAAATTTTTTATAAACAAACCTATCAAACCTCAGCCATCTTTGACCATGGCAAATGAAATTCTCTTTCTGCAAATCATCTACCACTCTCCATATCCACTCAGTTATTGTTCTATACATTCCTCTTTTTCATTCCAGAGTTAACAGTTATTTAGCTAGAAAAATTACACTTTTTCCTTATCAAAGACACATCCTGCGTAACTTATGTACTTAATTTAACGTAAGTCTAAGCCCTTAAGTTGCTAAAACCTCTTGGAAACTATCTCTAAGCTGACATACTGTAAGCAAAAGCAAGCTTGGCTGCTGCCACTTGTAAAGCCAATAAACAAGGAGGAAGTACACTGGAAGGCAAGTGACCTCATTGCGGAGCTAGCAGTGAGGAAATGGCAAAGGCTACTATCTTAAAGAAACTGTTTTATACTTGAGGCTGAAGAGGGGCTTACAAAGGCAACTTGGAATGGGAGGCATGTAGGAATGGTGCTGGGTGCCAGTCTCTATGTTGCCGTGGCTATTTTGAGTCATGATTAAGACTCAAACCCAGAACACAGGCTAGTATCATCTCAACAATGGCTGGGTTACCTGGAATTTTGCAACTGGGTCTCCATGCTTAGTCTGTCTCAAAATTAGCCCCTGGAACTTCTAAGCAAGCACATAGTTAAGTGTGTATGGTATAAATTTAACAAGCGTATAGTTAGATAATGTGCATGACGTGAGGGAGTGTATGGTGGGAAAGGGAAAGACATGGAGTTTCAAAGTACGCTTCAAGGCTGTATTTTAAGACTAAGAAGGAAAAAAGGTTTCTGCAGTTTGCTTCAAGGTTATATCTTGAAAGTAGGGTGGAAGGAGAAATAAGATAGAAGAAAAAAATTAAATGCGTTTTGAAGCTAAACTGCTTGGTTACGATAGTATAATATATAATTACTATTGAAATAAAATGTCAAAATAAGTTTACTTTTATTACTTTCTGAAATTTTCAGAATACTTTTATAAGTATTTGATTATGTCTAAACAAATCATAATAAAACTCTTTGAGGCATTGTATAATTGAATTTGTTAATGCCATCTGAAGGCAGAAAAATACTAAATATGTATATATATGTACACACATAAAGAGCTTATAGCTTCAATTCTAAAAATTTGTATTTCTGTCTTTATGATGTTTCAGTCATAAACACAGAAATACATAATCACTGGTTTATGTAAAAAACTGACTCTTGTCCTTTCACCATCTTTATATTTTTTACCAGAAATGTTTTTCGGAAGCATGTGACAAATTGACTTTACCTGCTCTCCCCAATTGGCCATGATGTATAATCTTATGGAATACATGAATTAAATTTCAGACAAGGGACTGAAGAGAGACCAGCTGGCCATCTGCGTGTCTCCAAAGCCCACCTAAGTGAACAAAATATCTAGACTCTTTCCAACTGGCTTTATCAGCCTCTGGTGGTTGCTTTTGGGATTATCTAATCCCCCAAGAGACCCTCACAGGGAAGAGGACTTAAACCCAAATGATTATAGGGAATTGAGGAACTAGAGTAGGTAGAGAAAGACCTGGCAAAGGTGGATAGAGTGGTGGAGGAGGTAGAAGTAGGTGTTGAAAAGGGCCAGATCAACGGACTCAGAGGGACTCGTGGAAAGGTGGCAGATGGAGTAAAGGAGGAAGAAGAAGCTAGAGGGCTGGGGCTGTTAGATGAGCCAGTTCAAGGAGATCCCAAGTTTACCAAAGGGGCTATTTTAGTCCTAATTTGTCTTTTGTAAATAATTCACCATTTCTGAAGACATTTAACTGAATTAGTGCTGTAAAGCAAATATAGTCAGAGCAAAAGCATATGATAGCAAAGCATATAGTCAGTGGGAGAAGGTGCCTGAAAGAGAATTACTGAAGGGATTAACAGATAGTTAAATCAAAGGGATGGGGAAACTTTAAAGCTGGGGAGGAATCCCACTTGGTTATTTCCTCACAGGATCCCCAGATCCAAGAGCCAAGGAACCCCTCTGAAAATCGTGGGGTCAAAGGAGAGATTCCCCTGCATGCCCCCAGGTGTGAGAAGCCAGAGAAAATCAGAAGAGGCCTCACGTAAGGGACAACGAGAATAACCAGTTTGCTTGAAAAAATTAAAGTAATTCCTTTGTAACAGAAAAGATGCCTGTAGCATTGCTTTCAGAGTTGATCTCATTAAAAGATCCTCAAATAGTCTAGCAGGAAAGGAGTTCAAAGGTCAGACAGGGCACCATAATCAGTATGAGGTGGTGAGGTCCAGTGGTGAGCCCCAATCTTAATCTGAGTCTCAGCACCAAAAACTATAGGATAAAAGTCAGACTCTAGACCTGACTCTTGCAACAGAGAAAAAAAAAACCTATTGTAAGTAATAGGGAGAATGTTTTGACTGAGAGATCTGCCAGCCTTGAAAAGGTTAGACAAAAAGGAGCTTTTGTTTTGTAAAGAAGAATAATAAGACTAGGAAACCAGATTGGGGAAGTGGTACAAACAAGGGTGGAAAAATCAGATGGGAGGTCAGTGAAGATAATACACTGAGACAGCCTATTTTGGGAAAGGGTATTAAAGATGGGTTGTGTGCAGGTTCAGGCTGTGTTGGATCAAAATGCAGGGGCATGAGGGAAGAAGAGAATTTAAACCAAAGTTTAGTTGATCAGTGGGGCCAAACCGTTCAGTTCAATTCTTCACTCATTATTCTAAAAATGGGAATTTGGTGTGTGTACGTGTGTGTGTGTGTGTGTGTGTGTGTGTGTGTGTGTGTGTCTGGCTTTGTCATAGGTAAACAAAATGGGCATCCGTGAGTCTTACCTAAGTAATATGGAAAAGAGAGTTTCCTTACCGTCTGTAAACCTTGACCAAGAACACAAAAAAGGTGGGAGAGTTTTATTAACCTTCATTATTTTCTAGGATCACAAGTCTTAGTAAAGTTCAACATTGTCACCCTCAATCCTATCACCACAGATGCTGTTGCTACTGAGCCACCTGCATTGGTTTTCTTTTCTCTGTCAAGCAGTGAACCTTACATGTCTATTAGAAAAAGAGAGATAAAATGGGCACTTAAGCTATTAAAGAATGTCCTGGTTTTACCAAGAGACAGGTACATCTTAAGGAAATTCCTTTCCTTTAAATCTTACTACCTGCAATCCAATTTACTGAGGTTAAATTCAAGAAAAACAGTTTCCTCATTAATATGTCCTGCCTTATGCCATATGGATTATGGACTTAACAGGCATTTGAGGGAAGATGGGTGGTATAACTTGGAGATGAAATCAATAGCATGGACACAGACTAGAGAGCATAAACAGATGGTTTGCACATTTAAATTTGCTATGGAAGTATCACAGTTCCTGCCAACAAAGTCAGGTCACATTCCAGAATATCAGCTAACAATCAAGAGAAAAGGCTAAATCTGAGAAGGTAAGACAGAGTCACACCTAATTTTGTTATAGAGCATGGCAGATACAGGATCAATACATTTTAATATAATGAGATGCTAAGTGCTTACCATTTGCAAGAAATTCTTAGGCCATTGGAAGGTGAAGTTAAAGTCCAGATTTTTAAACTGAGGATGAAACCATACATAAAAATGTAATTTAAGGATATAGGCAAGCATTTCAGTTAAGGTCAAACTTGTACACAAAAAAGTAGATGGGAGCCAAGTAACTGACATGAGGAGTGTGATGGGGGTTGAAGATTTGGAATAGATTGAAACACAGCTACAGAGGGCAAAGAATGATTATGGTCAAGACAATTGTTTGTGTTCTCTTTTTCATTGTTAATAATGATTTTACTACTCTCTAGAGAGAGCAAAGGTTTTTAGTGAATCTTAATTATAGAGAAGTCAGAACAGTCTGGGGGGATATTGGGAGATACCAAACTTTTGTTATTGCAAATTATTTAAATCTTTGCTTTTTAATCTTTCAGACACTTAATCTTATATTTTCAAGTAAAAGAAAGTTGCATGATGATTTATCATACAATATCAAGAATTTTTTTAGTGTAATAAGTGTTAACCAAAAGGATATTGGTTTGATTTGCTTGTCTCTTCTTAATAAGAAGTGTATGACTCCATTTTTTTCCCATAAGAAAAAGGTCTGTCACCTGAACAATATGAAAGTTCCATTCTCCATAGTAATGCTGTAAAGTTTAAAATGTAAGGACAATCCTTGATTACATTTCTAAATATGCCATATCTTATTGGTCTTTTTCTCTCTCTGTCTCTCTAATCCCAGCAATAAAATTTACAAGGTAAATTTAACA
The DNA here is from genome assembly GCF_000001405.40 of Homo sapiens. Lineage (NCBI taxonomy): Eukaryota > Metazoa > Chordata > Mammalia > Primates > Hominidae > Homo > Homo sapiens. The sequence goes on from NC_000004.12 coordinate 33,625,507, forward strand.
TACATTTAGCAAGCATCTCTACCTGTCATGCATTATTAAGCACAGTTAAATAAAGATAAGATGAGAGAAAAAGGACATGATCTTGCACTCTATCATGTAGCATTGTGTTCTTTCTACTTGACTTTCTCAAAGTATATACCTTCCTCACAACCAAAAAATGTCCATCTATCAGAAAACGTTTTTCTATTTTTATTATGGCAATGTATTTGTATTTAAAAATAATGCTACTGGACCAGACTTTGTAATGTTTTGCAAAAAATGTAATTTAATATATTACTTTAAAAGGGCAAGTGATGGCCAGAATAAGTTAGGGAGAGAGTAGTAAAAGCCTAATGCATTCTCATCTATTCTGTGCCTGAGGAAAAACAAGTCCAGTTCCCATTCCCACATTTTCTGGCAGTTAATATAAGTAGTCATGGCACTGCTTGTCTACCACCTGCTGGAGAACAGGAGGAATCAAAGGAAGGGGCTGGGTTATGGGTTCCAAAGCACACCCAGGAGACTATGGGACTACTGTTGTCATGTGCAGGAGGCACTACTCCATTGGAGACATGGGGCCTTAAGCAGAAGATTATTTAAATCCCAAATCATAAACAAAATTGTTGGAAATGGAAAAGCCCAATAAGCTGAAAGGCTGAGTTAACCTGCCTACTGGAGTGCGGAATGTGGACACTTTTTGCAAAAGCAGTGAGGTCTGGGCTTTATGTCAATGTGATAAATTTTACTTCCCTTTATGTATCTTTATCAAAACCTTCCCCCAGATAAATTGTAAATCAATTGACCAAGGTAATTTACTTATTCTCAGCCGGATGTTTGCGTCTTGTAATTTTGCTTCCAGAAAAGGACACAGCCTGCCTGTGGTTTCCTAACCATTTGGCAGGCAGGAGAAAAACATCAGGTCAGTGGCCAATAACGCAGTTGCAACAGTAAATATAGGGCAGCACTTTAGAGGAGGCAGGAAAAAAGATGAGGAGCTTTACCCTCCCTGTGGGGAAAAAAACGTTGCTGGATTGGCAGGACTTTCTCTGAGGATTAATAGAATTTGCTCCGGTGACAAGCAGGTCACAGTAATTATTCCCACCTCTTTGTAGCTTTTCAATTGCCATTACCTTCCTGTGGCAGCTTATGGAGAATAGTTGGTGTAAAAATTAAGGGCACTGATTATTATAATTAGATAAATATAGGGATAACAATTTTATTCAATTAAGGGTTTTGGCAAAGTGACCTAAACTAAGCCACAAAGAGAATCAACCCACAACACCATATTACACAAATGTCTGAATTTGCATTCAGAAAGATGGAACGTAGTCATTTTGGTCAAATCAGAATTCTCCAGAGGCAAAGTAAGAATCAGTGCCCATGAAAGTAAGTACAGCAAGAGGTGATGATAATTTCAAATGGCAAGCAAAGGGATCTGAAACTTTGTATTCTTAATTTCCATCTTCTTAAGTCTGATATCACTTTCGTTAAAAAAGGCAATTTAGTTAGAAAGCACTGACATATCCCTAGAATTTGACATTTTTCCTGGATTCAAAAAGGCTCACAAAACATATTTTAATGAATGGATGAATTATGTAATAGGAGAATAAATGAATGTATAAGTGTATATAAGCAATAAGTAATTGAAGTCTTAAGGGTTCTCTTGAAAATCTTGTAGTATCAGTAAGGGATTCCATCAAATTAAGCCTAGAAATCACATTAGTAGGTGTTGTTTTTCTAATGATTTACTTTGAGTGAAAAAATGAAACATTAACACATAGTCACTACATGAAACATATGACTGCATTGCCCTTTTATCTAAATTGAAGAAAATGCTCTAAGGAAGAGACAAACAATTTTTTTCAATTCTGCGCATCTATGTAAGCCTTCTTCCTATTCTTAGTTCTCTTTATTCCCACTTGCTCACTTTCTAGCTTAGTCTACTTACTTTTCCTCTTCTGTCATTTTTCTCCTCTCCCTCTTCATATTCCATCTCTCTCCATTTCATTCAGAGCTTTATCAAAAGATCTCCATAGACAAGAAGATATATCATTTTACTCACTTACCCTTCAAATAACCATGACATCTAAACTACTTGTTATGCTGTCTGTTTGGCCTGACATCTCTTCCTGCTATGCTTCTTTTTTTCTCCTTGGTCATGCCTTCTCATGTTAGAGAGCATGGCAAAATTATTTTATCTAACCAGTGTTCCCCAGTACCAGAAGAGTGAATTGATCATTCCCTTCATTTAAACTTTTGCCGTATAACGAACATCTCTATTCTACCACATATCACCTATCACTGATATTTCTTTCTGTGCTGCTTTCAGATTGTAACTTCAGGAGATTAATGGTCATAGCACATCGCTGTTAGTATCCATAGTTCCTGGCACACTGTAGGTGCTCAATACTTGAAAACATGAATGAAAACAGAAGGGAATGGAGAGAGTACAGAGTTGGTGGATATACATATTTTACAGTCATATTTGCTTACTCAAAAATATAAAGGCATCACTGTTTTTATAACATTAAATTAATTAAAATTAGAAGTTGAATGCATTTTTTAAACTCTAATTAAATATGAGTAATTTTCTAAAATTCAAGTGAGACTAAAATACAAACATGGCATCTTTTCATGTCATACTTCTAACTTGCTCAACTTATAAATAAATGAACACACACACACACACACACACATATATATATACATATATACGGCATTGAAATCTACTTATGAAAAGCTACATAGAAACTGAAATAACACTTTCATTCTATTAAGTAAATATGTGTCTGTAATGTCATTGGTTAAGTTGAATTCTGAATGGAATTTATATCAGTGCTTAGCATTATGCTTTTTCTCCTATTCATTTCATCCTTTCTTATATTTTCTGGAGCCATTTTATTCACTGCCAGTGCATCTGATTGGACTGCAAAACATGAAATGTGTGGCTTCAAAACACAGCTGGAGCCAATGTCATTCTTTAGCCAGCTGGCATGAGCCATCATTGTAGAAAGCAGCTGACTTCTGTTTTGATAGAGTAAGCATTCCAATGTGTGCTGCTTGTAATTCACTCACCATCCAACAAACAAATTAGTTTAGAAAAGAAATATATCAGCCATTGAGAGGAATGAGATTGATTGATAAAAGGGTCTATCACTCCCTCCTACTTATGGTACACAGTGTACTTCCGAGGCTTTTAGCAAAGTAGTTTGTACCAATTGCAGTGTTTTCATCCCCACAGCAAGAACCAGTGTGAAAAAACACTTGAAATTTTTCATGGCTCAAGGACAAAAAGAGCAGAGAACAACTTGGACAATCTACTTCATCTATGTACCTAGGCAGATCTATTTGTCTATCTATCACCTATTTATCTGTTCTGTCCATCTATCCACAACTCCACCTGCCAGTTTATCTAACTGTCATCCACCTCTCCAACTATAGGACTGTTATATTTCCCTCTATCTCATTATCCCGTTTACCTATCTATCTATCTATTCATTCATTCATTCACCCATTATCTATCTATCTATCTATCTACCTATATCTAGTATTTTTCTCCCTCTCTTTCTCCCTCTATTATATTCCCTTGTAATAATAAGGATAGTTGTTCATTCAGTTATTGCTTAAATTTCTCCAGGAACAAAAGACTTACCATTGGACCTTATAGTCAATTCTCTAATTGTCCAGATCTAGCACTTACAGAGTTAACTGCATTTCTATGATCTTTATTCATTAGTTATGGCTTTGCTCTCAATAGCAGTACAAAATAATATTATGTACCTTGCACTGAAGATATCTCCAGATTTTTGAAGAGAGCTCATTATTTTTTTCCAAGCCTTTTATCACTAGCCTAAATAAACTTGCTCTTTTCAGGATATATTTTTCTAATGATGAACTGCAATGTTCCTCTCTTGCACACCTGCCAGGTATATCATTGCTTTTTTAATTTAAATTACTGTGCCAGATTTAGAAACAAAGGGATCTTAAATCTATTACTTATGCTGTACTCATTTCCTACATATTAACACTAATATCATATGATTTAAAAACTTGAAAATAGCCCTTTTCATGTCATATAATTTGTTTATTACTCCTTAATAAATAGTTACAAACTTAGAAGCTTAAAAAAGAACACATTCCTTGTAGATTCTGGATATTAGCCCTTTGTTCAATGGATAGATAGCAAAATTTTTTCCCATTCTGTAGGTTGCATGTTCACTCTGATGATAGTTTCTTTTGCTGTGCAGAAGCTCTTTAGTTTAATTAGATATCGTTTGTCAATTTTGGCTTCTGTTGCCATTGCTTTTGGTGTTTTCATCACGGAAATTAAACAAATTTACAAGAAAAAGACAACCCCTTCAAAAAGTGGGTGAAGGATATGAACAGACACTTCTCAAAAGAAGACATTTATGCAGCCAACAAACATATGAAAAAATGCTCATCATCACTGGTCATTAGAGAAATGCAAATCAAAACCAGAATGAGATAATATCTCATGCCAGTTAGAATGGCAATCATTAAAAAGTCATGAAACAACACATGCTGGAGAGGATGTGGAGAAGTAGGAACAGTTTTACACTGTTGGTGGGAGTGTAAATTAGTTCAATCATTAGGGAAGACAGTGTGGCAATTCATCAAAGATCTGGAACCAGAAATACCATTTGGCCCAGCAATCCCATTACTGGGTATATATTCAAAGGATTATAAATTATTCTACTATAAAGACACATGCACACATATGTTTACTGCAGCACTATTCACAATAGCAAAGACTTGCAACCAACCCAAATGCCCATCAATGATAGACTGGATAAAGAAAATGTGGCACATATACACCATGGAATACTGTGCAGCCATGAAAAAGGATGAGTTCATGTCCTTTGAAGGGACATGGATGAACCTGGAAGCCATCATCCTCAGCAAACTAACACAAGAACAGAAAACAAAATGCTACATGTTCTCACTTACAAGTGGGAGTTGAACATCGAGAACACATGAACACAGGGATGGTAACATCACACACCAGGGCCTGTTGCAGGGTCGGGGGCTAGGGGAGGGATAGCATTAGGAGAAATACCTAATGTAGATGATGGGTTGATGGGCACAGCAAACCACCAAGGCACATGTATACCTATGTAACAAACGTGCACGTTCTGAACATATATCACAGAACTTAAAGTATAATTAAAAAACAAAAACAAAAACATATACAAAAAATCCAGTGATAAAAAACAAACAAAAAAACAGAACAGTTTATCTCACAGTTTCTGTGAGTCAGAAACCCAGGGATCAGCTAAGCTGAGTCCTCAGCTTGGGCTACCATGAAGGTGTCACCTGAACTGTGTCCTCATCTGGAGCCTGGGAAGGACCACTTCCAGAGTCACTCAGGTTGTTGGCAGAGTTCATCTCCATGTGGCTGTGGAACTGTCCTGACTTCTTTCTGGCTGATGGCTAGAGGCTTCCCCAGGGTCTTAGATGCTGGCCTCAGCATATACCATGTAAGTTTCCTAACATGAATGCTTACTTCTTCAAAGTCAACAAGGGAGAAATCTCTAGATGAAATCTGCTAGCAATATGGACACTTATATAAGGTAACATAATCATGGAAGTACAACCTGTCATATTTGCCATCTTTTATTGGTTAGAAACAAGTCACAGGTTCCACCTACATTTGAAGGAAGAAGATTAAAAGAAATGGAAATACCAGGAGGCAGGTGTCACAGGGGACCCCTCTGAGTCTTTCTACAAAATATATAATGAATCAAAAGTGCATCAAGTGATATTGCATTGGAATATATGATAGAAGTTTATTTTTAATGCTTCATAGAACTTTGCAAAAACCATAAGCGCTATGAGGTTTTTCCATTTCCTTGGGAGTGGGGTCTGAGTGCTGGTAGACGTAGTGGACTGAGTTAATTACCTCAATTCTACAAGCCTCCCTTTGCCATGCAACTTTGCCGACTATCCTTTTGCCATGCAACTTTGCGGTGCTCTTTCCCTGTAAACAGAGCCTACTATCCTACCTACTTGAAACTATGCTCAAAACGTTACTTGCTTTATTTTTTTCTTAGGGCTGCCATAACAAATGACCACATATTCAGGGACTTAAAGTAGCAAAAGGTTATTCTCTCAAGTTACGCATGGTATAAATGCAAAATCAAGGTGTTGGTAGGGTTGCACACTTGTAGAGGCTCTAGAAGAGGATTTTTTCATATCTCTGTCTTTCTCGTGGCTGCAGGCATTCATTGGTTTGTTGATGCATCATTCCAATCTCTGTATCTGTCTTCACCTGCTCTTCTCCTCTATGTCTGTGTCTTCTCTCTGTTTCAGACATTTGTCACTGGATTTAAGGCCCAGCCATATCTAACCTAGAGTTCTTTAACTGAATTACATCTTCAATACTCTTTTTCCAAATAATCTCAAACTCACAGGTTCTTGGTCATGGACACATGTTTTTCGTAGGCCAATATTCAAACCATTACATCTGCTTTGGCCAATTACAGGCTTGCAGGTGTGATGTGACATAGAACTTGTGAGACTAGACCTTTTTTTCTCACAATTCTGCCATGTCTATGAAAAGTACATATTTTTGTGATCCTTCCCTAGTCATAGGAAGAAGGAAGCATGCTGGTGCTTCAAAAATGATGCCTCAGCCAAGCTTAGACTACAGCTGAAATCCCAGCTTACTTGAGATTCAAGATAGAGCCTAAATAAGCGCTTAGAACAACCGAACCAGATTCAGCCAAGATCAACTAAAATCCACACGTATGTGAGAAATAAGTCAATATCCACTATAGCATGATACTAGTTTTGTGGTTTGTGCTTAGACAACACCTAATTTATATAAGCATGTGTGCATACATGTATTTTAATCTCTTTTATCATCTTCAGAATTCATTGTGTGTTATCTGTTCCTCTAATCTCTCCTAATTTCAGGAAAAAAGTTTTTACTTCTGATTTGCATTTTCTGTCAGCCAAACTTGCTCCCATAAAAGTATCTGTTGCAATTTACTCTTATTAAAATGAAAATTTAAGTCAAATAAACTTGCATCAGGATTATTTAATTTACTACAAATAAGATAATAGCTATGAGATAGATACTATCACCATGACAGTTTCAACCCACAACAAAACTTATGCACAGATGATTCAGGGAAGTTATACAGAGTCACACAGTTACTAAGAAGTGCAATGTGGTTTAATCCAGGAAACCTAAAATTCAAAGACCCTGTTCTTATCCAATAATTTCTCAGACCCAGGATAATAAAATAAAATGCTGCTCCTTTACTCAAAGAATGCCATGCATAGTGACAGAGGGTAAACAAAAGAAAACTCTTTTGGGAAAGGGTTCCTGAAATATCGATTTTGTAAATACTTGTATAAGGTGTTTGGGAAAGCCATGGGCATATATTGCTTACTCTGGTTCTTATCTCTAATTTGTCCAACTCTCAAAATACAAGTGTAAGAATTTACCTTTTCTTTTTTATTTATTTATTTATTTTTTTGAGATGGAGCCTCACTCTGCTGCCCAGACTGGAGTGCAGTGGCGTGATCTCAGCTCACTGTAAGCTCCGCCTCCTGGGTTCACACCGTTTTCTTGCCTCAGCCTCCCGAGTAGCTGGTACTACAGGCGCCTGCCACCACGCCTGGCTAATTTTTTGTATTTTTAGTAGAGACGGGGTTTCACCGTGTTAGCCAGGATGGTCTCGATCTCCTGACCTCATGATCTGCCCACCTCAGCCTCCCAAAGTGCTGCATGAGCTACCACGCCCAGCGAATTTACCTCTTCTTGTTAGCCACATACCTCATGATTTCCCACTGAATACTCTTAGAATTCAAAATTCATTTAAAAAATTTATAACTGTTTTGTGTTCTCTAGACATTCCCCCCCAGTGGAAGTGTTGGGATGGTTTGAATATGATAGTCTCCCCTTATCTGAGAAAAATAGGTTCCAAGACCCCTAGCAGATGCCAGCAAACACAGATAGTAACGAACTTGATTGCTGTCAATGAGAACATATTTCTCTTCATGTCTTTCACCTACAAATTTAATATTTTTTTCATTCAAACTAAGCACTTAACACGGACTTTACCTATAATTTTTGTAGCTTGAGGTGCAACAGCAAAACCAACACAATTTTTTTCTTTTCTTCATGATTTCATGACTAAAAAAGTTATTCTTACCATAGATTTTAGCAATTTGAAATTTATGGATTGTTTATTTCTGAAGTTTTTCATTTCATATTTTCAGACATGGGTGACCATGGATAACTGGAACCATAGAAAGCAGAACTACAGATACAAAGGGACTACCGAATTGCCTAATCTTTCTGATATAGTTTGGTTCTGTGTCTCCACCCAAATCTCATCTGGAATTGTAAACCCCATGTGTCTAGGGAGGGGCCTGGTGGGAGGCCCCATGGGGGCAGTTTCCTCCATAGTGTTCTTATGATAATGAGGGAGTTCTCAGAAGATCTGATGATTTTAAAAGTGGCAGTTTCCCCTGCCCTCTCTCTCTCCTACTGCTTTGTGAAGAAGGTACTTTCTTTTCCTTCTACTTATGCCATGATAATACATTTCCTGAGGCCTCCACAGCCATGCCGAACTGTGAGTTGATTAAACCTTTTTTTTATTTATAAATTACCCAGTCTCAGGTAGTATTTTTTATACCAGCGTGAAACCTGACTAAATCAGAGAATTGGTACCTACAGAGTGGGGTGCTGCTATAAAGATAAACTAAAAATGTGGAAGAGACTTTGGAAATGGGTAACAGGCAGAGTTTGGAACAGTTTAGAGGCCTCAGAAGAAGACAGGAAGATGTGGGAAAGTTTGGAATTTCCTAGAGGCTCATTGAGTGATTTTAACCAAAATGTTGATAGTGATATGAACAATGAAGTCCAGACTGAGGTGATCTCAGGTGGAGATAATAAACTTAGTGGAAATTGGAGTAAATATCACACTTACTATGCTTTAGCAAAGTGACTGATGGCATTTTTCCCCTTCACTAGAAATCAGTGGAACTTTAAATTTGAGAGAGATGATTTAGGGTACCTGGTGGAAGAAATTCCTAAACAGCAAAACATTCAAGAGGTGATCTTTCTTATTCTGAAAGTGTTCAACTATGTACATTCACAAAGAGCTGGAATGAAATCAAAACTTATGTTTAAAAGGGAAGCAGAACATAGAGCTTGGAAAATTTGCAGCCTGATCATGTAGTAGAAAAGAAAAACCCATTTTCTGAGGAGGAAGTCAAGCCAGCTACACAAATTTGCATAAGTAACACAGAGCCAAATGTTAATAGCCAAAACAATGGGGACAATATCTCCAGGGCATGTCAGGGATCTTCACAGCAGCACCTCCCATAACAAGCCTTGAGGCCTAGGAGGAAAAAAATGGTTTTGTGGACCAGGACCATGGCCCCCCTCCTCTGTGCAGCCCTGGAACATGATGCCTGCATCCCAGTCACTCCAGCTCCAGTCATGGCTAAAAGGGGCCAAGGTACAGCTCAGGCTGTTACTTCAGAGGGTGTAAACCCTAAGCTTTGGTGGCTTTCACATGGTGTTTGGCCTGTGGGTGAGCAGAAGACAATAGTTGAGTTTTGGGAACCTCCACTTAGATTTCAAAGGATAGATAGAAACACCTGAATGTCCAGGCAGAAGTCTGCTGCAGGGGCGGAGCCCTCATGGACAGGAGTAGAGCCCTCATTGCCCTCTACTAGGGCAATGGAGAGGGGAAATATGAGGCTGGAGCCCCCAAACAGAGTCCTCACTGGGGCACTGCCTAGTGAAGCTGTGAGAAGTGGGCCACCATCTTCCAGACTCCAGAATGATAGATCTACCAACAGCTTGTACTGTGCACCTAGAAAAGCTGCTGGCACTCAACACCAGCTAGTGAATGCAGCCATGGGGGCTGTACCTTGCAAAGCCACAGGGGAAGAGCTTCCAAGGCCTTAGAAACCTACCCCTTGCATCACTGTGCCCTGAACATGAAACATAAAATCAAAGGAGATTATTTTGAAGCTTTAAGATTTAATGAGTGTGCTTCCAGGTTTTGGACTTGCCTAGGGGTTTGTGGCCCCTTTTTTGGCCAATTTCTCCCATTTGGAATGGGAACATTTACCCAATGCTTGTACCCTCATTGTATCTTTGAAGTAACTAACTTGTTTTTGATTTTACAATCTCATAGGCAGAAGGGACTTGCCTTGTTTCAGATGAGACTTTGGACAGTGGACTTTTGAGTTAGTGTTGGAGTGAGTTAAGACTTTGGAGGATGTTAGGAAGGCCTGATTGGTTTCAAAATGTAAAAATGACATCAGGTTTGGGAAGAGCAAGAGGCAGAATAATGTGGTTTGGCTCTGTGTCCCCACCCAAATTTCATCTGGAATTTTAATCCTCATATGTCAAGGGAGGGATCTGGTGAGAGGTGGTGATTGAATCATGGGGTGGTTTCCCCCATGCTGTTCTTGTGATAGTAACAGAGTTATCATGAGATCTGAAGGTTTTAAAAGTGACAGTTTTCCCCCAAACTCCCTCTCCTGCCAGACATACCTTACTTCCCTTTCACCTTTTGCCATGACTGCATGTTTTCTGAGGCTTCCCCAGCCATGCAGTACTGTGAATAAATTAAACCTCTTTTTTTTTTTTTTTTTTTTTTTTTTTTTTTTTTTTGCGGATGGAGTTTCACTCTTGCTGCCCAGGCTGGAGTGCAGTGGTGTGAGGTTGGCTTACTGCAACCTCTACCTCCAAGGTTCAAGCAATTGTCCTGCCTCACCCTCCCAAGTAGCTGGGATTACGGGCGCCCACCACCACACCTGGCTAATTTTTGTATTTTTAGTAGAGACAAGTTTTCACCATGTTGGCTAGGCTGGTCTTGAACTCCTGACCTCAGGTGATCCACCCACCTCAGCCTTCCAAAGTGCTGGGATTACAGGTGTGAGCCACTGTGCTAGGCCAAACCTCTTTTCTTTATAAATTACCCAGTCTCAGGTAATATCATTATAACAGTGTGAGAATGGACTAATACACTTGCCTTACACAAGGCATAGTATGTCATCAGCACCTATTGGTTTTTCTATTTGCTTAGCTTTACAATGATTAAATACATGCAATGATTAAAATTTTAATATTCAAAGCATGCATTATATATAGCAGGGATGTACAAAGCAATTCTAATAACTTATTAAAAAATTACTAAGAATGCAAGGATAAAATGGCAGACAAAGACTTTGGATGTATATCATCAACCTTTTTACAACATTGTCCTCACTATTCATGGATGTGTAGTCTTCTTACTTAACTTATTTTAATTGCAATTGTCTTTTTGTTATAATATAATTATTTTAATCATCTGAAAGGATCTTTATTATTATAGCAAAATTCCTTTGATATCTCTTGCCTCTTTCTCCTATGAAGCAAACTCTGCTATATTTATTATTGATCTCTTGGTCGCCATGATGTAATGTCTATTCTACTGCCTTCGTAGAATAGGCATTTGTCTTCAAATGGACATAAAGTTAATAGCTACTACCTAGTCCATCAAGAGGAAGACTCTAATTGTCATATACTTTCCAAACTGAATCTCAATTCTTAGCTTTCGAAGCCTTTTCCTAGACTGTGTTAGGTTTCAATAGGACATCTGTTTTGACACTTCTTGAATAACTTTTTTTTGTATATGTGATTCCCCTATAAAATTTGTTTTTTAATTTAAGAAAAATATATTTTATATATTTTTTTATAGTAAATGTAAAAATTCTCCTGGTTAAAAAGCACTTATATCAATAAGGATTCTATTAGGAAACAAACTTCTATTCAGATACTTTAACTCAGATTTTTAACTCAATTTTCAAAGTTTTTTCTCTAAGAACTCCCCGATCTACTTAAAAAAAGCACACTCCACATATTTTAAAAAGCTGAGGATAATAAATGCTTTTGTTTATGTGGGATAAATATATTAATATTTACTGCATTAAAGTTATAATTGATTGTTAAAATATTTATTTCTTAATTTGAAATGAATAAACCTATTATGTTACATATTTACTGAAAATAATTATATTCTCAAAAATATAATATCAATTGAAATAACTGCATCATATTGCATTTTTTCAAATTGCTTTAATGTTTTGCTTAATTGAAAACATGTAGATTTTCATATATACTTTCACATTCAATCTATTGCAATATTTTGTTTTAGTTCAAATATATAGAAGAAATCTAACCCAATGCAAAAACAACAGTTGTTTCCATCATTCCATATCTTCCATATCCCCCTTATTCTCTATCAGCATTTTGATTTGATCAGGTTCTTTACATTGAGTAACCCAAATCTTTCAGTTTCACAAGGTCTACTTTTTACTGGTCCTATCTTTATTGATTTACTTCTCCCCATGCTCACTGTTTAGCAACAATCTAATTTCCTCTTGGTCTTCAAGATCAGTCCTACCTGCCTGAAGAGTAACTGCCTTATTTTCATTTTTGATACATGAGAAGTCCAAAGTACCCATGGGGCACTTCCTAAAATGAGTTTAATAAAATTAGGGCTGTATTTCCTAGTGGAAACTTTTCTTCCTTTGCAAGTAGGACCTCCAAGTTATGGGAAAGGAAGGAAATACTACTACTACTACTACGAATAATAATAATAATAATAATAATAATAATAATAATAATAAAAGTAGCTTAGTAAGCATAATTACGACATGCTTACCTTCACTTTTTACTGCCTATTCAGCTCAGTTCTGCCTACGGAAAAAGTGCCATATATTGGTTGCTGTCTTCATACATATATCATATTCTGTAGAATAGAACTCCAGCTACTCAAAATATTTTTCCCAGCTAGTATCATGAGTGAGATTTCAGTAGGCCATTCCACTCTTCTATCAACTTGACTGCTTCTGGGTGTGAGGTACATCATGAGGGTAACTGCACAGGGAAGGACCTATTTCCTCAATCATATCATGATAAAAATGTTTCTTTGTCACAGGCAATGGTATACAGGGTAACATGATAATGAATGAAGCAATTTGTAAGTTCTTTAATAGTAATACACACAGAATTGTTTAAGGCATGGAGAGAAAAAACATATTTAGATTAGTTATGTATTACCAAAAGAATGAATGACTGCCTCTTCAAGAAATAAAGGGGTCTAATGCAATCATCCTTTGTTAGGTGGTTAATAGGTGTACCTGCAAAGTGGTATTGGTATGATTTGGCTTCATATCCCCACCCAAATCTCATCTCGAATAATAATTCCCATGTGTTGACGGAGGAACCTGGTGGGAGGTGACTGGATCATGGGAGCAGTTTCCTCCATGCTGCTGTCATGATAGTAAGGGAGCTCTCACGAGATCTGATGTTTTTATAAATGGCAGTTTCCCCTGACCTCTCTCTCTCCTGCTACCATGTAATATGTGCTTGCTTCCTCTTCACCTTCCCCCATGACTGTAAGTATCCTGAGGCCTCCTCAACTGTGTGAAACAGTGAGTCAATTAAACCTCTTCCAATCATAATTTACACAGCCTCAAGTAGTATCTTTATAGCAGTGGGAAAATGGACTAATACAGGCATCAAATTGGAAACTCACTTTCTCTCTGCTATTTGCAAGTTGGGCACTCAAAATGTGTGGTAGTCAAATCAGTCTTGGTTGGATGAAACACAGCTTGTTGAAATTATGCTTACACAATTTTGCCTCTATCCTTTGCTATAACCACTTTATAAATGTGTTCATTGAAGAAGCAGCAAAGCAGATGGAGCAAGAAAATTAGCATTCCAAGGATTGTTCATTTTATCTAACTGATTATTAAGAGTGGAAGACATCAGCAGCTATTTCAAGAAGTTTATCTACATACCTTTTTCCAGATCTCATCTTCAACAATCTTTTCAATGTACTCTACATATGTCACTGAGTGGCTTGGCAATCTATTAATCATTATATAGAAGGCAATTATTAATAGATCCATTCCTCAGGCCATCTTTTCTTCTAATCGAAGTGGAAAACAAAATATCTTGTGTTTAAATTTTTCACTCTGGGAAAATTTCTCATCACAACTTCTGTTCAGTATATTGTTCAGAAGCCTCTTTAATGTCATGCCTTTTTTTCCTTTTCTATTAAAAAAAGAAGTTATAAGTGTTGTTTTAGAAGGAAATGGCAAAACATCAAAACTAATTACCATAAGAATTGAAGATGCCTACTTTTGAATCTTCATTGTGCCTTTGTGACCTGCTTGAACGTGGTGTCATATGAATGGTTTCTTTTTATGCTATAGCATAAGTTCTACTTAATGGTCTGATGTATCATATGCCACTTAGTTTGTGATAGGCAGTGTATCAATGTACTTAGTGTCCTAGATTAAGCATTAATTTTTCTACTGAATCACAGGTATAAGTCCTGAGCTACTACTAGAGAAAGACAGTTTTTAGCAAAACAAACAAACAAACAAACAAAAAAAACAGGGAGCATAGCTTTGCTCCAACACTCTAAGAATCTGGACTATGATTTTCCCAGTAGATTTTTTGAGAGACTCCATATAGTCTTCTTATCTGCTGTAGATTCATCATCAAATACCATTGTGTCCACTAATCGTAAGGACAGAACATCTGGACCTGCTCGAGGCATTCCTTCCTCATCCTTATTTAATGTTGGAGACCACATCGATTAATAGGTAGCTGATGAGAATCCCATCCATATGCCAAATTTGTTACATCCTAAATTCAAAGATTCCCCTCAATTCTCATTATGTGCAGTGGATGGAACAAAAGAGAGCAATTTGTCTTTTACTTTAGAAGAGATACCTGAGAGACTACTGGACTCCTAGAAAATTTAACAATAATGTTTTCACCTAAAATTTTATGGAGTTCATTTCTCATTCTAAAGTATTAATGTGTCTTATTTAAGTTACCTAAGCTACTCGCTTCTCCTACCTATAGCGGCATCAAGGTAACTGAGGTCTCTTTAGACTACATTATGACAAATAGAAGGACACTGAACATAGATTTGAATGAAGGTTAAAAAAAAAAGTTACCAATGTTTCTTATTAAATTGATAGAAAAACAAACAACAAACATTTTTTTCCCCAGATAAGTAGTTTTATGCCAGCTATCAGGGAGTATGCTAATTTTTTCAGTAATGGTATAGCACCTGAACCTTCCATAAAGGGTAGTATTCTTTCCAAGTTTATGAAAATACACAGCTACTTTTCAAGATCGATCAAACTTTTTTTTTAACCAGCCAAAGAGATAAAATAACCAATCATCCTTGATCCTTCCACATGTTTGGAAATAGCAGTAGGGTCTGTATTTTCCTTTTAGACATGGTATAGTTTTCTTTTGACTGCATTTTCCTATTAAATATGGTATTGTTTTATTTTAATTGTGTTTTCTTATTAAATATGGTATTGTTTAATTTTGACAAATAACATTCTAATGGCTTTCATTTGGTCTCTGATACCTTAGGAAGAGTCAGGGAACAATCACACAATCTTGCTACTTGTTTAGTGTCCCGCTTTTAACAACACATTCAGGAACCCAAGCTCTAACCATGGGATGGGCCACTGGACCATCTATTGCATGTCCTCTGTCAGATTCACTGCAATGGGTCACAGCATTTACTCAGATCCACTACCTACTAATCTTAGGAGATATTTGCCCTTCCAGTTTCTCAGTGCCTAGTTACTCTGCAAATGGCCACAAGTACATTTTGTTTCAGAATCTTACTTTCACAGGCTGTAGGTAATTGTTTATTTCAAGCTTTAATATGCTAAAAAATCAACTTCTTAAACCCACTCTCCAGTGCACAGGTCAACATATTAAATGCCAAATTCTGAATTAGACCTACTGCTTTGATAAATTTGGCCCAGTTCAACTTAATACACTGTGTTATTTGATTTGACATCCTTAAGGGTGACAAGATCTTGTAATTTTCTTTGATGTACAGGCTATCTTCTGTAGAAACCTTGCATTTCCCAGTCTGGAGTCTAAGACCAGAGGCAGTGAGTGATAATGGGAATGTATCTTTACAAAAATAAACACCTGCTGGAAATAAAGTTTAAGAATATTTGGAGAAAAGATTCACAATTTTGGCTCTAGCTACCAAAATGCCCCTAAACCAAGTCTTCAAATCTGATTTGCTTTTAAACAGTGACCTATTCTAGGCATAAGTGACTTGAAAGTTGCACATTTACTGGTGTTGCAATCTTTAACCTGCAGTTTGATTTGGATTCTGGTCTTTGGCATGCCTTTCTTATAGCTATGAGACAAGAGATTGTTTTAAGATTATCATGAAAGCTTTCTGCTTTTCCTCATATGTCTATAATTGGAAATTAAGGGCCCACAGATTATCACTTGTTTTTTTTTCTTTTGTAAGTTCTCAAGAATAGTTAAAGACAGACATCCCACCCCACAGTCTGTAATCAGTATGACTGTCATATTGATCAAATGCTATCAACTGTGGATTACATAAACCTTTGCTCTCCATTGGTACTTCAACCCAAGCCACTACCTGGGATCAACCTCAAAGGCATGCAGTCTATAACAGTCCCACAGTGTTCTGTACTTATAAGGTCCTGTACTTCTTTTAATGCTCAGTTGTCATTTGTTACTGGCTTAAAATTCTTAATAATTTTTAAACAAAGGGCTCAGTATCTTATTTTGCACTGAGCCCCACAAATTGTGTAGCCAGTTGGCCATGTCGCCAACAAAACTAATTTGACTAAGTCTGGTGCCAATGAATGACAAATTAAGGCTGTTCTGCATTCCCCAGCAAAGGATATCACCCATATGCTTGACTAATATGGGACCAGTCTAGTTTCAGAATCCCATCTCAGCTTCTGCTTCCTGGTGGAACACTTGCAACCAGCTACTCTCTCAGGTTTTTGTTCTCTCAGATGGCCCAACTGATAGGATTTCAATGAGGGCTTATTTATAGATATGTGAGAGGCTTTAGCAAAACAATAAGGGAAATTGAGTTTTCTAGAGGCTAGTAATAGTGAGAAGAATCTTTCATCAATGAATTATAGTTGTGGAAAAACACAGCCACTGCCAGAACCAAATTCGAACCAAGCCCGAATTGGAGAAGATAACCTAACCTCTTTTTCTTTAGTGAAACCCAGCTGGAAGCTGGCCTGCAAAGGAATCCTGATAATACTATCCATAACAGTCAGACAATTGGGCAGAGAAGATTGAGCATGGATCTGTTGAAAAAGGGCAACAGAAAAGCCATGTAAAATACAATTTAAAATTAATCTTCTCCTTTTTTCTACTCTAAAAGTTGGAATCTTTATAACATGGAAGGACTACTTAGCATGGAAAAGCTACAAGGAAAGTATAGTGAAGCCAAATATTTTATTTCCCACCCATTCTTGAGTTACAATAAATACCTACTCCTCCTTATTTTTAGCTTACTTAGAATAAGATTACAGCTGTGAATCCATCTGATTTCGTCCCCTGAGTCCTCTGTTTTAGCATGCATAATTGAAAGCCAGTTGTGAGTAAAAGGTGTAGTTCCATAGAATTTATGTTTGGTTCCTTTTAAATTTATTGGACTGTCATGTACTTTTTTACTAAGCAGGAAAGACACTGTGCTTTTGTGTATTCACTTTATGTCTATAATGAATTTATCCTCTTGTTGTATTCTAGTCATTATAATTTAATGTTTAATTCTTTTGTGTTGTTTTATTTTAGTATCTTTATATTTTCATAAACATATCAGTTACATAGTTGTTGAACTGTCCTAGAATTTAAGATCCCTAAATACATTCATTGTAAATATTCTGCTAAAAATTCTAGCACTGAAACAAAAGCAGTATAACAAATGTTTTTTATTGTAATAAAAAGGTACTGAAAATGTCAACTCAAACCTTGATACAAACGGTATAGAGGCCAGGGATGGAGATATCCTTCTTTGCTGTGTACTTCCAGTATTAATCTGCTCTTATTCCTTTAAAATGTGCTCATAAAAAGAGACAGAAAGGGTGATTAAATATTTATTTATTTATTTATAATGTGGTTAATATTATTAATGAAGTATATTCATATAATTACTTTTTTGGAGTTTAATCAAATGTAGATCTATAGAAAACAGCTGTTCAATACTTAAACAGATGGACAGGGAAGGGAAACATAGTGTCCTGTGTTTAAAGAGCTGAATGTGTATCTAAACCCATAACACTGCTACGTTTTGTGCACCAACAAAATAACCTAGCCTAAAATGCCTTCAAATGAAGGCTACATATTCTCTTCAAAGTAAAGTGGCTGTTACTGTTAATAAATTGAGTAATAAAATTTATACCTCAAAATATTACAAATAAACATAGGCAGTTTCATACTATTTAGATTCATTACAACTGAAAACACATAAAACCAAAACAAAAGCCAATTGAAAATTAAGTAGTGTGAAATAAAGCCAGCCTAATTTTGAAATTACCTTAAAAACAAGTTATAAAGGGGGAATCCAGGCAACATGCAAATTTGTAAATCATCCTTTTTGCCTGATTTTAAATAAGCACCTTCTAGAATTTACCAGGCTCTTTCTACCTAGTGCTTAATAAGTAGCAAATGAGAAGCTTATGAAAGATCATCCAATTCTGTCAGACAATGAGGGCATCACAAAGCTAAGGAATGCTTTTAATGAAAGTATGGTACCTAGTGTCTTCTTGTCTTCTCCAAGAACTCACTAAAGACAATATGGCAGCAAGAGTTGACAAGTGATCTCTATACTACAATAAAAGCAATCATTACTCTCAATTCTTTTAGAAAGAAAAAAGTTATAAATGAGTGAACTACTGTAGAAACATGGAGGGTAGAGTAAACCAAAAGAACTGATACACCTGATACACCAGAAGTAAAAGAGGTCGTGGTTTGAAAGACAAGATTTGTTTTGTGCCACAGTGCTCTGGATTTGATATTATTCAAATAGCAATATAAAGCCCTTGCTTTTGTGTGCTAGAGTTTATCTAAGCATCCTTAATCAGTTAATATTTTGGTCAAATATCTCATATGTCACGAACAACTGTTTTTCTTCATTTCTTCATTACATTTATTTACTAATAACAGGATCTGCTCTTTGCTACGTATTACCCTCTGTGAAGGGTAAGACCCCATTTCTTAAAACAATGAAAATATAGTCAGAGGCTCTGCCCTCAGAGAGGTTAATTTAGATAAATAAATAATATAGGTTTTTAAAAGCAAATATAATAAATTAAAATCAATTCCTAAATGATTGTAAATTATTTTAGCTACAAAAAGGACTATTTCAAACACAGAGATAAACTGCACAAGCTGATTTAGATTTTTTTCTTGCTTTAAGAATCAAGGCAGTACCTTTGGTTTCTTACTTTTAAATTGATTTAGTTCCCTCTTGAGCTGATTTATACCACTTTGCTTCTATTATTGACTTTGGCAGTTTGTTACTTATTTCAACTACTCTTTTGTGTAATAGAATTTTTTGAATCACCTATAGGCTAGGCTTGTACTTAATTTCAATGCATGAACTTGTGTTTTTAAATGAGTTATTCCTTCAAGCAGCAGATCTCTTTTTTTTTCTTCAATTTTTTTTTTTGTATTTCAGTAAGACCTCACATATTGACCTTTTTTTTTCTAAGACATTGTAAGCTTTTAAAAAGTGAAGTTTAAGCATGCAATTAGGAGCAATGAAGCACAAAATTGCTCATGCAAGAAATATCATCATTTTCCTTGTGCATCTGAAAATAAGGGATTTGTGCTGCCCAGTCATGAGCTAACTAGTAGGATAAGGGCACACAATCATGCACAACCTATCATTACATTTAAACAAATTCAGTAATAGTTTGGTACCCACAATTATAAACTCATAAACACCCACTTGATGATATGCCTTTCTTCTTACTGCACATACAGTGATTTGTTCTATATGATGTGATTTTGACCTTTTGTCCATTTATTCTCTATGTGTCACAAGTTTTTTTCGAGAAATATTAATATCATTTGAGAGTAGACCTTAAGGTTTTTCAAGGTTCAGTTAAAGATGGAGGGCTATGGAGGAAAAAGTGTTTAAGGGGCCAGTAAATCTTTTTTAGTTCCTATTCTCATGCAATCTGTTTAAGATGCACCAGATTTAATAGCTGAAAAGGGACTGGAGCCCAGTCTAATTTCTGGTCCACAAGACCACAGTATTTTCTGCATTAAACAGCTGCATCTTCAGTTGCTCTTTATTTAAATAGATAAATACACTCTCATCGTAAATATAAAAGCCAACTGGAAATTAATTAGGGTCAACAATTTCTATATGTTTCATTATTAGAAGCTTAATACCACAATTATGGCATATCAATACCCACCTTTTGCCCTCACTGCCTTAAAAACTTTACCCTTGCTCACAGCCACCTCTATTACTGACCTCATTATTTTCTTTTCATGGATTTCAGATTTTTCTTTTTCTCTCACATAACTGCGACAGAATTATTTTCCTTAAATTTCTTACCCATTGGAGACAATTACTATTTTTTATTATTAGAGAAGTGATTCTACAGAGTAGAAGAGGCACTGGATTTTGCAATTTTTTCTTTTACTTTTTTTTTGCCTATATCACTAACATCCTGTCATTTTGAATAAATGCTTTATTTTTAAGACCCCATTTCTTTAAATATGATTATGGGATAATTATAACTGCTCTACTTATGAAAAATAAGTATGTATTTAATTAAATATCAAATGGTTAGCATATAAAGTCCTCTGCACATTGTAAATCGATAAATAACCATGCATTTTTATGAAGGTTATACGTATTACTAGACACAGTTTGAAATGATTGGTTTGCTACTGATAATATTCCTTTTCTCTCATTTTGTTTACATTGATTCATACCCCTATCACTGATACTTTCCCTACCCCTTCAGCCTAACACATTTTGCAAGATTTATTTCAAATTCCACCTCTTCCCTAAAGCTTTCCTAAGAATTCCAACCAATCTTGACATTTCCAAACAAAATGTATTATTATATAGAGAGGTTAATTTCCTAAAATGATTATTAAAATATATTTTATTAAATATTTCAGAATATTTGAGAATAGATTTTCTACTGAAAATGTGTGAAATTTAAAAACCGGTAGTAAGATGTTGAGATAATTTTTTTTTCCACATAGGCTAAACAGGTCTTGGGTGGTCTTAGTCAATTCCAGTTATTCCAGTTAAGTTTATAACGTCTCTTTTCACTCACAGAGGGGTCCTGATTCAGATGAAAGAAAAAACGTGTTCACCTTGTCAATGGGTCAATTTCATGTAGTGGCTACAAAGTGGTGGAAAACATCCACCATTAATCACTGTGTTTTTGCTGAGAACTGGAGCTGGACTCTGCCACGATAGTACAAATACAGTTGGTCAAGGAACAGGAGAGCAAGGTTGAGATAAGTATCTTAATGTGTACTAGTATCAGAGTATGCACCAAGAAAAGGAAATGTAAAATGATTGTGCTCTTAGATGTCATATATTCCTATACAAAGGCAATATGAAATAGCCCATGTTAGTTTGAAGGAAGGAATGTCTGAGTAGTTGGAGTCATATTTGTAGATTCAGTGAGAATAGATGTAAATCTCTCCATCATTCCACACCCACTTTCGCATCTTTCTGTGTCCTGCACCTCATGGCTAGATTTTTCCGGAAATAAAACTATACAGTCAATTTCAGGTGCATTTTAGGCAGTAGCTACAGGTCTCTTGGTAATTCTGTTTGCAACCTTTGTTTCTGTTATCTATCTTGAGAAATTTGATGTCCCTAAATGTTTCTTATTATTTAGAATGATGTTTAAGTTAATGATTACACATATGGGGTTGGTTATTTAATAATTCTGTTTTTTTCTCTTTGTTTCCAAATATTGCAACATTATAGAGTCTCTGATTTTGAAAGAATTCCATGAACATTGCAATGTGAATTATCACATTGCACTCTGCCTGTAGTACATGTCGCTCCCTCATTCAGTTTTCATCATTGCATCTGTGCTATTGGCTGTGGACATAGCGAAGCAGAAACTAAAGAAGTATCTCCAACTAGTTCGATGGTACAGGCTGATTGTATTTATTTTGGGAGGACTTATCTGATCTCTCCAGACTTCACTTAGGTATTTTTGTCAGCTATGACACTTTCAGCTGTAAGAAACAGAAGATACAATTACAATCAGCTTTGAAAAGAAGAGTTGATTAAAGAAATCTTGTGTAAGGCAGTACCAGCTCATCAAGGGCCAGGATCCTTCATCATTCTCCCCCACCATCCTCAGCATTTTGGCTTTCAAGCTAAGGCTGATGCCCTAATGATAAAAAATGCAATGGCATGGAAGCTCCAGTTTTCATGTCCTCACAAAACCCATCTGGCAGCAGGGAAAGAGGCAGTGTTCCTCACATTCTCCTTTTTTTATCAGAAAGGAAATCTTCTACCAGATCCCTAAAATCTAACTTTATATTTTGTCTCATTAGCCATAGTTATATCACATGACCATGTGTGAGCTAATCACTGCAAGAGGAAAGGATGGTTATTATGGGCTTTGCCTAATCAACATTTCTTCCAGGAGCTGGAAAGAGAACCAGTTTCCCTGAGTGCATGTGCCATCAGTTCCTGAACAGAAACCAGTTTCTTATAGTAAGGAATAAGGAAATAATGGCTATTGGGAGGGATTTCCATAGCATCTGCCACACCTTTCAATGTGTTTCTGTAGCACTTACCATAGTATATAGTGCCCGCTAACTTGTCTGTTTCCCATATGTGATTGTATAAAGGTAGAGATTGGCTTGAGCTCATTGTCTATCTGCAAAATATCATACACAATAAGTGATCTTAAATGAACAAATTAATACTGAATGTTATATTGTACTATAAATGGTCAATATGACTTCAGGATACATCAAGCTGAAGTGTCTGTGCCCTTCTGTAGGCTACGGGAAATCTGCAAGCTTTTATAAATATGCTTCATAAATCATGGAAAAATAAGGCAAAGTCTAATCTTTCTTTCGTTGGTATGTCTTTTTATTAAATTTCAGCACAGTATTTCTGCATTGAATATGTCACCTTCAGTAATATAGGACGCTTTGGGAAAAAAGACACATGCAGGTGTAGACACTGAAGAAGAGCTTTCTATTTTGTCATTTTATTGTTCCTAAACTTGGAATAAGGCTATGTTTCATTTTTCTTATTATATGTTTAGTAGAAGAAATGATCTCTACTTATAGCTTACAAAAGGAAGTTTAATGTAGCAACAAAGTACTAATTAATTTTCATTCACGTGATGTTATAATAACATCTCTGAGAGATGACTTAAGGCATAATGTGTTTTTTTTCTCTTTTGAAATAAATGAACTCATCTTGGATGCTAATTCGTGAGTTACTTTTTAAAATAATGTTTAGTCTTTATAAACAGGAATGCACTAAAATTTAAAAACACGGAAGCGTATGTAGGTCATATAAATTTAAGAAATGAAAACTGTAGCATTCTCGAAAAGTTATGTTTTGCCCTTTAAGAAAATTGTAGTTTATTTCTGCAGCTAGATTAAAAAAAGCACAGAATGAGGAAAAAAATAAATATAGATAGACAGATATAGATGTTTGTACCAAAACAAGTTGATTATTCTCTTTAGATTTGGATATAGATAATGCCCTGAGGGAGATATACTGTAGAACAGTTTCTCAATTGTGACACTATTGACATTTTGGGCTGGATAAGTCTTTGTTGTAGAAGGTTGTCCTTTCCATTGCACAATGTTTAGCAGCGTCCCTAGCCTCTACCACTAGATGCCAGTAGCATCTCCCCATTTGTCACAAACAAAAATGTCTCCAGATGTTACCAGATATTACAAGGAGAGAAAAGTAACCGTAAGTTAAAAACCATAGCTGTTAAGTAGCAAAATTATAAAAATTTTCATCTTAATATGTAACAGCTTAAAAAAAAAGGATGGGTTTGATAAGGTTGGTGACTTTGAGTTATGTGATTGGTACTTGGGCCATAGACTATGGGAACTGAAGAAAGATGATTGATTTGTTTATAAAATATAATAATCCTTTTCCACTGTTTTACAAGACCATTTATCAGTTCTTTTTTTCCATTAGTATGTAGAAAAAAAATAAAAATAATGAATTCAGCAAATATTCATCAAGCCAGTATTCTGCATTAATTATCTTACTAAATGTTCAAGAGTCAAAAATAACAGCCTATTTCCTCACAAGACTGATGGTCTGGAAGTTGAAACATAAACAAATTATTCGACTATTATAACAGAAGAATGAACAAAGCAGCTGAGGAACTCAGAGGAGAAATTAAATACATTTTCACAGAGAGTTCAGGACATTTTTCCATAGACATGCTATTTGAGCTGATTTTTTAAAAAACAACATTAGAAAAAAATGGAATAACATTTAAAACAATGGTGCATACTTGTGAACTTCATGTAGCTCACAGAATTAGAGCAAGGATGTACCAAGATAGAGAAGTTGAAGTAGAAGCTGTCAAGAAAAACAAAGCTGGTCTATGAGAGGTTCATATATTACACAAAAATAATTAGGCCTTTCTCCTGTACGTTTTAAACAGTTCAATATTGTGATTAGAGCTATAATCTAGAAACACTATTGTAGTCATGTGTGGAGGTTAAAGCATCTCTGTCGTGGATGATAATCCACCATGTTGACTTCTGTTTGACCCCAGTTCCAGGAAGGCCTCTAAAATTTCTACTTTATCTACTGTTTCTTGTATAAGAGCACGTACTTACTGTAAATCCTACCATTATGTCAAAACAAGCTTAATCATAAATTCTGCTCTTAGACAGATTCATGTAGCATTCTTGCCTTTCCCTACAATTGTCCTACACTCTTCTTTCCTCAGGCCTATGAGCTCTGGGTCTAGGGGATAATGGTGCAGGGATCCACCATCTTGTCTTGCTGCTGCCCTAGATACAAAGATGGCTTCTGTTCATAAATATTTCTTTCTGAAAAACTGGATATGTCAGCCTCTTTCTTTGGTTTCTCAGCTTCCTCAGACCTTTGGGGTTTGCCTAGGCCTGCCCACCATAGAACATCATATATGAACTTTAAATATAAAGTAAAGAAAACTGAAGGCAATGAAACCTACGTTATGAGAGAAATGTTGAAAACTTGAATAAATCCACAGAAAGAAAGAACACAAGGGTAAAACATTCAGGTTATGTTAAAGTGTTATAAATTATATAAATAAAGAGAGAGAAAATGAAGAGGCTGCAAGACATAATGACTTTCATGCTTTTGGTATAGGTAATTTGGAATATCCTGATGCTATTAAGCAGAGGTGATACATACAAAAAGGAAACAAAAAGATTTGGGGAGTGAATAACACATTTTGACATATATCAAAGGCCCTTTAGATATTCTAAAATATCTGTAAAGATATTCAAAATCAGTGGGAAACAATTCTAGTGCTTATCAGAGATGTTTATTATTAAGTTATACGTATAAAAGTAGATGCCCAGTGATCACAGTATCACAAAGAAAGCTTTCAAGTTTAGAACAATAGAGAAACTCCAACATTTAAATAGAAGATATATGAACAAAAATGTTCATTTATCATTCTTGTTATTCTTAATTTTACCATTGTCAGACTGGTTAAGGAAAAAACAGGGGAGATTTTTTTTTTCCACAGAAAGCAAGATTGAAGACAGCTTCGATAAGAAAGTTAAAAGAATTGCTTGATCTCTAGTCTTCATACATTGCAGATGTGTAAAACAATATGAAGATGAAAGAGTGCCCTTTAAATGTGTCTGCTGGAAAGTCACTGGGGATCTTAGCACAGCAGTCACAGTGGAAAGGTGAGAGTTGAATCAAGGTCCTCAAGGAGGAGGAGAAATATTCAAGAGAACATGTAGAAGATAACTGGGGTAGGAAGAATAATGGCCACCCAAAGAGGCCCACATTTTAATTACCAGAACATGTGCTTATCTTAAGATGCATGAGAAGGAAGAGTTAAATCTTTTCATGAAATTACATTTGCCAGTTAGCTGACCTTGAAATAGAGTGAGTATCCTGGATCATCCAGGTAGGCACAATGTAATCATAAGGTTTCTTAAAAGTGAGAGAAGGAGGAAAAGGAGGTCAAAGTCAGAAGAAGTAACTACAGAAGAATAGTCTGGGAGATGTAACATTGCTAGCTTTGAAGATAGAAAGAGGCATGGAATGTGAGTGGTCTCTAGATGTTTGGAAAGAGCAAGGAGATGAATTTGCCCCTCGAGATATGAGAAAGAAATGCAGACCTGCTGACGCCTTGATTTTAGGCCAATAAAACCTATGTTAGTCTTCTAACCTACACAACTGTTAAGGTTTGTGTGGTGTTAAGGCACCCAGTTTGTGATGTTTGCTTATAGCAGCAATTACCTGTTTGGAAACTAACACAGGAATCTCAGCAGAAAAAAAAAAAAAAAACTCCATTTTTTGAGAAATTTATTGATTCATTTAACAAATATTTACAGATCTGTTCCACCTGTTGGAGATACAGTTGTGAATAAAACACATACACAAAAATCAATCCCTCCATTGGAGAACTTTGCTTTCAATAAACAAATTCTAAAAGGATCTGGTATATTAGCTATTAATTGCTGTGGAGAAACAAACAAAAGAATGCAAAAGATATTAGTTACAATGGCGGTGCAAGAATTGAGATTGCTGAATCTTCCTTGAAAAACGGACCTTTGAGCAAAGATGTGAAGCAGTGAATCAAGTGATGTATACGTCATGGGGAAGAACAAACCGGAAAGAGGAAATCACAAGTGTATAATCCCAGGAGCAAAATCAGAACTAGCTTGTTTAACGGACAGGTGGAGTGCAGTCAGGCAGGAGAGATGAGTTCAGAGAAACAACGCGTGGGTAAAGTTTGTCAGATCACAGTAGTGATGACTTTGTATTTCATCAGCATGGAAATAAAATCTATTGCAACATTTTAAGTAGAGGGCATGATTTGATTTGTGTTTTAAAAGGATAGCTCTGGGTATGGGTTTGAAAATAGACTAAGAGAAGTTAGGGTTGAAACAGGCTGAACAGTTGGCAAGCATTTTCCATAATCTAGTAAATAAATAATGTGACTTAGATCTAAATTTTAGGAGTGGTCACAGGGAGGAGGAGAGGTGCTGGATGTCAGAAATAATGTGAACATTTGGTCCCCTGGATTGGATGTGGAATGTGGGAGAAAGGGAGGAGTCAAGGATAAATTCATAGTACACATTTAGTTTAGGAGACCCACTAGTGGAAGACAGAAAGACAATGAGGGGACAGGGCTTGGTGGCTCACATCTGTAATCCCAGCACTTTGAGAGGCCAAGGTGGGCAAATCACTAGGTCAGGAGTTCAAGATCAACCTGACCAACATGGTGAAACCCCATCTCTACTAAAAATACAAAAATTTGCTGGGCATGGTGGCAGGGGCCTGTAATCCCAGCTACTCGGGAGGCTGAGGCAGGAGAATCACTTGAACCTGGGAGTTGTAGGCTGCAGTGAGCCAAGATTGTGCCACTGCACTCCAGCCTGGGTGATAGAGCGAGAGGCCATCTGAATAAATAAATAAATAAATAACAATGGAGGATGGAGCATTGCAAATATAGTATCGGAATGTATCAATAATAATCACAATAAGTTACATTTTGATAACTTTCAAACACTGAATATCATATGATCATTATCAACCACCTGCAGTATTATTAAGAATGTTTTCCTCATTTTGTAAATTAAAAATATGAGAAAAAGGGAGGCTAATTGACTTTTGCAAAGCCATCGTTACTGAATGAAAGACTGACTCCCTGGTGACAATAAACCTCTTTCATATAGTAGTGATTATGCCTGAAGAATTTCTTTTTTTAAATCTTTCCAACAATTTTCACATTGAAATACCAAGTACCACATTGAGTATTTTTTTGTAAATTGCTTTTGATACAAATGATATTGAGAGTAATATGAACTGTGTGTACATATATGGAATATTGGAGCCACATGAATTGTAGAAAGCTTAAGAAATCATTAATATATTTCCTGCATCAGTTGGAATTACATTTAGATATTTTCAAACATATGAGAATGTATTGTTTTTCAATAGGCCTTCCATGGAGAGGAAATATAAGCCTCAAAATGCTTGTAAAATTTTTAAGCTGTGAAATTTCAAATATCATTAATTGTATATTGTATATTCTGTCTTCTTGGTAAAACCTGGAATTAAAATCTTTGCTATGCAATTATTAAATTTAGCACAAAAATGAAATTTTATTAACATGATGGCATGCTTGAATTGTGTTTATGATTATTATCATGATGATTTCAGGAGCCTGGATAAAAGTAGCATTTCCTTCTTTCCAGATCTCCATGGAATAGTGAAAAACAGGCTAAGTGATGAAAAAGAAGTGCCAAGAATTTGGTATACTTCATTTTTCGAGGTACATGCACATTTAAAACGACTTGATAAAAAGAAAACAGGGAGAACAAAAGTAACTGGAACAAGGAAAAAGATGAGTCCAAATCAAGAGGCAGTTTCCAGCTTACTTGTAAAAAGACATTCCCAATTTGTAGCTTAGGAAACACTATTCTTAAATTTTAGGATCATTTTCCTTAAGAAAGCGTCTTTGCTATTCTGAGGTTTCCTGGCTTCTCTTGACAAAAGAATTTATTGAAATAGTAGACACTACTTCTATGTGCTATGTTCCATTACATAGTGAATTCATTATTATGGTATTTTATTAAAATGAAATTTATAAACCCAAACAATAAGCTAATGAATAATGCTGCTCAGCTCATTAAAGCTAAATTTAGAAAATAACCATTGATCATATTTTCAGAGCAGTTTTTAATTTCAAATAACTTATAAAGGAAGCCTGAGTTTTTAATTAACAAATGGGTAGGTTTATATAGTAAAGTGGTAATTTTTAGCAGAGAAATTAATTGACATGTGGCTTGTTTACCTTCTGTGTTAGAATTTCTGTATTGGCAAATGTTTTTTATATAAATAGAGATACATATTAAATGTATTGGTGTTTAAAGACGTAATATTTGTGTGTGTGTGTGTGTATGCATGTGTATAATTTTTCTTGAGCCTAGTTGAACTCATTTAAGCTAAAGGAGCTTGTGTGTTCATGAAGAAAATAAACAAAATAGCACCTCTTATCCCCTTAATTTATGCTTAGGATTGGGGCTATTTATCAAGGTTTAAGAAAGCTTGGTAGCTAACAATTTAATAAAAAAGAAACTCCACCAGCTCTTGAATCCCCAAGTGCAACAAGGTGCAAAGCTATGTACTGGTGGTGTTCACACATTGTTCAGGATTGTGTTATTCTTTATTGTGATTCATGTAATTTTGAAATAGATAGGGAAATGTTCATTATTCCTTAGGGTATATTTTGAACTGTACTTCCCAAGACACTGTAATATTTTTTTATGTGGAGTTATTCCTTTTATTTTACATGTGCTGCTGTTCCTGGTTTAAAAGTAGAGCTAGATGAAGGATCAGTCTTATCATTAAAGACTGACTGAAGTATAAATGCTGTTTAGCTTATTTAAAGTATAATTTACCTTAAATTGCAAAAGTTGCTTTTTTATGAGTGACTGATTATTTGAATCATTGAGTTGGTGAAATAAATAGGAAAAAAGCACAGCTTTCTTTAAATAATAAATAAAGCAAGCATGTGTCATAGGGTAGAGTATATTGAAGAATGAAATAAATTGAAAATTAATCCACAAATAAGTGAATAAGTGTACCTGAATATGTTCATGAATTTCTCTGAAAATGAAATAACCATGAATGATTCAGTAGTTTAGTCTACATTTTTATAGAGGATACATCTATTTTATCATTATTTAGGGCTGGTTTTTTATATACCTTCTAGTTTCTTTAATATTTTCTCAAAGCAGATAAATTGCATCTCTTCTGTATATTAATGTTTTCTTTTTTTAATTTAAAATTGAAGAAAAACTGAATACATGGGCTTTGAAATAAATAAACATTTCATTGCAGGCTAGTGAAGGCTAACAAAACCACAGGAACCAGAAATCTAGCTGCAAAATAAAGTACAAAAGCTCAAAGTTACCAGATGCTTTCAATAAAAATATTAAAACTATGATTGATAATAATAACAAAACCTTTATATAATGTCCAAGCATGGTTTAAGGGCATGTTTTGTATCTATTTCTATATTTATGTGTTTATCTAGATATCTATCTGTACACATAGGTACATGTGTAGACACGAATCATGAATATATACATATCTTAACTAATTTAATTTTAACAATGCTACACAATAGGCAACATAGAGATTGCATAATTTAAGTCACACACCTAATATGACCGGAATTCAAACAGATTGACTTCAAAGTCTGACTGTCATGCATGCTGTTTCTTCTACCTCTGTGACAGAAAGTTTATCTTAGAAATCTAGGCTTTTTTTGTTTTTTTCCAAACATAGCTACCAGTTCAACATGTCTTTTCTGGGAGCCTCACATCAATGCCACAGACAAGTAGATAAAATGCAAACCAAGTTAGATTCTGGGTTCAACATAAAAGGAATTCATTTTACTGATTGAAGGTTTTCAAGAGTGAGAAGGAACTGGCAGTTTACATCAAAGACTCACTGAGTACCCATATTTATTTATTAAACAGATATTATTTTATTGAGTGGCTATCCTATGCTGGGAACTGGTTTTATTTCTCAGAATAGAGGTTTTATTTCTCAGAATATATATACACATATTTAGTCTCACTGGGTCCCGACTACTAAGTGAATATACTACATTCAGTTACTAGGGCACAAATTATGGACAGAAATAGTGGTTGAGATTAGACACATGGGTTGTGTTCACATCATAAAGTGTGTTAGGTGTCATAACAAAGGTGTTTGAACATTTATGCAGTTCAATCTATTAAAACAGCAAAGAAACTTGGTAGGAAACAATAATATTGACATGTCTGAATATTATAGAGATGATTATCTGAAGGCAGTGTTTGTAGTTTTTTGTGCCCGCATCAACATGGGTTGAATTGTACATAGATATCCTTTAATTATTTAGTTAACATATTAGATAATAATTATTATTTTTAAGTAATATATGCAAACATTTTTCATCTTTATGAAACTAAATGGTGGAGGATGTATTAGAAATGAAGCGGGAAATGGTTACCTTATTTGCCCATGCAGGAGTATATGTTTTCCTCTACCCTTGTTAAAGTAGATATTCATATTTCATATCTCCCTTCTCTCTACTCTCCAATCTTGTCCTCAACATATCAGGCCTTCAGACCCAGAAAACTTGGGTGTAATTTTACTATTCAAATTTTACAACTTAGTTTCAGAGTGTCACAAAACAAAAAATACTCCACCACCATTTCCTCGCCCCCTCTGCTCTATCTGAATCTGTATGATGTTACCGATATTGAAGGAGGCTGGCTTCATACCACGCCCTAGAGAATGGGGGTATGACGTGGTGCAGGGTTCACATTGACTTGATCCCAATTCTTTGAGATTTATTGAGATGTTTTATATTATAGGAGGAGATACATTTTCTTAAGCGATTCCATCTATACACAAGAAGAAAATGGTTCCTGCAAAGCTGGGGTACAATATTCTATTTATACCAGTTAAATCAAACATTTTTAGTGTGGAAATGCTCCAATGCTTACTGATTACCTGTCTGATAGATCTATCAGTTATCGTGGATAATGTAATATCTTACTTTAGTAAAAGGTTTGTCACTTTCTCCTTGCAGTTTTGTTAAATGTTTGCCTCTATATTTTGAAGCTATGCTATTTCATACATATATGTTTAAAATTACGTCTTACTGATGAGTTGAACTTTTCATTGCTATAGAGTAATCCTCTTAATTTCCAATAACTTTTTAAAATTATAACTATTTTATCAGATATTATATTTTAAGTAATTCTCCAAAAACATATTTTTACATTATTTGACTTTCAACCTTTTAATTTTAATTGTACCTCATGGAACTGACATGTTTTTAAGCCACTATTGTGAACATTTTTTTAACTAGTGAGTTTAGTTCATTTACATTTATTTGTACTACCATATTATCTGATTTCTATTTATTCTCTTTTTTCTCCCTTTCTTAACATCTTTTAGATTAATTTGATGTTTTACGTTTATTTTATTTCTCATCCCATTTTTTCCCCTGTACTTGTTTGGAAGTTATATGCACTCTATATATTTTAGAATTTGTTACTCTTGCCGTTTAAGGAGCATATTAAATTCTAAACATATTTAATATTGTAACCTCTATTACTTACAATATAAGCATCTTGGAATAGTTAAGTCTTACCAAGGCCTTTTTAGCTTATATTCTTTTTCTTGTTTTCCAGGGTTTTAATTGCAGTGCATTTTTTACCCACTCATTGAATTCTGCAAACACTCAGTGCCCTTGGAAAAGGACCCTGGGCCTCGAAAAAAATGGCAGCCTTAGCCTATGCATTGATTACCTGAAAAGAGAGCTCAGTCAGGCTATACCCAGACTGCTAACAATGGAAAGTTTAAAAAAAATGTAAAATAATTCATTTGTGTGGTTTGTGCTAAGTTTGTGGTAATGGTTATGTAGCAATACAAAACCAATACAGTAATTAATTAACGAGGGAATTAATAAGATGCTACAACTGATTCAAACGAGAATTCAGAAAACACTTATATAGGCAATTAGGAATACTGAAATGAATTTACCAATAGATGCAAAACTGGTCAATATCCACAGGGCAAATATCAGCTGCATTCACTAGATAATATTTTTTTCAATTTCTATGGATAAGTATCATTGACATTACTGATTACTGTCAGGTTTTATTTCTCTATAACTTAAAGAGTTGTAAAAAGTTCAAAGACAACAAAAGATACAGCTTTTTATCAAGTCAAATAACCCAGAAGGGTACACTAGATGGGACACACAGTGGCCTCTATTGCTCATTTAATAGGTTTTTTCATAATTTCTTCCAGAGCAAATGAAATAGGAATGGGATTTACCTACTTTAAACATTGTTAAAGTGTATAGAGAGATCATATATTTAGGAGTGCTACATGGAAGGTGTAATTATTATTAAAAATATCCAAAACAGATGACTAATAGGTGCTTGAAGCTCTGATAGAAATGCTTGCAAACTAGAACATTTACAAGTAGGTGCCAACAGTATTTCTGCCAAAGCAAGCGCTGTACTGTTTTGCTATGCGGCAATGCTCTATCATACAGGGAAAATATCCCGCAGAATTTATTCAGTTGATTATCTATTACATGAAACTTCTGTTTGAGAAGCTCAACAAACACCTTGCAGTGAAAAGAAAACAGAGAAATGTGCTAGGCATGGAAAGAGAAATTCTACACGTACAAATTCAGCTTAGGGAATATTTGCCAATAAATGTCAAATGCTAATAACTGGCCCACTAATCATTGTAAAAATAAATTATCCCACTCAGGCATTCCTCTGAGTATCATCTAAAAGGCATGCTCTAGTTTTTAAACTAAAGAGAGTTTTAAATTTAAGAATTGCCTACTTTCCCATTCTATTTGTTTTCTTCAGGATCTTTTTTACAAACAGTTGATGCCTCTGCTACAACATAATTGTTAAGAATCTTTTTCTTTTCTTTTTAGTGATGAAATCCACTCATGGAAAAGTCCATGTTTTTCAGGAATTGTGTGGGAAGATTGTATTTTTGCCTGCTCTTCAGCTTGGCAAGAAATCATTACAATGTGGGATAGATGCCATCACATGCTTACTCTTATGTTTTTGTTCGGTTTAGAGCTGGCAGAAGGGTATTTTCTGTTTACGATGAGAAGTACAAGTAGCTGTTGCCAGAATTTGGCCATAGGAGCTATTAGTTAAGATATAGCTAAACACTGCGTCTAGACTTTGATAAATCCAAGTAGCTAATTAAGAGTCACTTGTATCCTAAACCTGGAGTAAATGGAATAAACTTTTCATTTGAAACTCCTCTAGAGGACAGACGCAGTGGCTCACTCCTATAATTCCAGCACTCTGGGATGCCAAGGCGGGTGGATTACCTGAGGTCAGGGTTTCAAGACCAGCCTGGTCAACGTGGTGAAACCCCGGCTCTACTAAAAATACAAAAAAAAAAAAAAAATATATATATATATATATATATACACACATACATACACATACACACACACATATATAAAATAATCTGCTTCCACACTCACTCACTCATATATTTATATATATATATATATATATATATATATATATATATATATATATATATATGCAGGGTGTGCTGGTGGTCACCTGTAATCCCAGCTACTCAGGAGGCTGAGGCAGGAGAATCACTTGAACCTGGGAGGCGGAGGTTGCAGTGAGTCAACATAACGCCATTGCCCTGTAGGCTGGGTAACAAGAGTGAAATTCTGTCTCAAAATACAAAAACAAACAAACAGAACTCCTCTAATCTTTGGTTCTGGTATTCAAGATTTAAATAATACAAATTCTCATGTTAAAGTATTCTACTGGGTTTCTAAAATTCCTCGAGTTCATTGTTGGGACCACATGGGATAAAGTGAGGATCTGTATTGATGTGTAGAAATAACTGTGTTTTTAATCTAAGATATCCTGGTACAACTTTTGCATACTTTCTACACAAGTTTCATTTAGAAAATAGAATCTGCTCCAAAAATTTTTGAAAATAACCAGCTAAGCAACAAAAATTACCAAAAACTAGCCACTTCAACACGCATTTATTATCTCACAGTTAAGTAGGGCAGAAATTTCGATGGGCGCAATTGGGTTCTTTGCCCAGAGTATGGCAAAATCTTATTTTTTAATTTATTTTATTTCGTTTATTTATTTATTTATTTGAGACGGAGTCTCGCTCTGTCACCCAGGCTGGAGTGCAGTGGCGCGATCTCGGCTCACTTCAAGCTCCGCCTCCCGGGTTCACGCCATTCTGCTGTCTCAGCCTCCCGAGTAGCTGGGACTACAGGTGCCCGTCACCACACCTGGCTAATTTTTTGTATTTTTAGTAGAGACAGGGTTTCACCGTGTTAGCCAGTATGGTCTCAATCTCCTCACCTTGTGATCCACCCGCATGGGCCTCCCAAAGTCCTGGGATTACAGGCGTGAGGCACGGTGCCATGCTGGCAACCTTAATTTTTATTAAGATGTCAGCCTGCCTGGGCTCTTAACTGTAAGCACTGAAGAATAATCTGCTTCCACACTCACTCATTTAGATTCCTGGACAAATTAAGTTCCTTGTGGTTGTAGTACTGAGGATTTTTTTTTTCTTGCTGATTCAGCTGGGGGTTGTTCCTAACTTCTACAGGCTGCTAGTCTTCCTTGTCCCATCACACTCTTCAAAGCCACCAAAGATGGGTCAAATCTACTTCATGCTTGGAAGGTTTTTGACTTCTGGTACTGGCCAGAAAATTCTGCACTTAAAAGACTTGCATGATTAGATTAAGCTCACCTAGATTAGTTTCCTATGTTTAAGGTCACCCGTGCCATATAACCTAATCATGGAAGTGATATATCAACAATTTCACAGTCCCCAGGATTAGGGTTTTTCTACCTAAAACACAGAGGTAGATTTGTAGTTGGAATTCTATTGAGGGTAGATGTGAGGGGAGCAATTTGACAATCAATTACCCAAGTGATCAGAAGATTCTTTGGAGTGACTCTGGGAATGGTGTTTTTGTGGTTGAGAATTGTTAGTAAAGTAAGTGTTTAGATGAGCTACATACAAGTGAACTTGCATAAATATAAAAATAATAACAATTGGGTACCAAGACATAAGGA
Source organism: Homo sapiens (assembly GCF_000001405.40). NCBI lineage: Eukaryota > Metazoa > Chordata > Mammalia > Primates > Hominidae > Homo > Homo sapiens. The sequence goes on from NC_000004.12 coordinate 33,661,223, forward strand.
GAGCAATATAATATATAAGGAGAGCAATATGTGGCTGATTTTAATAATAAAGGCTGAGGTTTTCTTTAAAAAAAAATAAGCCACAGTCTTATTTCATCTCAGTATTTATATTTCTTTTAAAAGTTATATTTGTATCACAGAATACAATTTAATTCATTAGTTTGCATTTTTAATCAATATTATTAAAGTAAAAAATAAATATATGTTTATGATTTTTAATACTTTTTATGACTCTACAGAGCGAATCCCCTGTTTTGTTCTCAAATACAAGTATCTTTCTGAAAAACATTCATAATAGCCACTGCCTCATTTGTTTCACTAGTGTATGAAAGGAGATGCAAGATTTCTTGGAGTTCAGTCATGCTATTCCAACCTATGACAACCTGGAAAATTTCACATGCCTGGAGATGAAGGTTAAGCATATGAAGAGACTATTTTCTTATCTAGTCACTTTCCTTACAAAGAAATAGAATAGTATATTTTTATCTGCATCCTTTATCCAGAGAAACTTTTTTAAGCCATTAGACAAAATACTTTAGATAAAAAGAAATCCAATTTTGGTTTTTCTTGTTCTTTTGTTTACTTCTTTACACCATTAGCAATATTGCTTACTATGCTAAATAAAAGTCACTTGTGATGGCATATTAAAGGAAATGTGACAATAAGACAGTTAGTGTAAGGAATCCATTATCATTAGACCATGTTGTTTAATATGTAAATTAACTGCTTTCTAAATCATCTAGTTGAATAAGTAAAATGCAACCTGAAAAAATAAGAGTATAAATAAGAAAAAGAAATACTTAGAATGTAATTTTTCTTCTTTTTTCATCCATTCAAGTTTTGTTATAAAATTGCAGCAATTCAGTCAGATCTTCAGGTTCCATTTGTAATTCCAGCTTTCCTTTTTTAAAATATGTATTAATATTTTATTTTATTTTATTTAAGTTCTGGGATACAAGTGCTGAATGTGCAGGTTCATTACATAGGTATATATTTGCCATGTGGTTTGCTGCACCTATCAAGCTGTCATCTAGGTTTTAAGCCCCACATGCATTAGATATTTGTCCTAATGTTCTCCTTCCCCTTCCCACTACTTCTGTACAGGCCCCAGTGTGTGATGTTCCCCTCCCTGTGTCCGTGTGTCTTCATTGTTCAACTCCGAGTTATGAGTGAGAACATGTACTGTTTGGTTTTCTATTCATGTGTCAGTTTGCTGAGAATGATGGCTTTAAGCTTCATCCATGTCCCTGCAAAGGATAGGAACTCATTCTTTTTCATGGCTGCATAGTATTCCATAGGATATATGTGCCACATTTTCTTTATCCAATCTATCATTGATGGGCATTTGGGTTGCTTCCAAGTCTTTGCTATTGTGAATAGTGATACAATAAACATACTTGTGAATGCATCTTTATAGTAGAATGATTTATAAACCTTTGGGTGTATATCCAGTAATGAGATTGCTGGGTCAAATGGTATTTCTAGTTCTAGATCCTTGAGGAATTGCCACACTGATTTCCACAATGGTTGAACTAATTTACACTCCTGCAATCAGTGTAAAAATGTTCCTGTTTCTCCACATCCTCACCAGCATCTGTTGTTTCTAGACTTTTTAATCATCACCATTCTAACTGGCATGAGATGGTATCTCATTGTGGTTTTGATTTGCATTTCTCTAATGACCAGTGACACTGAGCTTTTCTTTATATGTTTGTTGGTCATATAAATGTCTTCTTTTGAGAAGTGTCTGTTCATATCTTTTGCCCACTCTTTGATGGGGTTGTTTTTTTCTTGTAAATTTGTTTAAGTTTCTTGTAGATTCTGGATATTAGACCTTTGTCAGATGGATAGATTGCAAAAATTTTCTCCCATTCTGTAAATTGCCTGTTCACTCTGATGATAGTTTCTTTTGCTGATCAGAAGCTCTATAATTTAATTAGATCCATTTGTCAATTTTGGCTTTTTTTGCAATTGCTTTTGGTGTTTTAGTCATGAAGTCTTTACACATGCCTATGTCCTGAATGGTATTGCCTAGGTTTTCTTCTAGGGTTTTTATGGTTTTAGGTTTTAGATTTAAGTTTTTCATCCATCCTGAGTTAATTTTTGTATAAGGTGTAAGGAAGGGGTCCAGTTTCTGTTTTCTGCATATGGCTAGCCAGCTTTCCCAGCACCATTTATTAAACAGGAAATCATTTCTTCATTACTTGTTTTTGTCAGGTTTGTCGATGATTGTAGATGTATGGTGTTATTTCTGAGGCCTCTGTTCTGTTCCTTTGGCTTATATATCTGTTTTGTTACCAGTACCATGCTGTTTTGGTTACTGCAGCCTTGTAGTATAGTTTAAAGTCAGGTGGCATGATGCCTCCAGCTTTGCTCTTTTTGCTTAGGATGTCTTTGTTATACAGGCTCTTTTTTGGTTCCATATGAAATGTGAAGTAGTTTTTTTCTAGTTCTGTGAAGAAAGTCAATGGTAGCTTGATGGGAATAGCATTGAATCTGTAAGTTACTTTGGGCAGCAAGGCCATTTTCATGATATTGATTCTTCCTATCCATGAGCATGCATTTTTTTCCATTTGTTTGTGTCATCTTTTATTTCCCTGAGCAATGGTTTGTAGTTCTCCTTGAAGAGGTCCCTCACATCCCTTGTAAGTTGTATTCCTAGGTATTCTATTCTCTTTGTAGCAATTCTGAATGGGAATTTACTCATGATCTGGCTCTCTGTTTATCTATTATTGGTGTATAGGAATGCTTGTGATTTTTGCACATTGATTTTGTATCCTGAGACTTTGCTGAAGTTGCTTATCAGCTTAAGGAGTTTTGGGCTGAGATAATAGGGTTTTCTAAATATACAATCATGTTGTCTGCAAAAAGAGACAATTTGACTTCCTCTTTTCCTATTTGAATACCATTTATTTATTTCTCTTGCCTGATTGCTCTGTTCAGAATTTCCAATATTATGTTGAGTAGAAGTGGTAGAGAGGGCATCTTTGTCTTGTGCCAGTTTTCAGAGGGAATACTTCTAGCTTTTGCCCATTCAGAATGATATTGGCTATGAGTTTGTCATAAATAGCTCTTATTATCTTGAGATATGTTCCATCAATATCTAGTTTATTGAGTGTTTTTAGTATGAATGGGTGTTGAATTTTATCGAAGGCCTTTTCTGCATCTGTTGAGATAATCATGTGGTTTTTGTCATTGGTTCTGTTTATGTGATGGATTACGTTTATTGATTTGTGTTTGTTGAACCAGCCTTGCATCCCAGGGATGAAGCCAACTTGATTGTGGTGGATAAGCTTTTTGATGTGCTGCTGGATTCAGTTTGTCAGTATTTCACTGAGAATTTTTGCATCAATGTTCCTCAGGGATATTGGCCTGAAATTTTGTTGTTGTTGTTGTGTCTCTGACAGATTTTAGAATCAGGATGATGTTGGCCTCATAAAATGAGTTAGGGAGGAGTTCCTCTTTTTCTATTGTTTGGAATCATTTCAGATGGAATGGTACTAGCTCCTGTTTGTACCTCTGGGAAAATTCAGTTGTGAATCCATCTGTCTTGGGCTTTTTTTTTTTTTTTGGTTGTTAGGGTATTAATTACTGCCTCAATTTCAGAACTTGTTACTAGTCTATTCAGGGATTTTGACTTTTTCTTTGTTTAGTCTTGGGAGGGTGTATGTGTCAGGAATTTAACCATTTTTTTCCAGGTTTTCTGGTTGATTTGCATAGAAGTCTTTATAGTATTCTCTGATGGTAGTTTTTATTTCTGAAGGATCAATGGTGATATCCCCTTTATAATTTTTTAATGTGTCTATTTGATTCTTCTCTCTTTTCTTCTTTAGCAGTCTGGCTAGCAGTCTATCTATTTTGTTAATCTTTTCAAAAAACCAGCTCCTGGATTCATTAATTTTTTGAAGGATTTTGTGTGTCTCTCTCTCCTTCAGTTCTGCTCTGATCTTAGTTATTTCTTGTATTCTGCTAGTTTTTGAATTTGTTTGCTCTTGTTTCTCTGGTTTTCTTAATTGTGATGTTAGGGTGTCAATTTTAGATCTTTTTCACTTTCTGATGTGGGTATTTGGTGCTATAAAATTCCCTCTAAACACTGCTTTAGCTGTATCCCAGAGAATCTGGTACATTGTCTCTTTTTTCTCATTGGTTTCAAAGAACTTTGTTATTTCTACTTGAATTTCATTATTTACCTAGTAATCATTCAGGAACAGGTTGTTCAGTTTCCATGTAGTTTTGTGGTTTTGAGTGAGTTGGTTAATCCTGAGTTCTAATTTGGTTGCACTGTGGTCAGAGGGGCTGTTTGTTATGATTTCTGTTCTTTTGCATTTGCTGAGGAACATTTTACTTCCAATTATGTGGTCAGTTTTAGAGTAAATGCTATGTGGTGCTGAAAAGAATTTATATTTTGTTGATTTGGAGTGGAGAGTTCTGTAGATATCTATTAGGTCTGCTTGATCCAGAGCTGAGTTCAAGTGCTGAATATCCTTGTTAATGATCTGTCTTGTTGATCTGTCTAATATTGACAGTGGGGTGTTAAACTCTCCCACTATTATTGTGTGGGAGTCTAAGTCTCTTTGTAGGTCTGTAAGAACTTGTTTTATGAATGTGGGTGCTCCTGCATTGGGTGCACATATATTTAAGATAGTTAACACTTCTTGTTGCATTGTTCCCTTTACCATTATGTAATGCCCTTCTCTGTCTTTTCTGATCTTTGTTGGTTTAAAGTCTGTTTTATCTGAGATTAGGATTGCAACTTCTGCTTTTTTTTTTTTGCCTTCCATTTGCTTGGTAAACATTCCTCCATCCTTTATTTTGAGGCTATATGTGTCTTTGCACATGAGATTCATCTCCTGAATACAGTACAACAATGGGTCTTGACTTGTTATCCAACTTTCCAGTCTGTGCCTTTTAATTGCGGCATTTAGCCCATTTACATTTAAGGTTAATATTGTTATATGTGAATTTGATCCTGTCATCATGATACTAGCTGGATATTTCACACATTAGTTGATGCAGTTTCTTCATGGTGTGGCTGGTCTTTATATGTTGGTGTGTTTTTGAAGTGGCTGGTACCAGCTTTTCCTTTCCATATTTAGTGCTTCCTTCAGGAGCTCTTGTAAGGCAGGACTGGTGGTGACAAAATTCCTTAGCATTTGCTTGTTTGTAAAGGATTTTATTTCTCCTTCACTTATGAAACTTAGTTTGGATGGATATAAAATTCTAGGTTGAAAATTTTTTTCTTTAAAAATATTGAATTAGGGCCCCACTGTCTTCTGGCTTGTGGGGTTTTTGCAGAGAGATCCACTGTTAGTCCAATGAGCTTCCCTTTGTAGGTAACCTGGCCTTTCTCTCTGGCTTCAAATGCTCTTTAAAATGTACCAGGAAGAAGATGAAGGTCAAGGTTTGCTATCAATTTTGAAGTAACCCCATATGCATGTGTCTTATATCAGCAAATCCTATATGCTTATTTGTTCTGTAGTAAATAAATTTCTCTTTAATATATGTATATATTCTAATTAGTTGTTTTGATGCATACATTTCTTAGTGAGCTTTAGGAAATGTTTCCTGCCAATTCACTGACATAGATATTTTGAGTATCTATGGGGTGCTTACTTCTACTAGGTTAGCATTGACATGTAAGGGGAGAGATAAGAAGGGCTTTCTTAGCTAAGTGTGAAGGGGTCAAATATTTAAAAACAAAAAAAATTTTCTCCCATTCCGTAGGTTGCCTGTTCACTCTGATGATAGTTTCTTTTGCTGTACAGAAGCTCTTTAGTTTACATAGATCCAATCTGTCAATTTTGACTTTTGTTGCCATTGCTTTTGTTGTTTTAGTCATGAAGTCTTTGCCCATGCCTATGTCCTGAATGGTATTGCCTAGGTTTTCTTCTAGGGTTTTATGGTTTTTAGGTATGTTTATTGAAGCACAATTCACAATAGCAAAGACTTGGAACCAACCCAAAAGCCCATCAATGAGACCAGATAAAGAAAATGTGGCACATATACACCATGGAATACTATGCAGCCATAAAAAAGGATGAGTTCATGTTCTTTGCAGAAACATGGGTGAAGCTGGAAACCATCAATCTCAGCAAACTAACATGGGAACAGAAAACCAAACAGCACGTGTTCTCTCTCATAAGTGGGAGTTGAACAATGAAAACACATGGACACAGGGAGGGGAACATCATACACAGGGGCCTCCCAGAGTGTAGGGGGCTGGGGAGGGATAGCATTAGGAGAAATACCTAATGTAGAAGATGGGTTGATGGTTGCAGCAAACCAACATGGCACGTGTATACCTATGTAACAAACCTGCATGTTCTGTACATGTATCCCAGAACTTAAAGTATAATAAAAAAAGAAAACATTACATATACTAGTGATGGAGTGTCTTAGAAAGAATGTTTGTTGGTGGTTATAGATAATGAGAGATAATAGAATTACAGCAGTAATTTTCTTTATGCTGTCTTCAAGAATACCTAAGGAATGATGCCTCCAAGTATCCATGAGTGATAGGTTATTTTTCAGTATTTAGTTCTGGATTTTTAATAGAAGAAAGTTAATCTAATCTTAAAAATGTATACTGTAATTAAGATACTAGTAGCATATGGTAAAAGTTTTTGATTCTTATTTTTACCTTCATTGCTCTTTACTCAATTTTAAAGATGGATATTTGGAAAATGCTATACTTTCATTTGTTTACTTAATTTTAAAGATGGATATTTTTAAAATACTATACTTTTATTTCCTGGTATTCTATAATAGGTTTTCGTTTGTAGTGGTATTGATACTCTTACTTGAAAGCTATATGCATTCTATCTCTTTCTCTACTCTTTATAAGGAAATGGAGTTACTAAGATTTATTCAATACCTTCTACATGCCAAGGACTGTGTTTTCCACTTAAGTTCCTTCATTTCATGGAATCCTTACATGATTTTTTTAAGTGTCACATACTCCGGTAAGTAGTTACAGCATAGTAATTGAACTGTTAAATCAAGTTTATCCTAAAGCTGCCTCCTTACATATTTAAGTTCGACCTAAAGGTTTTTCTCCACATCATGAACTATAACAAGTGGAGGTGTAAAACGACCCTAGCCAACACCTGTGCCAATCACTGAATTTTTAGCTAATCAAATGTAGGCAACTGTTCATACCATGTTCAGATATGGCAAACGCTGACCTGCAACCAATCCAGTTGTTTCTGTAACTCACTTCCATTTTCTGTACAGTAATTTTCTTTTTACTCTCCATAAATCTTCTTCCACCACGTGACTGCTCTGGAGATTCTCTGAATTTGACGTGATTCTGGGGGTCTGCCCAATTCACAAATTGTTCATTGCTCAATTAAACTCATTTAAATTTAATTCGGCTAAAGTTTTCCTTTTAACAGAACTGATTAGAAAAATGAGGTTCAGTGGTGTAATATATTAATACTTTGTCCAGCTTCTCACATATATTCAGAGTGGTATTAGTATTCAGCACAGGTATGCATTTGCATAGCATTGTAACAACTATTTTATGTGAGGTGTTAGTTTATTGACATTTGGTAAATAGCTCACTCAAGGCTGCTGAGAAAATGATAAAGAAACAATTAGAACACAAATCTTCCGAGTTCTAAAATTTGTTTTCTATCAGCTACCTTAAAACTTCAAAAATAAATAAAATTATTGAAAATATTCTGATAGCCAGAACTGCCACATAAGCCAAAGAGTTTCTATAAAGACAGATATACAGAAGTGGGTCCATAGGTAAATCCAACTGTAAGTTCCGCCCAAAAGTAGTCACATAATATGAAGTATGCTACAGCCATATAATTTTTAAGTGTCCTTAAAAATAGTGTTATCTTCTGAAACCCTCCACAATCTTTTAACAAATCCTTTCATATTTAATAAACAAGTGCATGCAAAAATAATGTATACATAAATAACTTAATATTTCCATTATGGAAAGAAATATGCAAAGTCCTATATATGGCCATAGGAATACCATGATAATAAAGTGATTCAGAAACATACGGGAATAAGTTTGGCCACTTATATATATGCTCTAATAGAAACAGAGGTAAACATTGATAATTGACTCTAAAACAGCATGCGGGTTAGGGATGCTGGTCCCTTTACCTGCAGTTTAAAATTATCATAAAATTTTTGACTCCCTCAAAAATTAACTACTAATAGCCTACTCTTGACCAGAAGCCTTAGCAATAATATAAACAGCTGGTTAACACATATTTTGTGTTTTACAAAAAGTGCAAGGTTTTCACACCTGCTGAAATAGCTGCGACATGGACTTCACAAATTTTCTTTTCTTTTTCACAATGGTCCTTAGGCTGGATTCATTATGTGTAAATGACAGGCAACTGCAGCTGCAGACCTCAATCTACAGTACATACCAGGCAATTCAACTTTTCTTATAATGTCATGACATTTCTCTGCTTCTTGGGAGCACTTCCAGCATCACTAGTGGCACATCGCATGGGTCTCATGGTGTTTCTCAAGGTTTACAATATTGCACTAAATATTGCAAAAAATGTGTGAGAACAATGACAGATAACTTTTTACTACGACATGCAATTTACTGGAGAGGGACCGTTTATGCAGTGATGATTAGCGTCACACAGCTTTTAAAGCAGAGTCTCGTGATACTAGAGCTCACTGCCACAGAAGCAGGAAGTGGCTGTGAAATTATTACATTAGTGCGGTGTGCGCTACAGGTAATTTATGCAATTATAATTTAATACTGAATTATTGTGTTTGTTTACATTTTTCCCAATTGTGATTGGCACTATGTAAGGTCTATGTTTCTATGCATAAGTTTTGATAAATTTTGATGTTTTAATAATAGGTTTGTGTATATTTTATGGTACTAAATGATAAAGTAGACTAATATCTACATGTATTTTGTGCATTCATGCATTTCTTTTTATTTTTTTATGTATTTTTAGACTATGTTGTTTATCTGTGAGTTTTTTCAAATTGTCACAAATCTCTCCAAAAAGTTGCCCAATGTATGTATTGGCAAAAATCTGCATGTAAGTGAATACACACAGTTTAAACCCATGTTTTTTAAGGGTCAACTGCAGTTGCAAACATGCACTGAAACACAAAGAAATGCCCACCACTGCTTTACATTAAAAATACTCACACAGAGTTGTTTTTAAATTCTGAATCTCTTTTAATATTTTCAAATAAACTTCAGTGTTCCTGAGTCTTCTGGTTTAAAATGGCAGGGAAATAAAGCTAAAAAGCTTTACTGTATTACCAATTAGCATTTGTTTTTACACCTTCTGTGATGACAGATGGCCAAAAATGATCTGAACAATAACATCGAGTTAATAAAATATCTTCGGAAATCAGAAAAAGTTACAGGTAGGACCTTTGATACATTCTAAATTGATCAATTCTTTCTTCTTGTGCCTGCAAACTTAAAAAAAATTTCTGCATTACCAAGCTGTGCAAAGCAAAATTCAAAATGGCATAATACAAGCTAACTAGAGATTCATTTGAATATAATCATTTTGAGCCTTTAGCTCTTTTTGATTTTATAAGGCTGAATTTTGAATATTACTTTTGCAAAAAATAGCTTACAGCAAATTTTATAAAAAATGACACCTTGAATTATTAGGCTATCAATTGTTTTCATTTATTTATTCATCCACTCTTTCATTCAAAAATGTCTATAGAACATGACCATCAATATTGGATGTGCAGAAATATATGAAATACTGACCCTGCCCTTGTATTAATTCTAGAATGAAATCACACAGTCAAATAAATACTAAAAATGCACTCTAGCCAATGGAAAATAAATAAATAAAAAGGCAGCATGGAAGTACAAGAAATGGGAGAGATACTAACCTATTCAGAGAGTGGAAAGCAAGTTTTTCCTGGATGAAGAGAAACTGTATCAGGATATGAGTGCATTATATGATCCTAGACTCCAATCCTGAATGAGAATTTGAGAATCTAGGGAGGGTGGTGAATATATTTTGCATGGAAAAGAATTATAAATGACTATTTACAGAAGGAGAAATATGAGAGACTGCAAAAATAATCACAATTTTCCCCTTCTATCAAGAGATGGAGTCTCCTTCTCCACCCATTGAATCCCTACTGGTCATGTTCATGGGGAATTGTTAATTGCAAAGCATACATAGACTTTAAAAAAGCATTTGTACATTGTGACTTATCATTACTTGCTGTTTTCGGGACATTTTGCCATCACATGAATGAGACTGGATTAGACTGGTAAATGAGGAAGGTTGTGCCCAGTGGCTCCTGCTGGCTCAGCTGTCATCCAGTCAACCTCTTGTAACAGATCTGCCAAGCTGACCAGAAGCTGACCACATATAAATGGATGAGACCAGCAGAAATATTACTTGGCTTAGCCGAACTCAAATTGTTAACTTTCAGATTCAAGCTCAATAAGCAATTGTTAACTTCAAGGAACTAAGTTTTTTAGTAGTTTGTTACCCCAAAAACAATAAATGATACAATGCCTGAGTAGTCAGTTTGTCTCTGACTATGGTGTAAAAAGAATAAGGTATACATCACACTATTCCCACAATGACAAAGTAGGAAATAGTGTAGATAAATCTATTACTGAAGTTATAATGATGATCTCTCATGAAGAGGATGTCTGTGAGGTTGGATTTAGAGTAAAACATACTTCTTCTCACAATGAAGTACTCAGTATATAATGAAGTACTCACAATATAAACTTCCCTTTGCAATTCTCCATTGTTTCTACAGGACCTTATCTTTTTCTTATGTGTTGGCTATTAACTGGGCAAAGGAAATTTTAAAATTTATTAATTTGCTTGCTTTTACTTCTTTATAGAGAGTAATCACAGTGCTTCTCACTGTGAAACAGTAATTCACTTCATTGAGACTAGTCATTCTTCACTACACCTTCACAACCAGTAAGTAATGGACAATGGACAATGTCTTCGGACTACAGCTTTGGGCAGACCCTTCAAAGTGAACAACATAAGTGTCTAAAATATATACAAAAATCATATATATATATATATATATATAAATATATATATATATATATATGTTAAAGTTGAGTCCATATATCATATCAGTAGCATAATACCCAGCTTGGATCTTGATCTGGGCTTTTTATTTTTTTGAGAGAAGATCTTGCTCTGTCACCCAAGCTGAAGTGCCATGGTGCTATCACCACTCACTGCAGGCTTGCCCTCCCAGGGTCAAAAGATTCTCCTGCCTCAGCCTCCCAAGTAGCTGGGACTACAGGCAGAGGCCACGACACCCAACTCATTTTTGTATTTTTTGTAGAGATGAAATTTCACCATTTTTGCATAAGCTGGTCTTGAACTTTTGGGCTCAAGCAATCTGTCCACTTTGGCCTCCCAAAATTCTGAGACTACAGGCCTTAGCCACCATGTCCTGCCGATCAGGCCTTTAAACCTAAGAAATTACCAAAAGTAATTTTTATAAATTATTACCACCAAATCTTACATTACCTACACTTACCTATCGTTTAGAATAACTTCCTATTTTTTAAAAATTTTTTCTTCTTCATTGTGAAATTCAAGACGTTGACTCCAATTAACATTGTCTTAGTCCATTTTGGCTGCCATAACAAAATACCATAAACTGGGTAGTTTATAAAATATAGAAATTCATTTCTCACAGTTATAGACACTAGGAAGTCCAAGATCAAGGCGCTGGCAGATTCAGTGTCTGGTGAGGGCCGCTTTGCTGATTTATAGATGGCACCTTCCAGCTGTGTCCTCACCTAGTTGAAAGGGTGTGGTAGCTTTTTCGGGCCTTTTCTATGAGGGCACTAATCCCATTCAAGAGGGGCTCCACCCTCATCACCTAATCATGTCCCAGAGGCCTCCCTTATTAATACCATTTCTTTGGGTTTAGGTTTTCAGCCTATAGATTTTGAGGGAACATAAGCATTCAAACCATAGCAAACATCAAATCAAATCTTTGTGTAGTTTTATGTCTCAGTTGCCTTGGAGATTGCCTCTTTCTGCATATGCTGCTAGACAATTAAGTAGAATGGCTAGCATCTGTTACCAGTCCCCAGGATTGACTCCTTTTGATTTAATTTTAGTTTGGGGTTTGATGTACTCACAGTAAGTACGGTTTAATAAATTTAATAAATGTTTTAAGGCACACTGTCAAAAAATGATCTAATGTGCTATGCCTGTAGTTAACTCTTTAGAACATGTAGACAACTTACAGAGAGTCAATAAGCAGAACATGTTAGGAAAATGCCAACTTATTAGCAGGGAAAAATAATGATTCAAAAAAGTCACAAAACTAATCTAACATTTTATCTAACTTTATTTGCATCGTGAGTGTGTGTGTTCCTCTCTATGGAAGGAGCCAAGCTCTTTTTTTTTTTTGAGACGGAGTCTCACCCTGTCGCCCAGGCTGGAGTGCAGTGGCGCAATCTCGGTTCACTGCAAGCTCCGCCTCCCGGGTTCCCGCCATTCTCCTGCCTCAGCCTCCCGAGTAGCTGGGACTACAGGCGCCCGCCAACATGCCCAGCTAATTTTTTGTATTTTTAGTGGAGACGGGGTTTCACCGGGTTAGCCAGGATGGTCTTGATCCCCTGACCTCGTGATACGCCCGCCTCGGCCTCCCAAAGTCCTGGGATTACAGGCATGAGCCACCGCGCCCGGAGCCAAGCTCTTAATGGAAATTATTACTTGGTCATTCTTAATCATCTTTGGCCATTAAGAATCCTCAGGATGATCTTCAAAATATTGAGGCAGGGCCACACCCTCAGAGAGTCTAAGATCTGGGACGGAACCCAGCTACAGGCATTCTAAAAATTCCCCATTTGATTCTAATATTCAGCCAGGTTGAAACCACTGGGCTGTAAAAATAAATTGTTTCTTTTGAGCATAATATAATAGAGGCAGCTTTCTCTTCTATATCAGAAAATAAAGACATGAGAAAAAAAAACGTTCATACTTTTCCTCATTATAAATAGCCCACACTGAGGTCACAGAAGTAATTTCCGGACAACTGCAGAAACTCCCAGAACTTAGAATTACAGAAACAGAATATTTCATGAGCTCATTTTCTTTGCTATAGTATAGCAGTTTAGTCTCTTTTAAATAATAGTAAGTATTGAATACTTAAAATGCACTCATGCTTTCTATACATTATCTCTTTTGATCTGCACAGTGGTTTAAATGATTTTTTTTAATCGAGCTGAAAAAACAAGGCTAAGATAAATTAAAATTATGTAAAGGTGATTTTGTTGTTTTATAATTTACTTTAGAATACCTAGGCATTAACAGGAAAGAGAGAGAGAGTCCACACAAAGTTTAATCTTTAATGCTATAATGTAGGGGTGACTGTTTTTTCTAAGAGAAATACTTGTCCAGTGGCCTGTCAGCTACCTATTAAAGGCTTCTAATCTGAGGTCTATACTCAAGAGATGGCCCTAAAATTTTTAATTTTTTTCAGCTATCTTGATGTCTGGACAACACTAGAAACTGTTAACTTACATAACTAATTTTGGACATACTTCATCCTTGTATGAGCAGGATAGAAGACTCTAGATAGCCCAGTAGTCAATTCTCTTCGGAATGAGATACACTTGATTCTGACAAGATGTTATATATAGAATATTATTTCTTCCCCTTTGTATCCAGCTTTATTAAGGTGTAATTGGCACACAAGAACTGCACAAAGTGAAAGTGGATAATTATTCATACAATGAGCCTATGCAGCACTGAAAAAGTGTCCTGATACCATTTTGTAATTCCTTCCTCCAGCCTTTCCAAGTGCCTTCCACTCCCTCCCACACTTCCTAATCCTAAGATAATGATTGATCTGCTTTCTGTCACTGTAGACAAGTTTGAATTTACTAGAATTTTATAAAAATAGTGTTATATCATCTGTATTTGTTTTTGTTTATCTTTTTTATGCCAATCATAATTTTGATATGACATTAAAAAGATAAGCAAATATATGGCATTATTTTTCTTACCATGTCATTATTTTGAGATTTATCCATGCATGGTGTCCCACTGTATGCATATGCCAAGAATTTGTATCTGTTCACCTATTGATAGATATTGTTTTTGTTTTTTTTTTTTTTCCAATTTGAGGCTATTACAAGTTAGGCTGCTATGAACATTCATGCAAAAGTCTTTCTACAGATGTTTTATTTCCCTTGGGTAAATATCTATTAGTGGGATGGGTAGGTCATATGACAGGAGTAGGTTTAACTTTTTAAATAATTGCCAAAGAGTTATGCAAAGTGGTTGTATCACTTCCATTCCGACTAGATGTGTTTGAGGTTTTCAGTTGTTCTACACACTTGATAAGCTTTCTTCTTAATTTTATTATGGATTGAATATGAAGTGGAAACCCATTGTGGCTTTAGTTTATATATTCTAATAAACCATGATGTTATACACCTTTTCGTGATTTTTTGCTGTTTAGATTTTTTGGTAAAGTGTTTGTTCAAATTAATTGCTCATTTTAAATTAGGCTATTGGCCTTATCACATTGTAAGAGGACTCTGTATTCTAAGTACAAAATCTTTGTCAGATATTTGTTTTTCACATGGTTTCTTCAAATCTGCAGCTTGCATTTTCATTTATTTAACAGTGTTTGTAAGAAAATAGACGTTCGTATTTTACAAAATGCAATTTATTACTATTATTTCAAGAGTTTGTGCATTTGATATCTATTTAAGAAATCTTTGTCAAACTATAGTCAATAAAATTTTCTCCTAGATAATATTTTCAGGTTTTCTTTTAGAAGCTTGCTGTTAGGAGTTTTATTATCCTAGCTGTTATATTTAGATATATTATCCATTTTGAGTTAATATTTTATACAATGTAAGGTAAGAGTTGACGTTCATTTTTTTTCAATCTGAACTATTCAAAGGTTCTAGCCTCACTTTTGAAGAAGGTATTTATTTCTCATTGAAATGTTTTGATATATTTTTCCAAAATCAGTTTATCATATGCATGTGAATCTATTCCTGGGCTCTTTATTTGCTCCATTGATCATTTTTTATTATCTTTATTCCAACATCAAATTTTCCATATTGTCATAGCTTAATAAGTCTTGAAATCAAAGATCATAGGTCTTCTATCGTTAATCTCCTACTTTAAGTTTCTTTTGGCTATTCTAGATCCTATGTACTTTTATAAAAATTTTAGAATCAATTTAGTTTTCAATTTCTACAAAGACTACTGGGGTTTTGGTTGGGTTATGCTGCATCTATAAATCAATTTGCAGAAAATTAACATACTGTAATCAGATAATATACTGTATATTATTTGAATCCTTTTAGTTGTATTGAGACCTATAGTATGAGCCAAAATATGGCTTACCTTGGCAAAATTTCTATATGCATTTGAAAAGAATCTGTGTTCTTCTGCTGTTTAATGGTTTGGCCTAATAATGCCATAATTGGGCAAGATTGTTGATTAGTGTTTTTTATGTAGGTCATATACTGATTGATTTTCTCTCTATCTATTACATTAATTACTGAGAAAGGACTTTTGAAATTCCCAACTACTTTACTTCATGTATTTTGAAGCTGTGTTATTAGGTGTATAACCACTTAGGATTGTTACATTTTCTTGATGCTGTTATGTTTCTAGATGATTTAGGATGTCCCTTTACTACAACAAAATGATTGTCTTTATCCCTAGTATTATTCTTTACTTTGGAATCTACTTTGCCTGACATTATTAAAATCAATGAAGATTTATTTTTATTTGTGTTAGTGGGCAATTGTTTGTTTATTTTAATCAGCCTTTTACATTTAATCTCTTTTAGCTTTTATATTTGAAGGGGTTTTATTTTTGCCAGTACATACATAGCTCTTACATTTTATCAAATATTATAATTTCTGTCAAATAACTATAGTGCTTAAATAATGTATATTATTTATTTTATTGTCGACAGTTTTGGGTTTAATATACCATTTTGCTATATATTTTTATTGGTATTATCTATTCTTTGTTTCTGTTTCTTGCTTTTGTTTTGCCTTTTACTCTGAGTAGTCTTGATGCCTGAACTTGACCATACTTTGAGCTGAATACTCTTACTAAAATATTTTGGCAATTTATTTTAGTGAACTTTTCATTTAAAATGACAGTATAATACAAGACAATGAAAGAGATTTTGGAACTGATAAAACACATGGTACAATTTTTGTGACTCCTGTGTGGTGCCTTGTAAATAAATGCTAGCATGATTGATAGAATTGAGTCTCAGACTTGTTTTTATGATAAACTGAATGAAATATTAAATTGAAAACCTTTAGCTCTAATGATAGCATTATGACATTTAAAAATTTATTTAAACAATTAATTTACTTCCCCAGATCACATATCTACTAAATGATATTGCAACCATCCCATTAAAAAGAAAGTTCAATAAGTCCAACTCTATCTCTTTTTACGTCTTCCCTTATTTGTCAGGGATTCCATTTCTTGGATCATAGTCTCTAAATCTTGATATAATTTAAAAAGCATTAAGTCAATTACTTATCCATAATATGAAAAACTTAATACCTGATTATTTAAGTAATTTGTTCTAATTCAAAGAGTTACTGATCACAAACACTGAAGTTGAACTTAGACTTTTTGTCACAGTCTGCCAAAATCTTTCAGTTTGGAGATTTAATCTGCTTACCTGCTGTTTAGCAGGCCTGTTACAGTTCCGTGGGTGTTGGTAGAAGTCTTGAGATTCTGGGGTCAGAGACACAGGTCAATTTATTACTCACAACAGTAGCAGTAGCCCAGAGCATCAACATGTATGCTTTTTTATGAAGCTCTGTTATCTATAGGGTAACACAACGTAAGTCATGTGACATCTGCTTATGTAGTGCATTGTGTTACAGTGGGGGAGACCCAAGTTTAGGTGAGTCAAATATTTTATAATGAGCAGTAAGCTTGCATAATTTTTTCCTGAGGGAGATACTATCATTATTACGCTGGACAGTGAGCAAACCAGTTATTTGCTCCAGACAGAGACATTCTCTCCACCTTCTATGACTGTTTACTATCTACGTATTTGTGAAAAGATCCTCTGGTACAAATGGAATCAGTGTCTTTGCTCAAAAGAGGTGCAGAAACACAACTGTCTCCAACACAGTCCAGAGGACTTCTCACTATAATTTTAAGGTCTTTATCTTGTATCTTCTAGCTTCTTGCTAGAGGCCTTATACTTTTCATTTGTAACTTTCTGTTGTCTATTTTCTCTTTAAAATATTATAAAATATTATAAACTGAAAGACAGTCACTCATCATTATGCTAATGTTACAGATGAGACATACATGTCAAGTTGATGTAAGTAACTTTCTCAAGGTCTAATAAATATATCACAGTGGAAATATACCTAGGATTTTCTGGCTACTAAAACCAAAACTATTCATATGAAATCTTTTTATATTTTTAAGTGCATCTATACAGATGCCTGACAACTATCTAGTTACTCCTTAGGAGACTCACTACTTAGTAAAACTTGGGGAGCTGTAGGCTAGGGAACATGATGATGCAAGTGTGTGTGTGTGTGTGTGTGTGTGTGTGTGAGATAGCATTATGATATTTACAAATTTAAAAATACTATATATAATATATATCAAATATTAATATCAAATAGTAATATCAAAGAGATATTGATCACAAACACTGAAATTGAACTTAGACTTTTTGTCACAGTCTGCCAAAATCTTTCAGTTTGGAGATTTAACCTGCTTACCGGCTATTTAGCAGGCCTGTTACAGTTCCATGGGTGTTGGTAGAAGTCTTGAGATTCCAGGGTCAGAGACAAAGGTCAGTTTATTACTCACAACAGTAGCAGTAGTATATATTCTACTATATATATATATATAGAGAGAGAGAGAGAGAGAGAGAGAGGAGAATAATACAACCCAGGCATCTTTTTAATGAAACAAATGGATACAATTCAAACTGAAGAGGCAGTCAAAGATAGCCAGACAGTTAAAATGACAATTGCTGCTGCAAACACAGTTGCTTTTGATCTGTGGACAATGTTGAAAACACTGAATAATAACTTTCATTTCACACACACACTCACACTTACAAGTACCCACCAATCATTATTCCTAGTACCATCAGTACACTAGAAATAAAATAATAAATCTATTAAACATAACTTTAAGTCATGGAAAAAGTGAGTTTGGAATTAAAAAGTGAAAATTTTGGCTGGTACGTTTTACACGGATGAGTTATTTGTATAACAGAACTTGAAAGTTTGCCCCTTTTTACTCTGGTCACATACACAGATAACGTACTTTTTGAAGGTCCATCAGTTCTGAGAAAAGCTGCAGTCTCCAGTTAAGGGA
Source organism: Homo sapiens (assembly GCF_000001405.40). Classification (NCBI taxonomy): domain Eukaryota; kingdom Metazoa; phylum Chordata; class Mammalia; order Primates; family Hominidae; genus Homo; species Homo sapiens. The sequence goes on from NC_000004.12 coordinate 33,679,564, forward strand.
GATGATGAGAGTGTCCCAGTATAGTAGCAAATAGTGGGCTACTTTGTTTAATGCAGGAGGGAAGCAAGCTAGTAGATTTATTTGATCCAGACATAGAGGTGATTCTCAGAATGGGATGCTTTGGAAAAGCATATATTTGACTGTACTTTTAGGAAGAAATAGCAATTACTAATCTTACAACTCCATTGCTCGGGTGCATTCTTTCAGTAGTAAAAACAGGAACTGCATAATATTAAAATAATCTAGAGAATTTAGGTCAGTCAGAATAGTGCTGTACCAACACTTGTAAGAAAAGCAGCAGCAAATGGATTTTAAAAATTCAAAGATGTCTTTATACATCCACTAATAAAAGACACCAAAATGCTCTTAGTAGCAGATTTAAAGAGACTTATTGTTTGTGATGATTAAACCCAGCAGGCTTACTTGTTTTACAAACAGTATTCTGCCATCCTGTGTGTAATTTGCATATACAGCTAATGCACTAGCTCACAAACTATACATACACATATAATACCTATAAGTACATATAACATGTGTATACATATATGTACACGTACACATATAGGTTTACACACAAATATATATGGAAATCAATGTATTTATAGACCAAAATAAAATTCTAAGCCCCCAAACTGACCAAATGAATGCCTTCTTTCAGCCAAGAGGATTTCAAAGAAACCTAGATAGCAGGCCCTAAAAGAAATCCAACTATTTTACTCCAAAATATATTTTTTGATGTATTTTAAAATGGCCCTGCCAAACTGTCTCTTGCTGGGGACATTTACCTTCTGTAGAGAACCGCCTTTTCTTTCCAGGTCTTTCTCTGATCCTGAAGACATTAGCTGAGAGTCTAGCACGTTTTACATATCTGTATGAAAAAAAATTGCCATCTATTGCCTCTAAGGGTGGTCACCTATGATACCTCATCTGCAAAATAAGAATCTTGATCTCCCCAGACCCTTATCTTAAGCCAGAGACTCCTTTCTATTGATTCCAGGTCAGAATCTGGCAACCAATTGCCAGTCAGAAAGTCTTTTAATCCACCTGTGAAGTGTAAGTCACTGCTTTGAATTGTCCTGTTTTAATGTCTTATGTCTCCCCAAAATATATAAAAAAACAAGCTGTAACCTAACCACGTTGGGCACATGTTCTCAGGACGTCTCGAGAATATACCTTGGACCATGGTCACTTATATTTGGCTCAGAACAAACTTCTTTAAATATTTTATAGAGTTTGCTTTTTTTCATCAGCATGTTAAACGCAGCAAAACATTAGTTAATATTGAGATTGAATGGCTTTTATGTGACCAGTGCAATGTTTTGTTATTTCATTTTCTTCTTTTTTAGATAGATAATATGGATGTTATCATTCTTGTTTTCTACAAATATGTGTTTTATTACTAAGGCAGACTTTGATATCTAAGTGTCTTCTGATGTAATCACTTGACAGTTTCTTCTTGCCCACTGCATACACAAAACCAATTAACCGAGAGAGCAGTATTGCAGTAAAAAAGAATTGAGTTGATGTGAGGACAACCATGCAGAAGAACTGGAGTTATCACTTAAATCAGTCTTCCCAAAGGCTCAGAAGTTAGGGTTTTTCAAAGACAGTTTAGAGGGCAGGGGACCAGGGAATGGGTGCTGCTGATTGGTTGTGGATTGAATCATGAGTGAGGAAAATGGTCTTCTTGGGCTGAGTCTGTCTCTGGCTGTGGCTATATAGGACTGGTTGAGTCATAAATTATGCATTCAGGTGGGGTCAGCCACTTGACAGAATGCAAAAGTCTGAAAAGCATCCCAAAAGACTAATAATAGGTTATAAAATTGTGATGTTATCTACAGGAACAATTGGAGAAGTCACACATATTGTGGCCTCTGGCCACACGACTCCTGAGCAGTAAGGGATTATAGAAACTATGCCTACATCTTAGTAGAATGCAGGACCCTCTCATAATCCTACCCTGTGGTCTTTCATTAGTTTTACAAAGGTGATTTAGTTTTAGAAAGGGCTATTATCCTTGCTTTAAAGATAAAGTATAGACTTAATCCCTCCAATAGTTACCTTGTTTTATGCCCAGGAATGAATGAGGACAGCCAGTCTGTGAGGCTAGAAGAAAGATGGTCAGTCATCCTATATTTCTCTCACTGTCTTAATTTTTCATAGGGAATTTCACTGGCTAAACCCTTTCAAAAAGAGTAGAAAAAAATAAGTGCCTCTGGAATGCTTTACTTAACATTTTGCACACTGCTATTATTTTGTTTTATTTTTATTTTCTTTTATTTCTTGTTTTGTATGAATTCTAAATTCTAATTGGTATCTATCAGCAGGAGCTTGCATGCAGAATTTAAACTGGAACATCACAACTAAGACGAAGTTTTGGCTAGGAAAGTCTCTGGTTGCTTAAGACTTTTGGAGAATATTTGTGAAATCTGGTTACTTGAATGAGGACGCAAACCAAGCCAGTTTCTCTGTGGTTCATTCTGGTAACTTGCTCTCTGTAAATATACTAGAAGGCTCAGGCCTTATATTCATGCTTCTGAGCAGTACATGACATCAACATAATTGAGAATGGAACACTTAACTTGCTGTTTTACTGGATGAGAAGCATTACCAAGAGCTCTACCATGTTGAAAAAGTATCACAGAGACTTCTATTCAAAACATGAATCCTTTGAGTTATGCATTGTCTATTAGGTGAAGTATGTTTTACCTGCAAATATAATTATTAATCTGAAATATTTAAGTGAATTTTCTCAGATAGGGAAGTAAAAAATAAAATAATATCTCTTTCAGTAGTTTATTACCGGCCTATACTTCTCCTTTACTCGATACAAACAAGAAAACCACAGCATTGTTTTGCTCAAGAAACTTGTTCCCACAGTGTCCCACTTTCTTTTTGAGGAGAATATCAGACAGATTGCTGTAATTTTGGAGCACAGAATCTAAAATTGAACAGAAAGAGATAAGATCAGAAAAACTAAGAAGAAAGGAAAAGATTTAGTAAGGCAAGGTAGACTGTTCAGCATAACAAAAGTTGTGAGATACCTAAGGGAGAAGAAAAGAGCCCTTCTCTAAGGTTCAAAATATTGGGGTGGAATCTTGGCATTGGAGAATCAGAGATTTGGGTAGTATGGGCTGAGAGAGAACTGGGCAGCAGGAAAATGAACTGTGTTACAGGGAGGAGTGTGGATTACACCTTTTAAAATATTTGAGAAATAGAGAAGAGACTGAAATTTCCTACATCTCCTCCTCCCTCCCTCTCTTAATTGCTTTCATTTTAAAAACTTCTGCTGTATGAATTTAGATTATCTAAAGAGAAACCAGAAAAATATGGGTCTTGATTCATCACTGTAACAAAAAACAGTCACAATAAAAGCAATGTAAACACTTGAATCAAGCATAAATAATGTCCCTGAGAGACTAATACTGAAGTAAGTAGCTCTCAAAATGTAAAAGATGAAACTAAATAGCGCGTTTAAGTAGGGCTGTACAATCACAAGCCATATGACAGAAGCACAACAAAAATGCAAAATTACACACACACACACACACACACACATCTTCTGCCATGATGAACCCCTAGACCTCTAGCAGAGATAAGAGGTTTTATTTAAATTCCAATTGTTTTAGGGGTACAGGTGGTTTCTGGTTGCATGGATTAATTGATGAATTATACAGTGGCAAAGTCTGGGATTTTAGTGTATATTGTACCTGATTGGTAATATTTCATCCCCCACTCCTCTCCCACCCTCCCCCATTCTGAGTCTCCAATGTTCATATATTATTATTTATGCCTCTGCATACCCATAGAATAGTTCCCACTTACAAGTGAGAATATATACTGCATTTGGTTTTCTGTTCCTGAGTCACGTCACTTAGAATAATGGCCTCCCGTTCCATTAAAGATGCTGTTTCTTCTTTTTTTATGGATGAGTAGTATTCCATGGCGTGTGTGTGTGTGTGTGTGTGTGTGTGTGTGTATCACATTTTCTTTATCCACTCATTGATTGATGGGCACTTACATTCATTCCATAGCATTGCAATTGTTCATTGTGCTGCAATAAACATATGAATGTGAGTGTCTTTTTGATATAATGACTTATTTTCTTTTGGTAGACATCTAGTAATGGGATTGATGGGTCAAATAGTAGGTCTACTTATAGTTATTGGAGAAATTCCATTCTGTTTTTCATAGGGATTGTATTAATTTAATTCCCAACAACAGTGTATAAGAATTCCTCTTTCACTGTATCCATAACAGCATCTGTTATTAAAAATTGACTTTTTAATAATGGCCATTCTGAAAGGTATAAGATGGTAAGAGATAACAGCTTGATTTATTCTTGAGGGGAGAGGTTCTGGAGGGTAATAAAAACATGAGACAATTTAGCCAAGTTGTAGCCCCTGAGGAGAATGGCTAACAGGCCACTGACTCAACTAAGAAGGGTTGATGTGCATAGAAAAATTAGCTTAGAGGTTGAATAGGTGAAAAATCAAGAAATAGGGATAAACTGAAAACAGCTAGCTACCAAATAGTCTGGAAGGTCTGCTGGTGGTTTAGTGATAGGAACAAGTGTTTTAGGAAAATTGTTGTTACATAACTAATTACCATAACATTAGCAACTAAAAGCAACAGAAGTTTATTATTTTACAGTTTGTGTTGGTCTGAAGCCTGGACATATTTGAACTAGATTCTATGTCTGGGTCTTACAAAGTTTCAATCAAGATTCCAGCTTGACTATGTTCTTTTCTAGAGCTCGGTGTTCTCATTTAAGCTCATTTGGTTGTTGACAGTTCTCTGGTCCTTATGGTTGTAGGACTGAGGGTCCTGTTGTTTTGCTAGCTGTTGGCCTGGAGCCACCCTCAGCATCTGGAGACTGCCTGCAGTTCTTTGTTGCATGAGTGCTCCCATTGCCTCTCTCATGCTTTGGATTTATCTGGCTTCAGAAAGGATCCAATGTCTCTTTCAGACAAGATCAGGCATGCATTCAGGGTGGTATGGCCCTAGACACAGTGCCCCTTTCACAGACTCACCTGATTAGATCTGGTCCTTCCAGATGATCTCTCTTTTTATCAACTCAAAGTCAACTGATTAGTAAGTAACTTAATCACAATAGTGATATAGAATCATATTTACAGGTTCTACCTGCATTCAAGGGAAGGGCAATGTACAAGGGTGTGGAAATTCTGTGGGTTATCTTAAAAATCTGCTTACCACAACAGGCGTGATGATTGAAAGTGAAGTTTTGGAAGGGGTTGGAGACATTTGAGACAGATGCACTCTATCTAGATACAGGAGAGGGGCCACTACATGATATATTCAAACATCATTTGAAAGGGCTTAAATAGAACAAGAGAGTAATTAATATTTTTGTTGGCTATAAAGCTATAGCTTGATAAGTTTAATAAGACAGATATTAAAAGTATACCTTAATATTAATAATATGCTAATAGTAACAATTCTGATTTTTGCACGAATGAGGGACACGAGGCTAACACAACTAAATGAAATATCCTGAGGATGTATCACTTTTATCATTAGATTTCATAGTTATTGGTGTATGCATGTTATGTTCCTATTAGTATCTTTCTTAAAGGTAAATATTGTGTCATTTATTTTTGTATACTTCCAGGAGCCAGCTTAATATTAGCACCCTATACATATCTGATAAATTAACAATTATAATTGACACTCTTAATTAATACTTTACAGCCCTATTCTATTTATCTGGTTTATTGACATATCTATAATCAGATGACATGATTTTTAACATGTATTTTAAAAATAGTTAGTGACATACATATCAAAGGATATGACTTGAGAGTTCACCTAAGTGTTGTAAAGCTTGTTGTCATTCTACAAAGAATCCTTCCAAGAGCATCATGGGTAAAATTAATATAAATACTGTATCTCAAATATGGGTGAAGTCTAGAAAGCTTTTAAACACTATTAGCTTGGTTTTCTAATAATATGACTAGTCTTGTTCCTTTTTCCTGTGCTGACTTACTAACTTATATTAAACTAGTTCTCTTATTGCTGTGCATATTTATCTAGAACCAATAGCACCACTACATTTTTTTATTGCGAGTGGATGGTTAGCCCCCAGTGGTTCTTTTATGATTTCATGATGGATTTCTAGTTATCTCTTGTCCTTCTATAATCTTCATAGCAGTCTTGGTGGTCTTCTTAATGGTGGCAGAAGTTCAGAAAACTATTGGCTACTTGTCATGAAGTACTTGCAATAGCCAGGTGAAAAGTTTAAAGTATGAATAACAATAATTTATTTTAAGTATATTTCTGTACTCTTAGATTATAATATACTAGTAAAATGTCCTGTGCCCCTAAAATGTTATATAGTATAGAAAAGTTCCCATATTTTCCCACAGAGGGATTATATGTGACCCTCATTCTCTACATTCAAATTATGTATGTCCATTTATTTAATAAAAGTATAAATTCCTCTTCTATACTCTCTCCCCAATGTAGAGACTTAATTCTCTAGAGTTACTGAAATCAATATAATAAAACTTCCTTGGCCTCTAGAGACTTTAAAGTAAATTCAAAATTTAGCCCGCTCAGCAGTTAGTACAGTTAACAATAGTTTCAAAGCCCAAACTTTAATCCTGAATCTGTTCAGTCAGGCTGCTTGCAATCCATATGGTTCTTTAACTGCTCAATTAAAGTTTAAAAAGTGGGAACTCAGTTGAAAAAGTCATTTTCCTCTTGTGTGTACTTCACCAAAATAGACCCTTCATTGTTTTCTTTTCTTTTGAAAATAATTCAATATTTTCAAGTAGAAAGTATTATAATTTCTATTAAAAAACAATATTCATGTGTAATTCTAAAAATCAATCAGCACTTTGCTGTTCTTTTCCGTCCAGTATTCTTAGGCTTAAACTTGTCTGAAAATTGTGTTTACATTATTCATGGAGAACATATTTACTTCCACTTCATTGAGTCTAAAGGGAAGAAAAGAAGCCACAATTTATTATGCACTCAGTTTTCTGTGAAGAATGAAGGTGAATAGTGATTAGATATATAAAAGTAGCTGAATTGCAATCCTGGTTGATTTGGCATGGAAGCAGAAGTATGCTTTCTCTTGCTTATACTACTACTTTGTCCAAAGGATCAAGATCAAAATATTGACATGACCATAAAGGTATGCCTAACCAAGGTTAATCCAGATCTCTAGCCTTTCACTTGACCTCTTTTAGTGGCTTCAACGTTCAAGCCACATCTGTTTGCTTTTATTCTGGATGCCACTATGCTCCTTCCAAACTTAGAAACGCTTGATCTTTGTGCTTGGAATGTTCACCATTCCCAAATCTGTTTGCCTTGTTCTGTTTATGTTTCTGATCTCAAATTAAAAATGACTTTCTCAGGGAAAGTCTTCCAGTTTACCAAAGACTAAGTCATTACCTTTAAAATATATACTCAAAACTGGTCATCCTAATCAGTTCTAAGTTAATTTTTAGGTGGTTATTTGATTGAAAACAACATTTAAAATTCCTTTGAATGCACTTTTGAGAACATTTATTGGATGAATTGGATAATGATAACTATAATAATAATAACATTCATTTTATGCTTAACATGACAGGAATTATTCTAAAGTCATATATAAGTACTCACACAGACACATGTAAACTTAAATCTCATAGGAAATCTATGAGAAAAACCCTAGGAGACAGCTCATTATGAGTCTGCCTATCCTATAAGTGAAGAACTGTCCTTTTTACTGAATTATCTTTCAAGGATATTTATGTAGAACACAGACTTGGAAGACAGAGATAGTGTCTTTCTACAGGGTAACGAATGCACATGTTTACAGTCCAGTTTAATATAGATAATGTCTCCTTCCAAAGCTAAAGATGTAGGCGTACTTATAGCCCATTCTAAAGATTCAGGTTACCTGAAATCAAGGTTTCTCTCCTGCAATATAATCCTTAGTGTATAAGGGTCATGTGGCTCTCTTTGCATAGCTTTGTGAAAACCAAGGTTCAGGGAACAAACACAAAAATGGTGATAATCTGGCTACTGTTATTTTTATGTATAACAAATCATTCTTAGCCTCTGACCTGGAAATCTCTTGTCCCTTCCAAATCTCATGTTGAAATGTGATTGCCAGTGTTGAAGGTGGGAGGTGTTTGGGTCATGGGGGTGGACTTCTCATAAATTATTTGATGCCTCCTTTGTGGCAATGAGTTAGTGCAAAGCCTGATTGTAAAAAAAAAAAAAAGAAAAAGAAAGAAAAAGAAAAAAAAGAAAGAAAGAAAAAAAGAGTCTGGGACCTTCCCTCACTCTGTCTTGCCTCCTCTCTTGCCATGTGATATGTGGGCTTCCCTTTTGCATTCCACCATGATTGTAAGTGTCCTGAGGCCTCACTAGTAGCTGAGCAAATGCTGGTGCCATGCTTGCATAGCCTGCAGAACCATGAGCCAAATAAACCTCTTTTCTTTTTATGAATTACCCAATCTCAGGTATTTTCTTTATAGGAACATAAATATATTAACACAAAGGATAAATGAAACTATGACAGGACAAACAGTTAGCTTGCAAGTAGTGTAAAATGTCAAAACTGCTATGGTTTTGAAAGTGAGAATTATTATCATTATTATTATACCCACTTGACAGAAAAGACAGCAGAAGTACAGAGAGGTGAAGAGGCCATTTATCTTTTATTATTTCACCTTCTTTATGCACAACCAAAATGGCTAGAACTTTTGAATTTTTTTCATAGTTAATCCCAAGCTACAGATATGTTGAATATACTACACTAAGCTGACAACTTGTATTTATATCCACTTATATCAGCATTATAATGCTGAAAGTGTTAAAATTACCACACTAAATTATTGTCTAATTTAATCAAAGATGTGTATGAAATACATTATCTACAAAAAGTGAATTATGTATTATTGGTTTTCATTGGGGATTTAGATTCAAAAGCTTAACTCGGAAATTCACATTTTTTAAATTTTTAATAAATGTCATAACAACATATTCCTAATTGAGCAATTAAATTAATTGTTAAATAATTTGTGCATATTCAGATAGTTTTCATCTAAAATCCCATTATGATGGGTACTAAGTAAATTATATTTCAACTATGTGATGGGGAGGTATAGTCTACCAAAATAATATTTATAACTGGTTTAGTGGCTTAAGTGATAATTTTAAGGAAAATTATCTGAATAAAAATTAGATGCATTTACCTGTGATCTCATACTACATACAAATAAACAGGTATATGACTGAAATAAAATGACCATATGGATTTTACCAGTGCTTATATCTACTCAGGAGAGCCTTGGTATCAACAGTTTTTTTGTTAAAATAAAAAATAATAATAATCATACAATACATTTATGTGGAGAAATAAAATAACAATATCTGATGTGGTACAGATATAACTGGCTAGTTAATTTTATTCTTGCAGATAAACAACTTGAATAATGTTCCAATAGAGCAAAATGGTCAGGAATGTGTTTTCTACAGCGAGAATGTGTGGGCTTAAACTTTTGGTGTTGACAATGGGCACCATGAAAGTTACATTTCAGATGGTCAGAATATAAAATTTTTGACAATCTTGGCAAAAGTGAGAGTAAGAGATTTAAAAAAGGCAGTTATCTGCTTATGTGCTGTAACTTAGATTTCATGCTTGGATCCTTGAATTTTCCACCAAATAAAGTAGAAAAATTTGGCTTTGAGTTTCCTTAAATGCAATACAAACTCCAGAACATAATCAGCTCTACATTAGTGCTATTTGAAATAATGAATAAATAAAGGAATAGATGCTAAATGGGGTATGACTCCATTGTCCCTAAAAATATCCAGTTAAAATATAGAAGCTATATATAAATTTATTTTTTGATTATTTTATCAATCTAACATTAATAAAGTACTAAAGAATTAAGACATCAGAGCAAGCGAAATTTGATCAGTAAAAATAAATTTGGAGAATCCCAAGGACAGTTTATATTAACTGCATACCTGCGTAGGGAGGCATATTTAAGTGTAGAAGATTGAGCACACTTAAACAAAATGCTATAGGGCCGGTCATGACTTGAAGCCCAGTCATCAAAAACTTGAGCATTTCTGCAAATCAGTATTAGTATATTTCAATTACCTTTAATGTTTTGCTTAGTTGTCCCCCTTAGATAGTTATATTTGTACATTTTAGAATTTAGGTTAAAATAAAAAATAATACATTCATTTTATTAAAAAGGTAAACTAAAGTCAAATAACATTTTAAAGAGTTTATTTGAGTAAACAGCAATTTATGAGTTGGGCAACTCCAAAGCAGTAATGATTTAAAGTAAAGGCTCTAGTGAAAAGTCACAAGGGACCGGCTTTTACAGGGTGAATACAGAAGAAAATATTAGATTGTTTCCAATTATAAAGTTACCTTATTTGGTCTATCTTGCTGGAAAGTTGTGAGTTACATAAGTTTGCTGGCTGCTTCTGATTGATTGAGCTTAAGTTCTGTTAATATGATAGGATGCTATTCTAAAGTAATAAATAAGTTGTTTTCTGGTTGTTTTTTGATACAACCATTTACAAAAAAAAGCTCAAGTTAAGTTTCACCTGTATTTGCAAACCAAGTAAGATTAAATTCACTTGTGCAGACTAACTAGCTTTGTCTGCTCAAGGATTCTTCATGTCTGGTCTCCATTGTAACTTATATTAGCAACCTTTATATATCATGAAATATGCACTGAATTCTATTCTGAACATTTTAATTGAAATACATATTTTACTCTGATATTCACTCTATGATCTATTCTTTTTTTGTAGATTAGAATATTGAGGTACAGAAAGACTTAGTTACTTGTCCAAATCCCGGTGGAGCCAGCATTTGATCCCACAAATTCTAGCTGTAGAAAACACATTCCTGACCACTTTGCTCTATTCTTGCATTCTATTTTATTTTACTGTCTGATTAAAAACATTGGCAAAATGAAGTTCTGTGTAACTCAGCATGTTTGAATAATGCATGCTCCTTCGTACAAATTTTTAGTTACATTTTAGGGAATTGTTTGTAATGTAGAATAAATGGAATATTCAGATGATCTGGAATTAGATATATTCAATGGTTACAATCAAACAATCTTGTATTTTTGAATTTTAAAAACCTCCAAAATCTGTACATTATAAAGCTTTTATTTTTTTTAAACTGACTATACCTTTTTAAAAGAAAATTAAGAGCTATTTTCTAGCTTGCATTTCAAACAACTTGTTGTTTTCTCTTTTCAAATTGTTAAATTTCAAAGACCTACTTGGAGAACAAAGCAGCTGTTGCTTTAGCTAAAAATCTTTCAGTTCAACTTCAACCTACAGAACATTACCCATGAGATTAAGTAAAGTTCTCCCTAACATTCTAGTGTGTTGAATTAGAATGTATCTAATAAAAGAACTTTTTCTTAGCATTTTAGCAACCTAAAAAGAAAAAGAGAGAACTAAATATTTTTAATATTCAGTGTGATAGTTAATACTGAGCGTCAATTTGATTGGATTGAAGGAAGCAAAGTATTGATCCTGGGTGTGTCTGTGGGGGTCTTGCTAATAAAAGAACTTTTTCTTAGCATTTTAGCAACCTAAAAAGAAAGAAAAAGAGAGAACTAAATATTTTTAATATTCAGTGTGATAGTTAATACTGAGGGTCAATTTGATTGGATTGAAGGAAGCAAAGTATTGATCCTGGGTGTGTCTGTGGGGGTCTTGCCAAAGGAGATTAGCATCTGAGTCAGTGGGCTGAGAAAGGCAGACCCATCCTTAATCTGAGTAGGCACCATCTAATCAGCTGCCAGCACTGCTAGAATATAAAGCAGGCAGAAAAACATGAAAAGGCTAGGCTGGGTTAGCTTCCCAGTCTACATCTTTCTCCCATGCTGGGTGCTTTCTGCCCTAGAATGTCAGACTCCAAGTTCCTCAGCTTTGGGACTCGGACTGGCTTCCATGCTCCTTAGCTTGCAGAGGGCCTATTGTGGGACCTTGTAATCGTGTGAGTTAATACTGCTGTATAAACTCCCATATATATATACATATATGTGTGTGTGTGTGTGTGTGTATGTGTATATATGTGTATATTTATATATATGTGTATATATATATGTTGCATGTTAACTTTCCTTTCTTTAGAAAAGAAAGTTATATATATATTATATAATTATAATTATACATATCTCATATATATATATATATATATGAGATATATCTATATCTCTTAGCTCTGTCCCTCTAGAAAACCCCCACTAATACAGATTTAACCTTCATGTATACATTCAGGTAACTATTGTTTTCTAACTCTGAATTTTACCTTTTATGTTCTATGATATGCTACCCTTTCTGAAAAGACAAAGAAAGTGGAAGTGAAAATTGAGAGCATGAGAAGAAACACATTAATGTTCAGACTATGCCCTGGGGAAATTGTGAATAAACGTTAATTTTTAGTGCCTTTACAGATGGGAGGAAAAGTTGGAGATAATAAAGAAGTCACTTATGATATTAGTCCATTTTCACACTGCTGACAAAGATATACCTGAGACTGGGTAATTTATGAAGAAAATGATTTTTAATGGACTCACAGTTCCATGTGTCTGGGGAGGCCTCACAATCATGGCATAAGGCAAAATGCATGTCTTTCATGGCAGCAGAGAATAGAGAACAAGAGCTAAGCAAAAGGGGAACCCCTTATAAAAACATTAGCTTTTGTGAGATTTATTCACTACCACGAGAACAGTATGGGGGAAACACCCCATGATTCAATTATCTCCCACCAGGTCCCTCCCACAACTATGTAGGAACTATGGGAGCTACAATTCAAGATGAGATTTGGGTGGGGACACAGCTAAATCATATCACTTATCTCTCTAAATAATTGGCTAATTACAAGATATTAAGTCTAATGAATTTACAAAACTCACCTTAAGAAAGCTATGCAATCCAATACAAATAACATTAGCATAGCTCCATATGCTGAACTTGAATGACTCTGCCACTCTGAAAGTCATTTAAGTTTTTTCAGTAAACATTCAAGGAAAGGAAAGAGAAAGGAAGGGATGAGAAGGAAAGAAAAGAGAGAGAGAAAGAGAAGGAGAAAAGTCAGAATTGTCTTAGGTAACACAAAGGCAACAAAGTCTTGAGTGTTTAGGAAAGGGTGAAGGAATAATCAAGTCATTGCTGTTTCTCATACAGAAAATCTAGAAAGAAAAACTTTATATATAAAGCTTATATGTGTGGGTATAGGCTGAACTACAAATTAAAAAGAATCTAATGTGTATAACTTTCCAAGTGCTCCCAGTGTTTTCTATAATATCATTATCAGTAAAATTATAAATATCCACTGAATACAATATCTAATGATAAATTTTCCACTCAATTTATAGACTTGATCAATATACATATTGACACACACATACACATTCATGCACACACAAAGATAAATAGATTTATTCATCAATCCTTGCAACCGTACATACGATTATAGATACATGCATACGTAGAACATTTTAACTGTGTAATATTACCTAATCTTTAAGAAGATCTCCTGAGATTTCCCCCCATAAGCACGTTATCTGGAAGCTTATTTAAATTACAGAAACTTCGCAATTATATGTTAACACATTTTTCAGAATTAGCAATATACAGTAAGTGTATTTTAGTAACTTGTTTTGGAGGCACATTATTCCAATTAAAAATGTTTAAAATAGAAAGTTGTTATTTGTGTGTATTTTAATCTGTCTTGGTCATTATGCTATAACTCTAAAACTCTTCTGGTGGTATCCTTCTAGGTATTCCACAAGAAGAGAGTTCAAGTGGAAAGAGAAAAGTCATGTTACATAAGATTGTCTCTAATCAGTCAACCACTGGAGTCAGATAAAAATAGAAGATGAAAATCTGTCAGATGAAATTTCACTTTGGAAATATTGTTTGTGTTCTTCAAATGTATAAGATTTGTGTTTCTATCCACAAATTGTGTATACAGCAGCACATTAAAAGAGGTAGTTTCAGCTGATGTTCCCCAAAGTGCATATCGTATGTCCCAATGTTTCTGCATATCCTATACTTTAATATCTAAATTATATAAAGACCCCATCTGTTGCACAAAAATTTGTCCTTCTGAAGATTTCTGAGAATTCCTAGGAAACGCTTGCATGTCTCAATTATTTCTGGTCATGTCTTCCTCTGAATTTTTGTTTCAAACTGCCCTTCATTATTTCTGGCCATATCCTTTAGCCCCAGCCATGCCTTCATGGTTCCTCTCTGCATATTTTGCCTGTGAAAATGAACTCAGCCTTTAACTTTATTTTCTAAGATAGTGAGAACACAAAACTGCTTGAGGATGCATAGGTAACTTACAACTTAGAAAATAAAGTTATAAATTTAAATTTATAGATTCAATGCTATTTCCCTCAAGCTACAACTGACTTGCTTCACAGAATTGGAAAAAACTACTTTAAACTTCATATGGAACCAAAAAAGAGCCGGCACAGCCAAGACAATCTTAGGCAAAAAGAAAAAAGCTGGAGGCATCACGCTACCTGACTTCAAACTATACTATAAGGCTACAGTAACCAAAACAGCATGGCACTAGTACCAAAACAGATATATTGACGAATGGAACAGAACAGAGGCCTCAGAAATAACAGCACACATCTACAACCATCTGATCTTTGACAAACCTGACACAAACAAGCAATGGGGAAAAGATTTCCTATATAATAATTGGTGTTGGGAAAACTGGATAGCCATATGCAGAAAACTGAATGCATATCTCCTGAAATGTTCAACATATGTCATCCTCACTTCTCAATCTATCAATTATTTTCAATCTTAAAATAATCTCCATCAAAAATCCTAGAAGAAAACCTGGGCAGTACCATTCAGGACATAGGCATGGGCAAAGACTTCATGTCTAAAACACCAAAAACAATGTCAACAAAAGCCAAAATTGACAAATGGAATCTAATTAAACTAAAGAGCTCTGCACAGCAAAAGAAACTATCATCAGATTGAACAGGCAACCTATAGAATGGGAGAAAATTTTTGCAATCTATCCATCTGACAAAGGGCTAATATCCAGAATCTACAAAGAACTTAAACAACTGTACAAGAAAAAAACAACCCCATCAAAAAGTGGGCAAAGGATATCAACAGACACTTCTCAAAAGAAGACACTTATGCAGCCAACAAATATGTGAAAAAATGCACATCATCACTGGTCATTAGAGAAATACAAATCGAAACCACAATGAGATACCATCTCATGCCAGCTAGAATGGCGATCATTAAAAAGTCAGGAAAAAACAGATGCTGGAGAGGATGTGGAGAAATAGGAACACTTTTACACTGTTGGAGTGTAAATTAGTTCAACCATTGTGGAAGACAGTGTGGTGATTCCTCAAGGATCTAGAACTAGAAATACTATTTGACCCAGCAATCCCATTACTGGCTATATACCCAATGGATTATAAATAATTCTACTATAAAGTCAAATGCACTCCTATGTTTACTGTGGCACTATTCACAATAGCAAAGACTTAGAACTAGCCGACTATTTATCTTGATCTGGCTTTTTCATTTCTAGATATAAATCTATAATTCTAACTGACTTCTACCTGTCTAGGTAGAATAAAATAATTAACCCATCAACTTCTGGACTCAAAGACCTTCCAAAATCCAGAAATACATGTTTCCCTGCTTTAAATCCTACACAATAAGAGCTAAAGTCTTAGAGATAAAATTGGAGATTAAGGCCACCTACAACTTTCAATTTTGTCCCATTGTTTCTTTCTATTCCCTTATTTCAGATCAAGTCAAAATACGTGGTTGATTTGGACACTTTTCTAATTTCTTTTTCTGTTAGCCTTGTGCTTGCAACACTGTCCCTGTATACATTACCTCTTTTTTTAAGTTCAGTTAAAATGCTATTTTCTTGACGATGCCATTCCTAATCACTTCTTTTGTCAAAGAAACTATTTGCACACTCAGATAACATATAATTTCTATCTCTCATCTGCACTTATAACACATGATCTTACATTTTAATTATTCATGTGCTTTTCTTATCTCCTGTCATAGGTTGAAAGTGCCCAATGAATTAAGTAATAAAAGTGGTATTTAAAGTGAACTTCAGTGGAAATGAACCTGCATATGATTGAAGAAAGGCAAGTGAATGAAGTGATGAAAAATAGATGACTTCGTTTGAAATGATTATCATTAAAGGTCTAAAAGCAGTTCTAGAACAAAAAGAATGGCATGTTAAGATTATTGTGTAGGCGATAATCATGAATAATATGCTAGTATGGTAACACTATCCAGGCTCACATTCCAAAGTTTAATGTTAACATGGCAGAAATAACCCTATGCTAAAAACACAAAAGTGAAGATATAGTGGAATATTCATAATGCTGCCTATTATTTGGAAGGCCTTGGAAACTTGAAAAAACAAATAAATAAATACATAAATAGAAAACACTGTACCTTTCTCACTTACTCCAGCTCTGAGGATCCAGGAGCTGCAAGTTGCACTTGGGTGTCTTAAGTGAAAGGATCCTCTTTGACATAAGTGATAAGCAATGCAGAAGCTCTCTTCCTTGCTTCTGTACATAGCACATTTACATGCCAGGGCTTTGGCATTAAAGTAAGTTGGCATTGTACATGCTTGTCTGTTTGGTCTGTTTACATATGTTACATACCACTTTAGCAATCCTGGTGTGACATCATTTCAAAGTCTTGCTCATACTCTCTTTCTACCCCAAGCCTTACAGAAGCTTATCACTGTATTTCACTAAAACATTATAGTATGGAAAGAAAGAGCTACTCACTCTTTTTCTTCCTAGTCTACTCCTCTTTCTCACTTTATCATCTATTAAGATGGACATAAACAAGGAGTGCTCTGGAAAGCTAATGAGCACTTCTATTACTGCTGTTACATTATCTCAAAAATTTTTCTAAAATATTTCCAATTTATTTGAACTCCCTGAAATCACAATTCTTTTTTTACTGATTTGTTTCTCTGTCATGCTTATGAGCCACACTTTTTTGGTGAAAAGGGGCCAATGCATTCTCACTACAATCCAGAGAGATTAGAAAATGTATTTTCTTTGCAACATCAAAAAGACACAATTTTGGTATGTAAGATCACCTTAGACTAAACTGTGTTGCTATGGCACAGATGATTTGGAGCAAGGGCTAAAAACAGTTGCCGACTCATTTCTCCTAAGGCCGTTGAAATACTTGTCAACAGGAAATGTGGAGTCTTGATTAGACTAGTGTAATTGTATTCCCATAACATAACTTCTGTGAGCCAAATTTCTCTCATCTGCAAGAAATGAAGCTAAAAATACCTACCAGGAGGATTTTTTTTGAAGATTAAATGGTGTAGGATATACAAAATACCCAGTCTGTAACAGGAACTCAAAAATGTTTCTCCATTTCTTCATATTTGTCTGAGTACACGTGAATAAAGCCCAATTTAGAAACAACTGAAATTATTTTTAAAAGATAGATACTAATATTTTTTGAAAGAATTTTGTGCTAACTTTCTTACAAACATCTGTGAATAAAAATAGCTGGAAAATGCCAAATAAAATTCTTAAATATTCAGATAAGCAAAGATTTGCTATGTAATTTATACTTAGCAAATTCTAAGGGAGTCACTCTACAAACACTCATCTGCATTATGGATTTTTTATTTTCCATAGAGACAATCATATAATTTCTTTTTACTAGATTCTGAATAGTTCTAAATAAAAAAGTAGCCCACCCCCATTATTGATCATAATTCACATCCTCATGATTTCTTTTCAAGACATCCTCATTATTGCAGTGAGCAAAACAGTTGCTTACAATAAAATTTTAACAAAAGAGAGAGGAATAAAAAGGAACTCCACTTTTCCTATTAAATCACACGACAAAGAAGTTGTTGAAATGGGAAATCAGATGGGTGTGTTTAGTATTAATAGAGGCAAACCATGTAGATACTACGAGAAAAGTTGTGTGTCTATCTGTGTATTCAAGTGTAAAAAGAAACATGCTGACAACCTGATTTAGACAGAAACTCTTACAATTTATCTAAAAAAGAAATTGGTTCTCATTTTTATACATTTTAAATATTGTCTTTTTGAACCAGATATATCCTATTTCAAGGTAGCAAATAAAATCATTCAGGTTTTTTATTTGTTTGCTTTTGCTACATTGAGACGAGATTTGAATATTTCAAGTTGTTTCATGTTAATCTTTTCATTTTGTTTATCCTTTTTATTTCTTTTTGTTAAATTTACATGTAATCAAATATGTGTACGTTAGAGACAGCTGGATTTTTCTTGAAGACCCGAAGTTTGACAAGGGATGGAGAAAGAGTTAGCACAAGGTGGAATTTTTCAATTATAATTATGGAAGCAGGCACTATGTTCATGAATAAGTACAACTGGCTGTAATAGAGAAGTATCAGAAATGAATTCTTAATTCCTGTCAATTTTATATAGTCATTAATCTCTCTTTCAAAAAAATCAGCATCTTTGTTAAATAAATCATTTTCTTTTTACCTAGTAAGCTAATTTTTTAAATTATTAAATAGATGACATTAGTAAACAATGGTTCATTTTAAATTAAGATATCTGTAGTTCAAATCTCAGCTCTGCTTCATATTACTGTCTATTGGGTGCACCTACCCTACTTGATTTGTTTTTCTCTTGGATGGGAATGATACATCTCAAACAATTGGTATAAATATTATATAAGGCACAACATAGGAAAATTGCTCAGTGTGGTATCTAACACATTGTAAGAATGTGATAATGCATGGCTATCACTATAGGCCAGATTGGTTACTGAAACTAAATATTGTATTTAGTAGACACTTAATGCCTTAGTTATTCATGATGGCTTACTTACAGCATTATATTTTCCATTTAATCTACAATACAATGGCAGCAAGGTTAGCTGAATTTCCCATCCTGGAATCTGCTCCCATACTCATTTTACCCTCCTGTTGGGAGGAAAAAATTATCTGCCATAAAAGCCATCATATACCTTTGTCTAATTGGCAATGGGATGACAGGTTTATGGACTGCAGGATGATGGAACAGGGAATATTCACATATAATTTACTTTCCATATGTGTATTAGTTAAACAAATATGTATGTCAGATAATGCTGGATTCTGGAGTTACAGCAATGTACAAGAGGAAGAAAGGACCTGCTTTAGTAGAATTTATATTCAAGTGGCTAAAACACTATTGATCAATTATATTATTGTTTGCACTTTTTCATTTTTCTCTTTTAAAAGAAGATTATACATCTCCATTATTTCCATGTGACTTGCCCATGTATCCCATGGGAGACACAGATACACATATATAGGTACAGATATAGGTAAAGATATGATATAGAAAGCTAGATAGATGTCTCCTGATCTCATTGGTTCTGGTTTTAGTCATGGGGCTTATTCTGAACAATGGAATATGAGTGGATATAATGTGAACCATGTCCAAACAGAAGTTTTCAATAGTGTCACAAGTCTCTCTCTCTCTGTTAAAAGGATATACATATCTACATAAGAATGAGATTTCAACTTGATGCCTAAGATGAAATAACTAATGGAACAGAGCTATATCTTACCCACAGATTGCCATAGATTTCCATAGAGCCATAAGACCATAACTGCAGCCTCTGGTAGCATACATGTAATGTGACAGAGAAATAAACCATTATTGTTATAAGTCACTGTGACTTGAGATTATTGGTTGCCATTGTCAAGCTGACAAATACAGATAATAAATAAAGAAATAACCCTTCATAACATGCTGATATTTAACATTAACATGGTAACATGGCATAAAGATGTCTAAAAAATAATTTAGATATCTTGGTGAGGAAATGCCTCTCTGTTGAAAACAGGTCCCCAAATCTGGCCACAAACTGGCCCCAAAACTGGCCATAAACAAAATCTCTGCAGCACTGTGACATGTTCATGATGGCCATGATACCCATGGCAAAGGTTGTGGGTTTACTGGAATGAGAGCAAGGAACACCTGGCCCACCCAGGGCAGAAAACCGCTTAAGGCATTCCTAAGGCACAAACAATAGCATGAGTGATCTGTGCCTTAAGGACATGTTCCTGCTGCAGATAACTAGCCAGAGCCCATTCCTTGTTTTCGGCCCATCCCTTTGTTTCCCGTTAAGGAATACTTTTAGTTAATCTATAATCTATAGAAATAATGCTTATCACTGGCTTGCTGTCAGTAAATATGCGGGTCAAACTCTGTTCGGGACTGTCAGCTCTGAAGGCTGTGAGTCCGCCAGTTTCCCAGTTTCCCACTCCACACTCTATATTTCTGTGTGTGAGTCTTGAATTCCTCTAGCGCCACTGGGTCAGGTTCTCCACGACTGAGCTGGTCTTGGCACCTCTCTAAAGTTGAAACATTTAAGCTGAGATCTGCTGAAAAAGTCATCAAACAAAGTCAGAAGGAAGACCATTAAAACAATAGGAGGCCCGGCGTGGTGGCTCACACCTGTAATCCCAGCACTTTGGGAGGCCGAGGCGGGTGGATCATGAGGTCAGGAGATCGAGATCATCCTGGCTAACAAGGTGAAACCCCGTCTCTACTAAAAATACAAAAAATTAGCCGGGCACGGTGGCGGGCGCCTGTAGTCCCAGCTACTGGGGAGGCTGAGGCAGGAGAATGGCGTGAACCCGGGAAGCGGAGCTTGCAGTGAGCCGAGATTGCGCCACTGCAGTCCGCAGTCCGGCCTGGGCAACAGAGCGAGACTCCGTCTCAAAAAAAAAAAAAACAAAAAAAAAAACAATAGGAAAAAAAATGCAAAAGCCCTCAAGCAAGAAAGGTCATGATACAAAAAGAATATGATGAATCCAAGGACACTGAAAATGCAAGTGTGGCCTTCTGAGTACAGTATGTAAGAAAGAAAGTGGCAAGGGACAAACTTATGGAGTTAGGCTGACACCAGTTCATGTGGGGCTTTATATTATAAATTAGGTTCAATACTTTAGATTTTATAAAAAGTCACAGCAAATGTAAAAGCAGAACAGGAATATAATCTAATTTTCATTTTGAACAGATTACTCAGATAGCTATTTTGACAACTGTTTTTAAGAGGACAATAGTAGAGACTGGAATATACTTGTAACTTCTGAATTAGTCAAGGTAAGATGTGTTGATGACTTGATTAGAGTTAATAAATAATTTCCATTTTACTCCTGTTGCCCTCCAGAGTTCTGGGTTCATTTCTCATTTTCTTTATCTAAGATGATTGCAAGGAATCTTTTCAGGAGTGGTAGAGTCTGCTTCATTCAAAAGTGGTTATTGTCTCATTAATTCTTGGGTCAATTTTTGTCTCCATCAAACAAGGTAAAATGCCTCATATATGAGGCAAAGTTATTTTATGTTACCTTTCATTATTGTGAAGAAGCATTCCTATAGCTTCTGCTGCCAATTGAACTTTTTAAAAATTATCTGAGCCATAATATAGCTTGTCCTTTCTCACCATGAAACATCATGATCTATTTAAAAATTCCCCTTATGATGAGATAGAAAAAGAATGTTTTTGCAAGTGTTTTGATTTTTGTATTTAAAAATAAATATTGTGAGATTTTAGAAGCAGATAAAAAACTCAAACTGATTGGTAGGCTTTATTTTTCCTATACAAACTTTCTTTTAATTATTCATTTTTCCAGTAAAACAAAGATGTATAAAAGATTTTATGGTAAAAATGGAAAAGGCAGTATGAGGCAAGCAATAATTAAGTCATCTGATACAATTCCAACCTTCTGTGCATTCTCAATACTTAATAGTTTTTATCAATTTTTTGTTTTACAGGGAAATATGATGCAATTCCATGTTTCTATGCATTCTCAATACTTAATAGTTTCTATCAATTTTTTGTTTACAGGGAAATATAATAATCATTATAGATATTATATACTCAGAAAACAATATCAGCCAAAAACACAGATGACAATTTATCTACTTTTTTATATATAATTCATGTTGCTTCATACTAAAATAAAATTGAAAAATTTTTGCCATTTGTTTTTATTAAGGTAAGAACATTTACTTACCGCAAGATCTACTCTCTTAACAAATGTTTAAGCATGCAATGCAGTATTGTTAACTACAGCACAATGTTGTACAGCAGAACTCTAGAACTTACTCATCTTGCTTAACTGAAATCTTATACCCATTAACCAGCAATTTCACATTTTTTCCTCCCCTCAACTCCAGGAAATCAGTATTCCACTCTTTGTTTCTATGAGTTTGACTGTTTTTGATACCTTACATAAGCAGAATCATGCAGTATTTCTATGACTAACTTATTTCACTTAATATGCTGTCTTCAGTTTCATCCATGTTGTTGCATATGGCAGGATTTCTTTATTTGTTAAGGATGAATAATATTCCCTTGTTTATATATCACATTTTCTATGTTAATTTATTCATTGGTGCAATGGGTTATTTCTATGTCTTGGTCTTTATGAATAATAGTGCAAGGAACATGGGGGTGCAGATATATCTTCAACATACAGATTTTAATTCTTCTGGATATATAGTCAGAAGTAGAATTTCTGGATCATATGATAGTTCTATTTTTAATTTTTTGAAGAATCAGCATACTGAATTAGAATTTCTTCACATCCTTGACAATACTTGCTGTCTTCAATTTAATTTTATTTTATTTTTGATAAAAGCCATTCTAGCAAGTATAAGGTCATATCTCACTGTGGTTTTTGATTTGTATGTCCTTGACTATTATTGATGTTGAATATCATTTCATATATCTGTTGGCTATTTCTATATTATCTTTAGAGAAATGTCTATTCAAGGACTATGCCAATTGAAAAAATCAGGTTAATAGGCATTTTTGCTATTGAGTTGTAGGAGCTCTTTATATTTTTGGATATGACCACTTATCAGATACATAGTTACATTTTTACTCTGTTGATTATTATTTTTTGCTGTGTAGAAGCTTTGTAATTTTATTTAGTCCCATTTATGCATTTTTGCTTTTGTTGCCTTTTGCTTTTGGTATTATATTTAAGAAATCATTGAAAAGACAAATATCATAGACATTTATTTCCTATGCTTTAATCTAAGATGTTTTACAGTTGCATGTCTTACATTTGTCTTTAATTCATTTTGAGTTGATTTTTGTATATGGTGTAATACACAGGCCTAATTTCATTCTTTAGTATGTGAAGTTTTCTAGCACCGTTTGCTGAAGAAATTATCATTTCCTTATTCCGTATTCCTGACATTCTTGTTGAAGATCAGTGAACTGTACACTACTGGGCTTATTTCTGATTTCTCTCTTCTGTTCCATTGTTCTGTACACTGGTTTTTATGCCAGCACTATACTGTTTGAATACTGTAGCTTTGTAATATATTTGAAATCAGGAAGTACAGTGCCTGCAGTTTTTATCTTCTTTCTCAATAACTGTTTAACTATTAGGGGTCTTTTGTGATTCCAAATGAATTTGGGGATTTTTTTCTATTTCTGTAAAAAGTGGCATTGAGATTTTGATTGGGGTTGCATCAAATCTGTAGATTTCATTCGATAATATGGACATTTTAACAATAGTAAGTCTTTCAATCTGTTAACACAAGATGTCTTTCCAATGATTAGTGTCTTTAAGTTTTTCATCAATGTTTGTAATTTTCAGAGAACAAATATTTTCCCTCCTTGGTTAAGTTTATTTCTAAGTGATATGGTTAGGCTTTGTGTTCCCACCCAAATCTTATCTTGAATTCGAATTCCCATAATCCCCATAATCCCCACATCTCATGGGAGAGCCCAGGCAGAGGCAACTGAATCATGGGGGTGGGTTCGCTCATGCTGTTCTCATGATAATGCAGGTGCTTTCATGAGATCTGATGGTTTAAAAGTGGAAGTTTTCCATGTGCTCTCTCTCTGTCTCTCTCTCTCTCTCTCACACACACACACACACACTGGTGCCACCTTGAGAAGAAGATGCTTGCTTCTCTTTGCCTTCTGCCATGATTGTAAGTTTCCTCAGGTCTCCCTATCCATGATAAACTGTGAGCAAATTAAACCTCTTTCCTTTATAAATTACCCAGTCTCGGGCAGTTCTTTACAGCAGCATGAGAATAGACTAACACACTACATATTTTATTTTTTATTGTATTGTAAGTGGAATTGTTTTCTTAATTTCCTGTGTAGTTTGTTGATTGCAACTAGTTTTTGTAGATTGATTTTGTATCCTGTAATTTTACTAACTTTATTTTTTAGTTCTAATAGATTTTTGTGCTATCTTTAGTGTCTTATAGATAAAAGATAAGGTCATCCTCTAACAGATAAATTTTACTTCTTCCTTTCTGATTTAGATAACTTTATTTTTTTCCCACAGGGTAAGATATTAGCTGAATATCTATTACATATTGCCTTTATTATGTTTAGGTAAATTATTTTTCTTATGTTTTTGAGAGTTTTTAATATTTAAAGGGTGTTGAACTTTGTCAATATTTTGAGATGATCATGTGATTTTTTTTTTTATTTTTCATTCTGTTAATGTGGTATATCACCTTAATTGGTTTGTATATTTGGGACTATTCTTGCATCCTGGGAATAATGCCACTTGGTCATGGTGTACCATGCATTTAATATTGTATTAGGCCATTTTCACACTGCTAGAAAGAACTTCCCAAGACTGGATAATTTATTGAGGAAAGAGGTTTAATTGACTCACCGTTCAACTTGCACGGCAAAATCTCAGGAAACTTACAATCATGGCGAAGGCAAAAGGGAAGCAAGGCACCTTTCTCACTAGGTTGCAGAAAGGAGAAATGAGCAGGGGAACTGCCAGACACTTTTAAAAACATCTGTTCTCATTAGAACTCACCACTATCAGAGGAACCACCTCTGTAATCCAATCACTTCCCACCAGTTTCCTCCCTTAACACCTGGCTTTAACAATTCAAGATGAGATTTGGGTAAGGACAAAAAGCTAAACCATATCAAACATACTGTTGAATTTGCTTTGCTAGTATTTTGTTGAGGATTTTTACATCTGTATTCATCAGGGATATTGGCATATACTTTTATTTTCTTGTAGTTTTCCTGGCATTGGTATCAGGGTAATGCTTGCTTCATAAAATGAGTTTGAAAATGTTCCTTGTTTTCCAAATTCTTGGAAGACTTTGTGACGGGTTGATGCTAATTATTCTTTAAATATTTAATAGCATTTAACCCTGAAGACATCTGGTCCAGGTCTTTTCTTTGTTGGGAGGTTTTTTTATTATGAATTTAATCTTCTCATTTAATATTGTGATAGTGACTGAGTTCTCATGAGATCTGATGATTTTATGAGGGGCTTTTCTCTCTTTGCTCAGAACTTCTCCTTCCTGCCACCATGTGAAGAAAGATGTGTTTGCTTCCTCTTCTGCCATGATTGTAAATTACCTGAGGCCTCCCCCAACCCTGGGGCACCATGAATCAACTAAACCTCTTTTTCTTTATAAATTACCCAGTCTCTGGTATGCTTTTTATTAGCAGCAAGAGAATGGACTAATACAGTCTCCATATTTGGTCATCTGTCTGGATGATCTGTTTTGAAAATATAGTGTTGAAGTCCTTTACTGCTATTGGATTGCTGTTTATTTCTCTCTACAGTTCTGTCCATGTTTGCTATTTATAAGTATGTTCTCTGATGTTAGGTGCACATATATTTATTATTGTTATATCTTCCTAATGAATTGATTTTTTATAATTATATGACAACCTTCTTTGTCTTTTGTAATGGTTTTTGACTTCAAGTCTTATTTTCTGTTATAAATACAACTATAATTTCTGTTGAATATCTTTTTCCCCCCTTTGAATTTCTGCTATATGTGTTCTTAAAGGTAAAGTAAGCCTCTTATATATACAATATCTTTGGATCTTTTAAATTTTATTTTAATTCCATTCAGCCACTCTATATTTTGTATTGGGGAGTTTAATCTATTTATGTTTAAAGTAATTATTAACAAGAAAGGACTTAGTATTGCCATTTTGTTAATTATGACCTGTTTGCCTTATATTTCTCTCCACCTTCTTTTCCTTTTGTGACATCTTCCCTTGTGATATGTTGACATTTTTGTGTTAATTATTCATCAATACTTCTTTTATCTTTTGTGTAATTTCTAGAGATGTTTTCTTTGTGTTTTGGTAAAGCACACATAAATGATCTTATAACAGCCTATTTTAAGCTGGCAACAACCTAACTTCAATCAAATACAAAAATTGTTACATTTTACTTTCTCTCCCACACTTTAAGTTACTGATATCATAATTTACATCTATTTATATTGTTTATTTATAACATATTTTCAAAATTATTTTTATTTTAAATAGGTTTGTCTTTATCTTTTACAGTAGAATTAACTTATATGAGCACCACCATTACGGTGTTACAGTATCTTGTGTTTGTTTATATATTTACCAGTGAATTTATACTTTCATATACTTTTGTGTTACAGTTTAGTGTCCTTTTAACATGAAGATCTCCTCTTAGCATTTAGTAAGGTAGTTGTAGAATTGCCTCAGTATTTGTTTGTCTGGGAAAACATTTATCTCTATTTTTGAATGATGGTTTTACTGATTGTAATATTCTTGATTGGCTTTTTTTTCTTTCTGCATTTTGACATATTTCACTTCCTTCTGTCCTGAAAATTTTCTATTGATAAGTCCACTGATAGACATGTGGAGGTTTTTCTTTATGCTATAATTCATTTTTCTCTAGGTAATTTCAAAACTTTATTTTAGTCTTTAAGTTTTAACAATTTCATTATAATGTTTCTCTGTGTATAATTATTTGATTTCATTTTATCTGAGGCCATCAGGCTTCGTGAATCTGTCAATTTATTTCTCTCCTCAGAATTGGGAAATTTTTATCCATTTTTTTTTTAACATAGGCTGTTCCTTTTTTCACCTCCTGAGAATCTCATAACGTTTTTATTCATTGACTTGGTGGTGTCCCATAGTCCTTTAATTTTTTTTTGGGGGGGGGGGGTCCTTTTCATTTATTTTCCTTTTTTCTTCATTAACTGGATAATTTATAATAATCTATTTTGAAATATTGCTGACCCCTTTTTCTGCTTGATCTGTCTGCTGCTGAACCCTTCTAATGTATTTTTATAAGTTATTGTATTTTTTATTTCTAGGATTTTTGTTTAGTTCTTTTTTATAGTTTTTATTTCTTTGTTGATATTCTCATTTTGTTTTGTTTCTTGATTTTCCTGATTTTGTTTAGTTGTCTACTTTTTCTCTTTTAACTCACTGAGCTTCTTTAATATTATTATTTTGAATTATTTGTCAGGTAATTTGTAGATTTTTATCTCTTTAGGTTGATTGCTGGAGATTTATTGTGTTCCTTACACTGGGTCATATTTTCTTAATTATTTGTTTTGTGTAATTATGTGTTGGTGTCTGTCCAGTTGAAGAAACAGCCACTTCTCCCATCTTTACAAACTGGCTTTAATAAGAAAAATCCTGGGCCAGGCAAGGTGGCTCACACCTGTAATCCTAACACTTTGGGGACTGAGGTGGGCGAATCACGAGGTCAGGAGTTTGAGACCAGCCTGGCCAACATGATGAAACCCTGTCTCTACTAAAAATATAAAAAATTTTCTGGGTTATGTGGTGGGCGCCTGTAATCCCAGCTACTAGGGTGGCTGAGGGAGGAGAATCACTTGGATCCAGGAGGTGGAGGTTGAAGTGAACCAAGATCACTCCACTGCACTCCAGCTTGGGTGACAGAGTGAAATTCTTTAAAAAAAAAAAAAAAAAAAAGAAAGAAAGAAAGAAAGAAAAGAAAAGTAAAATCCGTCACCAATCACCAATGAGCCTGGTTAGAGATTCTGGATGCCTCTTAAACTTTATCTACAAATATGTCTTCTCCAGATGTGTGTATTTGATTCATAATTAGAGAAATATATGAGATTATTTTTTTCTGGTACTTGTACTATCTTTTCCACTGTGGTGTCTGACTACTGTTTCATAAGCCAGGATGTTGGAGGCACACTCCACTCTTCTCCCTCCTTGAGGGGAAGCCTCAGATGCTGTAACTTCTTTCAGTTTTGCAAAGCTATGCGGGACATAGAAAGTCACTCAACCTCTTCCTTTATTTAAGGTGCCCCCAAGGAACTAAACTATGTTGGTTTTGGCAGTGCCGTAAGTGAGGTGAGAAAGGAAATGACATATAGGGTATCAAATAAAAAAGCAGGGACATTGGATAAACACTCCATTCTCTCTTTCCCACAAAGGGAACAGAGGTGGACTGGGGCACTCTCTCTCAATTCTGAGATAAGCTGTCTTGTAGGAGGGGCTGATGTGAGTTAAATTAAAATGCATTTCTTAATCATTCTAATGTAGCTGATCTTGGCTTTGTGTTCACGTGAGACACCAGGACTTCTGAACTGGATTCAGGACGTCTCATTAAGGTATTTTAGTTTACACATCATTGTAAATTGGCGCTTCTGGGAGAAAATGAAGTCTATAACTTCCTACTATGTCATCTTTTTTACGTCATTCACTACTTTGTTGTTGTTTACGATAAAGTAGTTATATCTGTGTTATGTTTATAGTAATTTTGAAAGTATTGAGAATAAGCTTTATCATTAAAAACTATTTCAAAGTTTTTGTTCAACACTAACTTATAATTGACCCAATTCCTTTAAATTTTAGCTAAAATTATCTGTATCAATAATATATTTTAATTTATTCCTTTTTATATCCTCAGTTTTTTTATTGTATTCTTATTGTGTTTATGTTATCAAGTTATGTTGTTTCTTAAGGGAGAAAGTTTTGTTTTTTCTTTTTCTGTATTCTTTATGCAAGACATTTTCTTCAATCATTTTTTTCACAAGTTTTGTAATGTTAGCTTTTAATGAATACTAATTGATTTTTCTATAAAATTGAAAAATTAAATTGTATCAGTTTAAATATATATACTTTAAAGTGTGTGTTTATTTTTTAAATATCATATATGAATTATTTCTCAGTATAATGTTTTTCTCAGTGTCTTATTTTACTTTAGTATTATTTTTGCTGAATTATTTTTATGCTTCTAAACATCTCAGTCTTTAAACTAGGAATGTTTTATAATAACAAACAATAGTTTCATTCTGGTAGCCTTTTTCTTTGTTATCTTAAATTTAACACACTCCTTTTATAATCTTATCAACAAAAACAAAAATGCCTCCAACATTTATTTATTTTCTTCTTCCATGTGAATTTTTTTATTTTCTTGCTACAATTATTTACTTCTAAACCAAAAATGATACCATTAAATTAATAAAAAGTATATTAAAATTTTTAAAGATGAAACATTTGAGATCACTCATTCAGCAAAAGAGTTTATGGCTTTATCTTTCTAAAAAAACCAGATTGATTTATTGCTAAAGTCTTTATATATACATACTCCAAAAACCTATACACCCCATTTCAGAAAACTGCTTGCCACAGAACCAAATGAATTAAGTAGAATGTTTCAAATCATCTCATAATTAAACAGCTTTTGCTTCTATACTGCTTTGTATAGATCTACTAAACCCATCATTGACTCATGAGATTGGAAGAATTAAATAAGTTAATATATGTAATTCACTGAAAAGAGTCCTGAAATATAATAAATTCTCAGACATGGTAACAATTATCTCTACCAAATAAATGTTGTATTATTCCATTTTCACACTGCTGATAAAGACTTACCTGAGACTGGGTAATTTATAAAGGAAAGAGGTTTAATAGACTCACAATTCCACATGACTGGGGAGGCCTCAATCATGGTGGAAGGAGAAAGGCATGTCTTACATGCCAGCAGACAAGCCAGAATAATGATAGCCAAGTGAAAGGGGAAACCCATTATGAAATCATCAGATCTCATGGCACTTACTCACTACCACAAGAACAGCATGAGGAAAACCGCCCCCGTGATTCAATTATCTCCCACTGGGTTCCTCCCACAACACGTGAGAATTATGTAAGCTACAATTCAAGGTGAGATTTTGGGCAGAGAAACAGCCAAACTATATCATTCTACCCTGGCACCTCACAAAACTCATGTCCTCACATTTCAAAACCAATCATGTTTTCCCAACAGTCCCCCAAAGTTTTAACTCATTTTAGCATTAACTCAAAAGTTAACTCAAAAGGGCAAGTTCCTTCTGCCTATCAGCCTGTAAAATCAAAATCAAGTTAGTTACTTCCTAGATACAATGGGGATACAAGCATTGGGTAAATACAGTTATTCCAAATGGGAGAAATTAGCCAAAACAAAGGGGTTACAGGCCCCAGACAAGTCCAAAATCCAGTGGGGAAGTCAAATTTTAAAGTTTCAAAATGATCTCCTTTGACTCCATGTCTCACATCCAGGTCACGCTGATGTAAAAGGTGGGATTCCATGGCCTTGGGCACCTCTGCCCCATGGCTTTGCACCCCAGTCCCCCACCAAGCTGCTTTTATGGGCTAGTTTTGAGTGCCTGCGGCTTTTCCAGGTGTACAGTGCAAACTGTTGGTAGATTTGCCATTCCGGGTCATTGAGGACAGTGGCCCTCTTCCCACAGCTCCACTAGGCAGTGGTCCAGTGGAGACTCTGCTGGGGCTTCAACCCCACATTTCCCGTTAGCGCTACCCTAGCAAAGGTTCTCCATGAGGGCCCCACTCCTGCAACAAACTTCAGCCTGGACATCCCGGCATTCCATACATCCTCTGACATCTAGGTGGAGGTTCCCAAACCTTAATTCTTGACTTTTTGGCACCAGCAGGCTCAACACCATGTGGAAGCTGCCAAGGCTTGGGGATTGCACCCTCTGAAGCCATGGCCCGGTCTGGACTGTGGCCCTTTTAGCCATGGCTAGATCAGCTGGGATACAGGGCACCAAACCATTTATTCCTTCTTGTTCTTCAGGCCTGTGATAGGAAGGGCTGTCACAAAGGTCTTTGACATGCCCTGGAGACATTTCTCCCATTGTCTTTGCAATTAACATTTGGGTCCTCATTACTTATGCAAATTTCTGCAGCTGGCTTGAATCTCTCTTCAGAAAATGGGTTTTTATTTTATACTGCATTGTCAGGCTATATATTTTCCAAACTTTTATCCTCTATTTTCTTTTTATAACGAAATGCTTTTGACAGCACCCAAGTCACCTTTTAATGCTTTACTTCTTAGAAATTTCTTCCACCAGATACCCTAAATCATCTCTCTCAAGTTGAAAATTCCACAGATTTCTAGAGCAGGGGCAAAATGCTACCAGTCTCTTTGCTAAAATATAGCAAGAGTCACCTATACTCCCATTCCCAACAAGTTTCTCATCTCCATCTGAAACCACCTCAGCCTCGATTTCATTGTCCATATCATTATCAGCATTTTGGTCAAAGCCATTCAATAAGTCTCTAGGAAGTTCCAAACTTTTCTGTATTTTCCTGTGGTCTACTAAGCCCTCCAAACTCTTCCAACCTCTGCCTGTTACCCAGTTCCAAAGTCACATCCCCATTTTCAGGTATCTTTACAGCACTGTCACAGTCCCAGTACCAATTTACTGTATGAATCCGTTTTCACATTGCTGATAAAGCCATACCCAAGACTGGGAATTTATAAAGGAAAGATGTTTTAATGGACTCATATTTCCATATGGCTGGGGAGGTCTCACAATCCTGGTGGAAGGTAAGGAGGAGCAAGTCACATCTTACATGGCAGCCAGGAAGAGAGAGAATGAGAACCAAGTGAAAGAGGCTTCCCCTTAAAAAAACCATTATAACTCGTGAGACTTATTCAGTATACCATGAGAACAGTATGGGGAAAACCGCCCCCATGATTCAATTACCTCCCACTAAGTCTCTCCCATAACATATGGGAATTATGCGAGCTACAATTCATTATGAGATTTGGGTGAGGAGACAGAAAAACCATATCAGATGTCAACAATTATTATATCTACCACAACATTGTGCAGAATGCCAATTACATGGTCAGTTATTTGTAAATTCTGTTAAATTGAGTGTTTGCCTTTTATTGCAGAAGACAGTTTAATTTATGATTTTACTTTGTAAATTAGAAATATTAGAAATACATAAGAAATTCATTTGAAATTTTTTCTTCTACCTGGTTTAAAGACCACCTATCAAATCCATTTAATTTTCCATTTGAAAAATTTATATAGACACAATTTTATTTGGTACCTACTCATCCACAACATTACTTGACTTAATAGACTAAATTTTAATGACTGAAATTGAACCCAAAATATTTTTCAGCACATCATTCAGCATATAACTCCAGGCTTAAGGACAAAAAAAAGAAACAGGCAGAATTACAGGAATACCTCAGAGATATTGAGGATTCAGTTCCAGACCCCTACAGTAAAGTAAATTTCACAATAATGCAAGTCACAAAAATATTTTTGTTCCCCTGGGTATATAAAAGTTATGTTTGCACTATAATCTATTAAGTATGCAATAATATTATGTCAAAAAAGAATGTACATACCTTAAGTTGAAAATTTTTTGTTGCTAAAAAATGCTAAGAATCATCTGAGCCTTCAACAAGTTGTAATCTTTTTGCTAGTGGAAAGTCTTGCTTCAATGTTGATGACCACTGCCTGGTCAGGGTGCTGGCTGCTGAAGGTTGGGGTGACTGGCATTTTCTTAAATAAGAAGACAAAGTTTGCCAAGCTGATTGACTGTACTTTTCACAAAATATTTATCTGTAGCACAAAATGTTGTTTTATGTCATCTTGCCTACAATAGAACTTCTTTCAAAATTGGGGTCAATCCTGTATAACTCTGCTGCTGCTTTATCAATTAAGTTTATGGATTATTCTAAATTCTTTGTCATCATTTCAACAATGTTCATGGCATCTTCACCAGGCTTAAATTCCATATTAGTAAACCACTTTCTTTGCTTATCCATAAGAAGCAACTCCTCATCTGTTCAATTTATATCATGAAATTGTAGAAATTCAGTAACATATTCACTTTCCACGTCTAATTCTAGTTCTTTCACTGTTTTCACCACATTATTACCTTCACATAAGTCTTGAACCCCTCAAAGTTATCCTTAAGAGTTGGAATCAACTTTTTGCAAACTCCTGTTAATGTCGATATTTTGACCTTTTTCTATGAATTACAAATGTTCTTAATGGCATCTAGAATGATGAATGCTTTCTAGAATGTTTTCAATTTATTTTGCCCAGATCCATTAGGGGAATCACTACTCATGACAGCTATAGCCTTAAAAAATGTGTTTCTTAAGAAATAAGACTTGAAATTCAAAATTACTTTTTGATCAATGGTATACAGAGTGGATGTTGTGTTAGCAGGTATGAAAATTGAATTAATCTCCTTGTACGTCTCCATTAGAGCTCCTGGGTAATTAGGTACATTGCCAACAAATAGTAATATTTTGAAAATAATCTTTTATTTCTCAGGTGTGGGTCTCAACAGTGAGTTAAAAATATTCAATAAGGTGTTCTGTAAACAGATGTGCTGTTATCCAGGCTTTGCTATTCTATTTATAGAGTATAGGCCAAGCAGATTGAGTGTAATTCTTCCAGGCCTGAGGAGTTCAGAATGATCAATAATCATTGGTCTTAGCTTAAGTTACCAGCTGCAATAGTCCCTAACAAAAAGCCAGCCTATCTATGAAAGCTTTGAAGCCAGGCCTTGACTTCTCTCTAGCAATGAAAGTCCTAAATGGTATATTCTTACAATAGAAGGGTGTTTTCTCTACATGGAAAAATGTGTTGCTTAGCGTACTCACATTCATCACTATCTTAGCTAAATTTTCCAGAAACCTTGCTGCAGCTTCTCCATCAGCATTTGCTGCTTGACTTTGAACATTTATGTTATGGAGACAATTTCTTTGATTAAATCTCATGAACTAACCGTTTCTAGCTTCAAACATTTCTTCTGCAGCTTCCTCATCTTTCTTAGCCTTCATAGAATTGAAGAGTTAGGAGCCTGGTTCTAGATTAGGCTTTGGCTTAAGGGAATATTGTGATCGGTTTGATCTTCTATCCAGATGACTAAAACTTTCTTTGTATCAGCAATAACACTATTTTACTCACTATCATTCATGTATTCACTGGAGTAGCACTTTCAATTTCCTTCAAGAACTTTTTTATTGCATTCACAACTTAGCTAACTGGTGCAAGAGTCTTAGCTTTTGGCCTGTCTTGTCTTTCAATGTGCCTTTCTCACTAACCATACTCATTTCTAGCTTTTGATTTAAAATGAATGATTGTGACTCTTCTTTTCATATGAACACTTCATAGGAGGACACTGTATGGTGGTTAACTTGCATAATTTTAATGTGTGGTGTCTCTGGGAGTAGGGAGGCCTGAGAAGACAAAGAGAGATGGGGAAACTGCTATGCGGTGGAGCAGTCTGAACACATGGACTTCTCAACTAAGTTCATCTTATATGAGCATTGTTTGTAATGTCCCCAAATAATTATAATAGTAATGTCAAAGATCACCATAACAGACATAAAAATAATACAAAGTTTGAAATATTGTGATAATTACCAAAATGTGACACAGAGACATGAAGTGAGCACATGCTGTTGGGAAAATGGTGCTAATAGATTTGCTTGACACAGTGTTGCCACAAACCTTCAACTTGTAAAAAACTCAGTATCTGAAACACACAATAAAGTTAAGTGCAATTAAAAGAGGTGGGCTAGGCACAGTGGCTCAGGCCTGTAATCCCAGTACTTTGGGAGGCAGAGACAGATGGATCACTTGAAGTCAGGGGTTTGAGACCAGCCTGGACCACATGGTGAAACCCTGTATCTACTAAAAATAAAAAATTAGCCGGGTGGTTTTTTGTGCCTGTAGTCCCAGCTATGTGGGAGGCTGAGGCGGGAGGATAGCTTGAACTTGGTTGGCGGAGGTGACAGTAAGCCAAGATTGTGCCACTGAATTCCAGCCTGGCAGACAGAGTGAGAATTCCTCTCAAAAAAAGAAAAAAAAAAAAAAAAAAAAAAAAAAAGAAAAGAAAGAAAAAGAAAAGAAGAAAAGACAGTTGTGTCTATAGTTAAGCCAGAATTTGAACCTAAAAATATTAATAAGCCATGAAAAGGAGTCTCTCTTTAAAGCCCTTACATTTTTATATAACTTGGGCTGCCCTGGTACAAACACATCAAATTTATAAAATTAACAAATATTAGAGACATAAAAATCCTTAAAAATTATATAACTTAGCCAATGTTTAAACAAATGAACTGATATTAGATTTGTCCTTTTTCATTCAGCTAATGTACTAGCAAAACTAAGACTAGAATATAGAACTCCTGATTTCCAACTTAGCACTTTTGCCTGACTGTATATTGATGGTCACGTAAGCAGTTGCTCAGAAAAGCTAGAATTAATGGTAGAGATCTCAGTTTTATTGGTGTGTACTTTTTAGTAGAATATGTAATAACATATCTAGGCATTCTCTAACTCTCAGTGTTCTTCCACTGATGCAACAGATTTCTATTTTTTTTTCGTCCCTCCTGCACATTTTATTTCCTACCCAGTGTAGGTTTCTGGTGCATAGATGTTTCTCAAAAATATTTATTGAATGAATAATAAAATTTTATGATGATGATCAGTTGACTGTGTTGCACCATATTTTATGGAGGGGTTCTAAGAAGACAGAAAAAAATAGCACACTAATAAGGATCTACTTTATTCATGTTATTTCTTTGTCAGCATATTCATCACCAGAATATGTAGGAAGTGGACAGTTTTTTTTGTCTGTTTGTTTGTGTTTTGTTTTTGTCAGATGGAGTCATGCTCTGTCACCCAGGCCAGAGTGCAGTGGCCGATTTCGGCTCACTGCAACCTCCACCTCCCAGGTTCAAGCAATTCTCCTGCCTCAGCCTCCTGAGTAGCTGTGACTACAGGCACACGCCATGACGCTTGGCTAATTTTTTTGGATTTTTAGTAGAGACAGGGTTTCAACGTATTGCCCAGGCTGATTTCAAACCCCTGAGCTCAGGCAATCTGCCCACCTCAGCCTCCCAAAGTGTTAGGATTATAGGCATGAGCCACCGCGCCCAGAAGTGGACAATTCTTAAATAAAAGAATAATATGTTTAATAAATATTCTCCATGTGTGTCTGTATTTTTGAGCATGCCTACAAACATATATGTTTTCATTTGAGCTCTGTACTTTCTAGGCCCTAATAGTCTACCCCTTTCCCCACATTTTCTCCAACTTACTGGGAAAAAATGAAGCAGCTGGACCAGAGACATCTTTGGTTTCTTCTATCTGTTGCATCCTTATGATTCTCATATGCTATACTTCTAATTAAATTCCTTGATGCTAATTAAGAATGAGAATAGAACAAATGGCACTAGCTGAATCCAGACATCCTTCTGTTAAACTTAGTGAGTTCTTCAGGGCTGGGCGTTTAGATATTTCCCCTAATTAGGATTCATTGGCACTCACACCCTGTCATATGTACTTTATCATCAGTTCCATCAAAATGATCCCAGAGAGTAGATCAGAAAATACCTGTCTTCTCTAAAGTACTCATAATCACAAGACTGTTTTGTTTTGTTTTTTTTCAGCAGTGCTGCAACATCCTAAGAATCTGTGGTTTGGCAGATGGTGTGATGCAGTGTGTAATTTGGCATGCTATGTCTATCAGCCTGTGGTAACCCTTAGGCATTTTATTTCTACAGGAAACGATGATGGTGAGGACAACATGTGGTGACCCACAGGAACATAATCATGTTAACTCCTGACTCTGCAAAAACTTAGCACGTGGCATTGTTTTTAGCATCTTCTAAGAAGCCGACATTGATTAAATAGACATTTGTTTGACTGCATTAGATTGCTTCTGGTTGGTTTGTTCTTTCTTCCACTAAATTTACCAAAGAATGTACTAGAGTAGTGTGAAATTGGAAGTCTGGTAACTGATCAGCATCACCTCCACTGCTGCATACACTAATAACTTCAACTCATATTTGGTAGTTTTTAAATTCTCTCATGCAATCAGAAGACCTTAAATTCTAATATTTTTCTATTAATGCTCTACAGCATTATGTCTCATTTCAAATGAAATATTAAGTATTAAGAAAGCCAACTTACATGGCTTATATTTGTGGCAAAAAATGATGAATGTTGTGGAAATAGAGATGTGTAAATGTGAATAAGAAAATAAGCAATTATTTCTTTTCTATCTTGAAAATGAGCAAAAAAATTAAGGTGAATCAAAGCAAGGTTCATAAAAATATAAGCCTTATATTTAAAGACACGATTTAACATTTTTATTCCCTTCAATTTTTTTGCAGGAAAGGACACACAATCCACCTCTTTTCTCAGGATAAAAACCTGTAAAATAAAATATTAACTATTAAGTTTAAGACCTATAAGTGAAAGACAGAAAAAATCACAATATGCAACGAATTTCTGTGTTACCCTGTCTTCCTGTGAGGATTATCTATTTTTCTCTCCTTCTGTGGCAATATATACAGTCACATCTTTAGAAAGAAGCAACTTCAAAGTGCTTTTTTCCATGTAGTAGTCCAGTGAGAAAATTGAAAACTAAATAAATCAGTTGAAATAATTTTTATTCCTTGAGCTGATCTTTATTCAGTCCATGGAGGAACAGGTGAACTTGTTTAAATCTGCACTAAGAATACCGACAATTTTTATTACCACGGGTGAAGGGAGGGCTTCTAAATCCAAAGCTCCAGAGAGTGATGGGAAAGCCCTAACACAGTCTCCACAGTGTGCTTGAAGAAGATTTTGACCTTCAGTACTCACTAAATCTAACAAGTGTGAAGTAATATCTCATCATGGTTTTAATTTACGCTTCCCTGATGATTAGTGATGTTATGTTTTCACATACCTGTTGGCCACTTGTATGTCTTCTTTTGTGAAATGCCTATTAAGTTCCTTTGCTCATTTTAAAATCAGGTTATTTGTTTTCTTGCTATTAAGTTGAATTATCTATATATTTTGAATATTAATCCCTTAACAGATGTATGAGTTGCAAATGTTCTCCTGTTCCCTAGATTGCGTCTTAACTTTTTTTATTGTTTCCTTTGCTGTGTAGAAGCTTTTAGTTTGATATAATCCCACTTGTCTATTTTTGCTTTTGTTGCCTATGCTTTTTTGTCATATCCAAAAAAACTCATTGCCTAGACCAATGTCATAGAGTATTTCCTCTATGTTTTCTTCCAGGAGTTTTCTAGTTTTGGTTCTTGCATTTAAGTCTGTACTTAATTTTGAGTTTGCTTTTGTGTGTGATGTGAGATGAGGGACTAATTTCATTCTTCTGCCTGTGATATCCAGTTTACCCAACACCATTTATTGAAGAGACTATCCTTTCCCCATTGTGTGTTCTTGCCAACTCTGTCAACAATCTGCTGACTTTAAATACATGAATTTTGTTCTGGGCTTTCTATTCTGTCCCATTGTTCTGTCTCTCTGTTTTTTATGCCAGTACCATCCTGTTTTGATTACTATAGCTTTGTAGTGTATATTGATGCCAAGTACCATGATGCCTCCAGCCTTGTTCTTTTTGCTCAAGATTACTTTGTCTATTTGGAGTCCTTTGTGGCTTCACAAAAAAATTTTAATTTTTTTTCTATTTCTGTGAAAAATGTCATCAGAATTTTGATAAGGATTGCATCAAATCTGTAGATCACTTGGGTCATATGAAAATTTTAACAATATTAATTCTTCCAACCCTTAAACATGAATATCTTTAAATTTATTTACAGCTTCTTTAATTTCTTTATTAATATGGAGAAATGAAAATGCTGACACACAGTTGTGAGAATGTAATTATTACAGCCACTGTGAAAAACAATATGCAGGTTTTGGCTGGGTGCAGTGGCTCACATCTGTAATCCCATCACTTTGGGATGTGAGGTGGATGGATCATCAGAGGTCAGGAGTTCAAAACCAGCCAGGCCAACATGATTAAAAGTTGTCTCTACTAAAAGTACAAAAATCAGCCGGGCTTGGTGGCACGTGCCTGTAATCCCAGCTACTAGGGAGGCTGAGGCAGGAGAATCACTTGGACCCAGAAGGTAGAGGTTGCAGTGAGCCAAGATTGCACCACTGCACTCCAGCCTGGGTGACAGAGTGCAACTCTGTCTACAAAAAACAAATGAAAGAAAGAAAGAGAGAGAGAGAGAGAGAGAGAGAAAGGAAGGAAGGAAGGAAGGACGGAAGGAAGGAAGGAAGGAAGGAAGGAAGGAAGGAAGAAAGAAAGAAAGAAAAGAAAGAGAAGAGAGAGAAAGAAGAAAGAGAGAAAAAAAAGAAAGAAAGAAGGAAAGAAATAAAGAAAAGAAAAGAAAATATGCAGGTTTCTAAAAAATTCAAAATATGGTAGGAGACAGAAAAGAATAAGGAACTTTTAGTTAACAGATTTGAAGTTACAGCTATAAGAGAAATGTAAGTTCTCTAGTGTTCTATAGCACTGCAGAGTGAATATGATTAATAATAATTTATATTTTCAAGAAGCTAGAAGACAGGATTTTGAACTTACACAGCACACAGAAATGATAAATGTTTGAGGTGATAAATATCCTAATTACTCTGATTTGATTATTACACATTATATACAAGTATTGAAATATTACTCTGTATTCCATAAATATACAACTGTTACATGTCAACTAAAACTAAAAGGAAAAACGATTAAAATAGAACTGCCACATGATTCTGCAATCTCACTTCTGGGTATATGTCCAAAGGAAATGCAATCAGTATGTTGAAAAAATACCTGCACTCCCACATTCATCGCAGCATTATTCACAATAGCCAAAATATAGAATCAACCTAAGTGTTCATCAATAAATGAATGGATAAAGAAAATGTGGTATATGCTCATTGGAGTGCTTTTTAGCCTCACAGGTGTGAGACACCGCACCTGGCCTTGTTTTTTAACAAGGAAATCTTGGCCAGGTGCTGTGGCTTACATCTGTAATCCCAGCACTTTGGGAGGCAGAGGCAGGCAGATCACCTGAGGTCAGGAGTTGGAGACCAGCCTGGCCAACATGGTGAAACCCCATGTCTACTAAAAATACAAAGATTAGCCGAGTGTGGTGGTGCATGCCTGTAATCCCAGCTACTCAGGAGGCTGAGGCAAGATAATTGCTTGAACCTGGGAGGCGGAGTTTGCCATGAGCCAAGATCACCCCACTGCACTCCAGCCTGGGCGACAGAATGAGACTCCATCTCAAAAACAAAAGAAGGAAGTCTTGTCATTTGTGACAACATGGATAAACCTGGAAGACATTATGTTAAGTGAAATAAACCGGACACAGAAAGACAAATGCCACATGATCTCACTTGCATTAGAAGTCTCAAAAAGTTGAACCCATAGAAACAGAGAGTAGAATGGTAGATACCAATGGCTGAGATAGGAGGGAATGAGTGGTTTGACTAGATGTTGGTCAAAGGATATAAAATTTCAGTTAGATAAGATGAAAAATTCCACAGATGTACTGTACAGCATGGTGACTATAGTTAATAGCAGTATATGGTAGTCTAAAAATCTCCATGAGAGTAGATTTTCAATAATCTTACCACAAAAAATGTAACTTTGTTAGGAAATAAATATATGAATTAGCTCAATGTGTATATATATATATATATATGTTATATATTTCAAAATGTCATGTTGTATACAATAAATTTAAACAATTTTGTCATTAAATGTTTAATAAAAAATAGTTCTAAACTGTAAATCATCACTAAAATTTATATAGGAACAGAATTTATGTTCATAATAGAGAGCTTCTTATAGTTGAAAATATTTATAAACAATTATCAGCAAATATGTTGTTAAACATGGTATAAAATAAAGTTGATGAAAACTTTTAAGTAAAATGACAAATCTCTATCAAATATAAAAAGAATTGAAGGAAACAAAGACAATATTTTAAATATTTATTCCCAGTCTACTTTAGTTTTATGAATCTGTGCCTTATTCTTTAATATATAATTAGAATATATTGACTATCTCTCTATATTCTGTATCTTGAATATATAGAATATCAAAATAGGCTTGGAGCCTATTTTTATATGTTTCAAACAAGAAAATCTCCTTTCATACTGCCTCCTAGCAACTAGACCTTGGGCACAATCACACTAGTAGTAGCTTTGGCTACAGATTCAAGGTGTGAAAATGTGAAGTTGCCTTCACAAGTCCAAGAAGAAAATCATGGGGCTCTTCTAACCTTTATGAATTCCAGCATTGACTTTTATTCTATGCCGTGATGGTCACTTGCTATGGAAGCCTGAAAAATTTAACAGATATTTAAGTCTTAATTAGTTTTTATTCAGAATCCCCAAACTAAAAAGGATATGCTCTGTAACCTCTTATCAAGGACCCACTTGTACAAGGGCCTCTTGCCAGATAGATGTCTTAGAAAGACATTTAGCCCGAAAGCCACATGGTTGCCAACAAATGTTTTATTTTATTTCTTTGGTCTCATATCTAATAATCCCTTACTCATTTTGAATTCCTTTTATTTTTTTTTTTTACTATATCTTTTAAGTAGAAGGCTTTTAAAGTGTGTCATGGAGACAGAAGCCCATACTTACCTCCTGAGCATCTATGGAAAATTAAGAGTTGGCTTTTATTATAGGTCTCTCAAGTGAGCTAAGCATAACCAAGCATAGGCTCCTACTTAAGGTATTACATTTTTAGAGAGTACTGAAAAGGTAGGCGTCCTTCAAACTACCTGGGATGAAGGAAAAGCTTTGGAGTCCCAAGGAATAGCAGAGGGAGAATAAGGATGGCACCTGAATGTGGTGTAGGGGTTCCAGGGACCAACTTCTCAGGGTCTTGAGAAGACCACTGCTCTGCATGATTGTATGATTCCTGTGGGGCAATTCCCACCCACGACAGTTCCTTCACTATTTTTTTTTTTGAATCAAGATGTTTCTCTATCATCCAGGCTGGAGTAAAGTGTCAGGATTGCAGCTTCAGCCTCATGGGCTCAAGCTATCATCTCACATCAGCCTCCTGAGTAGCTGGGGTTACAGGTGCACACCACCATGCCTAGCTAATTTTTAAATTTTTTTTGTAGAGATGGGGGTGTGGGGCATCTCACTATACTGCCAGACTGGTCTCAAACTCCTGGCCCCAAGCAATCTTTCTGCCTTAAACTTCCACAGTGGTGGTATTACATGTGTGAGCCATCACACCTGGCCAAATTCATTTTTCTATGATCTTTCTGTTGTCCTTTCAATATATTTCTTTTCTTCTTAAGTTAATGAGAAAATGTTTCTTTGCTTTACAATGAGGAATCTTGATGAGTATATTGTTATGAAACAACCTTAAAAAGGTCAATAGAATAAAAAGTCCAAACAAATCTTCTTTATACTATTCTAAAAAGTAGGTTTGTTATGGCCAGAAATGGGATGGTAAGAAGAGGTGTTCTGTAGCTTAGCAGAGAGTAAGAAAAGTGTCAAAAATAAGAGACTCATCACATGTATATTTAGAAAAGGACTGCTTGTAACATCTATTAACTCACAAGAAGACTTAAGAAAGAGATTTTAGTCAGTGCCTTCTATGTGTTAAGAAGAGAGTTTGATGG
Source organism: Homo sapiens (assembly GCF_000001405.40). Classification (NCBI taxonomy): domain Eukaryota; kingdom Metazoa; phylum Chordata; class Mammalia; order Primates; family Hominidae; genus Homo; species Homo sapiens. The sequence goes on from NC_000004.12 coordinate 33,722,135, forward strand.
AAAGAATTATGATTCTATAATTAATGCCAAATTTGTTATGTTTCCATCCTGTATTTTGTGTGAAACCTTGGGAATAAATTCTGACTGCTAAATTCTGACTGCTAAAGTGGTATTGATTTTAAACTTGACTCACCAACTTCACAGGGGTTAATACAGATGTGAAAAATCTTGAGTTATAAGCTTCCTGCATGCATGAGACTTGTTTTTATTTTGCTGCTCTAGTGTTATTGGTTTTATTACGCAAGGAGAAAGAAGGCAGGGAATTTATGGTCAGGAGATTCCTGGTCAGGAGGTTCATAGTCAGAAGATCTAGACTGGGTCACAAGAAATGACAGAATTTAAGCATTTGAGCCAGGGAATAAGAATGTGTGTGCTCTGCCTGTGTTTTCCACATTCATTTTACTCAGCATTGCACTGTCATCTTGCTTAAGAACAATTCAGTAGGTCAGAAACATTGGATTCCAAAGCTGTTAATGGTTTATTTTCCATTTCTTGCCTTCGCAATATCTGAAATAAAGTTATATCCCAGATAACTGATGGGAAAACAGGGTTCAAAGCTATAGGATATATGACTCATTTAACATAAAATTATTCAAATTAATGAATTAGCAAATCCTCTTGTGCTTATAATAAGCAAATATAAGTTTTATCTTGTCTATTATAAAAGAAATGTCTAAACATTAAGTGCAAAACCAAACTAGGCAGCAGGAGAAGGAAATTAGTTATGTTGTTTTTATAATAAGGATTGTAAAACCAATATCTTAGTGAAATTCTCAGAAAGCTTGATTTAAAAATTTATCAAAATTCGGGAGTTTTTTTGTTTCATTTGGTCTATTTGTCAGTGGTTTGAGGTCTTAGTTCTGCAGCGACATCTTATGGAGTTGGTTAGTTTGCACAACCATTTAATAATGTCTGCCAGAACTGATCATTGTTCTAACAGATTTGATGCAAATAGGATCCCTGCCTGCGCTTTGAATGTGGAAGTAATTAAACGGATGCTATGAGGACTTTTATTTTTTTCTCTGTTGGTGCTTATCTAAAATTTCCTTATCATGGCAACTGTATAATTTTTAAGACACTCCAAAATATGTACTGAGGTCTGAAATTCTCACTACATATTCCAAGTTAGGATAGGAGGGGAGAAGGAAGCTGTTGAATAGTGAAATAAGACAGCAGTAAAAGATCACAGTACAGCTGGTGTTTGTTGGCAAGAGTTTCCACTTAAAAATTTGCAGCAGTGCAAGTACCTCAATTATTATTGGCGCTTTTCACTGTTCGTGATCACCAGGAGTGAAAAAAAAAGAAAAGAAAAGAAAAGAAAATTGAATTCTTTGAAGCTCAGAGAAGTAAACTGAAAAATTTTTGAGTACCGAAATTTACCCATTTCTTCTTCTGATTGTGTTCTTTTGAACAGAACACATTGCATTAAACTCTAGAAAGAAAAAAAGTGACTGTTTTCATATTTTTATGATTGGAGTCACATTCTTAAGATCTATAATGTAGATTACAGCACCATTTTGTTATCTGCTAGAAGAAATATAGCTAATCATCTCTAAATTAGTAATGTTACATTTTATTTTGCTTCCTATTTACTAGTGTGGCACATTTTAATGACAGAAAATTTCCTTGAAGGCAAGAGCTTTACACACAGTAGGATTTCACTCAGTTTTTGCATATATTGACCATTGCAGAATACAAACAACTGTTAAGTAATTTCTCCCAAAGACAGGCCATAATAAAGAGGAAAAATATAAACTATATGACACTAAAAATCCTGTTAATCTTGATCAATCAGTGAATGAAACACTAATTGTGCCAAACAACACATTCTACCTGAACAAAAGGAGGTAATTGCAGTATGTTTCTATGAATACATAGCAGCTGTTCTATGCCATTATTATCACTGGTGAGTAAAGATCATGGTGAATCATTGTCTAATATCTTGTGATCTTGCTCACATATAAAAATTGCCAGGGGACTTCATTAATTATGATTGCATCTTAAGGGCTCTGGACATTTTCATGAGTGCCACAGGACACCTAGAAAATAATTGCATCTTTTGAGAACCATGTGCCAGTGACAAGGTAAAGCTCAGGTTGTATATTCCAGAGATTCTCTGGCAAATGAGCATTGCCTGCCTTAATATTCTAAGCCCATCAGTTAGAAAAGGCTGACCCTATGACTTAAAATTGCATGCTGCATGATTAGAAAGATAGATAACAATATATTTTAAAGAATTATTTGTACCTCACACATGCCCAACAAGATTGAATGATTTTAATTGAATTGAATATTGGTAAATTTGCTAGAAACAGAAAAATAAGAAGTTAAATTTTTTTATTGATGGTGTGAAATATGATGACTTTTATTTCAGTTATGTGATCTAGAGGTAGCAATCACTCATCCAAATAAGTAGCAGTTGGCAATGTGAAATTGAATATAGGAGAAATGAGAGACAACAGTTATATAGATTTGAAGAAGAGTGTTAGATAAAATGCACTTTGGTAAATTCTTGAAAGATATATTATAGAAGATCATAAATACTTCATATCCCAAATAGTGGATTAATCCAGACATGGAAATTTTTGTCAAGATGCTATACTTATCTGCTTTGTAATAGCATCACACTGCTAGCTGATTAGTTTGAGATACTCTTTTTCAAACTTGAGCGAGATTCAGTATGTTACCATGAGGAACGCTGACTCAGCCTTGAAATACAGTGGTAACTACTGGCAGGAATGTCAGAGGCGTTTGAGTAAGAGCAACTCTATCTTGAATAGGGGCTGGGTAAAGTGAGGCTGAAACCTACTGGGCTGCATTCTCAGGAGGTTAGGCATTCTAAGTCACAGAATGAGATAGAAAGTCAGGACAAGATACAGGTCATAAGCACCTTGCTTATAAAACAGGCTGCATTAAAGGGGCTGGCCAAAACCTACCAAAATCAAGATGGTGATGAAAGTGACCTCTGGTCATCCTCACTGCTCATTATATGCTAATTATAATATATTAGCATGCCAAAAGACCCTCCCACCAGAGTCATGACAGTTTACAAATGCCATGGCAATTTCTGGAAGCTACACTATATTGTCTAAAAGGGGGAGGAACCCTCAGTTCTGAGAATTGGTTACCCCTTTCCTGGAAAACTCATGAATAATTCACCCCTCGTTTAGCATATAATCAAGAAATAACTAAAAGTATACTCAGTCGAGCAGCCTGTGCCACTGCTCTGCCTATGGAGTAGCCATTCTTTCTTCCTTTACTTTCCTAATAAACTTGAATTCTCTTTTGTGCCAGGTCCAAGAACCCTCTCTTGAGGTCTGGATCAGGACCCCTTTCTGGTAACAGGAATAGAAGACCATAAATACTTCATAGACAAGGCAACTTCTCAGTTCAGACTATGAAGCTACTCTACACATAGACGGTAACTGATAGCAACATGAGCATACATCACCAATAGGATACCAATAAAAGCATGCAGACCTTCGAGGCCTGTAGGTGTTTAAAGTTAAGATTTTAAAATAGAAAGTAATTTATTCCATGTAACTATGTAATTATGGATAACTGGAATTTGCTCCCCTACCCCTATAAAAAGTACAGAAAAAGATAAATATGCTTAAGATAGCAGACAGAAAATATATTTTTAAAAATAACCAACTTGAAGAAAAACAAGGTTTTACCACTAACTTCCTTTTACGGTATAGGTAGATTGAGAGTTTCAGCTTCATCTATTTTTTGAGAAGTGATATAAGATTGAATCAACCGGAGGAAGATGACAGCTTTTTCTATGCCAAAATATTTTTTAAAGCAAATAGGAAGACAACTGGAAGCAACACACATAAACTGCTGGGTTCCAACATTCTGTTTCTAATTGGCTAATTTCATATTAGCAGTTTTACATCTTTTCTTCTGCTGTGAATCATCATGGGGAAAGAAAACAAGGCAAATGATTTCCTGGCTGAGAAAAACATCTTTGCTTCATTACATAATTTTAATTTGTTCTGGTTTCTATTCTGAACACTGAGAACTCAATAGAGAAAATGTTGCTTTTTAACATATAACTATATGCATTTATATAACTATGTACATTTAAAATGTTAAAAAGCCAACTTCCACCCCATCCCGTTGTTTGTCACATTCTGCTTCCCAAGCCTTTCAAAATTAAAGTCTGTGATGCCTGTTAAGTGCAGATTCAGTCCCATCAATTATTGAGATAGTATTTTCCAGGAAAACATAATATATCAGTAAGCACAGTCTCACTTGAGTAGGGCCTAGAGATAGTCATGCAGCCGAAGTCATACTATTTACCTAATTAGATTGGGGTAAGCCACAAGTACTTGTGAAGTGGCTGATACTAAAATATTAACACAAGCTCTAATAAGAGCTGTCATTTAATATGTATTTATAATATGTAGAAATTCACAGAACATTTTTCTTACTGACAGGGCTGGAAGAACAAAAAATTAAAGTGCTAATCTAGTTATGAAGAAAAGTCCTTGCTAACAACTAAAATTTTAAGTTGGTCTCAGAAGGCCTACTCACTGGGAATAAGGGAAAACTGGAAATAGATCAGTCCTCCCAGACACTAGACCTCCAGTTCCAATTATTTAATCCTTTACTTGATTATAGTGATCATTGCCCTTAGGCTAACACCCTGGCAAAGCAAACTTAATTACACTTCTGAGGAATATCTCATACAAAACTTCAAATTATCTCTAAATTTTTATATCTCTAATGATTGCCACTCAGCAAAAACAAAACAAAATAATAGAAAAACTAACCAAGCATATGAGGAAATCAAATCACATCACCACACAGAGAAAACCCAGGTAAGACAGTCACATTAAGATCCAGATAATGGCGATAAGGGTCATGAATTTTAAATCAAGTAGTCTCTATGGCTTCACAAATATCAACAAGTTAGAGTAAAAACTTTGATGGAGAACTGGAAGCAATAAAATAAAGCAAATGAAAATTTTATTGTGAAAATTTATATGTAAGACCTTGAAAGAAGAACTCAAAAGATGGTGTAATAGCAGATTACACTTAGTTGAGGATAGAATTAGTTGCTCTATAGGTCAAAAGAAAATATTCAGATTGAATTACAGAGGGAAAAAAACGAATGAAATACTGAAACAGTATCATACATATCAAAAATTATAATACTAGAAGTAAAAGAAGTATGACTCCTAAAACATTTCATTGATATTTTACTAGACATTATAGCCAGTACCATAAGACAAAAAAAAAAGGATTAAGGAAAAAGTTATAAAAGAGTAATTTTCACATATGACATAATATCTTTCATAGAAAATACAAACAATCTATAAGAAAAGTGTTAAGCTTAACACATTATAAAAGATAGGTGCAAGGCCAATTAGAAAAAAAGGCATAAAAAATTTAAAATGTAATTTAAAATAGATGACTTTTAAATATCATAAAACACCAAATACCTAGGCACAAATGTAACCAACCATAAACACACAATATTTCTATGAAAAAAATTTAAAATAATATTGAGAGAATTTTTTAAACGTGCATAAGTTGAAAGACACAATAGAGTCATAGATTGAATACTCATTTTTCAAAGACATCAATTTTTCACAAACTGATCTATGGTTTTAGTGTAATCTTAAAATTTCTAGTCATTTTAATACAAAAATCAATGTTGATTCAAATTTTATATAAAAATATAAAGTGTAACAGAGCAGTATATACTGAAAGAAGAATTAAAGTGTGAGGACTTAATCTGCTAGATCTCAAGGTTTCACAGATAGACACCCTAAAGCAAGTTTCTCAACCATGTCATGATTGACATTTTGGGGAGAATGATTTTTTGTTTTGGGGAGCTGTCTTATGACTGAAGGATGTTTTTCCACATCTCTGTCCTCTACCCAGTTATGCATCCACAGTAACCACTCTTTACAGTTGTAACATACATAAATGTCAACAGATGTCAAAATGTCTTCTGGGGAAGGGGAGGAATCACCCCTGTTGAGAATCAGTAGAAAACTTCATGCCTATATGTAACAAAAACCATATACAAGAACATTCATAAGTTAATGTCTGTATTAGCCAAAAGCATAAACAACCCAAATATTTATAAACATTAGAGGGATCAAATAATTAGTATATTATTATAACTGTACTCCATAAACACTGACACTAAGCTAATTTCAGTTATACACAAACATACAAATCTATTCTACTAGCATAATAATTTATATGCCTCGTATTACAATTTCCACTTCCTTTTTGTTCTTTGGTCAACTGTACACAAATTTTGTCTCCTCTTATAAGCTTAAATTCCTTGGAAGCAAGAACTCTATCTGACAAAACATAATAATTATGTATAATGCAATAGCAAGTGGAGTACCTGATTTTTTAACACCTAAGAACCTAAATGGAAAAAAAAAAAGAAGTGCTTAGTGTATACATACATACATATAAATGTATGCATTTGTAATTGTTTCTGTTGTATTGCTTCTAACTTATCCTGAAAAACAAGGGAAATGATCTTTCCTTTATTCCAAATAATAAATGCATGTATACATATGTACTTGTATAATTTTCCAATTCTCCTACATTCAACTGATTAAAGCCATTTTAGTGCATTTAGAAAAAATAATAGGCTGGGTGTGGTGGCTCATGCCTGTGATCTGAGCACATTGGGAGGCCAACGTGGCTGGATGGCTTGATGCCAGGAGTTTGATACCAGCCTGGATGATATAGCAAGACTCCATCTCTATATTTTAAAAAATAGACAAAATAATATTACTTCTTTGAGAAAGGTATTTGCTTTTCATTGTGATCTGGTTGAAATTATAATAATCATTGTTATGAACTGTCATATGTGTATACTGTGTTGAGCACATACATGTAGTATTTTACTCTTCCAACCCATAAAGTCATGATACAGTACTATTATACATCATCTTTTTAAGATGAGGACACTGAGAAAATGACCATATTAATAGACACACAGTGAGAAAGAGTGTACCTGGAATATGAAGCCAAACCATTTAGCACCAAAGTACTTGTTCATGACCAGGACACTGTACTCTCTCTTCTGCTGAGAAGGCTTCTAATCTCCCCTGTGACTCTGAATAGTGTTTTCACAGAGAGGTGTTCATATACAATTAAATTACATAATGTGAACAAAGAACAAGACTTTCGAATAAGCATTGTCAATAAAAGTTCATTCTACTTCCCAAAATTCAGAACCACCATTACTGAGTAACAATTTAATATTAATCAAGCAAACATCACGTGAACTTTAGACATTTAACTTTTACACTCCTGTGAGATAAGCAGTGTAATCACCACATTATGGATAGTGAGACTGATACTAAAAATACTAAGTAAATTGTTCAAGAGTATAAAGATGATAAGTGGCAGAGGCAAGTTTTGAAACTAAGCTTATTATACTATATTATACTATAGCTAGGAAACTTTTCAATATGCCCCACTGCCCTACCTGGTAGGAATGAGCTCATAATAAGATAGAAAAATATGAAAAGCAGTTTTTCTGGAGGTGATTATATCTACCATGAGCAAAAAAGGTATCAGTCAGTGACATCATTTGATTTTGAAGAAGAAAGAGAACGGAAAAAGGTTGTAAACATCAAGATTATTAATTTGTAATCCATTTCAGATATGATCCTAGAACTTAAAAAATAACTTCTATATTAGGATTCTCTGGAGGGAGAGAACTAATAGGATAGATATACGTGTACATATATATATAAAAGGATGTATATGTATATAATAGGATATATACATATATAAACTTATACAATAAATACATATAAATATATATTATAATATAAATATATATTTAAATATTCATAATATATATTTATAATATTATACATTATTTTATATATAAATTTATATTTAAATATTCATAATATATATTTATATATTATATATTTATATTATGTAAATATATATTCAAATATTCATAATATATATTTCTAATATAATATATATTTATATTATATATAAATTTATATATTTATTGTGAAGTTTAATACTCCTTAATAAACGCCCATATATATATATATATCTATATATCCTATTATATACATATATATCCTGTTATATATATATGGGAGTTTATAAGGAGTATTAAACTTACACAATCAAAAGATCCCACAATAGGCCATCTTACACAATCAAAAGATCCCACATTAGGCCATCTTACACAATCAAAAGGTCCACAGTAGGCCGTCTGAAAGCTGAGGAGCAAGGAAGCCAGTCCAAGTTCCAAAGCTGAAGAACTTCAAGACCAATCAAGAGCAGGAAGCATCCAGCTTAGGAGAAAGATGTAGGCTGGGAGGCTAAGCCAGTCTAGTCTAGTCTTTTCACGTTATTCTGCCTGCTTTATATCCTAGTGCCACTGGCAGCTGACTAAATGGTACCCACCCAGACTAAGAGTAGATCTGCCTTTCCTAGCCCACTAAGACAAATTTTAATATCCTTTGGCAACACCCTCACAGATATACCTGGGATCAATGCTTTGCATCCTTCAATCCAATCAAGTTGACATTATTAGATAAAATTAACAATGATTAAAGGCTGATATGAAGTAAATAAATCTTAGGTCACATGATAAAGCAAAAAGGAAATACAATGAAAATATTTTCTAAGTAGAAGTGTATACATGAACAACATATTTTAACAAAAGGAGGAGAAAATACTTATGATAGTTACAGTCCTCATTTCTACAGCTGGTCATGTTGTCATAGCTGGTATTGATGACTACTGTTTTCTACTCCCCATTCTGTATTCCCTTTGCCGTCAGCAAGTACCTCAGCAGGTCATGTTTTTTTTTTTCCTGGTGGAGTTACCCCAACCTTTCTCCCTGAAGGGTCTGGGCCATCTGTAGTCCTGCCTGAATTGGGCTGTTGTAGTTTCCCATTGACCTTAATCACAGGGCATGGTAATACTCAGAGATGCCCTAATGGATCTCCTGTATTCCATGCATACTCTTCCTTACCTCCCTTGTGGAGTAGTAGACTGATTTTATCTTGGTAGTTCATGTCAATCCCACCAGCCAACACTTTAACTCCTTTCTTAGCCTGTTGACTTAAAGGTAGGAGGATCCCAAAGTGTCCAGAAAGCAATCTTAACTTCAGGTTTAATGAAATTGTTGTTGTGTCTCCTAGTGGCAGCATTTCTCCCTCTAGAACTAAGACCTCTAGGCCAGCAGAATGTAATGTCATGGGAACAGGAAGCAAAAATTTTACTAGTGGATCACTAGGGGTGATGGTGAGTGGTGCCACTTCCATTTCCACCCTTTGATTCCTGGACTTGTGAATCCTGGCTATGAGAAAAAATGTATCATATATTGGATGCTGATTCAGAGTATACACAGCCCTCTGAAAAACTTTGCCCCAGCCCTGTAAAGTATTGCCACCTAGTTGGCATTGTAATAGTGACTTCAAAAGGCCATTCCACTGTTGTATCATTCCAGCTGCTTCAGGATGATGGGGAATATGGTAAAACTAGTGAAGTCTATGGGCATGAGCCTACTGCCACGCTTCTTTAGCCATATAGTGAGTGCCTTTGTCAGAGGCAATGCTGTGAGGAATACCATGTCAGCGGATGAGGCATTCCACGAGTCCATGGATGGTAGTCTTGGGAAAAGCACTGGATGCAGGATAGGCAAGCCCATATCCACAGTAAGTGTCTATTTCAGTGAGGACAAACTCCTGCCCTTTCATTATGGAAGAGGTACAATATAATCAACCTTCCACCAGGTTGCTGGCTGATTACCCTGAGGAATGGTGCCATATTGAGGGCTCAGTGTTAGTCTCTGCTGCTGGTAAACTGAGCATTCACCAATGGCCATAACCAGGTTAGCCTTGGTGAGTGGAAGTCCATGTTTCTGATCCCATGCATAACCTACATTCCTGCCATCATGGTCACTTTGTTCATGGGTCCATTGGGTGATGACGGGGTGGCTGAGGAAAGAGGCTGAGTGGTGTCCACAGAAAGCATCATTCAATCCACTTGAATATTAAAATCCTCCTCTGCTGAGATCACCCACTGGTGAGGACTCCCATGGGATACAATTATTTTCACAGTTTTTGTCCACTGAGAGAGGTCCATCTACATACCTCTTCCTCAAATTTCTTTGTCACCAATTTTCCAATCATGCTTTTTCCAAGCCCCTGACCATCCAGTCAAACCACTGGCTACAGCCCATGAATCAGTATGTAATCACACATCTGGCCATTTCTCCTTGCAGGCAAAATGCACAACCATGTGCACTGCTTCTAGTTCTGCCCACTAGGAAGATTTCTCTTCACTGCCATCCTTCAGGGATGTCCTAGAAAGGGGATGTAGTGTTGCAGCCGCCCACTTTTGGGTGGTGCCTGCATATCATGCTCAATCATCTGTGGACTAGTCCCTAGTCTTCTTTTCCTCTGTCATCTGATCTTAGTAAACTCCCCATGAGGCCATTGTGCAGGCTGGGAGAGAGAAGGCAGGGTGGCAGGAGTGGAGACCATGGGCATTTGAGCAACTTTCTCGTTTAATTTACTTGTGCCTTCAGGACCTACTCGAAACCAATCATGTATATAACACTTTTATTTGATGATGGAACACTGCTGTGCACAACCAACTTTATGGCTAGATAGGCCAGAAAGCATCCAGTTCATGATAGGTAGTTCAGGTTGCATGTTGACTTGAGGACCCACAGTCAAACGTTCAGTTTCCACCAAAGCCCAATAGCAGGCCAAGAGCTGTCTCTCAAAAGGAGAGCAGTTACCTGCAGAAGATGGCAGGGCCTTGCTTCAAAATCCTAGAGGCTTCCACTATGATTCATCTATGGGGCCTGCCAAAGACTCCAAACAGCATCCCTATCTGCCACTGACACTTCAAGCACCATTGGATCTTCTGGGTCATAGGGCCCAAGTGGCAGAGCAGCCTTCACAGCAGCTTGACCTGTTGGAGAGCCTTCTCCTGTTCTGGACTCCACTCAAAACTGGCGGCCTTTTGAGTCACTTAACAAATGGGCCTGAGTAACACACCCAAATGAGGAATGTGTTGCCTCCAAAATCCAAATAGGACCTCTAGGTGTTGTGTCTCTTTCTTGGTTGTAGGAGGGACCAAATGCAGCAACATATTCTACACCTTAGAAGGAATATCTCGACAGGCCACTGGACCCCTAGAAATTTTACTTAGGTAGAAGATCCTTGAATTTATTTTCCATCCTCTGGCATGCAAATGTCTCATAATAAGTCTAGTATGTTTGCTACTTCTTGCTCACTGGAACCAATCAGCATAATGTCATCAATGTAATGGACCAGTGTGATATCTTGTGGAAGGGAAAAGTGATCAAAATCTCTCAGAATAGGATTATGACACAAAGCTGGACAGTTGATATGCACCTGAGGTAGGACAGTAAAGGTATATTCCTGGCCTTGCCAGCAGAAGACAGATTGCTTCTGGTGGGCCTTATGGACAGGAATGGAGAAAAAGACATTTGCCAAGTCAATGGCTGCATACCAGATACCAGGAGATGTGTTAATTTGCTCAATGAATGAAACCACATCTGGTACAGCAGCTGCAATTGGAGTCACCACTTGGTTAAGCTTATGATAATCCACTGTCATTCTTCAAGATCCATCTGTCTTCTGCTCAGGCCAAACAGGAGAGTTGAACTGGGATGACGTGGGAATCACGACACCAGCATCTTTCAAGTCCTTGATGGTGGCACTAATCTCCACAATCCCTCCAGGGACACGAAATTGTTTTTGGTTTACTATTTTTCTAGGTAAAGGCAGCTCTAATGGCATCCATTTGGCCTTTCCCACCATAATAGCCTTCATCCTACCAGTCAGGGAGCCAATGTGGGGGTTCTTCCAGTTGTTAAGTATGTCTATGTGAATTGTGCATTCTAGCAATGGGGAAATGACCATAGGATGAGTCCAGGGACCCACTGGACCCACTGTAAGTTGGACCTGAGCTAAAACTTCATTAATTACCTGATCTCCATAAGCCCCTACTTTAACTGGAGGACCACAATGATGTTTTGAGCCTCCTGAAATCAGCATCAGCTCAGAGTCAGTGGCCAGCAGTCCCCAAAATGTCTGATCATTTCCCTTTCCCCAATGCACAGTTACCCTTGTAAAAGGCTGGAAGTTTCCTTGGGGAAGAATGGGAGAAAGATTAACAGCATAAATTATCAGTGGTGTAGTGAGGTCCTTCCTCAAAGGGACCTGGCCTCTCCCTCACTCAAGGGGTTCTGGGTCTCTAAACTGGCTCAAGTCTGGACATTGATTGAGGGGCAGTGGCTCTGTTTTTATCATTTAAATTAGCCTTTTGTTCATTTGACCTGGAAGTTTTCTTCTTATATAAATTAAGCAGGAATGCAGTAAGGTTCCTATCAATTTCACTTCTGGGAACACCGTGATTAATTAGCCAATGCCAGAACTCTACATGAGTCAGACTATTCTGCCTGCTGCCTTGCCTCTGCTGTCCATTATGGTAGCTATACCCAACTTGCCTTTGATGTTTGAGTGCCGCCACTTGGCCCTGCCACCTCGGGATCTGATTATTCCCATTGTATTTAAATTTTGTAGTTGGGTGACTGTAGTCCCTACTGGTAGAGCTGACATACAGAGAAGAGTAATTTTAGGGCTCTTCAGAGATGAAGGTGCTGCCCTCACAAATCTATTTTGCAAAGCATTGGTCAAGGGTAAATTTTCTAGACCCTCCCAGCTGGGATGAGTAGGTCTAAAGTGACTAATTCACTCTACCATTCCAATCTCCCTAAGCCTTTGGATCCCTTCCTCTACATTAAACCAAGAGAGATCAGGCATTTCCAGTTGGCTTACAGTGGGCTATTTTTTAATCCATATTTCAGCTAACCAAGCAAATAAACTATTAGAACCTCTTTTAACTCCCCAAGCCCCAACATTAAATGCAGAATCCCTACTTAGTGGGCTGAAATCAATAAATTCAGCCTGATTTAACTCTATGTTACTTCCACCAATAAACCACACCCTTAATATTCATTCTCATGCCTATTCTCTAGATTTCTGCTTATATAAATTAGAAAACATAAGCAGTTCTTTTCAAGTGTACCACCCCTCCTCATGGGTCACACTCTCAACCTCACCTCTAGGGGCCCACCAGGAATTTAGTCTACTTATAAATTTAGAAGCAAACAGTGGTGTTGGGGAGAATCAACATTATCTTGCCTGGCAACTGCCTTGAGGGAGGCCATCACTGTTGTCCTAGGCAGCACAGGGTTTATCTCCTCAGACAAAGGCGGAAATGTTGATGGCAGCATGGGTCGTGGGTTGGGGAGGGGATTATGCCACTACTGGGGATGGAAAAGCTGTTTCTTCTCACAAAAAAGGTTCATCAGAGTTTAAAAGCTCAGTGTCCCAGCTTCATCAGGGTCTTCCCACACAACCCCATTCCAAGTTGCAGAGTCCCATTCTTTTCCAATCAATACCCTCACTTTAACAGTGGACACCTGGTGAGGCTGTCCATACACCTTTTGTTGCAGGTCAGCCACTCGCAAGGTAAGAGCTTGGGTCAGTTTTTCCACAATTTCAGCTTTTTCTCCACAGGAGATAAGACTCTCACTCAGGGCAATATTAGAAGATTTGAGACTCTGTATCTGCTTCTGAAACCAGGAGTTAGAATCCCTGAGTTCATATTTTCTTTCATCACTTTGTCCAGTGAACTTAGGAGCAACCAACAAGCTTCATATTATGTTTCTTGGTTCTGCATATATTGTCAAAGGTGTTATGTTCGGAGTCACTAAACTCCTTGCCTCTTATGAGCAGTGAATCAAGAGTGTCAAATGCATTTATTTTGCATAACTCTCTAAACAATTCATGCCAAAGACTATCAGTGTTCTCCATACTATTTGAAATAGAGGTCAGGGCCAGGCACAGTGGCTCACGCCTGTAATCCCAGCACTTTGGGAGGCCGAGGTGGGCAGATCACAAGGTCAGGACATCAAGACCATCCTGGCTAACACGGTGAAACCCTGTCTCTACTAAAAATACAAAAAATTAGCCAGGCATGGTGGTGGGCACCTGTAGTCCCAGCTACTCGGGAGGCTGAGGCAGGGGAATGGCGTGAACCTGGGAGGCGGAGCTTGCAGTGAGCAGAGATCGCGCCACTGCACTCCAGCCTGGGTGACAGAGTGAGACTCTGTCCCAAAAAAAATAAAAAATAAAAAAATAAAATAAAATAAGTAGAGATCTGGAGTGGTGGCTCATGCCTGTAATCCCAGCACTTAACTCCTCACAAGGTCAGGAGTTCAAGATGTGCCTAGACAACATGGTGAAATCCTGTCTCTACTAAAAGTACAAAATTAGGCGGGTATGGTGGCACGCACCTGTAGTCCCAGCTACTTGGGAGGCAGTTCATGAGTTTATTAAGAAGTATTAAACTCACACAATCACAAGGTCCCACAATAGGTTGTCTGCAGGCTGAAGTGCAAGGAAGCCAGTCTGAGTCCCAACATTGAAGAACTTTAAGTCCAATGTACAAGGGCAGGAAGCATCCAGCATGGGAGAAAGATATAGGCTGGGAAGCTAGGCCAGTCTAGTCTTTTCATGTTATTCTGCCTGCTTTATATCCTGGCTGTGCTGATAGCTGATTAGATGGTGCCCACCCAGATTAAGGGTGAATCTGCCTTTCCCAGACCACTAACTCAAATTTTAATATCCTTTGGCAACACCGTCACAGACACACCCAGGATCAATACTTTGCATCTTTCAATCCAATCAAGTTGACACTCAGTATTAACCATCACAACTTCCAATTTTGATATTTCAAATAGTACTCTACATTTCATAAACTGCTTTTTATATCTATTCTGACACTTTAAGAATTTCATACCATAGAAATTAATCTTATCAAATGATAATTCTTATGCTCAATATCACTAATCATCACAGAAATACAAAGCAAAACCACAATGAGAGTTCATCTTACTGGAGTCAGAATGTCTGTTATTGAAAAGTCAAAAAGAAAAAACAAAAAAAACAAAAAAACAAAAAACAGATGTTGGCAAGGATGTGGAGAAAAGGAAATTCTTAGACACTGCTGGAAGGAATGTAAACTAGTACAGCCACTAAGAAAAACAGTATGGATATTTTTCAAAAAACTAAAAGCAGAATTATCATTCAATTCAGCAATCCCACTACTCGGTATCTACCCAAAAGAGAAGAAATTGGTATAACAAAGGGATACCTATACCCCATGTTTATTGCAGCACTATTCACAAGAGCAAAGATATGGGATCAGCCTAGGTGTCCATCAAGGGATGAATGGATGAAGAAAACGTAATATAAATACACAATGGAATATTCTTTAGCTATTAAAAAGAGAATAAAATCATGTCCTTTGCAGAAACATGGATGAAACTGGAGGTCATTATCTTCAGTGAAATAAACCATGCATAAAAAGTCAAGCATTGCATGTTATTGTAAGTAGCTTAACTCCAAAATGCATTTTAAAACATTTTTTCCCTTTTCTCTTTTCTTCCTATTCTCCATCTAACCTTGAAACAAACTGCAGAAGCTTTTCTTCTTAACCTTAAAATAGATTTCATATCCCTCCCTTGCACACTGTATATTTCCTTCACATTTATCTAACTGTATGCTAGTATCTAATTATGTGCTTACTTAGATGTTCCGGTTGCTAATCTTGAAATACACAGACTAAGCCTGGAGACCTAGCCTGCAAAAAGGGCATCTAGTCAACAACCCAGCCACTCTTGAGATGATGCCAGCAGGCACTTCAGGTGAACTGAAACCTAAGATAAGCCACCGAAGAAAGACACACAGACCTTGTACTCAGCACAATTCCTGCATGCCTCATATAACAAGTTTCCCTTTTTAATCCCTTGCCTTCTCCCCAGAAATTTCAAGTGGTTACTTTGGATGTAACTCTGGCCACTTTCACATTACTAGTTTTGATAAAAAGTCACTTTCTTCCTATGATACTTCACTCTTGTTACCTGGCTCTGCAAGTGCTGAGTGCCTGGACCTGCATTTGGTTACATTCTCTCTTTTTTTTTTTTAATTATACTTTAAGTTCTAGGGTACATGTGCACAATGTGCAGGTTTGTTACATATGTATACATGTGCCATGTTGGTGTGCTGCACCCATTAACTCCTCATTTACATTCTCATGTATATGTGGGCGCTAAAAAGATTTGAACACATGGAGGTGGAGAGTGGAAAAATAGATCAGATATTGGGAAGCCTGAGTAGAGGGGAGGGGAAAGGATGAAAATAAATGTGCTAAAAGGCAGAAACATACAGTAAGAAGGAATAAATCCAATGTTTGATAGCACAGCAGGTTGACTATACTTAAAAATAAATTGTACTTGGGCAATGATATCCTAAATAACCCCCCTTGATCACTATGCATTCAACTCATCTAAAAGTCTTCTCATGTACCACATAAATTTGCACAAATAAAAAAGGAAATAAAAAATTTTATCATTAAATTTAATCTTATTAAATAATAGTTTTTAGCATTGAAGTGCAGAGCTTGAAAACTCACTAGTCCCTAAGAACTTCGATTATTGTACCACATAATAATTTGCTTAGAGAATTGCTTGGTTTACAGTTATTGTACTTTGTGATTAAAATTAGGATTACTTAATCTATATCTTCATTCCATTTGTCATCACAACTTATTTCTGTTTCCTTCATCACGATGCAGTGAAAATGATACTGATCACATACATATTCAGAATACACAGCTTTGCATTCTGGTTTTACAAATAGCTAATTCTGTTTTCTGATCACTAAACCATAGCACTGTTATAAGGATTAGAAGAGATCACATCTATTAAACTGTGCCTTGTCAATTGTAAAGCCTTATAAAAGAACAGTTAATAACTTTTACAATCAGGATCTGTATCTTCCTGAAGGAGTATGGCTGCCAAAAGCAGACTAGATTGGTTTATGCAGAAATGAAGGAATTGCATGGCATTGAACTACTACAGTATCCTTCTAGAGTTTTCAAAATTATTTCCATTGTCAGATATTGATATCAAAAAATTTGAGATGCTAAATATGTTGCCAGGTGTCCTAAGATACTATTTTCCTATTCACCACATTTAAAACATAATAAATGTAGGAATTTAGTAACTTATGATGAAAAACAGAGTGGCAACTGGAATAAGGTTCATTTCTTTTAAATTTAAGTCTGTTGATCTCTATTTACAATTAATATATAGAAATAGATATTTATATATCAAGATGAAATAATCCAACATGTATAGCTGCATCACTGAATACTCTCCCATCTTTCAGCAATGGCTATATTCACACAATGCTCGCTTCTTAGCCAAAACAGATAAATTGCGAGGACTGTCCTTATACATAGAATCCAACTATAGTTTAGGAAAACACTAGCCTATAGGATGAAATACAATTCTATGATATAAAATGTCACAATAAATTTCTCTAGAAAAAAATCCATTTCTTTTAACAATGCAAATTTAAATATTTCTTTGTATAACCCATTCTCTCAAAAAAATCTCAAATTTTGTAAAGCATTAAGGATATAAACTAAAAGTCATTTTCTTTGAAATAAATTGTATCTTAAACAAATGACCCACTGGTTAATTGACCAATTTGTTTCTAAAGCTCAAATGAATCAGATGTACCAGTGATAGGGTACAGGGCTAAAAATTAGCAGAACTTATTATTTTATATTATTATGTCTATTCTCAACTCTGCTCTTTGCTGCACTTTTTCTATCAATATGTAGATGGAGAGAGAAGATAAGTGACTCCAAACTTTTTCAATTTATATTTTAAGTGTTTGGGAAGCAGACACAGGAACTTCTGTTGCCCTAAGAACAGTGTAAATAATGACAATAACTATTGAAGGCAGAAATTCGGGAAATGTTATGGTTACACGATCCTCCCTGAGGCATGAAAATAGGGTCTGAAGGCAGGAAACATAAGGCGGATTCACACTTCAGCTATGACAGGAACTATCCTCTCCATTTGCATAGGGCGTTCCCTGAGTAAATGACTTTGTAACTTTACTTCATCCTCTTCATTTACATAGGGCATATACCAAGTAACCAATGGAAACCTCTACAGTGTATTAAATCCCCCCAAAATTCTGTACGGGGCCCTCGAGCCCCTATGCTTGGGCCCGCTCCCAAACTGTGGAGCGTACTTTCATTTTCAATAAGTTTCTGCTTTTGTTGCTTCATTCTTTCCTTGCTTTGTTTGTATGTTTTGTCTGATTCTTTGTTCAAGACACCAAGAACCTGGTCACCATCCACTGGTAACACTCCCCACGTGGTGTGAGTCAAGCAAAATCTCAGATAAATTTAGAGAGAGACTTTCACAAAACTTTACAAGCCAAATTTACTCTCCAAATTGTAACTCCATTTCAACGTAGCTACACTGAGTTGAAGCTAAAGGAAATATCTCTTGGAATAACATTTAAGAATCACCTCATTGTTAATGATTTATCTTTGATCCTGGTGCCTCTTCACTAGCATTACATTGGAATTTTATATTCTTTAGCATCTGATTGAAAGGAGGGGCCAGCTAGGCTTCCTGGGTAGAGTAGGGGCTCAGAAAGCTGTGAAACTCACTCATTTCCTGCATCAGGACTTACTTTGGTCCTGGATGAATAATATTGAAGACATATGCTTAAAATATTCCTAATATCAGAATTTGTGCATGTGTTTTCTTCCCCAAGAAAGCTATAAACAGTGAAAATTTTGCTGTAAGCTTCCCTGTGTCCTCTCTCCCTCTCTCTCTTCCCCCTCCCCTGAAACTAAAATGAATGTTAATTGCCCATTTGTCTGTGACCAGTGGACCTTATCTATGCTTCCAATTCCAATTCCTTGTAAACATACTTTGTAAAGTCCTGTGAGATCCTGTCTCCTTTGCCGATGCAGGGTCATAAAGTAGATAAAACCTAAGTTGCAATTCTGGTTTTCCTCAAGATCTGAGACATGTTAATTGTCTTTGTTTCTCGCTCTGGTAACATCTGCCCACCTCACGTATTTCCTGCCTTAAAGAGTTTAAAAGGTGATTGAAGAATGTAACACTGGCTACCGCTCGGGACCTCTTCCATGCTGTGGAAGCTTTGTACTGTCACTCTGCTCAATAAAGCCTATGGCTTTTTTTGCTCTTGGTCAGTGTCTCCATCATTCCCCATGGGCAGCCACCTCACCAATTATTTGGCGTGGCTAAGGCAAGAACCTTTGGCATTACATGATGAGAAACAAATTCACTGTGCACTTTCTAAAAATGTCTGTCCAGTGAAACAGGACGCACTTATCCACAAGGTACACGAAGCAAATTTACTAAGTACAGATAGCCAGCAAAGGACAACGGAAGCCTAGTGTTACCGGGGGTCCTTGCTCACAGAGCTTCCAGCGAGGTATGCAGTGGTCAGTGATAATGGAATCCTTGAAAGTAATCCCCTCACTCCAGGAACTAGTGCTCAGCTGGCAGAATAGCCCTCACTCAGGCACTAGAATTAGGAGAAAGGAAAAGGGTAAATACATATACAGACTCTAAGTATGCTTACCTAGTCCTCCATGCCCATGCAGCAATATGGAGAGAAAGGGAATTCCTAACTTCTGAGGGAACACCTATCAAACATCAGGAAGCCATTAGGAGATTATTATTGGCTGTATAGAAACCTAAAGAGGTGGCGGTCTTACTGCTGGGGTCATCAGAAAGGAAAGGAAAGGAAAATAGAAGAGAACCGCCAAGCGGATACTGAAGCCAAAAGAGCCACAAAGCAGGACCCTCCATTAGAAATGCTTATAGAAGGGCCCCTAGTATGGGGTAATCCCCTCTGGGAAACCAAGCCCCAATACTCAGGAGGAGAAATAGAATGGGGAACCTCATGAGGACATAGTTTTCTCCCCTCAGGATGGCTAGCCACCAAAGAAGGAAAAATCCTTTTGCCTGCAGTTAACCAATGAAAATTAGTTAAAACCCTTCAACATACCTTTCACTTAGGCATTGATAGCACTCATCAGATGGCCACATTTTTATTTACTGGACCAGGGCTTTTCAAAACTATCAAGCAGATAGTCAGGACCTGTAAAGTGTGCCAAAGAAATAATCCCCTGCACTGCAAGCCATACATTTCAATCCCTGTATCTTTAACTTCCTTGTTAAGTTTGTCTCTTCCAGAATCGAAGATGTAAAACTACAAATCGTTCTTCAAATGGAGTCCCAGATGCAATCCATGACTAAGATCTACCACGGACCCTTGGACTGGCCTACTAGCCCATGCTCTGATGTTAATGACATCAAAGTCACCCCTCCTGAGGAAATCTCAACTGCACCACCCCACTACGCCCCAATTCAGCACGAAGCAGTTAAAGCGGTCATCGGCCAACCTCCCCAGCAGCATTTGGGTTTTCCTGTTGAGAGGTGGGAATGACAGACAAGACTAGCTAGATTTCCTAGGCTGACTAAGAATCCCTAAGCCTAGCTGGGAAGGTGACCATTTCTACCTTTAAACACAGGGCTTGCAACTTAGCTCACACATGACCAATCAGATAGTAAGGAGAGCTCACTAAAATGCTAATTAGGCAACAACAGGAGGTAAAGAAATAGCCAATCATCTGTTGCCTGAGAGCACAGTGGGAGGGACAATGATCTGCATATAAACCCAGGCATTCCAGCCGGCAATGGCAACACCCTTTGGGTCCCCTCCCCTTGTATGGGAGCTCTGTTTTCATTCTATTTCACTCTATTAAATCTTGCAACTGCACTCTTCTGGTCCATGTTTGTTACAGCTCGAGCTGAGCTTTCGCTTGCCGTCCACCACTGATGTTTTGCCACTGTCGCAGACCCACCACTGACTTCCATTCTTCTCGATCCAGCAGGGTGTCCGCTGTGCTCCTGATCCAGCGAGGTGCCCATTGCCACTCCTGATTGGGCTAAAGGTTTGCCATTGTTCCTGCATGGCTAAGTGCCTGGGTTTGTCCTAATCGAGCTGAACACTAGTCACTGGGTTCCACAGTTCTCTTCCGTGACCCACAGCTTCTAATAGAGCTATAACACTCACCACATGGCCCAAGATTCCATTCCTTGGAATCCGTAAGGCCCAGAACCCCATGTCAGAGAATACGAGGCTTGCCACCATCTTGGAAGCGGCCCGCCACCATCTTGGAAGAGGCTCGCCACCATCTTGGAAGCTCTGTGAGCAAGGACCCCCAGTAACACTAGGACTCATTGTGAACTGGTCCTCCAATCTTCAGAAAGCTGCCTAGGGTGGATGGAGTCTCAAATGTGTGTGCCCCACTTGCGCTGCCAGTGAGGGACTCCAAAAGGAAGCCTGTTCAGGGTTACATGCCTCAGGAAAAATGTGACTCACTGGGTAAAGCTTTGAGGGATATCCTGCTTCTATGGGAGACAGGAACAAAGCCCAGATGTCCTGGTCTTTTCTTCCCTATCTCAGGATAAGGGGATAGGGTGATAGGGTGAACTGTCCTGGGTAGTTCTTCCCTGTCTCAGGATATTTCATTGTTTGTTAGCACATTCTACAATTACTCTCAGAACTCTACACAAGTAGGCGAGGGGAGAGAAAGATGGTTGGCTAAGGCTATCCAGAGACCAACCAACATCTGAATTTACAGAAATCGTGGCACATAGATCCTTTCCTCATATCCAGCCTCCATAAGGCAGCAGGATACTGAGGCATGACATGAAAAGTCAAACAGAGAAACGTGAAAAGCTATCTTTGTTCATTGGGCAAGGAAATACTGAAGGAAGAGTCAATTTTGTTTATTACAGAAGGAGAAGGAGCTGAAATATTGCTGAATTTTGGAATATCTATAATTGGAGTCTATATGCTTAACTGATGAGCCAAGGATATACTCTATATTATACCAAGTGCCATAAAAATTATTATAATAAAAATAACAACTTTTGAGCATAATGATATTTTATGTTAGGCCCTTGTAGCATTGTATAGTAGAACAAGCACTGAGATAAAATGGGAGAACAGGTTCTATTACCAACCAAATCTTTTATTTTTTTAATATTTATTATTATTTTTTAAATATATATTTTAAGTTCCGGGATACATCTGCAGAAAGTGCAAGTTTGTTACATAGGTATACACATGCCATGGTGACTTGCTGCACCCAAAAGCCCGTCACCTACATTAGGTGTTTCTCCTAATACTGTCCTTCTCCTAGCCCTCCAAGCCCCAAAAGGCCCCAGTGTGTGATGTTCCCCTCTGTGTGTCCATGTGTTCTCATTGTTCAACTCCCACTTATGAATGAGAACATATGGTGTTTGGTTTTCTGTTTCTGTGTTAGCTTGCTAAGAATGATGGTTTCCAGCTTCATCAATGTCCCTGCAAAGGATATGAACTCATCCTTTGTTATGACTGCATAGTATTCCGTGGTTTATATGTGCCACATTTTCTTTATCCAGTCTATCATTGATGGGTATTTGGGTTGGTTCCAAGTCTTTGCTGTTGTGAATAGTGCTGCAATAAATATAAGTGTACATGTGTCTTTATAGTAGAATGATGATTTGTAATCCTTTGGGTATATACTCAGTAAAGGGGTTGCTGGGTCAAATGGTATTTCTGGTTCTAGATCCTTGAGGAATCGCCATAGTGTCTTCCACAATGGTTGAACTAATTTGAATTCCCACCAACAGTGTAAAAGTGTTCCTATTTCTCCCCATCCTCTCCAGTATCTGTTGTTTCCTGACTTTTTAATGATCACCATTCTAACTGGTGTGAAATGGTATCTCATTATGATTTTGATTTCCATTTCTCTCATGACCAGTGATGGTGAACTTTTTTTCATGTAACTGTTGGCCACATAAGTGTCTTCTTTTGAGAAGTGTCTGTTCATATCTTTTGGCCACTTTTTGATGAGGTTGTCTGTTTTTTTCTTGTAAATGTTTTTAAGTTCCTTGTAGATTCTGGATATTAGCCATTCATCAGATGGATACATTGCAAAAATTTTCTCCCATTCTATAGGTTGCTTGTTCACTCTGATGATAGTTTCTTTTGCTGTGCAGAAGCTCTTTACTTTAATTAGATCCCATTTGTCAATTTTGGCTTTTGTTGCCATTGCTTTTGGTATAGCCAAGACAATCCTAAGCAAAAAGAACAAAGCTGGAGGTATCACGCTACCTGGCTTCAAACGATACTACAAGCCTACAGTAATCAAAACTGCATGGTACTAGTACCAAAACAGATATATAGACCAATTGAACAGAAGAGAGGCCTCAGATATAACGCCACACATATGCAACCATCTGATCTTTGACAAATCTGACAAAAGCAAGTAATGGGGAAAGGATTCCCTATTTAATAAATGGTGTTTGGTAAACTGGCTAGCCACATGCAGAAACTGAAACTGGACCCCTTCCTTACATCTTATACAAAAATTAACTCAAGATTTATTAAAGACCTCAATGTAAGACCTAAAACCATAAAAACCCTAGAAGAAAACCTAGGCAGTACCGTTCAGGACATAGGCATGGGCAAAGACTTCATGACTAAAATAGCAGCCTAATCTTAAACAGGCATATGACCTGGGAAAGTCAGTTAATCTTTATGGACTATATCCATACAATAAAATGAAGTCAGGAGAAAGACTGGGCAAATTCTGAGGCTTAAAGCTTAAAACATATAGCTCATTTTCCTTCTCCCTCACAGTTGGCACTCTATTTTACACTTTCTTTTCTCTACTTGCATATTGGGAAATTATCAGAGCTTCATCACCGCATTTTCTCTATATTCATTTCCTCCTCATCCTGTGCAATTTGAATTATGCCACTCCATTGAAACTGTATTCTTGATAGTTTACCTGAATGTTTCCCCAGTATCTTCACATGCTCTTTATCCTGGGTTTCATAGGTATTTGAAAATTGTAATGATTAATTTTATTACATCCTATCCTTCCATTTATACATTTGTACCATTATATTATAAGTGGTTTTGACTGAACCTTCTATTACTTTCCTATATTACTCCCACATCTCCTAAAAAAGTGTGTGGGATATGTTTGTGGGTTAATAATTATTTGCTGAAATGTCAGTGTTGTTGGACTTTGTGGGTCTTATTCTTTGGACCATTGGGTTTGAGTGGTACATTCAAAGCCCTAATAATAATATCAATATTATTTGGTTCATATAATAAATATGTTCTTTACACTCTAAAAATGTTCTGTAGTTTATTCAAAGTTACTAATATTGTGGATATTTGGAAAAAATATAAATTTTCTTTTGTGTTAGATCACTAACTGTGATATCATGGTACTGCATATTTTGGCTTTTACTTGAGACTCAAATATTCTCTTTTATTTAATATACAAAGAATCAAATAAATACTTAGCTATATCAGTATCAGCAAATAAAAAAGAGACAATTGCCAATGTACAAAAGAACAGCATAGACTTTAAATGTATTTATATGGTCAGGAATGTATACTAATTAATTATCAGAAATTAGTGGAATATTATAATTTTAAAAGGTGATAACTGTCCAAGTAATATCAACTCTTTCATCTTTCACTCAACACATTCCTATCTACCTTTAGGAGGACAACAGGATGAGAGTTCGAATTAAGTATATTCAAACTGAATTTACATTAAGTAGAAAGAGTGATGGAGTTAAATTTAGAAACATAATCGTGTTAAATGTACATGCCAACCTGTGGGGTAACATGGACAGCCAGAAAAGAAATAGAAAGGCTTTTGACTCACTCTCGTTTTCAGCATGTAGCTTGGATCTTCATTCTGTACTCTAAAGGGTTAGTCACACTTGAGTCCTTTGAGAAGAATATGCCAAGAAGAAAGTACTTCAGACAGTATTTCTTAGGGGAAAGGTCGGTGAAGGTAAACATAAAAAGGAGAAGGAGCTGGTAAAAGCCTCCCAAAGTTGGGAATAAAGGAACAGCAAAGTGAATTTGGTAGGAAGAGCCTCAGACTGCAGTACAGCTTGGAGACAGTCTCACCCAGGCTGATGGGAGCTTCAGAGCCAAGTTGCTCATTAGGGGAGTCCACATTTGGCAGGAAGAGCCACACTTAGTGCCCCTATGGTGCTCAGTCATTGGCTGGCAGCTGCTTGGGCATGTCTGGGCATGAACACTACAACGGATCTGAAGTTGCAGAAGTTGAAAACAACTTTTTTTCCCTTCAAATTTTATTTTAAAACCTACACCTGTAGAAGAGTTGAAAGAATCAGAAAACAAACAATATTAAACTGTTTATCAATTATTAACATCTTTTGACATTTTCTTTATCTCTTCTTGTATATTTTACTCTGAACAACAACAAAGAATCAAAACCTAAGTGTCATGCATGTCTGTGTGAAGAGACCACCAAACAGGCTTTGTGTGAGCAACAAGGCTGTTTATTTCACCTGGGTGCAGGCGGGCTGAGCCCAAAAAAGGAGTCAGCAAAGGGAGATAGGGGTGGGGCCGTTTTATAGGATTTGGGTGGGTAGTGGAAAAGTACAGTCAAAGGGAGTTTTTCTCTTGTGGGCAGGGCCGGGGGTCACGAGGTGCTCAGTGGGGGAACTTCTGAGCCAGAAGAAGGACTTTCACAGGGTTAATTGCTCAGTTAAGGTGGGGCAGGAACAAATCACAATGGTGGAATGTTATCAGTTAAGGCAGGAACCCGCCATTTTCACTTCTTTTGTGATTCTTCACTTGCTTCAGGCCATCTGGATGTATACTTGCAGGTCACAGGGGATATGATGGCTTAGCTTGGGCTCAGAGGCCTGACACTAAGGATGCACTGAAGACCTTTGAAAGGGAGCAGCAGGTTCTCTCAAAGGGCACTGTGCATGGTGCACTCCCATGACAGCCACGCCGGAAAGTCACAGATTGAATATGTGGCAAACTAGTTCAGATCTGCTCTGCATCATGCCATCTCTATAAATTTGTAAAAGAAAATAATTCCATAGGGATGCGATGCAAATAATACTAGCACAGTCTGGGTGTATCATTAACAGGGAAATTGTTATATGGGCAGGGATAAAGCAGAGAATTCCTGCAAGATCTGCCTGTCATGTGACCAGATCTGGAAAGCACTGTACCTGTCAGACAACTAAACTGCTTGAACCCTTAGAAAAGCGAGGGACTTTTTTCATTCCTACTTGGGGAACAATTGAACATCAGAAGCAAGAAGAAGGCCAAGTAGAAGAAAGACCTCAGCTCTGCACAGGGCTTAGAATAGAGCCCAAGCTCTTTCTGTTGGCCTATATTTGCTTTCACTTTTGCATATTTTCCAAAGCTTATTATGTTTTTAGTTTCTCAAAGATTGGAAACTCTTCTACCCCAGAGACTTTGCATTAATGTCTCCTCTGGCTAGAATTTTTTTCCAAGGCTTTTTACCATGGCTGGCTCCTTCCCCTCTTACAGGTCTCAGACCTGCCTTGAATATCTTCTTTAAAGAGGTACCTCTGTTCTCTGTTCTCTTCTCCATTACGACAACATGTGAGCATCCTTCAAAATGATTTGTATTATATAGTTATGCACAGACATGTTTTTATACAGGACTTTAAATGCATTAGGGCAGCAACAATATAGTTTTGTATACATATATACACAAAATCATAGCATAACAATACATATCTGTTGAGAAATTATTCAATGAACTAATGAAAAGCTAAGTATATCTTAACATTTTATATGCATCACAAAATACAAAACACTGCCCTCTAGAAAGGTTGTAAAATTTTATATTCTTAGAACCAGTTTATGAGAGTCCTTATTTTCTTCTTGTTCCTTGACAATAAATTTTATGGCTTAAAAAAAAAGTTGTTCATATAAAGAAAAATAGAATTCATTACTGTTTTGATTTGTGTTCTATTGAATTTCAGTCAGGTTAAGTATGATTTCATGTATGTGGAAAATTTGTACTTTTTCTATCGTAAATTATCTGTTCATTGTTTATTTAAAAATATATTCAAACTGTAATTTAGGTAAAATATATATTATGTCTATAAATAAAATTATATGATGTCATAAGAAAGGATGATGGAGATCATTCAATGACATGAAACATCCATGATGTATCAAAATAAGACTTGGCTATTATGCAGGAAGGAAGAGAAAAAAGCAACCTATCACCAATGCAGCTCTTCTATAAAAATGCTTTTCTGAAATTTTTTAAATATTTGGATGCATGTGATAGATTTTTTTTAATTTCAATAGTATATGGTGGACAACATTAAGTAGTACTAAATAATGAAATGATTTTCTGTATTGTGGAAAGCAAAATGAAACAAAGCAAAATAATTATTTTATAAAGCAATGATACAAGTAAATGATAACGATTAGTTTGCTTAAAGAAATTATATGAAAAGTGCTTAGAATTTTGGAGGCACTGGTTTCTTTTCTTCGACTTTTAAAATGAGCAGCTTTCTTCAGTGATTCTCCTGGTTTCTTCCTCCGGTTACTTGCTAAACTTCTTCCTGGAATTTTAATTCACTCACTTTTCCAAAATTGTCACTATTTCTCATTGTTAACTTCAAAATTTGTTAAACCCTTGATACGTTGAGACTAAAAACGGCCATTTAGTAGATTCTGTCTTAAAATTTTATATTACTTTGAAACACACTGTCTTCTTTACAAAGCCACCATCAATATGTCATCTACAGCAGGAGATTTCAGAGCGCAATCTGTGGACCCCTGGAATTCCTGGAGTTGTTTTCATTATAATGGCCCCAAGTTTATAATTTATTTATATGCATACTAAGACTTTTTTTTTTTGCTTTTTATTTATTGATTTTTTTGTATTGTGCAGCAATTTACACAATGGAGCAAAAGCAATGCTGTGTAAAACTACTGACATATTAGCATAAATCATGGTGTAGGCCTAAAACTGTACTGGTAGTCATTGTGTTCTTTACCACCTCATGCTCACAAAAATAAAATACCACTTTTATTTAAGAATATTCTTGATGAATTATTTAAAAGTGTTATTTGATACAAAAATTAGCCAGGCGTGGTGGCGGGAGACTGTAGTCCCAGCTACTTGGGAGGCTGAGACAGGAGAAAGGCCTGAACCTGGGAGGAGGAGGTTGAAGTGAGCCGAGTTCGTGCCACTGCACTCCAGCCTGGGAGACAGAGTGAGACTCCATCAAAAAAACAAAACAAAACAAAAAAAAAAACTGTGTTATTTGATTAAACCTCAATCCTTGTGTACATATCAATGTTCTGGGTGTAGGCACACAGCACTTCTGCTGCACACTGAAGTATGATGGCAGTTCCAAAGAAAACCAATTAGGCAATTATTTGAGTTAAGAGCTGAACTAGCTGCTTCTTCCATGGAATAGAATTCTTGAAATAATTGTTAACAAACCGTAGCTACACAGGCCTGCATATTGAACAGACATTTTATTAAAAGTTGAATGAAATGAGTCCATCATTTCAAGTAAACGACTGAGAATATATTGCCAGTAATACATTTCAAACTTTGTATCAGCCAGTATGAGCTTGACATCTTTCTGTACATAAAGCTTTTTCTGATGACAACAGTGGCAGTACTGTTACTAGAAAGGGGTCCGATCCAGACCCCAAGACAGAGTTCTTGATCTGGTGCAAGAAAGAATTCCAGGCAAGTCCATAAAGTGAAACCAAGTTTATTAGAGAAGTAAAGAAACAAAAGAATGGCTACTCCACAAGCAGAGCAGCGGTTTCGGTTGCATGACTGAGTATACTTATGGTTATTTCTTGATTATATGTTAAATATATAATAAGAAAGAATTTTAAGGCAAGTAACATGTTTCATCTTCCAGCTCAAGAGCCCCCATTCTTCTCTACAGTTGTGATCTCAAGGTGACTGCAAGCTTAATAACTTTGTCTTCACTATGGCTTGGTATTTTTGTGATTCACATTGCTTCCCTGGATGCAAGGGCACTATATTTAACTAATAAACAATTTAAATAAATGGAATTTTATTACACAGTATATGCCCTTTTTTGTGTAAATATACAGAAGCAGCTCGATAAATTTTATTTAAAACTCAGAGGCTAAAAAGGTAATTCTGAAGGTGTGTACCAACATGAAGTTCTCCATATCTAGGACACAGATTCGAAACTATGTCTATGCTCATAATTTGGGTGAAGAGGTAAAGTAGCATCAACTTAACAGACGTCAGTTTCAAGATGACAGAGAGTGACTTAGAGGGAAGTGAACAGTAGTTTGGGGAAGTATAGAGACACATTCCTGACCAGAATAACTAAGTTTGAATTTGTGAAATCAGTTACCATTTTCTTGGGAATCTCATTAATATCTTAACAAGAAAAACTGGTAGAAGACTTTTATAATCAATTATTCATTGAGCACCTTCCATGTGCCAAATGTTTCATAAACTCTCAGTGATACAGCAATGAATAGGACAAAGGCCTTGTCCTTACATATTTTGTATTGTCATATATAAATTCCATAGTTAAATCGGGTAAGGTTTTTAAAAATCATAAATGTTACGTTTATTGAAAATGTAACTGATCAAAGACTGATGACACAAAGAAAATGGAAAGAAATTGGAAAAGGGAGATTAGAATATAGGGTCAAATTCAGTACCACAATCAGCATACTATTATAAGTATTTACTACAGCATACTAAAGACTCATTGCTATGCTAGGAAATTTATTATCAGGATACTACCTCTGTATAAACACCTTCCCTTAAGCTCATAATGCTCTCAAATTGGATTCACAAGTACAAAAAAGAAGCTAAAAATAAAGGTTGACTAGCATTTAAAAATATTTTAACTCACTCTGGCAATTCTGATATTCATAAAAATATAGAATTGTAATAATCATTATTCCTAGAGATAAGATTACAGCAGGCTTGAATTTTGTGTAGTTTAATGTTCACTTCATTGTATGCCTATGGAACACATACTAACTATATGATAAACACTGTGTAAGTCTATAAGAACAAAAACATTGATAAGGCATTTTGTCTATCTACAGAAAGCTCCTAGTATTATAGGGAGGAAAAAAGTAGATGCAAAATTTCTAATATATCTTAATTATTATGACAGAGGTCTACAGCAATTGCTGTACTGGAGAGTCTTAATTATTTGCATGGTATTTTTTATATTATTTTAATCATAAGCAGAAGTAGTCAATATTTAATAGCAGATAAAACATAGGCTTGACCAATCCGAATGGACCCTATGGAAAACTATTAAAAATATCTTGGTGCAAACTTGATGCATGTCAGCCCTGATTATGAGCTATGGGCTATCATACCTCTATTTTCCTAGAAATCATAAGCTCTTGAGTCTAATATTTGTGATCTCAGTAACTATTCTGTATACGGTAACTAAGAAAAATGCTAAGTACAAAGAAGCTGATAGGAAATAGAAGATAGATATCTCACTATTAGTAGTAGCTTAACTGTTGTATGAAGCTAAGGATTCCATTGAATTTAAATTCCCATAACTCTATACACAGGTGAAAAAAACATAATTGCCAAAACATGCTTTCTCTCACAATTTTTTTTCTGAGGTGGAGTCTCGCTCTGTCTCCCAGCTGTAGTGCAGTGGCTCGATCTCGGCTCACTGCAAGCTCTGCCTCCTGGGTTCACACCATTCTCCTGCCTCAGCCTCCCAAGTAGCTGGGACTACAGGCACCCGCCACCTCGCCTGGCTAATTTTTTGTATTTTTAGTAGAGACGGGGTTTCACTGTGTTAGCCAGGATGGTCTTGATCTCCTGACCTCGTCTCTCACAATTTTTACATCTTCTTTATGTGTTATTAGTTGTCCAGAGATAATGTGTTATCAATTATAATAGTTATCAAAGTTAAAATTATACTTTCATCAGTACATAGCTGTTTTTAATAGATGTTGTTATCTTATTGTGTTTACAATTAGATTGAAACATTATTCAGAGATTCTTAAGGAGAAAAACTTAAAATAATTTCAGCCACAAGGCCATCACCTGAAACAAAAGCATTTTAAATATCTAATCACTAATACTTCATCAAATTTCTCTTGCATTTTCTCTCTCCTGGAAATATTGCTGGTTTGTTTGCTTGTTTGTTTTGTTTACAACTCTGGGTTTTACAGTGAGTTTTAACTAATAGAGCTTGAATTCATAACCAGATTCCACAGCTATTGACTAACACTGAGTATGTTACATAGCCAATATATATACCTCAGTTTTTCCATCTACAGAATAAGGATAGTGGCATCAAAAAGTAGAAATGTTATGCTATTAAAAAATAACACAGGTAAGACTCTCAGTGTGTGGATGGCTCATTGTTTATGCCAAATAAATAATAGCTGAAAACTGTACAAAAGCTTTTTTTGAAAAGTATTTTTGCAGGTATTTGAAGAATGGAGCTAACTAAAATTGTTTTGCATTTGTTAACATTTAGTGTTTCTTAGTTTTAATTTATTTCTGCAGCATAAACAATTGATATAAGGAGGGGGGAAAATCCCTCAAAGGTTACCTTTTGAAAGCTTGTTGTAAATGCAGAAAATAACTCCTTTACCTAGGGAGAGCTTGTGAAGATTAATGAGTTGTTTCTTTGGGTTCAAGTTTTCCACATGCACTGGGTCCACTATGGTGATACAATTAATTTCACAACACCAGGGTTTTGTCATCCAACATTCTCGTACCATGCATCTATGATAAGTATTCTTTAATTAAACCTCAAAATTTGCCACTGTTGTTACCTAGTGCAGCTGGAACGTAGATATACCTCTGTGGACCACAAAGGTTTTAACATGCAGCTGGGGAAGCTTAATAATAGAATGTTTACAAGAAAGCCTTCTGGTTGGTGTCCAAAGTTCTTAAAACTTTTAATAAATACTTCTATCTAAAAAACAAATTATAACAGGGGAAGTAAGGAACTTGTGTTTCTGTTCATAGCTTACAGAGGGCAACAAGGTATGCTCCCTAGCCAAGGAGGGGGGAACTTTCTTTCATGATTCTCCTCAGCTCCCAGCTTACTGGCAAGCACCTAGATAATTACTTTCCTGTGAATACAGCCGAGGATAACTCTTCTCTTAAGGACTTGGGTACAAAGATGCAGACGAGATAGGGTTGGTTTCATCTGATGGTCATTGTTCCAGCTTTATAAACTTAGTAAGCATTTATTTGCATCTCATTTGAACAGTTTTGGTGGATCTTTTAATCACAGTTCAGTAACAGAATTAAAGTATACATTCATTCAAAGGTTCTCAGGCCGGGCGTGGTGGCTCACACCTGTAATCCCTGCACTTTCAGAGGCCAAGGTGGGTGGATCACCTGAGGTCAAGAGTTCGAGACCAGCCTGGCCAACACGGTGAAACCCCGTCTCTGCTAAAAATATAAAATTAGCCTGGCATGGTGGCATATGCCTGTAATCCCAGCTACCCAGGAGGCTGAAGCAGGAGAACTGCTTGAACCCAGGAGGTGGAGGCTGCTGTGAGCTGAGATCACACCATTGCACTCCAGCCTGGGCAACAAAAGCAAAACTCCATCTCAAAAAATGAATATATCAATAAATAAATAAAAATAAAAATAAATAAAGGTCCTCAGTAATAAGCATAGTTTGTCTTGTTCTTGAATTCATAATTTTGTTCAATTCCCTTCTAGTGACTCGCTAAAAATTAGGGTGTAAAAATGCAATCTGCTGCAATGGCTGAGAGCACAGACTCCTTTTTGTATTACATATTCATTACGTAATCTTAGATAAGCAACTCAAATCTCTTGTCCTCAATTTCCTTATCTTTATTATGGGAATAATAGTCAAATTTAACTCATAGAGTTGTTATGAGGATTAAAATAAATAAAAACCACTTAGTAAGGTAAGAGGTATATAGTAACCATTCTAGTAATGGTGGTGATGAAGAATTAAATGATAACTAGTGATAAGTGTATAGTGAAGACAGAAGAAAGGTGAGCTACAGAAAAATTATTTTAGCAATCAATTATAATGAGAAAATGGTAAAATCTGTTACAAACAATATTTCCATCTCAGATTCTCTGGAGAAAAGCAGAATGAAAGGTAGTTTTTTCTGTCCTCACACGGCTCTGTTTTTTTTTTTGCCTCAGAGCACTGTTGCTACATGTCTTTAACGAGTTCTAGACCTTGAGAGGAAACTATAGTGGAAGAGATAAGTGGCAAGTATGTACCTAGTTGCTTGTCAGGTTAGAGGAGTGAAATATGCTTAATGGCAGAAATACCAGAAGATGAATTTGAGTTGCTTCTGAGAGTCCAGGGAGAACGTTGGATTTCTGAGGACCCTAAACCAGTAGGGGTACATGGCGCATCTCCGGAGACTGAAAACTGAATCTTCTATATAAGACAAAAATACTTAAGTCCAAACTTGATATGTTCACAACAGAACTGTGTTGGCAAGGGTAATGCAGGTTTGAACATGAAGCCTGACATGTATGGTAACCAGTGTGAAGTGAAGACAAGTTTGTCTCTTTAAACATTTCTGGACTGCATATTGGTGGAATTCTAGAGAGACCTCTAAAATGGCTGACAGTGAGCCTCAGAAAATCAAAGTAATAAAAAGAAATGAAGTCAACCTCGATCCAAAAGGAAGTTAGTCTCAGGCTCTATCTCCTCTCTCTCTCTCTCTTTTTTTTTTTTTTTTTTTTTTAAATCAACAGACATTCAGTATCCTGAAAAGAAGAGATAAAGGCTTCAGGCAGAGGGCAGCAACAAAAATGGAGGGTGCCTCTTCATATCTGAGATCTTGCTTCCTGAGACCATAGAGTAAGGCAATTACCTCGAAGATGAGGGAAACACACTAAAATTTTGGATCATGGGAAGAGCTCTGTATACTGAATAAGAATGAGTATTGATTTAGTTGACATTAAGCCAAAAATAGTTGTTCTTCAAATTAGTTAATGCAAATTAAATGATTCTCCAGATCCAAAATATTTTTTCTCCCAGGCTTAATGTTCTGGGCTAAAATAAATTTTTGATTAAAGAAAGTTTTCCATAGAATCTTCTTTTGTAAAAAGGAAGGGATTGATTTTTAATATATACTGCCCTTAGATATTCTTAAGAGACTGTCCTTCACACACCCCTATTGGCTTTCACATGGAAATATTTGTGCTGGTGGAAAACTGATTCAGGACAAGATGTACGTATTAGAAAGATGTCTCCTCCGTGGTTGGGAAAGGATGTAGTAACACAGGCAGAGAATGTAAGCAATGATTTTTCAAGTCCGATTGTTTACCAATGAAAGAGCATGGCAGAATAGTCTATTAAGATATTAAGCCATGTTGTGTTCTCTATGAGGGTAAGAAGCCTGGAACACATGAGAGATGAACTTTATCACACATACTCAGCTGCTGATTACCCCTACTCCAACGTATTAATGCCAAGCTGTAACTTTTGAAAATTTCAGTTTAGCATGGAAATAATTTTGTATTTTTATAGAATGAAAGGGGTTATATAAGAGGTTCTATGGTGGAATGTAAATGACAGGAAGAAGAATTTAGGGGATGTTGTAGAAAATGGGATCGTCTGCCTAGGTCACCTTTCAAGGAATAACTTGCTGGGTGTCTATGGGGGGTGCATGAGTAGATTTCTTTCATTTGTCTGCTTTCTCATACTCTTCAGCAGCTACAGAGAAATTCCTCCTGCCCCAATGTTATTCAGTGGAGAAATAATAGTCCTTTCATCAAATGGTGATAGAACAATGGGTGTACCTATATATTTTTTAAAGCATTGATATATATATAGATACATATCACTCATACATTATTAAAAATAAAATTATTACACATGGATCATAGATCCAAATGTAATACATAAATCTGTAAGACTATGAAAACAAAACAGGTAAAAATCTTTATGAACTGGAATTAGGCATGGAATTTTTTAAAGTGTCACCAAAATAAATCCATAAAAGAAAAAAAAACTGAAAAATTGGACTTCATCAAACTCAGACTTGGAGAAAATATTTCAGTCATATATCCAACAATGGATTTGCATCAAACTATACAAAAAAACCTCTCAAAACTCAACAGTAAGAAAACAAGTAGCCAAATTTAAAAAATGAGTAAAACGTTTGTCAAGACTTTTGTAAAGAGGATGTATGGATGATACAAAAATCTCAGAAAAAGATCTTCAACAAAAAATGCAAGCTAAATCCATGTACATATGAGAATGGCTATTTTTTTTTAAAGTCAACAATATCTAGTACTGTAATTGATGCAGAGCAAATGGAAATACCATATATTACTAGTCAGAATATAAAACCCTACAGTCATTCCAGCAAACAGTCTCAATTTATTTTAAATTCAAACAATTCACTGATTATATGACCAAGTAATTCCATTCCTAGGTATTTACCCTAGAGAAATAAAAACTTATATTTACACAAAATCTTTTACATAAATGTAAAACTGAAAACAACTCAAATTTTCTTCAATGAGTGTTATGAACTAAGTGTGTCCCCCACTCCAAATTCATATTTTGAAATCTTAACCCCTAATATGATTGTATTAAGAGGTGGGGCCTTTTTGAGATCTCTTAGTTCATTTTATGCATCTACAACAGAATAACACAGACTGGGTAATTTATAAAGAATAGTTTATGTAGCTCATGTTTCCCAGAGACTGGAAGGTCTGAAAACATGGATTCAGCATCTGGAGAGGGTCATCCCATGGTGGAAGGGTTGAAGGTGAAAGCAAGCACAAGAGGTAGAAAGAGGTATCAGGAACCACACTCATTTTAACCACCAACTCTTGCCAATACTGACATTAATCCACTCGTAAGGGCTCCACCCTCATGACATAATCGCCTCTTATTAGGCCACACCTCCCAGCACTATTGCATTGGGGATTAAGTCTGCAACAGGTAAACGTTTTGAGGGCACATTCAAGCCATAGCAGGAGATAAGTCATGAGGGTGGATTGTCACCAGAGATATTTGTGTCCTTATAAAAGAGACAACCAGAGAGTTCTCTAGCTCTCTTTCTGCCATATGAGGACACAGTGAGAAGACAGCCATCTATGGACCCAGGAAGTGGGCTCTTACCAGACACCAAATCTTTTAGTGCCTTAATTTTGGACTTTGTGGCCCCCCAGAACTGTAAGAAATAAATTGTTGTTTAAGCCACCCAGTCTATAGTATTCGTTTGGAACAGCATGAACTGATTAAGACAATAGATAAATGAATAAAATTACTGTTGAAGATGCATACAATGGAATACAAGTCAGTTATAAACATATTAACTGGTATACACAACAACTTGCAGAAACCTTAAAGTCATTAAGCTGAATGAGAGAAGCCCTCGCCATAGATACCAAAACTTATGATCTTATGTATGGTATATTCTTGAATAAACTTAACCATAGTAATGGGAAAAAAAAAAAATCAGAGGTTGCCAAGAGTTAATCATGGGGCAGATATGACAAAAAGGGACAGCAAAAGGGAGGTTATTTTGTATCATCACCGAGATGGTAGTTATACAAATTTATACATCTGTTAAAATGCATAAAACTGTGCACTAGAAAAAGGTAGTTTTACTACATGACAGTGTAAGCTATAATACAAATTACACATATAAGGAATTGCCTCTATTGTCCAAATGATACCTGAAAGTGTAAGTGTAATATATATATATTTTAAAGAGTTTGGTGGTTATTGATAATTTAAAAAATAAATGTAGGACTTATTCAGTTTATCTGTTTTGTCTTACATGACTTTGGTAGCATGTATACATTAAGAAATTCACTTATTTTACCTAAATTGTCAAATTTGAGGGCATCGAGTTGTTTTTGGAATTGTTTTACTTTGCTCTTGATGTCTATGGGTTCACTAGCAGTGTCTCTTCTTTTCCCTGCTATTAGAGATGTAAGTCTTTTGATTATTTCTCTTGGTCAGTTTGGCTAAGAATTCATCAATGTTATGAATATTTTCAAATACCCAACT
The DNA here is from genome assembly GCF_000001405.40 of Homo sapiens. Lineage (NCBI taxonomy): Eukaryota > Metazoa > Chordata > Mammalia > Primates > Hominidae > Homo > Homo sapiens. Next base: position 33,759,009 of record NC_000004.12, read on the forward strand.
TTTTTTCTTTCTTTTTTTTTTTTTTTTAAGACGGAGTCTTGCTCTGTCGCCCAGGCTGGAGCACAGTGGCGTGATCTCTGCTCCCTGCAAGCTCCGTCTTCCAGGTTCACGCCATTCTCCTGCCTCAGCCTCCCGAGTAGCTGGGACTACAGGCACCCGACACCACGCCCGGCTAATTTTTTGTATTTTTAGTAGAGACGGGGTTTCACAGTGTTAGCCAGGATGGTCTCAATCTCATGATCTCGTGATCCATCTGCCTCAGCCTCTCAAAGTGCTGGGATTACAGGCGTGAGCCACCACACTGGGCCCAACTTTTCATTTGATTGATTTTTCCCCTTTTTCTATTTGTATAAATTTGTAGGGCACAAGTATAATTTTGTTACATGAATATATTGCACAGTGGTGAAATCAGCGCTTTTTGATTTTCTTTATTCTTTTTCTTTTTTAATTTTTAATGATTTCTAGTTCATATTTAATTTCTTGCTCCTGTTTGCTTCGGATTTAACCTGTTGTCCTCTTAGTTTTTTAAAGATGAATGCTTATGTTACTTATTTTAAAACTGTCTTCTTTCTAATAAAAAACATTTAGTGCTATAAATGTTCCTCTCAACAGAATGTAAGCTGCATCCCATATATTCGATTGGTTGTATTTTCATTTTTATGATGGTCTAAATACTTTTAAATTTCTCTTTACGTATTCTTTTTGACTCCAGAGTTATATAGAATTATGCTCTTTAATTGCCAAATATTAGGATATTTTTAATATCTTTTTATTATTGATGTCTAATTTACTTCTATTATGGCTCAAGACATACTTTGCATGATACCTTTGCAATAAAATTGGTTTTGTGGCCAAGATGTATAGTGTTTAATGTTCCATGTGCACTGCTGTTGTTGGGTAGAATGTCCTATAAATGTCAATTAGTTCAAGTTTTCTGATGATTTTATAAAGGTCATCTATAACGTTACTGAATATGTCTGTGTAATTGTTCTGTCATTGCTGAGAAAGCTCTGTTGAAATTTCAAGCTATGGATTTACCTATATAACTTTTTGGTTTTCTTTCTTTCTTTCTTTCTTTCTTTCTTTCTTTCTTTCTTTCTTTCTTTCTTTCTTTCTTCTTTCTTTCTTTCTTTCTTTCTTTCTTTCCTTCTTTCTTTCTCTTTTCTTTCTTTTTTTCTTCATGTGTCTGGACACTGTTTTTAGAAATATGCACATTTAGGATTGATATGTCTTGTAGAATCATTCTTTTCAGATAATGTCCTTTCCTTTTTTCTTTTTATTTATTTTTAAAATTATTATTATTTATTAAGCACAGAAAGGGTCTCACCATGTTGCCCAGGATGGTCTCATACTCCTGCCTCAGCCACCCAAGAGCTGTGATTAAGGCATGATCCAATGCACCCACACAGGTAATATCCTCTTCCATGCCAAGATATAAGATATTATTTCTTGTTCTGAAGTTTACTTTGTCTTATATTAATATAGATATTTTAGCTTTGTTTTGGTTGATAATTTCATTGTATGGATTTTTGTCCATTGCTCAATAGATAATAATTGATTTTAATGAAATGACTCCCAATGTAGAAATACATTTATACTAGTGTATTTTTATTTAGCTCTATGCTGTAGTGAAAAATATTTTATTACTGACTATGCTTTTAAATTTTGGATTCTGTAAATGAAACATTAAGATTAAATTTTGAGTCTACTTATTAATATAACATGTGACTATCTCTAGATCTCCAAAAATGTAACATGCAAAAAAAATTTTTCAAATTATATTTTGTATTCTATTAAGCCCTTTATTGATTATCAACAATCCTGTCGACACTAATTTGGCTTTCTATGTTTTGTAAAATTTTGACGTGCACTAATGCATATATGTGAAGAATGAATTATTTTCTTAAGGGTGAAAATCAAAATTTATCACTTAAAATCTTGTCTCTGTAGCTAATTGTCCACTATTTAAGTTGACTGTAGTAGTACAAAGGATAAAAATGAATTGCTAAGATAATAAAATTTAAAAATAAATCAAGAGATTATACAGGTATACTGAAATTGAAAATTTAAGTAAATGAATGGTGGGTGGCAGACGCCAAGTTTCTCACTGTTGGGGTGTCAGTTTACTGATAAGCCAGAGAAGAAGGCTATAATGGTCCACTGGGCGTGGTGACTTCTGCCTGTAATCCCAGCACTTTGGGAGGATGAGGCGGGCAGATCACCTGAGGTCAGAAGTTCGAGACCAGCCTGACCAACACAGGGAAACCCTGTCTCTACTAAAAATACAAAATTAGCCAGGCGTGGTGGTACATGCCTGTAATCCCAGGTACTTGGGAGGCTGAGGCAGGAGAACTGCTTGAACCCGGGAGGCGGAGGTTGTGGTAAGCTGAGATCGTGCCTTTGCACTCCAGCCTGGGCAACAAGACTGAAACTCGGTCTCAAAAAAAATAAAAAATAAAAAAAGAAGACTGGAATGATCCATGTGATAATGGATTACAGCTGGAGACATCAAGATGAACTCAGCCTTTGCTTAATATAAATATAAATGACTACATATAAATTAATTTCTAGATATGTACATATATATGGGTTAGCATAAACACATATATTTCCTTGTTCTGTCAGCTTAGAGGTTCTAGAAGCAATGATGGGCTAGTATCATCAAGCCCATCTAATGCTAAGACTGCTTTCTTCATTCTCTAAATAAAGAAACCAGAATACTTAGAGAAATTACTCATGCTAGGACAGGAACAGGAAATATACAAAATAAGGCTGAAACATCTTGTAGTGCCATAAATAAGGAAGCACTCCAAAGTATATTTACATTGATGGGGGAATGTCAAAGGGACCTAGGAAATAACTCCCAAAGGCCTGATCCGGAACAATTTGAGTACAAAATAGATAAAGAAGCATTGAACTATAACCCAAAGTTTAAATATTCATAAATCTATAGCAACATAACCAAATAAAGTAACAAATTATTCATGCAGAAGAATTCCAAATAATTTATCTAGAGACTTTGACCTCAAGGATTTGGAGCCTATTTCTTCATACTCTAAGTGTGACGATGTCCTTCCAAAGACTACAGTATGGAAAGGGTGAAAAGAATAAACTTTCAGTGAAAAAGGCTGAAAAATGCTGCCTCAACCAAGTGATCAAGGTCAACATAAACAGCGGTTTATCATGTTAATAGTATGTACCCTTGATATGATGAAATGAAAATGGCACTTTTATGTGGTCTTCCTTCCCAAATTTTATGACTCTAGTCTAACTATGAAAAAAAAATACCAATTCCAATATTGGAGTATTCTAAGAAATGCTGGACAAGTACTCTTTAAAACTCTCAAAATATTCAAAAACAATGGAAGTCTGAGAAACTATCAAGAAACTCTAAGACTTGTCAAAGACGGTATGACAACTAATTGCAATGGGGTATCTCAGATAAGATGTTAGAACAGAAAAAGGACAAGGGGTAAAAACAGGAAATCTAAATAAAGTATGAAATTTAGATCATGATGATGTGTCAAGATTGGTTTATTAATTGTAACAAATGTAGCAGACTAACATAAGACAATAACAGGGGAATATAGATGTGGGATATATGGGAACTCTGTACTATCTTCTCATTTTATCTGTAAATCTTAAAGGGATGTAAAAATAGAATTTATTTTAAAATTATTATCTCTATATATAAAGAGGTAAGAGAGTTTCAGTAGGTCCTCCAATAAGTAATTAAAGACCAACATTTTAACAGAATATAATTTAAAGAAGCAATAAGAAATATGAAAATAAAATTTAAAGATGCAGTAAAAAATTATGAAAATTATCTTCTTAAAGGCAAACAACTAACAAGGTAGTGAAAAATGACCAAGATTCAGGGCTAGACAAAAGCCTGGGGAGATGAGCCTGGTTTGGGAGTAGCTTTTCCCCTGGAGGTCTGTGTTGATTCTGGGGAAGACTACTTTAAAAATGAAAAGAGCTTTACTTATGACAACTGAGGAATAAAGGGATGTAGCCCAGCTACAGATTGGTACTCAAAAGCCTATAATCTAGGAAAAAGTGAGAATCACAAATAGATGGGTCCTTACAGGGACTGTAGCTCAGCTTGTAATCATTTCCTCTCTTGAAATTGAATTGTTGTATGGCGGATTTTTTTAATTCCAAAGAAAAGCAGCAGAATTTAATGTACATATTTTTGGAAGAAAATTATTTTATCTAGTCCTGTAGTTATCCCCACACTCAGCATACATACACTCCTCCACTCAGTGTATACACACACACACACACACACACACACCCCCAAAACACAGAACTGAAACACAGAGATATGAAAAATTATTGAAAAACCAATAATAAAACAAATAAGCCCACTGTGATGGTTAATATTAGGTGTCAACTCGATTCTATTGACGGATGCCTAGATGGCTGGTAAAGTATTTTGTCTGAGTGTGTCCGTGAGGGTATTGCCAGAGGAGACTGACATTTGAGCCAATGGACTGGGGAGGAAGACCCACCCTCAATGTGGGTAGGCACCATCATTCAGCTGCCAGCATGGCTAGAACAAAACAGGTGGAAGAAGATGAAATAAGCTGGCTTGCTGAGTCTTCTGGCTACCTTCTTTCTCCCATATGGAATGCTTCCTTTGTTCCTCTCACCCTTGGACATCAGACTCCAGCTTCTTTGGCCTTTGGACTCTGGGACTTACCCCAGTGCTTTGTTGGGGCTCTTGGGCCTTCAGCCACAGACTGAAGGCTGCACTGTCAACTTCCCTGTTTTTGAGGCTTTTGGACTCAGACAGAGCCACTACTGGCTTATTTTTCCCTAGCTTGTAGACGGCCTACTGTGGGATTTTGTCTTGTGATCGTGTCAGCCAATTCTCCCTAATAAACTCACTTTCATATTTACATATATCCTATTAGTTCCGTCCCTCTGGATAACCCTGAACAAACACCCACAGATATTAAAGTTTTTAGACATAGATTTTATAATAATAATCATATTTACTTTGTTCAAATAATACAAAATAAGATTTAAGAATACCTACTCAAACTCAAATATATAAAACACAAAATTGAAATGTTCTAGCTAACTAAATGCAATAAAAGTATTTTAAGATCTCAGTGGTGGTGCTTCAGCTTAGACACAACTGAAACATGAATTTGAGTACTGGGCTGGAGTATGAGGTTGAGGACATAGAAGACACAATGAAACAATGTAGTATATGTTCAACTGGGGCCCTAGACCAAAGCTTGCAAATGGTAGACATTCAAAAAATATCCATTAAATGAATAAATACATGAAGTGGAAAGATATGCAGTGAACTGCCATTTAACAAATAATTGCTAAATTTTTATTTTACTTTGTTTAATGTGTGATTCAAAGACAATTAATTCAATCATAGTTGAATTAATCATAGTTTAGAACAAGAAATCACAGTTTAGACCAAAACCAAACCAAATATTATCATACTCAAGGTGTCTGAGAATGATTATGAGTACTATAGGATATTAGCTCAAGGGCTGAAATCGGTTCACAAAATCTCTGCCTTTACTCTTGCTGTAAGAACAATACTCTTTATGTATTTCCCTATTTGATGCCAATATCCTGACTATTAACAGTATTTACATGGAGTCTAAAAAAATGATAGTGACAACTCCATTCAATAGGTATAAGAAATACTATCTCTATAGGAGACAGTGTTTCAATTTTATTCAAGATAACTTTTAAAGTAAATCATATTGTTATTTAAATGAGGTCAATGAAAACTATTAAGTTTATTATAGAAATGTTTATTTCCTCCATAAAGACAACCTCTGAAGAGTCTACATTATTTGAAACTGAACGCCGGAATGGTATTCATGACTAATGGTTTTAAGCCAGAATTTACTTTCGCATGAAGCATATCGCTTCCCCCCACTTCTACATCAATAGGGCAATGTTTCACTTCCAAAAAGCACTTAATTTGGAGAGCTAATTTCATGTTGCAATAAAAATTCCACTGAATAATTCCTGCATTTTACCTACTCCTATTCCTTTTCCAAGGTATTACATACAGAAAAACATGCTCAGCGGGTTTCCTTAAACCCAATCCCTCAGGCAGAAAGAAAACATAACTTGGTCTGAATGATTTTTTTCCTCTTCCTGCCTTACTCTCTTATAAACTGACTCTACCTGACTGAAAATAGATCAGAGACTGTATTAAATTAACTTGTGCTCTTTTATTTCTGACTGCTTCAGGAAATGAATTTTCAAACCTGAAGTAAACTTATCTTCTTCCTCTTCTTTCTTCCCTGCCCTTCAGGAAAACCTTCTTGCAATATTGTTTCAGATGAAAGGACTGTAAACTCTATCAATGACTTTAAACATCATTATGGGGTGAGCATCAAACACTACTTGACTATACTTGGCTCATTTGTCCAGTAACATGTCCAACTTAACTATCATTTATTGAGGAATTAACATATATTAGCACTCACTGCAATTTTTTGATATATACTTATTCAAATGCACTACTTTTAATTTTATTGCAGTGTCATATAAAGTATTTCAGTGGTCCTTAAAATATTTTATCACCAGAAGAAATGGAGAATCATAGCTCCCAGGTGGTAGAATAAGATTTAGAAAATGAAACATAGTGCTAAAAGAGGGCTTAGCTGTTAGTGCATGACATGGTTACCCTATTACTTGGCACTTCTCCTTCCTGTTGCCATGTGAAGAAGGACGTATTCTGCCATGATTGTAAGTTTCCTGAGCCCTCTCCAGCCATGCTGAACTGTGAGTCAATTAAACCTCTTTCTTTTATAAATTACCCAGTCTCAGATATTTCTTCATAGCAGCACAAGAAGAAACTAATACAGTGCAATTACCTCATTTTTGCAGAAGAGGAAAATAGGACTAAAAGTGAAATGATATTATTAATATCAAAAGAACGTAAAGTATAATAAGTTTCTCTATGATCTGTCTTGGATACAAAATTCTTAATGGCATTAAACACCTCATTCATTGGGTTCTCTGTGTTCCTGATACCTATTTTTACTGTTTGTTATGTTCACTCATTCTTCTAGCCAACGTTTATAAGGGCCTCTTCTGTGTCTAATATTTTTCTAGGCTATGGGAATACAACAGTTGGATAAAAGGTAAATATTCCTTATTATCTAGAGTTTTTATTCTGGTAGGGGAGATATAACAAAGTAAATATATTTACTGTTGAGAAGAGGCAGATGAACCATAGAGCTAATGAAGCTTAATCATCAGGGCTCCTCATTTACATAGGCCCCTTCCAAGACTCGGAAGAGGCACTAACAGTATTTCACATGGTCATATCATTTTGTGTAATTGCAAATTATGTAATGTTTATGACAGTGGGTTAAGATGTTGCCTCATTCTACTTCAGCTTCTCCAGCCATCATACTTTTTCTTGTCTTGTCTAGACTTACAGAGGCTGCAGGCTTTCTTTGCTTCCAACTAAGGGGAAGTTGATGAAAAAATATACTTGGGTGACATTGCATTACCAATACAAATTTATTTCAATCAAACAACAAATTTAGGAAGTAAAATACAAGGAAATACAAGTATATTAAAGCTATAATCAGATACAAATATAATAAAATATAATAAAAGTATTTTAACTAAGCAAAATAAATAAATATATAAATATATCTATCTCTTTAGATATATAAAAATATATATAAAGATATATACATCAATTGATAACTGGGTAGATGAAAGATATGGATATGGATATACATGTGCTGAATAATTTAGAAGAGAAACAATCCAATAGAAAAATCGTTAAGATATTTGGACAAGTATTTTCTGAGTCTAACTAAATGATTAATAAAGTCATGAAATCATGATTATTCTCTTTAGTAATCAGTAAAATGTGAATTAGAACCAAGTTTAAATACCCTTACATACACAGGAAGATTGCTAATATTTAAAAAAAAAAAACATTTTGGAGGGCATGTGACACATCAAGAAATTTTATACACTGTTCTTAGGAGTGAAAATTGGTATAACCACTTCAGAAATCATTAAAACTCAATTATACAAATGAATGATACAGTAATTTCTTATATGGATATTCCCAATAGAAATCCATCCACTTCTTTACCAATAAAAAGTGCAATTATGTTCATTGCAACTATTCTCAGAACAAAATAATTAGAAGTAACCCAAAAAACTATTCATAAACAACTCATTGGAAATTTAAATAGATTTTAACATTTCAACAGAATGCCAAATAGCATTACATGCACTAGTATGTATAAATCTAATCAATGTAATGTTTACCAAAAAGAGCTATATAAAGAAATAGTTTAATTCATATGAAGTCCAAAAATAGGCAGATTCAGAGCAAAAAAAAAAAAAAAACCCTCATTAAAATAAGGTAGCATTTAAATTGGGAAAAAAATGAAGTTGTGATGCTTTCAATACTGGGTATTATATTTGTTTGCTGATTTGATAGATAAAAACATATTTTTGCCTGTAATCCCAGCACTTTGGGAGGCCGAGGCAGGCGGATCACAAGGTCAGGACATCGAGACCATCCTGGCTAACACGGTGAAACCCTGTATCTACTAAAAATAAAAAAAAAATTAGCGGGGCATGGTGGTGGGCACCTGTAATCCCATCTACTCGGGAGGCTGAGGCAGGAGAATGGCGTGAACCCGGGAGGCAGAGCTTGCAGTGAGCTGAGATCACACCACTGCACTCCAGCCTGGTGACAGAACGAGACTCCGTTTCAAAAAAAAAAAAACTTTTTTATTATTTTACATTTCCAAGATTATCAGCAAATGAGAACACTTTTTTATAGATACTGGCCATTTGACTCTCTTGTAAGGATTGCATATTCACATCATTTAGCCAGTTTTTTAAAATGGAATTTAGTATTTTTATTAGAGTTTACATATAAAATTATTATTAACCCTTTTTTCAGGAGCTATTTAGAAATACTTTTCTTTGTTATATTTATTATATTTCTTTAAAATTTTGTCTTGTTATATTTCTAATTGCTTATTTATATTCAGTTTATTTTCCTTTTGCCATGAAAGTTTTTAAAACATAAGATTTAATTTCTCAAATGATATGTGGTTTCAAAGCTTTCATCATACCTGGAGTGCTCTCCCAATTACAAGATGATAAAACTAAGCTTTTACATTTTATTTAGTATGCATAGTTTTTAAATATCTAAATCTCTAATCTATCAGAATTATAAAATGGCCAATGAAATGTGTATGTAAAAACACACATATATACACACATGTGCATGTGTATGCACATCATAAGCATTCACATGGATATACACATATGAATTGGCTAAAAGATCTTTAGCATCACACATGGTATACTGGAATGAGAGTTATCCCACATGTCATGTGATCTTGGTTCTAATCTCATTTTATTCACTATTTTGTTCTTAAACTTGAAGTAAGACACTTTATTTCTCTGGGATAGTTACTTTAACCATAAGATAAATTGATTGAACAAGATTAAATGTAAGGTATCCCATAATGTATTAGATAGGAACTGAAGAGTTTGCTTCAGTTCTGACAGTTTGTGCATGCTGTGTGTGGACCTGATCTCTGCAAGATCTTCCAAATCCATAATGTTCTGCCAGGTAAAATTTATTCTCACATCTGCAATCAGAGGGAAACTAATGTGCACATTATCTGTATTAGGCACATCTGTTATTCGTTGCTTAGCTCTTGAGTTCTTTTGTCTAGGTGGAATATCTGACCTCATATTTCCAACCACTGGTGATTTCACCAAGGTACCACAATATGGAAATCCATTCAATTTTTCAGGCTGCATAGGTTCTAACACTTATGACTCCAAAATAGAAGATTAATTTGAGAAATCAGTTTCATTTTTCTGGTAAGTACAAGAAAACTGTATATTTATGGGTAGTGTTTTTTGAAAGTTATATTCAACCTGTCAAGGGAAAACAAAATAAGGTAATGTTGAGTAAGAGGATGATGGAAGAGGTAGAATAAAATAAATTGAGGTGAGAGGATAAGAATCCCAGTGAGACAAGAGAATATCTTCTGTTTTTCATAGCTTTTGAGTTCAGATGAAGCATATGTGCTTAATTTATTATACTTCTTTTGGGCTTCTAGGAAAATATTCTTTAACCTTATGTTCTACAAAATTTCTTATGTGAGTGCTATGGAATGCACTACATCCTCAAAATTCATATGTTGAAGCCTAACCCCCAATGTGATGGTATTTGGAGATGAGGACTTTGGAAAATAATTAGATTCATATAAGGTCATGAGGGTGGACTACTCATGAAGAGATTAGGACTCTTCAAAGAAGAGACACCAGGGAGCTTGTACTCTCTTTCTCTCTGTGCCTCTCTCTCTCTTTCTCTCTCTCTCTCTCTTCCCACCATGTGAGGATGAGTGGGAAGGCCTGTAAACCAGGAAGAGAACCCTCACAAGAATCAAATTCTGCTGGCACTTTAATTTTGGATTTCCTAGCCTCCAGAACTGTGAAAAATAAATTTCCATCGTTCAAGACACCCAGTCTATGGCATTTTTGTTATGGCAGCCAGAGTTGACTAAAATGCCTATTACTTTACTCCCATTATCAAAATCTGTATTAGCCAGGAGTTTGCAGGAAAATAGACCAATGAGATATGTGTACATGTGTATCTATATCTAATGCTAATATCTATCTACACTATATTGATATCTCAGTATTTGCAGTCTGCAAACTGGAGACCAAGGAGAGTCAACAATATAGTTCTAGTATGAATCCAAAGGCCTGAGAACCAGTATAAGTTCTAGTCTGAGTCTGAGTCTAAAGGCAGAAAAAGATGAATGGATGTCTCAGCTCAAAGAGTCAGGCAGAGAGAGTGAATATTCCCTTACTCAGATTTTTTCTTTTATTCAGGCCCTCAATGGATTGAATGAGGCACATCCACAATGGGGAGGAAAAGTTGCTTTATTCAGTTTATTAATTTAAATGTCAATCTTATCCAGATACACCTTCACAGACACATCAAGAATAAACTTATCGAAATATATGGGCACCCTGTAGCCCAGTCAAGTTGACACATAAAATTAACCATCACAGTGAACTAGGTGGATATAGGTTTTGTCACTTTCAAAACAAATCAGCTCTGAGTAAATGTTTCTTCCAATTCTCAGTCTCTAAAACCACTTGACTAAAGAATTATTCTAATTTTCTTGTTCTCAATCACTCAAGCAGTGAAATAATCTAACAGCCAAAATATTCATAATATATTTGTCTTGCATCCTCTCACTGCCCACTTCATAGTGATCCATAATTATATCTCTAAGTATTTGACATGTTACACTAATTTGCTTTATTCTTCATAGCAATTTTCTTTTTTATGTGTTAAACAATACTGGTACAACAACAACAGAAAACTTAACTACTTACTTTAGAAAATGTTTGCTCCTAGAAGGTGGTGAGTTTAAATGATTGAAATCATTTTCTTTCTAATGTTAACAGCTTGATCATGACAGCTCTCAGTTCAAGACCTTTGTCTCACTGAATTGACCAACCCAAAACTACTTTGTCATAAACTTTCAGTTTTTCCAACCAATTGTCCGATTTTTAAGATCCTCTCTGGCCCTAAAACTTAACACGTATTCTTCCCTAATTTCCCCAATTTGAGACATGACAAAGACTCTCAAGATAGTTCTTGCTTCCTTCAGTAGGTATAATAAACTTAGCTTTGCTTTTTGAAAACATTTTTTTATGTTTATCAATAGTCTCCAGGCAGGTATAGAATACCAGAGGGGAAAAGACTTGAAAAAAAAATAGAGAAAAGGAAGATAATTAGATCTATCTTAAAAGCATGATCTTATAACCAGAAGAAACTACTGCATTTCTATAGAAGAGCCAGACAATAAGATAAAATTAGAATATTTTATGTACGCTATAAGGCAAGAGGGAATACTTTGGTGAGGACAAAGCAGTACAAGCATGTCTGTCACCCACTTTGTTTTGCAGCATATCTCCCTCAACCTGTACACAATTAATATTTCATAAGAATCCCAGTGATAGGTTACATGCCAGTCTTTTAAAAGAAGATATTTTTAATTTTCACCATTTTTAAATTGCAAAACACCTATTTCACCACCTACATTTTTTCTATGCATATTCTAATTTGAATATTAATGATCCTATATATTTGGTTTATGTTTATTTAAAGCCAACATATTTTTTCTAGTAAATGTATATTTATTATTTAACCATTCAACTTAAGGCCACAGAAAATAAAACCATAGTAATATGATTTTTTTAATATAGAAAAAATACTCGTTTATCAAAAGCACGAGAATCTAGAAAATACACAAGTATTTTTTTCTTAACCCTTAACTCACCATCTTTGACTTAAATACGAAAAAAAAAAAAGAATTAGGTGGTCCCACTATTAAATCAGGGAGACTAAATTAAACAGTTACTCTAAATAAGGTGGATAAAACAGACACTTTTTTAGAAGAAAGACCTGGGTCAGAAAAACAAAAGAGAATCATAAGACTACATGTAGCTCAAAAATATCGGCTTTGTTTGCTTAAAAATCCTATTCTAGCAAACCGTAATGAACAGAATTCAGGGTTTTGAACTCCAACATTATTATTATTATTATTACAATTTAAGTTCTGAGATACATGTACAGAATGTGCAGGTTTGTTACATAGGTATAGATGTGCTATGGTGGTTTGCTGCACCCATCAAACCGTCATCTACATTAGGTATTTCTCCTAATGCTATCCCTCCCCTACCCCTAAATCCCTCAAAAGGCCCCCGTGTGTGATGTTCCCCTCCCTGTGTCCATGTGTTCTCGTTGTTAAACTCCAACTTCTCTTGCTCTAGGATTCAAGGAATTGGTTCTAATTCAAACAGGTCTTCAGTTCAAATTTGTAAACCAAGATGTAGAAACCCAGTTCAGGGATCAGTGCAAAAAAAAAAAAAAAAATCCAAATGAGATGTTCTTAGGAGCAAAGGAGCAGGCAATAGAGAGTCCCAACCACACATGGCAAAAAATTGTTTCACAGCATGTAGAATTTACTAAATTATTTTCAGTCTCACTTGAATTTAAAATATATAAAAATAAATACCTGCAATACATTGAGCAGCTACACTATGTTGAGTAGTAAATGCAAAAGTCTTATAAACATTATCTTAATAGTTAAAATTGCGGCAAATTATTTCCTACATCTGTATTTTACAGTTGAGAAAAGGGAAAATATAAATAGTAAGTTTTTTGTTCAAGTTCACATACAATCTAGGTGACAGAATTCAAAACCACATCTGTCTGATTTCACAGCTATAAACTTTCACTGAGTTAGATGCTCATAAACTTTTCCAAAAAACGATTAAAACTTTTTTTTGTTGTTTTTGACTTTTGAAACATCCATATTAAGAATTCGTTTTCAGTTGTTGGCAAGATTTTGACATTAAGATGCAAATAAAGTCAAGATGATTTATGGTGTTTTGTTTTCTTTCTCCCAAAACCTGGATAGGATTCATTCTTTATTTTAGGAGAAATTTCAATTGTAGAGCATATTGTACCACTGGACATGAGTCTCTTTTGTGATGTCCTCTAATTATCACTTGAAATTACAGCCTTTGAAGGCACAGAATCTATTAGTTCTCTTCTGTCTGAATATTCTTCCCAATAACCCATTCTACATTCACCGCTGCACAGCCATGTGGAGCTGCTCAGTCTTTTATTGAGACTCTTGATTGAAAAGCCTCATGGGACTGTGAACAGCCAAGGAAAGAGAAAAGGATTAGTAGTAATAATACTAAGATTGGACCAGAAAGACTGATTCAGCAGATATATGAGCCATAATTTCACATTCTACCATCCCAGCAGCAAGGGAACTAATTACATGGCAGACACTCTGGACTTCAGGTACATTTTTCATTTCACCTCTGTTGAAGTCAAGTATTCCGAAGAATTTACTACATGAAACAATGTGTTTGATGCCAAGATGCACTAAAATATGTATGACAAAATTGTAATATCAGGCTATCCATGTTACAACAATTCCCAAAGCTATGAAATTACTGCTTCTTTTCCCATTAATGAGGGGACTCTATCTCAATCAGTGAAGTGCAATATCCTTGTTCATTGTGATACCTTATAGCATACCACGTGCAGTGATTGTGCTTTCCAATAAAACTTACTTAATGAACTTTGGGGTATAGAAAAATGTCAAGTTGATGTTGTATGGTGCAATTTTTGCATTATGTATATTTTAAAGGGGAATGTTTTGTTTCTGAAATATAAAAATTATCAATGACTATAAAATTAACAGTTTCTCATTCTTCAAGTCCTTATGCTAATAAAATGTGAGTTTAATATTTCTTTTTTTATTTATGGTTTTTAATTTTTTTGAATTTTCAATCAACTGAAAGTGTTCATTGCATATGCAATATGTGTGTGTGTGTGTGTGTGTGTGTGTATTATGTTGAGTAGTACAAGCAAAATCTTACAGATATTACCTTAATAGTTAACATTGCTGCAAATTATCTCCTACATGTATATTTTACAGGTGTGAAAATTGAAAATATAAATAGTAATACACACACACACATCTGAAATAGCCATTATGAGCCGGTGATATTTTTTAAATGACCGTCACTAACTTCAAGTGATCTTAATTATGTATTGGAAGAAAGCTTACAAAATAATTTTTAAAAGCAAATAAATAAAGGAATCATATATAGAAATAGTTATTAGTATGCACACAAAATTCTATGCAAGTAAAGAAATGGATTTTTGGGTCTCTTCAAATTGATTCCTGTTCATTCTTTTCATCTCATGAACATCAGTCCTCATCTAGGTAAGTTTTAATTCCATGTCAGTGATCTACTCATCATCAAATCTTACTGATATCCCTAGTCCCATGAACCATCTATTTTCACATGCATTTTGATCCCCTTCCCTTTGCCTCACAAGCAGCTATGCCAAATATTTGCCACTTTTATGAATATTCTTAAATAATGACTACTTTTTTTTAAAAAAAATAGCACATTTTATAGCACAAGCTAAATGCTAGGATTATAGTTATATAAAAGTCAGATGCAATTTCTGCCTTTACAGAAGCTACAGTCTAGCTGATATTGCCACTAAGTTAAAACTTACACATCTCAAATAAATATCTAGAACTTAACAGCCTATTGTGGGCCGGACACAGTGGCTCATACCTGTAATCTCAGCACTTTGGGAGACTGAGGCAGGTGGATCATTTGAGGTCAGGAGTTCGAGGCCAGTCTGACTAAAATGGTGAAACCCTGTCTCTACTAAAAATAGAAAAATTAGCTGTGCATGGTGGCATGTGCCTATAATCCCAGCTATTTGGGAGGCTGAGGCAAGATAATCTAATGAACCCAGGAGGCTGAAGTTGTAGTGAGCTGAGATCGCGCTCCAGCCCTGGCAACAGAGGGAGATTCTGTCTCAAACTCAGAAAAAAAAAAAAAAAGTGAAGACAGCAGCTAATGGTTCACCAAACACTTCTTATCTTTATCTTGTACAAATATCAAATCTATTCTTCACAACCTTTATTTTTTGTTAAATATGGCTGTGTTATTGAGTGACCACTTTACTGGGTTCTAGATATCAAATGCATGGAAATGATGTGTACCACATCTAGCAAGGCCCATTGGTATTACCCATGTATGGTTCTCTCTCACTTGCCCTTCCATTGAAAACCACCATATCTATAATGGTAGAGATTTCATAGGAAAGTAACAAGAGACCCTGAAGCACTGATAAGAAGAGACCAACCTATTGACCAGAACCATCCTTTCGCTCCTTATGTAAGTGATGAAGGCACTTCTACTGACTGCAGCCACAGAGATTACAGGGGTTAGATTTGATTTCTCTGATGTTACTTTGGCTAATGCAGAACTAGATGAGATGAAGGTATAAAAATAACTCTTAAAATATGTGATATTGACTTCATAATAGGGTAGATGAAAACAAGGAAACATATTGGAGGCCGAAGAGATGCAAAACCATCATATGTAGTGATACAGTATACATTAAAGGTATTACTGCCATGACTTGTGAGGCAGTTCACATTGCCTATAGCTGCAAGAGAAGTAATTGAAGTGATAATATATGTTGGCTTTTACTTTCACCTTTAGACATATTTTACTGGAAATTCACGAGCATTGACTAGACAATTTGTAAACATAAAAAAGAGAATAGAGAGAATTTATAAATTTCAGGATACAAACAGTTGGAAGAGGAAAGGACTATATATCACCTAATGACTTAAAACTTTGAGCTGGGGCAATGACTGGACTGGATTTTGGGCAGATTCCATTGCAACCAGGGTGTGTTTCTAATATACGAGAAGATGATAGCCAGTGGCCAGAAGGAAAAAATATTTTCTAAGACAAAAGGGAGCCTTTACATAGAAGATATATGAAATTTTGATTACTGATTTGAAGATAGAAACACGCTTTTTGAATTTAAGTGATACTAAATGAACACTTATTATTATTTTAAAGATTTTATTTGTTACAGAAATCAACATTAACTAAGACATTTAACCTTCCCTCTCACACTGCTATGGTTGAATGTGCTCCCAAAATTCATGTTAAAACTTAATCCTCAAGGTAACAGTATTAAGAGACAGGGCTTTTAAGAGGTGATTATGTCATGAGAGCAGAACCCTCATTAATGGCATGAGAGGCCTTATATAAGGGCTGGAGGGAACTAGCTAGGCCCTTTTTGCTTTTCTGCCTTTGGCCATGTTAGGACACAGCAACAAAGCACCATCTTAGAAGCAGACAGCAGCCCTCACCAGACAACAAATGCTGGAGCCTTGATTCTAAACTGCCCAGCCTCCAGAACTATGAGAAATAAATTTCTGTTCTTCATAAATTACCCTGTCCCACATATTTTGTTATAGCAGCCCAAACTAGACTAAGATGCATACTATTGCTGTGATATCCCAAATATGCATGTGTATATGTTTGCGTGCATTTATGGTGCATAAAAAATATTTATCTTTATCTATCTGTTGATCTATCTAATCAACTATACCTGCTAACAAATTTAATGTATTAAAATCTACATTTTCCATAGGGTAAGTCTCAATTATTATTAAGAAAAAGTGTCCCATTGTCTGTTTTTATTTGCTTGTTTTTTAAGATCAAATCAGGTTTATTTTTAACGCTTCTCCTAGTAGCTCAGGATAACACTGGAGTTTTGAATGAATTGATTGTTCAAAGAGGAGAAAAAGTACCCATTTCCATATACTTCCCAAGTATTTCTTAGGTATATCTTCCAGGTATCTTCCTCTCTTTTCTGCTATCACTCTATAGTGAGAAAGAATTAAGAAGAGGTAAGTACACATTATCATAACAGCCTACAGTGAGGTTGTTGTACTTCCTTGGCACATCAAAATTCTGTTGTCTTATCTCATTGTCTACAGGTTCAATATAGAAAAGTCTAGTTATTGAAGAGCTTTCTAGCAAACAGCTTTCTAAGGCACTGGTGCTCCTTTGTGAATTGGCTTTATCTTCTTTCTGATTTGCAGGCAGCACCCATGTGTTGCATTTCTTTTAAACATGTATTCTTCTTTGTCTTATGCTATAGAAGGTCCTAGTAAGACTGTGAAAGAGATGAAGAATTAATAATTATAGAAGTACTAGTCATGAAGTAACCTATATTGAGAACTTACTAAGTTCCAAGAACTAAGTTCTTTGTATGTTAAATAATCTTTAATCATTATACTATTCCTATGAATACTATTTTCCCCATTTTATGATATGAATACCAAGGGACAGAAAAAACTCTCACAAACTGATCAAGAAAATGGTGAGAACTCTTTAAAACTCCAAGGTCAAGAGTACAATGGAAGACAGCATCTAAGATGTGTTAGAAGTTAATAAGAAAATAGAAGGAATAAGTTCAAGAGGTCTATTGTACAACATAATCTTAAAAAAGAAATAAAAGAAACGGGTATTATTTGTAAAAAACAAAAAATCTCATATGCCAATACATTTGGAATATTTAAATAAAATGGACAAATTCCACTTACTAAATATGACATAAATAATAGCATGCAACTTCAACATATGTGGAACTAATAGAGCAGTTCAGTCATTAATTAAAAGCATTTTATGAAGAAAAATTCCAGCCCAAATGGCTTTATTAATACAGCCTACCAAACAATCAAATAGAAAAACATAAAATATTCCATAAATACTTTCAGAAATAAGAAAAAGAAAGTAGAGCAAACATCTCATTTTGGGATACTACTGTAATATTTTTGGGAAAATCTAAAAAAAAACAAATTTTAATATCATTAATGAAAATAGACACAAAAACTCTTTAGAAAGTTTCCAATCAAATCTAGAATTATATTAAAATGGTAAATAAGATAGGGCATATTAAAGAGCAGTAACTAATAAAACAAAGTATATGTGCAAATAAATACGATCAAAAAATCCAAAAGATAATTTGCAAATTAAGTTTAAAATCTGATATTCAAGCAATATCCACATTAACATAATTAAAGAGATATATCATATGATTATCTCAATAAATGCAGAAAAGCATTTATGAAATTAACAGGTATTATTAATTGAATACATAAGTTAGAAAAGGGAACACTGTTGTTGCTGTCATAAAGCATGTTTTTTAAAAATCTACATCAAACATAATGAAAGGTTGAAAGTCTTTTCTTTGAAATTGTGAAAATGACAAAAATGCACTCATTCAACACATCTATTCAATAAACTTGAAGGTCCCACCAATGCTCTAACATAAGAAAACAATAAGAGCTATAGATATAGAGACTTAAAGGACAAACAAGTCTGTTATTATTTTAGAAAATAGTTCGTCTTCATAGAAAACCCAAAAGATATTATAGTCAATATATTAGCATAAATAAATGACATTCTAAGTGCTCATGGAGATAAGATTAGCATAGAAAAATCACATGTACCAATATATAGAAAATTGATAGGTATATATAGAAAATATATATCAATATATATGTGTATGGGCAACAAAAATAACAAAAACAAATACTTTTTACAATAGCATTACAATGATCAAAAATTACTAATAAAACTAATAAAAGATAAGTAAATCTGCTATTCAAAATAAAATTTTAAAGATATTTTAAACAAATTAAACTGAGGAATAAGCCACAATAATGGAGCTGAAAGGCTCAAAATTTATAAACTTTCTCATAAAATTGATCTAATTATTCATTGCAATCTTTTTCAAATAGCTGACACTTTTCTTATGCATATTAACAAATTCTAAAATTCATATGGAAACTAAAGTGTCATGAATAGCTACGAAACTCTAGAAGAGGAAAGGAAGGAAAAAAGATGAGGAAGAGGAAGAGGGAGAAAGACAGAGGGCAAGAGGGCTTGTTATTGGTATCATGTATATTTCTGATTTTTTATTCTAAAATCTCAATACTACTCATTTATAAGTTAAAATATTATTAAAATCACCAGCTTATCTCAATCACAAAATGCCACCACTTAAACCACGTAAAAAACTACTAAAAGTACTTAATCTACTACTACTATTACTACTACTACTAGCTAACATTTATTGATCACTTGCTATATGCTAAGCAATCTGCCAAGGACTTTTATGGATTATCTCATTTAACCCTTAAAATACATTTATATGGCAGCTATCATAATTGTTCTTTCTTTTCTCAGGTGAAAATGTATTAGAGTGAGTAAAGTACTAACAGATGCTAGAGCCAACATTTGAACCATTTTTATCTTGTTAACTCTGAAATTTCAATCACTGATGCATCAGATATCATTTTAACAATAAAGACCAAAGTAAGATGATTGGTTTTAACTTATAGATTCAATACGGTGAAACAGAACTACAACTGCATTGGTAATCAAGAAAGAAACTAGACTGGACTGAAAAGTCCCAGGTTTACAAATTAATTTTAAGTGATGGTGAAATTCATTTTTCTATTGTTCAAAAGGTAGAATTACAGTTTTAGGAATCTGTCCATTTACAATGACCCATGGGTTTTCCGTGTATTTTGCCCTGCTGCTCAGTGAGAAACGTGGTATTTAATGATTAAGGTACAATAGAATTTCCTTTTATCTTCTCGACCATATGTCCTGGCATACATAGTGCATGTGAATAGAACTCAACATCCTCATCCAATATCTTTCTTGGCAAATATAGTTTTACTGCACACTAAACTTACTTTATACTGCTTGTAGAATAAGAGAAAATGTATTAGAGTAGCCTGTCCAAGAAATGAAAATGACAGATAAAAGATTTAAATATGAACTACAGTACCAATAAAGGCTAACAAAATGCTTGCAAAGAGATGTCTAAGTAATAACATTTATTTTGATGTAATGTTATTTAGAGCTGAGGACAAGGGCCTCTGTTCATTCCAGGAAATGGAGTTAGTAAGAGGAGTTCAATTAAATGCTGCTTCTCAGAAATATGGGTCAATAATTATTGGTCTCTAAAGGCTAGTTTTCTATCCTGCCATTACACTGGGGTTTTCTGACATTTTAGGAAAAAGTATTTTCCTTATTTTGAATTCTATTACACTTTCTTTTTATCACACTATACATATTTCTGAAATCTTTCTTATATAAAAGTAAATCTATTTTTAAAGGGCAAATAGCAATATTCAGGAAGATTATTTATTTGAAGAAGACATTGAGATTTTTCAAAAGATAAAATTTCTGTGTCTGCAAAAGCTCATGATTTGAAAGCAGATGGCATTTATATAACAACAAAATAGAAATTAATTTGTTTTGCTCTTGGGACTTGAGAAATGCAGGACGTATTAGAGGGATAAAAGATGCAAGCATTGTCCTTTGGAAAACCCTAAAATTTTATATAAGGGTAAAAGTAAGAACCAGATTTGGGTTCTAGTACTGGTTTGCAACTAATTAGGCTTTCATTCTTAACTAAGTCCTTCATCTATTATGGGCTTCGAATTAAATGGTTTGATAAATTCACTCAGTCAATGAAAATGTATGTGATCATGTCGGTCAAATTATGTCTGCTCTGTCCAAATCCCTCCATGAGTTTCCCATCACTTCTAGAGTAAAAGCCAAAGTTTTGAAAATGACAACATCGTCTAATACTCAATTCTTCCAAACTTCACACAAGCCTCCGTGGCCTCACTGCTAATGCTAGACTAAGGCCAGTCACATCTCCCAGGGGGGCAACTGGCTGCACACACTGGCTGTACCATGTGTGTCTGGAATGCTGTCTTCCCTGGAGAAGAGTCTTTGCTTGACTAAACTTTAGTCGGGATCCTAAACCTTCTTCTAGGTCCATCTGTTCACTTCCTTATAAAATCCAGTTTTAGCAAAGACTACTGCTAAGTTCATTTAGTGAGAAACCCCCACCCTTGATGTCTGATCACTCTCAATATCTGATAAGGGACCTCATCCTTTACCATCCCCTAGATGATGTCTGATCACCCTGGCCTTTCTTCAGCAAGAATTCTCTTAGGTCATCTTCACTAGAATCCTCTACAATTATGATGTTCCCACTTATTAACTTGCCATGCACTGATCCTTATCCTGCTCCTCGGCTATAAATTTTCACTTGCCCATTCTATATTTGGAGTTGAGCTCAATCTTTCTCCTTTAATGCAAACTACCATTGCAGTGGTTTAGAAACACTCAGGACTGATTAAACTTACAAAGCATCACCAGATTATCACAGGAAAAAATATATATGCATATATACTTTTTACTATATTTTACTATATTGCATATATAATTTTATTACATGTTATATATAATTTTTCAATAATAAAAAGGCATGATAAGAAAAGATAACTAAATACAGTCCCTGGAAGAGGTAACACTGTAGAATGCTCATTAGAGGTGTTAGGTAGAAATCTATTGTTATATTTTCTGCAAACCTATAAAACAGCATCTAAATACACATACAGTTATTCCAATATACGTGGTCATTGGAAGTAATTATGTATCAGTAGACTCATATTACCTTAATTTTTCCAATTAGTATTTCTGAGTGAACCATATGGACAAGGGTAAAAGCCAAAGTTTTAGATTCTAGCAAAAGGAGATAATTCTTTGGTTTAAAGATGTGGATGAGAATTATAGGTATTATGAAAGCCTGGTGACTCCACTGTGCTCTCTTTATCTTATACTGATAAGGAAGGCTGAGACACACTTGGAATAAGAAGTAAAATATTGGTTGCTCAAAGCGGTAAATAGATAATAAATAAACATGATAATTACAGAATACTGTATGTTCTGTTAAGGAAATAAAGTAGGGTAA
Organism: Homo sapiens; assembly: GCF_000001405.40. Lineage (NCBI taxonomy): Eukaryota > Metazoa > Chordata > Mammalia > Primates > Hominidae > Homo > Homo sapiens. The sequence goes on from NC_000004.12 coordinate 33,781,294, forward strand.
TTGAAGAGTAAAGTGAAGAGGACACTTTGGGTATTCACTAAGACCTATTTTAGCTAAAATCCCTGTCTCCCTGCGCTTTTTTTATGGAAAGAGAAAAAGAAGTCCATTTGGCTTTAACTCATATCAAAGGATGAGTCACAGGATAGAAGTCAGAGAGGTTAAAAAGAGTCAGAATTTATTGCCACTCATAGCTTTATTATGATTCATTGTCATTGTAAGGTTTTCTGCCAAAAAAAAAAAACGAAGATTTTTTTTTCTTTCTGTTTTAGAAGAATCACTTATGCAGCACACAGCACTGAAGAGAAATCAATATAGTAATACTACTTAGGAGGCTATTGGAATAATTTGAGTGAGAACCAATATAAGCTTGGACCGGAATGATAGGAGAGGAGGTCGTGAGGAGTGGTTGCATTATGGTTATATTTTGAACATAAAGCCAGCAGAAATTATTAATGAATTAGTTATTTAATGTGAGAGAAAAAGAGGTGTCAAGAATGACCCTATGGTTTTTACATCTTAGTACCAAAAAGAATATAAGGAGTTACTAACTAAAATAAAAAAAATTATGGAATAGACCTAGAAGAATAAAGGAGTTACTAACTAAAATAAAAAAATATGGAATAAGACAGGTTTCTGAACAGAAGATCAGGAACTCAATTTTTTGCATATTAAGTTTAAAATGACTATAAGATATCCAAATGTCCAAATGTGAAGGTTGATTAAGTAAAATAGAGTAGTCTGAAATTAACAAAAAATGTTAAGGAGTAAGGATGTATAGATGTTTTTAATTCCATGAGACTAGATGAGATTACTACTGAAGTGGTACCAAATGGAAAAATATGCCCTCAGTAACAATAGAGACCTATGTAGAAACATGTCGTCAGTAGTCTCACTGGCTGTGCACTTGCTTCTGTTTAGGTTTCCAGTTGTCAAAAGAAAGAATTTGCTATAGCTCAAATGTCATAAAGGACAAAGTCATAGGTTGAATTCTGGCTCTATATACAGTTAGCTGTGTAAATTAGGGAAAGCAAATTAAACTCTGAGCTGTGTCTTTATTGATAACAATAGGACACAGATAATATGTTCCTGATTTCTGATAATATCTTCCATTCTGGTAGTAAATAATTTTTGTGAAAAATTAATTATTTTTGAAATTAATAAATATATATAAAATAAAATTTCTGTTTTACCCTTAACAATGTGTAAACTAATTATCTTCCTCCTTTGACTATTAACACCCTTCTCTAAAGAGCTATTTTTTCTAAATAAAAATCAAAACTATTAAAACAGAATGAAAAAATTTTGTGATATGCTCTGATTGCTATTTTTCTTGATTATTAGAAGAATTTTATTATTGCCTCACTTCAATAATTTGAAATGCTTAAACATGTTGGCAGCCAAAAAAAGATTGAAGTAGTTCATGCTAGTACTGGTCACAAAACATATAGTTTCTATATAATCCAGTAATGTCAAAGGCTATCAATAAGATGTGCTGTATAAATATATACTTTATATACATATACAAAATAAACAAATATATATAGATATATAGAGAGTAACAGAGAGAGAGACCCACAGCTATATATATATAAAAAATGTATATGTGTTACTGCCAAGAAAATGTGTGTTTGTGAGTGTAAATATATAGGGATTTGGTGTTTACATTTATACTTCAATTTCTTCTGTTTGGAAAGTGACTATCTAAAAACAAAAGCAAAAATAAAACCTAAGAGTTTTTGAGGCATTATTAACATCAGTCAGTTCTTATGGAAAATATACTTGATGCGTGAAGAGTGAATAAGTCAAGTTTTTATAGTAATTAACTTTCCAAGTGGTCAAACTGCTAAATTCCTCTACACTGTATCTTTCTCTAAATATACAAAATGTCTAAAAGTCCAACAATCAATGAACCATGCAAAATTTTTATGTATATCCTCTCAAGTATGTGATTATTCTTATTTTCTAAATGTGTATAAGTGAAAATTAAATTTGAAGTAGTACAGTTGAATATTATATATATGTGTGTGTGTGTGTTGGGGGGGTTTAGGAATTTAGTGTTAAATTTTCTTACAAATTCACGTTCGACTAATTTATAATATTGAACTATTATTAAAATTTAAAAGTTGTAATCCTTTAATCTAGGCTTGGTATTCTTAGTTATTTAATATTAAGTTGTTGCAAAAGTAATTGCAGCTAACCAGCCAACAAATTCGGTTAAAAGCAATTACTTTTGCACCAACCAAATTCTAATATTAACCTAATACTTAGGAATATTTTGAAATTTCCACATAATTCAAATTCATGTGCATGTGAATTCAGTAGTGTCTGGTTGTCTTGTGAAAGAATGTTATCTGAATATAGCACTTGAGTTTGATATCTCTGGGTTCAGGTTATTGACTGTCAAGGGATTGAGGATCTATAGGTTAAATTTATAATAATGTTTAAAAGCCAGGAAACAATACAGATGAAGTCAGGAAATACTAACTTAATCGAAGTTCTAGATTTTATAAGAAGTTGGATTGGTTGAAACAAGACAAGACTATATGTCTCAGAAGCTTCTCAGAAGTTAAAATGTTTTATGCAATTTGTACAATATTACTTAAAGGTTTAAAATGTTTTTTGTAAATAAATAACATTTTTCTGAAAAGCAATTTTTTATTTTATTTGGAGGCTTACATACGTACTTTTTAACCTAAGAAGTGAACCACTTCCAAAGAAAATAAACATAAATAAAGTTTAAGTGTATAATTGTTTGAAAATCCAAAACAGTCCAATAGTAAGAAATTGGACTACATGTGTAATGATTTATTCACAGAACACACTAGCATAAAATCATTAATATATTTTCAAAGAACATTTAATAACATAAGAAAAGTTTATTTAAAAATGCACAGTTAAAAAGTACAAGGAAGGTTATTATCATTTATTTTATATTCATCACTTTGATTAAATTACAAAAAGAAAAACTATACGCAACCAACCATGTGTTGATAACAATGTGTATTTTGTAAGTGATATTTTGAATAATTTACCTTTCTGAAGTTTTCCAGACCTTGCACAGGTAATGTTTTTGTCATAAGAAACAAGTAATTTATTGAAAAAATATATTCTTGGCTATCTTAATATTTTGTTATTCATACAAGCAAGATACCAAGTAGGTCTCATGTGCTTTTATTGTCTCAGAACTTGGTTTATACTGAGGAAAATCAATCTATATTTATTGGTGAACTAAACCATATTGCTTAAGATCTCTCTATACACTATTCTGATAAAAAGCTATAAAAAGAAGAAAGAAACACAAACTTTCATAAAACATTTGTTTGTTTGAAGTCACTTAGACTTAGCATTTTTCCTTGAAAAGCTTCATGAATAATTGAGCCTAATGTTCATGAAAAGCTCTGGCTGAATTCTAAAACTACAAAAATGTATACTGTTACAACAGGCCTATTAAGGCAATTTAAATTTGATATGAAATGGATCCTAGACTATACAACAGAACTGACTACTGAGTCAAAAGGACTGACTTTGAAGAATGATGATATGGGCTTATAAATGTCATCATGAAAGTGCTGATGTAAGGCAAAGTCTAACGTGCTCACTAGAAATTTTAAAAGAAAACAAAGTTTGAAAAATAGAGATTGTAGAGATTGTAGCTCATTTAGAATTTGTCTAGCAGGCTTACTGGCTCACCACCTCCCCACTCCCCGATACACACACACCTACTGATAGAAGAACTGGGTTCCCAGTTGCATCTCTGTTTTTAGTAGCTGTGAGATTTTGAACACATTTCTTGAGGTCTCCTAGTTTCAGGGTCCTAATTCACTAAATGGATTAATAATAGTATTTACTTCCATCTCATGTGTTTTTAGTGTGCATTTAATGTGCTAATTTTTCTATAGTTCTTAGTATTATACCTGGAAATACTCACATTTATTACTATGATTATTTACTTACTTTCTATAGTTTTCCTGTACAGGAGAATCAGATAAATGTATTATTCAAAGCTCCTAAAAACAGACCAGGAACCACAAGTGAGAGAGTTTTCAATCTCAATGGAACAAGAACAAACTGATCAATAGGTTTCTCTTCATTAAATAGGAGGGCTTTAATTCATGTTGAAATATGTGTTGGACATCTATTCATACTTGAAGTTCCAATTAAGATGAACTGAAGTAATACAGGCATAGGATCTTTATAAACTGTGAAGTTAAGTGCAAATATTAGGGATGATTGCTAATATCACCAGAATTTCTTTATAAGCATAGCAATTGATATTCAAATTAGCAAATATCTTTTGCAACATACTAAAGCACTTTAAGAGTTAGTTTTTCCTTAGGAAAAAATATATATCTTATTTCCTAGGAATAATTTACAAACTTGAACAATTTAGCAGAATTTGCATTATCAATTATTTTAAAAGAGTTTCATTTTAGGAAAGTCCTTTTTAATTCTATAATATTGTAATTCATCTTTATTTTAAATGGTATAACTTCTATACTGAATTAATATTTTAATTTGACTAAAATTGCATTTTCCCCTAAACATACCTTTTCATGAACAAATATCTCTATGCAGTTAAAAATCAGTTTCAACTTAGGATTCATCGTCATAGAATATATTGGGCAAAAAAAAAATGTGAGTCTATTTGCCAACTCAAAGCACTGTGAACATTGGTGCAGTGAATATATATTAACTCTCCAGGGAAGGTTTTCTGACAGTAGTGCTTATATGACACATACTATCTCTTGACCCATGAAATGCATTGCACATGATCAATTTGTTACTTGAATTGTCCTAATGGGAGAAGGTTGTCATTCACTCACTGAGGTAAATTGAGTGTAATAAATAATTTCATTGGCTGCATCATTAATATTGTATTATTTATGTAAATAAGAGCAGCGCTTTATATCAGTTTTACACTGAAATACTATTTGATATTTATGTGGTAAGTTTTAATAGAGCACTTAAAAAGACCAAAGAAACACAATATTTTTGTCTTATTTTACCCTTAATATTGTGATGGGTAAATGAAATTGAATAACCTAAATAACTTGTGACTGGCCAGCCCTTAAAAGAGAAACAAATCTATTTTATTCTATTCTGTCTTTTTCTACCATATTATGAATTTCTTCATACATGATTATGGTTTCTCAGACTAAGGTTAATAAAGATACACAATGACCTTAGGATCATACTGGACAGTTTACAAAGTACTTCCACATCTATTTGAAGTGGGTTCTGACTTTTCTGGCTGGACTTCATCATGAATTGACTCAGAAAGCAAGTTGCCAGGGCAGAGAGCAAACAGTTCACACAATTTTGCTCAGACTATATTGAAAGTTACCAAGGAAAAATGAATTGAGTATATGAAGCAATTTGAATCATCTAAAACTCAACACCTATTTATCAAAGGTATCTAGCAGACTATTTGTACCCAAAAATCTAAACATGAGTTTTTGAGTAAATTAAATTTGGATTTGGCCAGAGTTGTAGTTAAACCAGTTTTATTTTTTTAACTGTCATAAACTTGAGTTCTTCAAGAAAGGTAGATATACCTTACTGCACGAGATGATTAAGAAAACTAAAGAAATGAGATAATGTGTGAAATTTTCAGCAGGTGTCTCTTTGAACCATGTTCATACGCTTCTCATTTCCCTACTACATTTTACTGTAATGCAAATTTACTTTAAGCCTTCTCCCACAGATTATGAGCTATTTAATTGCATGGGAATTATATTCTTCTTCTCTGCATTTCTAGTTCACGGCATTAAATTATACATTAATTCATTCTTCCATTAACTTCCTCATTCAACAAATACCTTAAGTCTGGTGCAGTGGCTCACACCTGTAATTCCAACAATTTAGGAGGCCAATGTGGGGAGAATCACTTGAGACTAAGAGTTTGAAACCAGCCTGGGCAACATAGCAAGACCCTATCTTTACAAAAAATTATAAATAACTTAAAAAATACTTTAACATCTATGTGTGATATAGCAAATTGCATAGTGTTCAAATGATCTAAACCTAGATTCAAATCCTAGCTTTATAAAGTACTAACTTTGAGACTTTTGCATTATCACATTATCTACTGAAGATTTAATTTTGAAAATATAAAACTTTATACAGTGGTAAAAATTAAATAGTACACAAAATTCAAGAAATACAAGCAAAGTATAGGAGACATTAAGGGCTAAATAGTGTGGGTTAGTTTCTAGCAACAAAAGTCTATTGAGAACTAAAATTAATAACTTGAGTCAATAGGTCTATCAGTCATCTTTAGATAAATTATGTTGTAGTAATAAAAAGTCAAAGAACCTCCTAGTATTATTTCCACAAAAGTTTAACTCGTTAATATTACATGTTCCTGTGGCAAAGCGATGGCTTTGCTCCATGCATTCTTTATTCCAGGATTTAGGCAAGGGGGCAGACCCCATTTGACATTCCAGCTGGCATTCCAGCTACAATGCTTCAGTGAACAAACAAGGATAAAAATCAACAGTGGCTCTTAAATCTCCTGCTATCTATGACTTCTATTCATACTACATTGTTCAGAGTAAGTTAAAATGTGTATGATTTCTGTGAGGCAGCTAAATGGGAAGAAAAATATATCCTACAACAATTGTAAATGATACGTGTAATAAAAAAAATCAAATTCTAGGGTGGAAAAGTAATCAAGGAAGCCTCTGCATGGGATAAAATTTGATCAGCTGCATGGGAGGACCAAAGGATATATGTAGAATGGAGATAGTATCTGGGGATAAAATTGATAGGGCCAGCCAGATGATAGAAATTTCTACTGTAGTATGCTTACTTATTGTAGCAGCCATCACCAACCAGCGCTGTCCAAGTTGCTTAATTTTGGCAATTAATTTAATAACTGAAATTCAGCAAGGACACACAGGAGCCTTTAGATATACAAAAAACACATCCTGGTTGTAGCCTTACACACAATGGCCATTCTACTTCAAATAAATTTCTAGGATTTGTCTATATCACTGAATCCCTACTTCATTTCTCTGAGCAGAAAATGCCTTTGATGGCTCAACGTATTTTCAAACTTCATATTTTATTACCTCTACTTCTCATACAAGTGAATCCCTACATATTTTTCAAGTAGTTGGTCCTACAGACTGAATTTTTTTTTTTTTTTTTTTTTTTGTATCTGAAAGAAACATTTTCTTTGGCAAAACAACATCTTGGGGTGGGGAGGGGGTTGGCTTTTAGACTCATACTCAAGTATGAGTGCTGGGATCTCTCTGGACCTACAAAATATCTTGAAATCTAATGTCATAAAGATAAAAAGCTATTGGATAAAATACTTTTGAGCAAGGGAAGAGCTCAAGACAAATAGTGGTTTAGAAAGATAGAACTAACAATGATATATAAAATAAATAAGGTGGGAATCTGGAGAGAGTGATCTTATTATTGCATACCTACCAAGGTTGTGACCCATTGTTTCACTTAGTTGTGACAACAAAAATTATGGTGAAAAATTCTAAAGAGACTTTAATCTGTCAAGGCCAATTGCTGTCAAGTCCAATATTTTTAACTATTATAAGATTAATGGAAAAGTGGAGATTTTAGAATTAAGTCAAGGTTATATAATCATAATAGCCAGTGTTATTCTTAAGTGGTGTTACTGTTACGTAAATTCCTCTTGAATGTATAAACTTTGACGTATATATTAAATAGACAAATGAACGGATAAGTTATGAATAAGTCATAAAGAACTTTAAGAAAAAGTTATATAACTCGCAATACAAGATATGTAAAAGGTGATAAACAATAATATTAAATCACTTGCTTTCAAGGAATTTAGTAGTATTGATGGTTTGATTCATAATTTATGTGTTGTATTTTACATAAACTTCAAAACATGATAAGGTGCTTATAAAGAGTAAAATAATTATATAATTAGTGATGTTATACCCAAAATGTGAGAAAAAGAAAGCTTTTAATTATCTAAAAAATTTGGTATATGGAATCTTTTGTCATTCCAGTCAAAAGAATTACCTAAATTCCCCATTTCCCACATAAAGTCATGCCACAGATAAAACCAAATCAGGTGCTTTTAGGAATTAACACTGCATCATTTGAAACACAAAAATAAAGACAATTATTTTTACTTTTTCATAACATACTAAAGAAAGAATAATCATTTCCCTTTGCTAAAAATGTCAGCAATGAAACCAGGCATATAATAGTATAAATTAGGAAAAAAAAGTTCAATGACATGAATTAGTTATCCAGCCAAAAATTATATAGAATTGTAGCTGAACACACTTATTTTGAAAAGAGTTCCGGAATGATGAATCTTAATAATATCAATCAGCATGCATTTTAAAAATACAAATCCAACTGCAAGTAAAAATCGTAACTTTTTTTAAAAACTGGAACTATCTCAATAGATACAAATTTGTTCATGAAAATTTAAACAGGATATTGTTTCAATGGAAAACTGATTTCCAAAGAAGCAGTAATAAGTATTCTCATAAAATTATGAACAGCTAGCATCATCCCTACTATAACCTTTCCAGAATATGAATATGTTGATTAATTGCATGAGACACCACACTTGAATTAGCCTTCTAAGCACAAAGATCTATACTTATGGTCAATCTAGCGCTACAGTCCAGCATGCCAAGTTTGGAATTTTATTTTATATGAACTTTTCTCTTTCACTCTTGTGAATGTTTCATTGGCAACTTTAGTATGTTAGATGTTTAAAAAAAAAAGTTATAATCCTGAATGGCATGATATTTGAAATGTGGAAAATAGATATCTTTGAAAAATGTTTTTCAAATATTACTTTATAGTTGATTAATACATGCCTTTATTGTTAATATCAATGTTTGAAGAATTGTACTGAAATAAAGTATTGTCATGTCACAGGATAAGGTCATTTTACTGTAGATAATACTTTTATCAAGGGCCTGGCCATTTGTTCTAAATTATCTTAAGAAAAAGAAAGATTTCAAAGATTTAAGTTCCTAGTCACTTATGCAAGCATGTCAAGTTATCATCTATTTCTACTTCTGTTAAAGAAACCAATAAGTTGTGTATTTGCTATTACTATTTCCATCAAAGGGGAACCTGGAGTCGGAATGCCAGAATTTAAATGTCACCTTTGCTCTTTAGCAAAAAATGGCTGTCAAGACAATTGACTCAACCACTGTCAGTTTTTTTGCTTTTTCATTTTTTTCATACATATAAAGCCTTTATTATACTCTGAATCTAAGATAAATGAGATAATACATGTAAAACTTTTACACAATGTGCCATATGCCTACCATTCAGTCAATGGCAATTACTATAAATTAATATAGTAATATTAATTACTATAAATTAATATACCCTGATAATGTAAGTGGACCAACCAGGATTTATACTGGGGTCTGCCCCATTCTAACCCCCATTATCTCCCCACTGTACAACACTGCCTCCTGATAATAAATATCTCATCAATGAAACCGTCCTCTACAAAGGTTTGCTGAAGATAGTAATATTACATTTGAAAATAAAACTTAATTAGGACACTAAATTAAAAAGCTATCTTCTTAGTAATAGAATCGGTTATAAAAGGCCTCATCTAGTCTGTTTCCTCTGTAGCCAAGTCAGGTGAATTTGCTGGAGAAAAGAAATGCTGATGAGATGATGTGTTGACCCATTCTGTCTCCCTACAGACGGTCCCAGCTGGCATAGTGTGTACTTATTGTCCAAATGAGACCCTATTTTGTTTTTTACTTTTTATTGTATCTCTCCTAGGAAATAAAAATATAAATGTTGCTGTTGTGTTATCTGCACAGAAAAAAGAAATTGGTGCCTGATGTTTGAGAGAAACAAATCCCATATGAAATCTTTCTCACATTAAAATAGAAGCGATGGATTATAACTGCAAATATAAACCAGGTGTCTGTCATCGTTTTTTATTCTAATCTCATTACAGGCACATGGAACTTTGAAGTCTGTCTTATACGGATAAAAAAATGTTTTAAATTTATTTGTATAAGCACACAGTTCCAAGGAATGTCTTACAAAGAGGAAGCGTGCTGGAATGGCAGAGACAGAGACACAGAAAGTGAAGCTCTATATCTTGCTGATACCTATAATATGCTAAAAATATCTGAATTTCAGACACTGGGGTCTATGTTTTGCTTACAAACAGAAGAAAAAGAATAGTGCATATTCATAGAAATGTTTTGAAGGAAACACCAAGAAAGGAAGTAAAGGAAAGAGACAAAGTTATAGTGTTTCAGCGTAATTCTAACTCTGAAATAAAAAAGAAACAGACAACATAGGGGAGATGCATGCCACAAAATATCTTTAGGTCCAGGAAAAGGCTCTCTGTTTATTGTTACACCTTGTGCCCTAAATCTGCATATTCACTCTTCTATACAGCTGGATCTTTTGAGGAAACACAAGTTAACTCAAATACAGTTAACTTGTTGAAGGCATTACCTCAACATTTTTATTGCTTTTACACTTGTTTCATTCATTTATATTTAGATGGCATAAAGACAAAGGAAATACCACCAACATTAACATATTTGGATGAACAATATACAGAACTAAAATACACAGATCTGTATTTGGGATAATAAAATTAACAAAAGATTTGGACAAAAATAATGAAGAAGAAAATAGTAATTAGTATCACCAATAGATGAGAGTCTCATGGATAAGGTACACAGTTGAAAAAAAAACCTGCAAGATTTATTCATTTATTGTCTTTCACTTATTTATTTAAAAAAAATACCCATACTGACCATCTATCATATCTCTGGATTTATAGATAGATTTGGTTAAAAATACCTACCTTGTATTTTGTGACTGTCATATACTTGAATCTATGAGTATGTGGCTTTAAGGTACTTGCGTAGTACAGCAAAAACCTGCAAGAAAATGTAAATAGGCCCCTATTTTGCTAATATTTATGCCTATGGTAAAGGGCTGTCATTAATACCTACCCTAAAATGACATGTGAAGGGCTGTCATCAATACCTACCCCAAAATGAGCTTGTTACTCATGTTTTTTATGATGAAGATGATGCTGATAATGTTGACATTGATGATGTTGAGAAAGAGGAAGAGTACGTTGCTATATCATTCTCCCCCACAGGGTCACTTAGGTAGCTGTACAGGATGAGGTTGCCAACCTCAATAAGCTCATTATTCATAATTCAGTGGGACACACACACACACACACACCAATAAGTACAAAAAGCCCAACACCACAGATTTATGCAACTTTCTAGAGGCAAATAGAAATAAAAATGCCTAACTCTCTCAAACATTTTGTCTCACATATACAGTAATATTAAAACTATGAAGAAAAGACAGAAAGATAAGTACTTCTACATATTTGGTACATTTAGTACATTTTTTATGACTCCTTAGGAATTCACTTTTCTTCGGTTTACCATTCCTTTCCTTCAGTTATTCCCCATATGGGAAAGTGTTAAGTTCTCTTATAAAACTTGTCAATTTCCTCTGCATATATTAGTGTTTGCTTATATTACTTTCAAGGTGTAATTTTATAAAAGAGTGCAATATTTAAGTGATGTTAAAGAGAACAGAAGAAATAACCATAAACCATATTTTTCTATGTACTACTCTTCCATTATTATACCCAAAGGAAGTAACACAGGTAAAATCTGATAGATAATTAAACCTTACAAAAAGTTTAGAATGTTTTGGTCTCAGTTCATATGACGTGAAAATGAATGTAACAGAGAAATATATCTGGGATGTGAATCATTCCCATGCAAAATAATTAAGATGAGAAAATCAAAACTTGATATCATTAAGGTGGAAACTGGCATAGTGCTTTAAAAGAGAAATCTAAAAATTCCACTAATAAACCGTGAAAGAATGAGTATTTGCACTGTGTACAAACACGGAACACTTCAAACAACAAGTTTGTGGTGGCTCAGGAGCCTGTGACTACAAATATAAACTGCAAGTATAAATCATATTTCTATTCATTTGTAATAGAATTAATAGAATACAGGTGACCCTTGAACAACATAAATTTGAACTGTGTGGGTCACCACTTATACGTGAATTTTCGTCAGCCTCTAACACCCCTGAGACAGCAAGACCAATGGTCTCCTCTTCCTGCTTCTCTTCAGCCTATTCAACATGAAGGCGATGAAGTTGAAGACCTATATCATGATCCACTTTCACTTAATGGATAGTAAATATATTTTTTCTTTCCTACAATTTTCTTAATATGTTTTCTTTTCTCTAGCTTGCTTTATCGTAAGGATACAGTATATAATACATATAACATACAAAATATGTGCTAATATATTGTTTGTCATCTGTAAGGCTTCTGCTCAACAGTAGGCTATTAATAGTTAAGTTGTGAGACTTAAATACACAGCTCCCCTAAACCCTGTGTTGTTTAAGGGTCATCTGTATATGAGTGTGTATATTATAGGGATTTTTGTCCTAGCTTAAATAAACATGACTCCCTTTCAAATATCTCATTTCTAGAACCAGGGTGTTTTCATCACAGTGTAGGGATAGATTCCTTTTGACTCCTCCTACAGACATCTTCTTAAGCCCTCAGGGCGGATGTTCCACTACCAATTACCGTCTTGAGAACATTACTGTACTGAACACAGTCATCCTTTACAGGTCTCTCGTGCTTTACTTATTTTTTTATTTTTATTTTTTTGACAGGGTCTCGCTTTGTCTCCCAGGCTGGAGTGCAGTGGCATGATCATACCTAACTACAGCCTCCACCTCCCGGGTTCAAGCAATTCTCCTGCCTCAGCCTCCCGAGTAGTTGGAATTACAGGTGTGTGCCACTACACCCAGATAATTTTTTGTATTGTTAGTAGAGACAGGTTTTTGCCATGTTGGCCAGACTGGTCTCTAACTCCTGAGATCCAGTGATCCATCCACCTTGGCCTCCTAAAATGTTGGGATTACAGGCATGAGCCATCACACTCGGCTGTTGTTGGCTTACTTCTATTTTCACCTCAAGTAAGTAACCCTGCATCTCTCCGACTCCCACCCCCATAAAATATTCTGTCAGGGTCTTTGCCTCAATTACCCTTGAGAAACTGGAAAAAGAAAAAGCCTTGGAATGAAAAATTAAATGGAATGGTCTGGCTTTACGTTCAGAGATAATGACAGAGAACAACAAAAATATATAAAATAATTTATAAGTACTAATGTGTTTGTACAAGTCCAACCATTTCGGCAATGTTACTAAGGAAGGTCTCCTGCTTAACTTTTCAATGCATCTCCAGTTTCCTAGAACACCAGCAAAATAACTAGACCAATGAATGCTCTAGCAACCCTCACCAGCTGCAGTGCTCCCAGCTGATCAGTCTTCCAATTCTCCAAGAAATCATATATTTTCAACTTTAATGCTAGCTTGAATATGAAATACAGCATTCACAAATCTTATTAGTGCCATCTGCATTTAATTATTCACTTTCTTATCATGTAAATAAAGTTCACCTTTGTTGACCAAAAAGTGTGGAGGCACTTACAGGTTATACAGACAATAAGATTTGACACATTGCTTTCTGAGTCCTCCAAATTATTTTGTTAAATTATTGAAATTATAAAAAATGTTTTAAAAGATAATAAATTCAAATCTTTGTATTGGAATGAGAATACGGGTGCAGTAGCTATTCAGTTACTTAGTTTCACCAACCTAATATCAGGGAATATGAGCTACATTTTTTTAAACTCCATTTCACATTTAGGTCAGCAGAAATGAAATGAATGTATTTTCTTGTGACCGTGTATTAAATGCAGAAAAAGATTTTGGGGAAAATAATGTATCTATAGCTTATAACAATATGTTTCCATTTCAAATGCTAATGAACAATGGATACATTCTAGAAAAGTAGGAAAAAGGGAGATTAGTAATTATGGTTTTTGAGTGAGTGTATCCTATAAACCATGCATCTGTCTACTGATCAAAGTTCTTACCATGAAAATTATATCAACTTTTAGGAGCCTGTGTCTATTAGCCTGTTCTCATGCTGCTAATAAAGACAAATCAGAGACTGGGTAATTTGTAAAGAAAAGAGGTTTAATTGACTCACAGTTCCACATTGCTGGGGAGGCCTCACAGTCATGGCAGAAGGTGAAGGGGAAGCAACATATGTCTTACATGACAGCAGGCAATAGAGAGCATATGCAGGGGAACTCCACCCTAAAAAACCATCAGGCCTCGTGAGACTTATTCACTATCACGAGAACAGCACTGGAAAGATCCCATGATTCAATTACCTCCCACTGGGTCCCTCCCATGAAACATGGGAATTATGGGAACTACAATTTAATATGAGATTTTGGTGGGGACACAGCCAAAGCATATCACTGTTCAATAAAAATTGTATTTAATATCATATATGCCTTTACTGGATGCCTCTAGGTCACTGCTGTTTTTGTATTCTTGTGAGATTTCCTTTTCCAATAATGTCAGAATATTCTATTTTTACTTAGAATAGGGATGAAAGTTTCTTCCCCTCTATTATTGCTGAACTAATACATGTCAAGAATGACTAAATTAGCACTGATAATTTCAATAAAAATATTAGCTCTAAAAATTATAAGGCAAGGACAAAAATTGCAATATAACCTGTTTATTCTAATGCAGCATGTGCAAAGACCATTTTTTAAAGTCTGGTGAATTTAAATTCAATTTTTTACTGAGGTTCCCTTTTTCACAAGAGTTTGATTACTGAAAAAATATCTACTTGTGGTAAGGAAGAAAAAATAATATCTGTCAGGTACATAGCACATTCTAAAATCTCTATTGTGTTTTTCTTGTATTATCTCAGTATTTACATGAAATTGAATTATTTAAGGAATGCATAATTACTAGAATATTTAGTTTAGAGGACAGAGTGCAAAAACTCAAAAATGCAATGAAACTAGTAAATGGAGAAGCTGATATTCAACTTAAGAGCCATGTGGCCCACAAATTTGTACTTTTTGTGCTACATCAAAATGCTTCTTAAAAATAACAAAAAGCAACATTAATTTAGCAATAGTCAGTGTGACAGGTGTCTGTCATATTTTTTTTCTAAGGTTCACAAAACCCTGGAAGGCAAAATCTCTGATCTTTAGTTAAAAAATCGAATCAGAATTTTCCATAATTATGGAGAGAAGCAGCTTTAGAGTATATTATAATTTCACAGAAGAAAATTGTACATTCTCTTTTTGGTCAGATTTCAATAGCAAATATAAATTATTCAGAATAGAAAAGGCTCAGAAAATATATTGTTATGTCCAAGAGTGTTTATCTATCTAAAGTATCAGAAGGAAGTCAGCTAAACTAGCAAATATAGCAGAGATACCAACAACATTGTCCAACATCAAGGCTCAAGCTAGCTGTCCCCAAAAGCCCTGCCAGCAGGTAAATGTCGGAGCAAGAAAAGACCAAAAGATCACATACAAACTTCACTTATTACTCTTCCTACAGTCCTCCACATATCATGTAGCCTTTTGGATACACTTTATCTTGCCTAAGAACAGGCCCGCAATCTATGAATTACAAGAAGAGAGAGACGGGGAGGGAGACAGAGAACAATGTAATTTCTGGGAAAGAGTAAGCAGCACATATAGACAGCATGAAGACTACCCTTATCCATCAATCTATCATTCTCAGACACTATAGGCTACAAGACACTGATTCAGGTACCTCCTGATCCTGATGCTGAAAAATAGAACAAAAGACAAACACTCACTGTAACTTTGAGAGGCAAGCTAAATAGATATGGCATAGAAAGGTCATAGGTCTCATACAGCAAAAGGAAAATGGAGAAGATAGGTTAGAAAAAAAAAACTCTGCGAAAAATTTTTGTTAGTGTTTTCACACATATTTATGATATAAACCCAATATCACTGTAAAACCTTTCCATTTTAAATAGATATTTTTCAGCTTCAGACATTTGGTGTCCACTTGTTGATAACATCCTTCCCACATTCATTATAATGGCTGTTAACTATAATGTTAATTATAATGACTGTGTGTGCATGTGTGTGCATGTTGTGTATATAAACATACACATATATATACATATATACACACATATTTATACACATATATACACACATATATTCACACACACACATGTATGCACATTTATTCTATTCTATCCTTTATTAGATAGTTGTGCAATTTTTATCTCTGACTCAATTTCTCCTATTTTCTCAATTTGACAGTATCTTTTAAAATTCCAAAGTTTTTTAATCTTGATAAAATCCAACTTGTCAACATTTTTGTTTTATGGCTCATGATTTTGTTGTCACGTCACAGAAATATTTGAGTAATCCAAGGTCTCAATGCTGTTTTCTATGTTTCTTTCAATAAATTATATAATTTAGATTTTTACTTGAGCAAATGATCCATTTGAGTTAATATGAGTTCTCAGTTGAGATCTTTATTCTGCAATGTCCAAAATTTTTTAGCATCATTTGTTGAAAAGCCTATCCATCTTACAATATTGTTGACATTCAACTCACCATATATGTGTAGGTGGCTTTGTTTTTCTGTTCCATTAATCTACGTGTCTATCTTTTACCCTGTATCACATATCACAATGTCTTGTTTACTATAGCTTTGAAGTAAGTATTGAAATCAGGGTGCATTTTTGTTTTTGTTTTGTTTTGTTTGAGACACGGTCTCACTCTGTTGCTCAGGCTGGAGTGCAGTGGCATGATTATTGCTCACTGAAACCTTGAACTCCTGGGCTCAAGATGTGTTCCTTCCTGAGCCTACTGAGTAGCTGGGACTACAAGTAAGCAACATTATGCTCAGCTAGTATTTTTCTTTTTAATAGCAATGAGGTCTCGCTATGTTGCCCAGGCTGGTCTTGATCTCCTGGTCTCAGGTTATCCTCCCGCCTTGGCCTCCCAAAATTCTGGGATTTCAGGTATGGGCCACTGTGCTTGGCCCAGTAAGCATTTTGAAAGTTTACTCTAAAAATTCAAGCAGAAGAATCATAAAGAAAACCATGTCTTGGCACATTATAATCCTATTGCCAAGAAAACAAAAACAAAAAAAAAAGAGAGAGAGAGAGACATTATGCACACAGGAATAAATATATGCACAAATGACAGCACACTATTTATCAGAAACTATTCAATCCAGAAGCCAGTAGAACCAAATATTTAACATACTGGAAAAACAAACATGCATACAAAATTTGTGACCTAGAATTCTATATCCAGTGAAAATATATTTTTAAAATAATGGCTTTTTTTTCAGATGAACAAAAGCCTAGGGAATTTATTGTCGACATAGTGCAGGGAATTTGAAAGCATTTTTGCAAGCAGAAGGAAAGTAATACTAGATAGATCTACAAACTGGTAAGTCCACATATATATATATATATATATATACACACACAGTATATCAAACACTGATAAAATTAAAATAACTTGAAAAATTCACAATTACATTAGGAAACTGTAATACTCCTCCAGTAGTTAATGAAACTAGAAAAACAACACTTTAAATATTATAATAAAAATATTATCGATGAGATTAAATACATTAACATTTATGGAAAGCTTTTCACAATAAAAAGTATTATTTTCAAGTGTACATATAACATTCACCAAGATCAATCAAATTTTAAGCCATAAAATATGTCTCAATACATTTTACAATATATTTATACTAAGTATGTACTTGGACCCAAATATTATTAAAATAGATATTGACAAAAATCTGAAAATATTTTTAAATATTTGAACATTAACCAGTATAGTTATAAATAAACCTTGGCCAGAAAAAATAATAAATGAAATCACAAAAGAAATTATATGTATTCTAAACTAAAAGTAAAACAAAAATTTGGAGGATAAAGACAAAGCAATGCTTAATATAAACTTACAACTTAAAAAATAAGAATTGAAGAGAAAATTAGGTCTAAGATAAGCAAAAAGTAAGTTTATAATAAAGATAGAAGAGAAAAATCAATAAAATAGAAAATGGACAAAGGAAGAAAGTGAGACTGAAAGCTAATTCTTTGTAAATATCAATAAAATTAATAAACCTCTAGCCTAACTGTTCAAGGAAACAAAAGAAAATATGAGTCACCAATATCAGAAATAAAAGAGAAAACCTTACAACAAGCTCTTTTAGACAATTAATGACCATGATTATTATAATGAATACACATGTCAATAAATTCCACTTAGTTGAAATGAAAAAATTTCTTGAAAACACTAAAACTTGTTCAAGAAGAAATAATCTGAATAGCCTTATTATGTTATTATGATTATGATTATTAAGATTTAGTAGATGAAATTCTTCCCTAGTAATTAAAATCTGGGCCAAGGTGATTTAATTGGTGATTTCTATCAAACATTTTTTAAAAGATAACTAATCAACACAATTCTACATAAATCACAACACTAACTCTACACAAATTCTTTCGGAAGATAAAAGAAGGAAACACTATCCAACTTATTTAATGAGGGCAGCATTATTCTCATACCCAAAATCAGAAAAAATACCTTATATAAAAGAAAACAGACTTGTATTCTTCAGAATGATTAATAACATATACTTAACAATATTTTAACAAATTAAATATTACAGTATAGTAGGGGAAAAAACAACATAATGAATTAAGATTCATCCTAAGAATACAGAGTAGTCTAACCCAAAATGAATCAATATATTTCAGCATATTTACTAACTAAATAAGAAAATAACGATTATCTCAACAGAATCATGAAAATTTGTTTGTAAATAATTCAGCATTATTTCACGGTAAAACAAGAACTCAAAAAACTGGGAATGGAATAAAAGCCGAAGACACAAAGTCAATTATCCCCAGGTGATTTTATGATCACTGGAATATCATTAGCCCTTAGGGCAATGCAATATTGAACCACAGTAAAAAACACAAAAAAATTCATTAGAATGCTTCAAATTTAAAATACTGACAACAGCAAAGATTTTTGAGATGTAAGAGTATTTTGAACTCGTGTGGCAATTCAAAATAAAGTATTTCTTAAAGAAACAGTTGGCAGTTCTTTATAAAGTTAAATATATATTTATTATGTGACCCAACAAACTGATTTTAAGGTATTTTTCCAAATAATCACAAATATATGCCCATAATAAATGGTCATATCCATATATTCATTATATATTTATTCACTAGAAAGAAATAAAAAATAACCCAAATAAACATCACTAACAAATGGATAATTTGTTATTTAATTGTGGTATACCATGAATTAGAATACTACTCACCAATAAAAAACAAACAAACTCAAGGTAAAGGCACCATCAATAAATCTCAAAAGCATGCTAAAAAGAAACCAGACACAAAAGGATATATACTGTATGGTTCCATGTATATGAAAAACTAGAAGCTGTGTTAATGGTAGCTTGGGCGCAAGGATGGAAGAAAGGTACTGACCAAAAAGAGCAAAAATCCACTTTTCGGGGTGATGAAAATGTTCTATATGATTGCACCACTCTATGTACATTTTAAAACACATTAAATAACATCCTTGCAATGTATACATTTTATTTCATGTACAGTATTCCTTAATGAAGCTCTTAAAATGTCTGCCATTCAGCTATGTTTTGTCAGACATTGTTCTTCGTCTGGCCAACAGACATTGACCACCTTTTCTGATTTCCAGTAGAACACCAATTGTGTTCATTCCTTAACAGTGGTTTTCTTCCCAAGAGACTGGGACTCTCTCCAGTCTCAAGCAGTTAAACCTTAATAGAGGTATTACAATCATGTTAATCTACTCTCCTTGCAAAGTAATCGTTACAAACATGTACAAGTGTCATAATTCTGGCCAATTGACGATATCTTCTTAGAAAGTTTCTCTTATTCTCTAACTGTCCTTCAAAACGGATAATTTTCAAATATTTATGTATTGCTTATCAAACGTGTGTCTTTACTCTGTCATAGATTGCAAAATTAACTTAAAGTTTAAAGGAACAGGGACTGTAAAGATATACACAAAACCTAAATAAGTATTTCTCAAAATATGTTAATTGAAACCAAGAAAAAAATATTTACATAAGGTCCAGGTGCAGACGTGAACATACATATGCATGTGAAACAAGAACGGTACAAAATAATGCTTACACTTAACCAGTAAGCTAGGATATTTTCTATTCTACTATACCTTATTCTACTGTATTAATTTATATTTTAATGCTGGGGAGAATCCAGTAAATTTATTTCATTCAGCTAATAAGATTCATAATTTGAAAAACAGAGGCATTGTAGTCTTACTCAGTAACACTCGAGCAGCCAATCAAATATAGTGCTTGTGATTTTTTAGTGCTTGTGATTTTTAAACCCACTTTTTTCGGGTCAGTATCATGAAGGCATTAATTAAATACTTCATACTTTTAAATTTATTATATTTTCCCATTAATGAACATATTGACAGAGTAACATTGCAAGTACCTTAACATAGATACCGATATGCATTAAAGACAAAATAGCCTCAACCTTTTAGATATTTAAACACCTGGAGAAATATAATTCTTTTACTGCAGTATTTCGGTGCAATGAAAATATTCTTATTTTATGCCCTTAACACTAACCTCTTGTTATAGAATAGTGTGAAAAAAAGTCTTACAATTGTCTATAATAGTTTAAATAAATTTTAACTAAATTCAATATTCATCTATTAGCTTCAAAAAATCTGTAATTTTTCTATGTAGTTAATAAGCAAATGTCATTAAATCATTAAAGGTTTACACATGCTGAACTTAATAGAACATCAATTTTAACCTAATAAACTACTTTAAAAATTACTGCTATTTTGATGGAAAATATGTAGAAATTTATTCATAACATATCTCCTAAGTATAGAAATATTCAGAAATTGTATAATCAAAAAAGCATTATAACTATTTAAAACCATATGGTTGCATATGAATACTCATTCAGTGGTAACACTGAATTGAGAATACAAAGTCCAAAGAACATCAAAGCTTGGATTAATTTATGAATATGATGATGTGATTCCCAGGTGTAATGTTTTTAGCATTTTCAGTTCTGTATTTAATCTAGATGAGTCTTATTTGGAATCAGAATCAGGTTTTCAGAATACTAAATATCAATTCCCATGTCCCAAGAATGCCAGTAAATTGCTTAGACAATCCAGCTAATTGAATTTAATTTGATTATGAGGCCGACTTTATATAACTATAAAAGATAAAAGAAAGAAAAAAGATGAAAATAAAAAACAATCTATCAAAAGTTGAGAAAAAAATTAGTAATCTCACTCTCTTTTCTATAAAAAGTATCTCTGCATCATTGCACATTTATAGCAGCATGGGTTTCTAGGCCATGGAAAGATCATTGCACATTCCTCTATCACCTTCAAAACATAGAATCATTAGAGCCTGGTAGGTAAGACGAGCACAGATAACATTTTTGTAAAATGCCCTGAGAGGGGCATCAGTGAAGTGTCAAAAATGAGAAAGCCCAGAGTTTCAAGAAGCCACAGGTAGTTTGACTTCACATGAGCATAATGTGCAAGAAAGGGAATTGAAACCCCTTCTATTTTCAGCACCTATCTCAATAGGGCGTTTATATGGTTTCTAGAATATATCTAATCTGTATTGCTGAGCTTTTTTTTTTTTTTTTGGCAGAAATCATCCCTAATCCCTATACCACACTACTTAGCAAACATCCACATGGAGATTTCAAGTAGGCAGATACTACTCACAAGTGGGGCTCAGACATACAAATGCAGGTTATTAAATGATAAATGGTATATAAATTCAAAGGGTTTATTGAGATATTTTGGGTTACTAAAGATAGAAAAGAGTATATAATTAAACCTAGTACTCTGCAGCACTAAAGTCAGTGAGAGGACAAGTCTTCTAATGGGATTTGGAAGGAGGTGCCAGTGAAATAAGAAAATACATAATTCTTAAGGACCAGTTATGGAATTGAATCAAGAAAAAGCCACATGATCAAATGTGTTAACTGCTGATAATTCGAGTAAGATGAGAGCTGAAAATAAATAATGGATTTGGCAAGAGGAGACCTTGCTAAGACTGGTTTCAGCAGACCAATAGGCATGAAAGTATGCTTGTAGTGTGCTAAAAGCAGAATTGGAAATGTAGAAGTGGAGAAAGCAAATTTAGACAGATGCTCAGAGTGTATTGTAAGGGGGAGCAAAAACATAGGAAAAAAGTTGTAGTTTAAACTTTTGCATAGTTTCTCAGTGCTTAGTATCTATCAAAAGAGAAAAGGATGGTTATTACATGTATTTACAAGACTGACAAAATTAAGTAAATAGTAAATTACATATTTCAAAAATCTGCTTCATTTAGTTGATAGTCTGTGATGGTTTCTTCAGAGCTGTTATACACTATTATGTAAATACCTAATCACTAACACGCTGTGCATTACTTACTCTATCCTACGTGAACACTCCATTGGAGTCATTATGGATTATTGTGTAAATGCCTAATTGCAGGCATTTTAAGATAGTTATTATTTACTTGATAGCTTGTAATGGATTTTTCAAAGTAAATATTTAGTACAACTATGCATGCCTCTTAGCGTTCAGGACTTGCCTATGAAAATAATATATAATTCCATGTATGTGTGTATGTAATATGCATACCTCAAAATCAACATTATCATAAAAGATTTTATTGAGTTTTAATGATGCTATAATTCATCATTTGTAAACAGAAGTCCTTTTGGAGTCACACAGACATGAGAATAAGTGTGATTCTCCTACCTACTAGGAGATTTTAGCTTTTTAATTTCACTCTCTCTATTGCCTACTTAAAATGGAAAATATCCACCATGAAAATGCTTGTTTACTTGCTCTTTTCTTGCATGTACTTTTCATTGCTAAGGCAGAATGCTTTCATTACTAAAGGTAGAAGAAACTATGAATGGGTTAGTGTGTTGCTATAAATCTGCTTGAGTTGCAATGAAGAGCTTTCTGGATTGGGTCTCTCTGCATCATTACATCATTATTATATTTGGTATATGTTTTAAGTTATTAATCTATAAGTTTTCTCTAGAGTACAACCTTCCAGACCAAGATTTGTTTCTGGATGTGTGCATTATTTAATGCAATAAGTATTTGGATGAATATAGGGTAGAAATTGAGATAGCAATGTAAAATAAAATGGTCAGATTAAAACTTATTGACAAGATAAAATTTGAGAAAAGGCTCCAAATAGGTTAGCATCATAAATAATTATGAGTGGAGTTAATAAATATTATTTATTATTAATAAATAACCATTATTCCAGATGGAAAAACTCGCAGTCAGTACAAAGTCACCAAGGCAGAAGTGTGCAGTATATTGGACAAAGGTCAAGGCAGCAGTGGGAATGAACTAGAATAAGCAAGTGAAACTGTAGTAGGAGATAAGCTCAGAGAATTAAGGGTATGGAGAAGAAAGTGTACATTATTTGGTTCCTTGTTGAATATTCTGACTTATGCTCTGAGGGAAGGGGAAAGACCACAAAATTTAGGACAGAGGGTTGCTCTGGCTTCCAAGAATCAACTTGCAGGGATAAAAGAATTGAAGTAGAACAGTCAGTTATTCAAACAATATAGGAGCAATAATGATGAATTGAACAAAGATGATAAAGGATTGAGAAGGGACAGTCTAGCAAATTGGATACGCTATGAGAAAAATAAATAAAGATAATTTAAAGTTTTTGGCCTGAGCAAGGGATTGGGTGCATTTGTTATCAACTGAGACCAGAAAGGCTACTAGAAAATCAATTTGGGGTATGTGGGAAAGGAAGTTCAGGAGTTCAGATTTGTACTTATTGAGTTTGAGATAACTGCTTAATGTTTAAGTAGAAATTTGTATATATGAAGCTGAAATTTAGAGGAGGGATCTGAGGTACAGACATAAATAGTGAGTTTCAGGCACAGAGATGGCATTTGAAGCCAGTGCACTCCATATAATCACCAAATGAGGGAGACTATATAAAAAATGGTATTAAGGATGGAGTCCGGGAATACTTTAATATTAAGATTTAAGAAGAATAGAAAAAATGGTATCAAGAATAATTTATGAATGACTTAGTAATGAAAACAAGAAGATTATTTTC
This sequence comes from Homo sapiens, assembly GCF_000001405.40. Lineage (NCBI taxonomy): Eukaryota > Metazoa > Chordata > Mammalia > Primates > Hominidae > Homo > Homo sapiens. The sequence goes on from NC_000004.12 coordinate 33,805,373, forward strand.
TCTCTCAACCCAATTAAAGAAAATATACCAAAACTGATTATCAAATTCTGCCAAGAGATTATAGTAAATGAGGACTGAATTGCAGACCATTGGATTTAGCAATGTGTAAGCCAACACCAACCTTAACATGAGAAATGAGCATGAAAACCTGATTGGTGTGAGTTAAGGAGTGAATGGGAGGAGATAAGTTGAAGACAGAAGGAACAAACAAGTCTTTTGAAGAGACTTTGTTGTTGTTGCCACTAAGAGGGGTTATAGAAATTGGGTGGTAGCAAATGGAGAAACTTTAGTTTACATAAAGTTTTTTTGCATTTTTTTTTCAAAATACACAGTGATAAAAGCATGCTTGTGCAGTATAATATTTTTCTGTTGCTCTGTAACAAATTACTACAAATGTAGTGGCCTAAAGCAACAGAAATTTATTCTCTTACAGTTCTGGATGTCAGAAATATGACATAAGTCATACAGGGCTAAAAGCAAGGTGCTGACAGGGATGATTCTTTTTGAAATCTCTGAGGAAGAATAAATTTGCTTGCCTTTTCCAGGTTTTAGGGCTCTATCCTTTGCATTCTCTGGCTCACGGCCCCTTCCTCTGTCTTCAAAGCCAGTAGCATTGTATCTTCAATGTCTCTCTGTGTTTAACATCACATGGCTTTCTCTCCCTCTGATCTCTTATCTTCCTCTTATAGGGAGTCCTGTGATTACATCGCATCCACCTGGATAATCCCTCATTTTAAAACCTTTAACCACATCCGCCAAGTCTATTTTTCCATATAAGGTAATATATTTACAGTTTCTAGGGATTAAGATGTGGATATGTTAGGGAGAATTATTCAGTCTAAAATATACATTGGTAAAAATGATTCTATAGGAAGGAACATTGTTGGTAAAGGCAGAAGAGGAAAGAGTTGCTGGGGCAATGTCTAGAGTTGGCTAGAGGTTGTGGCACGTAGTACCCAAGTAAAATGTATGGCATTAAATAGGAGTGGAAATAGTTCATCTATAATAACAGGTGAGAAGGCGGATTATATAAGTGGTGGTAGTGGTAGAAAAAAATGATGTGGTGGGAGAAGTGAGCATATCTTCTTAGATTAGTCAGATTTTATTGATTACTAGTCTGCCTCTAACAATGGCTGATATGACTATGGATTATAAACTGAACTAGTTATAAGCTTTCTAGTCAACACTTCCAAATAGACACATTCATTGACTTATCAAGAATAAACTTATTGAGTATTAGATAATAAATACCAGGTATTACTTCCTTTAGGTAATGTGTTACAACATCTAAAAGTGTTCCTTGCTACCCTTGCCTGTTTTTAGTAACTCTCTTCTGGGTTCCCTCAACAACCACTCTCTAAACACATTAAGTAGTGTATTTACTAATAACAGTGCAGAAGTGGCATCTGATATGGTTCAAATTTGTTTCCCAAAATTCACGCATTGGGAACTTAATCCTTAATTAAACAGTATTGAGAAGTAGCTCCTTCAAGTGGTGATTAGGTCATAAAGGCTCCACCTTCATGAATAAATTAACACGATTCTCTCAGGAGTGGGTTAGTTATCCTGGGAGTGGATCCCTGATAAAAGGGTGAGTTTGACCTCCTTTCTCTTTCTCTTGCCCTTTCACCTTCTGCCATGGGATGATGCAGCAAGAAGGTCTACACCAGGTACTCAAATGCTGACACCTTGATATTGGGCTTTCCAGCTTCCAGAATTATGATTTTTTTTTTTTTTTTTTTGAGATGGAGTCACACTCTCTCACCCAGGCTGGAGTGCAGTGGCACAGTCTCAGTCTTCCCGGTTCAAGCAATTCTGCCTCAGCCTCCGCATTAGCTGGGATTACAGGCACTTGTCACAACACCCAGCTAATTTTGGTATTTTTAGTAGAGACATCACCATGTTGTCCAGGCTGGTCTGGAACTCCTGCCTTCAGGTGATCTGCCTGTCTTGGCCTCCCAAAGTGCTGGGATTACAGATGTGAGCCCACCCCCCCGACCCCCGACCCTGCTTTTAAGTTACTCAGTCTGTTATAGTCTGTTACAGCAACACAATATGAACTCATAGTATCTCATTGAGTTATAGCCCCAATGAAAAGCTCGTATTTAAAATATGAACAAAAAATTTGTCTCATACATTTATTAGTGTTTATTCTTTTTCTTCTTTTTTAGCATTTTTTTTATTAAGAGCATATTAATTTCCTTTATGGGAATTTCCTTCCTAACATTGTGTGCAGTCTTGGTGGTTTAGTAAACAAATAGCTCTATCCTATCATTTCAGAAGTTTAAAAGGATCTGGAAGCTATCTTGGTCAAAAAATGTCTTCTGGTTTTCCTGGTACAGAAATAGGGGGAAAATAATGCAATATAAACTCAGCTAACTTAACTAATTTTTCCCCCGGGACTGAATTTTTAATGGAGAGATTAAAGGGAAATTGCCATACATTTTACTTGGGTAATACATGCCACAACCTCTAGCCAACTCTAGACATTGCCCCAGTAACTTTTTCCTCTTCTGCCTTTACCAACAATGTTCCTTCCTATAGAATCATTTTTACCAAATACATTGGTAAAAATGATTGGAAGTTTGACAAGCGAAGGCCAAACTCACCCTTTTATCAGGGATCCACTCCCAAGATAACTAACCCACTCCTGAGAAATTGAAGGGCAAGGGTAAGTTCAGCAGTAGTGCTGAACTTATACCCGGAAGGCAGCCAGCCAGGCAGTGTCTGTTCTGCTTTTGTTTGTTTGTTTATTTTTGTTTTTTGCTTTTGAGATGGAGTTTCACTCTTGTTGCCCAGGCTGGAGTGCAACGATGTGATCTTGGCTCACCGCAACCTCTGCCTCCCGGGTTCAAGCAATTCTCCCGCCTTATCCTCCTGAGTAGCTGGGATTACAGGCATGAGCCACCATGACCAGTTAATTTTGTATTTTTAGTAGAGACAGGGTTTCTCTATGTTGGTCCAGCTGGCCTCAAACTCGTGACCTCAGGTTATCCGCCTGCCTCGGCCTCCCAAAGTTCTAGGATTACAGGTGTGAGCCATAGCACCTGGCCATCTGTTCTGTTTTCTAACCTGTTTACAAGTGGGTAATCTATCCAATAAATACAATATGCTTCCCAATATATTGCCAATAAATTATCTCTCTCTCTTTTTTTTCTTTTTTTTGCTAAAGTTGGGCAAAGTTAATTCCTTGTTACTTAAAACCAAAAGACCCTAACTCATAGACTAATTTCAAGTGACTTATATTTCAGTCCTAGAGAAATAGGACATATAATTGGAAAATGTCTATATGAGCATCTGTCAGTAAGTACTAGCAGTCAGTCAGAAAGGAATTTGAGCTGGACTCTGAGACAAGGTAGAATTGGATTCCTTTGAGAGGAGATGGGTGAGCACTACATGTATAGAAAGAGACACAAGGGATACAGTGGGGCTTGAGGGAGACCAATTTGAGGACCAAAGCCAAAAGACCGAATAAAGCAGAGCATTCCCTTTGAGAAGTTGCCAAGCAAATAGGATAATTTTTGTTTGAGTTTGAAAGATGACGTTTGAATATCAATAAAGAATGTGGCCAACAATAAGTCTACATTTAAATCATTGGCTCAATATAGAAACAGGCAACAATGCAGATTTTTAGGCTTGCAATAAAATATTGAAATTAGATATAAAATATATCTAAATATGTACATCAAAGAGAGTGAGAGAGAATAAAAGAGAAAGAAAAAAGTGAGCAATTGTAATTCAAATCTCTTCTTTTCACAAAGAGAAGGAAGAGTAGTGGAGAGGACACTTATCAAAAAGAGAAAAACAATACATATTTTCATTATTTCTCTTATTTTCTGTTTTGTTAATGCTAAATATAAATAACAGTATTCATTTTGCATTGATGAAGAAAATGAAGCAGAAATGTTAACCAGCTTGCTGAAGTCAATGAAGCTGGTAAGTGGAATAGCCAATTTTTCCAAGGTCAAACTTTGATTAAGACAATTAATTAGATTCTATTGTTGGAAATTTTGAAGACCATGCACATTCAGTCACATAACTTTGTGCTGGACCAAAGACTCAGAAATATGATTGTAATATTACATTGTGTGTTTTCTAATCCTTTTTGCCTCAAGTATTCCTTGGTGTAAAATACGGGGAAAATAAAGGATAATACTGTAATACAAGACTTCTTGATAAATTAGTAAAATAATTAGGCATAAGTTAAAAAGAAACAATTATGTATGTTTCAATACAAATATTCCCACAATATTATCAAACAACAAATGTCTACTTTATCCACAAGTAAGTGAAATTCCTAATTTCTTCTTGTTTAACTTAACCTGCAGCTTATTTTACTAAAAGCATATGTGGGTTATTATTCACTGTGATGTTTAATTAATTTCAATCTCCTTTCTACTGATATTTCTTTATGGTGTCACTTGAAGGACACCATGAGATTTTGATGTTAATTAAGTCATGATTCTATTGCAGTCTTAAACTTGGATATTCCCATTCAATTAATCTTGATTTTGTTCCCTGGATGAAACATGTGTATTATTAACAAAAAAGTTGCAAGTCTAACAGGATTTTCTGTGGGAATTCTTTATATAGAAATCATGTTTATGATTAATTTCTTGTGCAATACATTGCATTTATTTCTCTTGAAATGCCCGTAATATACTTCCATTCAGTGAAATAAATAAACAGCATGCCCAGCTTAAGAAATTAAACTCTTGTTCCAAACAAAGGCTACAGATTTAATTAAATAAATTCAACATTTTAAAAAGTTGTGTATGTGATTATCAGTATTGGTGAAATGATGTTGTAGGTTATTATTTACAGTGAAATAGATGATACTTGAAAAACTGAAATAGTCTTATTAAAATGTGCTGTATTCTCCACATGATGATATAGTACTAACAGATATTTAGAAAAATAACACACACATTGATTAAAACACACACACACACTTCTTCTAGTCCCTTTTCTTTTAAGTTCTTTGATTAAGTGGGAATCCTTACAGGTAACTATTTGACATCAGTTATTCCCTTCAAACTTAGGAAGATAATCATATTAGTTACTGACATGATCCTCAATAAAAGCAACATAATTTATTGAGACTAAACATATGAATATATTCATATAATTGCATTAAATTTACTAATTGGCAAATCCCATTAGGTCAGGAACCATGCCCATATTGTTAACCATAATATCTTCACATACTTAACACTGAACTTCATGTAAATTAGATATACGTAAGTATTCATTTAAAAATTTTATAAAATATGTTCAGAAGCAAATAAATTGGCTTCTGTAAATTCTGGCACAGAGTTACACCTCCTGACATAAACAACTATAGCCCTTGAATAACTGTATAAAGTAACTTCAGTCATTGAACAAAAGCAGTGTAGGACTATGATCCTCCTGAGGAGAGGATTCTCATGAAACAAACGCTACATTTGCCTGCCTCTCTACCTGGGAATATTTTCCCAACTTTGCTGCAAGGAGCTGGTGCAAATCAGAGCAGAGTGGGGGCACTGGGCAAAACAGGCAGAGATCAGCATTCACTGCTGCTGAGGTGCTTAGAAACTGGGAGGTGTGGCACCAGAGAGAAGGATGGTAATACAAAGAGTAGACAGTGGGAGATTGTTTTCTGCTATTCTTTGGCTAAGGGCTGAGCTAAGTATTTGAAGGTCTTAGCAGACAGTGACTGCTATAAGACTAAGAATGATGAAAAAATTCCTAGATGTTGAACTTTGCTGGAATACATTAAAATTCCAGCATAGCCACGGTGTAGAGACTGTTAATACTGTGGTATCCACCTTGGACACTAAAACTTTGTGCCTTCAAGAATAAGGACCACACTGTGAAAGACTCCTCTAGGCCTGTCCTAATGAAGTCTAAAATCAATCCATTACAAGATCTGCATGGGTGACCCAGTCTGGAGTCTTTGTCATGATTTGAACATACAGAGTCTATTGCAGTGGAGGGAAAAAAGAAAACCTCTTCCTCTATCCTTCTAGGTTTTCCAGATATGGCTCTGCAAATTATATTGACAAAGGACAGATTAACAAGGACAAAGTAAACAGAGTGTATTCACACCTGCACTCAATGATTAGTCATTCGAAAAGGTGGTTAGAACTTGGGATTGACACAGCATCCCAACAAAGAATGATGAATGTATAGAGAAATAACAAAGGAAAGAAAAAGGGTTTTAGGCTTTCAGGGGCAGCAAACAGTGGGAGAGTACAAATATGATGGACTCACTGAGGAGAAAGGTTTCTGTAGGTTCATCTCATTGCTGACTTCATCTTCCTCAAGGCCACAAAACTTCCCTGGGGAAAAGGAATTAATAGTGGGTTATAACTTCTCAGAAGATTCTGCTCTTAATTAGATAATGGAAACGCCAAGACTTCTTTCTGTATCTGTTGGACCTTAAATGCCTTCAGCTCAAAATAATCATTACACCAAATTGGTTTATGGGGTAGCATATTTTGATTATCCACACTACAAATTTCTAGTACACAATTTAAAACACTACACAGGCATAAAATAAGTAAAATGTTCAATTATAAGGACAAAATATCAAAATAAACAAACAAAAATTACTCTAGTATATTCTCTGACCACAGTATAAAATAGAAATAAATATCAAATAGGCATCTGAAAAAATATTTAAAAAAATACATCATGACCAGTTGGGTTTATGCTATGAAAAAAAAGTTAATTTCAATACATTGTAAATATTTATAAATTTAAGATGAGGGAATGTTATTTTGTTATAACTTTCAAATTGATTTTCATGACTACTTTGAATTTGAGCAATTTTTTATATATTCATTAGCCATGTGTTTTATTTCTGATGAAAATCTTTTTTATATTTTTGGCTCAATATTGTAGGCATTACTATAGTCTGAAAAATCATTATTTTTCCATTTTATTATGCATTTCACTTCAGTTCATGATATGGTTAAGCAGTGTGTCTCCACCCAAACTTCATCTTGAATTGTAATCCCCATACTCCCCACGTGTCAAGAGAGACCAGGTGGACTTAATTGAATCATGGGGGTGGTTTCCCCCATACTGTTCTTGTGATAGTGAGTTCTCACAAGATCTGATGGTTTTATAAGGGGCTCTTCCCACTTTGGTCAGCACTTCTCCTTCCTGCTGCCTTGTGAAGAAGGTATTTTGCTTCTCCTTCACCTTCTGCCATGATTGTAAGTTTCCTGAGGACTTCCCAGCCATGCTAAACTGTGAGTCAATTAGACCTCTTTCCTTTATAAATTACCCAGTCTTGGGCAGTTCTTTATAGCAGTATAAAAACAGACTAATACAGTCCATTTATAGCTTTTATTTTTGTTTTGATATGGTGGCTTTTGACAAACAGATGCCATCTTTTTATCATTCATTTGTGATTATCAAGATCTACTGTCTTGATTTGTACTTTCTGTATCTTATTTAGTAAATTCTCCTCTGCCTGAATGCCATAAAGATATTTTCTAATACCTAAATTTTAAAGTTTTGCTTTTCACAAGGAAGTATTTATGATCAAATCATTCATCCCATTTCTAACAAACTGTAATATCTTTTTATCCTAAACTGTATTAGTTTCCTATTGCTGCTTTAACAAATTAGCATACACTGTTTGGTTTAAAACAATACCGATTATAATCTTACAGGTATGAAATTCAGGAGTCCAAAATGGGTTTCAGTGGGCTAAGATCAATGAGTATGCAGAGCTGTAGTCCTTCGGGAGGACCTAGAGGAGAAGGTGTTTCCCTGACTCTTCCACGTTCTGGAGGTCTCCTTTGTTCTTTGCTTTGTGGCTGCCTTCCAGTTAGCAGTGGTATCATTCTGGTTTCTGCTTCCATCATGACATCTCCTTCTTTGACACTTCTGCCTCCTTCTTTCACTTAGAAGGATCTTTATTATTTATTACATTGAACTCATCCAGATAATCTAGGATAATTTTCTTATCTCAAAATCTTAACCTTAATCACATCTGCAAAGTCCCTTTTGCCATGTATGGTAACATATGCACATATTGCAGGGATAAGGACATGGGCATATTTGGGGGACTAGTTTTCTGCCTACCACACGCATCAGTTTCTAAAAAATATCTGAACATGTTTCTAGCTTCACTTTTTCTTCTAAGGCATTATTTTTCTATCTCCGCCAAACTAGTACCTATATTAAATATTCTTTATTTGAAAGATATGTTTGTTAGAGCAGGTCCACACATCCTGCCTTCTCACTACTGTTTTTATCTAATTGAAACAAATCTTGGCCATCTTGCTACATTTATCATCTGTATAGAATTTAGATTGAATTTATATATCGTAACCCTGGAAAAATCATGTTTGTATATTGATTGAAATTACATTGAGTTCAGAGATTAATTGGGAAAAATTTTCATCTTTATTGTGTAAACTCTTCCAACTCATGGAAATTATTCGTATTTCTATTTATTTTCATCTTTTATCTCTTTTAATAAAATTGTATAATTTTTCGTAGTGAGCTTTTCCATCACCTAGTAGATTACCTTTAAGTTTTCTATGTTTTTTTGCTATTCTAATGGTTTTATGATGGTTTTTAATTGTTTGGAGTTAGTATACAAATTTACTTTATATGTTTATAAACTCTTGCATAATTATTGTTACAATGTATATTTATTGAGTATATTGGATGCAAATATTTTAGGATTTGTTCTTGGTGCTCCCAAACACAAAGAATAAAATAGAAAAATTGAACTTCATTAAATTTAGCTTCTAGCAGAAAGACAATAAGGAAATATGTACGTATAATATATGATTTATTAAATAGTATGTAAAATAGGAAAAAAGAAAGCTCAAAGAGTAAAGACGGAGTTGGGCATTGGGTTAGAGTTTCGGATTATGGATTGGGTAGGAACAAGACCTCACTGAGAAGGAGACAGTTGAGTAAATATTTGAAGGAATTGAGAGAAATCCAATGGGAAAGTGTATCAAGCAGAAAGGACAGCAAATGCAAAGGTCCTGACCTGGTAGGATGCCTCACATACTCACGGAATAGCAAGGAGTTCAGTGTGGCTTGTGGGATGCAAACGAAGGGAAGAGAAACAGAAAATGAAATGAGGGAGGCAAGAGGTAGGGGGCATAGCATGTCAGACATTTTAAGCCATTGCTAAAATCTCAGTTCTTGCTATTTGTGAGCAAGAAAACTACCAGAAGGTTCTGAGAAAAGGGTTTATGTGACTAAAGTTTTAGCATGTTTTCTTTGCCTGTTAAGATGAGAACACTTCATAGTTGGCACTGTGGAAGCAGTAACAATGACTTAGGACCTCTCAATAATTTGGGTGAGAGATGATAGTTGCTTAGAATGGACTGTAGTAGTGATGACTATAAGAAGTGGCCAGGTACAAGATACACTTGGTAATCATTTTCAGATTGTCCCATTACCTTATACATTTGAGAATTGAAGGACTAATTTTCCTACTTGTTTCTCTTACTGATTCTGATCACAATGGCTTGTAAGTTTTTCTTTTTCTTTTTCTTTTCTTCTTTTTTTTTTTTTTCGAGAAGGAGTTGTTCATTCTTGTTGCCCAGGCTAGAGTGCAATGGCGCGATCTCAGCTCACCTCAACCTCCATCTCCCGAGTTCAAGTGATTCTCCTGCCTCAGCCTCCTGAGTAGCTGAGGTTACAGGCATGTGCCACCATGCCCAGCTAATGTTGTATTTTTAGTAGAGATGGGGTTTCTCCATGTTGGTCAGGCTGGTCTCGAACTCCTGACCTCAGGTGATCTGCCTGCCTCGGCCTCCCAAAATGCTGGGATTATAGGCATGAGCCACCGCGCACAGCCGTAAGTTTTTAATGTAAACTCATTTTTGGCAGATGTTTGTTTTGTATGATGAGACAAAATGTTTTTCAGGTTATGGCTACGTCCTTTCACAGTAGTTATTGTTGTGGTTTTGTTTTGTTTTTAGCAAAGTGCCTTATGAATTTTATGTTAAATTTTGTCCTCGTGTTCTCCTCCATGAAGAAGGCTTATAATTTAGATTTAAGCTCTATAGTTGATGTACACTTGGTTTTTAATGATTTCTTTGTTTTTCACAGTAGACTTTTATTTGTCTATCCAGAATTTGGGTAGAGATAAACCTTGTGCCACCTCCCTGAACAAACAGTAATGGTTTATTCTCCTTTTCTTGAATGTAGAATTTTTTGAAAGCCCCACCACTATGAAAAGGTTTTACTCCCACTCTACACATTACAGTTACAAATCATAGTTTGTTTTTTAGAGCTTAGATTTAGTTTAGGTCACACTCTCTTCTGCCCCTTCCCACACTGACCAGTGGCCTCGTCTTCTCAACTCATAAGCCCACAAATCTGTTGTTGGTTTGTCTCTATTTATAATATCTGAAGATTTTTTTTCTTTCTTTCTTCTTTTATTTTGGTAGGATCACTTATACATTTTTGAAATGTTATATTTTCTTTCTAGATTTTCTAATGTTTACAGGGAAAGGTTATAAAGAGCACTCAGATCAGAGAGTAGTTTTATTTTGCATACATGTATCTTTTGATTGCAGTATAACCATAGATAAGTAAACACTATTGTTCCTGTTCTTATGCCTCTGTTATTAAACACAAATACACACAAATACACACACAAGCACTCTCTCTTACTTACACAAAAAAATGAATTCAGAAATACAGAATACCTGCAACAAGATTTCTGCATGGTATTCATTAACATTACTGACCTTAAAAAGTACCCAGTGAGACCAACCAAAGGTCCTTGTAAAACAAAGTTCATTGTAAGAAGAAAAACTGCTAAATACATATACCTTAAATATATTCCTTATAGATATTTTACACACATTTTGATGTAAGCAAAATGAATAAACAAGTATCTGTATATATAGTCATGTTACCTGGTACATTTATTTTAAAAGAGGACTGTTTATGTGGAAGCAAATTGTATGCCACAGAGGTTTGGAGAGAGATATTCTTTCATATTTTTAAGATGATTCAGCTGATGTTGTCTTTATTGCCTTTGCCTAAAGCAAGTTACAATGTAAAAGCTGAATGTATTGTCAATGACAAAATGCCACAGCAGAATCAGATTTTAGAGATGGGTGGATTAAAAAAAAGTGAAGTAAAGCCATTTTCTCAAAATAAACAAGTAAATAATAATCTAAACTGAAAATTCCCAAAGAGAATGATAACACCACGAAGCCCTGAATACTTGTTGCATCCGCACCTTTTCAATAAGAAGAATATCTTTGTTAGATTAGACAGTAAACAAATATTTGATAATAAATGAATTATTGTATTATTTAAAAGGAACAGAATGTGGATTAATCATGTCTGGAAAGTTAAAAACTAAATAAATTTTGTTGTCTTCAATATCCAGAAATTTATAACCATGAAAAAGTAAAAGGCAGAAAAGAAATACCTAGTAGAATGTTGCAACTTCCAGCTCCTTTGTACCTAACAGGTAGGTGTTTGATTTACATAATAACGCTTTTGCATTTGCATTTTGAAGGATAACTGTAACAAATCACTTCTATTGATAAATTATAGAAAAAGTCATAAAATAATTTTAATTAAAGCTTTTAAGTTAAAATGTTGCTAGATTAGAAATCCCAGAAAAAAATTATTTTAAATCTTCTCCCATTTTTTAGCCTCTCAGCTTTTTTATGAAAAGAAAATCTTTGTGATTATAATAGCATACAAATTAAGACACATAGTCAAATTATTGAATTGGTGAAGGATTTTTTGTTCTACTATTTGTATGGACATTGAATGAGAACTACACCTTGCATATTTCAGAGCAGAAACCCCTCTTAAACACAGAAATCCCTTTGTTTTAATAGGAGGTAGGGAAAGGTGTTGATCTGGTGGTGTTCTTGTGACTGTTTAACAATAGGCTTTGCAGAAATGCAAGCTCTCATTTGTAGTATTTGCCTCTCTCATACTGTAAATATTTCCACAATGTTCCTGTTTAAGCCACCAGTGTATCATTCATGAACAGGGAGTTGGAAAGAAGTGTGCTTAACAGGCTCCTTGAAAGCCTGTGTGAGCAGTCACCATTACACCAACTGTGCCTCTAGACAAGTAGACAGGAATATAGGCAAGGAGCAAGGGAAGTGCAGTACGTGGAAGAAAATGTGACTTTTCACGTATGACATCTGAGATAAATATCATTTCCAGGCAACAGAAGAAGAAAGTTCTGATTTTTTCTATCAAAATTGAAAGGCTTCATTAATAGAATACTTGCCAAACAGCAGCAATTGGGAGTGAAGTTCTACAAATTGTTCTGCTCTGTAGCAGAAAATTTTAGAATTCTCAGGTGCATCATAAAAAAAAGATAAGTAATTTTCATCTTGATTCTTAAAAGACATTACATTTATACAAAACTCTTTAGAAAAGTATAAACAAATATGTACTTTTTTATATTTACTGTAAATATGTATGTACATATTATATTTACTGTAAATATGTATATACATATTATATTTACCAAACACAGATACATAAAATATACTAAACATAAGAATATGGCAAAAACAGTATAACTCTGAATATGATTGCCAGTAAAAAAAGAAAAAAATAATATATCTACTCAATCACTTTAAGACAAAATCAAGAGACCACTGGAAAAGAACAAAATAAGACTCAATGAGAAAAGTTTCATTTCTATTGAAACAAGTGTTGATGTAAGGAAGTTCTGCAAGTTAACCACAATGTAATAGCAAAATTAAAATTAAATTATTGAAGTCAATCATAAACACAATGGAAACTTCAGGTAATCAAATTATTGGTGTGGAATACTCCCACTTTTAAAATACTCATTTTAAAAGTCCTATGAGGAGGCTGGGCACAGTGGCTCACACCTGTAATCCCAGCACTTTGGGAGGCCGAAGCAAGTGGATCACCTGAGGTCAGGAGTTTGACACCAGCCTGAGCAACATGGTGAAACCCTGTCTCTACTAAAAATACAAAAATTAGCCGGGCCTGGTCGTGGGTGCCTGAAATCCTGGCTACTCAGGTGACTGGGGTGGGAAAATTGCTTGAACCCGGGAGGCGGAGGTTGCAGTGAGCCGAGATTGCACCACTGCACTCCAGGCTGGGCAACAAAGCCAGACACTGTCTCAAAAATAAATAAATAAATAAATAAGTCCTATGACAATGGAAAAGAAAAGTAGAGATGAAAATTATAAAAGGTGTGAAGTTTTAAACCCTGGATAGCAAAGATCCAACATCTGGATAATACACGTTCCTGGAAGAAAATGTTTAAAGAAGAGAATATATAAAATATTTTAAAAATCAAATGTATACTGAGAGGTAGCCTCCCTTTCTTCTTTGTATCTTGCTAGCCCCTAACCAGGCTGCAAATTTGGCAAAATTAAGCACTACTTTTGTTTGATGAGGTAGATGGAGTAGGCCCTGACTGAGGTGAAAAGTGGCATGGTAGGGGCCAGTTGGGCTCCGACTAAGGAAATGGTAGTTGTGTTTGGGATGTTGGTCACATATACAATGATTGATCAGATAAATAAATAATGGTCTGATGAAAATGGGAGCCATATTTTTTAGCAATGAAGAAATTTATAAAAATAGAAAGAAGATTTGAATGAATCCCGTGGTGTTGAAGTAGAACTTTAGAGGTAGTGACAGGAAGGCATATAGGTACATGACTGATAGATAGATAGATAGATAGATAAATAGATAGATAGATATGCATGTACATAAAATATATACACACACATACAGAGAGAAGAGACAGAAGTAAAAATAAATGTAATTAAATTATAACAGGGAAACTCCTACTATGCATAAGTTCTTTGAATCTTGCTATTTTTCTCTTGATTTATATTATTTCAAAATAAAAAGCTGAAATAATGTATTTGGAAGACAAATTCCTAAATAAAATAAAATACTTGCAATTAGAAGAGATTAGTTGAAATAAGGCATTCTTCTTATTTCTGCCTTAACACACAATATAGCCATACTTTTATTTAATATAATAAATATTTACTTGGGAAAATTTTTTTAATACATGTAAGTAAAAGTGTAAAAATTTAATTCTGCCACCCAGAGAACATTGCTATTGCCATTTTGTTTCTCTTCTTTCTAATGTTTTCCAGTGCTGTATAGCATGCAGTTCAAAGGAAAATTTTTGTGGTCTAGAGAACTCAACTGAAATTCAGATTCTACCACTCATTACTGCTATAGACTTGTCTAGCTACTTAGAGTTTTGGTCTCATTTTCTATATATACAGCATAAATAATGATATCAATATTATTAAGTTATAGTAAAAATAAAATACATTATAAAATATGCTCCAATATCCCACTTATAATCTATTAAAATCTATTTCTCATAATCTTGCATCTATAGTAACCTGATCATGGCTAAAACTTTGAACTTTTGGTGAATTCACCTCATAAAGCTAAATGTTTTACTTCTGGAAGATCAAAATATTTAAAAACATCATTCTTATTATAAGTCAAATTAATCTTCTTTTATAATTTTCAACCATCCTTCTTAGTATGTTACTTCGAGGTGACAGAATGGATTCATTGTTCCTGCTATTCAAAAGCAATTCAAATATTTGAATGCTGCTACCATGTCATTTAAGTATTGCCTTTTCAAGGTTAATATTCCTAATCTAGTCAGTCATTTCTTCTGTCTTCTCTTTCAGATACTTTGTTTTTCTAGACACTGTCTAATTTACCAAAGTGTCTCTTAAAATTTGTATCCCAAGAGTAAAACGTAACAGATACTGTCTGATCAGAAAGTTTAATAAGACTGTTGCTTCCCTTGATAACTAAATTATCTTAATTTAACTTTATAAAATGTTCAAATATTTACTATTTCTGTTTCACTGATTTATAAACAATATTATGTGAGGAAGTTTACAAATGGTTGGATCCAGGAAATCGAGTTATTAAGTTATTATGCAGGAGAGAAGCATGGACTTTTGAATGGGATCACATGGCTGGGCAGGTAAATAAGGGTTATGAAATTGTCAGGGAAATGAACACAAGATGCCAATAATTGCTTACCAGCCTCCTGGACCTTATGAATCCTAATAGAAGTTTTAAAGAACATTGAGAATGATTGTACTTCGTCAGAACAATCAAAGCAATATTCCAGTTTTCAAAGTGCAAAGGAAAGGTGCATCCCATATGTACAGCCTCATTCACCTTGGTTCTTGGGGTCATCTGTGTAATCAATTCCTCTGGACTTCAAATATTCTTTCCCTGCTCAGCAAACATCTCTTTCCCACTTGTCAAACTGAATTGGCACTGTGAAAACACATCCAACTTCATTCAATTCAGGAAGCTGGTCAATGCCTCTCTTTATATCTGGTGCCCATAATTGGAAAAAGATTTTGGATAATATTACTAAGAGAGGGTAGAGTAGAATACAACTATTACTTTTCATATTTAGGAAAATCTGCTGCTTTTAACTTAGTCTTAGATTTTTTTCTCTTTTTATAATATATGATTACCTTGAAATGTTCCATGCAGTTTTCAGCAAGACCCTGTTTATTACCACCCCTCAGCTGGGTTCTCATTGCTTCTCTATAATATGTTTTTCATCCTCTTCTCCTGTTTTTCTTTTCTACCACATATAACACTCCATTTGAAAAGGTGAAGCAAGATATTTTATGGTGAGAGAAAAAGAAAATAAGGACAAGAAATAAACTCATCATTAGTGTGTTCATTTTTGTAAGCAGGTACTCCTTAAGCAACTATTATGTGAATGGAGCTGTGTTAAGCACTGCAGGTACAATAATGCACTACACTGTTGTGGTGCCAGCCATTTTAGGGCTTATAACCAAGTGATTATGACCAGTGAGTGGTTCCATGAGACAGTAGCAATGGTTTCATGAAATACTGGAACAGATATGCTATTAGTAAAGGGATATTGGATAATCTAATATTTTATTATTATGTATACAATACATTTAGACTATGTGAAAATAAAATCAGTAACAGTTATCAATGGGATGTAGGGGTATTTTACAAAGAAAATAAGCCAAATCTATTTTGTAAAAGCTGATTTATTGATAGTAAAGCCCACTTCAAACTAGAAAAGAGAAAGGAGAAAAATAATACTGTACCACATACGAACTGATCTAGGTCATTTTGTGCTGTTACATTTTTTGTGTGATAAAATATACATAACATAAAATTAACTATTTATCCACTTTTTAATGTACACTTTAGTGTCATTAAGTGCATTCACTACATTGTGCAACCATCACTACTACTATGCATCTCCACGTCTTTTTCATATTCCCAAACTGAAGCTCTGTACCCATTAGACAACTTCCCATTCCCATCTGCTTCCAGCCCCTTGTAACCTCTATTCTACTTCCTGTATCTATGTATTTGACTATTTTATGCACTTCAGATAAGTGAAACAATAGTTGCCTTTTGCCTCTGGTTCTGGTTTATTTCACTTAGCATAATGTATTCAAGATTCATTCATGTTGTAGTCTTTATCAGAATTTCATTTCTCTTTAAGGCTCAGTAGTAATCTCTTGCATGTATATACCACATTTTGTTTATCCACTGATGGACATTTTGTTTATCTGTTGATGGACATTTGGATAGCTTCCACCTTTTGGCTGTTTTGAATAATGCTGCTGTGAACATTGGTGTAAAAATTTCCATTTGAGTCCATGCTTTTAATACTTTTAAACATATATTTGGAAGTGGAATTGCGGGATCATATGTGTGCTATTAATTTTTAAGTGATTTTGTATCAAAAATTATGAATATAAATTCAATTAATAAACACTTATAACAAATTGTTTTTAGTTTTTAAATAATTCTGCATAAATTAATCTAAGGAAAATTACATGAAGCAGTTATAAATCTGTGAGAGCAATGAAGATGGGAGGAATTATATATTCATATAGTTGTAAGTGAACAAAGTTTAAATTTGGGTTCCATAGAAATAGAGAAGACTTGCCCCACATGCTTGCAAAATTGAACTGGTCTTAATTATGCAAACATAGACTATTTTTTAAAATTTCGATAACAGTGTACTATCACAGCATATTGTTACACTGCTTTAAGTCACCATATATAAGAAATAAAGTAAAATAAAAGCTCCTAAGATATGTCTAATTATTCCCTTGCAAAGCTTGATACTGTAAATTTCCCTGGAATGGTGATATTCACATGTATTAAACAATATCACAAATTGGTGGGTTGATCTGGTACTTACTGAGCTAAATGCTCCCAAGAAGCAAATCACAGCAATATTTAAAAGTTTTAGGGGCCAGGCGCAGTGGCTCACATTTGTAATCTCAGCACTTTGGGAGGCAGAGGAGGGTGGATTACAAGGTCAGAAGTTTGAGACGAGCCTGGCCAATATGGTGAAACTCCGTCTCTACTAAAAATACAAAAATTATCCTGGCATGGTTGCAGGCTCCTGTAGTCCAAGCTACTCAGGAGGCTGAGGCAAGAGAATTGCTTGAATCCGGGAGGTGGAGGTTGCAGTGAGGTGAGATCGCGCCACTGCACTCCAGCCTGGGCAACAGAACAAGACTCCGCCTCAAAAAAAAAAAAAAAAAAAAAAAAAGCTTTAAGCTTTAGTAACTCTTTTACATCCTCTAAGGCATTTTATAAAATAGCAGTAAATCAATAAAATTTGAAAGTGGGCAGCATGTTAACCTTTGAACCCATGTTTTACTTTAGGATTCTATTTAACAAATAAAGTTTGAGGCTGTATATTGTACAACTGTACAACTTTAGGTAATGAGAGATGAGTTTGGAGAAGTAATGCTAGTAGATGCAGTCTTTATCTACTTTCTCCTGTGTAACTTGATTCTCGCCCAGTACTTGAAATACTGTCAATATACTGAACCTTCAATCAGTATTTCCAGTACTAAATCCTCAGTTGATACAGGTTCATGTATCAAATTGCTTTCTGAACAGCTCCACTTAAATGTCTAATGGGTGTTTTACATTTAACGTTCTCAGTACACTCCTCCCTCTCCCAAACCTTGCCCCAGTAGCAGTCAGTTTTAGGAAATGGCCAAACCATGAACTCCAGTGACACAAACAGTGGAATAAATCCTGAGTGGTATGTTTCCCTGACAGAAAGTGCTTCAGGAGCAAGTCAGCCCCTAAAACTCATAACAAATCCAGACACTTTTGGCTACTTATAGCTTTCCTAGTCTAGTCTATGTCACACTAGTCATATTCTCTCACTCGGACTTAGGAACATAGTATCCTAATTAGTTTCCTTTTTTTCTCTGATTGTCCTCTTCTTTTTCTCACCTATAATCCATTCACCACTCTCCTTAATTGCTGCTATAATTTTCTCTCACTTATTTAAAAATCCAAAATCTTTATTATGGTTCTTTGTATGAATGGATCCTGCCCTCTTCTCCAACGTGCATCTTAACTTGCATGCAGACTTCAGAGTAATTAGCATTTTAAAAATTTTAATGTGTTAGTGTTTTGTTTTTCTATCAGTTTTCTTTATCATCTTCTTTAATGTTAGGTGATTAATTTTTTTAAGTGACAGCATGCCTATGGAGTAAATCATAACATTAAAACTTGGTCAATTTCCTATCAATTTATTTTATATATGATGGATTTCAGTAGGTAAATGATTCAATTTTGGCCAGAAGTGTGCTGAGTGACTTCTGGGTAAGAGTTTATTTTCCTGAAATTAAAAAAAAGAGAAATGAGGAAAAGAAGTATCTTTTCTTCCTACCTGGAGTGCCATTATAACAAGAAATGGTGCTTTGAAATGTATCAGTCATCTTGTAAGAAAGACTGTCAGTGTAAAGACAAAAAATAAATGAAAAAACAAGCAGAAATATGCTGAAGCTGGCAGGACATCTGGGTCTTTGGTGATACTGGTATACAGAGTGAACCAATTTGAAATTTCTTATAATGTGAAATTAAAAATCTATTAAGATATTGTATCAATTATCTATTGCTGATTAACAACTTGCCTTAAAATTTAGTCACTTAAAATAACAATTCCTTGTTGCTCCAAAATTCTATATATTGGGTCTGCAGTTCTTTTGATCTTGGTCAAGCTAGATTGATCTTGGCTGGACTTGATCATGCAACCATGATCATCTAACAAATCAGCTGCATTTCACTTTGGCTCTTCTTGGCTGAGCTTTCTCATATAAGTTTTGGGTCCATGGCTTGCACAAATGAGATAAATAAACTAAGTTCTGCATAATGTTTTATCTTCCAACAGGCTAGTTTGGGCTTGTTGTCATGGAAATAGCAGGAGTCCCAACTACAAGAGTTGCAGTGTCAAGGCCTCATCTTATAACTGGCACATAGTCACTTCCACCATATTCTTTTTGCTAAAGAAAGTCACAAAGTCAGCCCACGTTCAAGTAGAGGGGAAATTGACTCCACCACTTGATGTGAAGAGTTGGAATATCATAGTTATTGTTTCCTGTGAATTGCCATAGCATATTTCCTCACACTAACAACTCTGTATTTCTTCCCGAATTCTGAAATATTCTTTTGTTGGCTCTTCCTATACTGGATTCATTACATTAAGTTTTCCATTTAAGTGTTATTTCCTTAGAAAGACTTTATCATTTGTCAAATAGCTCTATTCTCTTCATCAGTTACTCTATTTTCTCAATAGAATATGAACTTTGTAAAAACAGGAACTTTACTTTGTTTATGCCAGTAGTTTATATACATTTTCTGTTATGTGAAAAGTACAAAATGTTTTTTTCATGGTTAAAGAAATAAAAGAATAAATATGTTATCACTGCAATGAGAAGAGTGATTTTTTATTTTCCCAACTTGTTTTATGTGTTTATGAGAGTAGACTTTATTATTAGTTTGGAAATGGGTAATGAGGGGAATAAATACTATAAATCTCAATCATTTTAATCAGTCCTTTGCCATTGATACACACACACACAGACACACACACACACACACACACATACACACACT
The DNA here is from genome assembly GCF_000001405.40 of Homo sapiens. Taxonomy (NCBI): domain Eukaryota; kingdom Metazoa; phylum Chordata; class Mammalia; order Primates; family Hominidae; genus Homo; species Homo sapiens. Next base: position 33,825,308 of record NC_000004.12, read on the forward strand.
CACACTATATTTATATATGTATATAGTCCCAACTACATGAGTTGCAGGAGTCCCAACTACATGAGCATATATATATATATATGTAGCGTGTGTGTGTATATGTATATATATGGAAAATATATAATTATATATGCATATATGTGTAATTATTTTGACAAATTAGAACAAATATATTCACTCTTCTAATTCTTGAACTTGTTTACATATTTTTTCCTGCATACAATGTATATCCACCATTTTTCTTTTTAGTATATAGGTTTTTCTTTTTTTATTTCCAAGCAAATATCATCTTTTAAAAAAATTTTTGTGTTCCTACTAGATAAGCTGTTTTCCTCCACTGGATCTCTTTAATTATCTCTTTGTATACCTAATGTGGAACTTGGCATACCTTGTTTTTTCAGTTATCCAAACATTGATTTATGTCCCCACAAGTTAAAAGGTAATTTTCTGAAAATCTGAGTCTGTCTTACTCTCATTTCTTTATTTACTATAATTTATTACATGTATATAGCAAGCCATCAATAAATACTCATTAATTTGAGTTTAAGTATGTGATATATAGTCAGTCTGATAGCATAGATGTCTGATTTAATTTTGAAACTAATTGTAAGATGAAATGCAGTTTCTATTTTTGCCTTATTGAATTTGATTATGCTACTTAAAACTTAATGTCCCTGTGCAATCTCTCTAAAGGAGGTTCTTACTTTTTGTAATTTTGCAAGCTACAATAACATTGCATAGGCACATTGATACAATGGCCTAGTTTGCTTTCTCCTAGCAATTGTTTAAAGCTTGTTCCATGTTCCTACTTCTGTTGGCTTTCTCTCCTTCATTATATCTTATTTCCCATTATGCTGCCTTCCAATCACTGAATTCCATTCCCACTGGCTCAGTGCTGGGATCTCATCTTTCTCAAATTCCCAGAACCTTCCCAGATAAACACCTTCAGTTACAATCACTCCTTTCCTCTTCAACAGAGGCCCCTAACAATAAACAACTTACTCAACAGGTAGCTGAAAAATGATTCTCAGATGAGCTTAGTGTAACAAGGAACTTGGATGTAATATGTTTTTTACTCTTTGAATTCCCATTAATCTCCTCATTGTAGAGGAGTAGACTTTGATTTTGCCCATAAGCAGAACTTAGGCAGTGTGATGTCTAGTACAGAAATGTTCTGCAGTATTAAATATATCCCATCATGTACTAAGAAGCTACTTCAGCAGCATAATAAACTAAACACCACTATGGTGTCAACATAAATGAGTAAACAACAAATAAATATTTAACACATAAAAATAAAATTTTAGATTTTGATTTATATAAGGTATTTATAAATGTGTCCTCTTAAAGTATTTTTTGAGGATGAGAAACTGAAAAGTAGTTCCAAATATACACAATTTCAAGAACAAGAGGATTTAGAAACTTCCATTTATAAATACCTCCAAACACAGACAAAAATATGAGCTTGAAGATGTCTACCAACTTCCCCATTCTGTCTCTTGTCTTCCTTTTTTCTTTGAGAATCTTAGACTCTACACCCACATACTATCCTCCATTCTGTTCCTGAAGAGTCTTGAACTCAGGACCTAACAGATTTAAAGTTATAATAAAGATCTTATTTTTTACAAGGCCGTGTGAATATTAGTTGGTACAACTGAAAGTCAAATAGATATCAAACATTCAAAAAAACAAAGAAAGAAAAAAATAACATACCATAAAATAATTGACAAAGGTTTCACTCTTTGGACAGAGAATGCTACCTTCCCTCTCCTTTAGATTTCTCTATGAAGGTCATTGTCAACTCAGCCAACCTATTAATTTAGCTGCTTAGCCCAAAGTTGTGTTTCCTTCTTTGTTACAAAAATCCATCTCTCTGTGTGTGTGTGTGTGTGCATGTGTGTGTGTTATGTGACAGAGAGAAAGAGAGAGAGATGAATTGAAAGAGAGTGAGATAAGAGAAAAAAAGAATAATTTTAACAAAATCTACACTGACACAGGTAAATTTCAAATAATGCAAAAACTATAATAGTATATACCATATTATGAAATCGTGAAAAAAATATGAGTCTGTTTTAAAATAACTATTCTCTCTGAGTCTCTCTCTCTCTTTCTCTCATGCATTCACATATACATACACACATACACACATACGATTATACACACATACTCACAAGCTTTCATTCTCAAATAGTAGACTAGAATGCTCAGAGAAGACCAGGTCATTCTGAAATCTTACCTGAAGTCTTAATGTTTCATCAAAGTCCCTAACTATGCTCCCCATCAGTAGCTCCCCTATCTCTTATTCTCCAAAATGCTTGACTACAACATTTGAGCGGTTATTCCTTTTCCTTTATCTTCCATTAAAAAATCTGAAGAGGACTCTAGAAAATATGTCCTCCTTCTGAGGGAGCAAGGGAGATTAGAATACATTTTCCAACCTTTATTCTGTCTGCAGAATATTAGATGTTCCAAAGTCATTTTAAGTCCTAAATTGCCATAGTCCATTTGAATCCAGTACTGTGTCCCTGTTGGCAGAACCATTCTCTAAAACTGCAATGGAATTTTTAAAATTGATTTTCTTATTTATAGTCATCTTAACATACCTGTAGTTACATCCATGATATTTTGCATATGCAAGCCTATCTCTAAATTAAAATAGTTTTATTAAACTACCAGACATTCATGTAAAAGTCCATCCTTGGTCTCTTTCCATGGAGCTCTTTTGTCCAACTGAAAGGAATTATGGCATGTTGCTTAATTAGTTGGTTTCAATGAGGATATGAAAGCTATTCTCTGGATTTTGTCTAAATCAAAGACTGACTCCTAATTGGACTTGTCACTCAAAGCATTTCTTAATTTATCTTTTATAAGTTGGATATGAAAAATACTTACATCTTAATCCTGCAAGTCCGATAATTTCTGGATTTTTTCTCTTTTAATTCTTCTAAGCTGGCCAATGCTTTTCTGAGCTCATCTTTTTCTTGTAGCACTTTTTGTAGCTCTAGTAAATGTAGCTAATTAGTGGTTGGGGGAGAGAGTGATATGCTAGTAACATCACCAGGAGCCTGTTTGCTTAATCAATCGCCTTTTAGGTACTTGCAGCTAATAGTTTTACCAAATGGTTTGTTACTGCATTTTATTCAACCTTTAATAATAAATCCCTTGCTGCCTTGAGCCCGACTCCAAAACCAAAGCCACATAATTTAATAAAAGCTTTCTATTTATAAGTAATGATTACTTTATTACTTAGCTCTTGCTGGGCTAAGTTGTGATATCAAGAGACATGAAAGTCTCGAAATCATAATGGTGAAAACAAAAAGATTTACTTGATTTTCTCCTTACGTGGTGGTAACAAGTAGACTACCGCTCTGTTCAATGTCCTGTTTAATCCAGAGCCCAGGGTAAAGAGGCAGCCTTGTTTGAGTACATGGTGGCCTCATGGCAGAGGGAAGAGAGCTGTAGCAACCATTAAATGGATCTTTCATCTTTTACTCAGAATTTGCAAAAACTTTAAATCATGTTCCATTAGCCCAGGTATTATGGACTAAATTTTGTCCCCCCAAAATTCACATGCTGAAGCATATAACAGCCCATGTGAGTGTATTCAAGGATAGGCCTTTAAGGAGGCAATTAAGGTTAAATGTGGTCATAAAGGTGGGGCCCTAATCCAATAGGACTAGTGTCCTTTTTTTTTCGAGATGGAATCTCGCTCTGTCGCCCCAGGCTGGAGTGCAGTGGTGAGATCTCGGCTCACTGCAAGCTCCGCCTCCTGGGTTCACGCCATTCTCCTGCCTCACCCTCCCGAGTAGCTGGGACTACAGGCACCCGCCACCACGCCCGGCTAATTTTTTGTATTTTTAGTAGAGGCGGGGTTTCACCGTGGTCTCGATCTCCTGACCTCATGATCTGCCTGCCTCGGCCTCCCAAAGAGCTGGGATTACAGGCATGAGCCACCGTGGCCAGCCAGGACTAGTGCCCTTTTAAGAAGAAAGCAAGAGACACCAGGGATGTGTGGACCCAGAAAAAAGGCCATGCAAGGACACAAAAAGAAGGTAACCATCTGCAAGCCAAGGAGATAGGCTTGGGGAGAAAACAAGCCTACAGGCACTTTGATCCCAGGCTTCCAACCTCCAGAACTGTGAGAAATCAATGTTGTTTTAGCCTCCTAGTCTACAGTAGTTTCTTATTACAGCACAAGCTGACAAATGCACCAGCTAAGTCACATCCTCAACCCTGACAGTAGCGGTGTGAAGTATATTCCTCCCACAGAGAAGCAGTGGGTGTTATATGGTATTAGCAAGGAATATATGAGCTGCTTTGATGAAGACAGCAATAATTTTGAACAATAATCTTATCTAGCATGGGTATTTTGCTGGCTAAGTGTGAAGAGATATAAAAATAATTTTAAACTTGGTTCCAATTTTCACTTGACCTAGTATTTTAATTGTAATCAGCATTTATTATCTAGACTGGTATAACACACATCCAAATTCCTAAAATCTGTGAGCTTTTTAATGGAATAAAAAAGATGAAAACAAAACAGATTCCAGAAGCACTGAAAATATAATTATAATTATTCAAAAGCAAAATTATTAAAGATATACTTCAATTTTACATTTTTAGATATGGGCCATTAGCTGTGAAAATGTAAGTTGTATAATAGGTGTGTCTTTGGACTCGTGGGTGAAGCCTCCAATATCAAAAAGTCTTGTACGATACATTTATATTTTAACAATTAATATGTTGTCCCATATAAGTTAACATAGATATATGAGTATTCACCAATCATGAGCCCTGTTCTTCACAAAATGTTTAATCTTTAAGGAAAGACGGAGGTGGAAAGATACTTCCAATTATGAACATTGACTAATAAAAGCAGAGACTTAAGGGATAAGTAAGGTAGTAGATCTCCAGAGATGGTAGAAATGGATATTTTAAGAAGAAAAGGGTAATAAGCCCTAAAATAAATCTCAAAACTTTTTTTCATTAATTTAAATAGAAGAAACAGGATGTTGTTAGCTACTTATTCATCTTAGAAATTCTTGCATGGTTTAATCGGCCCTGCATATACATGGAGTGACAGGTGATAATTCCCTCCCTACTGTTCCGAATTAGGGGGCCAGAATACCACTTCCCTTCTTTTCTCATGGTCTTACTGGAATTACATTGTGTTTTGATGGTAGCTGGTTTAAGGCAAAAGACATAAAGGGAATACTAATGGTCTACATTTATGTGGTTTGAAGAAATCATATATTGCTATATATTAAAGGTATCAATGTAAATATAATTATGCCCTTTTGCTACTTCAAAATTTGACTGTAACATTGAGGGCTATGGTTTTAAAACTGGTTATGTGAGCAGAAATGCATGGTTCCTGAAACTATTTCCACATGCCCTGAGGTTTAGTAGAAGCTTCAAATTTCCTACTGTTTTTCCAATTGAACTTCAGTGCTTATCTAAGGTCCATGTTAAAGTAGCTCAAAAGCTTTCTTGTAAAAAAAAAAAAAAGATATCCATAGCTAAAGTGTAGTTGAAAACCTCCATGAAATTCTTTACCTTCACATACCATATTTTTATGTTCTGTTTCCTCTTTATAACCATTTAAAACAATCTTGAAGCATTTTGTTAACTTTATTATGTTTTCTTTGCCCAGATGCTTTATTCAGTCTACAACTCCCACATTTTACATAACACCACTTATCACATTGTACATTTATTTTCTTAGCAGTATGGAGAACAAAATTTCACAACTGGCCATGAAACAAGGGCACATGGAGAACTGGGGCAAATTTAGTATTTGGGAGTGTACCTCAGTGAGATAGAAATATATCTAATTGATATAGACAAGGTCTAGATAATAAGTAAGAAGGAGATGTCTCTTGCATGCACAATCTTCCACTAAAAGCACTTGAAAGGGTTAAATTTTGAGACAAAAGAGACAACTCTAAAACTTCAGGATCTCAGCTTACTCTTGGTCATTGCTCATGCTCTACCAGACATTGCCCCAAACAGCTAAAAGTGTAAGCCTTGATCTCTGTGGTATTTTACAACTTCAAAGCAAAGGAGCTCAGAGATGGAAAACTGAGGCTCAAAGAAGTCAGGACAATGTGGTATTGGAAAAGAAGAACCCTTAAAATACCAATTGATCTTTCCTCCTACCTTTAAGTTGAATGGCTCATAAATTATCTCATATGTCTCTACATCTTACAAGAAATAAAATTCTATGGTTACATGGTCCTCTGACTAAAATTCCATTAGAAATCTACAGACAAAAATCTCTTCTTCATGTCTCTCATATTAAGTCTAAGCTACATCTGACTTCAGCGAAGATGGCAAACAGCTGTTCCTCTTCCTTAAGCTCACCGTATATTTAGCAAAAACTCTATTAAACAGCCCTTCCTCTCTCTTCCTTAAGCTGAAATCAAATTATATTTTATCATTATTTTAGCTTGGCATTTATCTTACACAATTAGCCTCTTTTTCTTATTAATGTTGTGTGTTTTTTTACAAGGATTTTTGTAGGTCATGTGAGTCAGTGCAACATGAAGATAAATTGCTCACAGTAGGGAAAAAAATAGCAAAAAAGATGGGATTGACGAAGAGGAAAGGAAATTGGTCAGGTTAGCTAATGAGCCAAGAATGTGAGAAGATATATTTACTGACTTTTTTTTTCTTCCTTTCTGCATCTATAAAGTATCTCCATTTAACAACCTCCTGGGTTTACAAATGTGTAACAAGAAAAAAAAATTTGAAGAATACTTTTCTGTCCCTAATTACCAATTTTGCCCTGGCAACCATCTACTAAAACTAATAATAAAAAGAAGAAGCATGACTTGTTTCTCCTACAGTTGGCTGAATTTAGTTAAATTAAAAATAAAGTGTTATTGACATTAGCTTCAGAAGATAAAGATCCAAAGCTGACTTGAGCAGTGAGTTAACCAGAAAGTGATTAAATTCTGTGAATATATATGATGGGCCTTATGTCCGAAAGATTTTTATATTGACTCTTCTTATGGGCCTTGTTTTAAAAGATCCCAGAACAAATATCTAACAATAATCTAAGGCAATGGCTAATGGAAATGCCACCTTTACAGCTCAAGGGTAACATATTTGTTTAAGAAATAGGTGTACTAGCCTTCCCTGAGACTCTTTTTCCATAATTAATGAGTTGATTAATTATATGTGTACTATAAATGATGGTGTCTGGATAATGATTACTGACCCATATGCAGTTCCCAAACCACAGCAAACTTCGAAAATTCAATTACAAGGTCCAGATGCTGTATACTGCATATGTAAACTGTTTCAGGAAGGAAGATTGCATATTAATAACATAGTCTATGTGGGTTATCTCTGCAGCCTAGTGAATATTTTGCAGAAATAGTTCCTGGGGAAAGCAAAAGGTATACAGAAACTAGACTGTTTCAAGTTTATTTCAACCTACAGCTACATTACATGTTTACTTTTATCATAATTAGTATGTTTGTTTCAATTATTAAAATCTCTTTTTTTATAATTACTTGTTAGATTAATATAGTTCAAAGATAAAAATAAATCTGAAGTATCAAGCCGTGTATTCTTGATACTGCAGAATATTATGTCATTTTTATGTGCTCAAACTGACTCCCTTCTGATTGTATAGAGTACAGAATAGCAACTGACATTTTTTGGAAAAGTGTAAAAACCAACACTTTGGTAAATGAACACCAACCGGAATCTATATCTAGTAGTAGATATGTACAATTTTGTTTTAAAAAATTAGCATTTATTAAGCTTTACTACTTACTATAGTTATTAATTCAGTTTAACTATTTACCAATCACATATTTTCTAGGCACCTCTTATGAACCAGGATCTGTACTCGGTGTCCCAGTTATAAAGTAAAACAGCCCATCCTTCCTGCACTCAAGGAGACAGCTCCATAAGTGGGGAGCTTGTTAAAAATGAAGAATTTGGGGAACTATTCACAGAGATTTTTATTAAGTTACATTGAAAAAAGCCTGGGAATAGCTATGATCTCCTGTCTGGTGATTTGGATGTGATAGTCTCAAACATATTTTGAAATATACTTGCCCAAAGAATGGAGAAAGACCCAGCCATCCCTCCTTATGTGGCTGCTGAGGGAGATATATGTATAATAAAAAAACTGCCAAAAACAAAGTCTCTTGGTTTTTTTTTTCCTTTATTTTTTTCTACCACTTAGTTCACATCATATTTTTTTCTATTTAATAGTTTTCTGCTGTTAGCCAAGAAAACAGGAAATTTGGATGCTCCGTTCCACACCAAATGAATCAGGACCTCCAGGTGGGAAAAAAAAAAAAAGTGGAGATCTGCTTTTTCTTCTTTCTTCTTTTTCTTTCTTCTTTTCATTAATCTCTATTTGGAGAAACACTGGTCTTGGAAATGAATTGACATAGTAACGTGACCTTAGACAAATCAATTAAGTTTCTTGACCCCTGACTTTTTTTTTTTCATCTGTATAATGCTGTTTTTACTATGGATTTATTAATGTCCTTCCAGCTCTGATATTTTCTTGTTGATTCTAATTTCATTTCAGCTTTATTCATTTTCTTTTTGACACAAATGCCTTTGATGGGCATCTCTTTAAACAAAAGCTTTGAGATTTTAAAAAATTGTAATCTTTGATAACTTCTACATTTATCATCCTCCTTATTTTAACTTTATTTTCTCTTGTTTACCACTACTTAATCTTCAAGTCTTGAAATCAGCTCAGATTGGAAAATATATGAAAGCCCAGTTCTTGTTTCTTTCCTATTTGCATTTGCTTTTTAGAGAAATCTGGAAAAATTAACAAATTAAAAAATGCTTTGTAATAATTATTTCAAATATTATTTCTAGGTTTTCTAATTACATTTCATTCATTGGATATGACAGTTCCAAATATATGCACCTTTGTAAATGAAGAGGACAGAATTTTAATCAGAAGAATGAGAAAATAAAAGTGCTATGATTAGAAAAACTTGAGGATTATTCTAACCAGCAAGCAAAGATCTCTTAAAAACTTCAGGGGAATTGAAGAATGTTTTTTAAAAACAATTACGTGGCAAGAACTCTCGATTGGATAGATAAATACAGGTAATAGATATGTTTGAGGTAAAATAGAACCTCAATTTAAATAGATTAATGTAAGAATTTAAAAAATGCTGCTGAACTTGATATATTACAATAATCCTTTCTGGGCTGAAGGAAATAGAAATAAATAGTAGGAGCAAGCCACAGTGGAAAAAACATACAATCTGTCTCACTGGGTGAGAGGGTTGTCCTGAAAACATCTGACATCTGGAATGCCCTTGTCTGCAAGGATGCAAGTCCTCCAAATATCCTAAGGCTAATATAATGCCATCAAGTAAATGGACTTTGTTTATATACGTAGGAATTTTTTAAGAAATCAAAACATTAAAATTCTCGAAAGCAGTATGATTGATCAATAACTAAATCTATCCATAACTGTGAATTTGCACAACCTGGGCAACAAGCATTTTCCAGGAATAAATTGCTCTTCATCCATAGTGTGTAAATGACTCTTCCAAAACGATTTTAACAGATGTCACCATTTTATCTTATTTTTTTCTTCCTGTTCCATCTGCCACTGTCTCAAACTCTCTTTACTTCATTCCTCAGGAACAGCTTTCATCTGCTCTTATTTCCTTTAAATATGTGATAATCTTTGTTCATTGACTCTATTTTCCTAAGATATGGTTGTTCTAATTAATTTTACCTAAGCTGACATTAGGAGCATTGTAAAAATTAATAACACTCTTACACAAGAATCTGTCTTAATACTATGAAATATAATCAGGTTTTCCATTTTTATAAATGTCTTTGTTTAGAGTAAAACAGGTGATGATATGGCTTTATCATCAAGAGACTCACCTCAATGCTAACCTAAAAAGAGAGGAAATTAGTTCTGATATAGGATCCAACACAATTAAGCATTTTAACTCATGCATATAACAATTTCCTTGTCTCAATCAACTGCTACTCTTCTGTTATATAATGAATTTCCTTCTTTCAATTATTTTCTAAGAAGCATACTATTTTTGGCATAAAATATTGATTTCCTTAAACAAAAATTCATGATGGTACAGCATAAGCATGAAGACTTTAGATTTATGTATGATTTCTGAGCAGCGGCTATTAATTTTGGTCGACTTTGAAAGAACATTTGAATTGATTAGCATAAACTATTTTTAAATCAGTAGAGACTGAGTTATCATATACACATAGGTGTGTACATGCATATGTATGTATGTATTTTTCTTCTCTTTTTTTATATAGTAGGAGTAATGGGGCAAGATAGACTCATATAGACTAAAGAAAATAAGTTGGCATATTTGAATTGTAGTACACAAAAGTAGAACCTATTATAAATGTATACATGTATTAAGTATGATGAGTAATTACTCCTGTAATAACTATGTCTCTGAAAATCCTTCCTGGAAAATTGTTTTCTCCTAAATGTGCTGCTGCAGTTAACTTGTATTTTCCTATTGAAACACTATTGCAATATGCTATGTTGCTTGCTTGCTTGAGTACATGTTACTTGAGTAAACTTTGTGACAGCAGGGAGGGACCACACCTCTCTTTTCTCATTCTTTTTTCTCCAACAGCTTGTCTAATATATGAACAGAGTTGTGGCTTCATAAATACCCATTAAAATAAATAAGAGGCATATTTTAGGCCCCGGTCATTCCCGCAAAGTCATGCTCAACCTCAACGCCAGTAATCTGGTATGTTATTTTTTGTTATCTTTTTTTCCTAACAGTGGAATAAGTATTGCAGTGATTTTATATTATTATGTCCTATGTTATTTACCCTGCCACTTCCATTGGATACCTTAACACTATCTGTTTTATGCATCACTGCAGAGAAAGGTTGATGAAAGATTGATACCTGTCATCTTAGGAAGTCATTTGTGCACTGGTTAAAGCAATTATAGGTGGGATGGTAGTCTCCGAAAAATGTCCATTTTCCTTTTGTAAAGTAATTCTGTCATTTATGTCATGTCTCCGTTGATGAGCCCACTGCCTCTCAAACTATTCACTAGCCACTTTCTAATTTTATAATCTCCACACCTTTGGAATTTGCCAACACAAGAGAGCATTAGACGATTTTCTTGGACTTCATGCTTGATCTGCTTCAATCTATACTCTTTGTTATAAACCTTGATGACTGACAGATCAGACCTATCATCTTGGATCCTCTGTTGTGTCATAATTTTGTCTTTGACAGATTATAACTTAAAATGCTGAGATTACTTTGTCAACTTTAAAATATATCTGTAATATTTACAAGTATATCATTTTTGTCTTAAGTACTACAAAATACCTTTCCCTTATGAGAGTCAGTTAAATATTTTTAACTAGTTTCATTAAAAAGTGAAAACTATTTTTCATTTCTGAATATGCTATTCTCTTCTAAGAAAATTAGGATAAAGTACTTTCTGTTGAAAATCAAAATTATAAATCTGTTATCTTCAAACTTACTATGTACTTGTGAGGTTTTTATGTTAGGGAGTGCTTGAGTATAATGAGAGATCAATATAAAACCTAGTTTAAGAAACATTTTTGCATCTAAAATCATGCCTAATAGAAAGCTGAGGCAGTAAAAGTGATGAGCATTCTTGATAAAATTCTTCTTTATGAGTAAAAACAATTCAAGACAAATGTATTATGAATCTGATTTTTTTTCATATTTATAACAAAATAAAGAATATTACATTATGAAATCATGGCTGGTTTTTACTGAGAGTGTTAAATTGGGGAGAACTAGTTATTTTCTCATAAGGCTTTTTGTCTGTGGTTACTGTTCAGTTACAACTAATGTCCTTAATGGCAGTGGAAACATCCATATCCACCATATCAGTCACATTCCAAGTAGCTGACTGTTGAATGCTTGGTGCATTAAGTAAGAGGCACTGGCCAAGAATGTTCAGAAAATTAAAGGGTTGTTAGAATAGAAAGAAAAAAGTTGAAAAAATGTGGTTAGTGAGAAATGTTATACAGTATCATTCTTTAAATTTGACAGAAAAGTTGATTTCATCGAGAGTAGAAGAGTGGTTGCAAAGTTATTTTTAACATAAGTTGAATATGTACTTAATTTTTAGTAGGAATGGTATATTGTCTGGATTTGTAGATAAAGCTATTTTTATTTCATCAGTTTCTACAGCCTTTCACCTTTCTTATGATCCACTTTATTATAACTATAAATGTTTATCATTTATTATCTTGTATATCTTCTTTTAAATTTTCTTATATGGATCTCTTAGAGTGGTGACCAGATGGCAGACACTTTTTGTGAGTAACTGTGATATGCGCATGCTGGGAAGGGAAGGGAATGGTCCCTTTAAATGATACGGAAGTGGGGAAGGGAAGTGCTGGGTAAAGGAGGGCATGGTCCCTGGGTAAGGCTTCCCCTGCCTTCTGCCCAAATGTTGCATTCCCTAAGACCACCCTGGGCCGCTATGCCCCCATCCTGTGCCTATAAAAATCCCCGAAACTCTAGCAGGCAGACACACAAGTGACTAGACGTCAAGAGGATGTCAAGAGGAGCACCCAGGTGGAACACACCGGCAGGCCAGCAGGGCATTGACCAGCAGAATGATGCAGAATTTGGCCAGAACAGTTGGAGAAGCTCCACGGCCCCACACCAGGGAAAAACCATCTCCCTTCTGGCTCCCCCATCTGCTGAGAGCCACTGCCACTAAATAAATCCTTGCACCTATTCTCCAAGTCCAGGTGTGAGCCAATTCTTCCAGTACATCAAGGCAAGAACCTGGGGTACAGAAAGCCCTCTGTCCTTGCAACAAGGTAGAGGGTGTAATTGAGGTGGTTAACACAAGCCTATAGACATCAACACTAAAAACTATGACACTCGCCCACTGGTGCTTCAGGAGCTGTAAACATTCACCCCTAGACACTGCCGTGGGGTTGGAGCCCCACAGCCTGCCCATCTGTATCCTCCTCGAGAGGTTTGAGCAGCAGGGCACTGAAGAAGCAAGCCACTTCCCCTGTCACATGCCCTGCAAGGGGGACAAGGAAACCTTTCCCCTTTCAGGTGCTATCACATTACCTGTATAAGTAGTCATTCCACAAATATTTCTTGAGCTAAATTTAATAGATTTATTATGAAGATTAATTGGAATAAAAAATGCTTCAAGTATAATCACTTCTTTTTATCTGTTATCTGGGACATAACCAAAAGTTAGAAGCTTAATATTAAAAAGATGATTTTCACACAAACATAGGATAAACATATTTTAAGATTATATACAACTCATCAATGAGAGAACCAAAAAGAAGGTAAAACTGGTTTAAAAGACATTTTGTGGAACTGGCATATAAAGATAATTTGGGGAGAAATGTTAAAATAAGACTGCTAGATAAAATACAGCACTTGTTAATGGCCTATAAAACAGTATATTTATCTTTCATGTTTTCTTTTCTACAAAGAGAAATCTACAAGTTGGCATGTAAATTCATATAGTCAAAGTTACATACATATAATAACTGTTTTGTTGGTGTGTTTGTAAGCCAATGTTCAAGCTTTAATGTTCAAGTTTCAATGTTGAATATTCACCATTGAAAGCTCCTTCCACACTGTCTTTGCTTTTTTTTTTTTTTGAAGTTTTTAACGACTTTTTTAAATAGAGTCAATAAACTCTTAAATAGGGCCTAATAAATATGTCTGCTTTTTCCCCAACTGTTTATATGGAAGAAATCTTAACTCCTTTATCCAAAAGAAAACAACTGCTATCATGTTTGTCTCTCTAGGCTGTGAATGGTAGACTTGAATCCTGAAATCTAAGGGCCAACCATAAACTGCAACCACAATGTAAAAAGACTTAATGAATTCATTTTCTCAAGAATTTTGCAGAAGAGTCTCGGTAGAGGAATAATAAGAAATTAGTCACTACAATATAGAGACATTGGTGAATAAAGAGTAATAGATTAGACCTATATAAGGAGTCTGGAGAACAAAAACAAAAATTTCTTTACCAGAGCCTTGGGGTGGTGGAAGGGAAGAGGGACACAAGGAGAAGCATATGAATACACAGCCATACTTGGATTGTTTTAATCTCATTCCAGTAGAATTGAATGACTGGCTTGCAAGAACATTGTTAAAGGTCAAAAGTTTAGGCTGCTCCGAAGTAACCTGAATATCTAAAAGATGCTGTGTAAAAGAAACTACCATCAGAGTGAACAGGCAACCTACAAAATGGGAGAAAATTTTCACAACCTACTCATCTGACAAAGGGCTAATATCCAGAATCTACAATGAACTCCAACAAATTTACAAGAAAAAAACAAACCCCATCAAAAAGTGGGCGAAGGACATGAACAGACACTTCTCAAAAGAAGACATTTCATGCAGCCAAAAAACACATGAAAAAATGCCCACTATCACTGGCCATCAGAGAAATGCAAATCAAAACCACAATGAGATACCATCTCACACCAGTTAGAATGGCAATCATTAAAAAGTCAGGAAACAACAGGTGCTGGAGAGGATGTGGAGAAATAGGAACACTTTTACACTGTTGGTGGGACTGTAAACTAGTTCAACCATTGTGGAAGTCAGTGTGGCAATTCGTCAGGGATCTAGAACTAGAAATACCATTTGACCCAGCCGTCCCATTACTGGGTATATACCCAAAGGACTATAAATCATGCTGCTATAAAGACACATGCACACGTATGTTTATTGCAGCACTATTCATAATAGCAAAGACTTGGAACCAACCCAAATGTCCAACAATGATAGACTGGATTAAGAAAATGTGGCATATATACACCATGGAATACTATGCAGCCATAAAAAATGATGAGCTCATGTCCTTTGTAGGGACATGGATGAAATTGGAAATCATCATTCTCAGTAAACTATCGCAAGGACAAAAACCAAACACCACATGTTCTCACTCATAGGTGGGAATTGAACAATGAGAACACATGGACACAGGAAGGGGAACATCACACTCTGGGGACTGTTGTGGGGTGGGGGGAGGGGGGAGGGATAGCATTAGGAGATATACCTAATGCTAAATGATGAGTTAATGGGTGCAGCACACCAGCATGGCACATGTATACATATGTAACTAACCTGCACATTGTGCACATGTACCCTAAAACTTAAAGTATAATAATAATAAAATAAAATAAAATAAAAAAAGAAAGTTGATTCATATTAGAGAAGGTTACTGTGACTTGAGGGCTTTGTGCAATCCATATTTAGAAACAATAAAATTCACAGATAAATTAAAAAAAAGATGCTGTGTAAATCAAGCCCTCCAACATGATTGTATTAATAAATATGTTTAAATGCATATGCACAGGCACAGACATGTTGTCTTATTTGTTAATTACTTCAAGGTGTTAGGGCTTGGGTTTACTAAATTTTAAAACATGATGTTTTTATATATTACTGAATCTAAAAAGAAAAGCAAAAAATATGAAAAAGCAAAATGAAATATTTTATAAAGTGAAGAAAGGGCATTATACCAAATTTGATGTATTGTAATACTGATGTGTCACATCTAGTTGAGTCAGATGTCTTGTTAGGCTTCATTGCCTACATGCTACCATAATTAGAGGTGACAGTTTAGAACATTTTATGTGTTAAAAGACATAAATAGAAGTAAATTCTTCACAATATCAGGCAGGGAATTCTAAGTCAATTGGTCTGGGCTATCAAATACAGGTGAAAAAATTTCTAAGTGCACTAGAAAAAGGAAAAGCTTAGCTCCAAAAGTTGTGCTAGTGGGGTACTTTAATTATCCTATCAAATTATATTTGAAAGAGGACTGATTATTTCAATGCTGAAAAATATACACACAAGAGCAAAATATCATTTTTAAACACAGCAGGCTTCTCTAAGTCCTGTTACAGGATCTGACTTAAAATGGCAAATGCAGATTTCATTGTGATGTTGATACTCTGTTCCTTCCCCCAAGACTTGCTTTGCAACTTTTCTCACTTGCAAATTTTCATCCTATAGAGTTAAGTAAGCTTTTAGAGGATTTCACTTGGGATAATTCATTCTTACAGACTCAGTTATGTGTGCAATAATGGCCTATCTATTCTGACATTATTGGAAATGAAGAAATGATGTATTTTTTCTTTCACCTGAGGATAAGCCTCGTGAAATCTTTGTTTCAAACACCTTAAGAGTCCCTGTATATTTCCTAGCTACTTTTAGCTTAAAGTCTTGTACTGTTTGGTGACATGTTCAGCGTAAAAAGTGTCTTACATCCTACAGATTCAAATAAAATTGCTATAAATCATAGGCAAAAATTAGTGGTTAGTTCATCTGTTAGAATATCTGCCAATGACAAGGTTATTTCAATATCTAGATTGATATTGCATCTTGAAAATAAAATGCTACAACTCTTTTCTGTGGAGGGCAAATTTAAAAATAAATTTAACCTATTTATGGGGGGTTAATTTAAAAATCAGTTACTTGTTTTGCAAATGAGATGTGGAAGAACTACAGAATGTTAGAATTTAAGTTTTTTTAAAGTATTGAGTCTACTATATCATTTTATTTATGTATTTTATATTGAGATGAATATACATTTAAACAGGGACAAGTAATTTTTCTAAAATATAAATTGAAAAGATAAAAGTGAGACTCTCCAATGGGTAGACATAATTTGAGCACACTGATATCACAAGTTTTAATACCTAGCCTTATAATTTCTAAAGAATATATTATTAAAAGAAATAAAGAAAATTATTATTTAAAAAATAGAGTAAACTTTGCTCCCCCAGGCTCACTTCCGATGTCCTTGATTTTTTTTATACTTCCTATTTTAGATAACTTCATCTTCTTCTTATTTTCTGTTCACAATATCTTATGCTTCTAACTATGTTGCTAGCCATATTTCATCTATGTTAATATATATCTAAATATATCCAGTGACCTTTAGATTACATCATTTTCATTGATAACATCCTAATTCCCAGCCCCATGTTCTTCCTTCAGACAATATTGGGTCTAATTTTAAGAATTTGAGAGAGTAGAAGAATAAGAAAAAGACTCGGTGTTCGGGACAAGGGATACATGTTATAGTGACACAGTTGAGAGTATCAGAAAGTGTATAGAACTAAATTGGCCCCACAATAGTGGAGGGCCCTAATTTTAACAGCAGTGACTCCTACATAGTAGAATTTCAGGTGACAATTTTATTTTCAGATTAATTGATTAGTTGGCTTGCCTTTATTGGATAATTTTACCATTCTGGACTTGTATTACCTATAAAATATTGGCAAATTCATTTTTAAAAAAGACACTAAGAGATGACTGGGATTCCATATGATATTTGCAGTAGCAGAAAAATCCCCAATTAAACAATGATTACAAACTATGGGAAGCAAATCTAATGAAGTTCACTGTATCTACCTGGAATACATGGATTTGGGAAGAAAAGCTTAATCAAGCCTATAGACCTAAAATAAATAAAAATAATGGCATTTGCAACTTTTTCTTTCAATACGTTTTTTCTACTAATTTTTCATGTGTCCCCAGCTTCAGCCCATTACTTGCCACTCTAGTCTTCTCTTTTTTCATTATTCAAACTTAGTCAATCACATGTTTTTGTCAATCAACTTACTATTTATTGATCTCCTAAAGAAGACATTCTTCATACATTTGAACCATGTTCTTACTCTTTTTATCCTAGATTGACAGTACCTCTCACTTATTTTCATGTTCTAGGCAATGGGTAGCTTTGTTCTGCAGCTAAAATATTCTATGACACTATGATCAAAAGGGCCATTAACAAAAGTGAATGGACTTTTAATGATGAGAATGTGGGGTTCACTAAGTGTGTTGCATTCTATATGTAAAATGTAAGTTTTGGAGTCAAGATTGGAATACAGATTTTAACACATATTACAATCCACCATTACAAAGTAAAAGTAATCTGCCATTGCTTTTAGTGGCAAAACCACAATTGCTTTTGCACCATCCTAATACTTTCCATAAGTGATCTTAAATAGAAAAATATAACTAGAGACTTACTCATATTTAAAATGAAAATAAATAATATGAATGATTAAGTTGTATTATTTTATCTAATGAGATAATGTATAAAAGTTTTTAGCACAGTGTTTGAAATATAGTAAATTTTCAATAAACATATTCTCATTACTAGTTAGTATTTTATACTGTAGGTGTATATTTTTGGAAAGAGTATGCAATAAATGTTTAGCAGTTCTTTTTGCCAATTTTATTTGATGGAATAATGTTTTTAAGTTTGAATCAATGAGGTTTAGGTGAACCTGATAAATCGGCAAATTCTAGAAGTTGTCCATGACCCAGTTCTGACTAGTGTATTCCAACTGGATGGTTGTAATTAATTTGTCCAGATATGAACATGTGACCCAATCTAGACTTAAAATTAAATCTTAGCTATTCCCTAGATGAGAGAAATAAAATTCCGACCACATCATTTTATTTCCTGACTCTAAAACTAGCTATAATTCTAGACTTTTTAGTTATACACAATTGTGTTTGAGAGCTATCTCATATCAACTTATGAGATCCATCTATTAAATTTTTAGAAATTTTTTGAGGTCATTTTTAGACACAGAAATTATTAAAAATAAACATGTTAATTTATAATTAAATTATATGTAAAACAAGGAAAATAAATTATTTAAATTCATCACTTCCTAAGTATTTCGCTATATTTTGCTGTGATTTATGCTACCGAAAATATTTACATAGATGAAGTTTGTATCATGGCAACACTGTACAATGGCAAGCTAATGTGCATGTCTCCAACTTCCTATTAGTGGCCTCAGGTTGTAGCTTGTAATTCAGTCATGAAGAGAGTATTTACAGCATGAAAATTAATACCACATATCAGGGTTCGATTTAATATTTTGTTGATTGTGTAGAATTAATAGAATTAATAAAAGTAAAAATAATGAATAAAAGTATGTTAATAATGCAAATTATTTTTTAAATTGTGTCTGTAACCATTACATTGTGAACCACCCCAACATACAAGGACATATTATCCTTGTATTAAAAAATTATGATTCTCAGAAAAGTGATTGTATCATTGGTGAACAAGTAAAGGTTTTTTTTTTTTTTTTTTTTGAGACGGAGTCTCGCTCTGTCGCCCAGGCTGGAGTGCAGTGGCGGGATCTCGGCTCACTGCAAGCTCCGCCTCCCGGGTTCACGCCATTCTCCTGCCTCAGCCTCCCAAGTAGCTGGGACTACAGGCGCCCGCCACTATGCCCGGCTAATTTTTTGTATTTTTAGTAGAGACGGGGTTTCACCGTTTTAGCTGGGATGGTCTCGATCTCCTGACCTTGTGATCCGCCCGCCTCGGCCTCCCAAAGTGCTGGGATTACAGGCATGAGCCACCGCGCCCGGCCACAAGTAAAGGTTTTAATTAATTTTACTTTTATCTTACCACTAATGTAAATAAAAATAGTAAACAATATTCATATTGAAACTCTATTCATTTGCTAATTGCAGTCAGCTATCTATGGATTTAAGAGTTTGGCAAAAATTAACAAAAACTCCCCATGAAAAGGGAACTAATATTTTATTACTTGTGCATTATATACTATGCATCTTTATATTAGTAAAACATAAAAAAAGTTGCATATAAAACTTTTTTGAGAGATAATTCTTTTTTTTTTTTTTTTTTGTCGCCCAGGCTGGAGTGCAGTGGCGTGATCTCGGCTCACTGCAAGCTCCGCCTCCCAGGTTCACGCCATTCTCCTGCCTCAGCCTCCTGAGTAGCTGGGACTGCAGGTGCCCGCCACCATGCCTGGCTAATTTTTTTTTTTGTATTTTTAGTAGAGACAGGGTTTCACAGTGTTAGCCAGGATGGTCTTGATCTCCTGACCTCGTGATCCACCTACCTCAGCCTCCTAAAGTGCTGGGATTACAGGGGTGAGCCATGGTGCCTGGTGGAGAGATGATTCTTAAATATTTACTTGCTCACATTGGTTATAAGCTGGTTATTAAGAGAGTTAAGTAGTATTTTTACCATATGTTCCTGAGTCAGTTGTACTTGTTAAAGGAGTGTTGCAAGTAATAAACTTTAGCATGTACAATTAGATTTATTAATTGGGATGAAAAATGTAGCAGGAAAGTGTTTAATTTCCAAGTAGGAAGTGAATAATATGTGTTGAATGATATACATTAAATATTAAAGAGTCAACTGCTAAAGCTCAGATATCAGATCATGTGCCTATCTATTGGGGAACCTGCCCTGATATTCACATAGGTTCTTTTCTATTTTCCTTAAGCATTGGCCAGCTTGAGAAATAAAGGGAGAGAGTACAAAA
This sequence comes from Homo sapiens, assembly GCF_000001405.40. Classification (NCBI taxonomy): domain Eukaryota; kingdom Metazoa; phylum Chordata; class Mammalia; order Primates; family Hominidae; genus Homo; species Homo sapiens. The sequence goes on from NC_000004.12 coordinate 33,845,641, forward strand.
GATAGAAATTTTAAAGCTGGGCATCTGGGGGAGACATCACATGTTGTTAGGTTCCACGATGCCCCACAAGCTGCAAAAACCAGCAAGTTTTTATTAGCGATTTTCAAAAGGGGAGGGAGTGTGCGAATAGGTGTGGGTGACAGACATCAAGTACTTTACAAGGTAATAGAATATAACAAGACAAGTGGAGGCAGGGCGAGATCACAGGACCACCGGACCGAGGAGAAATTAAAATTGCTAATGAAGTTTCAGGCACCATTGTTATTGATAACATCTTATCAGGAGACAGGGTTTTTGAGATCAACCGGTCTGACCAAAATTTATTAGGCAGGAATTTCCTCTTCCTAATAAGCCTGGGAGTGTTATGGGAGACTGGGGTCTATTTCACCCCTGCAGTCTCAACCATAAGAGACGGCTACCCCCAGGGGGGCCATTCATAGGCCTACCCCCAGGCACGCATTCTCTTTCTCAGGGATGTTCCTTGCTGAGAAAAAGAATTCAGTGATATTTCTCCCATTTGCTTTTGAAAGAAGAGAAATATGGCTCTGTTCCGCTCGGCTCACCGGCGGTCAGAGTTTAAGGTTATCTCTCTTATTCCCTGAACAATTGCTGTTATCCTGTTCTTTTTTCAAGGTGCCCAGATTTCATATTGCTTAAACACACATGCTGTACAATTTGTGCAGTTAATGAAATTATTACAGGGTCCTGAGGTGACATACATCCTCCTCAGCTGACAGGATTAAGAGATTAAAGACAGGCATAGGAAATCACAAGGGTATTGATTGGGGAAGTGATAAGTGTCCATGAAATCTTTACAATTTATGTTTAGAGATTGCAGTAAAGACAGGCATAAAAGTATTAATTTGGGGAACTAATAAATGTCCATGAAATCTTCACAATCCACCTTCTGCCATGCTTCAGCCAGTCCCTCCGTTTGGGGTCCCTGACTTCCCACAACACCTATCTATAAAGATATTTTAATGTGTCTTGTTATAAAATGCCAGACTATTTGTAAAAGAAAAGAAAAAAAAAGAATATGCTTGCCAAGAGAAGTTGTATCAAATCAAGACAGATAAATGTGTTTATTATAAGACTAAGAAAGCTGAATTCTCCATTTTAGATGAAATATTGTATGAGGAAATTCAAAGAGGAGGGAGATACAGCAGAAAACAAAATTGGCATCTGGGGAAATCTGATATTAATGCTCCTTACTAGTTCTTTCTAGCAACTTTATAACCATGCCTGACAAAGTGACAGTTACTCAAACTTTAAAGAGCCAGCTTCTGTGACCAGCATGGGGGTGCTTGGGAAAAGATTATTTATATCTCTGTCTCTGGCCTAATACTTCACATTGCTCTTGGACAGAGAAGAATGAAGATCATTTAAATGACATCTAGCAACATGTACTGGGTTTTAACTTCTTTTATTACGAGATGGAAACCTCCAGATTGTGGTTTTGATTCAGGGACCATGGCTCAATAAAATATCTACCCCTTTTGTTATTAATTTATGATGCAAATAGAAAGAAATTGACTAGAAGAAAGTGTAAATTTTTAGGTGTTGAATTTTTTTTTTCTTTTCTTTTCTTTTTTTTTTTTGAGACGGAGTCTCACTCTATTGCCCCAGCTGGAGTGCAGAGGCGCAATCTTGGCTCACTGCAAGCTCTGCCTCCCGGGTTCACACCATTCTCCTGCCTCAGCCTCCCGAGTAGCTGGGACTACAGGTGCCCGCCACCACACCAGGCTAATTTTTTGCATTTTTGAGGAGAAACAAGGTTTCACTGTGTTAGCCAGGAAGGTCTTGATCTCCTGACCTTGTGATCCACCTGCCTTGGCCTCCCAAAATGCTGGGATTACAGGTGTGAGTCATTGCGCCTGGCCAGATGCTGAATTTTTAGAGAAGCTACAAGCCTAGTCAAAAAAAGGCTATTATTGCTCAACCTCTAAGGCAAATTCTGTGATGTGAATCTCAAGTTGCTAGTTACTAAAGTATGACATTTATCAGGAAGAAAACTTTTCTCAATACCTTTCTAAAATATGATCAACATTAAAAAAAAAAAACCAAGACCCATCTATCTGTTGTCTTCAAGAGACCCATCTCACATGTAATGGCATCCATGAGCTCTAAGTAAAGGGTTGGAGAAAGATCTACCGCACACATGGAAAACAAAAGTGCAGGAGTTACTATTCTTACATCAGATAAAACAGACTTCAAACCAATAACAGTAAAAAAGAGCAAAGAAAGTCATTACATAATGATAAAGGGTTCAATTCAACAAGAAGACTAAGCTATCTTAATTATATATGCACCCAATATTGGAGCACCCATATTCATAAAACACATACTTCTAGATCTACAAAGAGCCCTAGACAGCCCACAAAATAATTGTGGGAAACTTCAACAACTTACCAACAGTATTAGACCAATCATCAAGGCAGAAAACTAACAAAGAAATTCTGGACTTAAGCTTGACATTTGGTCAGCTGGACCTAATAGACATCTACAGAATTTTCCATTCATCAATGACAAAATACACATTTTTCGAATCTGTATATAGAACACATTTCAAGATGGACCACATGCTCAGCCATAAAGCAAGTCTCAATAAATTAAAAAATACATAGAAGTCATACCAACCACATTCTCGGAACACAGAGGAAAAAATATAAATCAATGCCAAGAAGATATCTTCAAATCACAAATTTGCAAGGAAATTAAACAACCTGCTCCTGAATAACTTTCAGGCAAACAACAAAATGTCGGCAGAAATGAAAAATACCCTTTGAAATAAGTGAAGAGAGACACAGCATATTAAAATTTCTGGGACATGGTGAAAGCAGTGTTAAGAGGAAAATTTATAGCTAAATACCTACCTCAAAAATTTAGGAAGATCACAAACTAATGATCTAACATCACATCTAGAGGAACTAGAAAAAGAATAACAAGCTAACTCCAAAGCTGGCAGAAGAGAAGTAGTAACTAAAATCATTGTGGAGCTGAATGAAATTGAGATCCCAAAACCCATACAAAGAATTAACAAAACCAAAAGTTTATTTTTTGAAAATATAAACAGGATTGTTAGACCACTAGCTAGGTTAACAGAACAGAGGGAAGGTCTAATTATGCACAATCAGAAATGACAGAGGTGACATTACTACCAATCACACAGAAATACAAAAGATCCTCAGAGACTATTAAAAGCACTTCTATGCACACAAACTAGAAAATCTAGAAGAAATAAATTCCTGGGACCATGCAATCTTCCAAGATTGAATCGGAAAGATATTGAAACACTGCAACAGACCAAATTGAGTTCTGACACTGAATCAGTGATTTAAAAAAAAAAAACTACTAATCAAAACAATTCTGGACCAAGTGGATTCACAGCCAAATTCTATCAGATGTATGTAGAAGAGTTGTTACAAATTCTACTGAAACTATTTCAAAAAATTCAGAAGAAAGGACTCCCACACAAGTCATTTTACAAAGCCAGCATCACCCTAATATCAATGCCTGGCAAAGACACAACAACAACAAAGAAAACTATAGGCCAATATCTCTGATTAATAGAGATGTAAAAATCTTCAACAAATTACTAGGAAACCAAATTCAATAGCACATCAGTTAATTCACCAAGAGCAAGTAGGCTTCATTCCTGGGATGCAAGGTTGGTTCAACATGTGGGATTTAATAAATGTGATTTACCACATAAACAGAATTAAAACAAAAAAAAATGACCATCTCAAGAGATGCAGAAAAATATTTCAATAAAATCCAACATTTGTTGATGATAAAAATTCTCAAGACACTAGATATTAAAGGAACATGCTCCCTAATAACAGCCATCTGTGACAAACCCATGACTGACATCATACTGAACAGGCAAAAACTGGAAGCATTCCCTTGAGAGCTGGAACAAAATATGGATGGCCACTCTCACCGCTCCTGTTCAACATAGTTCTGAAACTGCTAGCGAGAGGAATCAGCAAGAGAAAAAAAAATAAAAAGGCATCCAAATAGAAAAAGAAGTCAAAATATCTCTCTTCACCTGATATTATTCTACACCTAAAGACTCCTACAAAAGGCTCCTGGAACTGATAAATTATTTCAGGAAGGCTTCAGGATACAAAACCAGTGTACAAAAATCAGTCACATTTGTGTACCCCAATAACGTTCAAGCTAAGATTGAAAACAAGAACACAATCTCATTTAAAGTAGTTACAAAAATTAAAATACCTAGAAATACATCTAACCAAGGAGGCAAAAGATCTCTAAGAAGAAAACTATAAAACACTGGTAAAAGAACTCATAGATGATACAAATGCAAAATTGTTCCATGCTCATGAATTGGAAGAATCAATATTGTTAAAATGGCCATACTGTCCAAAGCAATCTACAGATTCAATGCTATCCCTACGAAACTATGAATGTCATTTTTCACAGAATTAGAAAAAAAAAAATTCTAAAATTCATTTGGAGTCCCTAAAAGCCTGAGCAGTCAAAGCAATTCTATGAAGAAAGAACAAAAGATAAGTATCTAATATCCACCTTGTAGTTGTAGGTAAGCCATGGCATTTTGCCTATGCCCTTTAGTTTTCACTCCGTAGCAGGTTTTACAATTGCAAATGTCTCACGTGTGTGCATACATATCTGTCTATGTATGTGTGTGCATGAGTGTGTAAACTAAGTAAGAAAGCCCTTTTAGTCCACATTACCTGGGAGCAATTAATAGTCATATGATAAATAAAAAAGTATAAAAAATACAAATTACCTTTAAAGAAGCTAAAAATCAACAGAGTAAAAATCAACCCTATTAATATTCATAGAAATGTGGAGACACACCCTCTATTTCCACAAGATGTCCAAACAATGTCTGAGTTAAGCTTCTCGAATTCTCAATAGTTTACACAGATGTCAGTTCATAAACAGTACACATAGAACACTGAGACTAGCATAATTCTTGAAGGGTTAATTTACAAATGGATGCCTTAGGGTTGGGGTAGAGATACCACAAAGGATAGTGAAGTAACCTGTCACTTCCTAGCAGCCATTTCCTTACCACAAGCACATCTGAAGGAGATCAAAATCAGAAGCAAAACATCCTGTACGGTCTGTGCTTTGTTTGAATCAGTGGTTAAAGATGTAGCTACTCACAGGGAAGAAGCAAGATGAATTAGTATATTGGTCTAACTTCATCCTTCGCAGCTCCTGTTAAAGGCTCACCATTAGCTGAGGCCATTTAGAAGTCAGAGGACCCAGAAGACATAATGGACGTTAAAAAAGGTAATGGAAAAAAAAGTGGCACATGAATTTAAAGGAGCAAATAAGGTATCTTTCACAGTTTAGAAACATTAGCTTTCATAGGGATAACTTCCAAACATATACGTGAGATAGTGTCTGTAAAATGCTTAGGACAATGTCTGGCTTGCACGAAAGAGGGTCTAAAAAATTATTAGGTTCGGCCGGGCACGGTGGCTCACGCCTGTAATCCCAGCACTTTGGCAGGCCAAGGCGGGCGGATCTCCTGAGGTTGGGAGCTTGAGACCACCTGATCAACGTGGAGAAACCCGGTCTCTACTAAAGATACAAAATTAGCCGCGAGTGGTGGCGCATACCTATAATCCCCAGCTACTCGGGAGGCTGGGTCAGGAGAATCACTTGAACCCAGGAGGCGGAAGTTGCAGTGAGCCGAGATCGTGCCATTGCACTCCAGGGTGGGCAACAAGAGCAAAAACTTCGTAAAAAAAAAAATGTATATGTATGTGTGTGTGTGTATATGTATATATATATATATATATATATATATATATATATATATATATATGAGGTTCATTCTTCTTCCTATATTTGCAAAATTTTCCAGCAAGAATGAATAAATAGAAGAATCAAGGCCCCTTTTCTCTCAGAAGAAAGCATTTACTACGTTAAAGGAACACAAACTGCATGTTGATGATACATCATTATATAAATATTTGACAATATTTGCTCCTTTATGAAGTAATTGGCATCAAGATTTAAGCTATCAAATACATTTATTATCTGCCATTTTGTATAAAACATATTTATATTGCTTTGAAATGAGCAGATATTTGCAAAGATACTGTCCTTGAGTGGAGATGTTGTGTTCATATTACTTCAATTTGGTCTGATAATTGTGGGTAGCAAAATCTAATGGTTCTGGGACACAAACTCTGTTAACATTGCTAACTGAGGTATTCAGTCAACTATTTTTGTATATACTTAATAGTTTTTGATGCTTCCTGGTGTACCTCTTGCTGTGGATTTCAAGCCAGTGCCAAAGATCTTGTTTGTATATACATATATTGAGGAGATATAGCAAAGTAAATAGTTTCTACAGGACTCCATGTCATTGATTTCACATCCTGATAGGCAGCAGTTGTTCCAGGATCTCTGCTAAAACTCCTCATATCTAATAGCACTGCAAATAAGAGAATGGACTTTATTCATGCCAAAGTCAAACAGAATCCTCTAAAATTTAAGGGAATAATGGTTTTAATGCAAATATTTCTTTTTTGATTTCTAAAATATAGCTTTAGAAATTTATTGGAAAAAAATGTATGTTCTACTCTTGACACCTTGAAGAAAAATCTTTCCTGAATATTTGTACTTTTTTTTTCTCTAGACATACATGAAAAATAATTTTAGAAGACTACTTTAGCAGAATTGTTAACATCTAGCATCTTTCAGTTGTGTGTGATTGGGGGAAAGAGAAGAGAAAAGACCTAAGGAATTAGATCCATTTTTGCCAATGACAGTTATAAGACAAAATTAAAATAATATGAACATAACATCTCTAGCCAAGGACAGTTTCACTGCAAATATCTGCTCATCTCAAAGCAATATAAATATATTTTATACAAAATATTTTACAGCAAATATATTCAATAGCTTCAATCTTGATGAAAATTACTTCATAAAGAAAAAGTATTTCAAATATTTATGCAATGATATATTGTCAACATGCAACATGCCCATGCCAAATATGCACTTCATTGTTTTCATTATCATCCATAATTCTTTAAATCTCCTCTTGTTCTAGCTGCCACTTAATTTGTCAGCAGAATTTTCTAGAGAGATCAAGAATGTTTTTTTAAATGCTGACAATAGAGGAAAAGGACATTATTAGGAAAGAACAGAGAGACAGTGGTAATAAACAATTTTAACATTTTTCAGAATACAAAAGTAAAAATAAAAAAAATTATAGTAGATTCATGTTATGACATGTAAAAAAAGTATGCTTAAGAAGAATTGTTTCTATTTTTTGTTTTGTCTACCTACTGGCAACCTCCTCTGCCTGCTGTAAAATCCTGCTAGGAAAAGATGTCGTAGAGAACTTATAGATATTTGTATAATTTTAATATCTCATTTTAAAAAGTATACCAATGACCAATAGATGTATACTAATTAAGGTAATCTGCGTGGATCAAATTGAGCACCCCAGATTTCAAAAGATATACAAAATCATTTACTGATGTGTGTCTTGATTCTGGTAGAGGCTGTCTGTAGACTTGGTGGTCAATGAGTAATTACATCATAGTAAAAATCATGTGGGTTCAATTAAATAAAATATGATTTGTTTAAAAATATAACAGAATGACTCAAATATGTATGAAATATATTTCTATTCTGATATATAAAAATCCAATTTTCTAATATGTTGTGTACAAGACCCGTGATGGTATGATGTTGCAAACCATAGTTGGGTGGTCTGTTAGATTTTACAATAAACATACTGCTCAGTAGGATCATAGAGGAATGTGTGGGTATCAGAGAAGAGTGATGAGGTGAATATATTGGCAACCTGGAGGTTTGAAAAAGACATCTGAGCAATTCTTGTAATTCTTTATATTTCCAAACTATATAGCAAAGGTAGAATTAAGCACAGAAAAAAATGGTAATAAGGCAAAAAGAAGGAGAAAACAAGATATCCTTTCATTGTCTAGCATGATTTTTTGCATGACCCATGGAATAAAAATATAAAAAACTAACTTTCATAAGCAATATAATCTAACTTGCTTATAAAAAAAGCTGTCTTGATCATTAAAATCATGTTTAATCTAAAATAATTTTCATTTAGGGAATTTTATAGATTATTCAAAGTATCAAAATATATCTGTACATAATTATAGCACCAATTGTATGAGTCACAGAGGTAAATTCTGCTTGAGCAAACATAAGAAAAGAGAGCATATGTTTTCTTTTTTTTTTTGCTTCATAGACATTTTTTCTTTTTAGAATAAAACTCTCTTCAACCAGAAAAAGATATTTCAATATGGTTTTTAATTTAAAAATAAGTCATGTGGTTCTTCATGATTAGTCCCTGATTTGAAAGCTTAGTCATTTGGGAAAAAATAAATATTGTTCAGTCAACACAGTATTTTCTTCTTTAAACTTTTTATTCACATGTCTTTTAGTTTACCAGTACCAATCCTGAAATACCTAAGACTGAGGATTTTAAAATTTCACATTTTTAATATTCTTTTTTAAATTAATGCCTCTTTTAACATCTAGAACTCATTGCCTAGTGAATTCCTTAATGTAGTCTCCAATGCATAATACATAGCTAAGCTTCCTTTGGACAGGTAATATCTCTTTTCTGATTGATTAAAAGGAAGGAATACAAAGTATTAAGTAAAACACTAATTGAAATATAAATATTTTAGTTTATTAGATAACCATCATAAAAATTATTCATACATGAAATTGAAACCATTTCATTGCATGTATTTTACTGATTACAGAATTTGTAATGCATGTTCTACCCTGTGAAGAATAAAAATATTATCTTTCCAGAGTATCAAATATGTCATTGAGAATTTTATAGAATTTGCTGCCTGGGAAGAAGTAGAATCACCTGACATTGTTAAACATTGGCAAAGACAGAAATAACAGCTTGTGCCAATGCAAATTGCCTGGAAGTTTGTCGATATAGATGAACATGGACAGATGGTTTTCTGAAAGCAGTATCATCTTGGTTTTCTACTTAACAGAAATGAAGGACCTCATATTTATGATGACATATTATAAATCATGAGAATGAAGCTGTTCATTTTTCTTCTATACTTTTCTCTGTCAAGTAGAGACACTACTAGGAGAGTGCCTAGTGAGTACTTAAACACACATTGTAGAGTTAAAGTTATCCATTCTGTTTAGGTGATCTTGCCTATAATCATGGTCAAATATAGTATTCCACTCTTGCAGTAAAGAGTGATTATCCATCGATTTTAAAAGTTCTAAGTCTATATCCTTATTGGAAGATGCGGACAGAAGAGGGAATTGTTGTTTGAAGTTTAAGAGTGTAGAATAGGGGAAAGTAGCACATGCTTGCATCTTACTTAGAGTTGCCTGGGTGGTCATAAAATCAAACCACCTGTTTAGGGATAAGAAGTACTTAGTGGTAACAGACATCAATAAGACAGAACACATCTTCAATGACCCCAGAAGGAAAAGATGTGTAAAGAGCTATCACAAAAGGTTAAACCTAAAGGAGAGAAGAGGGATCAGTGAAACAGGAAGATGTGTACAGTGATAGTTCTGAGAAAGGTTCTTTTACCCTAAAATGGCTTTTCAGTATTTTCTTGAGTGAAAACACCGGATATATTCAATAGCAATTCTAACACAAAAAGACTTGGCAGCTGGGCCCGGTGGCACACGCCTGTAATCCCAGCACTTTGGGAGGCTGAGGCAATGGATTGATTGAGGTCGGGAGTTCAAGACTAGCCTGACCAACATAGTGAAACACCATCTCTACTAAAACTACAAAATTAGCTGGGCATGATCACGGCTGCCTGTAATCCCAGCTACTCAGGAAGCTGAGGTGGGAGAATTGCTTGAACCAGGGAGGCGGAGGTTACAGTGAGCTGAGATCGCACCACTGCACTCAAGTCTGGGTGACAGAGCAAGATTCCGTCTCAAAAAAACAAACAAAACACAACAAAACAAAAAGTCTTGGCAAACAGACCGTTTCATTCTTTGGATAACAATTTTTTAACCACTTCCAATTTAAGGTCCAAGTGTCCAGACCCCCATGTCTGTAAGAGATCATTGCTAGTCACAAACTTTCAGGAAAACAATAATCCTAGCTTGTACTTCCCAATAACAAATTAGAAGTGTCTCTTCTGCAATTTGATTGAATCAGCTCCAAGGAAAAACACTGCTGTAAAAAATATATATATATATAATTATGTATATATGGGTACAATTTTAAATACATTTCATTACATTGATGTACTCTCAAAAATAATAAACATGCAAACTAAACTCCTAACTGTTGCTTAGACAATACTATAGATACATGTAGTCAATAACCTTTCTCCTGAACTGTAATCTCAATGAAATAAACTGATCTTTAACCCAAAGAAATGTAAAGACCATCAGTATGGGATTACATTTCCTTTATAATGGCTTTAATCAAGTGTAACTATACTGCTGAGTATAACTACAATTGCATTAAATTACAATTTACTTAAGAATATTCAAGAGTCCTTAAATTTTCAAAATATAAATAAAGCCTAACTTAATATTAAAGCTAATTTTAAACAGAAAATGTTTTTACCTTGTATTAAAATTATTAGACACACTACAATTACCCAACTTAAACCTGTTCCAGTTAGATATTTTTCTGAATCCAGAAGCTAGTAACATATAATATCTCTGTACATAACATCTTTACAAGATAGTTTTAAATATGACATATTTACAATCATTTAAATTTTGTTTTTGCTACCAATTGACTAGTGAAAATTCATACAATATCCTCATTTTTCAAGTAATAAGCATTTTATGGTAGTTAGCATTCAGATTGCTTCACAATCCATTTTCCTCAAGCTATATTTTCTTCCTCTGAAATCCAAATTAATCATAGATTTCCATAGAAATCCAAATTAATCATAATTCTACTTTTGTGAAAGTAGAATTAAGGAGGAGATTCAATGGGTGATTAGTGGACAATTATCTTAGTTCTTTTTACAAAATTAGAAGACTTAATTTTTAAAACAAATTCAAAATCTTTTTTATATTTGAATATCTTATCCACAGCTTGGATGTGAAAACTTATATTTTTTCTGTTTCTACAGTCTAGTTTTGAGTTACGATTGTACCATAATCTATTATGGACAAAAAATAAAAATACTTATAGAGCACAAAATTTGAGAAGGAATGAAACATAATCCTTACCCCTTCACCCTTTCTGAAAAAGATTATAATAACAAGAATGATGATAAAAATGCATATGTAGCATAAAAACTATTTTCAAATCCTGATTCTATTGCTGATAGTAAGGATATGGCATCTCTTTAAAAGGAAGATAACTGTGGCATTTTTAAAATATAGCCACGAATACTTTCAATGTCCTCACATCAAAGGGTAGACATCATGTTTCTTCCCCCTGAAGTCAGAGAGGCTGTGATTGCTTAAACCAACTGACCATTAAAGTAATTCTATGTGACTTCTGAGGCAAGATTTTTAAAGGCAATAAATTGACCCATTAACTGAAACACTCAGGCAAGCTACCTGTATGATTCCATGCTGTGAGGAAGTTCAAGTTACATGAAGAAGCAATATTCAGACACTCTGGTTAAGAGATTATTTTGAGCCCAGCCTTTAAGTCATACCAATGCAGGAGCCAAATATGTAAATGAAGAAGCTTTCAGAAGATTTCATGTCCAACGTTTAATTCATTCCTAGACATCTAGGACTTCTCAGAAGCCCAAATATTGTAGACCACAGAAATGTCACCCCACTTTGCATTTTCAACCCCCTGACCCCAGAATATATGAGGATGACAAAATGGTTATTGCATCATGCCACTGAATTTCAGTAGTTTGTTTTGCAGAAATAACTAGCAGAAGCAATCACAAATAGAAATGTTTTCTTTCTCCACAATTTGGAAGACCATCACAAAAAGGAAAGAAGAGAAAATGTGGCATAGCACAAACCTGAGTCTTCCATTTGACAGCTGTAAATTTTGGGAATTGGTATTTAAATCATGGATGATATTCTCATATTCTAGGCATTTATGAAAGGTTAAATTAGATAGCATAATTAAAGTATCAGACAAAACTGTGCTTTCAACAAAAAATGCATAGTTATTTTATCCCTCCCCTTATTATTAAATAAATTTTAATAGGTCTTTTTATAGGTGAAACATTATTGCCAGAAAAGAATTTCAAACTATATAAATGAGAAAAAAACAATGTTAGGCTTTTTTGAAATTAAGGAAAATTTCATAGTGCAAGAGGTATTGGTAATGCAGTCTATAGACATAAAAATTTCATTCATTTTAATAAATACATGAGTATCTCACAGGAAGAATACAAAGTTTGAGATACACAGGTAAATAAAAGGGTTGCATTTCCAGTTCTCATGGAATTTAGAATCTAGCAGGTAAATAAATGGGAATCACAAACGATTTTTAGCCTGATGAGTTTTTAATAGAGAAGACCTCAATACTATGGGAATATACAGCAGCAAAATTTACCCTTGTCTCCCTGAAAATAAACCATTAAACAGATTCAAAATAATAGACCGTAGCTCGTAAATATTAGAGAAGTATGCCTTAAAGAAGCAGCAATAGACATAAAAGCTGTGAGAAGAAAGAATGCAGAACACCTTAGTGAAATCGAGAGACGACTAGTTTGTTTGGGTCATAGACACCAGTAAGGACACGTGACTGGAGACAGAAGTCAGGGCTATATGAAAAGGACCTTTAGTAGATTACCGAATTTCTCTTAAGGGCAATAGTACATTATTCAAAGGGGTTAAGCAAGTGATTTCAGATATTTGTTTTAAAATGTTAGCTAAAGAATGCACAATCTATATGACTCTCCAGAGTAAAACTCTTAGGGATTTTCATACTTTTTTTTCCCTTTTGATGCTCATGACATACCCTCATTCAAAAAAGGTTTGGGCATTATTCTTCTATAATTATACAACAGACATAAGAATACTTGATTTATGATTTGTACTCTCATGCCCTGATTCAGGAATCAGAAATATAAAGCCTTTTTATCACATACATGATTCAACTGGCAAAACTATTTAAATTTATCGCTATGTTGTTTCATGATTTAAAAAAAAAAATCCTACAAAATGAGTTTACACTCTAAACTGTATCCCAAGGATAGCAAGAAATTTCACAGAAATATATTTAAAGAGGATTGGTTAAGTTTTGAAAAACTAGTATGCAGCTTTGTATAATTACTAAACTGAAGAACAAAATATTAAATTATATCATGATAAACCTCTCATATTATTTTTTGTCATAGTATCAAATGTCTATATATTTGCTTTACATTTAACTATTGACACTTGTAGTTTGAAAGCCTCTTAGTCTTTCTTGCTGTCTAATGGACGTTTGCTTAATAGGCCTTGATACTATTGTAGGCTTGAATTTATATAAATCTTACCTCCAGAACACACAATATAATAACTACCTATCCTATACAGAGGGTCCAGATATTCTACTTATGTCTTTCTGGTCTCATTCATAGAACTTATTTCTACTACTAGTAACTCTTCTCATGAGAAAACAAACAAAAAACAAAAACAAAAAAAAAAGTGTACTTTCTCTTCACTCGCTTGCTTCTGCTCCCTGTCTCGTGGATTCAATTTGCTTGTTCTTTGCTCACGGAAAGGATGCTTGGATCCAGAATGTGACTTTGCTTTCTGTGGTGCCAGCTCTTCCGCTAGCGTCTTTCCTTTTATCCCTTTATTAAAAATTATTCTAACATTATATTTTACTTTCAGCATATTTTCTACCAACATTCATCAGAGTTAGTAAGGAATCTCTGGTTAAAGTTAAGCATTATGGCTAGTAAGTTAAATGAAAGTTAAGTATATTCAACATGTATAAATATTGGCATACAGCATAGCATCCAAGGACATAGTCTTACAAGATAATTAAAACACTTAACTTTGATATGTGAGAGCTTGTTTTGAAAATGAAACTCTACACCCACACACCAACATAACATTTACCAGAAAATTTTCAAGTTATTTTTTTCAAAGGAATGTCTGTTACTATGATCACAAAATTTGGATGTCAGGAGTAATTAATTATCTCATACTTTTATCCACAATGCTTAGACAGTAGGAATCAAAGTTTTAAATTGGGACATAAATCTGGAAAAAAAAAGTTAAATTGGCTCTGTGTGATCTTATGTATAACTAAGAATGCTTATAGTTTTCATCAAACTATTCTCTTTTAAAGGTTTGCTTTATAGCCAATTAGTTTTGCTGTAGTCTGAGTCATATATTTAATAATGAGAAAAAATGTTTTCTATATGTTGTTTTAGAAGAGATGGAAAAGCACTTCAGAATTTTGTCAGAAAAAAAAGAAATATGTATCAAAGTAATTTTTCACTTTGTTACAAATTCGAATGTGTCGACATCTACTCTATATATTAAAGCAAAGTCTATTCAACACATGCATAAATAATGGAATTAATAATATAAAATATAAATGACTGTGCAAATAAGTTGACAAATTGTTGAAAGTTATTTGCTAGAACATGAAAGTCAAATAATAAAAGTTGGGGAATACCAAAATATCATGTGCTTTTTTTTGTCTAGGGAGACTGATTACTTAATCCACTTCTTTTTAAAGCTTCATGAGCACTCAAATATATTGTAACTCTTTCTGAATGAAAAGATAATATTCATACAATGAATGTGAGGGTTTCATGTTGATCTTCCTATTGCCTTTTGTTTAACAACAAAACAACCTTTCTAACCTAACAATATAAAACAAAAATTATTTGAGTATCTAGCAGACTTCTCTTGGAGAAAGAAATATACTGGACCCAATTTGCTGTAGAGAGTGAGATTCCAAAGCATATTTTAGAAGAAAGAAGAGAAATTAACTTAAAAAAACCCGAATTTCCTTGCATAAGAAATAAATGCAGAAGTCCCACCTCTAGAATGGCAATGTGAAGAGCTCCATGGATCTTTTTTCCAGTGAAAGTGTTGAAAATTATAAAACAACCATCATCTATGTCACTTGAAAAGTCATATCGGTACATAGAAAATGATGAAGTATTTATTCAAGAAAATCTATTGATACTCACTAAGAACAGTGAGAGTATTTTTGCATTTGATCCACAACCCATTCTTACCTCTCTTCTCACAGCCTATCTTGATATAAACTCTACTCAAGGCAATGTAGCCAAGAACACAGGACTTTTACTAGACGCCATTGGGGGGCTACAGTATGTTTCTGAGAGTAACAGTACATCAGAATTTTTCATTTCAACCCCCACCTGCTGCCACTACCTGTTCTTGAGGTTAAGCTTTTGTTGAATGTGGCCAAGAAGTGAGATGTCACTTCTTCCTACCAGCTCTAATTCATGGAATGAGGACTGTTTGGGTGCAACACACTGAGAACACTGGGCCCTGATTGTCTTCTTTCTGGTTTGTCTGTAAGGCAAAGTTCTCATTCCAGGAGTGGCAAGCTGAGATTACCAATGGCTACTCCTCATCCCAGTGACCCAGTCTCAAAGTAGGGCTGTCACTCCGAGAGGAGAATGTTGCTCTCTTTGCTGCAATCACCAGAGCCAAAGCTCACAAGTTTTGCCCAAAGGAAGGGGCAGAACATACAGCAGAAGAGTGATAAAACTTTTCCCACAAGAAGAGTTTGGGGGAAATTCAACCATAAGGATACTTTGAAAAACAATGAAGAGATGGTAAAAAGCAAATAAGAAGGACTGGCACTTTATTAGAGACATATGCTTTGAAACAAAGGTCAGCTAGTTTACCAGGAATAACCCAGGAAAAAGACAGCTAAGAAGAGCCCTTCTGGTGTCAGGAAGAAGTTTCAAATGCTGAACAAATGAAAAGACCTGAAATAATAAATAAGACTGTTAATATAACAAAAGCTGTAAAGACATAGTACGTTTCTTTTTATCTCTTTTTTTTAAAGACATAAAATTATGTCAAGTGTGTTAGTCTGTTCGTGCTGATATATATATATATATATATATATATATATATATACACACATATATATATACACATATATATATAAATACACATATATATATACACGTATATATATATATCAGAGACTGAGAAATTTGTAAAGAACTTTATTTCTCATAATTCTGCAGGCTGGAAGTTTAAGATCAATTTGCTGGCAGGTTTGGTGTCTGCTGAGGTGCCTTGAATATCCTCAGAGGGGATGAATGCTGTATTTTCAAATGGTGAAAAGGATGAAATGGCAAAGGGTCCTAATTCCTCCAGCCCTTTTATGAGACACTCATACCATCAATGAGGACAGAGTCCTAATAGCCTAATCACGTCCTCAAGGTTCCTGCTCTTAATGCTGTCACATTGAAATTGAGTCTCAACATGAACTTTGGAGAGGACAAAACAACAAATCATAGCATCAAGTAAGAGTTATAACCATAAATTATTGGGTATATAGCATATATAGATGTAATGTGTACAGCAATTATAGCACAAAAAGGAGAGTCGAAGTATACAAAAGTGAACAAAAGTGAAATTTATATTAACATATATGTCACTAGAATTGTTATCCATGTAAAATGAGTCTGATAAGATGTATACAGTAAACTCTAAAGTAGCAATTAAGGGAAACACTGAAAAAATATAGATAAAATATTATTAAAATTAAAATTAAATGTTATATAAAAAATACCTAATTCAAAAGAAAGCAGTAAAGGAGGAATAGAGGAATGAAAAGACATAAGGTATACAGAAAACTGAAGTAAAATGATGGATGTAAATTTAACTATACTAGTAATCTCAAGTGAAAATGAATTTAAATACTCAAATAAAAGACAGAGATTGTCAGACTGGAGGAAAAACAAATTAAATAAACAAGATCCATCTACATGTTGTCTGCAGGAGACATACTTTAGATCCAAAGATGAAAATTCATAGAAAAAAAAAGGATGGAAAAGTTATATTATGCAGGCAGTAACCACAAGAAAGCTGGAATTGTTATATTAATATAGAAAAAAATAGACTTTAAAACAAAAGGGGTTACAGAAGTAAAGAGAGATATTTTATAAAAATAAAAGGGCCAATATCTCAAAAATAGGTAACAATTATAAGCATATGTATGTGTGATGAAAAGACATCAAAATCCATTGATATAGAAACTCCCAAAAATGAAGATTACATAGGCAATTTAACATACTTCTTGTAGCCTTTAATACTCACTTTAACAAATGGATAAAATGACTAGGCAGAAGATCAACAAAGAAATAGAACACTGGAACAAATCTATACAATAACTAGACTGCTTAGATATTTAAGGAACACTGTAACAACAGTGGATTCTCAAGTGCACATGCAACATTGTCCAGGAATACCATATCCCAGGCCATAAAATAGACCTCAATGAATTTAAACATTGGAACAATACAAAGTATATTTTCAGATAATAATTGAGTAAAATCATAAATCAGCAATAGGAAAATTTGGGAAACTCAGAAATATGTGGAAATTAAACAGCATGCTCTTAAATAATCAATGGGTCCAAGAAGAAATAATGAGATAAATTAGAAAATACTTTAAAAGAAGATAAAATACTTTAAGAACACATAACATCTCTTATGTGATGCAGTAAAAGTAGTTCTCATACTCAAAAATAACATTCTCTAACCTGCCACCATAGGCACTGAAAAAAGAAGAGCAAATTAAAACTAGAGCAACCACAAGAAAGTATTAGGGATATACAAATTAGTGAAATACAAAATAGAAAAACAATTGAGAACCTCAACAAAGCCAAAAATTGTTTCCTTGAACACATCAACAGTGGCCACAATTTAGACAGACCGACCAACAAGAAAGAGAAACTAGTCAAGTATTAATGAATTTTTTAAAAGGACACTAAACTTAAAGAAATAAAAAATTATTACAAAAGTACCTATGAACAATTATATACCAAAATTTAGATATTTTGTATGAACTGGACAAATTCTAAGAAAGATTCAAATTAGCAAAAAGAGTCAAGGAAAAATATAAAATCTTATCAAGTAAAGAGATTAAGTTAGTAATCAAAACTACCACCCCAGGAAACAATGACAACAGCAACAAAATCCTCTAGCCAAGAATGCCTCTATGAAACTTTTAAAGTTGAATTAATACAATTATTTACAAACTCTTGCAAAAAAAATAAAAGGGAATACACTTCCCAGTTTATTCTTTGAAGCTAGTATTACCTTAATAACAAAACCAGACAAAAGCATCAAAAAAAAAGAAAAAGAAAACAAAAATGCAGAAGAATATCTTCAACAAAAACAGATGGAAAAAATCCTCAGCAAAACGCTAATGAACAAAATCCAGCAATACATAAAACATATAATATACTATAACCAGGCAGGATTTACCTCAGGAATGCAAGACTGTTTCAACACCTGGAAGTCAATTAATGTAATATACTACAGCAGTAGAATAAAAAACATACAATCATCTCAATAGATATATTAAGAAAAAAAACACTTTGCAAAATCCAATGGCATTTAATGACAAAAACTCTTAAGAAACCAGGAATAGAAGGGAACTTCCTCAGCCTGATAATGGGCTTCTGTGAAAATCCAAAGCTAATATCAAACTTAATGGTAAAAGGCCAAATGTTTCCTCCTAAGATCGCAACAAGATAAGTATATCTGCTCTTGACACATCTATTTAACATTATACTAGAAGTTTTAGTTAGGATTAGGACAATTAGGCCAGAAAACAAAATAAAATCCAAATTGAAAAGGAAAAGTAAAACTATATTTGCAGATAAAATGAGCTTGTACTCTGATAATCCACTAAAAACTTGTAACTTAAAAATGAAAGTTGCTGGGAGGGGTGGCTATGGGTGCAGCTTCGGCAGACTTAAACCTTCCTGCATGCTGGCTTTGAAGAGAGTAGCAGATCTCCCAGCACAGCATTCCAGCTCGGCTAAGGGACAGACTGCCTCCTCAAGTGGGTCGCTGACCCCCGTGCCTCTTGACTGGGAGACACCTCCCAGGAGGGGTCGACAGACACCTCATACAGGAGAGTTCCGGCTGGCATCTGGCAGGTGCCATTCTGGGATGAAGCTTCCAGAGGAAGGAACAGGCAGCAATCTTTGCTGTTCTGCAGCCTCCACTGTTGATACTGAGGCAAACAGGGTCTGGAGTGGACCTCCAGCCAACTCCAGCAGACCTACAGCAGAGGAACCTGACTGTTAGAAGGAAAGCTAACAAACAGAAAGGAATAGCATCAACATCAACAGGAAGGACATCCACAGAAAAACCCCATCTGAAGC
The DNA here is from genome assembly GCF_000001405.40 of Homo sapiens. Classification (NCBI taxonomy): domain Eukaryota; kingdom Metazoa; phylum Chordata; class Mammalia; order Primates; family Hominidae; genus Homo; species Homo sapiens. Next base: position 33,864,923 of record NC_000004.12, read on the forward strand.
TTCCCAAATACCAACATCAAATACCAAAGGTGGGTAAATCCATGAAGATGAGGAAAAACCAGTGCAAAAAGGCTGAGAATTCCAAAAACCAGAATGCCTCTTCTTTTCCAAAGGATGCCAACTCCTCTCCAGCAAGGGAACAAAACTGGACAGAGCATGAGTTTGATGAATTGACAGAAGTAGGCTTCAGAAGGTGGGTAATAACAAACTCCTCCAAGCAAAAGGGGCATGTTCTAACCCAATGCAAGGAAGCTAAGAACATTGAAAAAAAGTTAGATGAATTGCTAACTAGAATAACAAGCTTAGAGAGGAAGATAAATGACCTCGTGGAGCTGAAAAACCCAGCACGAGAACTTCGTGAAGCATACACAAGTATCAATAGCCAAATCAATCAAGTGGAAGAAAGGATATCAGAGATTAAAAATCAACTTAATGAAATAAAGCATGAAGACAAGATTAGAGAAAAAAGAATGAACAGGAAAGAACAAAGCCTCCAAGAAATATGGGACTATGTGAAAAGACCAAACCTAAGTTTGATTGCTGTACCTGAAAGTGATGGGGAGAATGGTGCCAAATTGGAAAACACTGTTCAGGATATTATCCAGGAGAACTTCCCCAGCCTAGAAAGGCAAGCCAACATTCAAATTCAGGAAATACAGAGAACCCCTCAAAGATACTCCTCGAGAAGAGCAACCCCAAGATACATCATCATTAGATTCACCAAGCTTCAACTGAAGGAAAAACTGTTAAGGGTAGCCAGAGAGAAAGGTTTGGTTACCCACAAAGGGAAGCTCATCAGACTAGCAGTGGATCTCTCTGCAGAAAACCTACAGCCAGGAGAGAGTGGGGGCCAATATTCAACATTCTTAAAGAAAAGAATTTTCAACCCAGAATTTCATATCCAGCCAAACTAAGCTTCATAAGTGAAGGAGAAATAAAATCCTTTACAGAAAAGCAAATGCTGACAGATTTTGTCACCACCAGGCCTACCTTACAAGAGCTCTTGAACGATGCACTAAATATGGAAAGGAAAAACCGGTACCAGCCACTGCAAAAATGTATCAAATTGTAAAGACCATTGACAATATGAAGAAACTGCATCAACTTATGGGCAAAATAGGCCGGGTGCAGTGGCTTACGCCTGTAATCCCACCACTTTGGGAGGCTGAGGTGGGTGGATCACAAGGTCAGGAGTTGGAGACCAGCCTGGCCAACATGGTGAAACCCCATCTCTACTAAAAATACAAAAATTAGCCAGGCAAGGTGGCAGATGCCTGTAATCCCAGCTACTTGGGAGGGTGAGGCAGAGAATTGCTTGTACCCTGGAGGCGGAGGGTGCAGTGAGCCAAGATCGTGCCACTGCATTCCAGCCTGGGTGACAGAGTGAGACTCCGTCCCCCTCCCTGCAAAAAAAAGGGCAAAATAACCAGCTAGCATCATAATGACAGGATCAAATTCACACATAACAATATTAACCTTAAATGTAAATGGGCTAAATGCCCTAATTAAAAGACACAGATTGGCAAACTGCATAAACAGTCAAGACCCATTGGTGTGCTGTATTCAGGAGACATACCTCATGTGCAAAGGCACACATAAGCTCAGAATAAAGGGACGGAGGAATATTTACCAAGTAAATGGAAAGCAAAAAGCAGGAGTTGCAATCCTAGTCTCTGATAAAACAGACTTTAACAAAGATCAAAAAAGACAAAGAAGGGAATTACATAATGGTAAAGGAATCAACACAAGAAGAAGAACTAAGTATTCTAAATATATATGCACCCAATACAGGAGCACCCAGATTCATAAAGAAAGTTCTTAGAGACCTACAAAGAGACTTAGACTCCCGCACAATAATAGTGGGAGATTTTAACACCGCACTGTCAATATTAGACCAATCAACAAGACAGAAAATTAACAAGGATATTCAGGACTTGAACTCAGCTCTGGACCAAGCAGACCTAATACACGTCTACAGCAATCTCTACCCTAAATCAGCAGAATACACATTCTTCTCAGCACTACAATGCACTTACTCTAAAATTGACCACATAATTGGAAGTAAAACACTCCTCAGCACATGCAAAAGAACGGAAATCATAACAAACACTCTCGCAGACCACAGTGCAATCAAGTTAGAATTCAGGACTATGAAACTCACTCAAAACTGCACAACTACATGGAAACTGAACAACCTGCTCCTGAATGACTACTGAGTAAATAACGAAATTAAGGCAGAAATAACTAATTTCTTTGAAACCAATGAGAACAAAGACACAACATACCAGAATCTCTGAGACACAGCTAAAGCAGTGTTTACAGGGAAATTTATAGCACTAAATGCCCACAGGAGAAAGGAAGGATCTAAAATCAACACCCTAACATCACAACTAAAAGAACTAGAGAAGCAAGAGCAAACAAATTCAAAAGCTAGCAGAAGACAAGAAATAACTAAGATCAGAACAGAACTGAGGGAAATTGAGACACAAAAAAAGCCCTGCAAAGAATCAATGAATCCAGGAGCTGGTTTTTTGAAAAGATTAACAAAATAGCTAGACCACTAGCCAGACTAATAAAGAAGAAAAGAGAGAAGAATCAAATAGACACAATAAAAAGTGATAAAGGAGATATCACCAATGACCCCACAAAAATACAAACTACCATCAGAGAATAATATAAACACCTAGACTCAAATAAACCAGAAAATCTAGCAGAAATGGATAAATTCCTGGACACTTACACTCTCCCAAGACTAAACCAGGAAGAAGTCAAAACCCTGAATAGACCAATAACAAGTTCTGAAATTGAGTCAGTAATTAACAGCCTACCAACCGAAAAAAGCCCAGGACCAGACGGATTCACAGATGAATTCTACCAGAGGTACAAAGTGGAGCTGGTACCATTCCTTCTGAAAATATCCCAAACAATAGAAAAAGAGGGACTCCTCCCTAACTCATTTTATGAGGCCGGCATCATCCTGATATCAAAACCTGGCAGAGACATAACAAAAAAAGAAAATTTCAGGCCAATATCCCTGATGAACATCGATGCGAAAATTCTCAATAATATAGAGGCAAACCGAATCCAGCAGCACATCAGAAAGCTTATCCACCACAATCAAGTCAGCTTCATCCCTGGGATGCAAGGCTGCTTCAACATATGCAAATCAATAAATGTAATCCATCATATAAACAGAACCAACCACAAAAACCACATGATTTTCTCAATAGATGCAGAAAAGTCCTTTGATAAAATGCAACACCCTTTCATGCTAAAAACTCTCAATAAACTAGGTATTGATGGAATGTATCCAAAATAATAAGAGCTATTTATGACAAACCCACTGCCAATATTGTACTGAATGGGAAAAGCTGGAAGCATTCCCTTTGAAAACCAACACAAGACAAAGATGCCCTCTCTCACCACTCCTTTTCAACATAGTATTGGAAGTTCTGGCCAGGGAAATCAGGCAAGAGAAAGAAATAAAGGGTATTCAAATAGGAAGAGACAAAGTCAAAATGTTTCTGTTTGCAGATGACATGATTGCATATTTAGAAAACCCATCATCTCAGTCCAAAATCTCCTTAAGCTGATAAGCAACTTCAGCAAAGTGTCAGGATACAAAATCAATGGGCAAAAATCACAAGCATTCCTATACACCGATAATAGAGAGCCAAATCATGAGTGAACTCCCATTCACAATTGCTACAAAAATACCTAGGAATACAACTTACAAGGGATGTGAAGGACCTCTTCAAGGAGGACTACAAACCACTGCTCAAGGAAATAAGAGAGGATACAAACAAATGGAAAAACATTCCATGCTCATGGATAGAAAGCATCAATATCGTGAAAATGGCCATACTGCCCAATGTAATTTATAGATTGAATTCTATCCCCATCAAGCTACCACTGACTTTCTTCACAGAATTAGAGAAAACTACTTTAAACTGCATATGGAACAAAAAAAGAGCCCATATGGCCAAGACAATCCTAAGCAAAAATAACCAAGCTGGAGGCATAATGCTACCTGACTTTGAACAATACTGCAAGACTTCAGTAACAAAAACAGCATAGTACTGGTATCAAAACAGATATATAGACCAATAGAACAGAACAGAGTCCTCCGAAATAATGCCACACATCTACAACCATCTGATTTTTGACAAAACCTGAGAAAAACAAGCAATGGGGAAAGGATTCCCTATTTAATAAATGGTATGGGGAAAACTGGCTAGCCATATGCCGAAAACTGAAACTGGACCCCCTCCTTACACCTTATACAAAAATCAACTCAAGATGGATTAAAGACTTAAATGTAAGACCTAAAATCATAAAAACCCTAGAAAAAAACCTAGGCAATACCATTCAGGACACAGGCATGGGCAAAGACTTCATGACTAAAATGCCAAAAGCAATAGCAACAAAAGCCAAAATTGACAAATGTAAAGAGCTTCTGCATAGTGAAAGAAACTATCATCAGAGTGAACAGGCAACCTACAGAATGGGAGAAAATTTTTGTAATCTACTCATCTGACAAAGGGCTAATATCCAGAATCTACAAGGAACTTAAAAAAATTTACAAGAAAAAAAAACCATGAAAACGTGGGCGAAGGATATGAACAGACACTTCTCAAAAGACGACATTTATGCAGCCAACAAACATGAAAAAAAGCTCATCATCACTGGTCATTAGATAAATGCAAATCAAAACCACAGTGAGATACCATCTCACACCAGTTAGAATGGTGATCACTAAAAAGTCAGAAAACAACACATGCTGGAGAGGATGGGGAGAACCAGAAATGCTTTTACACTGATGGTGGGAGCGTAAACTATTTCAACCATTGTGGCCGACAGTGTGTTGATTCCTCAAGGATCTAGAACGAGAAATACCATTTGACCCAGCAATCCCATTACTGGGTATATAACCAAAGGATTATAAATCATTCTACTATAAAGGCATATGTACACGTATGTTTATTGCAGCACTATTCACAATAGCAAAAACTTGGAAGCAACCCAAATGCCCATCAATAATAGACTGGATAAAGAAAATGTGGCACATATACACCATGGAATACTAGGCAGCCATAAAAAAGGATTAGTTAATGTCCTTTGCAGGGACATGGATGAAGCTGGAAACCATCATTCTCAGCAAACTGACACGGGAATAGAAAACCAAACACTGCATGTTCTCACTCATAAGTGGGAGTTTAACAATGAGAACACATGGGCATAGGGAGGGGAACATCACACACTGGGGCCTCTTGGGGGGTGGGGGGCTATGGGAGTCATAGCATTAGGAGAAATGCCTAATGTAGATGACGGGTTGATGGGTGCAGCAAAGCACCATAGCACGTGTATACCTATGTAACAAACCCGCACGTTCTGCACATGTAGCCCAGAACTTAAAGTATAATTTAAAAATTTTTAAATTAGCCAGGCTTAGTGGCACATACTTATAGTCCTATGCTTGGGAGGCTGAGGAGGGGGGATTGCTCGAGCTGAGTTTGAGAATGCAGTTAGCTATGATCACGCCACTGTATTCCAGCCTGGGCAACAAAGCAAGACCCTATCTCTAAAAAATTAAATAAAATAAAAATCTAAATGTCTTTATATAGAACTTAAGATATTGGTGATTAATTTGTAACACTTTTCTAGATCTTAAAAATAATGCCTCTTTGGAGTTGTCTCTAAATTAGCAGACATCTGTCCCTTTTTTTACGTCCTGAATTATGAAAAAACATTAATTCTTGTCTAAGGACAGGAATCCACAGCTGAAAAAAAAAATCCTGACTATTATGCATAAGATATTAGCTGGGGTTAATAGAAGTCATCTTTATTTGTTCTTGATGTGTCCAAAGCTTTAAAAATAAAGTATTAATTAATTTTGATATTAATATTATTTTCTCTTTCATATCATTGTGAAGAAGTTACTAGTTACTGAAGCCTTTTTTTTTTTTCAAATCAAATATGTAATTTCTGGGTTTGTATACTCTAGAAATTTGGGCTCTTGAGAACACTATAAGGAAACAATGACAAAAATGGGTTTCTACAAATGGAGGCTTCTTGCCTGTAAAACCTACAAAGTTGTACTAAAATCCCTAGAAAACAGAGTGCCAGGTTTGCAAAAAGATAAATGAGGACACCTGACAGAAAGTTGTGATAGCACCATAAAATTACATTTTAATTGGAAGATTTTTGCCTATTCAATTTAAGTATTTATACATGGAATTTTGTATCTATCACACTGCTATTTGCTTTCTGTTATTTAAAACACATTTTTCTATTTTCTCTGCTTCTTTTGGATCAATCACATATTTCTACCTTTCAATTTCCCTGCATTGTTAGCTATGAATACTTTCACTATTGTTTTAGTAGTTATCCTAGATATTACCATCAGCACCCTTTACTGATTATCATGTAACAATTATTTCTTCTACTCCTCTTTGGATAATGCTAGAATACTGTAACATTTAAAGGACATTTATACTCTCTGCTTTGCATTTTATTTTTATGTATCTTTCATCTATAAATTTATATCCATCTGACCTGATGGATCATTCAGTTAAAGACTATACCAACAGATTTTAAAAAGTTATAGCACTCTTTGAATAAAATTTTAAATGTCATTTTCACATAAAGTAATACTGTATATATAATTTTAGGTAAAATAAATTAACAAATTATCTCAAAACAACAGCTTCTAGACAAAGAATATTACGTTGAAAAATATTCGAATTATTTTCCCAAGAGCAAAATTGAAAGAAAAAGTATCTTTTTAATGACTCTTCAGTCTGTTGCATTCATGAGCTATGTTTCAACAAACTCACATGATAATCTTTATTTTGCTCTAGAAGTATTTTTTATGCTACATTTAAGATTCAAGTGCAGTTTTAAAACAAGATAACCGTAAGACCCCAATATGTCAGTGGAATATTGAAAAAATGAGATGAATAATTGAGTATTTAAAGCAAATTATGTGTGCTTTAAATGATTTAAAACACACACATTGATGTATGATGTGAACATAATGAGTAAAGTTTTATCTGCTTATTCTGAAAGCAAAAAAAATTATAATAATGTATTCTGATTCTGGTGTTGAATGCCTGATTAAATGCAGAATCTCCTACTCTCCCACTTTGAAGGAATGACTGTCACCAATCCTTTCTCTGTCAACCTCCATCCATTATCAAGTCTTCTCTTTCTCCCTTGTAAAGTAAAATAAAACTGATTTCATTTGATTTTATTCAGACAACGTATTTATTTACTTGCAAATTTTGAATACTTTCAGAAAGTTGTTTTTATTAAATTGATTTTTCTGTATATGAATATTGTTTGAGAATCCTTGTCTGGGAATGAATGCATAAGAAAGTTTGTCCACCATAATGAACAGCAATGTTTCTCACTAAAAGTCTTCTAATGTTAGCACAAGGTTTTCAAGGGAAAACAAAACTGTTTAGTGAGAGCTATATTTTTAACACATTAGTATTATTGTTTTGCTCAATCCATATATTACTAATTTACCTAGAGTGTCTGTCATTCTTCATTTATTTTCAACAAAGAATTCTCTCAGTTTGTGTAAAAATGTACTTACTGAGTCATTGTCTTCAAGAATATTCTAATTTGGTATATAATTACAGATTAATGAATTTTAAGCTCTTTGAATATATTATTTCATTGCCCATGGTTTCCATTATTCCTACTGGAAGAAATTGCTTCTTTTATGTTTATGAGCCTCCCTCCTCCCTTCCTCCTTCCCTCCCTCCCTCCCTTCCTCCCTCCCTCCCTTCTTCCCTCCCTTCCTTCCTTCCATCCTTCCTTCCTTTTTATTTTCTCCCTTTCCTTCCTTCTGTTTTTTGTCTCCTGCTCTTATCCTCCTTCTATTACTTCCATTATTTATAGCTGCTTATTAGATTTTTCTTTTCTGCTTTGTCTTCAGTGGTCTTACTACTATAAGCATACATGCAGTTATCCTTTTGTTTATCTTCTTTGGAGTTTCCAGAATGTCTCAAATTTGTGATACTGTTTTTCAACAGTTTTTGATAATTCTTCAAATTAGGGTACCCCATCAAATAATGTTTGGTACCATTTACTCTCTTCTTTCTCTCTGAAACTCCAATTACATGTATGTTTTACCTTTTACTTGACTCCCACATGTGTTTAACACATTTTTACATATTTTCACTCCTATCTCCCCTCTGCAGTTTAGTTTACACAATTGCTATAGATTGATATTTTTATATCTCTTTGTCTATTTCATTCTTCACTGGAGGCTAATTTGCTTTGAAATTCACCCATTAGATGAATTTCGGTTACTTATTTTTTAGGTTCTGTTAGGTTTATCTGATTTGTTGCTATGTATTCCAACTTTATGGTAAAATCTTTATTTTTAGCTGCTTTCTCCATCTTTTGGTCTATTTTCTTGAATATATTAATCATAGATATTTAAAGCCTTTTTCACCCATCTATGATATCTGAATAATTTTTTAAACTATTTTTTCTTGGGGCCTGATTTTGTCACGGTTTTTGGTCATATGGAACTATGGTATCTCTTGGCATTTTTGCTTTTTTTTATTTCTTCATGTAGCATGGCCATATGAAAATATAAAGGCCTCAAATAGTGTCATATTCTTCCAGAGAAAGTATCATTTTCTCTCCATTAGACTTGATAGAGTGGTAGTTGATAATCCAGCCAGCAGCTGTGCTGACTCTCAGCTGGGTTGCAACCCCAACAATGCTACTCTACCTCTGGGTTTCTACTAGCTCTCAGTCGTTTTCATATAAGAGTCCTGAGTGTTCTTTATGGCCCCTCTAACTTTTGTTTTACAAAATTGAAAATAACTCTGCTCAGCTTTTAATGTCTTTTCACTTAGGATTTTAGTTTCCTGATCAAGTTTTGAAGCCTCAAATTTCAGCAGATGTCCTAGGGAAAAAAAAGGCTATGACTATCTCAACCAATATATCCCTGAAAAACTCTGTTGGTTTTCTGTCCCCAGCTGTGTCATTTTGGTTTCTCTCACTCTTGTCTTTGCCTAGTCTCTGAAATACCCCCAGGGCAATATCAGCTGCTGAGCTCCTATCATCTTCCCATGGTTCACACCTCTTTGTAGTTCCAGCTGAATCCTAATCTGCCTTCTCTCAAAATGTCATTTCTTTGGTTTATCTAGCTTTTCTAACAGACCTTGGTAGAATTGCTGACTTGCTGAAGCATCTATACTCCACTCAGAAGCAAAACTGTATAATTATTTATCGAATTAACTGACATTTCTAGAGCAACCATGTGACAGAAGTTATACTGGAGATATCGTATACATGTATGAATCTGTGTGTGTGAGTGTATACATACTAGTTTCTAATAATAAAACATTATGGATGTTACAATTACATCATTCAATGAATGAGAAGGGAGCATAGAATTGTTAAAGCTCTTCTGCTATCAAATAACTATGTTGGAGAACTTAACTCATTCTTAAATTTATAGTAGACAAGCTATTAAATTAATTTATTCACTTTTAGATCTTGGTACTTGAAACATTTGCTGTAACATTCAGGTGAGAAGAAATGGTTGAGCATGTGTTTGATGAGGCTAGAGGCAAAAAGAATGCCTCACATGTTTTCTCCAAAGTATACTACTATTTTCAAAAGAGTATGGGGAAGCAAGTACTTTACAAATTTCCAAGAAATATAAATAATTCAATTAAAAAATTGTATTTCATCTTGAATGAAAAAAATTCAATTCTGTTTAAATATGAAAATTTTCCATAAAGCATGAAATATAAATTAAAAACAGTATTTAGAGAATGGATTCACTCTTCTGGAATGAATTTAATTTTTAATGTTTTACATCTTTTCTTTTGCACACACTTATATTTTATAATTTAGCAAATATAATCAGCCCTCCTGTAAACACTCTGAATTTGAAAGAAAAAATATTTTGGAAGACATTGTTATTATTTCCTAACACTGCCATTTTTAAGCACAGTTAGCATATATTTTAACTACCTTCTGCTGTGTGAAACTGATGATGAGATTAGATTTTACTGTGAAAATGTTCCATTTAAAAATCTCACAATTTTTCACACATTCTATTTATTAAAAGCATTTTTGTTATTTTAAAGAAAAAAATCTATTTACATTGCCTTTTCTTCAAAAGCCCACAAAGTGAGGAAGTAAATTGGATTCTGTCATATTGCAGTGGTTTTAACTAGAAAGCATTACTCTTTTATTGTCCTTGTCTAATCTCAGAAAGTTATATTTACTTACCTTTTAAATACAATGCAAACTTAACTGAAGATTACTGAGAATCAGGGTTTTCTCCCCTGCTCCTTTGCAGTAAATTGAAAAACATCTGGAAAGTATTTTTATCCCAATATAGGTTAATTATATTTTGAAGAGTTTGTTCCATTTTCTTGATATATTAAGCACTATAAATTCTAATTTATTTTTGAGTATTGAAGAACTTGTATAACTGAGATCATAAAACACATCTAATGGATAAAAGTAATATTTGTCAAATGCTTATTATGTGCCTGAAAATGTCAGGTACTATTAAAATGTCATTTAGCATGTGAAGAAACTAATAGAAATGATGTAAGTGAATTAACTAGATTCATAGGTCTAGTAGGTAGGGAGCTGGGATTTAGACCTAGCCATCTGAGTTTAGCAGACATATTTCCAGTCACAATTACAGGATTCTGTCTATAGCACACCTTTTTCCAGAATGAAGAACTCTGACAGGAGATAAGCTAGTAAAGATCAAATACTGTGTGTATTTTGTTATTGAGAGAACTGCTGGAGACCATCATTTAGGCATTTGACAAACACAGGCATCGTTTCTTTTATTTTAGTTTTAATATAAGTTCAAGGGTATATGTGCAGGTTTTTGCTATATAGTTAACCTTGTGTACAGATTATTTCATAACTCAGGTATTAAGTCTAGTACCCATTAATTATTTTTCCTTATACTCTCCCTCCTCTCACCCTCCACCCTCAAGCAGGTCCCGGTGTCTCTAGTTCCCCTCTCATCACTTAGCTCCCATTTTTAAGTGAGAACATGTGGTAGTTGTTTTTCTGTTCCTGTGTTAGTTTGCAAAGAATAATGATCTCCAGATCCATTCATGTTCCTACAAAGGACAGGGTCTCATTCCTTATTATGGCTACATAGTATTCTGTGATGTATATGTATCACATTTTCTTTATCTAGTCTACCACTGATGGGCACTTAGGTTGGTTCCATGTTTTTGCTATTGTGAATAGTGCTGCAATAAATATACATGTGCATGTCTCTTTATGATAGAATAATTTTTATTCCTTTGGGTGTATACCTAGTAATGAGATTACTGGGTTAAATGGTAATTCTGTTTTTAGGTCTTTGAGGAATTGCCACACTGTCTTCCACAATGGCTGAACTAATTTACACTCCCCCCAACAGTGTATAAGTGTTGTTTTTCACTGCAATCTCACCAGCATATGTTTATTTTTTGACTTTTTAGTAATAGCCATTCTGACTGGTGTGAAATGGGATCTCATTGTGGTTTTGATTTGCATTTATCTAATAATCAGTAATGCTGAGCTTGCTTTCATATAGCTGTTGGCCACATGCATGTCTTCTTTTGAAAAGTGTCTGTACATGTCCTTTGCTCACTTTTTAATAGTGTTGTATTTTTTTGCTTGTAAATTTAAGTTTCTTATCGATTCTGTATATTAGACCTTTGTCAGATGCATAGTTTACAAATATTTTTCTCCTATTCTGTAGGTTGTCTGTTAACTCTGTTGATAGTTTCTTTTGCTGTGCAGAAGCTCTTTAATTAGATCCCATTTGCCAACTTTTCATTTAATTGAAATTGTTTTTGGCATCTTCATCGTGAAATCTTTGCTTATTCCTATGTTCAGAATGATATTGCCTAGGTTGTCTCCCAGGGTTTTTGTAGTTTTGGGTTTTGCGGTTAAGTAATTAGTCTATCTTGAGTTGAATTTTGTATGTGGTATAAGGAAGAAGTCTACTTTCAATCTTCTGCATATGTGTATGGCTAGCCAGTTGTCCCAGAACCATTTATTGAATAGGGAGTCCTTTTTCTATTGCTTGTTTTTGTCAAAGATCAGATGGTTGTAGGTATGTGGCTTTATTTCTGTGCTCTCTACTTGTTCGATTGGTTTATGTGTCAGTTTTAGTACAAGTACCATGCTGTTTTGGTTACTGTATCCCTATAGCATAGTTTGAAGTCAGGTAACATGATGACTCCAGCTTTGTTCTTCTTGCTTAGGAATGCCTTGGCTATCCAGGTTCCTTTATGGTTCCATATAAATTTTACCATATTTTTTCTAGTTCTGTGAAAATCGTCATTGGTAGTTTGATAGAAATAGCATTGAATTTCTAAATTGCTTTGGGCAGTATGGCCATTTTAGCAGTATCGATTCTTTCTATCCTTGAGCATGGAATGTTTTTCCATTTGTTTGTGTCATCTCTGATTTACTTGAGTGCTGTTTTGTTAATTCTTGTTGTAGAGAACTTTCACCTTCCTGGTTAGCTGTATTCTTAGGTATTTTCTTCTTTTTGTGGTAGTTGTGAATGAGATTGTGTTCCTGATTTTGCTCGCAGCTTGACTGTTGTTGGTGTATAGGAATGCTACTGATTTTTGTACACTGATTTTGTATCCTGAGACTTCACTGAAATTGTTTATCATCTTAAGAAGCTTTTGGTCTAAGACAGGGAGGTTTCTAGATGAAGAATTATGTTGTCTGCAAGCAGAAATAGTTTGACTTTCTCACTTCCTATTTGGATGCTCTTTACCTCTTTCTCTTGCCCGACTGCTCTGGCCAGGACTTCCAATGGTATATTGAATAGGAGTGGTGAGAAAGGGCATCCTTGACTTGTGCTGGTTTTCAAGGGAAATGCTTCCAGCCTTTGCCTATACAGTATGATATTGTCTGTGGGTTCGTCATACATGGCTCTTATTATTTTGAGATATGTTCCTTCAATACCTAGTTTATTGAGAATTTTTAACATGAAGGTTTATTGGTTTTCATTGAAAGCCTTTTCTGCATCTATTGAGATGAGCATGTGGTTTTTGTCTTTAGTTCTGTTTATGTGATGTATCACCTTTGTTGATTTGTATATGTTGAGCCAACCTTGCATCTTAGGGATAAAGCATACTTGATTATGGTAAGCTTTCTGATATGCTGCTGGATTCAGTTTGCCATTATTGAAACATGGGCATCTTAGTACCAAACCACAAAATTATAGAAGTTGGTTTACCCTTTTCCAGGCAGAGTTGGATGAATGATGAGTTGCCTCTGCATAATACATATAATGGAGAAAGAGTACACAATTTCTTCTGGAAATTTTCAGGTGCCAGTTTACTTGTTTTTCTCAGAGCTGGAATGAGTGAAGGGACAGAAAAAGACTAGGAATACTGGTATATTCTTTACCCTCCCATTGAGGTCAAAGAATGTTTTCCTTCCCCCAAATTCACTATGATGTTATCTCATTATACATACACATAGCTATATATAGTTAAAAGTTCTAAATGCATAGACAAGTTAGGGTATTTTCTAGAAGTTTATTAATTTTTCTTCTTTGATTAAGGATGCCAAGATAACAGTATTTTGGAAAATCACGTTTGCTTTCCGAAATTCCTAATCTGATTTTATTGTTCCACAAAATCATAATATTATAAATTAAAACTTATTACTTATTGTTCTAGTACCAGTCATGTAATTTTAATAAATATGTACTCCATATATTTTTTAAATGGTAGCTTTGATGATTTATTTTTCACAGTTCTGCTAGTAACTATGGTTTTACTTTCCTCCCTTTTTCTCAGTTGATAAAATCACAGTCTCTAGGCCCAGATGCTGGTATGGCAATCTGGCAGAGCCATAAAATTGCATGAGGTATTTCCTAAAGCATCATCTCATAATATCTCATCTGTTTTTCATTTATTATCAAAACCAAAAATGCAGTTTTGATTGGTTAATTGATCACAAATTGGAGTAAATAGTATTGTCCTAAAGTCAATAAACATAAATATTACATTGCTAATTTGATTATGTTTTATGTGCAAATTATGGCCATCAAGTACTTGAATTTCACAGTCTCAAGACTTATAGTCTAACAGCATTACAGCCCAGTAAACAGTGCACTTTAATTGTCATAATGAAGTATAATCATCAACAATGAGTGACTCAATTTTGGGGATTCACAAAATGATTATATAGATTAATTGCCTACCAAAACAAGTAAAAATTACAGATACATTTATGTAGATTATAAATGGACACCGACCTGAGCAGTCACAATTTGTTAACATTGACATGAACTTTCACATGAGAAGCAATTAGAGCAGCAGATGTAAAGAACTAACAGCTATGATTCTGATATCTCTGTCTTTTCAGTCACAATGAGTGACATGAAGACCAAAAACAGTTTGAGGTTTAATCATCAGAAATAATTTAGTCTTTAATTTGAATTGCCTGGTTTTGGCTCATTTATAGCATTTCTTGCTAATTGAATTTTTTAACAGAAACATGCATGAGAAGGTTGCTAGTAAGGGGATTGATAAGTATATATGCTACATAATATTGGTGTCCTGAAAAAGAGTGATATGCCAACAAAGCAATATTACGTAAAAGTAATTTCCTGGAGAATTCATGGAAAGATTCTTTGATGACATGGGTATTATATGTAAACTCCTAAGACACAGGTTTGTCTTGAAGAAGTCAAACTCTGTTAATTATTATTATTATTACAGTTGTTCTTGTGACAAGAAGTTTTTTTTTTTTTTTTTGAGACGGAGTCTCGCTCTGTCACCCAGGCTGTAGTGCAGTGGCGCGATCTCGGCTCACTGCAAGCTCCGCCTCCTGGGTTCACGCCATTCTCCTGCCTCAGCCTCCCGAGTAGCTGGGACTACCAGCGCCCACCACCACGCCCGGCTAATTTTTTGTGTTTTTAGTAGAGACGGGGTTTCACCGTGTTAACCAGGACGGTCTCGATCTCCTGACCTCGTGATCCCCCCACCTTGGCCTCCCAAAGTGCTGGGATTACAGGGGTGAGCCACTGCGCCTGGCCATGACAAGAAAATATTTTTATTAGCAAGGAAAAAAACGAAAATATGAGCTCAACTATTTTGAGAAAATATTTGCCTTTGATTGAAAATATATGTATCAATATTCCCATCTTATTAATCTTTTATACATGATTTCCAACATATTAGTGATACCTGTTGGACAGCCTTCCAGATTAGCCTTAAATCTCCATCTTTAAAGTTTCTATCTACATAAACTTTGCTTCAAGACTTTTTTTTTCCTCAGGTGGATTGGTATAATAGTCTTCTAACTGATGACCTCACTGTTTCCAACACTCCATTTTTTTCTGCCTTTGAAAATGACTTTATGAGAACACAATCTTTGGAGTAATCAGAGGTATCTTTGTTCTTGAAGGCTGTTATAGGTTGGATTTTCTGGAAAGCAGACTCTGAGACAGAGATTAATACATACAAAAAATAATTGGAAAATAATCTCAGGAATAATACCTTAGGGAAGGGGAAAAACAAGGATTGCTTGGATGGAGAAATTGGGCTGCAGTGCTATGGCAAAAAGACCTCAGCTCTGAAGCTGACATGGCACTCAGAGATGTCCGTAGTTGGGGCTGGTCCTTAATAACATGCATCGGCTAGTAATTGGATTCAGGCCTTCTCTGAAAGAAAGCATAACCTTGGGAGTGATGGCATTTCAGCCCACCTCAGTCAATCCCTAGCCTTGAGGCTGCAACCGATAAAGTGTATTTCCTTCTTCTACTCCCCATTCTGCATCCCTTTTCAATCTCAGCAACTCTGCTGATCTGGGTGGCCTGCCTGTTGCGATAACCAAGAACTTCATCTCTGAGCTGTCTGTACTACTGATCGCTGTGCTGTTCTAGGCTGTGGCAAATGAACTTGTGAAACTATATCAAAATTGGGCCATGCTATCCCAAGAGATGCTGAAGTTATTATTCCTCTCTAACCATATTCTTTAACAGCAGCCTTAATTCTGCCTAATAATCAGCATTAATTATCCATGCAAAAATGAAAACTTCTTCTTGCCTGCCGGTACCTTGGTACGGTCGAGTCCAAAGAGCCCAGATGGCTGCCATAGCTTACCATTCAATAGGTTTCTTGCTATTAAACCAAGTGAAAGACTTCTTCCTTTGAGAGCAAGGCTACCTTCCATACAACCTTGCTCACACTATGTTAATTGTGCTCACCTGGATTTTGACAATAATGTACCACCTCCTAGTCTCTATTTCTGGAGGATCTTCTCATACACATTGCTATCAGGAAGGCTAGTTCTCTAATACAATTTCTTACCTTCAGCCCTGGCCTAAAGAAGAGAGTCACATATGAGATTCTCAGTGATGCTGATGTCATTCTCAACAGCATATTCTTTATTGCTTTGGTAAAATTGTCCTCCAACTCCTCCAGGGAAAATATTTTTTTGGCCTATTTTCCAACATTACATAGCATATGCAATCTGGCATCCCACTTCTCTGAGTCTTTTGTTCCTTTTTTTAACTTTCTGCCACAGTAGTTCTGGCATCTTCAATTCACTTATTTTAGCCCATAAAATTTTCCACGATTCTAGGAACCATGTAAATACTATGTTTTTTCATTTCCCAAGGTTCTTGCCAGGCCATTAAATTTTGAGTTCCAGAAAAGAAAAGGAAAAGTTCTCACACTGATAAACTCTCCCTTTCCCAAACTCATCTTCAACCCCCTTGCACTGCCTGTTTAATTCAGCGTCATCAGAAAATAACCCCAAATGTCTTGCACTCCTGGCTTCTGCTGATAGAGGTAAGCAATATATTGTGCTTTTTTCATGGTATAGTACGTTTCCTTCCTTTTTCTCTTAGTTTCAGCACTTCCCTGAGTGACTTAACCTTAGATATGTGTGTAAAGGATAGAGGCGAGATAGAAACAGTTTGTTGGGGCAGGGCCACCTTTTGTCCTGCATCATCTTCAACTAAGGGAATATACCCAGATCTTAGTAGATATGGGTAGGCTACTTCTGCAGTATTAGGAGAATCTGGAGAGGGTTCAAAATTTTTAAGTTTGTCAACTCAGGTGTTCCAATCACATGTCACAGGATCTCATTCTTTCATAATTAAGATTCTGACCTTTACATATCAGAGCTGCCCAAGAGCTTTAACATGCTTGTGACTAAATCTTGGGGCTCTGTTTTCTCAGCCTGCTAACTGTGGGAGATAAGTCCCTTTAGATGTGGCCGAGTAGATCCTCTGGCTTCCACAGTAAATTTTTAGTTAATTTATTAGCCTTTCATTGTATTTATCTAGAGCATAAAGTGCTCTGAGCTTAAAAAAATCCAGTTCCATTTGATTTACAATTACTCTCTCACCATATTTGTATCTATCTTACACTGTACTTGCCAATACAATTTATTTCACCAGTATAATATCTCAGTTCTTGTTTGATGAATATTTTAACAACTGCATTGCTCTCTTATGTCTAAGGATGTGGTCATCATTGCTCATCAGCTGGAGAACGATCCCATTGTGAAAATCCATTATACCATCCTCTTTCAGGGTTTCTTGGTTGCTGGGGAAAGTTTCTCCACTAACTACCTTTATTCAGACTATATATTCCAGAATTCTGTTTAAGAAAACAGCTTCGGGAGGTAGAGATATAGTTAGTCTTCCTCTTGAGCTAAGGATGGGTGGTCAACTGTCCAATGTAATAAACATAATGTCTTCCTGTGGCAAAGCTTAGGCAAGCTAATCATCCATTATAAATTTGGTATACCCCAAGTTTGAGATCTTTTCCTATGATTCACTTCACCGTGAGCACAATATATCACGGGGGCATTCATTGTATAGCCCTGTGGGAATTGAGCTCAGGAAGCAAACACAAAATGTTGATAACTGGCTACTGTTATTGCTCTGAGAAAGAAACTGCCCTTTGTGTCTGCCAACTCATCTTATGTCTTCTGACAATGTCCATAAAACTTTGGCAGGCTAAATTGCTGGCTTGTCTGTGGGATAAAAATCACAGAACCTCCACAGTTCTAAACACTGGAAACAACTGTTAAGATTCAGGCTCCTCAGACTGAACTTTAGTTCAGACTCTGAGATCGTCAGTGTTCTTTACTGTCTATAAATGACATTTTCAACAAATTATCACATCTGATTTCCATGGAAAAGTACATATGAATTTTAAACTGTTTGCTCTATTTAAATTAAATAGAAAGTATTATTTTCTTTCCATTTGAGTATTATTACTTAGAGTGTAGTCTTTCACTCATTTGCTTTTGTCATATTTAAAACTCATAGAAACAGACATTTATAGGATACTCAAATTACAAGTCTGCTTTCATGTCTAGATTTTTGCCTGGCAACACTGTACACAACATCAACCCTCCTTTCCTCCTTCCTTGCTTTCCTCCTTTTCCTCCCTCTCTCCCTCCCTTTCTCCCTCCCTCCCTTCCTTCTTTCCTTCCTTCCTTCTTTTTCCTTTCATTCTCTCTCCATAAAAATAAATCAACTTTTTAATACTTCTGTTAAAGCTATAATGATTTAATAAATATCAAAAGGATTCTGTAATATTAATGGCACTTTAAAAATCTCTCCCTTAATAGTCAATTTTAAAGTTGATAATGAATGCATTTGTTAAAGATAAAATTATGGGTTTGTGAGAGTCAGATGAATACAATGGGAAAAATCTGTTTTGCAATTATGACAGAAGGCAAAAGCATTAAAGATTAAGAGAGACATCTTTGGAAAAAAAAAATCACTGTGCTTAATTTAACTTGTATTATTAGGAAATAATTATCATACATATTATGCTTTTATTCTCTATATTATAAATGTAGATCAGAGAAATTTTTCAGCATCAGACACAAACATAATATTTTAATTCTAAAAACTTAGCAATATAGTTTTACAAAAAATAAAGTACATTGTATTCATCTATTTCATTAGAAATTGAATTTCTGAGCTCAAATACCTCAAGTTCCAAGAAGCACTGTGACAAAAACTATTGAATACATCAAATATCCAAGAAATTGTTATTAATGCTGACATTATTTATACAAACTATGATTTCTTCACTCTTACGCTGAAGATTTAAATATACGTATCACCACTAATGCTAAATGAGTTGTAGTATTTGCCAGCTAGTGTCACAACTTCCACATTAGTCAGTAAAAGTTTATACAATTAATTATAGTTTCATATTAGAATATTGACATGTGAATTTTTTAAACTTATACTTTATTACTCTTTAATTTAGCATGAGGCCAACATTTTTAAAAATGCTATAGTAGATTTAATCAGTTAATTTGTGTTGCATTGCTATTTCTTCTAACTAGCTAAGAATGTTTTACTGTTCTTTAGCTAAGTTTATATAGACTCTTGGACAACATTTCCAGGTTGCTGCTGGTCGAGCACCCTTTCACAGTTCAAGGTTAGTTAGTGTGTATCATTTTTTTCCAATAGGATTTTACTATAATTTCATATTTACTTGAAAATAATAAAATGCAGGAGTTGAGTCATGTTCTTAGCAACATCCATATCTTTTTACATAATGTAAATTTCCAAATAACTGTAATTTACCTTCTTTTTGATATAGGGATAATATTAACCATTTTAAAGAAAAATAGAGCTCAGTTATAACTGCATCATCCATCCACCACACTAGACAGAAAAAAATTTCAAACTTAACAACAAAACATAACACAATTTTGTTGGGAATATATTCAGATTATGCATTAAAGCCAACATTGAAGATCAAGACATTTTATTTTCCCCTTTCTGCAGTTTACTAACTTATTTTAAGATAATTTTACTAACAGTACTTCACTATTCTTAGGGCATATCATGAGAAATAAGCAGAATATAAGGTGCTAGGTTCAATAATATTTCACCTCAGTGGAGGAAATGATGATTTTCAACTGTGATAGAGGGAAGCAGCTGGTCCTAGCCCTAAGAACAGCAGCCTCCTAACAGAAAAAGCTAAGGCAAAAATTTTCATAAGAAAGTACAAACAACAAAAACAGACTGTAGTCACTTTCTTTCCTCCTATTTGGTGATCATTCAGTCCACGGAATTTGTCATGACTGGCACTGTCTGGGCTAGCAATGGCATCTACAAGAGCCATCATAATAGCATGCAAACCTTGCAATGCTGTCATTGTTTCTAAGGAAATGCAAATACATGGATCCTCATGAATTTCTAAGAATGAGGGCTGCTTATAAAGTAGCTCTCAAGTGAGGCATTTGCTTTTAATTTTTAATGCCTGTAACAACCATGACTATGAAATGGATGTAAAAACAGGTGAAAACTAGAAATAAAAGACTGTAGTATAGATTTTTACAAAATATTTGGCTTTTTTTTTTTGACAAAGTCTCGCTCTGTTGCCGTCTGGAGTGCAGTGTGGCATGATCTTGGCTCACTGCAACCTCCGCCTCCTGGATTCAAGCGATTCTACTGCCTCAGCTTCCTAAGTAGCTGGGATTACAAGCAGGCACCACCATTCCCAGTTAATTTTTTGTATTTTTAGTAGAGATGGGGTTTCACTATGTTGTGTCCTTTTCTTTCAATCTATTTTGTTAAATTAAAGCTTCTTCAATCTTCTTCCCCCTGTCCCTGACAATTCCTGCAGTAGTGCAAGGAAGAGAGTTCTTTAAGTTAGAGAGTTCTTTAAAGCATAAGCAAGGAGGGATACAGTGACCCAAAATAATAACACTCTAAGTATATTCATTAATTCACTTTTAATTTATCATCTAATTGTGAGCAAGTTGGCATACATTTTCTATTCAATGGAATTGTTACAATAGGTAGCTAGTCAGGCATGAGCAGGGCATGAGAGGGCTTCCCCTAGCCTTGTACCAGGAATGCCAGGCAACCATCAGGTGATGGTCAGGGAGTTGTTAACTGCCTTTCTAAAATAATAATTGGTAGCAGCTGGCACCAGGGAAAAGCAGTCTCCCAATGGACAGAAAAATTCTGAAGCTGATCAGCAGTTTCCTGATAAGATCTCAGGAGTTGGGCTAGTGGGCTCAAGCATGCCCATTGAGAGGCAAAGTGTATGACATCTCAGAGACATTTAACTGGTAAGGGAAGAATGACTCAAGTGAGCATGCGTGCAACTCCAGTAAACACACTGTGCATGCACCCCTCCCACATGCTAGGAGTCCAAGCTCATGCACACAGCCTACCCCAAGGGAAGAATCAGGGAATAAGGCATGCAAGATCCTGCAAGCATGCCAACATACAAAAACCCAAGTCAGGGCCGGGCATGGTGGCTCACACCTATAATCCCAGCACTTTGGGAGGCTGAGGCGGGCGGATTACGAGGTCAAGAGATGGAAACCATCCTGGCCAACAGGGTGAAACCCTGTCTCTACTAAAAATACAAAAGTTAGGGGGGCTTCGTGATGGGCGCCTGTAATCCCAGCTGTTCAGGAGGCTGACGCAGGAGAATTGCTTGAACCCAGGAGGCGGAGGTTGCACGTTTGCAGTGAGCTGAGATCGCGTCACTGAACTCCAGTCTGGTGACAGAGAGAGACTCCCTCAAAAAAAAAAAAAAAAAAAAAAATTCAAGTCGGAAGGTCAAATTGCACACTTGATCTCCCAAGTTGCCCACTTGGCCCTCTTCCAGCTGTTCTTTCATTACTTCTGGTCCTGCTCTAAAGCTTTTTAATAAACTGTCATTCCTGTTCTAAAACTTGCCTTCTGCTTTATTCCCCTCAGTCAAAATTTTCCTTCTGAGGAGGCAAGAATTGAGGTTGCTGCAGACCCGTACAGCTTCAGTAGCAGAATACTACACATAGAAAAATCCCAAAACTATTTATAAGACCTAGACATGACATTTTTACTCTTTTTACCTCAGTTTCATCTTCTCCAAAATAAAAGGCTTCATCTAGATGATTATCTAAAACATCTGCTTATCTAAAACATCTGCTTATCTAAAATAGAAAATAATTCAAGTAAATTTCCCTGTACAAAAAGAATTAAAATAATAATCTACTCTAAATTTGAAACTATTCTTATTGTATACACACATTCACTTATCTTCCATTCCATTTTGCAGGTATGACAACAATTAATAATAACCAAAATGTATTGCATGTTTGCCTTGTTTCAACTATTGTTCTGAACACATTACATGTTTGATTTTGTAATTCTCACAATAGCCCTATGAGGCAAATATGATGATGATGATGATGGAATTTTACAAATGAGGAAGAGAAAGTTCTGTTTGCTCAAGGTCAAACAACTAGTGAATATAAATAAAATATTTAGCAACTTTATTCTGTAATAAACTCATAATTCTACATCTTGTCAAGACTGATCAAACAAAGGCAAGCATCTCACTGTTTGCATTTCTATTATCATTACCAGAGTCCATTCTTTTAGAGATTTCCTTTGTCAAAGTTAAGGGTAAGAGACAAAATAAAACATAAGAAAGGAAAAGTCAGAAGAAAAAGGGGAGACAGTTTTGTCATTAAAAATAAAATAAAATTCATATATGGATGCCAAACAACGATGTCAAACAATATAGTTTTTAATAGAATGAATATAGTTTTAAATATAACAAGCTTCCAAAGGTCTGGCAATTAGAAATCATTAGTGGTTTTGGTGTGAGAAGGTTCACTAGTGTAGCTGATAGGAAAGGACACTGAAATTAATTGACTAGCAAATACAAGGGGAAAGAACATGGGAAAATCTAATGTTTCTTTAAGATATTAATAAAGAGAAGTGAGATCGTATATCAGGGGTAATTGTAAAGCATTTGGCTGGTTTAGTTTTTCTTAAGATGTAGATGTCTTGACCCAACATGTAGTTCAAAAAGAAAGTTGCTAACCTGGAAGAAAACTTTAAGATAGACAGTTTTGAACAAATACAAAGAAAGTGTTTTGGAGGCAGAAAATCAGTTTATTTTCTCAGAATCATTAAAAATACAAAAGAAGATCAAAAAAAAGGGAATGAGGAAATATAAAGCTGACTAAGAAGGAAGCTCACAATCAAGTGTTCCTGCAGGAAGTAGACTGAGTCAGCTGCTGAAGATGAAATTAAGATGGGGTAGAGGAGTGGCATATTAATTTGTACGTTCTCCTTGTTCACACACAGAAGAAATGTGTTTCTTAAGCCTTTTATTTCAGATACATGTACTTAAATTTCCCACTTTTGTATGAGGACTGATGTTATAAAGCAAAATATTGATGGATATATTTATAACACAGTATGGGTTAGAACATTATTTAATCATGAAAATCAGTGACCTGAGTAGTAACAAAGTTGAGAGCAAAATACTAAAGAAATGAAAAGAAAAAAAAGATACATCCTCAGAATGATACTAGTCAAGAAATTCAAAGCTGGGTAAATTGATTAAAGCATTTAATGATTGCTTATTTAGCAATGTAGCAGTTCTATAAGGAAAAAAGAAAGAAAAGAAAAGAAAAAAAATCTGGCCCAGGTGCAGTGGCTCACGCTTGTAATCTCAGCACTTTGGGAGTCTGAGGCAGGCAGATCATCTGAGGTCAGGAGTTCGAAGCCAGCCTGGCTAACATGGTGAAACCCTGTTTCTACTAAAAATACAAAAAATTAGCCAGGAGTGGTGGTGGCGCGGGCCAATCCCAGCTACTCTGGAAGCTGAGGCAGGAGAATCACTTGAACCCAGGAGGGGGAGGTTGCAGTGAGCCGAAGTCATGTCATTGCACTCCAGCTTGGGCAAGAAGAGCAAAACTCCGTCACAAAAAAAAAAAAAAAAAAATGCTGCAGGAGGTAGGTTTATAGAGAGAAAACATTAACTTAACTGCTCATTAATATGCTGCAACAGAGAAGTTACTTTGTGAGGAAACTGGAAGTTACAAAATGAATAAGACAATAACTTTGCCCTCAAGTGGACTGCAATTTGTATCAATTTACTTATTTATTTATATTTTATCCCGGAGCAAATTAACATTATTGATAATACTATTAAAATTAAGACAGATTTTAATATAAGTTTTTTTCCCCCACTTAAATCGCAGGAGAAAGGGCTTAAGACCCTGAAAAAAAAAATTTATAGGAAAATTTCCCCAAAAGGTAAGCACAATAAAAAGTCAAAAGGAGGTACGGGCTGAAGAATGACTTCCTGCAATGTGTAATTTCAAGGTCAGTCTGCAGTACATTTTCTGGATGATGTAAACTTGCACCTTAAAGAGGAGTAGAATTTGAACATACAGACACAGGATAAATATTTTAAGTTGAAAAAATGTTATGCAGAAAATTATAGTTATAAGAAAGTATTAGGCTCATGTAGCCAAATTTACAGAATTCTATCATGCTGAAGGACAGGATGTGAGAAAGTAACTCAATGCCGGAATGAAAGATGGGTTAAAGAGTTTAGACATTATTTAGAGTATGGATTTCAATGGATTTCTTTTTCAACCAAGAATGAATGCTACATGAGACCTGTGTATCAAGTGTTATCCCCTTTTGGGTGTTTTCCCTGGTCTTTCTTTCTTCAAGGTAAACTTAAGTTAAATTTTTAGGTTTATTTTAGCAGTATATACTTCTATCTATCATAACATTTACCCATGATACTATAATTATCTGTTTGCCTACGAGATTCTACCACTGCTAAAAAGCAAAGATTAATCTTTACTTATCTCTAATTTCCAAGTATTGTGTGCAGCACTCAGTATATTGCAGAATTCAATATATTTTAATTAAATTGAGAATCTATCTATATATAAGATGATTATTAAAAACAACAGAAGTGTGAAAGAATTGGGGTGAGAAGAAAAAGTTTCATCCCTAGATGGTGACTTTTACTATTCTCTAGTCTACCAGTGTGGACAGTGGTAGCTGAAGTGAGCCAGGAAAATACTCATGCAGGAAAGAAATAAGGATGACCAAATTCAGATATAAAGAAGTTGAAAAGAGAGTGACTTGGTCAGGATAGTTTGCTATACAAATTAAAAAAAAAAAAAGATGGTTAAGATGAAATTCTCTGGGTAACATGGCAAGTAATAACTTCTGTAATCAACTTTAGAACACAAGTTTAGTGTATTTATTGTCCAAAATGTGATCTCAGCATGTACAGCATGTGCCAGCCATTAAAAAGAAAGGCAAAAAATTGTATTATTATTGTTGATAGTGTAGTTCCTTTCAAACACTCAAAATTTCTCCTAATTTCAATTATTATGTATCATATAAGCCTGTTATTTTTTATTATGATAAAAAATGCATTACTTTAACTTTACCGTCTTAACCATTTTTAAGTATACAGTTTAGTAGTAATGATATTCACATTGCTGTGCAACAGAGCTGTAGAACTACGTATCTTGCAAAACTGAAACTATACCCATTAAACACTCATTCACCTTTCCCTCTTCTCTCAGGCCTTGGCAACCACCTTTCTACTTTCCAATTCTATAATTTTTAACCACTTTAGATACTTCATGTAAGTGAAAGCATACAGTATTGTTCTTTTGTGACTGGCTTAGTTCACTTAGCATAATGTCCTTGAGGTTTATTTTTGTGGCAGCCTGTGCTTCTTTTGAAGTCTGCGAGATTCTCCATTGTATGTATATACCACATTTTCTTTATCCAGTCATTGGTCAATGAACATTTTGGTTGCTTTTACCTCTCGGCTATTGTGAATAATGCTGCAAGAACATGGATCTTCAAATATGACTTCAAGATTCTGCTCTGAATTCTTTTTGATATAGACACAAAAGTCGGATTGCTCGGTCATATTGTTAATACCATTTTAATTTTTTGTGGAACCTCCATTCTGTTTCCCTTAATGGCTGTATCATTTTACATTCCCATCAGTGGTGCTCATGGGTTCCAATTTCTCTGTATCCTTGCTAATACTTGCTACATTCTGTTACTTTGATAATGGCCCTCCTAAGTAAGGTGTGTGAGATGACATTTCATTGTGTTTTTGATTTGCATTTATCTTATGATTCATGATATTAACCACATTTTTATATGCTTGGTGACTATTTGTAGATCTTCTTTGGAGAATAACATATTCAAGTCTTTTGCCCAATTTTAAAACTGGATAGCTTATGACATTTTTATCTAAGAAAAAATTGGCAGTTGTGCCAAAGGCCGATTCTCATGGGGAATGAAGTCACTTTCTGAAAGGAAGTTTGTAGAGCATATGCGGCAGCTGTTCCCTCCTCTTGCTACCTCACTCTCTATAAATTCAAAAGGCATCTAGAATTTCTGCAGCAAATTTTTTGAAGGATAGCTAAGACTTTTGAAGGACTGGTTATGAACGAGCCACAAAAGTGTCTTGTGAATGTTCAAATTATCCTAGTCTTACCTTCAGACTCGGGCAAACTGCTATATAAAATTAACTTGTTTTTCTGTTTTTTTGTTTTTGCTTTTTGTTTTGTTTTGTTTTGAGATGGAGTCTCACTCTGTTGCCCAGGCTGGCGTGCAGTGGCGAGATCTCAGCTCACTGCAACCTCCGCCTCCTGGGTTCAAGGAATTCTCCTGCCTCAGCCTCCTGAGTAGCTGGGATTACAGGCACGCACCACCACGCCTGGCTAATTTTTGCATTTTTAGTAGAGATAGGGTTTCACCATGTTGGTCAGACTGGTCTCGAACTTCTGACCTCGTGATCCACCCACCTCAGCCTTCCAAAGTGCTGGGATTACAGGCATGAACTACCGCGCCGGGCCTTTTCTGTTTATTTTAATGTAAAACATGCAAAATGCATTCTAACAGCCACCTCTGCCATTGGCAATTATTACTTCAATTGTATTTCAAAATATCAAACCTATAAATATACCATTAGAAATGAAGAATCTTACATGACTGTTCCCTGAAGCTTTTCTTCGGTAGTACATTATTGTCAGAAAATACATAAGGTCTGAATCTTGACATTTGAAGGATCAGTAATTGTTGCTATCAAAATCAGGTTATGACCCAGGACAGCCACAGCCAGAGAACACTCACATAATAGCATCATAAGGCTCAATGTCACAATGATCTGGGAAGGGCAACTAGCCATAGGCACTGCTATTTGGTTCAGAGAAGCACCAATTAATTCGACTGCTCTCTGATCCACTTGAAGAACTCAGCTGGAAATCAAACAAAGCCAACCTAAAAAAAAACGTCTAACACTAGAGGTATGTTGTGTGTTCTTTCAAGTAGACTATATTTTAGACTCTAGAACTGAGGGTCATAACTCCTGTATCTCTCTCTTTTCATAGAATTAGAGTTTGTCAAAGGTGTTAAAAATAAAATGAGTGTGAATGTCCTACAAGGTTTATGAGAAAGTTCAGAAGGAAAGTAAAGAAAGACTAAGCAGCAAGACTTTTAGGTAAGAGTAATAATAACAACAATATGAAAAATGAAAGCTTTCATCCTCATCCTCATTGGTTCTCACTCTTCCTCTTGGAAATCAAATTTGCATGTGACTTACATTTTAATAAGAATGGCTGTTAAAAAAATTCACATTCATATTTTGAGTAAAAAGATTGGTGGAATTAAAAACTAATTTAAAAACTGATTTTTGAATATTTAACAAAATCCTAAGAATCTCTCCATTTCCTAAATGCCTTTCAAAGATAATGCCATATATATGACCCCTCTCTCATGCTATTAGAAACGTACATATGGCAATGTCACACATTAACAGTTGTACCCTAAGGCCACTTCCTAGAAATTAAATTATTTTCCTCATCAGACACAATGTTGTGTTTCTTCCAAACTCCAAGTGATTCCTGAGAGTAGGATAAAGTTCTACAGTGTTGCTGGTCTTCTAGAAGCTCGGGTATTTCTACTCTGTAGCACGGACAGGAAATCCAAACACAAAGAAAGAAGAATGGTATTGTGATCTCACTGAGTTTGGGAAACAGATTATAGTTGAGGGAAGCTGAGGTGGCTAGAATTTGCAGATCACAGTACCAACCAACTGAAGTGAAGCTGGGAACATGTTTCAGAAATCTGCATGAAGTAAACTTGAGTCTTCTGTTGAATACTAGGCTGAGCATTGGGAAGGAGAATTTCCACAAGGCCAGACAATGAAGACCTATGAGGAGCTATAACCAAAGAAATACCTGAAGGTCACAAAGGGTTGGTAGACATTTTAGTTCCAACTAAGCAGACTGGGGGAAACATATTGAAAATCAACGCAGATTCAATAGAACCTGCAGAAAATTTATATCTTCAGAGTAAAGCTAAACTAACCAAAAAGGAAAATCTATGTCTTCCAAACAAACATCAAAAACAAGAGTTTGAAAGGCTGAAGCTGATCCACAGGTAACTTAACTGGCTGTCAAAACAAAAATCAACACATTTTAAAGGACGATTATACCATCCAGGCATTCAATAGCTAACATTCACCAAGTCCAGCTCTCAATAAATTAGAAAAAGATATATAGAAAACCTCAAGTATTTAGAAATTTAGCAACATATCTTGAATAACTCACTCATAATGAAATGCCTCACCAAATAAGCAGTATAGTGAACTTTTCTTAGTGTGATGAAGGGAAACAATTAAAAACCTACAGCTAACATATACATAATTGAATGACATAACACTTTCCCCCTGTGATTATGAAAAAGTCTACTATAATCCCTTTCACAACCTCAATTCAACATTAGAGAAGATGCCACAGCACACACAATAAGGGGGAAAAAAATACAAGGCATAAATCTTAGAAAGAACGAGAAAATCCCTCTGTTAATTCACAAAAAAAAAAACAGGATCATGGTTACAGGTTAGGTTTCCTAAGAAGCAGATCCTTAGATGGATTTTAGTATGCAGAAACTTTTTTGAGGAAACAGCTCTCAAATCAATATCTATGAAGGGGAGTTCCAGGAAATAGCACTGGGTTGGAGGATAAACCATCCTGAGATTAAAAAATCAAGAAAGACTTAAGTAAACCCATGGGATCTGCAGAGTTAAAATGCCATTTTATTAGTTATGACGAGGTGGTCAAACTTTTATACTGCCCCAGGAAGAAGTTTACCTTTAAGCAAATTGGACTGACTTCAGCTGAGGCAATGCCTGAAAGAACTTGCCTGACTTGGCCAACTGACTGCCAAGAGCATTCCTAACACCTAGGTAGGAAGTCTTTCATTGAAGAATTCTATGGCAGCAATACACAGTGTCCACAGATTAAGTATAGAACATCCAAAATGATGTATAGAAAAAGATTACTAGAACTATTGAACATGAGCTTAGCTAAGTCAAGTGATACATGATTTATATATAGCCATCAACTGTTTTGCTATATACTAGCAATGAACAATTTAGAAAGTAAAATGTAAAATATAATCCAAAATGCTATTTAGAATTAGGAAACATTTAGGTATTTATTTAAAAAAGTGTATGTAAAATACCTACACAGAAAGCTATACATTTTTTGCTAGAAACCGATAAAGAACTACTAAATGTAGAAATATATCATGTACACAGATGGAAAATCTCAATAATATTTTCAGTTTTTTTTTTCCAGATGATCTATAGATTCAATGCAACCCCAGTCAAAATCCAGGCAGACTTTATTTTTCTTTTACATTTGACAAATGATTCTAAAATTTGTACAGCAAAGGAAACAATATAAAATAGCCAAAGCACTTCTGGAAAAACAAATGGGAAGACTGGCGTTGCCTGATTTAAACACTTAGCCTAAGACTAGAGTAATCAAGAGAGTTAGGTCTTGGCATAAGAAGATACATGTAGATAGATTAAATGTATAGAGTTCAGAAAAAGATACACATATATATGGTAGTTGATTATTTTTTAGCAAAAATACTAGCATAAAAATGGAGAAATGATCATCAACTTTACAAGTAATGCTGTAAATACTGGATGTATTTGTGGGGAAAATTAATCTCAACCTTTACCTCATAATATATAAGTTGAAATGAATTATAGACCTAAACACAAAGGCAAAAACTGTAAAATTTCTAGGTGAAATTATAAGAGAAAATCTTTTTGTCCTTTAGTTTGGTAAACATCTCTTAGGTGGAAGACAACAAATAAAAACCTAAAATAACACCTCGTCAAGTTAGACATCAACAAAATTTAAAACTTCTGTTTTGTAAAAGACTCCGTGGACACAGAAAAAAAAAAAAAAAGACAAGCCAGAGACTGGGAGAAATTATTTTCAACATATGTATATTACATTGTACTTATATTCAGATTATATAAATAACTTCAACTCAATAATAAGAAGACAATGCAACATTTGTAAATGTGCAAACAACTTGAATAAATACTTCACAATAGAAGATTTTCAAATGTCCAACAAGCATATGAAAACATGCTTAGTAATATATGCCATCAGGAAAATATAAATAAAAACCACAATGAGATACAAGTATACACCAAACAGATTGATCTGGGTGTCCAAATTGAGAGTAAGTATATTTAAAAATTTAGAGTACCTTGTACACTGACAAAGTAATTTTATGTTGACTGAATCTAATATTAACAAAATAGAACTTGTTTCTTTCATGTCTTTGTGGGTATTTTCCACTTATATTTAATAATTTATTTTCATTGTAATTCAGAAAAGTATAAATTTCTGAGAGTTTAGAAATTTTTTAAGTGGTCCCTTACCACAGATATTTTCAGAAACCTTGTTCTAAGGAATTGAAATAAGGTACTTAGCCCACACAGTACACTAGCAAGATGACCCAGCAGTAATAGCCGGGAAGCTAAAGAAATGTACTCTGTGTAGACCTGGCTCAGTATTTAACATCCCAATCCCCATTGGATTTCCAATGAAGACCGAAACCACAAACTATTGCTTTAACTATCATGTTGTTCCCCCATCCGTATGTTAATACACTTTGTGCACATCATGACAGGTGAAAAGACTGCATAAAATGTGTATATCTAATTCCCTGTGAGAGGAAGTTTAGAAACAGAAAATATGGCTAACCTTTGCATGATGCAAATATGAAGACCAAATTTCATCCTGATATTCCAGATGGCCACAACTTTACAAAGCTTAATACACAGTCCTTTTTTTTCCTTATAAACTGCTAAAATAGTATACTTGTTGCTTAGCTTTAAAATGCATAATGTCTGCTTTGTGTGCTGTGATAACAGGACTTTAATAACTGAACAAAGAGCAACATAAACCAAAATAATGCATTAATTATAAAGTGTGGACTTTTTAGCCAAAAAGGACTGTGAATTTAGAATCTGTACGCTTGTTTCATTTCAATGCAAAGCCAAAATAAGTCTACTTGTTGGACTATAGTTTCATTTACTAGATGTTTTTTAGTGAAGGAACAGCACCAATTTTACACAGACATACACAATTTGACTGCAGTGTGCTCTGCTAGCATATGTTAGACTTAATGGAGTATGTGATAAATGTTATTTATATATTTTTCTTTTTATTGAATGTAGAGTAAAATAGCACAGAAAACCAATGAGACATAGAGAATTATTTTATCCCCAACTGATTTTATTAAATGATCAATAATGATTAGACAAAATGAAGTCTAATAATTATATAGAATAAATAAGTTCACATAAGAATTTCGCCTTTAAATTTTCTTTGCAGCCTAAATTCTTAGCACAGAAAGATGTGAAAGACAATGTATTTTTTTTCATGTCTAGCAGAGACTCATCAGATTTAGGAGATTATGTTTATAGAGCTATCTTGAAAACTTTCCCACTATCATGGAAAACTTAAATCTATATTAAAAAACTTTTGTAAGCCTTGCTTTGCAAATAGAATCTGGAAAGGAAATAAATCTGTAAAAACTTTGTGATTCTTTCCCCTACATCCCCCCAGCACGAAAGAAATTTCACCTGTCAGTGCAGTAGTAAAAATTTTTTTGAAGAGTCAGACATATGGGCTAACTTTAAAATAGAGTTTTTGTTCTTCTATGTTAGTGACTATTTTCCCTATAAAGCATTAGTTGCAGAATCTAGTATTCCTTGCAAATATTCGACTGAAAATTCATACCTATTAGCAAAAACCAGAATTACTTTTGGAGCAACCTAATATAAAGTGGTAAAATATTTATATGAAATTAAACTTTCTGGAAAAAATCTAAATCAATGTATGTGGGTAAAGTGTTAGTTTTCTGCACGTATTTGTTAATACTACTTTGCAATGGGGGCTGTATTTGGCCAACATATTGTTGTATTAATCTTTTGAATAATAAATCTATCTATGAAGCATTAAAATTTATCTTTCTTGATTACAGAATTTTGGGTTTCCTTCATTAAGATATCATGCAACACTAAAGTATTGAATTAAATCTGTAACTCAAATATCTTTGCTTGTTTACACACAATATTTTACTCTGTGGAAGATTCCAGTGTAATGTTAATAATCAGCCACCATGCTTCCCTTGTCACCCCTATTCTCTTCTATAAAAAAAATCATATTATTTGCTACACAGAATTGTTGACAGAATTAAATGATCTTGAAAAGCACTGTTCATAATAAATGCTGCATAAGTGTTTGTTTGTATTATTATTATGTCACCTTTCAGGCCATAAAGGAAATTCTTGGATTAATTATATTCCTATTCAGTCTTTATAAAATTGTCAAGCTCTTTTTTTTAAGTTTCCATAAATCTTGAATCCATGTTTTAGTTCTCTGAACTATTGTGGCTTCTTTGAAGGTGTCTTGCTAGTTTAGTCTCAGTTACCCTTGTTCTGTTTTTATTCCTCTGTTTTTACTATTTTGAGAGTTCTTAGTGAAAAAACTCCTTATATTCATGTACAGTAATTCACTTTCTTGAACAATTACATATAGAATAAAATCTGCTGTAGTTTGAATGTTTTTGTCTTCCTTAAAATTCATGTGTCAGAAAGTTAATTCCTAATGCAACAGCATTAGAATTTGTGGCCTAAGGATAAGAGTTCAGGTCACAAGGGCTCTGACCTCATGAATGGAATAATGCCATTATAAAATGGGCTTGTGGCTGGATGCAGTGGGTCATGTCTATAATCCAAGCTCTTTGGGAGACCCAGGCAGGTGGATAGGCTGAGCCTGGGAGTTCGAGACCAGCCTGGCTGACATAGCAAAAGCCAGTCTCTAGCAAAAACAAACAAACAAACAAATTAGACATTTTTTGGTAGTCATCGCTTGTAGTTCCAGTTATTTGGGAGGCTGAGGTGGGAGGATCACTTGAGCAGGGAAGTGGAGGTCGCAGGGAGAAGAGATTGTGCCACTGCACTCCAACCTCTAGGGTGACAGAGTGAGACCTTGTCTCAAAAACAAACAAACAGAGCAAAAATTGGCTTGCAAGAGTGGATTCATTGATCTTTCACTTCTTCCATGTGAGGAACAGTATTCCTGTATCCTGGAGAAGGCAGCACTCGAGCCACCATCTTGGAAGTGAAGATCAGGCCCTCAGCAGACACAAAACCTGCCAGTGCCATGATCTTGGATTTTTCAACCTGCAGGACTGTAAGACATACATTTTTATTATTTATACATTACTCATGCTAAGGTATTCTGTTATAGCTGCATAAAAAAGAATAAGACAGAATAAGACAGAAGCTGTGTGGGCCTGCATGAGAACTTCAATTAACTGTCCATTCTCTAAACAAAACAAAGAAATTGGAGATATGCAGACAGACAGACAGACACACACACACACACACACACACACACACACAAAACCCTGGTCATATTTCTAATTCAATTTAATACACAATTATTAAATAAGTGTTACATCCTAGAAACATATGTTGGTAATACACTTTCTAGAACAATTGCATATAGATTACTATAAGCAAAGTATTCAAGTTCTCATAAGGTACATGCACATGGTACACGAGAACTTGAATACTTTGCTTATAGTTGTGTAGGTCTTAGTTTCCCCTTCTATAGGTAACTGGATGGTAAAAGTAGCACCTATCTTATGAAATACCTCTGAAAAGTAAATGAGGGAATGGGTATGATAAACATAGAACCTGGGTCACATATAACAAATATTACAACGTATTATAAAGATATGAAGATAGTGTTGCCCTCAGGCAGTTGAGTGTTAAGAGAGAGATGGATATTAAACATTTAAAAATTTATCACTAAAGTGAAGCAAGAATCTTATACACTCATAGCTAGTCAGGAAAACAATTCTAAAAAAACTTGAAGACAGAATTTGCTTATCCTCTGAACTTAGCTTACATCAAGCTATTTCATAAGTGGATTAAAATACCAAAATTGCAAATCTATCAATCATAAAAGCTTAACACGTCACTAGTCATGGTTACTAAAAATTAAAGATGTATGAATAAAATGTTCCTATTTTAAGGAACACACAAGTCAAAACAACTTAAACATGTTTCAATATTAAGCTAAAATTACTTTTTGTTATCCTTGTACACTTAGCTTACTTTATCAAAAATAATCTTCACATTACTAAAAACAGAATTAATACATATATTTTTAAAATGTTTACAGAAGTGTCACCATTCAGTAATTATTGCTGCATATATTAAAAGTGTAGTTTGTATAAGTTGTTGTTAAATTCATTCAACATTCATTAAATAGTTGGGTAATTCACATATCCTTGATACTGAGGATAAAATAATAAAAATGCAGACTAGATCTTTTAGCCCACTGAGTTTATAGTTCAGTTGGCAGAAGAATAAAAGGAGCAAACAATAAAGTGATTTGTGCTGAGGACCACGAAAGAAGTGCATAGGCTGATACGATATTTACTAGTGTGAGTTTAAAAGGTATAATCCAAGAAACCATCTCAGAAAGTGACAGATGAGCTGAGGTGTCAACAATAAGGGAGATCTAGCTGTACACAGATTTAGGAGTTGCCTGTAGTAAGCAGAGCGAACACAAGAGCCAAATTTGGGGGCAGGAATAAGATTGACATGCTCTGAGAACCAAAAGGATTAAAACACTTACTTGTATTGTTGAAAATTAGAGAACAACAGATAATGGATGCTGCAGGAAAAAAAAAAAGTAGAAACCATGTCTGCTAGAACTTCATAGGCTATGTTGGGAGTATGAATTTTATCTGATGAGTAATGAGAAGATATTGGAATCCCCTAAATGAAAAATTCCACTAAAAGTATATAAATTAGTAATCATGCATTCTTATACATTAATCAACCAAATATGTAGTATTTAACTCTCAAACACAGAGGAAATTTGATTATCAACATAACTGTAATGAGGCATATTTTGTTATATTGTAGCAAAAAGATATTACAGGTTTACCTTCTATTACTTGATACTACAGCAACAATATTGAATGCTGAAGCCTTGCAGAGAGGCAAACAACAACCCTGAGATACTCAGTTTAAATACAATATTGTGTTGGGTTATGGGGCAGAAGTAAGGCATTAACTATCATCCTTTACAAAGATCAATATTACTCTATTTGTTTGTCTGCTTTTTACTACTAACTCTTTATTCTTATTTATATTTTTGTTTTTGAGAGAGGGTCTCACTCTACCATCCAGGCTAGAGTGACATGGTATGACCAACACTTTAAGTGATCAAAGACTAAACACATTTAGTTCAAAATGGAGACTAGGTAATTTTGCCAGTTACATGAAACAATGGGCAGAACTTTCAATTAATTTTTAAACCAACAAAAAAGCTTCCATATTTTATTATCACTTGCGGAAATAACAGGTTATTTTCTGGTTGAAAAGTATCTCTAATCCAACCCTCTATCTGATGCTACCATTAATATGGGCATACAAAAGTAATTCATATACTTTGCAGCTTTTATTTCCAAATTCTATGTGATGGCTTAATGCTTAATTTCAACAAATAAATATTTCAACATATTCATATATATACACATGAACTTATTTCTACATACGTTTAAAAGTTTAACTTGTAATTTATTTTGATCATATGTTAACAATTTCTTTTTTTCTTATAATAATCTAAGCATCAAGGAGACTTAACATTTTGGATTTCTCCTAAAACAAGAAATTGTCATGCTGAAAGTTCTGTACTCTCTACAACCATTTCCTTTAGGATAAATGACACAAATGTTTAAAAGGAAGTTAATTAAAAAACTAATTATATTTTTATTAATACAAATCAAATGAAGTAAAATTGAGTTTGTGATTTTCTCATTACCGTATTCTAATCTGCTAAGTTTATCAATCTAGAAAGATTAATGATAATAAAATAGCTAATATTTACTGAATGTGTCAAAGAATAATTTATTTTAGTTAAAAATATGACATACAAATATAGCACGAACATGGATCGAATATTTATTCAACTTATTAGTGGGAAAACCATTAGGAAAGTAAAACTTCTTAAAAGTACAATTCAAAGAAAAGAGGATTATATAGTCAGTCTTAAAAGGCGTGCTGAATAAGTTTGCTAAATTAGAAACAATACTGGCTAACATCTTAAAGGGTAATAAACCATGATCTTTGAAGGTTATACTATTAATTAAGCATAAGTCACTTACATCATTACTGGACAAAAACCAAAAACTAACATCTAACTTAACAGATTTTGAACCTTAATAAATGGTAAGTATAAATTCAAACAAACGTGCATTCTGTGGCCTCTAAACTAAAGGGAAGAAAATAATCCTTTGTTGGAGACTGTTAGACAATGCTGCAATAAGCACTGAAAGGGCATGCAGTCTTTTTTTCATCTACTTACAAGTTTGAAATAATTTTCTTAAAATGACTTTATGCTATGCACGCATTCTCCAAGTTCCTTTAATGTATGCACTCATTGAATTGTTGCTGCAATCTTATATGGTAGGTGCTATTGTTCCACCCTCATTTTTTGAGAAAAGGAAGCTGAGGAACAGAGGTTGGGTATTTCAAATAAAATCATATTATCTGGTGCTCTAAGAGCACCCTCCCACCTTGTATTATATATCTTTATGGTTTAAATATATAGCAGCATGACATTCCTCACAGTTTAAACATATAGCAGCATGACATTTAGTAAATATTCTGGGTTTCTTACTATATCTCTTCTTTATAGAGAGTTTGAGTAAGATACTACCCTTGAATGTTTTATAAATGCTAACACATGCATACAGTGAGAGACTTCCTTTCTCTTGTCTATTTGCTTTAACTATTGCATCATTCTGATGAGAGTTATAATTAATAATTTATTAAAGAAACAGACATTAGTTAAGTAATTAGGATGTAACAGGCACAGTAGTTAGAATCTTCACTAAATGAGTTAATAGAGAATGTATGTCAAGAAAAAGAAAAAATAATCATAATTCCAGAAGGAATTTCTAAGGTGAAAGAAAGACCAATAAACAAAGGAAAGAAAACATGTATGTAAATATAAATAAATACTAAGTGATGAAATATCGACTCCATGTCTTTAATCCTCTCTTCCATATCATGGTAATTTTTAGATATAGGGATATAAAAATAAGCTATCATTAAACACGAAGTTATGAATAGTTATGAAAAACTACATAGAGGTGCTCTGATTTAAAGTGGTGTAAGAAATTGCATTGCACCTCAAGAGGGTAAAACTTCTTATTTATTTCTTACATAAAGTAAATTGTACCTTTTAAATAAAAAAAGAGGGCATAACCTTCCAAATACTACATGAGTAATGTTATTTTTAAAAATAATCATTAGAAGGAAGGAAAACAATATTCAAAAGAAGGCATAAGTATTTTGAAAATGTGGTTTCAAATTTAATCACAATACATGGAAATATACGCAACTTGTTCTATCATATAGTAATTTTTTTAACTTGAGAAAGAAGAATAAATTATAAATATAAGCTGTCTACAAAAAGAGTTTTAACACATGCATAGTCAGATAGTTTGATAGTAAAATAAGAAGAAATAATATATGAGGTAAAGAATAGCCCCCAAGAAATTGGTGTAGTTAAACTAATGTTCTACAAAGTTAAAAATCATTATTAGGATACAGTGGGTAATTATGCAACAATTAAAATTTAAATCATTAATGATACCATTAAAAAGTAAAAATTCACATGCCTTTGCATACACAGTCTCAAAATATATAAAGATATCTATAAAGACAAATTGATTAATTATTAATCTTATATGATATATAATTTTATTGTATCCACATATATTATACATTATAATTAATACAATGCTTCTTGGAAACATGAAAGACCAAGAAGACCTAATGTTGGTAAAGTCGTAGAAGAGCTGAGCATGTATAAAAATTGATATCCAACAATTAGAAAATACATATTCCTCTAAGGTAAACATGTAACATTTTAACAATTGATAGTAGAGTCCACAAACAAGTCACAATAAATAACAACATAAAAAACAGAACATGTCTTCTGACAATATTCAACTAAATTAGGATTTATTTTTTAATTAAAATGTCTCTATTTGTGCAATTTTAGTTTTGAATGCTTCTGAATGAGTTTAAGAATAAGGAAGTTTTGCTAGTTGGAGGTACTAATAAATGGGGTCAAACTTTCCCAAAAATTCAACCACTATTCACCAAGACTGACCAAATTCTGGGCCATAAAACACACTGTAATAAATTTAAAGAACAGAAGTCTTACAATGTGCCCTCAGAAAACAATGGATTTAGCCTATAAATCAATAACAGAAAGACAACTGGAAAACCCAAAAATAAATGTGGATTTAAAAACACACTTCTAAATAACACATTGGTCAAAGAAGAAATCACAGGAGAGATAAAAAATGTTTTAAACTAAATGAAAATGAGAACACAATTTGTTAAAATTATTGGGATGAGTGAAGGTAGTGCAGTGACAATTCAACACATGAAATTTATACCATGGACATATACATCAGAAAAAAAGAAGTGTCTAAAATGAATATGCTAAGTTTACACTTAGGAAACAAAAAAAGAGCAGCAAATTAAGTCCAAAATAAGCAGAAGAAAATACATAATAAGAATTAGAGCAGAAATCAATGAAATTGAAAAAGGAAATCAATGGAGAAAATCAAGAAAACCAAAAACTGGTTATCTAAAATGATCAATAAATTTAATAAGCCTTCAGCCAGGCTAATAAAGAAAAAAAGGGAGAAGACACAATTTACAATACCAGAAATTAAAGAGGGGACATCATTTCAGATCTTATGGACATCAAGAGGATATTAAGTCTACGTATACAAATTTGGTAACCTAGGCGACAAAAGATAGATACCAAAACATACAGTTGAAAAAGTAGACAATTCAAATAAGCCTATATCTATTTTTAAAAGTTGAATCAATAACTAATAAACTTCTAAAACAGAAAGCAGTAGCCCCACATGAGTTCACTAGTAAATTCTACCAATGTTTAAGGAAAAAATTATACCAATTCTACACAATGCCTTTCAGAGGATGGAAGCAGAGAGAAGATTTTCTAATTCACTTTATAAGGTTAGCATTACCCTAGTATGAAAATTATAAAAATACATTGCCAGGAAAAAAAAAACCTATAAGCCAACATGTCTCATGAATATAGATACAGAAGTGCTAAACAAAATAACAAACTAAATTCAATAATACATCAAAATAATTATACACCACAACCAAGTGGGATTTTTTTTTAAGATATGCAAGGCTAGTTCAACGTTTGAAAATAAATGAATGCAATCCATCATATCAATATGCTAAAAAATAAAAATCATATCAATCGATGCTGAGTAAGTACTTTACAAAACCCAATACCCATTTATGATAAAAACTCTCAGTAAACTCGGAATAGAGTGTAACTTTCTCAACTTGATAAATAATATTTACAAAAAACCTACAGCTAACATCATACTTAATGGGGAGGAATTTGAAGCTTTCCCACTAAGATAAAAGCAAGGCTGTCTCCTCTCACTACTTATTTTCAACATCATATTGGAGGTACTAGCTTATGCAGTAAGACAAGAAAAGGGAATAATAGGTATGCAGATTGCAAAGGACAAAATAAAACTGTCTTTTTTCACAGCAGACATGATCACATATGCAGAAAATTCAAAAGAATTGATTTAAGAAAAGCTTTGGGAACCAATAAGCAATTATAGCATGGTTGCAGGATACAAGGTTAATATATTATACAAAAGTCAATCACTTTTCTATGTATTAGCAATGAACAAGTGAAATTTGAACCAAAAAACACAAAACCACTTACACTAGCATTCCCAATAATGAAATATTTATATATGAATCTAGAAGTATATGTACAAGATTATTATGAGGGTAAGTAAAAAACTCCCATGAAAGAAATAAAAAAACTAAATAAATATAGAAACATTTTATATTCATATGTAGAAAGACTCAATATTGACACAATGTCACTTCTTTCCAACTTGGTTGTAGATTCAATGAAATTCCAATGAAAATCTCAAGTTATTATGTGAATATTGAAAAACGAACCCTAAAGTTTATATGGAGAGCCAAAAAATGCAAAAGAGCCAGCACATATTGAAAGAGAAGAACAAAGTCAGAAGATTGACACTACCTGACTTCAAGACTTATGATAAAGCTTCAGTAATAAAGACAGTGTGGTATGGACAAACTAATAGAAATACAGATCAATGGAACAGAACAGAGAACCCAGAAATAGATTCACATAAATATATTGTCAACTGACCTTTGACAAATAAGAAAAAGCAATACAGTAGAGCAAAAATAGCCTTTTCACTAAACAAATGAACATCCACATTCAAAAAAAAAAAATGAATCTAGATGGAGACTTACATGCTTCACAAAAATTAACTCAAAATGAATAATAAACCTAAATGTAAAACACAAAACAATAAAAATCCTAGAAATAACATGGAAGAAAATCTAGATAACCGTGGGGATGAAGATGAGTTTTTAGATACAGCATCATCGGTATAATCCACGAAAGAAAAAATAGATAAACTGGACTTCAATGAAATTAAAATTTCTGTTCTG
Organism: Homo sapiens; assembly: GCF_000001405.40. NCBI lineage: Eukaryota > Metazoa > Chordata > Mammalia > Primates > Hominidae > Homo > Homo sapiens. Next base: position 33,905,731 of record NC_000004.12, read on the forward strand.
CATAAGACAATGTCTAGATAACAAGAAAACAAGGCACAGACTGGGAAGGCATATTTGGAAAAGACACATATGATAGAGGACAGTTATCTAAAATATATCATGCACCCTTAAAGTTCAACAATAATCAAACAATCTGACTGACAAATGGGCTGAAGACCTTAAGAGACACTTTACTTAAAGAAGATTATACAGATGGGAAATAAGCAATGACAAGATGGTCCACATCATATGTCATCAGAAAAATGTAAATTAAAACCATGAGATACTACAGTGCATCTGTTAAAATGGCCCAAATCTGGAAAACTGACAACATCAAATGCTCATGAAGCTGTGGAGGAAAAAGGGCTCTTATTCATTGTTGCTGAAAGCAAAATGTTACAGCTACTTTGAAAGACAGTTGGGTAGTTTCTTACAAAACTAAACATACTCATTATATGACATAACAATTGCACTCTTTGGTATTTAACCAAAGGAGTTGAAAATTTTATCTTCATAAAAACCTCTATGTAGAGTTTTGTAGCAGCTTTATTTATAATTGTCAAAACTTGGAAGCAACCAAAATGTCCTTCAGTGGGCGAATGAAAAAAAAAAGAACTGTGGGATATTGAGGCAATGGAATATTATTCAGTGCTAAAAAGAAATAAGCCATTAAGTCATGAAAAGACACAGGTTAACTTTAAATGCATATGACTAAGCAAAAGAAGACAATACCAAAAGACTATATGCTGAACGATTCCTGTATGATACTACAATTAACACAAGCCATTATTTATCTGTCCAAACCCATAGAATGTACAACATAAGAGTGAACTGTAATGTTGGGACCAGGTGTGACAGCTCATGCCTCAGAAGTCGAGGGTTCAGTGTGCTGTGATTGCACCAATGCACTCCAGCTTAGGTGACACAGTGAGACTCTGTCTCAGAAAAAAAAAAAAAAAAAGTGTACCGTAATGTAAACTATGGGCTTTGGGTTATTATCATGTGTCAATGTAGGTTCATCAATTGTAACAAATGTACCACTCCGGTGGAGGATGTTGATAATGAGGGAGGTTATGCATGTGTGGAAGCAAGGGAGATACGGAAAATCTCTGTCAACTCCTCTTAATATTTCTGTGAACCTATAACTTCTTTAAAAAAAATAAAGTTCTTGAAAAAGTCAACTGATAAAAAGACTAATTAATAATCATTAATTTTAGCAACATGGAAATCTTTGTTTACATTTACAGCCACAACTTTCTTTGAAAAGGAGCAATAACAATTTAATAAGGACTACATTAAAGACAGTTTAGTAAAAGAATCTGGAGCAGGTAAATAGAGACAAGTGTCTGAGAAAGCCGCAAAACAAAGCAGTAGTTGAAGAGAAAGAGGGGTCAAGAGCAGAAATTTTTCAAACAAAAAAATAGCTTTTTTGCTGGTAAGAAATATCAAGTACAGATAACATGTAAACATTTAGGGGAGAAACAAAACTAATAGTACAAAACTCTTCCAGACATTTGCAGATTCATTCCCAATTTAGTTTATCAAGCCAGTATTACCTTGATACCAAACCAATTCACATATCAATATTCCTAATGTAATCAATTCAACATTGTAAATATAACTTTAGCAAATTCAATTCAGCAAGGCATTAAAAGAAAATATCATGTCCAAGTGGAATCTATCCTAGGTATGCAAGGTTTGTGAAGTATTTTAAATTTAATCAATGTATTTGACTTCAATAACAAACCAAAGAACAAAAATTATGTAATCATCTCAATAGAGGCAGCAAAGTTATTTGGAAAAATCAAACATCAAACCTGATAAAAATTCTGAACAAACTAAGAAAAGAGGAGAACTCCTTACAAATTGGTTGAAGACATCTCTTAAAAAACAGAAACAAAAAAAAAAAAACCCTACAGCTAATATCATGTTTAGTAATGAAAGCATTGATGTTTTCCCCTAAGACCACAAAAAAGACAAGGATGTCTGCTCTCAGCAGCTCTATTCAACATGGTATTGGAGGGTCTAATCAGTTCAATAAAATAAGGAAAAGAAAAAAAAAGACATTCAAATTAGCAAGAAAAAATTTTAATTGTCTTAATTCTCAGATAACATAATTGCCTCTATAGAAAAATGAGTGAACTATACAAAAAAACTACTACACTAATATATGAGTTTGAAAATCAGTTGTATTCCTACATACTGGCAATGTGAATTCAAACCTTGAAATTTTAATATCACTTAGAAAATATAAAAAATATGAAAAAATTTTAAAGTAAATCTGACAAAAGTTGTACAAGACCTGTGTACTAAAAAATTGAAAGAATATTGGTGAGATAAATTAGAGATTTTGATTAATGAAGAGGTTTATCACGTTCTTGGGACAGAAGGCACATTATGAAGGTATCAAATATCTCCAAATTGACCTATTGATAAAATGCAATTACAGTAAAAAAAAATGCAGCATATATTATGGTAGAAATTGAAAAGTTCATTCTAAATTTTACATAAATATGCTATATTAGTCCATTTTCATACTGCTGTAATGAACTGTCCAAAATTGGGTGACTTCTAAAAGAAAGAGGTTTAATTGACTCACAGTTTAGCATGACTGGGGAGGCTGTAGGAAGCTTACAATCATGGTGAAAGGTGAAAGGGAGGAAAGGCATCTTCTTCACAAGGTGGCAGGAAGGAGAAGAACTGTGCAAAGGGGGAAGAGCCCTTATAAAACCATCAGATCTCATGAGCACTCACTCACTATTATGAGAACAGCATGGGGGAAATTACCCCCATGATTCAATTACTTTATCCTGGTCTTCGGCTTAACACATGGGCATTATGGGAATTAGGGGATTACAATTCAAGATGAGATTTGGGTGGGGCCACAAAGCCTAACCATATCATAGGCAAATAACTTAAAATTACCAAAATATTTTTTAAAGATAGAGATCTTTCATTACCTGAATTTAAGAACTAGTAAGCCTTCAGTAAGGAATACATTACAATATTGGCATAAAAACAAATAGGTAAATGAAACAGGGTTATTTAGTGTCAGAAATAAATCCACACACATATATAAGATAACTGATTTTCAACAAAGATGAAAAGGCAGTTTGGTGGTGAATGGATAAAAACGAATGGTGTTGTGGAATTATTGGAAATTCATATTCAATAAAACAAAAATAAAAATAACAAAACAAATTTTGACTCATATCTTGAACCATATTCAAATATTAACCCCCAAATTGATCATATACCTAAATAAAAACCTTAAAGCATTAAATAGCTCTAGGAAAACATAATAGAAAATCATTTGTGATCATGGATATGTTAGTCATTTCTCACATTGCTAATAAACATATACCTGAGACTGGGTAATTTATAAAAAAAAATTGACTCAGTTTTGCATGGGTTGGGGGGCCTCAGGAAACTTACAATCATGGTGGAAAGGAAAGCAAACACATCCTTCTTCACATGGCAACAGGAGAGAGACGTGAGTGCCCAGCAAAGGGGGAATGCCCCTATAAAACCATCAGATCTTGTAAGAACTTACTATCATGAGAATAGGATAGGGGAAACCACCCCATGATTCAATTATCTCCCCCTAGTCCCTGCCACATCACATGGGGATTATGAGAACTATAATACAATTCAGGATGAGATTTGGGTGGGGACACAGCTAAACCATATCAATGGGTTAAGCAAGGAATTATTATATTAAACATCACAAATGCAATCTTTAAAAAACAAATTGATAAAATAGACTTTGTAAAAATAAAAAGAGTAGTCCACAAAAGACATTGTTAAGAGAATGAAAAGCCCAGCTACTGACTAGAAGAAAATATTTTAAAATCATATCATAAAGGACTTGAATCTAGAATATATGAAAATCTCCTAAAACTAATAATGAGTAAAAAAACATAGAAATGGACAAAGGATGGAAGCAGACATACCACTAAAGATGGTACACACTGACATCAAGTAAGTATATAAAAAATAATTTTAACCTGGGTGATAAAATAATATGTACAACAATCCCTCGTAACACGTGTTTACCTATAAAACAAAGCACATCTACCCCAAACCTAAAATAAAGGTTAAGAAAAAAAGAAAAATAATTTTAAAAGACCACTATTTATGTATAAGCATATTAAACTACAATGAGATATTTTATAAATCTATTAGAATAACTTAAACAGGCTGACCATAAAAAGTTTTCTTTGAGATATACAGGAATTAGAGTTGTTGGTGGGAATATATAGTGCTACAACTAGTCTGGAAAGCAGTTTTACCATTTCAGGAAACCCGTATATAAACATATATGTTTACCACATGGCCCAAGCAATTTACATCTAGCTGTTCCCCAAAGAGAAATAATAGTCTCTGTCCATAAAAAGAATTTTAAACAATTGTTCATACTTAGTACATATGTAATAGCCAAAAACTCAAAATAACCCAGATAACCTTTAACAGTTGACTGGATAAATTATTACATATAGTTGCAATGAAATACTACTCAGAAATGAAAAATAATGAGCTTTTGATAACTTAAACTTATAGATAAATCTTAAAATAATTACACTGAGTGAAAAAGCCCACTTAATAAAAGAGAATGTGGCATAAGATTGCATTTATATAAAACTCTAAGAAATACAAACTAGTCTATAACATCAGAAAGCAGATTGGTACTTGTATTGGGACAGGTGAAAGGGAGCAGGAAGGATTAGGAAGAAGGTAATATTTAGGAGCAGAAAGAATATTTTGTGTGTGATAGGTATTTTCATTTATTTGACTGTGGTAGTGAATTCACAGGCATATACAAATGTCAAAACATATACACTTTAAATATATGCAGTTTTAAAAATAATTATATATCAATTCAGCTGACAAAAAATCCTAAGTTGATTGATCACTTCCACATTGCAATTACCCAGTTTCTAAATATGTCACACTATTAATTTTACTTATCATTTGCCGTTCTTATACATTTTTAGCATGTCCATTAGTAATGTGTTTTTTAAAAATATTGATTCTTATTAGGTTACTAAGGGAAACAATGAAAGCAATTCAGACTGCAAGGCTTTCCAATGCTCCTCATTAATTTTAAGCCTGTTTTCACTGATGTCTAATGGCTGAAATGCATATACTTGCAGCAAATGTCCAGCAGGGAATGAGAATCCATACCAAGACATCATGTAAGACCTATTCTGGTATGGGTATACAAGATGACTGTGTCCACTTTAATAGTTTTAAATATAATTTTTTTATTTTTACTCATATATCTAGTTACAAATGTATTACATTATTGATCGTTAAAATAAATTGTTACTTGAATGAATTAATTCTAAATTTTATGTATAGAGGGCCCTCTTTTGACAGGATAAGATAATAATCTTGGATAATATTTTTGATCTTTACATTCCCTCAAAGGAAAATCCCTGTCCACATAAATAAATGATAGTCCTTTTCTTCTGTGAGAGTAAGAAAAGTGTAATTTTCATCAAGTTCCCTGTTGGTTCACCATGGATTGCATTGCGTTGGTCAATTTCTCTGTGGAAATGACATTTTCTCACAAGTGGAACCAGCAATTATCCATTAGTCCATACAGAAGAATGTGTAACATATCTCTTGGAATTGCTTAGCAAGGACCTGTATCTCTGTATAAGGCTGGTGGTGATAGGTGACAGGTATTATGAGGAGGGGTAATTGGCAGAATGTGTATAGTCCTGATATATATCAAATATGGTGGCTCTTTAATAATTTTATTTTATCCTAAACAACACTCTCCATTTTATTTTCATTATTTTTCTGTACACAAAAAAATCTCCTGCTTATTCATGGCTGGTTAAGGTCCCAGGGAACACTGTTTCTATCTTGTTCTTCATCATCTCTGCATCCAAACCTAGAACGTAGTGTCATGTTTGAAATAAACATGGTGCTTATAAATATTGAATTTTTAAAATGGTATTCTGCTATATTGATGGTGAAAAGCAGTTTCTAAAAGGCAATTTGTCCATATGTATCAATAATTCAAAGCAGTAGCACTTTTTATTTGCCAACTTATCTCTTGGAACAATATCCTCCCAGAAAAAAATCAGAATAGTGCAAAGATGTATGTATAAGTACATTCAATACAGCAATGTTAATAATAGAATAAACAAACAAAAGTCATTAAAATATAAATGACATATTATGTAGGAGAATGGGTTAGTAAATTATAGCAACTTTGTAACATGGAAGAATATGCTGCTATTGAAAATATATTTGTGTGTTTTGTTAAAAAAAAATAATAATAATAATAATGTTTTTCCCATCTATCTTGTTCTGGGCTTACCATTTGTCCCAAAAACTCTTCTCTGCTTGCTTGGGCACTATTTAAATCTCCTTGGCACCTAAGTGGGAGGATTGGGTGTACATTCTTTATTTTATGAGTCAGCCTTTCTTTTCCCAAGGGAAGTGAAGAAAAGGGCTGGGGACTTGCTTTAGCAGCCAGCTGTTTGGAAACTTTCTCTCATTACATATTCTCTCTGAATCTATTTAAAATATTGTATCAGAATCCCGTGTTGTTAAAGAGTTATGCTAACCTTAGATTGCTGTTTATAGCCAAGCTTTAGGTAATCCATGCAATTACACTTGGAGGTCCAATTACATGGTTGTTAAGTTGTCTTGCTTAAGAACTTTTCCGTTCTTAGTCTCCAACTGGAGTCAAGATAAAGAAACTACAACTGGATTACTACATTACTTCAACTCCAATCTGGTCACCATGACGGAGCTAAGTGGGGCAATATCAGTTCTTTCTAGAATATATATTGATCTCTAACTCTTGTCCCTAGGTTGGGTTATTAGTATGGTCTTTAATGATTAACTCCTCTAACTGAAACCATTGCTGAAGAGTTCCATACATCAAATAAATTTTATGCCAACTCCCTATGACTTCTTCTTATTTTTTCTATTTGGTCTGTGGTGTATTATATTTAGCTGATATTTCAAAAAGTTTGTTTTACAAGTTATGAATCTTACTCTAGTGCCAATAGACCTAAATATTTTTCTATTTTTAAAAAATTATTTTGGAAGAGAGAATCTGTTTGGTCTATTTCAAGTTAAGCATCCTTCCAAGTCCAAGCAACCATGACTTCCATATGTTAAAGTCTTCTAATACATCCATGTCTGGAGGGGCACTGTTTGGGTAAACAATTGCTCTTAAGGAAAACAAGCTAAACAAAAAACAAAAAGCAAAAACCCCTTAGTTATTGGGAATTGGATCAACATTCTAAAATGTTTTTACTAAAATCAATAAACATCACTTAAGACGGTTTAAACATATTCTCTAATTTATTATCAAACCAACTGCAAACTCAGAGGCATTTATCTCAGTGAAAATCGTATCCCTTAATTACATATATAGACATTCAAAACAAAAGTTGTACCAGATAAATTTAAACAAGAAAGGAAGATGTTAATTGAGGTTATTGCAATAGAAGAGAGAGGCCAGAACTCAGTCTGAACTCAACTTCATAGAACAAAGCTTAGTTGGTTTATAAATTGCTAGAGTAAACTGATGAAAAAGTATGTTACAGAGGTCATTATGTCACCTGGAGGCTGATTAATGGAATGTGTACAACATGTCCTGTTAATTCAGAGCTTGCAAACATTGTCCACGGTGATTAGGTCATCTATGTTTACTAATTAGAATACATCAAAGTTAGACTTCTAGTCTCTTACAGAGACAAGGAGATAGGAGTTCTCTCTTGATAATTCATTTCAAAAAGATGGTTCTTAGCTCCTTAAGACATTACATACATCTCAAAAAGGATCAGGAAAGAATTTACAGTGACAAGCTTTCCAAATTAAATGCTCTAAGCAAAGGGAGTCAGGTCCTAGGGTCAGGAAGAAGCCTGTCTAATGTCTAGTCAAGCTAAGGAAACATAGAGACAATTTCTGTGACATTCTAGGTAAATAAAAATAATTTTCTTATGCTGATTCATTTTCTTTCAGCCTGTGCTGATTTTTTTGTCACCATTTTTTAATTCATTTATTTTTTAAGGATGGGGTCTCACTTTATCACCTAGAATGAACTTCAGTGGCCTGATTTGTTTGGTAGTATGGGATCTCCTTTTCTGCCTCTTCCTGACTTTCATACTTATGAGGGAAAACAAAATTTTGCCAGGTAGACAGGTCTCAATTTTGTAAATAACTTGGATACAGCTGTCTTGTATAGGTCACTTCATTTGTGTGATATGTGTTGTGTCTAGCATGCTATCAAATTGGCATACAAATAAAGGAGTGCTCATAAATTAAGCAAATAAGACTAGTTTAAACTTGTTAGTTGGAAGGGAATGTGGTGTCTTCTAAAATTTTACTTTAATTTTTACCTAGGTAAAACACTGATGTTTGTGAGCTTCAGAATAATTAAAATGGCTTTAAATGGAGAGCTTTCATGTGGTTTAAAATCTTGAAACTGTAGAATCATTCTCATCTATAAAATGCCAATATCTGATAGGCAGTTCAGAATTTCTTGTCTCTGAAGTTTATATAAAATGTGCCAAAAATATGTATTCTTTGTTGGGAATAAGAAAAGTTTTTATCTAATTCTGAAGTTATTAAAGGGGAGATTCAAAATATAAAGGAACAAGTTAGTAGGAAAGAGAGATGTAAAGGAAGTTATGGATAGAAGATGTATTTTTTCAAGAAAAAATATAAAAAAAGAATAATTGTATTTATAAAAAGGATGTTGTATTACAAATTACAAATTTTTGTCCTACTGTAAAATTACTAGTAATTTTAAAAATCAGTTAACAACCTGTAAATAGAGAAAAAAATAAAAATAGAAATAAATATATTATAGGACAAGTCAGAAAGTCCAAGCATGTCATAGATGGTATAAGTCATGATAACGCTGGGGAAGGGAATTTATGAAAGAAATGTTGTGTGTGATTAAGCTAGCTCTAATTAAAAGAAAATTGTTTATAATAGACTTTCTAAAGAATGCTCTACATGCTAAAATAAAATTCGCTTATGGGACTGATTTCCTAAATTGTAAGAAATTTTGCTTTTAATATTATAATTGGTATATTTTAAAGCTTGTCTTATTTGTATCTCAGAAGTTCAACTGTTGCTCTATGTCACTGCTTTCAGCTCTTTTGAGGAGGCCTGAGTTGATAACTCTTTCCTTGACCTTTTGTGTCAGCTCCTCTAACTCTTTTCTCTCCAGTTTTAAACGTTGCTATAACCTGATGCTAAAATATTTTATCATAGAGGTCTATAAAAGCAATATCTTCTTTCAGTATCAGTATAACTTGATTTTATACTCTTAATATTTCTTGCTGTATACCTCATTTTTGGCTTTTAGTTTTTGGCTCTTATATTGCCTAAAACAGTTTTAAGGGCTAATAAGTGCCTACCTATCTCCATTCCCATCTAGTCTAGAATGTTTAATGGAAGTCCCTTGGCCAAAGTGAATCCCAAAAATCTCTGAAAATCTAAGGCCATGACAGGAAAGAGTGGATTGACATTCTTCACTATGCCCCACCTGAAATTTAGGCCAGGTTCAAAATGTGTTTCAAAATTACAAAATAAAATATTGCCCTTTTGCACAAAGGAAAAGAATAGCTCCTCTATTCAACCAGAAGACTTAGTCTTATTAAATATTAAAAAGAAGGATCCCCTAAGGATCAACTATAAATAAAATAGAAAGGCCCCTATCAGGTATTTTAAGTACCTTCACTGCTGTTAAACTTCAGGGAATCACAGGCTGGGTACACCTGTCCAGAGTTAAACCTGTTTCTTATGAGTCCCCACAGGTGTTAAGAGCAGGACACAACACACACTTGTAAATGCTAGGAAACTTAAAGCTGTTGCTTTGCAAACACACAAATAAACAACATGGCAAGGATGAGTGTGTGCAGTAATAAACTGCACCTATTATATTATTCTCACTTGATTTTTATCTTTCCTAAGATCTTCGATAGCTATTATTACTAATTTTTTTTCCTTGTTTGTTTAACCTCATAGTAAAGTTTGTGTCTTCTAGACTACAATAATTTATATGAAGACTATTCTGGCATAAGGCTTCCAACTCATCCCATCTTCTAACCTGGAGAATAAAAATATCCTGCATTTCAGCCTCTTAGATCAGGTATCCACAGATTTTTGCTCCCCAATGCTAGGCAGAGCCTACACCCATAATATCAGCAGGAAGTAGTTACAGAGCAGACCTCTGACCTTCTGGAGCCCCTTTAAGATTAAAGAGGAGTATGTCATCTCTGAGGAGGGCATGAGGTAGAAGACTGGCAGGACTTATTTCTCGATCCTGACAGGATGAAGTAAAGAAACTGCCAGGAGCCATTAGATGGTGATGAAAGCAATCCCTAACCGCCCTCATTGCTCATTAGCATGATACTCCTATCAGTTCCATGATAGTTTACAAATGCTGTGGTAACAACCTGGAAGCTACCAGCCCCTTCAGTGCCCTTGAAGTTACTGCCCCATAACTAGAAAGTTCTAAAGAACCCACCTCTTCATTTTGCATTACCCCCTCCTTAATTTGTATCTAATTTAACATGGGTACAAAGGAATATAAATACAACAGCTATCAGATGTAGATAGCATTGCCTGTGAGGTAGCCCTGCTCTGTAAGGAACAGCTGTGGTTCAATAAACTATTACTGCTTAACACTATCGTCTCACACATGAATTCTTTCCTGGGGGAAGCAAATAACTCTCCTAGGCTAAGCCCCAGTTTGGGGGCTTTCCTTCTCCAAGTCACAGGTATTGCTCTAGTTATTGGAAATACCCATGTACCAACCTTTCTGGAATTTATAGTTTTTAAGTAACTAACAGTAGAAAAGCAGGTTCAAATGGACATTAATTAAACCTAAAAGAACTAAAAATTGAGAGAAGCAGGTACCCAGAAGATGCAGGCCACTAAATGTTCAATACTAACTTCACCTACTTGAAAACTTTAGAGCTGGTGCTGACTGGTACACACTTTCTAGTTTTACACTATGAGTTATTTCCTTCTAAGGCATTACTTTCTCTGTCTGGAAATTGAAGGTTTGGGAAACTTTTGCATATAAAACTTTTAGAATATGTAAGTGCAAGTAAAATGATGGATCTCACTACAATGGTAAAGACTAGACTACAGAGACACATTGTGAAAAGAAGACACATTTTCTTTTAAAATGGAAACGTATTCTCCTATAATTTATTCTTTGTGATTTTACATTGGAAGGCCAATTTATAGCTCCTAATGTCTATTTGAAGATCTGCTCACTAGAGGAAAAAGGCGATTAAAGACACCAGGACTTAGTTCACTCATTTTCCACTTGTTCTTATTTATGGAAAGTTGTGCTTTTTAGTCCAGATTTTCAGCGGCTCCTCCAAAATCTTTTGGTTGTGCAGGTAAGCATCTTTCAGAAAAATATATCTTCCCTTGAGATGCTTGCAAATATCACATCTGTTGTAGAAAACACAGAAGATAGAGCTGTGTGCTCTAATTAGAGAGGAAAATTACTTGAAATGTACCAGTGGATTACTAACAATGACTGATGCAAATGGTTAGAGGAAAATAGCTCTTTTTGATTTGAAATAATGCTTTCTACACAACTGGTGTGCCCATAATAGGTAAATCAAATTATGTCTTTTCTCCTCCATGACTGTAAATTAACAGTGAGTAAATGGGAAGATGTTAGAATTGTACTTTTCCATAAGCCAAAGTATAAATGTTAATCTGAATCTCCTGAATTTGCACAATTTGCCTAGAAATACTGTTAAAACATACTTTCTCAAGAGAATTGTCTTTGTTTGCAGCCTCCAAAAAAATGTAAATACAACAGCTACAGCTTTTCCTTGCGGCATTTTGGAATTGTCCTCACCTGGCAGGTAGTGAGATATGCAAAGGCCTGCAAATCTTAAAAACAAAACAAAAACAAAAACAACACAAAAACCCTGCTCTTTTAAAATAAAGTTCAATAAACTTTAGTTTCAATTCCTGCAAAGGTCACATGAGGATTAGTTTAAATTTCAGGTCAAGAGGCAGCTTGCTTCCTATTTGATCTGCAGCAATTGAAGCATACCTAATGGAAGCACTATTTTAAACACAAAGGTTAAACACTGTTGAATTTTGACAAAGGTTAAATGCCTATTTGCCAAAGTTAATGACTTAATAGCATTTTGAATACCATTCTTTGTATAAAGGTTAAACTCATATTTTCAATGCAGTGTTTCCTCTCTTAAAAGGAAATACTCATTAGAACCCAAACAATTACCTAATTGTTAATTTGTTTTGATCTTATTTATAGTTCTTCAACCAGAGTATTATCTGTTTTGATTGCAAGATAATTTTTAAGCTTTCAAGAAGAAAAATGTTTAAAAAGAGAAATATGGTTATCAGAGAATTACTCCTTCCAAAAGGTCAAAAAGAAGAGGGCTAAAGATTTTAGAAAAATATTTTGGGCAAAGTTGTAATCTGTGGTGGGCTCACATACTTTCCAAGGATGTACATGAGACCAATAAATAATTTCTTGGACTCGATAAAAAAATCATTATCAAATGATCATACTAAGAAAATGTGAAAAAATATTACACAAGGGGACAGCATGTGATCAATTCAGCATTACTTTCAATGCCATTTTAGCTAACATGATTGTAATAATTTACATAATATAGTGCATTAATTAGAAAAAATGCTAAAGTACATCATTCATCTATTATTCCCCAAGATTTCTAAATGACTAGACCATCTCATCTCACTTACTGCTTAGAAATTGAACTAAGAATTGAGGCATTGAAAATTCATGCTGAATTTTAAAGATGTATACGGGGAAAATACATTTGGTGGTTCTATATATTGCTTTTCAGGTAAGATATCATACTTGACAAAATATTTTAAATTCAATTACAAATACTATTACAAGTGACACAATTGTGTCAGGGTACATATATGCTATATATATTTATTTCAAGGTTATGCTGTAAATTACAGAAAGTGATGGAGGGCAATATCAGGAAAACCATTGTGAGAATTTCTCTCCTTTTTAAGGAGAGAACTCAGTCAGGCAGAGGAATGCCATCTGATCTGTCAAAAGGTGAAGATCAATGAGGAGTGAAAGCCAAATTTCAGTTATATTTAAGGTAAACAAATGGGATAAGGCAAATGGAAGCATACAGGCAAGAGTGGAGGGTGTTCTAAGCTTAAGAATATTTCAAAGATAATTTGAGGTTAAGTCTAGGACTTCCTAAGAATGGATAAAATCAAGTGATACAGCGCTCCGATACATCCAAACACCACTTGGTATTTTACCCATTTTGTTTATATTCTGAAAAAAAGTTTTGTTTTATTTCTCTATGCTAATTTTTTCTCTCTTATTTTAGTATATTAACATTTATTTTTATTTTCTGACTTCAGTTTGGTGTTTCTTCAGAAATGTCATTATAGTTTTAATTATATAAACTTTTTGTCACCTGCCAATTACACCTGTATTGATGTTGGCCACTAAAACTTACTTGGTGACAGTAACCTAAGACAAAATAGAACATGTAAAAAAGCAAGGGCTTACTGGGAATTGTTTGCAAAATTATTCTTGGTGCACACCTGAAAAATATCATAATAATACTCTTATCATTTTACTTTAAGAAAATGCAAAGTTATCTTGATAAACCATTCCATAATGCTTCTGAATGGACTGAAAAGATAATGAAACTTGTTGAACCAAGCCTGTTGTGGTCAATTTTCTTGCTGTGACTAATGGGTTTACTATCTAAAAATCTAATTATTAAAGAATTAAGGCAAGAGATATATAAAATTTTCTTCAGTTTAAACGGATTGTACAACATTAAAGAAAAGATGAAGAAATTATTTGGTTCAAATGGGGTTTTTAAAAATTAATTGTTAGTCTTGCAATGCTTAACATAGTTAAGACAATAAGCAGATTTATGAAGACATTGAATTTCATATGCTAAAGAAATGCTTTACTTTTTTCAATGAATTTTTTTCATGACACCAAATGGGAAAGAGCTCCTTTTTTGTGGCAACTTTTCCATTTGATGTCATGAAATCAATACCAGAAATGGACAGTGAGTATCAAGCACTGCAAGCTTTATTCAATGGCCAACAATTTGGATAAGTGAGAGTGTAGCTCATAAATTAACTTCTTAGCTCTTGCACTTGGGGAAATTACAGATATAGGGTATTCTTAGTACAGGGTATGGGCATTAGGAGGAAGAGGAGGAAAACTCATGCTTTTTCTTGAGAGGGGGTGAACATTTTTTTTGGAATCAAAGAGCTGCCTCTTTTTTTTTTGTTGTTCCCTTCAGGTCATTGATGTGGTGATTGTAAACTGTCATGGTGCCTCTGGGAGTGTCATTTAGTATGAAAATTGGATTATAATGAAGCTAGATTCTTCAGCAGTCCAGTAAGCTGTATAAGAAGGAACCTCTGACCACCATAGACATCCTGTTTCCTAAAAATAAGCAGAGTTAAAGCCGAGTAGGAAGTGTATGTTACATGGGCATTGCATTGGGCACAAAACAGGATGAGTGTCCAGCTGTTATGTAGGCACTGCAATAGGTAACACTTTTTAAAAAGTAGTTTTTAGGTTCACAGAAAAATCAAGCAGAAAGTACAGAGATTCCCTGTATATCCCACATATAGACAGCCTCCCCCATTATCAACATCCCCCACCACAGTATACATTTGTTACAATCGATGAACCTACACTGATACATCATCATCACTCACGGTCTATAGTTTACATTAGAATTCACTCTCAGTGTCATAAATTCTCTATTTTGGATATTTATAATGGCATGTATCCACCAGTGTATCATACAGAGTAGTTTCACAGCCCCAAAATTATTCTGCTCCCTGCCGATTCATCTCAATTTCACCCCTAACCCGCGGCAACCACTGAATTTTTACCGTTTTGATAGTTTTACCTTTCTAGAATGCCACACAACTAGAATCATATAGTGTGTAGCATTTTCAGACTAATTTATTTCATTTGCTGATAGATATTTACGTTTCCTCTATGTATTTTCATGGCTTGGTAGCTCATTTCTTTTCAGCACTAAATAATTTTTTCATTGTTTGGATGTACAACGGTTTATTTATTCATTCACCTCTAAAGGACATATTGGTTGCTTCCAAGTTTGGGCAGTTGTAAATAAAGTTGCTATGAACATCAGTGTGTAGGTCTTTTTTGTGGACTAAGCTTTTTTCTAATCTGACTTCATACCAAAGAGTGCAATGGCTGGATTATACAATAAGAGTATGTTTAGTTTTGTAATAAGGAGCAAAACTGTTCCAAAGTATCCGTAGAGCTTGAATTCCTACTAGCAATGTATGAGAGTTCCTGTTGTTATGCATTCTTTCCAGCATTTGGTATTGTCACTTTTCTGGATTTTGACCATTCTAATGGGTGTGTAGGGGTATCTTGCTATTGTTTTAATTTACATTTTTCTGATAACATACATCAAGCAGTTTTTCATGTGTTTATTCGTCATCTGTATATCTTAGGCGAGGTATCTATTAAGGTCTTTGATGTATTTGTTAATCAGTTTACTTTTTACTGTTGAGTATATAAGATTTTTGTATATTTTAGATAATTATTTATGAGATAAGCCTTTTGTAAATATTTTCTACAAGTCACTGGCTTTTCTTTTTGTTCTTTTGAAAGTATTTTGTTTTCATTCTTGTTTTGAAGAACAAAAATGTTTAATTCTAATTAAGTCCAGCTCATTAATTTTTTATTTCATGGATTGTGCCTTTGTTTTTGTTTCTAGAAGTCATTGCCAAACACAAGGTCATCTAGATTTTCTTTTACATTATCTTCTAAGAGTTTCATAGGTTTGCATGTTACATTTAGGTCTTTTATTTTGAGTTGATTTCTCTGAAGGGTATAAGGTCTGTGTAAAGATTTATTTATTTTTGTATGTAGATGTCTAGCTATTTCAACACCATTTGTTGAAAATACTATTTTGCGCCACTGTATTGTTTTTGTTCCATTGTCAAAGATCACTTGACTAGTTTTATGTGGTATGCTTTACTTTTGCAAAATCAATGAGCATAAACCTGAGAATTCCAGTGCTTGTCAGAATATCCCCATTACTCCAGTTCAAAGTGTTAATTTGGTAGTGAAAAAGGTACATTCTAGAATAAATAGCAACAATTATTAATCACGTCAGTAGTTTAAAATACATAGGTATCAAGTTGGTCACTAGAAAAATTAGTTTTATATCTATTTTCAAGACATGAAATGCTTGAATTAAAGGTTTAAATTTATAGATATAAAGATAAATAGCCTAACTAGTGATAGTCCAATGATGATTTCAAGTTTGTAGATTTAAGTTGTATGCTTTGATTAAAAACAGATTTTGCTTTTGATAATTTAATATGGGGAAAGTGCTTCTTATCTTCTTTTGTGATTTTAATGAAACACATAGTCAAGTTGTATTGCCTGGAATTCTGTTTGATGAAGGGTCTGTAAAGGTGGCTGACAATGGGGCAACAACTTGCATTTTTACTTATTCGTGGTCCAAAAAGTTCTGAACTATATCAAGTTTGTTTGGGCAACTTTAATCCAAGTAAAACACCTTCCTATATTTCTACAGTTCTGTGCCTCACTTGTGCCTCCCCTCCTTTGTAGCATTCCATGTTAGAGATAATCTTAGTTTTTTCAGTCTGATAAATGATAGTTGTTTCTACCTGATGCCTCACTTCTCAATACTGAGTATTGCACTAATAAATGAATAATGATCTTGTAATCACAAGTTCTGTTTTTAGTTTCTGATTCTCCATCTTTACACTACATAATCTCATAATCTCTATAAATGGGAAAAAATAATACCTAACTCATAATGGGTTGTTTCAAGTATGATAATATTAATGTTAAAATTTATTTGAAAGGATCAATCATAATAGCTGTCATATAGCATATTCTCAAGATACTGTTTAATTCTAAATATAAAACATTTTGGGGTCACGTACATGCATTTCATATAGAATGATTTGCAAGTAGCATCAATAGCCAAAATTTCAGGTGAAGTGCCTGGCAATAGAGAAAATATTAGGGGAATACTATCATTGTACTTAAGTAATATCAATAGGCAGCTCTCTAAGTACTTCTATTTACATATTTTGCACAGTTAACAAACTAGTATTCGCATTCTTATTATTTTAAAGCAATAGATGTAAGTTAATATAATAATTCACAGAAATATTTGGCTAAAATTAATTTATATATTACTAGAATTATTATTACAAGTAAAAATGTCTGTTCAATATTTTAGCATTTTTAAGTACCTAGTAATATTTTGGGTCCTATTATCTCATTAAAAACTGAAAATACATCAAGCAAACATAAATGTGTTACTTGAATAGCAAAATAATAAATGGAACTGAGTCATAAAAGTCATCTATACATATAGGAAGCTTTCTACTCACACAATAAATATTTTTGGAGCTCATAATTTCTGATATCAAGAAGGAAAATTGTATTTTGGAACACCTGTCATAAATCCACATGGCATTTATCTCAGAATAATTGTTTATTCTCTAGATTTGATAGCATTTGTTTAAATAATAATGATTTTATCCGAATTACTTAAAAGCAACGTGCATTTATATAATAAAGATTAGAAGAAGTTACAGCTTTCATCTCAGTAAATGTACAGTTTCACTTTGATTCAGTTTTTGGTATCAAATCAAATTCTCTTATGTGTTATAATTTATTACCCAGAATTGTTGGGAATTATTTGGATGAAAAACATCAAAGTCATTGACATTCAGTTCAAGAAACAAAGCCATTCAAAGAGTAATCTTGAAATTTGTAGCTCGCAAACCAAAATAAACTTCCCATTTTCTCACTAATTATTTTCTGTTGATAGAGGAAATGCTCTCTGAGTAGGTGACATTTACATTAAAACCTCAAAGATGATCATGAGATAAAGGAGCAAGTGCACATAAAGAAGGAGGAAAAGGCTTGGCACAGTAAAACAGAAAGACAGCCATTGCAAATGAAGATCCTGAGTGAAGTGGAAAATATGGCAAATTAATAACATAAGTGACAATGGGGATTTTCAGTTTTATTCCAAATCCAATGGAAACCTAGTTTTTTCAAAACAGAGTGATAAACCTAAAAGCAATTAGAAGCTCAAAGGAAACAGAAGACATCTAGGTATTCTAAAAGTTGTACAGTTCCCTCTCACTCTAAAGAGAGGTAATAAAATTTCCAAATTAAATTCATTAGACTAAAACTTGAATGGAATAACTATAGAGTTTTAATGTGGAAAGAAATTACCTTTAGATATACAAAATATTATAAAACTGGAAGAAATCATATAACATAATTTAATTTAATTCAGCCATAATGGAATTCATGTACTGCAACATTCATAAAAGTGTATATGTACACACATATAGACTTGCACATGTCTATATATGTGTATATGTACATACCTATATATGCATTTATATATCTAATTTACACAATAGTTTAATTAGTTTAAAAGAGTTTAAACGTGATGCAGGATTTTTGCTTCTTGGCTCAGCTAGGTCTGGCTTCTTGTCTTATGACCACGAAGGATTAGGCATGCTGACATCAAAGAGTGAGTCAAGTAGTACTAAGTGAAAGGGAAGCAGTCAGCAAAGACAAGAGTACTGAAAGCTGGCTGCCCTCTTCACAGTTGAATACCAGGGCTTAAGGTGGGAATTCCTGGCAGCTCCACCCCATCCTTCCAGTGGGCATGCAGGCCCTTAGACCGAACTGCTCCGTATTGATTTATTTTCCCTACTGCGCATGTGCTAAGGAACGGAATTTTCCACTGCCAGCATGTTTAGGTAAGCCCCCTGTGTATGTTCCCTTATCTGCACAAAACATCTCGCGTAAGCACTTGTGGGGCAGGTCAGAGGTTCTCTAGGGACCCTTTCTTTACTGTCTGCCTAAAGCAAGCTGGCTAACTCCTTTTAAAAGCATTTTCAAAGTTCTCTTAGTGTTACAGGGAAGATAGCTTTTAGGTAAATTAAAAACTAACATAAGCATATAGTCCTCACACTTTATTTATTAGACTTGCCACTGTGTCCGATTAGCGGTATTCCTGTAATTTTACTAAGTCATGTCAATAGCTTGATCACTTAAGGTTGTGCAAATTTATCTGGGGAATTTCCTTCCAAGTATTTGCCTATGCCTTTAATGATTGAAATTAAAACTATACTACAATGAATCTTACCCCAACCTCCCTTTGTGGTTTGTGGGAATTGGCGACCTATGATTTTGAAAAATGTTTCAAATTCCTGCTTTACAATTAATTAGCTGTGTGTGTCATTTAGTATGCTGTTCAATCTCTCTGTGCTTCAAATTGGAATTTAAAAAGTGAAATGGAATTCTATATAATCATTTGGATTCTCTCCCAGTAATACAATTTGATTTTTTCTCCTCATCTTAATTCTCTTCTATTCTCTACAAGATTTTCTAACTTGGTCAGAGGGAGGTCTTTCTCTGACTGAATCAATACTTGTTATGGAGTGAGGCAATCTTTAAACACAGGATATATCTGAGATTCAGTTGACTCGATTCCTGAGTTCAGCTAAAATACATTAAACATGTTTTCTATGTTCTTAATCTTCCTTGAAAGCAAGCTAGCAGGCAAAAAAATATATTCAATTCTTATCAGCTTAGCCCAAACTGTAAGAAGCAAAATCCTCTATCCTAAATAAGCATTTGGTGTACAAATGAATGTGACAGGCTTACAATAAGAAAAAAAATAAGTGCCTCTGAGGAACTGGAACTCGTTCCATGCTAAAGTACAGGTTGTGGCCTGTGTTGCAGTAAAACTAAATTAAATAAAAAGCAAGCAAGCAAGATGATAAAATACTGAAATATCAGTGTAGTGCATAATTAAACTTCTAATTTCATTGACACTTTATTTTGAGAAAATGGAAAATAAAATGCCTATTTAATGGACTATATTGACTCGATGGGAGACTAGTAAATTTCAGACATCTCTTTTAATTGAAGAAAAGCTGATAATAGAACCAAAGTGCACCTTTCTGTGAATCGAAGCCCATTTTAAGTGGAATGAGCACGTCTATGTGCATATGAATTATAAATGAATAAGTCATAAACGTTGGAAGGTCAGTAAAGTGCTTCAATGCTAATATTTTCCATTTTCATGACTGCAAATTACACATAAGATGTTTATAAATAAGCACTTATTTTACTTCTTCCAAAATGAAACTTTGACTGGATTTACTGTTATTGTTGTTTTTTCCTCTATGTATATCTGTGATTTACAACTCAAAGTGATTCCTCAACAGGGGATATTTGGAATATCTGGATATATTTTTGCTTTTCACAGCTGGGTGAGTAGGGGTAGGAGGTTGCTACTGGCATCCTTTGAGAGAGGCCAAGAATGCTGCCAAGCAATGTACAGGACAGCAACATCCTATCTCCCAACAAAAAATTGTTTAGCCCAAAATTTCACTATATCACTCATCTGAGGTTGAGAAACCCTGACTGATATTAATAAAATATTACTCCACTATCCATTTCACTTAAAGAGTGGATTTTGTAAGCTCAGTTTATTAAATTGCATAATATAAAGAAAGAAAAAAGGAGAAGCAATTGTGATTTTTTAATTAGGATGAACACATAATGCAAATAATTTTTTTAAATCACATCTATGACAGAACCCCAATTATATAACTGTATTATTCTCAGGTAGCATTGAATTTTTGGTTTACTATAACTCTGACTGTAGTCTACTTTGTCTCTCTCACTTAAATACAATCAAGACAACAAATGCCATGTGCTAAAGTAGAGATACTAATCCAAATTTAGAATTAGATAGAGCACACGTCTCATTAAGAAATATTAGAATATAACATAATAAAAATAAATTAAGTAGACATGCTGCATGAAGAAAAAACTATATTTTTGCTTTATTTTACCTAAAGAGCAATTAGAAAATATATCTTTGCAGCAGACTAATTGCCAAGTATGGAGTCATCTGCTATTTCAACCAGACTCTTGTTACAAATGTTTAGGCAAACATTTAAGAATAATATAATAATCTAAAGTATACACATATTATTTTAAAAAGTAACATGTTTCCTCAAAAATTGGAAAGTCAAAGAAGCACAAAAATTGAAGATATAAATTGTGTATAATTGTGATGATAATATTTTATGAAGTGATTCTCTTCCCTAGCCATTTCCAGGAACAATTGTATAAAGATTGCATTGAATCTCATTACAGAAATTTATCCAAATATAAGTATCCAATCCTTTATTAATTCATACATTCATTAATATAATGAATATTTGAATTTTTAGTGTATACTAGGAACTCACTGAAGGTAGACTTGGAAACAAACTAAATAAATTACCTCACATTATATTTTGAACTGACGTATTACTATGAAGAATAAATGTGTACATGTTTTGAGAAGTAATAAATGTTATGAATAAAAGTAAGAGCTATGTAGACAAAAAGTTATTGTCAAGGGTGCATGGCTACAGTCATAGGATGGGCAAGGAAGGAATCTTTGAGGAGGTTACATTTGGACAGAGGCCTGAGTGAACTTATCTCTCTCAACTGAGAACCATATTTCTCAAATGCAAAAACATCAATTGCAAAGATTCTGATATAGGACGATACTTGGCATTATGCAGAAAAGATAACTAAACCAGAGTGACTGAAGCAAGATAAGGGGAAGAGGGGCTTGGGCAGACAAAGACATGTAGGCTGTGTTTAGGAGGCTGAACTTTAAGTGGGATGAGAGGCCACCTAAGAAAGTGAAATAATACATCTAAGTTGGAGAAAGAGCACTCTGCTTGCTATGTGAAAAATAAAGAGAAAGCACATAGAAGTATATCTGGGGAACCAGTTAGGAATTTGCAAGACATGCAAGATATAAGAGGGACCTGTACTAGGGTGATACTGGAGGAAGAGAATAGTACAAATTAGGGTGTCCAATCTTTAGGCTTCCCTGGGCCACAATGAAATAATTGTCTTGGGCCACATGTAAAATACGCTAACACTAATTATAGCTGATGTCCTAAAAAAAAAAAAACACCAAAAAAATCTCAAAATGTTTTAAGAAAGTTTATGAAATTGTGTTGGGCTGCATTCAAAGCCATCCTGGGCTTAATGTGCCCCACAGGCTGCCAGCTGGACAAGCTTGATTTAGTGCATAATTTGAAGTAGAGCTAATAGGCATTGCTCAAAGCTTGGACGATTTATGAGAAAAACAGAGAAAGGCAGATGGAGATAGAGATAAATATAGACATAGAGAGATAGAGACAGAGATAGAGATGATAGAGATAGAGGTGGATAATTTATAAAGAAAAGAGGTTTAATTGGCTCACAGTTCTGCAGGCTGTGTAAGCATGGTGGTTCATCTGCTCAGCTTCTGGGGAGGCCTTTGGGAGCTTCTACTCATGGCAGAAGACAAAGAAGGAGCAGGCACATCACATGGTGAAAGCAGGAGCAAGAGGTTTGTAGGGTGTCACATACTTTCAAGTAACCAGATCTCACAAGAACTCACTCACTATTGTGAGGACAACACCAAAAGTATGGTGCTAAATCACTCATGAGAAATCCATTCCTATGATTCAGTCATCTCCCACTCCCCATCTCAAATATTAGGGATTACAATTCAACATGAGATGATGGGGTCATAGATTGAAACGATGTCAATATCCCTTCTTCAGTGAATTGCATATTCATGTCATTTGTTTCTGTTTTTCTCAATGGTTGATCAGTATTAGAATGTGAGGACTTTGGGAGTTAATCAGGTCATGAAAGCAGAACCTCATGAATGGGGTTAGTACCTATAAAAGAGACCCCAGATAATTGATTTGTCCTTTCTACCATGTGAGAACACAATCAGAAGGGGCCATCTATGAACCAGGATACAGGTTCTCACCAGACACTGAATCTGCTGGTTCTTTAATCTTGGACTTCCAGCCTCCACAGATGGGAGAACTACATTTTTATCCTTTATAAGCTACCCAGTTGATGGTATTTTGTTATGGTAGGCAAATGGACTGAGACACTTTATATACACATTATATTAACCCGTGCAGTGTATGTTGTAAACATTCTCTCAGGTTTCCATTTACATTTAGATTTTTATTCACCTTCTGTTACAAAAAAAAAAAATTACTTATTGTTTGAAAAATCAATTGAATTTACCTGTAACAGGTTCTTACTTTTATATTTAAAAACACCTCCATTGAACAAATATGTTTAAAGTATATTATCTTCAATGTGATTATGTATTTATCTCTCATTAGGTCAATATTTTCTTTTAATTTTTTGGTGATTTATTTAACCCTTAAACCCCTATTTACTTATCTAACTATTTTAGAACTTTTATTGATAAATAAATGCCAGGCACTGTACTAGGGGTCAGGGGGAAAATTGTTTTCAAAAATAAAAATGGTGTCATTCTTTGTGAATTTACACATGAGAAATACAGAAATCAGATAACCACTAAACTACATAGAAAATTCAACATTCCAAGGTGCTGCAAAGGAGAGGAATCAAGCTCTCTGCTTGGATATAAAAGACAGCTGAGATTTCAAGAGAGATCAGAAAAGGCATTTTTATGGAAGTCTCAGGATAACATCTGAAAACCAGGTATAGGAGTTTCAAGGAACATTCTAACAGGAAAAACATTTATTCAGAGATTTACCTCAAAGAGGAACATTCGGTGTTCAAGAAGCTGAAAAAATTTCAATTATTTAAGAAGAGAATGCCTTAGTCCAGTTTGGCTGCTATAACAAAATACTATAAACTGGGGGGCTAATAAACAACAGAAATTTATTTCTCACATTTCTAGAGGCTGAGAAGTCCAAGATCAACACACCTACAGATTTCAGTGTCTAATGAAGGCTTTCTAGTTGTACTCTCACATGGCAGAAAGGGCATATGAGCTCCCTCAGGCCCTTTTTATAAGGGCACTAACCTCATTCATGAGGGTTCTGACTTCATGACCTAGTAAATCCCAAAAGCCTCACCTCCTACTACCATCACCTTAGGGGCTAGGATAGCAACAATGAATTTTGTGGGAATATAAATATCCATACCCTAGCAGTGAAGTAGAATTTGAAAGTAATCTTTCTTCCAAATAGTAAATACATTTTTCAGAATTAATAATTAAATTATTCACTCCCCACCTTTATTATGTACAACTATTTTTACATTTGTGTGAGGGTCTTAGGTTATTTGTGTCTTAGGAAACAAATATTTCTGTCTATCCTTTCATGATAGACACAATAAATTGGTCAGATTATCAGGTAGCTTTAATCATTTGTCTCTTACAATATTAGAAAAATGCATTTTAAATTAAAAGCTATTTTTGAAATTATGCAAATGAGGCAACAATTTATAATCACTTATACTTTTTTTTAATGCCAACAATTGTTTACTTCTTGGTACCTGATGATTGAATTTTTAGCCACCTCATATTTAATGGTGTGTCTTAATCCATAGCAAAACAATTAAAATCAGTGAAGTCAAAGAAATGCATGCTATTTTTTGAACAGCTCTCCAATGAAAGTTTGCCTTTACATGTGCTTCAATAAGTATTATAATAAAAAATAACTATACCGATTATCTTTTGAGAGCTTACTATGATTCACTGTCTTAAAAGCATTTCAGGCATATTATTTGATACTTAAAAATTCAACAGGAGATATGCATAATTTAACACATTTTATTAATAAGAAAATTAAGTTTCTGTGACAAATCCACAGTCACACACAATGATTCCAGAACCACTCTTATTTCAAAAGCCATGTGCTTAATTCCATTATTAATCAGTATTTATTGTTTCCTCCAATTATATTATAGAGTAGTGGTTAAATTGAGTTTGGAAAATCAAGTCTCTACATTTTTTCTAATTTCCAACTGGATTGATATATTTTTGGCTTCTCAGCTTAAACAAATAAAGCCATATGATTTATGTCAGGAAAAAACACTCTGGTGGTTACTGTGGCATAAATATTAGCACACCTCATCCCCCAAACATTTCAATGTACTTGATAAAGACTCAGCTCCGAATCATTTGATAAACTTGGCCTAGAATGCAGAATTTGGAATTACCTCTGGCAACATAAGCAAGACAATTATTTATTCCAGATTCTTGATTTATGCTGTGTAGTAAACAGTGGTTCTGAAGAACATATTATTCTTTTAGTTATAGATTTTTATGCTAAAGCTCCAACTCAAAATCACAAGAATTTAGAATTATATTTCTCAAAAACAACCATTCATACATACCTGTATATATTGTCTCCCTTTGAGGCATATAGCAATTTAAATGAAATCTTAACTTTTAAACTTAAAAATTTGTGTTTAGTAATAAACATTTATTCCTGCAAATGGAATTACTACTCAAATAACAAATACATATGTGGAATCACCAGATTTTAATACCTCACATGAAAACAGTTGTGGCAGAGAATGCTGTGTAGTTTAAGACCCCTGAGGGGTGAATAATTTTAAATCAATGACATTGTATATTATGCTTCTGAAATACAGCCTCTCGAAGGAGTTTCCCAG
Source organism: Homo sapiens (assembly GCF_000001405.40). NCBI lineage: Eukaryota > Metazoa > Chordata > Mammalia > Primates > Hominidae > Homo > Homo sapiens. The sequence continues at coordinate 33,931,274 of NC_000004.12, forward strand.
CAACACTGGTAAACATTATGCCATCTGTATAATTACTCTACATAGTTTTCATTCCTTTAACTTAAAAGGCATTTTTTTAAAAAAGGACAATATTAGAAACGGATTACTCTAAAAAAAACTGACAAAATTTATCTGAAACATGAGCATCAGTTACACTGCAGTTAGTTATACTGCAGACTTCATTAGCTAAAATACATTACGGTCAAGTAGATGATACTTGGTAGCTTCTCTTCACAAAGTAGTCTAATCACCCAGACTCCTCTATCTCATAATTCTACTATTCACTAGATCCCAATTCATTCTGCAAGTGTTGGATAATGGATAGTGAATGTTGTGGTGTTCTGATAACTGGAATGTTGGCCTTTGAGGACTCAAAGCTAAGTGCCTCTCAGACATTGCTATGGTCTTAAAAAAAATTATCTTATCCAAAGTTACTCTTCTTTCCAGAGGCTATATACATAACTGACGACTGGTCATAAGAAGTACGAAGCCCATTCCTTTGCCCTAGGTGTCGCCATCTTTGAAAGGCCATTCTGCTGGAGAACTTGCTGTGGGATTGGTTGCACAGGGAAGTGTTCAGCTCCACTCTCTGTCCATCCTGCTATCTTCAGTTCCTCACAACCATTATTCCTGAGAATTTTCCCAAATAAACCGCCAGCATGCAAACACATCTGCCTAGTGGAGAACCAAATTACAAGAGAAGGAAGACAATGTGTGGAAGGTATACTCCTATTTCTTAAAATGCCTTGCCTAGAAGCCATGCATACCACTTTCATTCATCTTGTAATAGCTAGAACTAATCTCATGACTACATATAGATGCAAGACTACTGGGATATATATTGTTCCCCTGGAACACTGCTACAAGAGAAAAGGAAAACACAAATCAATGTCATGGTGGATATGCATCTTAGCTGTGGTTGCCATAACAACATACAATAGACGTGACTTACACAATACACAGTTATTTCCCACAGTTCTGTATGCTGAAAATGTGAGATTAGAGTGGCAGCATAATCAGGTTCTAATGAGGACCCTCTTCCTGGCTTACAGAAGGCTGGATTCTTGGTGTATCCTCATATGGTTGAGAGAGCAGACTCTACTATCTTCTCCTCCTCTTATGAGTACTCTAATCCCTTCAAGGGGGCTCTGACTTCATGATCTCATCTAAACCTCATTAGCTTCCAAAGACTCTACCTTCTCATATCATCACATTGGGGGTTAGAGCTTCAATGTATGAATTTTGGAGAGACACAAACATTTGGTTCATAACAATATGTGAAGGGCTACTTTCAGAAAATGGGAGAGTTAGAATGAAAGTGGGTTTAAATTGCTATAATGCTTCAAGTACAACAATGAGATTTCCTTTTTACTTATGCTTACATTTAATCTGGGTATGGGAAAAAATCGACTAATATTCTGTTTCATGGAATAATATTTTTTCAAGTAAGTTCAAAATAAATATATTTCTTTTTTCAAGATAATTTGATGATATGCATCATTCATTCACCTCACAAGTATTTTTAAAGTACTTCCTGTGCATTTTGCCAGACAATGGGAATCAGCTATAGAAAGACCAAATCTATATTCATATAGTGTTCATATCATATTGGTGAAAGGGAAAAATAAATACATAACTTTTTCTTTTTTAATTGAGACGGAGTCTCTCTGTCACCCAGGCTGGAGTGCAGTGATGCAATCTCAGCTCACTGCAATCTCCCCCTCCTGGGTTCAAGCAATTCTCCTGCCTCAGCCTCCCAAGTAGCTGGAACTACAGACATGCAGCACAGCACCCGGCTACTTTTTGTATTTTTAGTAGAGATGGGGTTTTTGCCATGTTAGCCAGGCTGGCCTCTAACTCCTGACCTCAGGTGATCCACCCAACTCAGTCTCTCAAAGTGCTGGGATTACAGGCATGAGCCACCGCGCCCAGCCAAACACATAACTTTTATACTGTGAGTAAATTTATGATGAAGGCTAGATGAAGAAGTTATAGAATTATAGAAAAATGGTGTGAAAATAATATTAGAGAAACCAAAATCATTTACCAGCAAAGCTGCTGGTATGATTGTACACATTATAGATAGATAAAAAACTGCTCCTGTTGGTTATGCACAGCACAACCAAGAAGGCTATTCTAACAGCCACTATTTAAAAGATGATATAATGTGAACAATATCTTTAAATATTCATAGCTAGTCTCCCAACAACACAGCAGGAAAAAAAATCTAAGTTTTAAAATTTGCTTGTGCACAAGACCTGTCATATAGCATACATCCAGTATATATTTCAGGAATGAATGTATATATGAGTTGATAAATGTATAAACACATACATTTATTTAAGATTGAGCAGGCAGATTAATGAACTTCAATTATTTGATTGTGTGGCTGGAGTAGTAAACTTTATATTACTCAGTAGGAATTATTACATTGAAGGGAAGAATTAGAAAGGGTAGGAAATGGCAGCAAATTTAGCCAGGAGAAATTTTTAGAAGGGCCAATTAGTTATGCATCAGAAACCACAGAGATTAAGCAAAGAAAGACAAAAGGGAGAAATTGGAAATAATTTGCATTCTTGTAACTGCAAAAGGCATAGTGTCAGTAGAACAATTTATTTATCAAAACACCTGTCACACTCTCTCTGTACTGGGGTGAAGCAAGCAGAGTTTCTGACCTCAGAGAGCTTGTATTTTACTAGAGGAAAATATATGACACACAAATACATTGCATTTGCTATACGACTATGAAATAAAATAAAGCAAGTAGAGAGGGATATCAGTGATTATGTTTTTAATAATGTAATCAGTGAAGGCACCTGTAAAGTTATGACATTGGAACAAACAACTGACAGACGTAAGGGATGGAGCAATTTGGATATCTGGAGAAAGAGATAAAACTAAATATAAAGGCTCTGAGTTGAGAGCATGCTAGGAATAATCAATAAATGAAAAGAGGATAGGTAATGTGGGGTAGAGTCCTGTGACAATTAGATTTGTTGTGTCTTTTGTCAGAGCACCTGGGTTCTTAGCAAATAGCAAAGGCAAATAAAAGTACATTCTCCTACTTGAACTATTAAACAACCCCAGGATAACATTGAAAAGGGCTTATATTCCAGTTTTGGATACTTTTTATGAACAACTATGTAACACTCAGACCTACACTTTATAAAATTTGGCATGTGTTTTGAAATGCTATAAAACGTTTAATGTCTCCAATTTTAACTATTTATTTTGCAAAACTGTTTTAAACTCAAACCTTGTTTTTGCTACATAATCTATTAACATAACATTAAAGTTCTTATGATTTTTTTCATTGAACTTTGAAAAGTTTAAAGTGTATCTATGGAAGAAACTGTCAAACATGCTCATGAAAACTGAATAGATTTGAGCTTCCAATAGAGATGTGGACTTTGAGGACAGGTAATTTGTACATAGATTAAGTAGTTATACATTTTTAAATCTGAAATACTGAGACAAAATAATTTCTGTATACACTGAACTATGATAAGAGATTTAGCTTTAAAAGGCACCTAATCCAAACAAGCCACTTGACAATGGACAACAGACACAGCAAAATATAGAAATGAGGCCCAAGGGAGGAAAAAATCAAACAAACAGTGGAGTTACGAAAAAAAAAAAAAACAAAAATCTTAAAGATAAACACAAAGAATAGCACATTATGCTATTCATGTTAAATAATATTGATATTGGATGTTGAAAACATTTTCTAACCCTTTAGAAGGATCCAGCCATCACACCGGGGCCTGTCGGGGGCTGGGGGCTAGGGGAGGGATAGCATTAGGAGAAATAACTAATGTAGATGACCGGTTGATGGGTGTGGCAAACCACCATGGAATGTGTATTCCTATTTAACAAACCTGCATGTTCTGCACATGTACCCCAGAACTGAAAGTACAATTAAAAAAAAAGTAGCAATCCTCCTGAATGTAAGTGGCATTTGCTACCTTGGCATTTTTTTTTTCTCTTTGAAATATATTTTTATTTCAGCTGATTACTTATATGAAATGCTCTGAAAAAGCATCATAAGTTAATCAAGTCCACTTTATCAAATTTATGGGAACAAATCAAAAATTTATTGATAGATTAACAAAGCAAAAAACAAAACTAGGCAATGTAATGAGAATGCTCATGTATTACATATATGAATGCTGTGGTTTGAACGTGTTCCCCAAAGTTTGTGTGTTGGAGACTAAATCCCAAATAAGATTTTGGGAGGTGGGGCTTAAAATGAGATGAGTGGGACACCAGGGCTCTGCTCTCATTAATGGATTAATATTTTTATCACAGGACTGGGTTTCTTATGGTGGTAGTAGGCTCATTATGAGTTTGGCTCCCTCTTGCTCTCCTTCTCTTCTACCTTCCATCATGGGATGATGCAGCAAGAAGGCCCTCAACTTGGATTTTCCAGCCTCCAGAAGCATAAAAAGTAAAATACTTTTCTTTATAAATTATCTCATCTGTGGTATGATATGAAGATTATCATTTGAATTATAAATCTCATACAAAAATCTTTCACTGGATTTCTTTAAAAAATACCTAATTGCAGCATACATTTTTATAAACACACAAAAAAAATCTCATGGACATATTGAGAGTTCCTATATGTGAATTTTGATGTGTGAAGAGCTGTGAAGCTAACACTTTGTTGTAAGAAAAAAGCTGGGGGAATTCTCTTGAAGCTGCATTTGAATATCATGCACAACATTTCTACATAGATTAATTTAATTGAGTTTGGGAGTGGATGGATGACAGGGATGTGAAAAGACTAAATTTCTGCCCCTGGAGCTACCCTTTGGCAGTGGCACTTTGCTAGACACATAAATCAGATGGTACTATGTGGACTGCATTTACAGTAAAGAGATGATTTTTTTAAATGGTAGCTTCCACCCTCTAGAAACTGAGCAACTTTGGGTGAGGTAAGGAATCTCAAAATTACAAAAATTACTAAGTGCAAAAATGTACAAAGGATAAGAGCTCCAAGTCAAACGGTCCTGGGTTACCAGGCAAGCCTGTATTTTTAATATATTTTCTGATTTTTTTTCTCTGTTACTCATTCCTTTGTTTCTCTTTGCTTACCTTCTGTAGCTATTTGAACTTCTTTAGGATTGCATCCTGATTTTTATAGTGTTTTTTAGTATAATTATTTGGATAATTTTCTTAGTAGTTGCTTTGGGTATTAAAATATTCACATGTAACTCATCACTGTCTGCTGGTATTGAAATTTTGCCACTTCAGATAAGTGTAGAAACCTTACTTCCACTTAGGCCCCGTTATCTTCTCCACTTCTAAAATATAATTGTCTTAAGTATTTTTTCTACATATATTTAGCACTGTATTAGACAAAGTTGTAATATTTGCCTTTACCTTCTAATATGGCTTAGGAAACTCATGAGAAGTAAAAATTGTTTATTATAAGTACCTTTATATTCACTCATTCTGACGGTCTTTTTGTTTCCTGAAATTCCAAGCATTCTTCTGTTATCATTTCCTTTCTCTTTATTTTAGCCATTCTTACAGTCTGATTTGTTAATAACAAATAAAATTATTTTTGTTTTTCTTCATCTGACAATGGCTATATTTTACTTTCATTTTATTTTATTTTTTTTAAGATTGGGTCTCACTATGTTGCACAGGCTGGACTCAGACTACTGGGCTCAAATGATCAGCCTTCTCAGTAGCTGGGACTACAAGTGTGCACCACCATGCCCAACTACCTTCATCTTGAAAAATATTTTCACTGGATATTATAAAACCTGCAGTTGACAATTATTTTCTTCTACTTCTTGAAAACTATTGTGCTACTTCCCTCTGGCCTATAATGATTTCAGATGAGAAAACTGCAGCTATTCAAACTGATGTTTCTCTGTAAGTAATGTGTTGTTTCCCTGGGGATGCTTTCAGATTTTTGTCTTCAAATTTCAGAAGTTCAGTTATGATATTTTTTGTTGTATATTTCATTTGTAGAGACTAGTTAGAAAGAGCTTAATTAACTACACTTTAAACAAGTTAAGCTTGACTGCTTTGAGGTATATATGTAGAGCATTCCCAACAGAAAAAAGAAGTTGAACATGAACTTGAAGATCGGAAGAGAAATGTAGACTGTCATCAGCAACTATTTTGAAGTTAAGATCATGTATATGGATAAGATAGTAACAAGAATGCCTACCAGAAAAGCAAAAACAAACAAACAAACAAACAAACAAAAATCAAATCAAGACAGAATGAAGAAAAAAATGCCAAGAATCTATATTGGGCAGATGCAGAAGAAAAACTCAGCCAAAATAACTGTGAAGAACAACTTAGAAAATTAGAGAACTATGTGAGTGATATTAAGGACCACAAAAGGGAAAAATGTGCACATTAGAAAAATGGTTGAGGGTGTTAAATGCTACGGTGCTTTTCATTCTTGTTGCTTGAAGAGTGATTCAAGGACTGGCATCAGCATCATCACCTCAGAACTCATCTAAGATGTAGAACCAGAGGCCCCACTCCTGAACTACTACTGAATTAGAAGCTTCATTTCTTTTAAACTTCTCCATGTCTACAGATCACCTAGGGATCTTGTTGAGATGTAGGCTCAGTAGGTCAGTGGAGACATCTAACATTCTTCATTTTTAACACATCCTTAGGAGAAGCCTCTCCTGCCAGTTCATGGGCCACATTTCAAGCGTCAACCCTCAAGGTGGCAGGAGGCCACTAATAGCTGATAGCAAATTGGACAGTAGCTGGAGTTCAAAAATTCACCCTTTGTTTTTTCTTAAAACATTTTTGTTTTGTTTTGATATTTTTTGAAATATGCCATATATATTGTTAAATATTTGTTAAAGGCAAAAGGAGAAGGCACAATTTCAGAGTTTTTCTCTAGTCAGATGAATTGAAAAGGACAGCTAATAATTAACTAAAACACATTTGAATATGCATATTCACGTATGGTTTAGCAGGGGTTTGAGTGATTGCTACAATGACAGCCATATCACTAATAATCCAATTAAATGTTTTTCAGAATAAAGGCAACGTACTACTAGTTTTGTCATTGTGGTACATAATTATATACATACTTCTCGTTTTAATCATTATTTAGAAGTACTCAACTTACAGTCTAAGAACTAATATTATTTGTAAAATTGCCATAGAAAAGATTGCACTTAATATATAAACTTGTGCTTATTTTGGAGACTATTCTCTAGAGAAGTGATACTTTAAATTTAATGTACATATAAACAATGTGGAGAGCTTGCCCAAATGAAGATTCAGATTTGGTGGGTCAAGGTAAGACCTGAGATTCTGCATTTCTGTATGCTCTCAGGAAACATTCAGCCCCAGCTTTCTCTATTTTCTTCTTCTGGATATATAACCCAGATGCTCTTTTTATACATTTTTGAATTTTCTTGATTTGAACATGGACTTCCTATATTGGCCTATTCTTCCTTTATCAAGATAATAATTCTTCACTCATGGGATTTACACTATACCTGGCTTCTTCTGAAAAGCCTCCCTTGATACCTATATCTCCTTTAATCAAAGTGTACTGCACAGGTAAGTAGTGTTGGCATCAACTAGAGACTTGTTAGAAATCTAAAATCTTGAGTACTACTTATGCTGTGACAGAAGCTGCATTTATTTCAAATTCAGGTGATTTTTAGACCCTATAAAGTTTGATCATGATGGCCTTAAATTATGGCCTGGGTCCTCTTCTTATATGCTGTCATGTCACCCTATACTGTTACCCACTTTTCCAGTAAATTGAAAGTTTCATAAAAGCAGGGATAAAATCTGTTTCATATCAGCAACTATGCTTAGTGCCTAGCACGGTAGCACACACTTAATACATTTTTGTTGAATAAATGTTTGAGTAAATGAGCAGAAATAGAATAGTTTGAGCTTTAAAAACAATTGAAAGCTTCTTTTTTCTGGTATTTTACTTTTATTATTCATGAGACAAAATGTCATGGATAAACAAGGAGAAGCATATTTCTGATAAATTTAATTACATGTAATATATCAGTATCATGTTTTTGAATTACTGCATATTCTATGTAGGCTTGCATTTTATTACATTCATGAAATATTAAGTCAAAAGAAAAGCAAAATTAAAATTTTAGAAAGATTGCATTTCTATGTATGTGCAGCTAAAATAATGCTTGTTCACTGTGTTGTGAGTTTGTCACTGCTGTGGATTTCAAATTTAAGGTGCAATTTAATTTTAAACTTCTGTTGCACTAACCATATATTGACAAGTCATATCTTTCTCTCTGTGCTTCATTTCACCCACTCATGTTTAAATTCTTGAAAAATGGAGTCTTGGATTTATTAATCTTCCACTCTTGTTACTTCCAGTCCTCTCACTGTAATCTCAACCCTCATTAGCTTTCATGGTCTATTAGAATCACTGCTTATCTACAGTCTCTGTATAGACTGTCACTCTGCTCCTGCAATCAGAGTAAGTTTTATAAAGGAGCCAATGGATCGCCCTTTTTTCCTGCAAAATATTTTAAATAGATACCTGCAAGATATTTTGAACAGTAGAATAGTATACACAGACTATTCTACATGCCTTATTCTTGTTAATTTTTAGAAATATTCTTCATTTGGAAAATCATTAAAATTTGCACAGAAGACTGTTAATATCAGTTTCCTCACATGGAAGTAAATGAAAGAGGTGAATGTAGGCCAAGATAATTAGTGTGTTTTTTTTTTTGCATTGTTTCACTTGTTACAAGGGGAATGCATTACTTTTGTAATGAAATTATAAAGGTATTAAAATAACTTTGTTAAACCTGTTGACTATTCTGAGTTACCTATTGCCTTAATAATGCTACAAACAACCACTAAACTTCAGTAAAACTATAATAATGAACTGTTACTGAGCTCGTGAGACTTTAACCCAGTGAATGAGCAAGTCGAGGGAGTTATTCTTGTCTTGCCTGGGCTACCTCACATGTTTTGGAATCAGCCATGGGTTGGCTAATTCAGGATCGACTCAGCTGAGATGATAAAAAGGGCTCATCTCTGGTCCATGTCTTGCATTTCAGCAGAATAGTCCAAATTAGTCTGCTCTCCTAACAAAGTCTGAGGAGTAAGATTGCAAGCAGAAAAAGACAAGTCACTTTTCTTGCCTCTGCTTATTCATATTTCCTAACATCTTATTGGCCAGTGAAGTAAGAAGACTGAGCCAGAGTCAAGGAATGGGGCAGAACTTCTCATTCAGAGTTGCAAAATTCCATAGCAAAGTGAGCCAATGCAGAAAAGAGAGATAAACTAACTTGTAATATTTAACTATGTTCTACATTGTCACTTCTTTGGTTGATCTATATAACTGACAAACATTTATTTACTTGTGAAGCAATTGACTCTAAATTGGTCATATATGTGTATATATATATGTGTATGTATGTATATATATGTTATATGTCATATATACATATGTCATATATGTGTCATATATACATATATGTCATATATATGTCATATATAACATATATGTGTATATGTGTGTGTGTGTGTGTATATATATATATATAAAAATCTGACTAGGGTAATGGAATAGCAAAGGGAGGAGCTGGTGAGGACAAGATTTTTCAGGGAGAGACATATGAAGGCGCTCTATGGTAAAGGAGTAAGTAGAGTAAGGCAATACAAAGGTTTAGGGAAAGTGTCTTCCAGTCAGAGGGAAGAACTGTGTGAAGCTTCTAGGGTAGGGACAAACATGTTAGTATTTTCCAGTCTTAGCATGTCAGCCTGCCTGTAGTGCAATAAGTGAGGAAGGCAGTGGGAGGAGAGGAGGCCAGAGGGCTGTGGAGGTCACATCATCCGGGTGCTTGACCCCTGGGTGAAGAGTATGAACTTATCTGACGTGAGTTAAGAAGTAATTTGAACATTGAAAGTAAGCCAAATTCATTGCCTAATTTAAATTTTTATAACTCTAGGACTGCACAGAATTTATTTCTCTCCATATATATATATATCATATATTTCACATAGGAGAAAACTTCATTTTACATACGAGAAGACTGAGGCAGAAATATGTTACAATAATTACTTTATTAGTACAGTTCTCACTGTCTATCTTGGATTAATAACTAATGTGATGATGTTGAAAATGCCAGACATAAGTTTTAAAATAGTAACTAAAATATATTTAATGATCCATAAAGAATACTATTATTGGATTGAATACAGGTTAGATAAAATTTTTACAATAATATATAGGACCATATATCTGGGAGTCACAACACTACAACTCATGAATTCAGTGTTTGTTTAATCAAAATGGACTGAACATAAAGAGTTCACTGTGTATTACACTGCAGTTGACAAGACATACAAGATACTTTCACAATTTCTATATGTGGACAGGTTTCCCTGGCAGAAATATAAACTAGGTGTTCTCTAAAGATAGTGACAAAGATTAAGTGATTTGACAGTGGAGGCAAAGGAAACATAAATTCTTTTGAAAGACTTGCAAATCTGATATTTTCTTTTCTTTGAGACGGAGAGAATGTTTTAAATAATCCAACTTCATGTGATAATAAAGAGGTAGAGGCATAAGTGGCAAAAAATAAATTATTATAATTGGGAAGAAAAGGTGGCCATGGAACATTCTACCTCCTATAAAAGACTATAAAATTTACAGATAGATTAAATTCTGGTAAATAATATGATCAACCTTTCCGCCTTTATGGAAGAAACTGAAACAATCCAGATTAGTTAACAAGATGCAATTCCTCCAGTCAGCACTAATGACTCTATGCTTCTGGCTCTATGCCAATCTTTACATTAGGAAAAATTGCCCACAGATGTTTTAGTAAATTTATAACCTTGCATAGACCTTGGACAGTAAATTCTTTATCTGATATTAAATATCATGATGTTTTTACTTTGACACTATATAACTAAGGCTTTATATCCTTGTAGCTCCATTTCTTCACTTTGAAATACAATGTGTATTTAAATTCTTAATAAACCATGAATTTGATAAGACCCTTTCACTCCTTATCATGTCTAGTCTAATGGGATGCAGCATGGCCTACACAATGCTGAGAATCAGGAACTACTTCCAAAACTTCATTTTTTTCAAACAAAACTTTCAGAGTTTTTTCTATATATAAACCCAACAGTTGTATTAAACCTAGTTGTTTAAAGGAAAAAGCATCTCGTCTCTCAGGTTCTGTGTACTCAGACTGGATTCAGCTCCATGGTCCCTCTGCTATGGACACTTCACTTGTAGTATCTTGTTGACAGCCAGTTGTTGGTAAAGCCAGCTACAGAATTTGCATGGCTGGTGTAGTAAAAATGCAGGCTAGCTGGATTAAAAATCATTGAAAATGTCTTGGCAGCAACAGCAGAACATTGAACCAGGTACAAGACTGATCTAAGTTCAGGACCCTTCTAAGCATGAGGCCTTTGTATGACTGCACACTCATGTGCCCCTAGAGCAGGCCCTGGGTGTTGGCAAGAGTGGGAGTCCTTGTTCAGTTGACTTGGATGATGGTACAGCTGGACTTCACTCATTCTGGCTAAGAGTAGTCTTAGAGCATCTCCTTTCATATGACCTCTACACATGGTCTTTCCACGTGGTCTTTCCAGCAAAGTAAAAAGACTTATTAGATGGCAGCTCAGGGCTTTCAATAATAAACATACAAAGGGAGAGAAAGGAACATTACTCGGTTTCTGGAAAGCTAGTGCCAGACTTGTCATAGTCACTATGTTCAGTAGGTTAATGCAGTCATAAGTCACCCTAAATTGGATCAAGGACATGTACACTGGGAAGCATGGCTTCTTAGGGGTCATATCTAGGAGAGCAGCTGTCATGCTGACCATTTACTAACTCAAGAATTAAGCCGTGATGTTTTTCAGGTCTATGTGCAAACATTACCTGCCTTGAAATGTAGTCCTTGGTCACCCTAAATAAAATGATCTTCCCCCGGGAGGCGGAGCTTGCAGTGAGCCGAGATCCCGCCACTGCACTCCAGCCTGGGCGACAGAGCGAGACTCCGTCTCAAAAAAAAAAAAAAAATGATCTTCCCATCTCCTCATGTTGACTTTATTATCATCTACTGTCCCACTAGAATATTTTCTCATGAGAGTAGGGAATTTGTCTTGTCTGCTGCTGCATACTCAGTGTTGAGAAGCATTCTTTACAAAAACTAAGTAATTAATATTTGTTAAATAAATGAATTAGTAAATCTTACATACCACAAGAGATATGTATATATGCATATCTATCTAGTATTAATCTATCAATCTATCTAGTGTATAGCTCCCCTTTAAAAAAAAAATAGAAAGAATAATTTTGGTTTCAGGGCCAGGCTAGGTGGTATACGCCTGTAGTCTCAGCCACTCAGCACATTGAGGTTGGAGGGTAGTTTGAGCCCACAAGTTCAAGGCTGCAGTGAGCTATGATCATACAGCTAACTGCAGCCTGGGTGACAGAGCAAGACCCTGTCTCTATAATAATAATAATAATAATTTTCGTTTCATTAGAGTAGCTTTGCTGGTCTGGAAGGCAAGAATACATTCAAGAAAATTTTTCAATTTGGTGACAGAACATGATTTTGCATACCAGATAGGCCTGTGCAGTGGTTTATAGTCTGGGAGCTATATCAGTCATGTGTCGTAAAGATAACTTTCTGATTCAGTTTATTATCATCCATATAAACAAGTTTGTCTTGCTTTTACATAACAATACTTTTCATTATATGCTGAAAAGTCTTGGTTTTTCTGTGTATTTCTTTGTAATTGTCATATGATTTTCTCTAAATGCAAGAAAGATACCAAGAAACAGAGTTAAAGAGAACAAGTGTGTTTGATGAGAAGAAGAGATGGGAGAAATTGACTGCATAACGATGGTTACTCAAAGCAATATATTTATATATTTGTATATATATGACTGTTTGTGTTTGTGTGTCTATGTGTCTCTGTAATAAGCATACATTTACATATGTATTTGTGTGCGAATATGTGTGCGTGTATATATACTCACCAATTCACTTATACATATATATACACACACATATGTACTTTTCCTATTCTGCAGGCTAGTGGTTATGAACAAATAAGGGCTTATGAACAAATAAGTTTATGTATAAAAACATTTAAAAATCAAGTTAAAGCAGAAGAGAGCATTGCCCTGCCTATACCCCAGAAAGAATGAATAAGTAGAAAAATTATAGAGATAAGGCAAAGAGCTCACATGAGCACATCTATGCAGTTAGCCTATATGCATCTATCCTAAAGATATCTAGAGATACAACTGTGTCCCTGAACCCAGCATTACTCAGGGATATAAATTTCCTAAGAGTCAAAGCTTTATTGACATGTAGCATTTGGCTCTTTGCATTCACTTATTTACTCGGTCTAACTCATAGGCTAATTCTTGAATAAATAAGCAAGAAGCTGTTTTCAGTTAGCCTGTACCAAGTTATCTACCATACTGTCTTTGAATGAAAGTAGTTTTGAATATTGTGATGCAGATCCTGAAACAGGTTGATATTTTTAAAATGACTTGAGTATAAATATTTCCTGAAGGATAACAGCAAGTAGTAATATCCTATTCATTATATTATATTCTAAATAAAATTTACATCAAAATATATAAAATTTCCCTTTCCCTCAAAAACTATTGTTTGAACTCTCCCAAATTCATCTAACACAAGCCCAAATCTTGTAACAAAATTAAATGTGGATGTACAAACATACAAATATACACATACTTACATATATCATGCATAAAAGCTATGTATACGTTTGTATATGTCAGCAAGACTTTACTGTAATTCATAATTTTATATTAAAATTATAGTCCTTAATATTCCCTGATTTAAGTTTACTGAAGTCCATATTAGTCATCTTTCTCATAGCATATTTTGAAAGCTACATGTTCTATAATGAAGGACAATGCCAGGGCAAGACTGGGGTGAACACTTGAGTCTTATTAATCAAAGATTAAGGAAGACGTGTTTTAAATTTATTTGAACACCCTTGAACTATTAATTCTGAGACATACAGAGGTATTTTCCAGACAGGAGTTTACTCTGTCACCCGGGCTGGAATGCAGTATCACGATCTTGGCTCACTGCAACCCAACCTCTGTCTTCCTGGCTCAAATGATCCTCTCACTTCATAATTATTATTTTGAGATGGAGTCTTGCTCTGTCATCCAGGCTGCAGTGCAGTGGCACCATCTCTGGTCACTGCAAATTCTGCCTCCCGGGTTCAAGCGATTCTTGTGCCTCAGCCTCCCAACTAGCTGGGATTACCAACATGCACCACTATGCCCAGCTAATTTTTGTATTTTTAGTAGAGACTGGATTTTGTCATGTTGGCCAGGTTGGTCTTGAACTCTTGGCCCCAAGTAATCTGCGTGCTTTAGCCTCCCAAAGTGCATGAGCCACTATACCTGACCTTATAATGTATTCAAAAGTATCTGGGTACAGACCCGTTCCTCAAAATGAGAGTTATTTAGTTAATTGGGGGAAAAAAACCATATTTAAAATATACACTTTTTCGAAAGTTTCTATCTAAAATAAATGTGCATGCATGGTTCAGCTGATGGCAAATCCTGTGAGATTAAATACCTGAGGGGGAGTGGGGACTTTCCTTCCATGGATTTTTCCAGTATCCATATAAGAAACCCCTGAGTGATCATGAGAAATCCTTACAAAATTTCACCTACCAGTTTATAAGCTTCAATGAATTATCTTGCTTTTTATGATATGAAGTTTTTTTTCTCATGGGATAAATGGATTTGAGATATTGTTGCTTTTATGGAAATTGTAGCCATTTTATCATGACATTCCAAGGCAGTATTTCTTACCTATTTATATTTATCTTTGGGTCTAAAGTTGTTTCCAAGTTTGTAAGTATTAGATAAACATCTCTCCAGATTTAATCAGTGAAATTCTAAATACAATATTAGAATGTACCTTACTGCTTAGTTTTGATGTATTGCTTAAGAAAGGAAAAGATATATACCCTGGTTTGGTTTAATATATCCCTTCAGAAGAATATTTGAGTTGGATAGAAACAGTTTTGACATGCACTTGAAGACTATAAATGCTGCAAATGACAGCTTTTAATCAGTGTGATAAATAGCAAAGGTCTGTAAATGGTATCAAATAATTTCTAAAAATGAAAACTAATTTTCCACTCCCACTGCTAGCAAATTTGTCAACTACAGTTTGATAGAACCAAAACATCTGCTCTTTGAAGCTGTGTAAACTCTCTCAGTAAAATGATGCATTATTTTGTTTTCAGATATACATTCATCTCTTTCCTAATTTAGTATGTTTATGAAGTACTAAGATAAGTTCCTGATTGAAAATTGTATGCAGTTAAATTAAAGACAGAAGTTTCGTTGCTTAAAGTTTTAGCTTTAGCTTTGCTCTCTATCTTCCTTTTGAATTTCTTTCTTATGGTGCTAAAGATGAACATGTATATTGCTCCCTTTTCCAATTATTTTATTTTTGAAGTTTAAGAAAGTTAACACATGTAAACAATGTAAAATGTCATTAAAATTAATAAGTATTTAATAACTCAGATATAATTATCAAGAATTTCATTAATCATCAAAGTGTTTCTATCTATCTTCTTTATTTAAAAATATATGTTTTTTTTCAACAAAATGAGAAGGAAACCCACAGACTTGAAGAAAATATTTGCAAAAGACACATAGGATAAAAAGCTGTTATACAAAATATACAAAGAACTCTTAAAACTCAACAACAAGATAACAAACAATCCCATTAAAAGGGGGCAAAAGACAAGCAGACAGCTTGCCAGAAAAGACATACAGTTAAAAGTAAGCATCTGAAAAGATGTTCAACACCTTATGTCTTTAGGGAATTTTAAATTAAAACAACATCGAGATTCTACTATACAGCAATTAGAATAATCAAAATTCAAAACACTGACAACATCAAATGCTGGTGAGGGTGTGGAGCAAGAGGAACTTTCATTCACTGCTGGAGGGACTACAAAATGATACAGCCACTTTGAAAGACACTTTGGCGTTTCTTACAAAACTAAAAATACTCTTACGATATGATAGAACAATAATGGTTCTTGATATTTACTCAAGTGAATTAAAAACTTATGTTCACATAAATACCTTTACCTGGATGCTTATAGCAGCTTTATTCCTAATTGCCAAAACTTTAAAGTAAGCAGGATGCCCTTCTGTAGCAAGTAGATAAAGTGAGGTATATCCAGAAAATGAAATATTATTCGGCACTAAAAAAAAAAAAAAAAAAAAAAAAAAAGCTATTAAGCCATGACAGGACATGAAGTAGATATAAATGCATATTACTAAGTGGAAGAAGGTAATCATAAAAGACTACATACTATATGATCCAGCAATACAACATTCTAAAACAGGTAAAACTATGGAGGCAATAAAATGGTTGTTTGCCAGGGGTTAGGAGAGAGAGATAGATGAATGGACAGACATAGATAATTTTCAGAGAGTGATACTATTCTGTATGATACTGGAGTGGATATACACCATTATACATTTGTCAATACCCAAAGGATGTACAACAGCAAGAGTGAGCCCTAATGTAAACTATGAACTCTGGATGATGATTGTATGTCAATGTACGTTCATAATTTGTAACAAATGTACCACTCTGGTGTGGAATATTGATGGAGGGGCATGTTGTGAGTCTGTAGAGAAAGGGGGTATATGACAACACTGTGCACTTTCTGTTCAATTTTGCTGTGAACCTAAAATTGTTCTAAAAATAAAGCTTATTAATTAAAAATTGTGTTTCTTGATAACTAATTTTGGCATGCAGTTTTGGTCAGAGTTATGTTAAATACCTACTGTGGGTCAGATGCCATGTATATCCAAGATAAAACAGAACCAATAGGAGAGTAAAATTTATATATAACCTCATATAGATATAAAACCATATATATAACCTTATATATATTATATAAATATATAGAAATAATTTTATTATAAGATATTTACACACATGGTATTTGAGGCTGAGATTTCCCATATTATGCTGTCTGCAAGCTGGAGACTCAAGAAAGCTAGTTGTGTGGTTCAAAGGCCTGAGAGCTGGAGAGCTAATGATATAGATGGCATAGATTCCAGTCTGGTCAGAGAACCAGCAGTGCCAAGGGCAGGAGAAGATTGATGTTCCAGTTCATTCTGTCAGGCTGACTTAATTCAATCTTCCTCTACCTTTCTGTTTTATTCGTGTCTTCAATGGATTAGATAATGCCTGCCCACCTTGGTGAAGGCAGATATTCTTTATTTAGTCTACTGATTCAGATGCTAATCTCTTCCAGAAACACCCTCACAGATACATCAGTTATCCCTCACAGATCAACCAGTTATTCCTATGGCCTAGACATGTTGAAACATAAAATTAACAACCCATAGTATATTGTGAATGTAAAGATGAAAAAAAACATTATCACATATCTAAAAGAACTTATTGTTTAGTAGGAAAGAAGAATGTCTGGATGGTATTTTAAATCTTATTACCCTGTTTGAATTCTAAGATAGTTTCCTAAGGAAAATGATTTGAGGACAGAAAGGGAGATTATTTCAAAAGGAAAAACAATCTGAAAAAATAAGCAAAAGCAAGAACAGAGGCAAAAATATAAACATTGCTATCACTGGAATATACAGTGTCCTGTGTGATACAGTGGGACATCAATTAAAAATTATATTGGGCCAGTCCAGCATGGTCTTGCAAGCTAAACTTAGGAACTGGATTAGTGCATTTACTAGGTAATGGGTAAATATTAAGAAATTTTAAGTAACAGTATGATCTTTCACAATCTGTACCCTGACCCTTTATCTCTGTGACCTCAGCTTCTATGATTTCTTTCCTCACTTTCTATATCC
The DNA here is from genome assembly GCF_000001405.40 of Homo sapiens. Classification (NCBI taxonomy): domain Eukaryota; kingdom Metazoa; phylum Chordata; class Mammalia; order Primates; family Hominidae; genus Homo; species Homo sapiens. The sequence continues at coordinate 33,949,158 of NC_000004.12, forward strand.
CAGCAATTCAGATGCTTTCAACATGTCTAGCACCACCTGCTTTGGGCCTTTGTTGAAATTTTGTTTTGTTTATTGTGGTTTCCCACTTAGAACAGTGCCTGGAAAATAACAGGCATTCAGTTTAAAAAATGTGTTTAATTAATGATTTTACACATTTGTTAAACAAAATTCGGATATGTGTGCCTAATTGCCTATTTCAGTGGACATTTCTTCTATCCATTTCCGTGTTAACAATCTTCACTTGATTCACTAAATTGTAAGTTTCTTTAGCACAAAGATCTTATCTTGCTCACTGTTGAATCTTAAGCACATGAGATATAATAGCTGCTTAATATATAACGGATGAAAGGATGAAACTACAACTATCATTCCATTCTTTGTAAACCCCGTTTCCCTAGAATCTCTCTTATATGACCATGCCTTCCACTCAGTCATTCCGGTGTCTTTTTATTGACTCTTCTCCTGAGTGTCCTCCAGGTGCTGGAGCTTCTCAAGAACACATCCTAGGCTCCTTTCTATTCTACACACTTTTCCCAAATATTTTTATTAAATTAATTCTATGGTGATCTGTCTCAGGATGTATTAAATGTGTTGACCAGTTTTTTTTTTGTTTGTTGTTTTTGTTTTGAGACGGAGTCTCTCTCTGTCGCCCAGGCTGGAGTGCAGTGGTGTGATCTGGGCTCACTGCAAGCTCTGCCTCCCGGGTTCACGCCATTCTCTTGCCTCAGCCTCCCGAGTAGCTGGGACTACAGGCGCCTGCTACCACACCCGCCTAATTTTTTGTATTTTTTAGTAGAGATGGGGTTTCACCGTGTTAGCCAGGAAGGTCTTGATCTCCTGACCTCATGATCCGCCCGCCTTGGCCTCCCAAAGTGTTGGGATTACAGGCATGAGCCACCGCGCCTGGCCTGTGTTGACCATTTTTTAAAAGCCATTAATTTTAATATATGAATAAATTTGTCCTATGATTTTAAGATATTTGATAAGATTTTTAGAGGATATATTGATATTAATGGCTACTAACTAGTTAATAGTAACTGTTAATATCAATAATTTTTCAGAAAATTACGTGAGATTTATTAGCAGATCTACCTCATGCCAAAATTAACCTGCTTTTGAGACTGCGCTTTGGGGTGCTTCATGATCTCTGTTGATAGTAGTAATAATAATAAATATTGCTAACTTGTATGTTTTTTAAAACTTCTTAATCCAGCTTTGTGATATATTTCACCATTGTTCTATGGAGAAAATAGAGATGGCATTAATCACATTAGTCTCAAAGTAAGATTTAGAAAGCTTAGAGACATCTAGGATTTACTGAATTACTGCTTGTGCCAGGTGTTACGGTAAATGTCACCTATATGGTCCCTCATTTAAATCCTTCCCAGAAACCTGTGAGGTTTAAGTATGATTTCTATTTTGGAAATACAGAAGGTGAAATATGAAAATTTAAAGTTACTCAAAGTCACAGAGCTAGAGATATAGATATGCCATATCCAGACACGTCTCATTCAAAATACAGTACTTTGTCTTACAAGAGTGTTTTTAAAACTGATGCCATAGTTGGAAGATTTCCTGAAGCACCAGGAGTCACTTCTGGGATCAGAGATAGCAGAGGTGGCTCGATCCTTGACCTTTGGTCTCAGCAAAATATGCTTTTCTTTTACGTGTTGTACATGCAGGAGTTTTATATTTTTAAAAATCCCATAGAATTTAAAACACCAACAGTGAACCTTAATTTAAACTATGAACTTCAGGTGATAATGATGTGTCAGCGCAGGTTAATCAATTATAATAAATGTATGTGGGGCAGGGGTATATGGGAAATCTTGCTACCTTTCACTAAGGTTTTGCTGTGAATCTTAAAAAAAAAAGTTACCAACTTGTCATTTGACTCAACATGGATCCACCTGAAATTTAGTGAAATCATTTAGTTGATACAACTCACAGAAATGGTAACTATAATATTTCATTAATTATAATATATAATTTGACAATAATGTGAATATTATATATATAACCATGTATGTATGTTACCATTTGATATTTGTATGCCAATTATACGTAGTCTAAAATTTGTTCTAACTGGAGGGAGTGACAATATTAATGAACTTATTAAGCAGCTTAATATTTATATTAAAGCATGCTAGATATTCTATGCTTTCTTTAAGATTGTGAATAAGAAATTTTTTTTCTCTTCTTGTCCCTGATTCTCTGAACCCACTTTTGATTTTCATCTTCAAAAACATTTTTTCATATTGAGAAATAATTTATTCAGTTCTTACATTAATTATTTCCCTCTTTTCTTTTTCAAACCAATTTTATCCATATCTGCAGTTTCAAAATGAAATTTTGTTATCATAATGATAGCACCACTATCTAGAGCTTATTATGGTGGTGTTTTAGGTGCTAAGCATTTTACACATTTTATACACATTAAGTCCCTTAGTTCTCACAGTAACCTGAAAGTGTTACATGTAGAGAAACTGAGGCTAGAAAGATTATATAACTGTCTTAACATCACATATTCATTAAGAAGAATCAAGAACAAAAACTGGGCCATTTGTTCTTGACCACCACAGAAAACTGGTGCTCCACATGACAGGTGCTGTCCATATGATTTTGGCTTTCACTACAAAAACCCTCAGTGTTTATTAGTGGATAATTTACCTGATGCCTGAAATACAGACCAAAAAAGACCTGTCTGGGAGGTTGCAAAGCTGAGCACAGAGAGATGTGGCTGCTCCCTGGGTTAAATGAGAAACGCTATTCTCAGGAGGTTAATTATCACAAATTAGGAGCTTTCAATAGTTCGGAAACATCAGGGAAGAAACAGCAGATTAGTACTGATAAAATCTCATGGGCTCTGATGGGAAGCACTTTATATTGGCACTAATGAAAAAATCAGAAGCAACCATGCTTTGAATGCTTAGAAATTTCAGGTTTCAGCATATTAAGAATTCAGTCAAATAAAACTTAAAAGAGCTTTAGGATTACAGCAATTGAGCAAAAGGATGACTCTTGAAGGTGGACTAAAACTTGAGGAAAATTTTTCTCCATTTTTTATGCATTTTCTGAGAAACATGTATTTACACCTGATTTAATAATTTTTTTCTGTTTTGAAATTAAAGTTTGATGAGAAGAGAGTAAGCTCCATTTCAATAGCTAAAGATGTTTCATATGATCATGTCTTCTACCTTAGGTACTTTGTTCTGGTAAAATTAGAGAGTATGTTTAAATCCTGAGGTTCAGTGAAGCCTTTGCTACTTTCTTCCTATCAACCTTCTTCTCAACACAAACAAAAGCAAAACAACTAAACTTTCTCCACACACTACGGAAAATTATCAATGTTGGACCTTCATTTCTATAATATGAAGTTTTATTACAAGGATTTTTTCAGTGTCATGACCTTAAATGTAAAGCTTTACTCATTTTTGGATAATTTAAAATTTTGAATTTTGAATTTTTACTATGAATTACAGTGAAAAAAAGTAATGTAAACACTACTAGAAATGGAGAAATGTTACTCTATTGGCACTAATCACTTTAAAATATTTTTTCTTTCTTACTTTAGAAAATGTATTGTGACTACTTTTAAATTATACAGTAGTACATGTTAATTATAGAGTATTCAGAATCTGTAGAATAGTAGCATGTAGAGAAAATATTCACAATCCAAACAAGATTTTGATTTTCAGAATCAACTTTAGTGATTTTTTTTTCTAATTTCAATTTTTATTTTAGATTCAGGTGCTACATGTGCAATTTTGTTGCAGTGGTATAGTGTGTGATGCTGAGATTGGTATTTCTATTGATCCTATCAAATAGTGAACATAGTACACAATAGGAAGTTTTTCAGGCCTTATCCCCTTCTCTCCCTCTCTCCTTTTTGAATCCTTAGTGTCTACTGTTTCCCTCTTCATGTCCATAGGTACCCAAGATTTAGCTCCCACTTATAAGCAAGAACGTGATATTTTATTTTATGTTTCTGCATTAATTCGCTTAGGATGATTGACTCCAGCTGAATCTACTTTGCTTCAGAGAATATGATTTCTTTCTTTTTGCATGTCTGTATAGTATTCCATGGTATATATGTATCACATTTTCTTTACCCAATCCACCAATGATGGGCAAATACATTGATTCTTTGTCTTTGCAATTATGAATAGTGCTGTGAAGACCATACGAGGGCATGTGTCTTTTTGACAGAATGATTTAGTTTCCTTTAGGTATATACCCAGTGACAGGATTGCTGGGTTGAATGATAGTTCTATTTTGAGTTATTTGTGAATTCTCCAAACTGCTTTCCACAGTGGCTGAACTGATTTACATTCCCATCAACAGGGCATAAGCATCCTCTTTCTCTGCAGCCTCGCCAACAACTGCTCAAATTTTTTATTTTTTACTTTTTAATAATGGCCATTCTGACTGCTGTGAGATGCTATATCATTGTGGTTTTGATTAGCATTTTTCTGATGATTAGTGATACTGCATCTTTTTTTCTTATATTTGTTAGCTGCTTGTACGTCCTCTTCTGAGAAGTCTGTCCATCTGTCCTTCTCTTTTGTCCATTTTTTAATTTGGTTATCTTTTATATTCTTATTGATTTGTTTAAGTTCCTTATAGATTCCTGTAGATTCTGGATATTAGATCTCTGTCAGATGCATAGTTTGTAAAGATTTTCTCTCTGTTCACTCTGTTGATAGATTATTTTGCTGTGCAGAAGCTCTTTAGTTTAGTTAGGTGCCATGTGTCAATTTTTGTTTTTGTTGCAATTGCTTTTGAGAAACTAGTTATAAATTATTTCCCAAGGCCAATGTCCAGAAGGAAATTTCCTAGGTTTTCTTTGAGGATTTTTATTTTTATTTTTTTTTATTTATTTATTTATTTATTTATTTATTTATTTATTTATTTATTTATTTGAGATGGAGTCTTTCTCTGTCACCCAGGCTGGAGTGCAGTGGCACGATAGCTCACTGCAACCTCTGCCTCCCGGGTTCTAGCGATTCTCCTGCCTCAGCATCCAGAGTAGCTGGGATTACAGGTGCTCGCCACCATACCCAGCTAATTTTTGTATTTTTAGAGAGGTGGGCTTTCACCGTGTTGGCCAGGCTGGTCTCGAACTCCTGACTTCAGGTGATCTGCCCGCCTTGGCCTCCCAAAGTGCTGGGATTGAGGATTTTTATAGATTAAGGTTTTACATTTAAGTTTATAGCCAGTGAAGAGAGATAGGTTTCTGCAATGGGTTTCATAGGCTTTGCTTGCGGAAGCAATTTTTGGTATAATTCCGGCTGCATTCCAGTAGGTGGTGTTTAACAGTAAGAGAAAGCAAATAGGCTCTTAGTCGTGCACCCCTTTTGTATTTCAGTACAGACACAGCAGGGCTCTGCGGAGGGGAGGCAGTTGGGCAAAAGATGACTCTCTCTCCAAGTTCATTCCCTGTCCTTGGTGGAGTCCCCTTCAACTACTAGCTCTGTGCCAGCATTTTCTTTGCCCCAAGGGAGGCTTTGGCAGCTTGCACTCTCATCTCCCTTCGGAGGTTAGGTCATAGGAGACCCACAACTCTCCGGGGCCTGCTGGTCTCCTGTGCTTGTTAGAGTAAGAGCGAATTGTGAGATATGTTTGCAGGTGGTTTGGTGAGGCAGTGGGTCAAGGATGGAGGATCCCAGGGCAGCGCGGTGGGACTGTGGATGTGCAACAGATATGGCACCCACAGCCCTGGGTTTTCATCCTGGCAGACAGCTGTGGGCCTGCCCAGCTTGTGCTCCCACAGTCCAGTGGGTCTCCTTTCGGCATGCACCCTAGGAGCAGGCCCGACTGGCTAGGCTGGTCCCAAGCCTTCTGCATTCAGATCACTGGGCCAGTCGAGGCGTTCTGGGTCACGGGGCTCCCTGGGAAAGAAGCTGAGGCTGGCTATCAGGCCACACCCTTCCCAGACTTGTCTTGGAAAGGGAGGAATGCCCAGCTCCCCTGCTGGCACATAAACTCGCGCTGTACTCCTCTCTGTTCTGAGAGTGGGACTCATCTCCTCGTCATGTTCAAGCTACAGATCTCAACTGGATATCTCTGGGCCATGTACTTGAATCCTAGGGAGTTGAGACCAGGCCTATGGATTTGTTCTCTGGCCCCTCAAGGTCGAGCACTGGCTGTGCTGAGGGGCAAACTACTCCCACACTGCTAAGAAGACACACATGGGGCAGTGAAGGCTGTGCTGTGGGCACCATCCTGTAGGAGTCAAAAGGCAGGTTGTCTTGGGAGGGACCAGCAGGCAAGGGGGCATGTGGATCAGATATGCTTGAGTCCCATAGCAATGGCAGCCCCGTTCCCTCCAAGCCCAGCAGACAAAAGGAGCTTCAACCACTCAGTCCAAAATGCAGAAGCTTGGGGAATGGGCATCTATGCTTGTGTTTTGCCACAGCTGTACTGCACAGCAAAACCTTCTGGGCTCCATGAGGGTTCAAGCTGCACATCTACCTGCTTTCCAGGCAGCGCCCCCCTCCAAGTTCAAAGGTCTATGGGGGTTGTGGGAGCTTATCCTATAGCTAGGATACCAGAGGTCCGTGGGGGTACTATTACCCCAGGTTTTCTCACTCACTCCTTCATTGGGTTCAGGAACTGGGGGGCAATCCTAGTGGCCCTGTTACTCCAAGCAGGCTTCCCAGCTTATTCTCTCTTCAACCCCAGCATCTGTGTCGCCTCTATCGGCTTTCCGTGTTTTCTCTCAAAAGGTCTGTTGGAGGTGTGATGGTTTATTTGGCGTTTTGGTTCCTCTTGCTGGAAGAGGTGTTTTCTGGCTATGTCTGGTTGACCATCTTGCCTGGTTTCCTCAAGATTATTTCTTTTATTAAAAAACTGGTATATTTTTATGTAGTTTTTTTCTCTCTTTATAATTGTATTTATATGGTTTATAAAATGTTTTAACCCTCTATTTTTTTAAAGCACTGTAATAAAAGCATTTCATGTTCTAAGAAATTATTCCTACATAGTACAATCAACAGTGGCAATAAATATCACATTAAGTCAAAGAATTGGGGGAGGCCTATATTATAAAAGGATAAATAATTATTAATAACAAATATCTGAGATTCTTACATAATTTTTAAACTTTTATTTTAGGTTTTGGGGTACAGGTGAAGATTTGCTCCATAGCTAAACATGTGTCACAGGGTTTTTTGGCACATATTATTTCATCACCCATGTATTAAGCCCACCCATGGATTGTGCTCCCACAATCCAGTGAGTCCCCCTTCGGCATGCACCCTGGGAGCAGGCCCGCCTGACTACGCTGGTTCTAAGCCTTCTGCACCCAGATCACTGAGCCAGTCGAGGTGTTTTGGGTCACAGGGCTCAGTACCCAATAGTTATATTTTTCTGCTCCACTCTCTCCTCCCACCCTCCCTGCTCAAGTAGACGGCACTGTGTGTTGTTTCCTCTTTTATGTTCATAAGTTGTTATCATTTAGCTCCCACTTATAAGTGAGAACGTACAGTATTTGATTTTCTGTTTCTGCATTAGTTTGCTAAGGATAATAGCCTCCAGGTCCATTCACAAAAGACATGATCTCATTCTTTTTTATGGCTGCATAGTATTCCATCCACAATATATATGTACTATATTTTCTTAATCCAATCTGTCATTGATGGGCATTTAGGTTCATTCCATGTCTTTGCTATTGTGAATAGTGCTGCAACGAGGGTTCAAATACATGTGTCTTTATGGTAGAATGATTTATATTCGTCTGGGTATATGCCCAGTAATCGGATTGCTGAGTTGAATGATAGTTCTGCTTTTAGCTCTTTGAGGAATTGCCATATTGCCATACTGCTTTCCACAATGGTTGAACAAATATATACTCCCACAAGCAGTGTATTAGTGTTCCCTTTTCTCCACAACCTCGCTATTAGCCTGATGGGGTTCCTTTTGTAGGTGACCTGCCCATTCTCTCTAGTTGCCTTTAACATTCTTTCTTTCATTTCAACCTTGAAAAATCTGATGATTATGTGTTTTGGGGATGATTTTCTTGTGTAGAATCTGGCAGAAGTTCTGTGTATTTCTTGAATTTGTTGGCCTCTCTAGCAAGTTTGGAGAAGTTTGCATGGAAGATATCCTGAAATGTTTTCCAAGATGTTTGCTTTCTCCCCCTCCCATTCAGGGATGCCAATGATTGGTAGATTTGGCCTCTTTATCTAATCTCATACTTCACAAAAGTTTTGTTCATTCCCTTTTGTTCTTTTGTCTTTATTTTGTCTGACTGTCTTATTTCAGAAAACCAGTCTTTGAGTTCTAAGATCTCTCCCTCAGCCTGGCTTATTCTACTGTTAATACTTGTGATTGTATTGGGAAATTCTTGTATTGTGTTATTCAGCTCTGTCAGACCCATTAAGTACTTTTTTATACCTGCTATATTGGCCTCCAGCTCTTGTGTCACTTTATTGTGATTCTTATTCTCCTTGGATAGGGTTTTGCCATCCTCCTGAATCTCGACGATCTTTGTTCCTGTCCATATTCTGAGTTCTATGTCTGTCATTCCAGCCAGTTTGGTCTGGTTAAGAACTGTTGTCTGAGAACTAGTGTGGTCATTTGGAGAACATATGACACTCTGGGCATTTGAGTTACTGGAGTTCTTGCATTATTTTTTTTTTTCATCTCTGCATGTGGGTATTCCTTTAACTGCAAAATAGATTGAATACAGTCAATAAATTTTTTTGGGTATTTTCACTAGGCCAAGCCTTTCTGCAGGGCCTTTATTTGAAGCTGGCTGCTTGTCTCTGGTTTCAGAGAGGGGTATCTTAGTGAGGTTTTTGGTGTTGAAGCTTTGGGTATGATCCAGCAGGAGGCCCTCAGGCTTATTGGTAAGTTGGTAAACTCTTGCTTGGTTATGTGGCTCCCCTAGGTTTCCTCACTGTTGCAGCCTTGTTCCCTCTCAATGCTCTGAAAGTGTGGGTTCCTCTCCTCCTTGAGTGCTGGCTGTAGTTCACGACTTGGTACACCTGGGCTGTCCACTGCAGCTCTGAAGTGATCTCAGTGTTTATGTCCCTTCCTCAGCTTAGAGGCAGCAGAGGAATAGATCTTAGTAGTGGCTGTGGAAGAGGGTCATTTGCTTGTCTCCTCGGGGCTTCACTCCAGAAACATGCAGGTCAGAAATCACTCAGTAGATTCAGCCTCTTTCCTAAGGATATATAAGGGGTCTAACCTCCCACTTTGCTGGAGCTACAGCTACTTTTGCTGGAAAGACCAAGTATCTAAAGGTCCAGTTTTCCCACACATGCCTGACTGACTGCTCTGTCGAGACTCCACATAACTCTGTCTGTCAGACCGAAAGCCCTGGTGGAGTAGGTTCACAAGAAGATCTCCTGTCCCAAGGGTTGCAAAGATTCATGTGAGAAGTGTGGTTTCCCAAGACCGCTCATCCACTCACCACTTCCCAGGGCAGAGGAGGTTCTCCTGGCTCCATTTTGCTCCCAGGTGGGTCGTTGTCCTATCTCTTCTTCATTCTCCTTGGGTCAAGTTGTTTTCTTGATTAGTCCCAATGTGAGTACCTAAATGCTTCAGTTGAAGGTATCATAGTTACTCGCCCCTTCTGCTCCTCTCTGTGAGAGCAATGCACGCTAGCTGCTTCTAGTTGGCCACTTTGACCACTTCCCTCATAATATTATAAGAAACTTATTTTATATTATTCAAATAATATTATTTGATAAGTTTAGAAGATGATAAAAGAAAATTAATTACCCATAATCTCCCTACCTGGAGCCAATAATCTGTATTTTCTAGAACCAATGGTATAAAATTAATGTAATTTTCATTTTGTATATAGGGGTGTGTGTGTGTATATATATATTTCTTTTACTCTCATATTCTCATAGTATTTAAATAATTCAACCAAACCAAGCCTTCATTTAAAAATATTTTCTCTCAACATTACATCATTCTTAGTTTTGTTAAATTATTAAATTAAAGTGATTTATATGTATACAGTTTTTGTCAGATTTTTGAAGCTCGTTAACATTATTAATCCTCACATCAAAACTATTATCTTATTTTTTAAAACTCAGGAAACTGAGGTTCAAGGAAAATACTTAATTGGCTGAAGTCACAGGATATAATGACCAATAATACTTCCATTATGGTCCTTATAATCTAAAATGCTTAAAATCTTCCACATCAGTATACTGACTTCTTATCATATATACTAGGTGATACACGAATGCTCTATTGTTAGATATCTGATTGCTTCCAATCCTTCACTAAAGATGTTATGAAAGCAATTGCAACAAAAGCAAGTTTGACAAATGGGATCTAATTAACTGAAGAGTTTCTGCACAGCAAAAGAAAACTACCATCAGAGTGAACAGACTACCTACAGAACGAGAACATTTTTGTAATCTATCTATCTGACAAAGGCCTAATATCTGGTCTACAGGGAACTTAAACAAATTTACAAGAAAACAACCCCATTAAAATGTTGGCAAAGGAGATGAAGAGACACTTCTCAAAAGAAGCTCAACATTACTGATCATTAGAGAAATGCAAATCAAAACCACAATGAGATAATATCTCACCCCAGAAAGGATGGCAAATATTAAACAGTCCAAAAACAACAGATGCTGTCACGGCTGTGGCGAAAAAGGAATGCTTTTATACTTTTGGTGGGAGTGTAAACCAATTCAACCATTGTGGAAGACAGGGAGGCAATTCTTCAAAGACCTAGAGGCAGAAATACAATTTCACCCAGCAATCCCATTACTGGGTATATACCGAAAGGAATATAAATCACTATATTATAAAGAAACATACACATGTATGTTCATTGCAACACTATTCACAATAGCAAAAACATGGAACCAACCCAAATGCGCATCAATGATAGACTGGATAAAGAAAATGTGATACATACACACCATGGAATATTATGCAGCAAGTGATGGATTGATCTGTGCAGCAAACCACCATAGCACACATTTACCCATGAATGTAACGAACCTGCATATTCTGAACACGTACCCCAGAACTTAAAAGCTGAAGAAAAAAATAAACAAAAGTATAAGAGAAAAAATAACAAAAGAAGAAATAAAAGAGAAAAGAAAGATGTCACAAATCTCTTTCTAAAATTTTCTATTTTTATTATTTTCCGTATAATAAATGCATAGAATTAGAATTAAAGTAAATTATACTGCATTTGTATGGTTCTTGCATTTAGATTTCTAACATACTTTCTGGAAAGTAGCATCCAAATAACACTCTAAGTCACAACATTCATGAGGAACCATTTCATAGAGATAAGCTGCTAGTTGTTCTCCAGGAGTCCTCACTGCCTTCTTCAATAGTGGTTAAAGATTTACATGGCACATTGTTGACCAGCTAACATGTTAATTTCCCAGCTTCTCTTGAAGGCAGGAGTGGCCATATGGCAAGAATCTGGCTAATGAGTTATAGGCACAGGTAATACTTGCAATTTGGGGTCCAAGCTTTTGAAAAAAGAAAAAAGCATACATTTCTTCTTTCCTCAGTCGAAAGTTGGAATGATAAAGTAACAGTGAGTCATCACTGATTATACAGCAAAGGTGAGCCCTATAAATAATGTAACAATTGAGTAGAAAGATCTTGGGTTCCTAAAAGCTTCAACCCAGCAAATAGCCCTAAACCAAACTGATACACAGCATATGTGTGCTGTGTATGTGTGTGTTCTGTTGGTCACTATATTTCTCAAACTTTTGTTGTAGTGATTTAGCCTATATTGTTTCATACACACACACACACACACACACACACACACACACACACGCAGTATGCTGATGGGCTTGCTTACAATCACCTTTTTTTAATGTATCAGTATGGCACCTCTTTATTCATCTGATTACTACTGATTTTCCAAATGAATTTTTTTTACTTGAAATTTTCATTTTGAATTGCTTGTTTTTGCATCTGGCTTCCGTTAACATTTATCTCTCAGATTCAGAGCAAATAATTTACACTCTGTTTCTGTTGGATTTTTTTATAATATAATATTAAATAAAAACAGAACAAACACACAGAGTCCACACTAAACATATTAAATAATGACAAACGACCTAAGTGCTGTCCCTCAATTGTAACTATCTATCTATCTATCTATCTATCTATCTATCTATCTATCTATCTATACTAATTATGTGGGGGTTTGCAGAACAATATTTTTTTTTCCAATGAGCAGCAATATAGTGACAGGAGACAACTTATTTCCAAGGAAACAGACAAATTGCAAGTTACAGGCAATGTTTAAATCATTTGAGATTTATATACTTTCTAATCTCAGTGTTGAAATTCTCAAAAAGTCTTTGTGTTATGGTCTTGAATATGTGTCTTCATGTGTTTCTGTCTTTGATGTCTATATAGATGTCTATATATCTTCTTCACATCATGTTGTAGTTCTCATGTAACAAAAAGTTTGCATAGTGTCATATAAACTAACAGCTAATTACTTTTTCTTTTGGCAGCTTCAGAAACTACCTATGAATTGCTTTGGGATTTACTTCTGTAATAGCCACATTTCTTCAGACCTATTTATGGAATAAACATGCACTTAAATTTTACTCTTTATATAGAAGCTAATTAAGAAAAGGCAAGAAAATAGAATGCAATGAAAATAGTGGAGCCCAGGATATCAACGGGGGATCAATATTCTTACATATAGACAGAAACTGAAATAATCAGTTTCTGAGTGTTGGGACAAAATACAGAAACCCCCAAGTCTCTAGCATAACTGAGAGATGAGAGAGGCAACTTGAGCCTGAGGCAGTAAACTTTTCCTTGTGGTGTAATCTTTCTACTGCTCCCAGATCCCCAGATATACAAAACCAGATTGATGTTCTGATTCATCCTTAAAGATTTTATTGTAATCTATTCAAAATATGATCCACAGGATCAGGACCACAGCAATTATGTGGCTAAAAAATACTCCAGGAAGCAGAATGTAATTTTAATGTAACTAATTTTTTTTTTTTTTTTGAGACAGTCTCGCTCTGTCACCCAGGCTGGAGTGCAGTGGCGCGATCTTGGCTCACTGCAACCTCAGCCTCCCGGGTTCAAGCAATTCTCCTGCCTCAGCCTCCTGAGTAGCTGAGATTACAGGCGCCCGCCACCGCACCCAGCTAATTTTTGTATTTTTTTAGTGGAGAAGGGGTTTTACCATGTTGGTCAGGCTGGTCTTGAACCCCTGACCTCGTGATCCACCCGCCTCAGCCTCCCAAAGGGCTGGGATTACAGGCGTGAGCCACCGCGCCTGGCCATAACTTCTTATACATGTGTTTGCCAAAGGTACTAAAAGAAATATACCCAAAACTTTCAAAATTCTTTATCTTAAAAAAATCAACTTTTATCATATTCCACAGATGCTTCTGTGGAGCACTCTCTCAAAACCCATCAAAGGTTATCTGATAAGCATGTCCTAATCTTTTCTTTTCTTCTTCCTTCCTTCCTTTCCTTCTTTTTTTTTTTTTTTTTTTTTCCTGAGACCGAGTCTCGCTCTGTCACCCAGGCTGGAGTGCAGTGGTGCAATCTCAGCTCACTGCAATCTCCTCCTCTTGGGTTGAAGCAATTCTCCTGCCTTAGCCTCCCAAGTACCTGGGATTACAGGTGCCTGCCTAATTTCTGTATCTCTAGTAGAGACTGGGTTTCACCATGATGGTCAGGCTAGTCTCGAACTCCTGACCTCAGGCGATCTGCCTGCCTCGGCCTTCCAAAGTGCTGGGATTACAGGCACGAGCCTTTTTTAAAAAATTTTTTTGAGACAGAGTCTCATCCATGTGTTCTCATTGTTCAGCTCCCACTTATAAATGAGAACATATAATGCTTGGTTTTCTGGTTTTGCATTAGTTTGCTGAGGATAATGGCTTCCAGGTCCACCTATGTCCTTGCAAAGACATGATTTTTGTTCCTTTTATGGCTGCATAGTATACCATGGTGTATATGTGCCATACTTTTTTATCCAGTCTGTCATTGATAAGCATTCAGGTTGATTCCATGTCTTTGCTATTGTAAACAGTGCCACAATGAACGTACAAATTCACGTATCTTTGTAACAGAATGATTTATTTTCCTTTGGGTATATTCCCAGTAATGGGATTGTTGGGTGAAATGGTATTTCTGATTCTAGATCTTCGCCACACAATCTTCCACAATGGCTGAACTAATTTATATTCTGAGGGGACACATTCTTATCTATCAATTCTACACATGAGAAGTTTATAAATTGGGGAACTATTTTCTTTTTTTCTTTTTCTTTTCTTTTTTTTTTTTAGCGAAAGGGCTTTGCTATGTTGCCCAGGCTGGATTCAAACTCCTGGGTTCAAAGGATCATCCTGCACCAGCCTCCCGAGTAGTAGCTGGAATTATTAGCACATCACCATGCCAGGCTTAGAAACTCTTTCTTAATTCCCTAATTTCAAATATCACTTCTGTATATGAATCATACATTTAAGTAATTTGTATATACAAATTCAATCATTTTTAACATGCATTTGGATAAATATTAAATTAAGTAATATATCTAATATATGTAAATTTTTAAAAAATTATATCTAACCCTATTTACAATTTATGAAATTATTTTAAGCTTTTTGAACTACATATACAATTAAATAGGGTTAATTTTCTCAAACATTGCAAGCACTTAAGAAAGTAGTTAGTTATTGAAAAAACTAAGGTCTTACTAAGCCCTTGAGAACAAATATGCTAACTCAAACATAAATTTAGTATTTAGGCTGGGCACCATGGCTCATGCCTGTAAACCCAACACTTTGGGAGGCTGAGGCAGGTGGATCACCTGATGTCAGGAGTTCCAGATCAGCCTGACCAACGTAGTGAAACTCCTTCTCTACTAAATACAAAAAAAATTAGCTGGGCATAGTGGTGTACATCTGTAATCCCAGCTACTTGAGAGGCTGAGGCAGGTGAATTGCTTGAACCCGGGAGGTGGAGGTTGTAGTGAGCTGAGATTGCACCATTGCACTGCAGCCTGGGCAACAAAAGTGAAACTCCGTCTCAAGAAGAAAAAAAAAAAAGTATTTAAAATGTTCAAACATCTTAAAAAACTATCAGAATGCACATAAAATCAATGATTTTAAAATGTTTGTTAATTATCTTGTATACTTCAAAATAAGTAAGTATTGTTTTTTGTTTGTTTTTAAATCTTGGGATGGTAAATTTCTTCATTCACCATAAAGGGTAATTATAGAGCAGCTTAGATTACTTGACCTTAACGCCGAAATAGAACTTGGGTATGGGTGAGGTTAATTGGTTAAATAATTGCCATTACACACAGCCTATTAATGAAAGTGACTGAAGAACAAAAGCACTTTGAACTTAGATGTGACATCCAAGACTATCCCAGAGAATGACAGTATGACTAATTATTATGGTTTTATTTTTTCTTCTATGTAAATTAGGTTTTCTAATAACCATGTCTTTCTCCTAGGACTTAATCAACCATATTGATTTCCATGTTTTAAAACATTTTCCTTTCTATTGGAATAATCCACAACTAATATAACAATACCAATGGAGACTTGCATTAAAGTCTTCTGATTTTAATCGGTTTTTATGTAAAAGCACGTGTCATTATGAACAAGGAATACAGCAACACTTCAGAGTTTCCGACTTTCTAAACAAACATGTCAAGTTAATCAATATAATATTATCTTCTAATGCACAGGCCACAAATTCATCCACTACTTCTGAGGTATGAATAAAATATTATTTGTCGCTGTAATTATTTTGGCACCAATCAAATCTCCTTAACAAAAGAATATGACATTTCATGGAGTATATCCAATGACTTCATGTTGGGGATTTGACGAGAATAACTTTCTTTCTCACTTTTATAGCTTTCATTTTTAATCACATTATGAAATTTGTAACGCTCGGTTCAAGAATTTTGTAAAGACCAAATATGATACAATTCACTCTTTCATTGTTTTCAGTTTTTAAACATGTAATTAGGACGTTTTTAGAAGATTTTCTTCTTTACTTTTTCGCCTTTATGTCTATACTTTCTTGTTCTTCTGTTTTTATTTTCTAAATATAACATAATTACTCTCATATTTCATCCCAATTATCCGTAGAATTTTAAAATTTTGTACAATCTTATTCAAAAGTGAACAAAGTTTAAAAATATTTTTAAAAACATAATAAATTAAATGTAAAAATATACATTATTTGTACATTTTTTCTTAAATGCTAAAACTAAGTTAAAACCAAAATATACATACCATAATCAATTAATATTCAAAATTAAGTAAAATGATAGAATTGACATAATTATTTTTAAAATTACATTTCTTTATATATAAGAATAAAACCACTCACAGTTCTAATGTTCAATGTAAAAAAAATATATTATTCATGCCTGCTGGTCATGTAGATATATAAATTTAGTAGTTACAGGAATTATTTAATACCAAAAGAATTCATTCATAACCATGTACAACTATTGTGAAACTCACAACCAATCATGGGTTTATCCAAAATCTCAAATTAGAAGATAAACAAAACAAGCAAATGGACAATTGAAGCTATTGAAAAATTACATTTTGCTATACAGGAAACTATTTCATTCCAGGTAAAAGAGAGTAGGACCTGACAAGTTCAAAGTCTGTGCATATTTTTCCCAAATGCTTCAGTCTCTCCATTAATATTAGGAGAGAAGAAATCCACAACCCTTATGACCTTGAGATGCAATTGTTTTGAGAACTTAGGGCAAAACTTGTGAAGTGCTTCCCTGGAGCATAAACCATGTTAGTAACTGGAGCGATGCTATGTCAGCACTGAACACTGAATCCCAAAGAAAAGTTCGTAATGCACTGTGAAGTATTTGGGGATTGTAATCGGTGAAGACTTCTAAAGAACAAACCCAAGGAGAGGCTCATCTGTCTCAGGTTTTAGAGCAGTCACAAGGAATAGTGTCTATTTATTACAAATATTTTCTAACGGTTTTGGTTTTTCCTTGCAAAATTCTCTTAGTAAGACAAAATCTATCTTTAATCTCACCCTTGGAGCTAAGGTAAAAAATAAAGGTTATGTTAAGAAAAAAATATGAGAAAGTTACATTTTAAAGTATTAATTAGTTCAATATCACTAAAAATAAGTATACATTATTTTCTATTTTGATTTCAATTTGAGAGAAAAAGTCATAAAGTTTAAAGAAAAATGAGTAATAGGATTATTAATATATTGTTTTGAGACACAGTCTCACTCTGTTACCCAGGCTTGAGTGCAATAGCACAATCTCAGCTCACTGCAACCTCCAACTCCCAGGTTCAAGCGATTCTCCCGTCTCAGCCTCCTGAGTAGCTGGGATTATAGGCACGCACCACCATGCCCAGCTAATTTTTGTTTTTTGATTTTTTAGTAGAGACAGGGTTTCACCATTTTGACCAAGCTGGTCTCGAACTGCTAACTTCAAGTGATCCACCTGCCTTGGCCTCCCAAAGTGCTGGGATTACAGGTGTGAACCACCACACCCAGCCAAAATTCTTTTAAAAATATCTTCATAATTATACTTATGGTCATCCATGAATATCTGCATTTAGGTACATAAAATATATACACATGAATATTTGTGAGTAAACAATTTATATCCTGATGATTTCTGTACATCTTACACCTCAAAAAATTATAATCTCTACCAATAACTATTTTTGATATCAGGCAAATAAGTTAGAGTTTCTGTTTCTTCATCTTTATAAGAAGAGTAATAGTCTATTATCAAAATCATAGCTTTATACACAAATCAAAGCCACCAAAAATACACACTGCTATAAAAAATATAAAATGATGTCATACTCCTGAACAACCACTAGGTCAAACAAGAAATAATTGAGACTAATGAAAATAGTAACTTAACATATTGATGTGGTTTGGCTGTGTCCCCACCCAAATCTCAACATGAATTGTATCGCCCAGAATTCCAAAGTGTTGTGGGAGGGCCCTGGGGGGAGTTAATTGAATCAGGGGGCTGGTCTTTCCCATGCTATTCTCATAATAGTGAATAAGTCCCATGAGATCTGATGGGTTTATCAGGGGTTTCTGCTTTTGCTTCTTCTCATTCATTTTTTCCCTTGCCACCACGAACAAGAAGTGCCCTTCACTTCCCGCCATGATTCTGAGGCCTCCCCAGCATGTGGAATTGTAAGTCCAATTAAACCTCTTTTTGTTCCCAGTTTTGGGTATGTCTTTATCAGCAGCATGAAATCAAACTAATACACATATGATATGCAGAAAAGAATGTTCTAAAAGGAAAGTTTATAGAAATAAATATCTATATTAAACAAACAAACAAAAAATCTCAAATAGAAAGCCTAATGTTACACGAAGGAGTAAAAGAAAAGCAAAGCCTAAAGTCAGTAGAAGGAAGAAGATTACAAAAATCAGAAGTGAAATAAATGAAATAAAGACTTGAAAGACAACAAAAAAGATCAAAAGAAAGAATACATCAATAAATAAAATCATAAATAAAAAGAAGACATTACAACTCATACCCCAGAAATATGAAGGATCATAAGAGACTGCAATGAACAATTGTAAGCCAACAAATTGTATAACCAAAAGAAATGGATACATTTCTAAACACATGCAATGTACAAAGACTGAATTATGAAGAAATAAAAAAATCTGAACACACCATTAATGACTAAGGAGATTAAATCAAGGCAAACAAAACAAAAAATAAATAACACCAACAAAAAGCCCAGCATCTGATAGCTTCATGGCTGAATTCTACCAAACATTTAAAGAACTAATGCCAATTCTTCTCAGACTCTTCCAAAAACTTGAAGAGGAGACAATACTTTTAAATTCATTGTATAAGGCTAGCATTATCCTGATACCAAAGCCAGCTAAGAACATTACAAGAAAAGAAATTACTGGCCAATATCCCTGATGAGCATTGGTGCAAATATCCTTAATAAAAAATATTAGCAAACTGAATTCAACAGTACTTTAAAAGACTTATTCACCTTCCTTTCCAACCTGGACCCAGCAGAATGGCTCCCACAAAGAAGGGTGGCAAGAAGAAAAAGGGCCGTTCTGCCATCAACGAAGTGGTGACCCGAGAATACACCATCAATATTCACAAGCACATCCATGGAGTGGGCTTCAAGAAGCGTGCCCCTGGGCACTCAAAGAGATTCAGGAATTTGCCATGAAGGAGACGGGAACTCCAGATGTGTGCATTGATACCAGGCTCAACAAAGCTGTCTGGGCCAAAGGAATAAGGAATGTCCCATACTGAATCCGTGTGTGGCTGTCCAGAAAACGTAAGCTATATACTTTGGTTACCTATGTACCTGTTACCACTTTCAGAAATCTACACACAGTCAATTTGGATGAGAACTAATCGCTGATCATCAAATACATCAAATGAAGTTATAAAATTGCAAAATAAAATAAAATAAAAGACATTCACCATGATCAAGTTGGATTTATTCCTGGCAGGCAAGGATGTTTCACTGTATGTAAATCAACAAACATAATATATCATATTAACCAAATGAAGAACAAAAACCATATAATCATCTCAATAGATAAAAAGCATTTGACAAAATTCAACATTCTTTTATGATAAAAACTCTCAATAAATTAGGTATAGAAGCAATGTACTTCAACACAATAAAGGTCATATATGACAAGCTCATAGCTAACATCCTCCTCAGTGGTGATAATCCGATTCTTATAAAGTCAGTAACAAGATAAGGCTACTCAGTTTCACCACTTCATTCAACATAGTGCTGGAAGTCCAATCAGAGCAATTAGGCAAGAAAAATAAATAAAAGACATTCAAATATGAAAGAAGTTAAATAGTCTATATTTGTAGATGGTATAGTCTTTATATAGAGAAAACCCTCAAGACTACACCAGAAAAGCTGTTAGAAATAATAAACTAATCCAGCAAAGTTGCACGATACAAAATTAACATACACACAATCAATAGTGTTGCTATACACTAACAATAAACTGAAAAAAGAATTAAGAAATGGCCTCATTTATAATAGTACAAAAAATACTCAGGAATAAGTTTTACCAAGGAGGTGAAAGATCTGTATACTAAAACTTATAAAACATTGATGAAAGAAATTGAAGAAGACACAAATAAATTTTTAAAAACCTCATTTTAATGGATTGAAAGTATTAATACTGTTAAAAAGTTCACACTATGTAAAGTGATAAACAGATTTAATGCAGTCCCTTTTAAAATTCCAATGACATTTTTCACAGAAATAGAAAAAAATTTGCAAAATTTGAAGGAAATGTGAGAAGACACTGAATAGTCAAATCATTAGAAAAGGTTGTTTTCACTAGTTATCTCATATAATTAGTGTGACTAGCTAGTCACACTAGATTATACTACCTGATTTCAAAATACATGGCAAAGTTCTAGTAATCAAAACAGCATGGCACTGGCATGAAACAGACACATAGCTCAATGGAATAGAACAGAGACACAAGAAGTAAATCTGGGCATTTATGGTGAACTAGCCTTCTACAAAGATGCCAAGAACAAATATTGGGAAAAGATGGTCTCTTCAATAAGTGGTGCTAAAAACACAAGAAATCCACATTCAGAAGAATGAAATTGGATCCTTACCTCAAACCACATACAAAAATCAAATCAAAATGGATTAAAGATTACATGTAAAACTGGACACTAAAAGTTATAGAGGAAAACATAGGATAAAAGCTTTTTGACATAAGTCTTAAAAAGATTTTTAGGATATGACCCCCAAAAGCACAGGCAACCAAAATAAAAATAGGAAAAATGATATTTCATACACCTAAAAGGCCTCTGCTCAGCAAAGAAAACAACCAACAGAGTGAAAAGACAGTCTGTGAAATTGGAGAAAATATTTGCAAACGATATGTCTGATAAGGGGTTAAGGAACTCAAATGAAAGATTACAAATATTGGCAAGGATGTTGAGAAGGTAACACTTTTTCACTGTTGATGAGACATGAATTAGTACAGTTGTTATGAAAAATAGTGTAGAGGTTTCTCATAAGATTAAAAATGGAACTACCCATGTGATCCACCAGTCCCACTTCTGCTTCAAATGAATTGAAATAAATATGTCAAAGAGATATCTGCTCTCCCATGTTCACTGAAGCTTTATTCACAATAGCTAGGATATGAAACTGATCTAAGTATCTAGGAAAAGACAACTGGATTTTTAAAATGTGGGGTGTATATACATACACAATGGAATACTATTTACCCATTAGTAAAAAAGGAATCTGTCATCTGTGACAACATGGATGAACCTGGAGGATATTATGCTAAGTGAAATAAATCAGGCTTACAAATAACTTTTGGTCAGACAGGAAGAATAGGTTCTGGGGCTCTGTTGTACAGCATAGTGAGTATAGTTAATAATAATACACTATATACACAAAAATTGCTAAGAGAATATATCTCAAATATTCTTACCCTATACACACACAGAAATAATAAATATGTGCATTACAGGATATGTTAATTAACTTGATTTCATTATTATACAATGTATATAGATATCAAAAATACCACAATACAATTTTAAAGGTAATCCATTAAACATTAATAGAGATAAAAAACATAAACCAAAATAAAACTTAGTAAGTCTCTCACCAGCTTTAAGGTCAAGGAATATCTTTTTCAATGACCTGGAACCATCTCTCTGAAGTGCAATCATCAAGGAAGATAGCACCCCCATCTCTCAATTTCTGAAATGGTAGGAGCTTAGCCTTGGGTGTAGGGGGCTGGTTCTCACTCCAAATTGCAAAACTGCCTCTTGCTGTAAAAATATGATAATTTGTTTTTTCCTTTGAATAAATCCAATTAGCTAACACAGATGGTCATCTCAATTACCAAGTGAATTTAGGATCAACTATGTGTGACAAATGGTACTATCAAGTCCTCTTACTAGAGGACTAGCTATTATTTATTAGGAAAACATATATGTAATGGATTGTACTTTCTTGAATATATAAAAGGGTGAAATTTCTTTGTTTGCAATCTCTTTAGCAAATTGCCTATGTGCATCACATTCTGGTTTAATGCTAGTCGGTAGTATTTTTACTTTCTTTTTTACCTTAGCAGAGAGGTTTTCAGAGTTGGGAGGAGATTTTGTTTTCATTTTTACTAACAATTTTGGCAACAGAGATAGAATGAGTTTTCCATTTTCTGAATTGAGTGGTCCAGCTGAAGGTCTTGTGGGCACACAACACTCAGGTAAGATACCGTGAATTATTATGCCTCTCTTTTCACTCTGAACAATTTTGGAATACCAGCCAAATGAACTACCATCTTAAAATTCAAGATTTTACTATTAAATAAACATCAATAATACAGGCTCTAATTCTCATCAGGATTACTATAGTTGGAAAATCAATGACACCAGAAATGTTGCCTGAAAAGTGTGTCTCTTAAAGAGTTAATAACTTTCTATTATATTTGAATAAGTGTATGATAATTCAGTCTAGCAGTAGACTGAGGACAGTTCTTCTGATTTGAATAAACTAAATGAATGTGTTGAGGTTCATAGACAGGCCTTGTTACATAAGAATATGTTCTCCTATCCCCCAAAATCATAGGTTGAGGACCTAACCTCCAATGGGACTGTATTTACAGATACAGCATAAAGAGATAATTAAGGCCAAATGAGGTCTTAAGAACACAGCCCTTATCTAATATGACTCATATTCTTATAATAAGAGGAAGAAACACCAGGGATGGAAACCACAGAGAAAAAAAGGCCATGGTCATGTGAGGATGCAGTAGGAAGATGATCATCTGCAGGTCAAGGAGAGATGTGTCTTGAGAACCAACCCTGCTGGCAACTTGATTTTGGATGTCCAGCCTCCAGAACTGTGAAGAAAATAAATTTCTGCTCTTTAAGTCACTCAGTCTATGGAATTTTGTTATGCAATCCCTAGCAAACTAATACAGACATCATCTAAAACAAATGAATCACTAGTATTTATGTAATCAATATTATTCTAAGAAAAAAATTAATTTGGATAGGCAAAAGGAAAAAAAGCAAAATAGAACAGGAAATGTGAGAATTAAAGGTAATTTTTCTTTCACAGAACCCTTCTGACCCTTTTTCTGCAGTGGCTACTCCCCCTGCTTCCCCTAAACATCTTGTCTGTATCACTCACTACCTCAGAATGAGTCTGGGGAAGGGAAGTTAATGATCTCTTGGATGAATGGTTTCTTCCTGCTATGGTTTGAAAGTCTCCCTGCCAAAATTTGTGTTAAAATTCAATGGCCAATATGATAGTATTAAGAGGTGAAGCCTTCAGAGGTGATTAGGCCATGAGGTTTTCTTCTTTCTGAATGGGATTAAGGCTTTTATAAAGGAAATTTCACTCAAACTTTGGCTCCCTTGCCCTTCTGCCTTCTGTCATGTGAGAACAGTGTTCCTCCCCTCCGGAGGATGCAGTAACAAGATGCCATATTGGAAACAGAAAGAGCTCTTGCCAGGCAAACAAACCTGTTGATGCCTTGATTTTGGACTTCCTAACCTCCAGAACTATAAGAAATAACATGCTGTTCTTATAAATTATCCTGTGTCAGGAATTTTGTTACAGCAGCACAAATTAACTAAGATACCTTTGTCAGGAGATTTTCCTGAAAAGAGGGATAAGGGAAAAACATTATTATCTACTCTATTTTGAGGACACAGGTTTGAGTGCCTCATGTGATTTCATTCTATGTCTTAGCCCTGATTCCCCCTCCAAAAGTCCCTTATTATCCATGTACCATGTAGCTAGAAAAGCAGAAGATATAAGGAGATCTAATCAGGAAAATATGAGAACTTGAAAAAAAGGCTGTCTTTTATGAAGACAACAGGATGGAGAGTAGCTGCACTTGTCACATGTAAAAAAAAGGCAAACAGAAAAGATATTAAATTGATAAATGTAGACACAGAAAAGGAAACCAAAACGCTATATAATTTACATTTCCCTTGTCTCAGTGAGAGAAAAACCTGCTTTTATTTGTATTGCAAGCAAAGCTGATGCCATCAAGAAGCTACTGAGGGTTCCTTGTTCATCTACATGCCTTCCTTGCAAGCTAATATTATTCATTTATAAACTTTTTCTTTTTCCCGTGCTTCAGAAGTTGAAGTAGTGCAAAGCAAACTGCTTTACAGCTTCACACATGGGGATGTGTACTGACTCCTCTATGAGATTTTCTAACTAGTCAGCTTTGCTCCTTTGATGGAACAAGAACAATAGGATTCCAAAGACTTCATCAGGGAGTTCTGGTGGACAAGGGAAGCTGATTATCTGATACACATCTTCCCCTCCAATACCCACACACAACTATGAAAGGATCTAATAGTTTAAGAGACACATTGACAACAGTTGCTAATAGCTCGAGTTGAATGCTTGCTGAGAAATGTGAGTTGGAAGATATAATGGTGTGCCCAGAAGGGGGGTGAGTCCCCCAATTCATGATCATTAATTGTTCACTGAGACATTTGTAAAGTTTATTGGTATAGATCCAATGGCAGATGAAATAGCCTTCTGACCTTGAATACCTTTGCCTTGTCTCTTTTGCAGGCTACAAAACAGAATTACAGAAAATGTAATAGGATGGCGAGTGTAGAATATCACTTGAGTTTTATCAGTAGCTACTCGGTTTGGGTATCATCAAAAGAAAGACAAAGGAGAAAAAAATATTAAAGCCTACTGTGTTTACTGATCAATGAGCATTCTTTACTAAAGGGAATAATCTCTACTCTGGCCAGTCTATAAGGGTTGAAAAAGAAGAATCCATGACGTTGGAAAAGGAAGCATAGAAGTAGACTGAGGAGGATACAGGAGGCACAGGGACAAGGGAATCAGGGAAGTCCAGAAAGCTATGGAATAAATGGAAAATGATTTAATTTTAGGGACTCTCAGATGCGAGAATTGCTAACAGTGGTGCTACTTTTTCTGTAGTTTTCTCAATAATTTCTCACATTCTTTTGGTAATAGATTAATACAAGTTGCTGGTATTTTATGTCCATTTTTTTTCCTACTTGTTCTTTTTTTCCCCCAGTTCCCATACAGATAACTCCTCTGAGGATCTGAGGAACATGTGTTCTTACCTTGTCCTGATTCTCCTATACATCTTCTTGGGAGAGAACTGTGCAACTTAAAGGCTACCTTATTTTGTACTGTGAATGTCTCTGGAGCTCCTTGGGAAAAAAGTTATCTGATTTAGCTACTATGTGCCTTTTGAAAGAAAAGGGCTATGTAAGAAGACAGCAGTCTCACACTGTGCCAGAAAAACACTCCAAACTGAAAATGAAAACAAAGTTTCACTTTTGGCTCTAGTGATACTTGTTGTACTTGCTATAGAACCAATAAAAATTGTTTATCAAAAGGGTAAGCCATGACCCATGCAAAAGGGTATCTTTTACTGAGAGCTCCATTAAAAGGAATAAAATCAGTTATTACAAATATAAGAATAGCAAGGAATAAATTTTAAGAGGGCACTTACTTTGTCATACTCACATACTTACAGTAAAGAAGAAAGGCAAATTTGATAGAGATGGTTGCATTAGTCCATTCTCACACTGCTAATACAGACATACCGGAGACTGGCCAGGCACAGTGGCTCACGCCTGTAATCCCAGCACTTTGGGAGGCCGAGGCGGGTGGATCACAAGGTCAGGAGATGGAGACCATCCTGGCTAACACAGGGAAACCCCGTCTCTACTAAAAATACAAAAAAATTAGCTGGGTGCGGTGGCGAGCACCTGTAGTCCCAGCTACTCGGGAGGATGAGGCAGGAGAATGGCGTGAACCCAGGAGGCAGAGCTTGCTGTGAGCCAAGATCGTGCCACTGCACTCCAGCCTGGGTGAGAGAGCAAGACTCCGTCTCAAAAAAAATAAAAAATAAAAAATAAAAGACATACCCGAGACTGGGTAATTTATAAAGGAAAGAGGCTTAATGGACTGACAGTTCAGCATGTCTGGGGAGACATCAAGAAACTTACAATCATGGCAGAAGGGGAAGCAAACACATCCTTCTTCACATGGTGGCAAGAAGAAGAATGAGTGCCCAGCGAAGGGTGGTTATATAAGAAATCCCCTTATATAACGATCAGATTTTGTGGGAACTAACTTACTATTGTGAGAACAGAATGGGGAAAACCACCGCAACAAATCACTTATCTCACCTGGTCCCTCCCATGACACATGGGGATTATGAGAACTACAATTCAAGATCAGATTTGGGTGGGGACACAGCCAAACCATATCATTCCATCCAAGACCCTCCCAACTCTCATGTTCTCACAATTAAAAGCCTAAGAATGCCCTTCCAACAATCCCCCACAGTCTTAACTCATTCCAGTATTAACTCAAAAGTCCAAGTCCAAAATCTCATCTGAAACAAGGCAAGTCACTTCGGCCTATGAGCCTGTAAAATCACAAGCAAGTTAGTTACTTCCTAGGTACAATGTGGGTACAGGCATTGGGTAAATACACTCATTCCAAATGGGAGAAATTGGCCAAAACAAAGTGGCTACAGGCCCCGTAGAAGTCCAAAATCCAATAGAGCAGTCACTAAACCTTAAAGTTCCAAATTATCTCCTTTGAACCCATGTCTCACATCCACGTCATGCTGATGCAAGAAGTGGGCTCCCACAGCCTTGGGAAACACCAACCCTGTGGCTTTGCAGGGCATGGGCCCTCTCCCAGCTGCTTTCACAGGTTGGTGTTTGAGTGCCTGCAGCTTTTCCAGGAGCATGGTGCAAGCTGTTGGTGGATCTACCATTCTGGGGTCTGGAGGATGGTGGACCTCTTCTCACAGCTGCATCAGGCTAATTGTTTATAAAACAAACAAATAAACAGCAATAACAACCCCTCCCAAAAAAAGAAAAAACACTCAGACAAACCTTTCCCACCAGAAACATCTATAGTTATTCAAATACAGATGAATTTCTGGTAGCCTCAGAAACTAGAGAGCAATGAAAAATTCATGTCTTGGCCTTGGTACAATTGCATAAGGCCTCAGTAGACAAATTGCAGCATTGCTCAACTGAGGCAAAGTATTGAGGTCATTGGTTTATAGCTGTAGGCCACAAAGTGTTACATCTAAGTGTTAGTTCATTTTGCAGATGTAAGTGGACTACTACTACTACTAAAAAAAAAATAGTTTTAGGGATTAGCACAGTATTGTAGAGAATGGATTCCACTTTTTGCAGCATGAACAATACATCTCATTTGCATAATTCTCCAGATCCTTGGGTCTGGTCCCTATAAAATGAAGAGCTTATAAAAAGCTGAAATTGAATATAACTTCTTTCCCACCTTTGGAGATTCAAAATTTTGAGAAGTCTGACCTGATTTATGTGACGTTTATGCTCATATTGCATATTTAATAATGTTTACTTATGGGTCATGCACGTGGAAAACAAGTGTCCTAGTTAAGGCTTCCCATGCTATAGCAACTTTTCATAAAATTATAGAAGCTTCTGTTTTGCCTGGAATTAAGTCTCCACAAGGAGAGGAGATAATAACAGATACTAGAGATGCCTTTCTTTGGTTCTGGAATTAAAATGCATTTGTGTACATTTTCAAAAGTATTCATAGTACTTTTCATAGTACAAAACATATATATGTTTTGAGTCTGTCATGCAACAGCATAAATTAAAAAGAAAAGGATTTTTCACTTCCATGAGAACTAAAAAACTCTTGGAAAATTGATGGCTGATTTGTTATGAACTTTACCATTGCCTGCTAAAATATCAATAAT
The DNA here is from genome assembly GCF_000001405.40 of Homo sapiens. NCBI lineage: Eukaryota > Metazoa > Chordata > Mammalia > Primates > Hominidae > Homo > Homo sapiens. The sequence continues at coordinate 33,976,917 of NC_000004.12, forward strand.
TCATTTTGCTGACAGAGCTTCAAGAGCTGTTGATAAAACATAGAAGACTCCAAATTTAGAAGCTCCACTTATACTGCATTAAGAAACATTTTTTAATGTTCAAAAATATGTTTCACAAAAGGAAATAAATGAATTATATAAGAGATTCAAAGAAACTTGATCTATCTCAAAATTATAGACAACAAAAGCAAAAACAGACAAATGAGATTGAATCAAATTAAGGAGCTTCTGAACAGCAAAGGAAACAATCAAAAGAGTGAAGAGACAATCTATGGATGGGAGCAAAGCTTTACAAACTATATGTCTGAAAAGGTATATTTGTAAATATATTTGTAATTCAAACAACTCAATAATAAGAAAAAATGATCTGATTAAATAATGGTCAAAAGATCTGAATAAGCATTCCTCAAAAGAAGACATTCAAATGGTCAACAGGTTTATTTAAAATGTTCAATATCACTAAAGAAATGCAAATTAAAACCATAAGGAGCCAAGGAGACCAGGGAATTTTACCCCCAAATATAGCACCATAGTTTGCTGATTATTTTAAATGAATGACCCTTGGAGACCAGCAGAGGCTGGAAGAAGCTCTACTCTGATACTCTGTTATGTGCCTAAAGATCAGACCCACCAAAGAAGAAAACAATTACTTCTGGTCCTTTCCCTGAGTTTTCATTAACTGAACTGGTATCTCAGGAAGAAAACCTGAAGTCTGTCAACACACTTGGACAGACTTTGGTGGCAAACCATTGTCTGCTCTGCAGCCCAAACAGACTTTGTCCTAGGCCACTGTATGTTTTCCAAACCCATTGAGTCCCCTACAAGTCATTCATTATCCTCCTTAAAATCATCCACATTTCGCCAACTCCTTTTCCCGTATTAAAAAAAAATACTCATCTGTACCCCACTGGGTTTTTCAGTAATCATTCTAGTGAGAGTTCCTCATCCTATACACATCAAAATAAAATTTGCATGCCTTTTCTCCTTTAATCTTCCTTTAGTTTAGTTGATTTTCAGTGAACTTTCAGAGGGGGAAAGAAAAGTTTTTCCTTTGCTCTAGGAGATAATACCCATTCTAACAGGTGTAAGGTGATATCTAAAGAAAATATAAGTTTGTGAAGAGAAAAATGGAATCTCTGCACACTGTCAGTGAGAATACAAATTAGTACGTCCATTATGGAAAACAGTATAAAGGTTTCTCAAAAAAATTAAAAATAGAACTACCATGTGATCCAAAAATTTCCACTTCTGGGTATACAACCAAAGAATTGAAATCAGCATGTTGAGCAGATATCTGTACTCCCACATTTTCACTGCAGCATAATTCACAATAGCCAAGATATGGAATCAACCAATATGTTCATCAACAGGTGAATGGAAAAAGAAAACATATGTGTGTGTGTTTGTGTGTGTGTGTGTGTGTGTGTGTGTGTGTGCAACGTAGTACTATTCAGCCTTAAATATTAAGGAAATTTTGTTATTTGTGGCGACATGTATGAGGCTGGAGAACATTATGCTATTGCTCTCCCTTGTAAGTGAAATCTAAAGAAGTTGAACTATTATAAGCAATCGGTAGAATGCTGGCTACCAGATACTAGAGGTGCAGTAGATATTGGGGATACATTGTTCAAAGGATACAAAACTTTAGTCAGACAGGAAGAATAAATTCAAAAGAAAGAAAAAAGAAATTTAACTGGACTATGGGAATGCCCTAACACAATAATAATTCCTATATCAAAACCTTTATTTGCTTTGGTTAGGGTTTTTTTTTTTGTTTTTTTGTTTTTTGTTTTTTTTTGATACGGAGTCTCACTCTGTCACCCAGGCCGGAGTGCAGTGGTGCCATCTCTGCTCACTGCAAGCTCCGCCTCCCGGGTTCACACCATTCTCCTGCCTCAGCCTCCCGAGGAGCTGGGACTACAGGCGCCCACCACCACGCCTGGCTAATTTTTTGTATTTTCAGTAGAGATGGGGTTTCACCGTGTTAGCCAGGATGGTCTCCATCTCCTGACCTCGTGATCTGCCCGTCTTGGCTTCCCAAAGTGCTGGGATTACAGGCGTGAGCCACCGTGCCTGGCCTGGTTAGGGTTATTATGTCATCAACAAATCATCTCAAAAAAAGATGAATTTTAAAGTCACTAGACTCTGAGCCTGCATACCAAAAAAGATTTTTTTAATACGAACATATTAGAGAGATGTAATATTCGTCAGCAGAATTATTTACATGCTACTCCTAATAAACCACAGGAAATCCTCTCTGAATAACTACCAGGAACCTTTTGGTAGTTGAGTTTCATAGAACTACATGTAAAAGGTAAGAGCTTTGTCTGTTTACTGTGTGTGTGATGTCTGGATGACCTGAGACCTTAACCTCTTCAAAAAAATGAAACAAAACATAAAAACTGATTTTCAGGCAATGGTAAAGACTCTCTTAAAAACCTTAGTTCTAACTTTTGGGATACCACAATATTTGAATCAGACAGAGAAAGTTATTTTATTTGTACCTAGGATTTATGCAAACGTGTGCTGATTTCCATAAAGTATCATACACCTTATATTCCTCAGTCCTCCAGATAAATAAAGTAGATAAATTAAATTTTAAAAAATAATTAACTAAGACTCAGCTATGTACTGGGTTAAAATCTCCAGAGTTTTATCATTAGTCTTTTTCCTCCTGCCTCTGCATTCAAGCACAGAATCTTTTCTTTGAACCTACATTTGGCAGGCCCATGAATTTGGGTCTAAGAGCACGTCCTGTGCCTGATATAAGCAAATCCTCTTCTAACCATTTCCAATGCCTAAAAGGGTTTATCTCTTTCCTAGAAACCCTGAAACTTAAAGACAATAGGATCTGGAAGGACACGCCAGTGGAAATTGGCTATCTCTGTGGACCAGGAAATTTCATCTACAAAAAGGTATTCCAGAAAGAAAATGCAGTCACCATGTTGGGAAGAAGTCTTTCAAGTGCTACTGATCACTCGTTTGGCTATCAGAGATTAAAACAAAATAAAACAAAAACCAAAACCAAAACAAAAGAGAAACAGCTCAGCTGGAGTCATGCTTCCCACGTGGAGACAGCACCCGGGGAAGACTTGACTGTGGTTCTCACAAGGCCTTGAAATTTAAGTTTTCAAGAGTAACTGAGCTTCGTATTGAATTCAGATAAAGAGGTAATCTAGAGAACATATTACATTTTAGATGGTCTTGCTGTCTTATTTCCAGTAGGTTTATTTTGACTACTTTAAGAATTATATTTTACTAGGAATCAAAAGTTATTTGCTACATGACCTTTTCTTTCTGTACTCCCAGTAATGGTTCTCACAATCCCCTTTCCAGTTAGCTCAAATTGTCCTCCCAGCAGAAACAGGACCTGGAATTGTATAACCAACAGTTTTATTATTGAAAGAGTAAAGGTGAGACCATCTTCATTATAATTGTTGATAACAAAATAAAACTAATATGCATCCAAGTACTCAAGCCTGGCTGTGGTTTGAATGTGTCCCCAAATTCCATGTGTCAGAAATTTAATTCCCAAATTTATGTGTTGTTGCTATTTGGAGGTAGGGCCTTTGGGATGTAGTGATAGATGATGTCATAAGAGTAGGGCCCCCGTGATGAGATTAGTGGCCTTATAAGAAAGGGAGGAGAAATATGAGCCATATGGTGCTTTCTGCCATGTTATGATGACCTCACCAGCACGATGACTTCACCAGATGTAGCTCCTCAACCTTAGACTTCTCAGTCCCCAGAAATGTAAGAAATAGTTTTCTTCATAAATTACCCCATCTTAGTATTCTGCTATCTCAACACACAATGGACTAAGACAAGTCCTACTTGTAAAACAAACAAAAACAATTAATTGGCTTAATCGAAAACATAAACATTCCAGCTAATAGAAAAATAGAAACTTGGCATTGTAAGATAGAGACTACAAAAAACAGGTCTACTGTTACTTAGTTAACTTTGTGATGTAACTTCTCTCCCATCTAAGTATAAATTGATACATGAAACTGAATTTCTATCATTCATGAATATTTTGTTGACTATTATAACATAGAGCTATTGGTTTAGATCCCATTCTGGAAAAAAAAATTACGCATAGGCTAGGTTTGTCTTCAAGACTTAAAATAATAATAGTTATATACATTAAACCCTCAAAGTTTAATCTGTGCCTTTCAGTTTGTACCTTATAATAAGACTTTTTGTTTGTTTGTTTTTGTTTTTGAGACAGAGTCTTGCTCTTGTCGCCCAGGTTGGAGTGCAATGGCATGATCTCAGTTCACTGCAACCTCTGCCTCCCAGGTTCCAGTGATACTCCTGCCTCAGCCTCCCAAGTAGCTGGGATTACAGGCCCCTGCCACCATGCTCAGCTAATTTCTGTATTTTTAGTAGAGACGGGGTTTCACCGTGTTGGCCAGGCTGGTCTCGAACTCCTGACCTCATCATCCACCCGCCTTGGCCTCCAAAAGTGCTGGGATTACATGCATGAGCCACTGCGCCCGGCCAAGACTTTTATATTAGATGATGACCATGGATGTTACTGAATTGCAAAACTGAGAAAAGCTATTTAGGAAGATTGAATAATTACTAAAAGGCCTATGTAGTCATGTGCTGCATCACAACATTTTGTTCAACAATGGATCATATTACAATGGTGGTCTCATAAGATTATAATGTATTTTTCATGTACTTTTTCTATATTTAGATATGGTTAGATACACAAATACCATTGTGTTATAGTTGCCTACAGTATCTGGTAACATGTACAGCTTTGTAGCCTAGGAGCAATAGGCTATACCATATAGACTATGTGCTGTAAGAACATCCAAGTTTATGTAAGTACATTACATCCTATGACGATCTCACAACAATGAAAAGGTGTATGTAATCGGTTGTGTCTGTTTGGCTATATAAAAGGGTGAGATTCCTTTCTGTCTGCATTCTCTTTAGTGGATTGCCTGTGATGTGCATCACATCCTGGTTTCATGCTTATTCAATAATAAAATTGCTTTTTTTCTCTTTTACCCCTGTAGAGAGGTTTTCAGGGTTGGAATAAGACTGTTTTAATTATATTTTCTCAACAAAACCTAAGTTGCTTTAGGATAACAAAGGTAGCTTTCTGATGTTCACCCATCCTTGATATTGGGAAGTTAGATATTTTATGTTCTACTCAAAAATATTTGCAAATCTAAAAACGTACTATAGAGTGATATAGAGTGAATACCTTATGCTCTATGAATATAAATATGAATATGAAAGAATGTTTTTATTATTGAAGATGATATTTCTCAAAGCCAAAATGTAATTTTTCCTTTATTAAAGGATTTTAAAATTACTAAAATGTACTACCAGTATGCTTCCTATTTTCAACAAATTAAATTATGGAAGGACATAGTTGATTGTAAACTTGGAAAAAGATTCATTTGAATTGAAATATGTATTCTGATATAATATTGTTATATTTAAAATCTTATAACCAAACTAATCTCTCATAAAAAATCCAATAGAAAAAAATTGAATAAAAATAAGACACAACTAATAAGAATAATAGAGGATAATGGATAACATTGTCAACAAATGTTGATTTAAAAGAAACATTCTTATCTGTATATTGTCTACTAAAATGTACTTTGTGTATATAACAATAAGTTAGATCTTGTGATATGTTTTTAAATTAGATTTCATTTCTCTTATTTATTCAAAATAATGTAGCCCCACAATCTCTATGTCTCCTTTTATAAATCCCATCTATCTCATGTATTTTCATGGTATGCTCTGAAGAAAAGACTGAAAGGAAAATATATGCCAGAAACCATTTGGTAGATTATATATTTGACTTAGATATGAGTATGAATAATATTTCCAATGAATTTCAATGTATTATAAGTTCAGAGAAAAGTGTTCCAATTTTAAAAATAAATAGCCTCTGGTCTCAACATAATTTCTCTAAGCTTGTGTTTCTTTTCCACTTCATTTTAATTCCTTCCTTGATGCTTCCAGATGACCTTTGGCAAGTAACTCAATTTTCTGTGCATTTTTCACTTTTGTCTAATAAGTATTTTCTGCTCCTCTTGATAGCAAAAAATCTTCTGCTGAATCTTTTCTTCATTCATTCATTCATGTATTTATTTTCAAGCTATTAATAATATACTTTAAATGCATATTAAATGCTGCATGTTTTCCTATGCACTTTCACATCTCTACTTGGGTGTGTAATTTGCACTCCACGTAATTTCGTAGCATTTTCCACTGTTAGCAAATAATTCATGCTCACTTCTTCCTAAGGACATTCTGCCATTCCTTTTCTTCCTAGAATAAATTTATCCCTTTTCCTTACCAGCCCAATTTTCATAAATTCTTAGTTCGATTCATTCAAATTCTCCCTACAAAAGCTTTATCAAAATCTCTAGACTTGTCATGTCCTGTGGTTTATGCTTTCATAACAACTTATAATTTTCTCAAACATCATTTATTAATATTTTAATAAACTAATTCTGTAGACAGAAATAAACTTTGATTTCTGTCTCTCCTTTTAGATTCCAAGCTCAAAGCTTCTTTGGCTTTTTCATAGTTGTTAACATAGTGACATGCTTAGCACCTTGCATATTGTTGATAGTTACTAAATGTATAACAAATAAGTAAATGAATATAAATATTTATGTATGTCATATGTATAACATATGTTATATATAACATATATTTATACATTAATTATATATAAATTATACACATACAGACACATACACACACATACACATATGAATCTAAAAGGGAATGTGACCATAGAATGAAAAAGAAAGCCTTCACCTCTGTTTGAGCAATTAAGTTGGCACCTTCTAAGTATATGGCTGAATCTACACACAGTAATTGCTTTATTTTCTTTTCTGAATTAAATATTTATTTTGCTAAGTAAACTATTTGATAGTTTTAACAAATAGATGAAGTCAAAATATTTAAAGATAATTTTAATGCAACCAGGATCTAATACAATAAAAGCTTTTCTTTCCTTACTGGGAATACTTGGGTCAACGACAGAAATAGATTTTTCACCCTACAAAACTACTGTAAGATTTTTTAATTTCTAGATAAGAAACAAGTATGTATCCATCAGGTAATTTACAAATGCCAAAATTACTGAGTTGGGTAAAATGTTTAAGCTCAATTTCTGTTAAGCTGATTTTCATTTTAGGTAAGGGAAAATGCCCTTCTTCCCTGAACAGGGCAGCATTTTATAGACGCCTTGGAAATGATTGATGAAATAGTGCCATTTTACTTTCCTGAACATCCTTGGTGCATCATGCAGTGGATTGAAAGGGCCAAAAGCTGAGAAATGGTTGGTATTCCTCTGGGATTTTGTGCCCACTGATGCGCTCCTGCCTTCTATCCTGTGACCCCCCAAATTTTCACATTTCGAAAGAACTTGGTTTGTTCTCTCTTGGTTCTACTACTTTACCAAATGAGAATAAACACAAGGGTTAACAATATAAGAAACAATATCTAATATATGTGTAGATAACATATATTTGGAAGAAGTGGAATTATAAGAAGGGCATGTTGAAGACAGCCAAATTCATGGAAGTGGTCAGTAGCTGAACCCATGTGCTTTATTAAGAGATGTTCTCTTCTTTCCCCTTTCTTAATGTTTCTGTTTCAGTTGTTTGTTCAATATTTTGTTGGCAGATTCAACTTCATTCTTCTCTATTTTTTTTTTTTCCTTTTTGAGATGGAATCTCACTTTCTTGCCCAGGCTGGAGTGCAGTGTTTCTATCTCAGCTCCCTGCAAACTCTGCCTCCTGGGTTAAAGCAATTCTCCTGCCTCAGGCTCCCAAGTAGCTGGGACTATAGGCACATGCCACCACACCCAGCTAATTTTTGTATTTTTAGTAGAGATGGGGTTGTACCATGTTGCCCAGGCTGGTTTTGAACTTCTGACCTCAGGTGATTTGCCTGCCTCGGCCTCCTTCCCAAAGTGCTGGGATTACAGGCGTGAGCCACCGCGCCCAGCCCATCCTCCTTTTAAATATATATATTTTATTATCTTATTATTTATTCTTTCCTTTTAAAGATTTTCTCTAGAAAATGTTAACCATCTCCATATTTTGAACCTTTATAATTTATTTCTCACTAATTTGTATCTCCAAAAATGATTTCCCTGTTGATGCCTAGTTGATGCCTAACATTAGATTTTTAACTGTCTCATAGATATTTCTTCTTGGATATTTTATAGTAGATCAAATTCATTACATGACTAGATGATTTCTAATCAAGAATAGGAATTTCTAAGGCAGAGATAAAGTTAGGAAGTTATCTCTACTTTGGTACGTTGACATTTTGGACAGATAATTCTTTGTTGTGGGAACCTGACCTAGGCATTGTAGAATATTTAGTATATTCTTCAGTGTATTAGTATTGGCCACAATTTAGCCAATATACTTGGCCTCTACCTGCTACATTCTACTAGCGCTCTTCCCCCACTTGCGATAATCAAAAATGTCTCCAGACACTGCCGAATATCCTTCATGCATGAAAATCACCCTTAGGCGGGAATCCCTGATCATGATGACATAGAACTTTATTCAGAAAGTAACACAAATAGAGATGAAGTAATAAAATTAAGAGGCATTTTGGAGGAAGACTCAGTAAGGTTAATGGTGTATATAGGAAATTAAAAATAAGGAAGAATCTCAAGTTGTTTTCTAGGTTGCTCATTAAAAATTTCCTAAAATTTCTTGTATTTTTAAATGTTTATCTTCTATGCTTCTCTTCATACTATTTCCTTTATGTAGATTTGTTTCCCCTTCCTGTATATGCTTAATAAAGTTCTATTTATGTTTAAGGCCTAAATTATCTATTAGTCATCATCATTGTGACTATTTCCCCAGCCTGAAACTCTAACACTGTCAGAATATTTTCTTTCTTTTTTAAGCCATTAGATATCATTTGTTGTGATAAGTTTATTCCCCATGTCTTTAATGATAGAACCTTGTGTCACCTTATACATCCTTTCACAACATATCACACTGCATGGCATACAATAAGTGCTTAAAAATGGTGAGTGATTTACTTAGCAATTAGACACAGGATAGTAACATTTTTTTCAGAATGTACAGTTACTATCATCACAGGTATTCAACATACATTAACATTAGTATTAATTTTGAAATAATATGCTGACTACAGTCTCCATGTATTTTTTCAAACATTTTTTGAATAGACAAAGTAAAATATAGATGTAAATTATAATTTTATTATCACAAAGTATTTGATATTCAGAATGGTTATACTTTTGTGTATGGAAACTAGAAGTTTATCAAGTAACTCAATAACCATCTCATATTAAACACAATACATGGTCAAAAATGACTTTGAGGAAGGTAAGTGATTCTCTAAGAGACAGAAATCCTGTTTGACATGAACTATTATCATTTTCTTAAAGTTATCTGTTAGATCAGGGAACGTGGGCTTAGACTCAGAAAAGATTGAAATATTAAGAGGGTCTGTTTTAAGCCTAAAATTTCAATCTATAAATATTCTTTTCAATTGTCTAGAAAATATATGAGGGGTTATAATTATACTTTAGAAAAGTCTTTATAAAATTAAGTTCAACATTGTAATAAAAATATTATACTCAGAATAAAGAATTAAAATGAACTTTGAAAGCCTATGTATTTCAAAGTAACTGTTAGAAAATTTTGTATGTATGTATCTTAATCAAGTGAATTGTATTGCTCAATCTCTTAAACACCATCCCTACTAGGTTACTGTAAATTATTTCACTAAGATTGAACTTCTTTAATAAAAAAAAATTATGCTTTTCACTTGTAGGAGAGTGCAATGGTATTTTGAGACTGCGTAATTTATTCTAAGAGTCTAAATTTTTAGTTTATAAATAACTCTTGCATTTTTAAAATTTAAAACACAAATGTGATTTTTATTGTGCCATCAAACAGAATTCTGGATTATCAATATATATCAAGTGGTAGAAGATTTTACATTGTTTAAATACCAGAATTAATTTAAGAAAAATAAAAATCTGGATATTTAGATGTCTATTTTGTTTGCAAGACCTCAAAAAAAACTAACTTGGACATTTATACAGAATTGGAAAAATGAAATGATATAATGATCTTTTGTAGGAAAAAAGCCTTCTATTTGGTACTCAGACACATTATTTAAAATAATCAGATAATAGAAAATGAAACAGTATATATTTGCGTTAATGGTTAAAAAATACTTTTCTCTTGCCAGTTAAGCAGAAACATATTCCATTATGCAAATGTACTTTTTGTTTTCTGTACTCTATTCATCTGCCTCCACATAAAACTCATTAGGTAAAGTTAAACATACAGATTTTAAAATCAGTCATAGTATTTTTATCTCTGCTATGGCAAATCTAAAAGCTGGCCTGCCTTATAATCACCCTCTTCCACTTTTTACATTTCACTTTACCACATATTTGATATTTGTCATCTCTAAACTACCGGGAGTCACCAGTTGATAGTTTATTTTTAATTAAGATTGCAGTGCTTATTGTTTGATTTAAGTTTGAATTTCTTCTTTAGTAATTAACCCTTGCAAGGGAAAGCAAGTTTCATATCTATTGAAGCAGCCATTTTCTCAGTTTTGTGCCAAGGTTTATATATTTAAAATGAAAATTACATGAGTTTTTTTTTTTTATTTCTAGAGAAAGTTCTCACACTAAAAACAAAACAAAACAAAACAAAAAACAGAAAAAGTTTATGCTATGTGAAATTTAACCTCCTTTGTTAATCACACTTAATGAGACTTGCAACAACAATTCCACAAAATTGGTTGTTGTATACTTTTTTAGTGATCCAAAGTTTTCACTAAATGTTGACTTTTCAGGATTCATAGCTGGAACTTTGACTATTTCTACAAAACAATCATAAATCAATAGCACGTTATTTATTGATATTTGACTAAAATATTACTATGATTATAAGAATAATATTGTTAATTATATACTAAATCGCATTTAAAATAACCTTATATTGGGGCAATATCACCACTTGATATTTATATTATTAAAGGTGTAAATAAATTCATCTAAAAACCTCTGTACTGGGACATCACTCAATGTCCAAAACATTATAGGAGGCACTTTAAGTAATATATTATTCATTTGATCCATTTGTGAGTTATTATTAGTGACTTTATAAAAATCCCACTTAGTAAGACCTAGTATGTTGAAAGAACGAGATTTTGAAAATACTTTCAGACAGAAGCAATTTCAAGGGCATATCTGTGCAGTCACATGGTGTCCCACACTCAGAAGGGCTTTGTGTCTGAACTTACAATTCACCCCAAATATATACATATATTTTTCTCTAGGTTTCTTTACTTCTTCATATGGGTTTGATTTTTAAAATACATTATGTTTCCTAGGTCTTGAAATAGCTTTAAAAATAAAATCTGGGTTTTCAAAAATTGTGGACAATGCTTTCAAAGAACAGATTTTCCTTTATATATATATTTAAATTTACTCTGTTAAAATAAAATAAACAATTCCTTTCCACCATAGGAAAGGTGGGCAAAATCATGACTTGGGGCCAAATCCAACTATGCCAATCCATTTACCTATTGTTTACAGCAGGGGTGAGTAGTTGTAACAAAGACCATGTGGTCTGCAAAGCCTAAAATACGTATTATCTGGTCACAGAATAAGTGTTCTGACCCTGATTCCTCCATTAGAGCATAATAAATATTCTTTTTTGTGTATAGGTGAATACTAGGTGGGAATTTTATTTATTGCAGGACACTGACAAAACAGGGAGAAGTCAGCCATACGACTTACAAAACATTAACACTTTATATTTTTACTGAGTTAATTAGTGGCCCCTAAAAACTCATGCCCACCCGGAACCTGTGAATGTAAACTTATTTGGAAATAGGATTATTATAGATGTAATCAAGTTCATATATAGTCATATTAAACTAGTGCAGCCACAAAATCCATTATTGAACTTAAGACATTGGATACTAGATAATTTCCTTTCCCTAATAAGGGAGAAATTTGGACATAGGCACACACACAGATGAAAGATGATGTGAATATACAGAGAAGGAAGATGATGTGAAGAGATGAAGACATGAAGACACAAGGGAGAAGACTACTTGATAAAGAAAGTAGAGATTTCAGTGCCAGGTCTACAAAATGAGGAATGAAGGTAGAAGATCAAGGAGGCATTCATTCCCAGAGCCTTTGTGGGGATCATGGTCCCACAGAAAGCTTGATTTTGGACTTGTAGCCTCCATAACTGTGAGAGAGTATGTTTCTGTGACTTTTGGTCACCCAATTGTGGCACGTTGTTATGACAGCCCCAGCAAAAGAACAGTATTTTAAATAATGTTGATGAATTGTTTAAATATATTAAAGCTATTAAACATTTTCTAACATTTTCTTGATTTAAAGTAGAAGACTTATGGTTATTAGTATTATAGCAGAAGCCTTATACTCTAAATAGGCTTTTACCGTATGGCAATGTTACAAAATACATAAATACTTTATTTCTTTTGACAAAATAAATTGTATTGCATTTTAATTATAAATTATGACTTAATTATTCAACATATTCCTCAAAGGTAAGATAGGTTATATGAAGGTTTATCTTAATATTCATTTAATAAAAGACCAATCATTATTATGATTCTTAAGAGCATACAAATTAAAGTTATGGTAGAAAGTGTAGCTTAATTTCTTCTTTTTATTACTTATCTCTGTTAATTTTATAACCATTAAATCATGTAAAGCAATTATTGCCAATCATCACAACCCAAGAGCAATAACTGTTTTATTTCTTAATTAAATACTTATTTAGTGCACTTCATTTCAAGTGTTACCAAATACTTATTAATTTCTTGTTAGGAATAAACTTATTTGTAATTCAGTAGGACAGCTTGGATATCTAAACTACCGGGGATTTTGAAAAAAATAATTTTGTGAAAATTACATAATCAAAGAAAAACATGAAAGCATGGGTAACTATGACATACACTGAGTACCCATTTTTTTTGTAGCAATTTATTACTTTTACTTACTCATAAGCTTTCCTGGTACATTCCAGGATGCTCTACATATTTTAGTGCTATTAGATACCACTGAACTTGTGCTGCCACATTTATCACTGTGTAATTTGTAGATCCAAGTGCTGTTTTCAGAATCCCAAACAACATTTATTAAATTTGCTAAGTAATTATATTTACTCATGATAATTTCAATTCCACAGTGAGAATCAGTACAGGTGTGACTAGCAGTTATATTTCTTCATGCACAGAGCCCCTGCTGTACATAAAGCATCCAGTAGTAATTTTCTTTAATTCACTTAATTGCTTGGGGCTTCCTGAGCCACTCTTTTCCCCTAATTTGATGCTTTCCGTTGTGTTTCATAGAAAACCGAATAGGCTGAAGTGGGGCCACTTATAATTACAAGAATTGAAATACAAGCACACTTGTGTCTAATATAGTCTTGGAGTCAACCCTGCAGCATTTACATGGGTATCTATGTGATACAAACAATTTGAGAAACTCTAATAGCCCAGAAGCAGAGAGGGAAACAAGGAAAGGAAAGAAATGCAAAATAAGACAGATGTTTGCTGTTCTTAAAATGATTATGAAGTTTACTTCTAATATAATGATACTAAAATCCAAACCAATCTTGTGACAATTCTCTTTTTTACTGTTTCCGGATTTAAAATTATATTCATGTGTTTTCCAAAGATACGTTATTAATGTACGTTCAAGTGTTATTGCACTTCTTGGAGTACATCAAACATATTGTGTTTGTGTGTGTGTGTGTGCGTGTGTGTGTGTATGTGTTTCTACTGACCTTACCTGTGCACATTCTGCTTCATCTAACTAAAGTGCAAGGGAGCAGATTTATTTTGTGCTTTTAGGTACACTCAGTTTTTGTTGCACGTGTTTTAAACAAATGAACAATTTGATGGGTGAATAGTGCTTTTAGTACCTTTAAAATGCTAAATAATGATCACTAAAAGCTCTTGCAATGTAATATTTTAGCTTTCAGCATCACAATTAAATAATAATTAGTTAATGAGTTCAGTTCACTGCACTTGTGCAGTATATAAAAAGGTAAACTAATGTTTTAAAGTGTTTAAAGAAACAGAACTCTTCATATACTCTGCAAAAATTTCATTCAATGAAACATAATTGAAGAAGCAGTTTGCTTTTGGAAAGCTCAATTACCATAGAAAGTAAAATGCTATTACTGAAGAAACAGTTTTCCCTAGAACAAAGCAAATGGCTATACAATTTGAAATCTAACTTGCACCTGCATGAGTGAGAGATAACTTTTGATTCCATTAATCTCTGTCACTCTTAGCAACATTGTGGGTATTGTGTACAATTTGAGGAAAGCAACATTGGCTAATGTAAATGGAAGACACCTGTGTAATAAAAGCATTTTGTTCCATTTATGTTTTTAACTATGATATTTAGATGATGAGCCTGAATTTACCAGGAAGCTGTCCACGCCCAGAGGAATGTCTAAACATACTACCTCTATATTATTATTGGAATAGCTGAAAAATTACTCTGGTCCAACAAAAGAGATGCTCTTCTATTAATTTAAATGGGTTTGTTCTTAAGATTTTGAAGATTTAATCCATTGAGAACTGACTTAAATAGAAAAACTTCTTGCCCGGAAAAAACATAAACATCACAAAATCTCCATGTTAATTTGGGAGGAGGCACATATTTCCTAAAGCTGTCCTTGAGAATTGACAGATTCTAGGAAAAGATGCCTTATTCAAATAGCTACCCCACTAACAAAGCTATTTGTCACTGTGTCTCTAGCACACTGCACTGTTACCTCATATACAGATTTTACTCTGTTACGGCTCAGAAAACGTTACCCCAAAGTATGGCACTTGGGCATGTTGAGTACTTTGAAATAAAGGAAATAGAAGCCTCAGAAGCAAAGTCTGTCTGACCGTCTCCTGTACTCCTATCTCCTGCTGCCTTTCTCTCCCTGAAGTGATTCATACAAACCAAGGTTTGTCTTCCTCAAAGCAGGTTACATAAGCTAGAACTACCTTCCCCCACAAAAAGCCATAAAACCTGGACAAGCCACACTCATCCTTCTCCCTTGACCACCCTTATTTCCTCCAGGTTTGTTGCCCCAGGTATGGAGCAAGAGGTGTCTTGCCTCATATTTGGAAATAATGAATGCTACACAGAGAGACAAAGAAGTATCTGAACAAACAGACCTTGCAGGTACAGTTCAATTTTTACTAAATTAATAAATCTAATGTTCTATTACCACTAGATAATCCCCTTTTGTCCAATTAGATTTTTTACATGGCTACCCATTTTTCATCTAACCTAAGCATAAAACAACACTTTTCCCTGTGTCCTTGGGCCTTCATTTCTGAAATCTCACGTCACATAAATATTTGATTAAATAAATTTGTTATGCTTTTCTCTTGTTAATATGTCTTTTGTTATAGGAGTGTTGGCCGTGACACCTATGATGGGTGAGGAAAGGTATCACAAGTTTTCACCCTTACAACTCTTCTTGAGCCTTCAAATCACCCACTGCTTAGATAGTTTCTTTTGATATGGTTAGCATATGGTCGTAACAAAACTCTTTCTATTCCCAATTGGCACTAAAAACAACAACAACAATACATATATTCTATTAAATATTTTACCAATAATATTTGATATTTTACAATAAATTTTCTTCTAAATATGATACACTTTATACATTATTTCATTGTTTCACATTTAGGAACATTTTTGTAAATAATTATGTAAATCTCTGATTACTCTTAGTGCATATTCTTAGTTCTGAAATTACTTGGTCAAAAAGTGTGAATGTGATAAAATTCTTGAAACACATTAAGTTGCTCTCTACAAGATCATAACAATTTATATTCTTACCAATGTTGACAAAAAGAGCCAAAATCTGTAAAATAGTTGAAGAGATTGATTGTTAGCCAAGTATGAGTGAGCAATGGCCTATAGCACAGCCCTCAAGAGATCCTAAGAAAATGTGCCTATGGTTGTTGGGACACAAATTGGTTTTATACATTTTAGGGAGGACAAAAGACATCAATCAATACATGTAGGATGTACATTGGTTCACTCCAGAAAGGCATGACAACTGGCTTCCAAGTCACAGTTAGATTCAAAGATTTTCTGATTGGCAATTTGTAGGAAGAATTAAGTTATTATATAAAGACTTAGAATCAATAGAAAGGAATTGTCTGGGTTAAGTTAAAGGGTTGTAGAGACCAAGGTTTTATTATGCAGACAAAGCCTCCAGGTAGCAGGCTTCAGAGAATATTGTAAATGTTTCCTATCAGACTCAGAGTCTGTTCTATCAGCAATTCCAAAACAGAGGAGGGTATAATGAGACACGGCTGGCTTCCCATTCCCATCATGGCCTCAACTAGTTTTTCAGGTTAACTTTGGAATGCTCTTGCCTGAGAGGACAGGGTCTATTCAGGTGGCTAAGGGGCTTCAGAATTTTACTTTTGGTTTATACCAGTGATTTGGGACTCTCAGGGCTCAGGGTACATCTGAGCCTAACTCTCATATGACTGTTGGAGAGCAGAATGTGCCACTGCAAAGTAGATTCGTTTGGTATATTTTCAGCTGGCTATCCTGAAAAACTGCAGACAAAGGAGTAGCTCTGAAAACTGTCCTTTTGTAATCTATAAAGAAAATCTACTGAAGAAAATAAAAATATTTTATGCTGTACTAGTTTGTTTTTACAGTGCTATAAACAACTGCCTGAGATTGGGTTATTTATAAAGAAGAGAGTTTTAATTGACTCACAGCTCCACATGCCTGGGGAGGCCTCAGGAAATTTACAATCACGGTGGAAGGTGAAGGAAAAGCAAGCACCTTCTTCTTCACAAGGGGGCAGAAAAAGAGACAGCAAGGGGGAAACTGCCACATATTTTTAAACCATCAGATCTCATGAGAACTCCCTCACTATCACAAGAACTGCATGGGGGAAACCTCACCATGATTCGATCACCTCCAGCCAGGTCCCTCCCTCAACACGCAGGGATTACAATTCAAGATGAGATTTGAGTTGGGACACAGACCTGAAGGATATCATACCCCAAAATATGGTTATTTGGCATACATGGAGATGGCTGTTCAGAGAGCCAGCAAACAGATGTAGCCTTACAAAGCTGTCTTTTGTGTCAGGGATTTGCATCTGTGGACAATCTGCATTGATGTAGCCTGGACTTCCCTTTCCTGGATCTAGCAAAGAGTAACTGAGAGTCTGACAGCTTTAAAGGCCTGAAAGAAATATATACCATCTATTCTATCTGAGGGCAGCTACATGCAAGGTTTCATTTACATTACAAGGTCACCTTTGCTAGCCAAGCCTCCACTTCTCTTCCATCCATAACCTGCCTTGCTACTATAACTTGATTTACCACCATGACCTGTTTTTGCCTGGGCTCTGAGTCCCCATTCTATCTGTAACCTCAAGGTGGTATATAAGCTTCTATACTCCACTAGGGGTTTGGGTAATCACTCCGGATCTCTCCATGTGCACCTTAATAAATAAGATGGCTTTTCTCTTATTAATCTTTCTTTTGTGAGTTGAATTTTCAGTGAAGCTTCCAAGGGTGAAGGGGAAGTTTTCTCCTTGCCTCTTCACTGCTTTAGTAAAAGTACTTAATACAGATGTCCAATACAGGAAGATAGCTCCTCTGAGACAATTTTATTACCTGAGAGATTTTTGATCTGCAGAACAAGACAACATTTATTTACCATACATCTCCACCCCTCACCCTTATAACTTGTCTTCACCAACCTTCAGAAATCCCAAGCCTCAATATTTTTCTATAGCTCAGAATGCTATATAAGCATCAATCATCTGGCTTTTCACTGAATCTCATATTTCTGTTGGACTCCTGTGCATGTACATAGTTAACTATAGTTTTTTTGTTGGTAATCTGTTTTATGATCATTTAATTTGTAGTCTAATGAAATAATCTAGGAAGGTAAAGGGAAGCCACTTTTTCCTCAATGATAATGAAAAGTCCATTTCAATATGTCATCAATAACTCAACAACATAAAGTTTATCCATTGAAAAAAACAATAAAAAATAGCATTTATTGTGATCATCCTATGAAAGTCATTTCCCGTGAAACAGCCCATATAAAGGGGTTATTGGCAAACCCCCAACCAAACTGCACACTGGGATTGGTGTGCACTGTGGTGGAGCCTCAGGAAGTTTGTGCCATTTGCAGCAGGGAAGAGCCTGGCTCCTCCTCTTCCTGGGTAGAACCTGGTATTCAATCTGCAAGGCAGGAAGTGAACAGCAGGGACTCTGGATTTGTGGAGGGTCCCTTTTCCCCTTTTTTCCCAATAAATCCCATTTTCCTCACCCTTCAAATTGTCTGCAAGACAAATTTTTCATGGCCATGTGACAAGGATCCCATCTTTAACTGAACTGAAGAGAGAATCCTGTAACACAGAGACCCTTAATCACAAAACAGATAATAGGCCAAGTCAGTGACTCATGCCTATAATCCCAGCACTTTGGGAGGCCAGTGCTGGTGGACTGCTGGAGTTCAGGAGTTCGAGACCAGTCTGGGCAACATGGAGAGACCCCATCTCTACAAAAAATATAAAAACTAGCAAGCATGGTGGCACACACCTGTAGCCCAAGACACTTGGAAGGCTGAGGTGGGAGCATGGCTTGAGCCCAGGAGGTAGAGGTTGCAGTGAGCCAAAATCACTCCACTGCACTCCAGCCTGAGTGACAGAGTGAAACTGTATCTCAAAACAACAAAAACAAAATCCACAGGTAATAGATTTTATAACAACTACAGGGTAAATGAAAAATCAATTTGATATGACTACTTTTTTGATAACTATTGTCAAATCAAAAATTGCACTGGATAAAGTTAAATAGACAAGGAATACTTTATTCAAAGCCACTGCAGTAGGCGATAGAGGCCAGAACTCACTCTGAACTCAACTCAGATGAAACAAGAAGTGGGAGAGTTTTTATATACTAGGGTAAGCCAGTGAAAACGTCTTGCAAGATGTTGCAAGAAAACGTCTTGCAAGATCTGTGGGATGTATGGATCACATTTAGTTATTCCTGAGTTTTCAAATGTTTTTCTTTGAGATTATGTCATCTGTGTTTGCTAATTGGTACCCATTGATGTTAGGAGTCTGCCCTCCCAAGGAGATTGGAAAGTGGGGTGATATCTCCTCAAATACTTACATTTCAAAGAGATGGTTCCCAGATCCTTTAGGAAGACATTCCTAAATTCTAAACTGGCAAAATGCTTTTAACAAGATTTACATCTCAAAGGGGCGAAGAGATAATATGGAATGATAAGTGTTCTAATGTAAATGTTCTAAGAAAAGAGAGGTCAGAGGCCTAGAATAAGAAGAATCCTGTCTAAAGATTAGTCAAGCTGAGGGGAATATTAACATCCTCTTGATTTCTTGCAATAATAGTTGA
Source organism: Homo sapiens (assembly GCF_000001405.40). Taxonomy (NCBI): domain Eukaryota; kingdom Metazoa; phylum Chordata; class Mammalia; order Primates; family Hominidae; genus Homo; species Homo sapiens. The sequence goes on from NC_000004.12 coordinate 33,996,408, forward strand.
AGGTACAGCATTAATGTCAGAGGCACATGAACCAGGACAACTCCATCTTGAATAGGAGCTGTGTAAAATGAGGCTGAAACCTACTGGGCTGCATTCCCAGACAATTAAGGCAGTCTAAGTCACAGGATGACATAAGAGCTTGGCACAAAGTACAGGTCATAAATCCTTGCTAATACAGGTTGCAATAAAGGAGCCAGACAAAACCCACCAAAACCAAAATGGCGATGAGGGCGACCTCTGGTCGTCCTCACTGCTACACTCCCACCAGCACCATGACAGTTTACAAATTCCATTGCAATGTCAGGAAGTTACCCTATATGGTCTAAAAAGGGGAGGCATGAATAATCCACCCCTTGTTTAGCATATCATCAAGAAGTAACAGTAAAAATGGGCAACCAGCAGACCTCAGGGCTGCTCTGCCTATAGATTAGCCATTCTTTTATTCCTTTACTTACTTAATAAACCTGCTTTCACTTTTCACTTTGGACTTGCCCTGAATTCTTTCTTGCATGAGATCCAAGAACCCTCTCGTAGGGTCTGGATTGGGACCCTATTCCTATAACATATTTCTGGTGACCACAGAAGGGACTATAATGCAAAAACCCTGACCCAACGGCCACCTTTGGGTAAGTGTGGTAATACTTTAAGAAATTAAGCCAAACTAGCAAAGAATTTGCCTTTATGATGGAAGAAATGATATGTCATTGAAATTTAGATTAGGTAAAGGTTTAGACTTACTTCCTTTAATATCACATTTATGAGGGAATCTTTGCTGCAGCATGGTTTAGAAATTATACTTTTTGCTAAGGCTCTTGTTTCGTGTTTCTATTTGAATGATCATTAGCCTTTGGGACTCAGATGTTTGAACACAGAGAAACATGGGGAAAGATATACGGAAGTCTTTTCTGAGCTGGATTTTTAAGTTCAAGAGAACCTCTAAGTGACAACCTAGACCTAGATCAGGAAATATTCTCAGACAATTTATACGTGTTGGATCTGGATGTTCGGATAGATCCTAGTTACAGAATGTGTTTCTGAGATCTGAACTCCAGGAAAGGCATTCTAATAAGAGATGCCAGTTATTTTAAAATGAATATATTACAGATTCTGTTCTCATGTAGTTTACAATCTAGCAAAAGTGATAAGTTGTGCATATAAATGCACTCAAGAAGCAGATGATCTACAGATATTACATATAGATATGTATTTATTGATAAGTTTAACATTTTAATAATCTATTTTTCTTATTGCCATCTATTAAACTCATTAACTTTCCTTTCACTTTTTTCTGCAAACCTTACTATGTTTCAGAGTAATTGCTTTTCTGTGAATATTCTATTGCTCTTCTCCTCAAGGGAAAACATTCTGTTGTCTATTCATATGTTTTTGTCTTTTCCTTCAGTTAATTTACTGAGCTCTAGCTACTATTTGCTCTCAAGGTGAACTTCCTGCATTTATTATTAAAAAGTGACATCATGTAAGAGTTCAATTCTCTAGGTTATAAAAGACACAGGTACTCTGTTATTATGATGTAAATGTATTATACCCTATGGCAAAAGTAAATGCTTTCTTCTTCCCCAAAGAAGATTGCTGCAAACGTTTTCTGGTTTTATTTATTATCAGTTTTTTAACCTATTACTGCATTTCAGTCCATATTAAAATATGCAAAGGAATAACGTTCTTGTCTCATGGTTTATTTCTTGTGTTTTTTTTTCTTAATCACTTCCAATAACGTCATTAAATAATTCTATTAATTTACACTTAAGAAAAAAACAAACTGGCACAATAGATATGATTCCAGCTCTTCCATTACCAATAGTCTAGTGAAATTCATTGTAATGCCTGCAGCATGAAACATTTATGATTAATATCAAATTTACTTAAAAATTATATATCATTTGTTAGGTTATGTGAGATTTCCTGGCCTCGTCAGAGACTTTAGTATTGGCCAGGCGCAATGAGGAGAGAAGTGGATTTGGAGAGACAGCAAGCCAAGACAAGTCAGCTTGCCTCTTCCTGTGCTAAGCAAGAGAAATTGGCTGTCACTGCAGTAAGCATAAGCCTGGCTAAAGGCAAACCATATAATTATGTGATGGAGGTGACTTTTCTCTGTCTCCTGCCAAATAAAGAATGATACTAGCTCCCTCCAAACACAAAAGGAAGAGTGAAGCCGAAAAAGCACCAGACAAATGTTAATGCTTTCAAGTCAAGAACTCCTTTGAAAAATCTCTCCTACAGGGGGAAAAGTAAACAAAAGAATACACATTCACATTTTTTCTACCATTTTTGCAGCTGAACAGACCCTTGCTTGCAGCAGCAATTTATGGACCCCAAGTTAAAACTTTTTTCATATAAGAAAATAAAATGTTAGAAAGGAAAACCTTACGTTTTCTACCCCAGGTCTAGATCTCTAGTGAAAGCATGAGAAAAGACTGAAAGAAAGAAACTGACTTTCTTTCATTTCATCTTGGATGGAATTTTACTGAGTCACAGTCAATTGACACTTTTTAAAAATCCTTAAATTCATTTGTTAATAAAATAATTCAGAAAAAGTATAACAAAGTCAGATTGTTAATTTCACATACTTTAAACAATTTTGCTTGCTAGAATTTAGAAATTAAAGGTGCAAACCCATTTGCACTTAACCTCAGCTAGGGTTTAGGCTGCTCTTATCTATCCAAACTGACTTTCTGCATGAGAGGAATTAGATTACACATCTCATGTGCTTGCATCATGCATACGTTAGGCAGAGAAGCCACTTGCTTATTTTAAACAATAGAGGCATGCACCCCATAACGACTTTTCAGTCTAAATGACAGACTGCATATACAACAGTGGTCTGATAAGATTATAATAGTGTAGTTTTAGGTACCTTTTCTATGTTTAAATATGTTTAGATACACAAATACCACTGTGCTAAAATTGCCTACAGTATTCAGTTCAGTAACATGTTGCACAGGTTTGTAGTCTAGGGGAATAGGCTATGCCATATAGCCTAGGTATGTTAGTAGGCTATACCATTTAGGTTTGTATAAGTATACCCAATGATGGTTGCACAATGACAAAATCACCTAATGGAGCAATTTATTTATTTATTTATTTATTTTATTTATTATTTATTTATTTATTTATTTATTTATTTATTTATTTATTTTTGAGATGGAGTCTCGCTCTGTCGCCCAGGCTGGAGTGTAGTGGTGCGATCTCGGCTCACTGCAAGCTCCACCTCCTGGGTTCACGCCATTCTCCTGCCTCAGCCTCCCCAGTAGCTGGGACTACAGGCACCCGCCACCACGCCTGGCTAATTTTTTTTGTATTTTCAGTAGAGACGGGGTTTTACCATGTTAGCCAGGATGGTCTCGATCTCCTGACCTCTTGATCCGCCTGCCTCGGCCTCCCAAAGTGTTGGGATTACAGGCGTGAGCCACCACACCCGGCCCTTATTTATTTATTTTTTGAGACGGAGTCTTGCTCTGTAGCCAGGTTGGAGTGCAGTGGCACGATCTCGGCTCACTGCAACCTCTGTCTCCTGGGTTCAAGAGATTTCCCTGCCTCAGCCTCCTGAGTAGCTGGGACTACAGGCGTGCGCCACCACGCCCAGCTAATTTTTGTATTTTTAGTAGAGACAGGGTTTCACCATGTCGAATGGCACAATTTTTAGAATGTATCCCCTTAGTTAAGTAGTGCATGCCTATATATTCTATATCGTATATATTATTTTTTAAAGCTTGTTTACAACTCATTATTTATGTGATAGTACCAGAGAAGAAGTCTTATCATTATAGTTTCTTCTTGGCTTCTTTATGCAGAAGACTATATGTGCTAAGAAGAAAACTTTTAATATACGATTAAAAATATCCTGTATATAAGATCTATAGTCATTTTGAATACATAAATTCTGAAAAAAAATTATAAAATACAACCGATTTCTTTGGTCATGTAAAGTGGAAACATGGCTTATTAAATGAAAACTCCATAACAGAAAGGAAGCTCTCCCACTTGGAGTGATTTTTGATGCTGATGCCATTAATGATCTTCCAATAACTAACACTAATTATCTTGGCATTAAGTTTCTGGCTTACTCAGAAATAAAAGCTTATGATCCCTTAGGGATATGGACTCGACAGAGGAGTTCAACTCCACAGCAGCTGAGCGGGCAGAATATGTCAGAATGTCAGACTGTGAATTTGATGTAAGAATGTTAAGAGAGGGAGATCACCAGTCTTTGTGATTTTGTGGCCATTAAGTCACATTTAGTATGAGAACTGATTTCACAAATTACATACGACACTCAGAAATACATTCACTAAAAAAAGGAAGACACATCCCTCTATCAGATTAATGTTTCTCAACTTCATTTTTAAAAATACATTTACCTTTTCCTAGGAGCATTCATGAACATTTCTTTTTCCAAGTCATTGCCTTCCATTAAATTTTAATACCACAGTTATACTGTGTATTTATTTACTATATTTATATCCATACTTTATACATAAAATAGTATAATCTTATTATTATTATTATTTTACGTAGCCAGTTTTGGTCCCTGAGGGACAATATAACTCCCATTACTCAACTGTTGCTTGACAGAAAGAAAAATTATTCCATAGAGGAGTAATACTTTTTTCTTTAGATTCTAGATACCCACTCTTTTCTTCACTTTTTCTTAGCTAAGGATAACTTTTATTGAAAATCTATTTCTCAAAGAAATCATTTCTAGTTAAACACAATATAGTTACTGTAAAGTGGGTAGTTTGACCACTAACTGTGCATTGAAAATCGCTAATTCTATACCTGTAGCTTAGAATCTGGTTAATTCTATATCTTTATTCTAGAATTTTGCCGTATACTTTAGTGAACGCTAAACATTTCTACCTGAAGGACCCTCAGCTACCTTAAGGCAAAATGTGCACTGTACTTCTTCTTTCATAGAAAATTGATCTTTGTCAAAACTACTTCTTCTCATTTATCCACCACTTCTATTTGTCCTATATGTATACTGACTCCAGGTTTGTAATCTCTGAAATTTATTATGATTTCTTATATTTATTCTTTGCTCATCATTTACACAATGCCTGTGTTATATCGACTCTCCTCCTCCCATATATACATTACTGAATTATTCTGTTATCTCTCTGACTTCAGTTTTGACTATGAACTCAGTCATCTTCACTGTTTCTTGGATAATTTCAGTAATACAGAAATCTATTTATATGATTCCTCTTTTTTGAAATGACTCCCCATTTCTCAAGAAACAGTGTTAAACCTCTTTAGCTGAACATATGGACCTGACCCTGGTCTGACATATCCAGTTTTATATTTAACCACTTCTATGCAATTTCAAAGCAATATTAAATTAATTATGTCAATTTCTGCAATTACTCCATGTAGTTATACTTTTCTGAGGCTTTGTATATGACTGCCAACCCCCCAGCCTTCTTAAGTGAGCCTTCTCAACCTTCAAAGTCCAGTTCATGCTGTACTTCTATGAAGACTTCCTCTACTCTCTAAGTGGCGTTTAAGCTCAAATTGTGCTACTTTGTTATTTAACAGTGACTTCAACTATAACAATTATAATATTTGTCAAATATTTTTATGTCTGCCTCAATTATGCTTGATTGCAAGAAAATTTTAATTCATTTTTATATCTACATCAGGTGGTCCAACTCAATGTTTACTCACATAATAAATGAATTAGATAATGAATAAATGAATTAATAAATGTATTATCAATAAATGAATGAAAAAATTCGGAGGAGGAAATATGGCTAGAATGAAGGAATTTAACAACCACCACCACCAAAACAATATCAAAATAGCAAAAAGTCACTAAGCAATTTAAATAAAATTATTCCTATACCAATAAAATGCAAAGCAATTTTATATTCCCTCTCTAAGTTAATATACTATCTGGGCTTTCAAAAAAAGGCATACTATTCTAGTCAGTGATAAATGAATTATGCTTTCTTAGTGAGTGATACAGTAACCTTGTAAATGTTTGAATCCATAAGCCAATGAGCCTTTTCACAAAATGTAACAGTGTGTTTGCTAGTGTGCTGATATTGTTATCATATGCTTATATGTACTTATAAAAAAAGTACTTTAAAAAATGAAATGCCCCAAAAGATGTACTGTAAATATTCAAGTAAAATAAAAGTATGTTCTGTTTTCTAGAGTGAATTTCAGTATCTCATGCTATCCCAAATATAAATGAGGCAATTTTCTATAAAATCAATTATTAATCCTACCAATTATATATAAAATACCAAAATGTCTGATATCAACATTATCTATTTAAACTAAAATAAGTAACTCATTCAACTAAAAGGATTTGCATTTATACTTGAAGCCTGTTGCTGGAGTACTTGGCCCAAGGATTTGTTATTTCTCTTTTTTTTCCCCTTAGTCAAAGTCTGTCTTAAACATATTCCCCAACTAAGCCTCATTTTGATAGTTATGAGACATTTTGACTATTCTTTTGAAAATAAAAAAGTATCCAGTGCCTGTCAAATCTCTAAAGCTTTAGTCTGATGTGAGTTTTAAAAAAGAACTGAATTTTTAGTTGTACAGATGATTAATGAGAGAAGACTGTGCACTGAAACACAAAGAAGGAGGTTAATGGGCCATACACACTTAACTGGAATATTATGGAGGAACTGGAAAATGTCACATATTAAACAGGTGCAGCATTAATCCAAGCTTCCCTGAAAGTTTTTCACATAGAACCTTTTAGGTAATAAAAGAAAAATAGAAGGTATAAATTGAAATAGATAAAATTTAAAAATAAGTAAGATTAGTGATACAAGGAAAAGAAGAAAACTTCCATTGGTAGTAGTATATATGCATAGTTTTGTCTAGCTAGATAATGTAAGGGGATCAACTGTTATTTGTATCATCTGTTCCTCTGTCAGATCTGAATTCAGAGCAAGGAAAAAATTTGAAAAAATAAAAACAATTATGTGAGCACACTATGCAGTTTGTGGTCTAATTTTATTAAATTATTTGTATTCAATCCGAATGTCAAAATTTCTCGCTTGACCAAATTGCTAGTCTACACATCAAGCATGCTTGCATCATTATCTATACCACCTTGTCTTATTTTGTTGAGATTTAATATCTCGATGCTAATTATCCTTATTTCATGCTTCTCCTCTTCTGAAAGTTCATGTCTTCTCTCAATTCATGTCCTATTTTTGTTGTCCACATCTTTCCTGTTCTATTTTGAGAAGTGAATACAACAGAAATGAATGTGGTCAAATATCAAGACAAATTTCAAAGCAGAAAAAACCTGAGGTGTAAACAATTTATTATACTTGATATAGATTCATTTTTTTAATGTGTTTCATGTATTTGGACTATTTCTCCCAATTATTTTCTTGTTACGACTGCATGTGAAACTTTCAAGCTGTAGCTTATTTTTAAAAATATTGAACCAAATGTATTTTCTTCTGGAATACCTTGGCTTACTTTATCCACTTTCAATAAAAAAATAGTCTGATTTAATATGCAGCAAGCTATCATGGGACGTATGGTTGAGTTGTTTGTGGAAAGGGTTAACCAAAATCATCAATGTATGTAAGGATGAAAATGTATCCAAGGAAAAACAGGAAGATTGTCAGTAATTAGGCAGCCCAGGGTTGATTTCCTTCCTGTACCAAACAATCTAGATGATTTCTAAAATCTCCACAGCAAATGTGAACAAAATTATGAGGCAGAAAAAAAAAATAAGAAATAATTAGACAAACACATCTGCTAGTGACTGCCAGATAAAGTACCTTAAAGAAGTTGGGAGGAACTGTAGTCACATGTATACTTAACTTTGAAATTTTAAAATATGAAAAAATACTTCTATGAAAAATAGAAAATGAATGCATCATTGTATTAACTAAATAGAGTCAATTATATTGAGTTTCATTTTCCCTATTGATTACCTACCGAGTTAAATTGCTTCCAGTTTTACAGTATTTCATACTGCCATTCCTAGACTCATATCTGGACTGTTTCACAGTATCGACTTTAGAGAATATAGAGGGATAATCTTGGAAACAGAGAAACAACATTGTTCATTGATTTTAAAATCATATATATATGATTATATATATGATTATATATGATATGTATGATATATATGATAATATATATCATATATATATACACACAAATAGTCAAAAAGTCATTTTAGCCAAAATGAATTCCATGTCAATAAAAATAAAATAACGAAATGATACCATCAATCAAAAAGAGATGAGAAAATGGAGGAAATGAATATTGGAAAATAGAGTCACTGACTTAATTGTTGGATTTCTAGTGAAGCAGGTAAAGAAATTAAATTATCTTCGGTAGAGTTATCCTACCTAGGGCCACATGTCTTTAACCTGGCACCAACAAAGTACTAAAACCATATAACAAAACATTCTTTTATTAATTCCATGTTTATCAAATGATTTTCTGGTATACATTTGGGTCCTCATATAACTTTGTCTATCTAGAAAGAACACTTTTGTTAACTTAAAAGGAATATTTCAGTTCCTACAGCATTTCTTTATATTAACTGGTTTAAACACCAATCTCCGTTAGTTAATGTTAGTATACCCCTAACAAAAACTGGATTAATAATCAGGTATCTGGGCAGGAAATGCTGTGCCTCAGGGTCTACTAGCAGTGAATGAGTAAGGAAATGATTCTTTGTGTCTTTCTGTAGTAAGGCAGTCATAGCTTCTGTTTTACAAAGCATAATTATAGCTACCAATATTTTGGAGCCATAGATCATCAGTAAAAGGCTATATTTGTGTGCATAATATTTGATATAAAAAGTTAAGGCTTCCAGTCTTATTTTATTTTCTGTTATGATAACTTTTCTAATTACATGGTATTATATTTTCAGATATGAGCACACACAATGAAAACAATTAAAAAAACAAAATTACCATTCACAGTTTGCCTTCTTTTCATCAAATTGGTCTCATGTCATATAAACGTAGTTTATTTTAGAGATGCAGTGTTCCTTTGTATTCATAGCATCATCACTCAAGATGGTAATTATTATGGTGAACATTTGGGTCATTAGACTGACTTATAGTTTAACAGATTGCTGGGAAATTGGATCTTATCCTTAAGCTCCAATGTCTGTATGGGCCTGATAATGTTGAAAATTCAGTCCTCATTGTACCTAACCTTAGGAAATGAATAAATGACTATTTGGAGTCCTGGCTCCCTTTGTGCTTTTATATTCCTGAGGGCATGGTTTTACAATACTTCATAGAATATGTCAAAGACTAATTGTGAAATATTTGGATGTAAGTTGATTTGGATGTCCCTGATTACACAACATCTGCATGTAAGATAATATACTATTTTCAATTATGATTTTCTCAAGTTCTCAAAATACAGGATTGACTTTTAACTGGAACTATTTCTGTGTGCTGGCATAATACCATTTGTGGTATTTTCTTATATTTATTCTGTATATTAAAAAGGGATATTAATTAACTAAAAGGGTTTTTGTGCTTACTTTAGACAATAAAGAAATTTATTATGAAAGTTTACTCATAAATATGCTGGAGAGTCATTTCATAATAAAGTATGACATTATTTTATTTATGTCTCCCCAAGGGTAAAGATCATTCAAGCAGAACTATCTCCTGTATCAGTATTTATTCACCTAAATAGACTGTTTTGGTTAAAATTTTAATGAAAAGTCATGCTTACATTACTGTATAATTTTGTATATGCATGGGTATTTATCTGTTTAAAGTAGAGTAGAGATGTAGTTGACATGAATGGATGTCTGCCTAGTTCACAAAAGTATGACCATGAAAATAAAATATCATTTCTATGATACTCCCTTATTAGGGAGCTATATCCCTTTCTCACTTCAACCTTGAAACTGTAATGTCAGAGATTACAGTATCTACTTCCCTGTGCAGTACTTTTTGATCCAAGTAACAGATCCATGATCTGAGAATAGTCAAAGTGCATCTAGATTTTTCAAGAGTTGGAGAGTGCAAAGGTTTCACTTCTGATGGTATATGTTGTAAGAATCAGTCTGTATCTGTCAGTGCCAAATTAAGTAAGATGGAATAAGAATAAAGCTGATGCTCAGAGAAGGGGGAATGAGAGTTAGAGGTAGTATTGACTATTTAAAATCCGTCCTGAGGTCAGACCCACAAATGCATTTTCTGTTATTTTATTTCAATACTGATAAAACCTTCTTTTTATGGTTAGTTCAAATTAGTTCATTTTTTTCAATTTCAATTGAAATAACAGGTGTAAAAAACCACAAAAGTACCCCATTTCCCCTTGCAAATGTATTGTTCTGAAGCTAGACTGATATTGAAATACTTGAGGTCAACCTAAAATGATACTATTTTACTCATGCTTTCATTTTTAGTATATTTTCCTTAGATTTTACAAGAGGTAAAAACATCTACTATAGATGTGTTAATTTTTGAGATTGCTTTTAGTCTTGATATCTGGTGTGTGTGTGGCTGGGACAGTGGAACATGATGGAAAGACTGAAAATGATACAATTCCAAAAAGCTGTTTTTACAGTTTGAAGCCTAGCCTCAGAGTAAAATCCCAATACTATCATGCAAAAAATTACTAGATTTGCACCAAGTATGAATAGGTTGGAAAACTAAAAAGGCCTATGAGGCCCTATAAGAAGAATCTTATTAGTGTTTAATAAAGGTAAAGGTAAAGTACAACAGAAATAAAATGCAGGAAATCATTGAAAGTCTGTCTTTCAGGAACAGAGCCTTTCTCCCTAAAGGTCCTTTCTCAGTCTCACAGACACATTTTATCTGTATATTACGAACCTTCAGGATTTGAGCTTACTATAATAATTTAAGGGAAGTGCAGAAAAGTCTTTATAGCAGTCTCTCTCATACATTGTTGGTCATATACATCTCAAGCTAAGTTGTGTAAACCATCAAACTAAACATTCTCAATGATATAGACCAGTTGGCACTAAACTTAAAGCAACATATTATGAATCACTAACTAGCACATGCCATTTTCATCTTGCTCACGGGTCAGTGTTATGCTTCCAATGCATCTCTAGATATAAATATCAAGCTGTTCCAGTCCAACTGTAAGAGAGTCCTCTCTTATGTAGCCATACATTAACATATATGAGAATATAAAATGTGTTGAGGAAAAAGTATCAAAGGATTGAGAAATCTACATTAATTTTAAAAAGAATGAACTAAGAGAAGCCCAGGCCATATTTAATGTCATCAAAGATAATTCTAGTGCTTTGGCATTATTTTTTCACATGCTTTTTCTTTCTTTTCCCCTTGACTGATTTTCTCCTAACTAGCTTTAATCAATTTTATAGAATTATAATTTGCATATAGGGCACACATTTTAGTCCAGTTCAGTTTTACAAATTTATAAAGCTAGATAATCACCTATACAATCAAATATAGAATATTCCCTTCACCTACACATTTATTGCATGACCTTTGTCAATGAAATTCCCCACTTCAACCCCAGAAAAGTTTAAGGCATTCTGTCTTTATATAATTTCAAATTTTATCTACATGGAGGCATACAGTATTTATTATTTATTATCCGCCTTCTTTCCTCTAGTATATGATAAAACTTCACCTTTTTTTTTTTTTTTTGTATAAAGGAATGACAATCCTTCAATTGTAAAAACTAAAGAACACGCCACCCAACTAATCACATGTCTTAGGGTATATTTCTGAAAAATAAGATATATATTTTAAAAGCAACTTTATTAAAACTCGGGGCTATTAAAGTATATATACAAATACAACACTAGAAAATAAAGTTATGTTTCCAGGCCGGGCGCCGTGGCTCACACCTGTAATCCCAGCACTATGGGAGGCCGAAGTGGGCGGATCACGAGGTCAGGAGATCGAGACCTTCCTGGCTAACAGGGTGAAACCCCGTCTCTAATAAAAATACAAAAAAAAAGTCTTAGCTGGGCGTAGTGGCGGGTGCCTGTAGTCCCAGCTACTCGGGAGGCTGAGGCAGGAGAATGGCATGGACCCGGGAGGCGGAGCTTGCAGTGAGCTGAGATCGCGCCACTGCATTCCAGCCTGGGCAACAAAGTGAGACTCTGTCTCAAAAAAAAAAAAAAGAAAAGAAAAGAAAAGAAAGTTATGTTTCCAGAGGTCTTTTTGTCCATTCTTCTCAATCCAAAAATGAAAAGAGAAACTACTGTCAATAAGTATTCGCCATGTTATGTTTTAAGCATTAGTTCAAGTGGACTTGTTTTTAACTCCGAATTTAGAGTTAGATTCCATATAATCTTTGCTACTGAAGATTGACTTGGTCGTGATTATAAAGGTTTCATTAGTCAATTCAGAGTATGGCTATATTTCTTACTCTTTTTATCTTCTTGATATTATACCACCTAGGTTGGGTTATATAAATGTGAATTCAACATACAGCCAAGTATAATCCCTTTCTCTTCGGCAGTACTAACTCAAGCCTATCTGTCTGAAGTATGTGTCTCTTTGTTTTTGTAACTTCAAATTTTCTTGTTCTTTTTAGTAAGATTCTGAAGGGTCATATGCTACTTGATGAAGCACCAGTGTTTCGTTGACCTGGTGCATTTATTTTATTTTAATCTGGAATTTTTATGTCATGTGTATATTGTTATTTTATTGCAAGTGTGACAAGCAATCCTAATATCAGCTTTCACTTAACTTCTTTTATAGAAGATACTGAAATTAATTAACATATATTTATGATATAATTAGCAACAGCTTGTGAGAAGGGTCATAGAGTACATTATAGCTACTGGGAAACCACTGCTATGGAGTTATTTTACAGAGAAGGGGAAATGGTTTTTGCTCGGAGATGAACTTGCAAAATGTGTATATGACACAATTACCAGGTAATGAACTTGCAAAATGTATATGCTACACAATTACCCATGACAAATGGCATTCAATAGAGTGTAGCAATCTTTTTGGGGGATTGAGGGGACAGGGTCTTGCTCTGTTGTCCAGGCTGGATTGCAGTGGTGCAATGTCAGCTCACTGCAGCCTCCATCTCCCAGGCTCAAGTGATCCTCTCACTTCAGCCTCCTAAGCAGCTGGGACTACAGGTGCCGGCCACCATGCCTGGCTATTTCTTTGTATTTTTAGTAGAGTCGGGGTTTCACCCTGTTAGCCAGGAGGGTCTCGATCTCCTGACCTCATGATCTGCCTGCTTGGGCCTCCCAAAGTGCTGGGATTACAGGCGTGAGCCACCATGCCCAGCCAAAAGCTTAACATTTCTAATAGCCAGATAAATGCAAATAAAAACAACTATTGACACTACTTTTAAGTTGGCAAAAGTTAGGTAAAAAAGATTACCCCTACTGCTGGCCAGGAATGATGAGGATAGGGTATACTTTTACATTTGGTGAAAAGAACAATTACAGCATTTCGAAGGTGATCTGGCGCTATCTACTAAAATTAAAAATATGTGCTTTTTACTCTTTAATCTCATCTGTACAAATTATCCCCATAGATACAAGAATACAACAGTATAAGGATATTTTGTAGAACATGATTATTTCAGTATGATTTGGGGAGAAAGGAAAAGAAAAGGAAAATGAAAGTTCATCAGTACAAGAATGGTTGAATCACCTGTTGATATACTACAGCATTAACTGTCAGGCAACCACGAAGTATAAATTGACTTGAGGGCAGTTATATATTACAAGATTTAGAAAGACTATGTGATATTACTCAATTTCTCCTAAAGTAAGCAATAACAGTTCTCCAATTATGTATTTGTGTGTCCAGACATGTTTTTATATGATTAAGAGTAGGAAGAATGCTATGGATAAACTGAAGGAATAAAAACTGGGTTTTTAAGGTTGTTTGATGGATGTATGAATGAGAATGAGGTGAGAAAAACAATGTATGATCTGACTTCACTGGAATAAAGCTCTGTGTGTGTGTATGCATAAGAAGATACATGAAAAACAAACAGCCATGGAAATTACTGTTTTTTACTGTTGAAATGGGGTTTTAGGGTACTTCTATTTTCTTCAGGATATTATTCACATACTTTCAAAAGTCTCCAAAAAATGCATTTACTTATGTTATCTGAAAAAAATCTATTCTCATTAGTGAAATGTCAATATATAGTGATTAATAACTGGATACATAAATAGACAAAACTTAAGGTCATTGCAATAGATAGTTCTAAAAATGAGACAAGTTTCTTGTTGCTTCTGTTTCCTTGTAGGCATATCGATAATGACTACTATTTATAGACATCAAACATTGTAATAAAGACTTTATCACGACAATTGTTTTTAATTTTAAAACTTAATTGAAAATGTAGTATTAAAGGATATTTGAACAAGTTCGAAGTTGTAACTCAATTCCTAACGGGAAAATCATTGGTTAAAATGATTTAAAACAAACAAAAAAAGTCTGCTTGGATATAGCCATATCTTTACTGAGTTGTCCCAGGAACAAGAGAATTAAATTAAAAAAAAAAAACGAGGGAGAGAGAACGAGCCCCTGAGTACTGGATTATTAAATCAGTAGCTTAATTGCATTTCCATAAATTGTCTCAGTATTTTTATTGCCCTGGGGTGCTGACAATATTAATGAAGCTGTGACAGAAGACTTTCCTAAGAAGTATCAAAAAGGCAGTATAGAAATAAGCTACACATAACATTGTAAAATCTTCTACATTAATATAATTACATTTTTTCTTGATGAAATACTCAAATTGATATGGCACAGTGATTAAAAAATAAAATTTGCCTATGGTCATGTCTAATTCATTATTTTTCTGATAACATAAGTAAATGGATTTTTTGAAGAGATTAAAGTGCCTGTTTAGCACTTTAATAAATAGGAAAACAACACATGAAAATGATTAATAGGACCTTTCCAGGCACTTCATGGAATCTTGGATGCATTCAAGGAGTGCATTATGGTATGAAAATGCAGCAAAAATCGATTATCAGTAATTGTAATTGGAGGTCCAGGCCCACCTTTTTACATTTAGGGATAACTTACACTGCAAGTGTCCTACGTAACTTAAAAAAAAAAAAAAAATCAATCATTAGAAATGGCAATGTGCCCTAAGGTTAGGCTTGATAATGGCCGAGATGAATCAACCTTGTGTAAAATAATGCTCCAAAGTTTGTAATTACTTTTCATAAATAAAGTCTGAATGATAACTGTATTAATAATAGCCATATGTTTTGTAGGTATCTCATAAACAGAACTCTGTTTAACAAAATAAAGCACTTTGATAAATTTATTTGCAAATGCCTATAACATTAGAAAGTTGGAAGTTCCCCTTGCCCTAATATAATAGGTTTTTATATTATAATATTATAATGATGGTACATATTAATATTATTTTCAGATATTTATAATAATTTATATTAATATTTGAGGAAAAAGCAATATTGCATGGCATAAAATAATCACAATATAAATAAATTGTATTATTACCAATATATAATATAGGTAAAATAAGTTCATTATTATTCTGTTAAGTCAATGAGATAACTACTAGTAGTTGTTGAGCAGCTTTTATATACCCGCAATTGTAACTGATCTCCTCAGCACTATTATGAGGAAAATGCTATTAACCATCCCAACTTGTGGGTGAAGAGATAATTTTTCCAAAGTTACAAATTCAAATCCCATTTCAGTATAAGGAATTCTGTAATTCTACACATGCTGCAATAATTCTCAAAGCTACATATTTTATTTTATTTTTAAATTTATTTATTTATTTATTTATTTTTTGAGACGGAATTTCGCTCTGTTGCCCAGGCTGGAGGGCAGCAGCGCAATCTCGGTTCATTGCAAGCTCCGCCTCCTGGGTTCTCGCCATTCTCCTGCCTCAGCCTCCCAAGTAGCTGGGACTACAGGCGCCTGCCACCACGTCCAGCTAATTTTTGTATTTTTAGTAGAGACGGGGTTTTACCACGTTAGCCCGGATGGTCTCCATCTCCTGACCTTGTGATCCGCCCGCCTCGGTCTCTCAAAGTGCTGGGATTACAGGCGTGAGCCACTGTGCCTGGCCAAAGCTACATATTTTAAAGTTTGTTTAAAATATATAGTCTAATTAATATATCTCATATGAAATCTAAATAATGAAATGTTTATTATATGTTGCAAGATCATGACTGGAAGAGATATTTCTATAGAAACTTGACCTTCTATAAATGATAACAATTATAATTATGAACATGATTTAGTCCCTTTGGGTACAGGAGGACACTCACTATGTGATCTTAGGCTTAAGTGTTTTTATTATGTTAATATTGTATACAGAAACAAGTATTTATCTATGCAACTTACTCCTTAAATTAATAGGGCATTCCTTGATAGACAAAACCACATCTTAATTTTTAAAAATTTCCCAGTAAGGGTTAGCACAGTTCCTAAGAGTTAAAATTAAATACCTGGTTGAATTAAATTGTTAAAAATAATTTTTAAAAAATGTACAGTGTGTGCATGTGGGTACTTGTATTTTAAACTAGGCATGTTTTCCTACAATGGATGGCTCTTTCTATCAGAAAAAGCAAATAGAGCAGGCTCAGGCAGTTTGAAATTTCCAAATGTATATTCCTTATCTCATCCTTTTCAGAATGTTAGTTAAGGAGAATTAGATGTACAAAATATACAAGTCAACTTCCTGCATGATATAGCTCTTTCTGGAAGACTCAGAATAATCATTGAAATATTAATGCTCTGAGAAGTCTTTTCACAAATTTGGTTCAATGTATTATTTTTCATACTTAAGTTAATTGCAGCAAAAACTTCCCCTTGTTCATATGATGGAAAATATGATAAGTACTTTGGAAAGATTTTCAGTAAAAATAATTTCATATACTAGGCATATTTGTTTATTAACGTAACTTAAACATATGTGAATAATTATTAACTGAGTGAATAATGATTTCTCCTTCACCACTTCATTTACCTTCAACAAAAGTGTCCTGATTTTTCATTGACTTTGGACAAAAGTGTCCTTATTTTTCTTTTAATACAGGGTTAGATATTGTTGACTTAAGGTTTTCAAAAAGTGTCATAGTCATATTGTCAGTCATGGTTAACAATTAAGGTGAAAAGTGCAACAAAATGCATATATGTCAATTACACATTCAACAGAAACTACTAATAATGACCTTTGAAATTTAAACGGGTTTATTTTCTGCCTTATTTGAAGTATTCATTAGGTTGTCGAAAGTTGAAAAAACTTTTTTTTTTAGTGAATTGTGCAGAGTTCAATTGTGGAATCAGTCAGAGTGTTTTTCAATCAATCATCAACATTGATAGACAGATTTGCCATCTTACTTTCCAGTGATAAGCTCTTGTAGACCACATAGCACCCTATTGAACTGAAGTTAATTTAGAGACAAAATTTTAATCTTAGGATTCTGACAACGGTGTGACGTATCTTTGAGGCTTTGTAAATGATAATGTTTTTCTACCAGAAAACATTTATCTTTTCATTTTTCAAGTCACATATATCCACAATTATTTAAAAATTGCTAAAACCTCCTAGACATATTCATTAGACATAAATGTATAAAAAGGAGCTATTACACATTTTTGCTTATTGAGAATATTTGAAGGTAATCAACATGGGCAATCACTGTTGTTTTTCCCATACACTGTGGGAAAAAAATACTACTCTAAATTACCTTTCTCATTTGCAAACTTTTCTCTATTTTCACAAGCCTTTCACAAACCAGTATATAATATATAAAAGGAGAGTCTCTGATATGGACTTACTTTTTAAATCATTACAAAGTCATAGTTTTTAGGGACTGGTGTTGGGAAAGTTGAACTGACAGGAAGAACTTTATGAGATTAGTGATACACTATTTTCTGATCCACTGTTAAGTTCTCTTTGAGAGACGTATGTGGCCAAGAGAGCTCTACTGTTTTTTTTTTTTTTATTTTTTTGAGACGGGGTCTTGTTCTATCGCCCAGGCTGGAGTGCAATGGCGTGATCTCAGCTCACTGCAACCTCCGCCTCCTGGGTTCAAGCCATTTTCCTGCCTCAGCCTCCTGAGTAGCTGGGATTACAGGCACCTGTCACTACACCCAGCTAATTTTTTGAATTTTTAGTAGAGATGGGGTTTCACTATGTTGGCCAGGCTGGTCTCGAACTCCTGACATCATGATCCACCCACCTCAGCCTCCCAAAATTCTGGGATTACAGGCGTGAGCTACTGCGCCCGGCCAAGAGCTGCACTCTTCTGGCAGGAGTTAGCCTTTTATGCAGTGGTGAAAGAAAAGCTATGATGCTCCCACTGGTATAAAACCTACTTCTGAAGATCACTTCTGAAGATCACTGCTGTCATCTCTTGAACTATCTGGTCCTGGTTATGCATCCATACACCATTTGCAATTTTCAGTTTCTAACTCCTCATTGGATCTAAAGTCACTTCATTTAACTATATTGAAGGGCTAATTGAAGAGCAACCCCTGTCTTGAAGGCATCCCAGGCAACTCAGTTAACTTTACCTATGTATTAATTCTAAAATATATTTTAGCCATATTTAAAAGATGGGCATAGCACACATATTTTATCTAAAGAAAAATAAAATATAGCTAGTGGTATTTTTCTTCTTTTTTTTTTTTTTTTTTTTTTTAAGACCCTGGCCCAGTTGATGAACCACTATTTATTAGACACTTAAGTTTACCTGGACTTGACTGAGCACAGTAGTTCAGGTCAGTGTGGGGGAGACAGAACAGACAACCAAAATTTAAAATGACAACTGACATGCCATAATAAAACTATATAAACATGCAGAGACATGTAAACTCCACTCTGAAAATAGGGTAGAAATAGGGGGAGAGAAGGCTTTGAAAAATGGCAATACTTTGGCACTGTTGCAAAAGATAATGAATTTTTCAGGTAGGCAGGGTGAGTGGGGTTTTTCAGGTGGAATGAGTAGCTCAGGCTAAAAGAGAAAACATAGTTATTAGGTGGCTATTGTTAGATCATAGTGTGTTAGAGAAGCAATTACAGGTGAAACTAGAGAGGTAAGCTTGGACAAGAACGTGGATATAATTTAGGAATTTAAAATTCTTACTTTGGGAAAACAGGAGTTGTTAGCATGTTTTAATCAGCAGAGAATATGGAAAAAGTATACCTTTTCTTGGTTATTCAAAGGGTAATGAGAAAGTTACCTAAAATGAGTACAACACATGAGACAGTACAACACTTACACAGCTGGCACAATAATAGGTATTACATTAGCATTTATTCTTTTTCTCAAGGATAAATTTTGAGACACCATGTTTTCCTTTTAGAAAAACATACTAAAACAACAGAGCCATTTTAACAGTACCTGAATGATAGCACCCATTCTAAAGATTTTCAGTATGTGATTGTGCTATGTAGACAATTCATGGCAAGAAAATTTGTTAATAATAGCTTCCATATAATTGAGCACTAGCACTGAGCTATATTCTATGCATTATTTTCCTGTATCAGCTTATGTAATCCTCAAAATGATTATCTAAATTTTACAAATGAGGAAATGGAAGCCCAAAGTCAGGAGTTAGCTAACTTATTCAAATTCACTAAGTATTAAGTATATAAATATGGCAGGATTTTAACAGGTCAACCCTTTAACCACAATTCATACTACCCTTCAAATGTTCTATTAGAGAGGTAGTCACATTTATAATTCCATACATGGGTTACTTTCATACCTCAAGTAATGGAATATTTTTCTACCTTTCCAAAACCATATTCATCATCAAGAACTTTAAGGCATCTTTTAAGGCTCAAATCAAGAGCCAGCTCTTTTAGGAAGTTTCTTTTGCACTGCCTTCTAAAAACATAATTCTAAAAACATAATTAATTTATCCTCCTTCTGCATTTCTTCTTCTATTTGTTTATTCAGTCTTTTATACATTGCATAGGGTATGCTACTTATTTATCAAATGGATATTATTTAGTACCTTTTCTATATGTGTTACTGTGGTAGATTTCTACTTTCTGTGAAAGAACTATGATTAACACTAATTGAGTTTTGTCTTTATCATGAATATCTTATATGTTATTTATTGTGTTTTGTATTATCTTTAAGAGAAACGTATGTGCAATACTAAATGAGTATGTAATAAATTTTATATAATGAATAAAGTCACTCAAATTCATTAGCTCAATGCCCCAGAGAGTGAGTATAACCTTGAAATGGCCTTGGATTGATTTGTAATATAGGTGCATCACATTCCCATGACAGACTTTTATGGAAGAAAAACACAGTAGAGAATTATAGCTGTTTGGCTGTATGTATTTTTGATAAAATGTTGATTTGTTTCTTGAGACAATTCCTACCTTATCACTTATGGGGGAGGAACTCTATGCTTGCATCAATCTCTTCAGTTTCTTTTTCATTTTATGGTGAACAGTGAGTTACTAACTGGTATTAAAACAGTGTCTGACACAACTGTAGAAGCATGGCTAAGCATATATACTCTACCATCTACTACCATTGAATCCTAATATTATCAGACCTGTGCAAATTAATGGAATTTAATTTAAAATGTATATACATGCATATATAAACATTAACATATGCATGCATTATATTTGTGTGTATGTGAGTGTATGTATGTATATTTCTTTTATAGGCATACACACACATAATTTTAGTGAGCCTTCTCTTTTCAGGACAGCTCTCAGAATATAGAGATACAAGTATTTGAGTGGATTGCTCTTGGTCTACATCCCTACAGAAAAATTTGTTTTCTAATTTGTAAAATTATAACATTAACTTCATGTACGTACCCGACTTTTAATGACTAATAGCTTTGTGTAGTAGTCAGATGAAGATATTATTTTGACCTAAATATTTTCACCAAACATGTGACTCAGCCTGTGTGTGTGCATATATGTATGGTGGGGTGAGAAAGAAGAGGTGGGCTGCTTTAGGCTATTGGAAAATTTATCCCAGCTGCATCAGAGATTGGGACTGGGAAGTAATAAAAGAATAAAAATACCAAACTTTTTAAAGCCTCTACTATTACAAGTACCAAATATTTGAGATCTATTCACTGCATGCAATTTTACTGCCTTCTTCAACTTAAGGAATACTTGTTGGGTAGTCATAAAAAAGTCAACTCTATCTCTGTGCTAGGTATGCTACAGTACAGGCAAAAAATAATAATAATTATAGCACCTGGGGTTTTACAGTGAAACTGGTAATTGGTCTAAGTAAATAGAGAGGAAATGAAGGTTGATGCATTAGGATAAAGGCCCATAGTCATGAGTATACATCATCAACTTCATCACAAACAAAAGAGGGCACGATACATGTATACTAAGTTATCATGATGATTATTCATTTATTCATCATGATTTTAAAGAACTACTGTATATTCAATATTGTAATAAGGCTTGTGACATACACAAAAATAAGACCTGATCACAGTGATCATGAAGCGTTCCCATTAGAAGAGAAATAATAGACCTTCGTTGAATGCATAGTTTGTGAATATTTTCTCCCATTTTGTAGGCTCTCTTTGTTTACTGTGTTGAAATGTCTTTTGCTGTGTGGGAGCTCTTTAGTTTAATTATATCTCACTTGTCAATTTTTGTTTTTGTTGCAATTGCTTTTCAGGACATAAACATAAATTCTTTGCCAAAGTCGATGTCAAGAAGAGTATTTCCTAAGTTTTCTTCTGGGATTTTTATAATTAGAGGTCTTACATTTAAATCTTTAGTCCATCTTGAGTTAATTTTTGTACATGGTGAAAGATAGGGGTTCAGCTGTATTTTTATATGGCTATCTAGTTGTCCCAGCACCATTTATTGGATAGGGAGTCCTTTTCCCAGTGCTTACTTTTGTCAATTTTGTTGAAGAACACATGGTTTCAGGTATGTACCTCCATTTCTGGATTCTCTATTATTTTCCACTGGTGTATGTGTCTGTTTTTGTATCAGTACCATGCTGTTTTTGTTACTGTAGTCTTATAGTATAGTTTGAATTCAGATAACATGATGCCTTCAGCTTTGGTTTCCTTTTTTTTTTTCTTAGGATTGCATTAGTTCTTTTCTGGTTCTGTACAAATTGTAAAAAAAAATTTTTCTACTTCTGTGAAAAATAATTTTGGTATTTTGATAGGAATGGCATTGAATCTGTAGATTGCTTTGAATGGTATGGCCATTTTAATGATACAGATTCTTCCAATCCATGAGCATGGAATATTTTTTCCATTTATTTTTGATATTTCTTATTTCTTTCAGCAGTGTTTTGTAGTTCTTTTTAGAGATCTTCCACCTCCTTGGTTAGATGTATTCCCAGATAGTTCATTTTTTTTTGATGTGGCTATTGTAAATGCCATTGTGCTCTTGATTTGGCTTTCAGTTAAGTCATTATTGGTGTGTAGAAATGCTACTGATTTTTGTACAGTGATTTTGTATCATGAAAGTTTACTGAAGTTGTTTCCTGGGTATACAAGCCTTTTGGTGGAGTCGTTAAGGTTTCCTAGGCAAATAATCATATAATCAGCAAAGATAGATAGGTTAATTTCTTATTTTTTCATAAAAATTATATTTATTCATTTTACTTTATGTTCTGGGATACAAATACAGAACGCACAGGTTTGTTACACAGGTATACGTGTGTCATGGTGGTTTACTGCACCTATTAACCTGTCATCTAAGTTTTAAGCCCATCATGCATTAGCTAATTGTCCTAATGCTCTCCTTTGCCTTGTCCCCTACCCCCAACTGGCCCAGGTGAGTGTTGTTCCCCTGCCTGTGTCCATGTGTTCTCATTGTTCAACTCCCACTTATGAGTGATAACATGTGGTGTTTGGTTTTCTGTTCCTGTTAGTTTGTTGAGGATGCCTTTTTCTTTTTTTTCTTTTTTTTTTTTTGAGATGGAGTCTCGCTTTGTCGCCCAGGCTGAAGTGCAGTGGTGTGGTCTCCACTCACTGCAAGCTCTGCCTCCCGGGTTCAAGCCATTCTCCTGCCTCAGCCTCCCAAGTAGCTGGGACTACAGGCGCCCACCACCATGCTTAGCTAAGTTTTGGTAGTTTTGGTAGAGACCGTGTTTCACTGTGTTAGCCAGGATGGTCTTGATCTCCTGACCTCGTGATCCGCCTGCCTTGGCCTCCCAAGCCTTTTATTTTTCTCTTACCTGATTGCTCTGGCTAGGACTATGTTGAATAGGAGCAGTGAAAATGGGTGTCCTTGTCTTGTGCCAGTTCTCAGGGAGAATGCTTCTAGCGTTTGCCTGATCAATATGATATTTGCTGTGCATTTGTCCTGGTTGCCCCTTAATATTTTTAGGTCTGTTCCTTTGCTGCCTAGTCTGTTGAGGATTTTGATCATGAAAGTAAGCTGGGTTTTACCAAAAGCTTAATCTGTGTCTGTTGAGATGATCATACAGATTTTGGTTTTGATTCTGTTTATGTGGTGAATCACATGTACTGATTTGCATATATTGAACCAACCTTGCATCCCAGGAATAAGCTTACTTGATTGTGGTGAACTTACTTTTTGATGTGCTACTGGATTCAACTTGTTATTATTTTTTTGAGGGTTTTGTGTCTAGGTTTATCTATTGGCCTGTAGTTTTCTTTTCTTTCTTTTTTTTTTTTTTGTCTCTGCCAGATTTTGGTATCAGGATGATGATAACTTCATAGCTAACATTCAGAATCTATGAGGAACTTACACAAATCAAAAAGAAGAAAACAAATAATCCAAGTAAAAAATGAGCAAAGGGCATAAAAAGATACTTCTCAAAAGAAGGTATTTAAGGGACCAACAAGCAAATGAAAAAATGTTAATCATCACTAATCGTCAGAGAAATGCAAATCAAAACCATGATGAGATGCCAACTCATAGCAGTCAGAATGTAGATCATTAAAAAGTCAAAAAATAAAATAAATAAAATAAAATAAATAACATATGCTAGCAAGGCTTTGAAAAAAAAGGGAATGTTTATACACTGTTAGTGGGAATGTAAATTAGTTCAGCAACCATGGAAAGTAGTTTGGAGATTTTTCAAAGACCTCTAAATAAAACAGAATTACCATTAGACCCAGCAATCCAATTAGTGGGTATATACCCAAAGGAAAATAAATCATTCTACCAAAAAGTCACATGAACTCATATGTTCATTGCAGTGATATTCACCAGAGCAAAGACATGGAATCAACCTAATATCCATTTATGGTGTATTGGATAAAGTATGTGGTACATATACGCATCATGGGATACTAAACAGCCATAAAAGAAGAAAATCATGTCCTTTGCAGCAACATGAATGCAGCAGGAGGCCATTGTCCTAAGTGAATTAACACAGGAACAGAAAACTAAATACCACGTCCTCGTTTATAAGTGGGAAATAAATATTGGGTACACACTGATGTAAATATGGGACCCTTATAGGATAGAGGGAGGAGGGGGTGTTGGCCGAAAAACCGCCTATGCTCACTACCTTGGTGACAGGATCATCTGTACTCCAAGCCTGTGTTACACAATATGCCCATGTAACAAACCCGCACGTGTACCCTCTGTATCCAAAATAAAAGCTGAAAAAAAGGAGATAATACATATTACTGAAATTCAGTGTTGAGAAAAATAAATTTTAATCCTTTATTAAAATTTTAAGTCAAAGGATATGACACTTATATGAATAATTATTTCCATATCTTTTAGAAAATCTTTGACTGTTATGAATTCATTCATCATTTATTTTAAGCATCTACAATATTACTGCAAAATACTAGAATGAATTTTGTTGACATATTAGAGTTGCAAAAATGTGAAAGTAGTAGTAAATAGCTCACACTGAAGAAAATGTAAAACATTCAAGATGTAGAGCATTTCAGCTTAGTCTTGAAAGATGAAAAATAATCAGAAAAAAACGGAAATTCCATGTTAAGAGATTATGTAGACAAAGGCACAAGATTTTCTTGAAAGTTTATGCCATGTTCACTGTTATGGAATCAGAGGGTATGTAGATGAAAGAAGCTATAGATGATGATATTGAAAAGAAAGTTTGGAGCCAAATCATTGAAAGCTTTATGACATGGAAATCATTGTCCAGTTTGTTCTGTAGATAAAAGTAAATCCAAGAAGCAGCATGTTCTTCAAATCAAGGTAATATTTGTTGAGTACTCTGCAGACAAAGCCACAAAGGAATAACAAATAAATGTTAAGGGTGTAAATTATTGCAAACAGTAATTGCATCAGAATACTGGTTGTGGAATTAAGAGCTGCAATACTGAATTTCTGTACCAATATATTTGGAGTTTCATAGATCTGAGCACAACCACACAGAATAGCATAATTTATTCCAAAAGTCAGCAAGCTTTTATCTGCAAAGGGTCAAATACTATATATTTTAGGCTTTGAGAGCACCATATTATGTGTTGTTACTACTCTGCTTTTGAAGCAAATGAGTTTAGAAATAACAGTGCAATGTCCATCTCCTGGCCACCTTTATTTTTATATATTTATATTTTATATTTTTTTTTATATTTTTCCTTCACAGCAGATTAAAACTAGCTTTCTAGCTTTCAAGGTGAACATCTCAGAGCTCAAAAGAAGAACAGTTATGGTTAAGAAGGCAGAGACACTTTGGGAGGCCAAGGCGGAAGGATCACAAAGTCAGGAGATCGAGACCATCCTGGCTAATATGGGGATATCCTGTCTCTACTAAAAATACAAAAAATTAGCCGGGTGCGGTGGCGGGCGCCTGTAGTCCCACCTACTCGGGAGACTGAGGCAGGAGAATGGCGTGAACCCGGGAGGTGGAGCTTGCAGTGAGCCGAGATTGCGCCACTGCAGTCCGGCCTGGGCAAAAGAGCGAGACTCTGTCTCAAAAAAAAAAAAAAAGGCGGAGACAGCCACTTGTGATTTATAATTAAGTGCATCAAGGAGAATAGTCAAGCATCCGACAGAAATCTTCCTTTGGGGAAAGGGAGAGTGGTTCAAAAAGTTTTTGTTAAAGAAGACCAGACCAATCTAACTATTAAGGCAGCCACTCTAAATGAACTTTTTTATTCTTTCTGAAATGCATTAACAATGTTCATTCAGTTGGTGTGGACTTAGACTAACAGCAATTATACAGAATTTCTATTTGAAGGATTTTGAACTATGCCATGGAGGCTATGTTAACGATAAAGTTATGGCTACTGAGGTGAACTCATCTAACTTACATGAGAGCCTTAATGTAAACAGCCAACCAAGAGAGATACACAGACATGCAAATATTTGCAGGGGTATTACATTCTCTATGCGAAAACAGATTAAAGTAGAGGAAAATGTACATAAGACTTTCAATAGTGAAAAACATTAACTAAAAAACAAAGCTGTCAAAAACCATATTCCCAAGAAGATGGAGGATGATTACAGGTTCCCAGAGCTGCAAAGTGAATCACATAAATTTTATTTTGTTATTTAGTTGCTGTGAGCCAAGCCTTTCTAGAAGAGCAGGAAATATTTCCTTTCTTTTGTAAATGTTACCTTCACTTTATTTATTTGAAGCAACTGTTGGGAAACAATGAAACTTCGAGCCTACTTGAAGATACCAGATTTGTATTAATCACAAATTTATTTACCTATACTAGCATAATAGGCCCATAAGGGAAATTAGTGGACTAGGAAAGATTGAAGAAAAGCAGCATTTGCTAGACTAGACAGCCCCGAGAAGGTTCAACTCTAGGTATGGCTCTCAGCTTCGTCATTATTAACACTTCTGTTAATATAATGACCTAATTTTGAATTTCCAAGTTAGATGGATAATTTAACTGAGTTGCTCTCTCTCACTGCTCTAAAAGATAACCTTCTGCTTTTGGGGATCAATGCAACTAGAATTTTCTTAAATTCGCATTTTCAAGTAACATCCAATGCTAAGACATGTCTGTACCAGTTTGATCATTCCAGGACAATAGACAATATTTCAATGCCTAAGTAAAACAGATTTAATTGCTAAACAAGATTTCAAGGAACTGAAGTTCATTTTAATCACAAACAAGCTGCAAGGCAATTTTCAATTACAGCAAGCTTTTTATTTTTCTCCAGCTGTGTGTCCCTGCTGATTCCTGAAATTACATGTAAGTTGTCCCAGATTTTGAAGTGGTGTACCTACTGAGGTTTTTCTTTTGTCAGTTGATGAAGTATCTGTGATTAGAACTTAAATAAATTGGCATTTATAAGATGCATTACCCCACCCTGTATATTTTAGGACATGATGATTGAGCATGAAGGAAGTCTGAGATATCCCCCAGTGAAAAGAGTATTCCTAATTAAGCTGCTGGTGTTGCAAGTATTCACCTCTTCCACGGGAACATCAAAAGATAATATGGGAACAAAGCCCTAGAAAAAGAAATCTGTTGGGTATTAGACAATCAGGTCAATAATGCATTGTATTTTCAAAGTTCTACAAAGTTCCAGCTTTTAGGGAAGTTTGCCATTTGAAGCTCAGTGTTTGTATCCTATAATAATTGTTTTACTACAAAGCCTGAATGGGAGGAAAGTTGATCCAGATGTACTTAAATTTAAAAAGACCAAAGGAAATCTGTTTCTTAAGATAAATCAAAGATAGCATTCTTTAAAGGGATGAGAGAATAATGTTAATGGAACCCAGAAAAAACAAACCAACTTGCACTTTAATTGGCTTTCCTTCCTAAGCTAATTGCTATTTCTCTGTTGCTTCTCCTTTGCCCCTTTATTTACTCAATAATCACTCACTAAATATGTAATTGGCAGTTACATGAAAAGGTTTTATCACTTTTGCTAAGTGTCAATCTATACAAAGTTACAAGAGTGCAGGAGGCTGCCAATATAAGGTGAGAAGATCAAAAATACCCAGACAAGGCAAAGTACACAAAATATCTCAATTAGATAGAGAAAAATTATATTAGCTCACTCTAAGTGAAATTTCTTATCTTTTTGAACAGACATGAAGTAGGGGGGGAGGTGGCTTATCCTAGAATTGAGAGAATAGCATAAAGCCACAAAGGAAAAAGGGAAATAGCAATTGAATTTCAGGATTTTAAGTAACAGCTTTTAGACTCACTGTTGATTGCAAATGGTAGGTCAGTGTATAATTATGAAAGACTATGCTCTCAGCAATGAAAATCACTGAGAAGATTTAACAAGAACGCTTTTTAAAAAAAATTCTTAGGAAAGTAATTGAGTTGTAGTATCTATATATATTATAGGAGTTGGAAAACGGGAACAGGAAAGGCACTTGGGAGGAATTTTTCTAAAATTCAGAGTTACTTAATGGCTGATGTAGGTGTTGACTGCAATAGTTAATGGATCTGTAGGTGTTGACTGTGAGACTTCAGGATAAGGGATAAAATTGGAAAGTGTGTGAAGAAATAATGAACTGGAAAGATGTGTTGATGGGTTGGAAAACAATGCAAATTAAATTATATTATGTATGACATCACCTTGAATTTGAAAATCCAAAGCCATCTTATTTTTCCTTGTGATAAATTGTCTTGACCAAATATTATATATTAAAAGGCAAAAACATTAAAAATTGTACAAATGTGATTTTTCACAAGTTATGACTTTGGAGATGCAAAAAATAGACACTTTTCTTTTTCTTTTTTTTATTATATTTTAAGTTCTGGGATACATGTGCAGAACGTGCAGTTTTGTTACATAGGTATACACGTGCCTTGATGGTTTGCTGCACCCATTAACCTGTCATCTACATTAGATATTTCTTCTAATGCTGTCCCTCCCCTAGCTCCCCACTGCCCAATAGGCCCCGGTGTGTGACGTTTCCCTCCCTGTGTCCATGTGTTCTCACTGCTCACCTCCCACTTATGAGTGAGAACATGTGGTGTTTGGTTTTCTGTTCCTGTTAGTTGGCTGAGAATGATGGTTTCCAGCTTTATCCATGTCCCTGCAATGGACATGAACTCATCCTTTTTATGGCTGCATAGTATTCCATGGTAAATACATGCCACATCTTCTTTATCCAGTCTATCATTGATGGGCATTTGGGTTGGTTCCAAGTCTTTGCTATTGTGAACAATGCTGCAATAAACATGCATGTGCATGTGTCTTTATAGTAGAATGACATAATCCTTTGGTTATATACCCAGTAATGGGATTGCTGGATCAAATGGTATTTCTGGTTCTAGATCCTTGAGGAATTGCTACACTGTCTTCCACAAAAGTTGAACTAATTTAAACCTCCACCAACAGTGTAATACCGTTCCTATTTCTCCACATCCTCTCCAGCATCTGTTGTTTCCTGACTTTAGTTATTGCCATTCTAACTGGTGTGAGATGGTGTCTCATTATGGTTTTGATTTGCATTTCTCTAATGACCAGTGACGATGAGCTTTTTTTCTTGTGTTTGTTGGCCGCATAAATGTCTTCTTTTAAGAAGTGTCTGTTCATATGCTTCACCCACTTTTTGATGAGGTTGTTTTTTTTTCTTGTAAATTTGTTTGTTTCTTGTAGATTCTGGATATTAACCCTTTGTCAGATAGATAGATTGCAAAAATTTTCTCTCATTCTGTAGGTTGACTGTTTACTCTGATGACAGAAACTGTTTTTTCTACAAAACCTAGCTTATTTCTCTGTCAAGTTCCCCTATTCATTTCCCTACACCAGCATCACCAACAATAACAACTTAAGAGCTACCCCTAAGAACATGGATATCAAGACTGCATGAAGATTTATGAATTCTAAAGAGCATTTCTTGACACTGAAGCCAGCTAAACTAACTTTGCAGAAATGCTCAAAATGTTCGTAAATTTTAATTTATACCAAAATTTCAGTTTCAAAATGCCACCTAATCTTCTTGAATGAGTTATGTGTTATACAACTTTATTCCAATTTCCATGTGACTCTGCATCTTGTTCATTTCTAATTCATACATTTGTGATATATGGCTTCATATTCCACAATCTAGTGAATGTCTATTTCTTAATCATTATTTCTAATTTAATTTGATATTTTTATTGCAGTCAAACTATATTAGGATTATCCTTTTAAAAATGAATACGTGGATGCCAAATGAAATATACATACATATGGATTTAGGCATGCAACTGTATCACTTGTATGTGTGGGTGTAGGTGCACTTAAAATCAAAGTGGGATGGCACAGGAAGAAATGCCTGAAGAAAGTGTAGAAAGCACTGATCACTTGGCAGACATATGAATGTTTCAGTTTATCAGAATATCTATAAGGAAATACCTTTTTTTTCATTGTAGCCCTAGTTACTTCCTCATTGTCTCCGTATACTATTTTTAAGTCATCTCAGTTCTTGTGAATTAATTCAGCTTCCAGACACTTTTAAACTGTATGTATAAACCTAATAATTAACAAATGGTAATGTGAAAAACAGTGCTCACGGATATTTTATTTTTAAACTGTTGCCCATTGACATTACTTTGTGAGAATTATTTCTTTATTTTATGCTAAAAAGTCACTAAGTAGTGCATACTCCTGTTCACTCAGATTGAAAAACCAACAAAAATCATCTAAAATTGCAATTGAATAAATGTATTGCAACTGGATACAGGGACTTTTAATCAAAATATTCTCTTTCTTCATTAATTTCTACTTTCTGCAAACTTATCAATTAGGTATTTTGTGTTTGTATATTATATATAGTACAAGTCAATTTATGTATGCCTGTGTGTATATATGAAATTAATCTCACAAGAACTAGCTTTAGCGTGAAATGAATATCAACTTACTATATTTTCGAAGTTCATATCTCACTGACAGACCTATTCTGTCAGTGACTATTTTAATCATGCATTTTAATAAGTAATTCTTGTTAACTGCCGGTATAATACCTATTTTTGGCATGATAAACTTTCTTAGAAGAGACAGGGTGAATCATAAATAACTTAAACTGTAACTTAATTTCTATTAGGTCACAGTGCTTTGTAAAATACTCCATAAATATTAGATTTTTAGTATTTTTACTTGTATTATTCTGATATGGTTTGGCTCTGTGTCCCCACCCAAATCTCATGTTAAATTGTAATTGCCACATGTTGGAAGAGGGGCCTGGTGGGAGATGACTGGATCATGGATGCAGACTTTCTCCTTGCTGTTCTCATGATAAGGAGTGAGTTCTCACAAGATCTGGTTGTTTTAAAAGTTTGTAAGCGCTTCTTTCTTTATTCTGTCTCCTGCTCCAACATGTGAACATGCGCTTGCTTCCCATTCACCTTCTGCGAAGACTGTAAGTTTTCTGAGGCTTCCAAGCTATGTTTCCTGTACAACCTGTGAAACCGTGAGTCAATTAAACTTTTTTCTTCATAAATTACTCAGTCTCTGGTAGTTCTTTATAGAGTGAGAACAGACTATACATATTCCTATCAAAAAAAAATAAACGAAACAGTAAAATAACCTATGATATCACAATGAAGATATTATTAATATGGATTTTATGTTTGCAATAGGCAAACACAAACAGTGTTAACTTTTAAATATAAATCTCCATTATCAGTCAGTCTTCATGGTTGTATGCAAGGAAATCTAAGTCTAGTTAATTTAAGAGGAGAATGAATATTGAATATTGAAGAATACTGAATAGTTAAAAAATTCATAGAGTAGATAGAGGACTAGGCTTGAAAAATATTCAGGGACTGAGGGAAAGTTTACTAACATAAAACAAATAGGAAATCAAGTCAAAATAAATGGTAAAGGCTCTGCAGACAGCATAGCTACCATTAGCTCATCTCCATTTCATTACAAACTGCATCATTCTACAAAGGTCGTGTGATTTCTCTATTTTCCTCGGTATTCAAACCATGGTCTCAAAATTTACGGTACCTAACAGGAGCATCTTATTGGTCAAGCCTAGGACATGTGCCTGCGACAAGGCCAACTAGAGAGAAGAAATACCTACCATCTTCCATTTGAAAAATTTGGTCTTGGGCTGGGGGCGGCGGCTCACACCTGTAATCCCAGCACTTTGGGAGGCCGAGGCAGGCGGATCACGAGGTCAGGAGATCGAGACCATCCTGGCTATCATGGTGAAACCCCATTTCTACTAAAAATTCAAAAAATTAGCCGGGTGTGGTGGCAGGTGCCTGTAGTCCCAGCTACTCGGGATGCTGAAGCAGGAGAATGGCATGAACCCGGGAGATGGAGCTTGCAGTGAGCCGAGATCGTGCCACTGCACTCCAGCCTAGGCAACAGAGGGAGACTCCGTCTCAAAATAAATAAATAAATAAATAAAAAGAAAAGAAAAATTTGGTCTTGGAAGAGCACTAAATCTAAAAAAGGGATGCCTAGAGAGTATATTAAAATATTAGATAATGAGATGCTGTTAAGTACAAAGATGATAAGTGTACTTATCTTTGGTAGTCATTATTCCCATCTTTACAACATTAAAAGCTGAACACTAAAAATACTGACTTCTTTTAAGCTATCAGAAAACAGGTCCTACAGCAAAGTACCATCCCAAAATCTAAGGGAATGAATCTAGACAGTCAAAGATGAGAGCTGTTTATCTAGAGGGGAAGCTGCTGAAGCCATAAGTTAATAGAAACTATTAAACAGTAATTTTGACAAATTGATGGAAGCTGAGTGTGGACTGGCATAAGGGTGAGAAATTCTTGAGGCTGAAGTCTTAGGGGGCATTTCTTTTATGCATTTTTACCTCCAGGATCCCCACCAGGTTCTCACAGTGAAAAGCCAGAAATGCTCCCTCTTGGCTCTTGCAGAAGGAGAGGAAGAGTAATGATTGTGAAATAAGTCCAGAGCATTTTTCAACACAAAGATTAAGCCTCCAGAGAAAGACTTTATTACACCTTATCCCACCTCAGGGAAGGGCATTCCTAATACTTCAGCAACATCTAGACTTCCTTCTTCACCTGAGCGGTGGCAGTGACTGGATGGATGCAAAGAAACAGTTATGAAGGTCACAATTCAGGGATCCAAGCCCACTAAAATACTGACATTTTCACATAAGACCCATAGAGCTTCAGTATAATAACAGTGAATTGCAATAGAAATAAAACCAGTATAATAACAGTGAATTGCAAGACTCAATCTCTCAGAAGTCTTGTACTTGGAGAAGGCCAAAGTCAACATGAATGAGAACCCTAGTGGCAAATCAAGCTGGCACCTACAGCATAGCAAACAATTAACACAGTGGAACTCCTGTTCATGTTAACCTAAAACCTCATAGTACATGTCTATTTACCTCTGTTCCTCTCATCTAATACATCCCAACTGACTTTCAACAACAAACAAATATTAGGAATGCTAAAATATGCAGGAAAAAATCACAGTCTGAAGAGCCAAAGTAAGCATCAGATCTTGGCTCAGGCATGACAAATTTTCAAATTATTATATAGGAATCTTAAAATGATCAATATGTTAAGACCTCTAATAGAAAAAGTAGACCACATTCAAAAACAGACATGTAATGTAAGCAAAGAGATGGAGATTCTAAGAAAAGAAATCAAAGGGAAATGAGAAAAAATAATTTAAAAAAACACCTGAACAGAAATAAAGAGAGCCTGGAATGTACATCTCAGCATTAGGCTGGTGCAAAAGTAACTGTGGTTTTTTTAATGGAATGGACATTACCAATATAAGAATCAATGAACCTGAAGATAGGTCAACAGAAACTCCCCAAACTGAAATGTAACGAGAGAGAGAAAAAAATACATAGAAACCCCAAAACTATGGGGCAATTTCAAAAAGGGTAACAAACATACAAAAGTTACTAGTTCCTTCTCAATGCAGCATTCATTATTGCTTTAGTGAACAGAATGTCCTCTGAGTCCTCCCACTGAAGAGTACAAAGATTGGTTTTATTAGAATTTTCATTCTAACATCCCCACTTCTCCTAGCCTTTTGATCTTTTTGTCTACCATCTGCCATCCATTTCTAGTATGTCAATTTTACTGTGAAACATTGCTTTCTCCAAGCTTCCAAGAATTATCTTAGCAGCATGTTAGCACGGCTCCCAGAATCTTTGTCAGGGTGCAAAATCCTGTGTTCTGGCAGAGTGCTACCATATCAAATAACTTATCCAACTTTATATAACTTCCTAGTATCCTCAGGATCCAATCACAGATATGGCTCCCCAGCTCTTGCCAGAACACTTTGGCTTGGCCCCGTAACTTCTTCAGCATATAGCCCCTTTTTTCCTCTATCAAGCTGAGTACTTGCTCATCCAGATTCTGTTATGTATTGACACCAGTTATTTCCCTGGAAGCCAGAAGGGCAGGAGAAATAAAACAGTTCATATTTTGTTTTATGTTTTGTTTGTTTGTTTGCAAAACAGAGATTGTGTATTGTCTTAAATAAGGGGAGAACTAGCCATTAAAGCAGAAGAGTTGACCCCTTTGGTAGACCCAGAGTAC
This sequence comes from Homo sapiens, assembly GCF_000001405.40. Lineage (NCBI taxonomy): Eukaryota > Metazoa > Chordata > Mammalia > Primates > Hominidae > Homo > Homo sapiens. The sequence goes on from NC_000004.12 coordinate 34,030,718, forward strand.
TCAGGGATATCTAAGGTTTCATGATATCTCAGTATGTCAGTCTTTTTGCCCCATATACCAACTCTTACAGTTTCATTTTTTTCCTGTAAAACACCTAATCTTGACATAACAGATTTGCTGGATTTGAGACTTTAAAGTACTTCAGAACTCTGTTACCCTTTTAGGTAAAACCTAAAACTTATCCTCATTTTTATTCTGCCCTCTTGCTGAAAGAGAGGATTATCTCTTTATATGCTTCCAGTTTCTCCCTCTGATTTTCACATTTTGCCATAATTAGTGATTATTTACTTTCAGCCCTTTATTGCCTTTCTCTAATGAATCTATAAACAACAGCTATATTATTACATAGTCTTTATAATCAATATTTCTCTTGTATCTCTTGACATCCTATACTACCTCCTCTGACAATGCGTACACTTACACTGGTATGTTGTCCCAGTTCGTCCCTATTGACAATTTTTACATTTACACCATTACATCACACCTGGAGTTATCCACAGTCCAACTACCGTCAAAGACAGGGTCCTCATTGCCAGCCAGCAACAAAATACCATGTTATAATGTTTCCCCAAATCACTCCCGACTTTAACTGTCATAGCTGGAGTTTCTCAGAAAACAGACTCTTAGATAGAGATTTGTATGGAAAAAAATTATTTGGAAGTGCTCTTGTAAATAACATCTCTAATAAATGAGGGAGACAAGTATTAGCAGAAGGTGAATTGTAATTCTGTGGTAACAGAAAACTTATTCAACCCCACAGGTAGCCCTGGAGCAAGGATGACCTTTCAGATTTGATGCAAATAAAGGCAAGAAGATTTCAGAATATATCCATTGGCCAGTTATTGTAAAAGAGCTGTATTAATAATGTAATGGCTAAAGACACAACATTTTTTAAAGTTTATTTCCCATTATTAAGATTCTCCATTATAAAGTCTGGACAATTTAAAAAAATATGAAGCCCTGAACTACAGTGTTTGCAGATTTCAGTGGCATATATATTCCTACCAAAGCCAATTTTAAATTTCTAATATAACATTGACAAGAAATGTGCAGTAGCACATGTGTCCAGAGATGCAAGAAATATAAACATAAGAGGAAAAGGAAGTCTAATCATTGGGAAGCAATGAGTTGTGAGTAGTTAATGCACTTCAAAATATTATTCATTTAATTTAACTACATACATTAATTTTTAAACATAACTGTGTCCAAAAACTGCCTCACACATGTTCTGAATATTTAAAAATTGACTTTTGCAAATGATTAAAAGCTATCTTGAACAAACTAATGGCTCCCATCATTAGATTCAATGATTATGTGACCCATAGTCAACTCAAATGGAACATACACATTTTTTTCTTCTCTCAGTTGGCCGCTTGTGTTGGAAAACTAACAAGGTGTAAAGCCATGCTAAAGGCAGTTTTTGAATTCTCTTAAATAACTGAGTCCCACAGTTTTTTTCTCTGGAATAGGGATGACCTGGAAGGGAGTTTTGTCAGAACACTAAAATTGTTGTCAAAAATTCATGTTTTAATGTATTTTCTTCTTATTTCAAGATAACATATAATTACTGTAACTTTAACTTTATATCTTCTCTATCTATATTTTAGAGTAGAGGAGAGCACCTATAGCCCATGGCACAGAGGAATAACCAGCTAGAGATGTGGCTTGTGAAATGGGCATGAAACAAAAATGATAGTTCTCTTGTCTGATTATCTCTGACACTGCAAAAGCCTACACTAATTAAGCAACTATCAAGCTTGCACAAGATAACCTCACATGCATGATCTTAACGAATGCTAGCTATTATCTGGAAATTAGATGCACTAAAATGATTTGACCAAATTACCCCAAAAACCTTCAGTTCTTGTGAGCAGTGGAAGCCAGATTAAGTTAGTTATATCAATTTAGAAGCTTACCAATTTCATGTATTAATTACTTTAATCAAATGTATCATTTACACAGGTCTTAATCAGCAAGATAAAATGAAAAAAAGTATATGGCATAATTAACAATAGCACTGATTTCTGTGGTTACGTTCTAAATAGAAACTGCTGTTAGCGTATTGCAGCTGCCTTAACATATGGTTTGAAAAAAAATAGCAAAAGTAGTGATCAATTGTGCTTCTAAGTATTTGCAAATAAAAAGGCAAACAGAATAAGTAGCATTCCACATATTTCAAAACATGTTACGCATGACAAATATGTGCAATTTTTATTAGTCAATAAAAATGTGATAAGTAAAATATCAAAAATAGAATAAAATACACATCTTAAAAAAATACATAGCATTCCTACATCTGCTATTACGGGAACCAAAGAGGAAACACCAAAGTTAGGACTGGTAAAGAGTTAGTATGGTATTTAGTAACCAATGTCTGGGACATGATAACTTGGTGACCTAAATAAATTCTGGTTCATTCTGTGGTTTAGGCAATGTTCTTGAAAAGCTGGATCAATATCATTGCTGATTTGCATTATTGTATACATTTTGGTGATTAATCTTGTTTGAAAATTATGTTCAGGGACTAGTAGGAGAGGGGAGCTATACTTTATAAAAGTAAGACAGATAATACTTATCTAATAAGGAATTGCTAGGAATTAATTTTCCCTTGATAGCGTATTAGTGAACATATTTTCAGGCACTTATAGAAATGTAAATCTTAATTTAAAAAGCAATATATTATCTGTGGGCACATAAAGCAGCAACACCATTTCATTGTGGTGACTGATCAATGTGGAGAATGACTTTCACACATGCTAGTAAATAAATTAAATGAAAATCACATCCTAAGGAAAAATATTACAAGTTAACCTTTCCAAGAACACTTCTGACAATAAGTAGATATTGTTGAGTGCTGAAAATTAAAGAACAATTATAGGTTTTAAAAAAGACAACACTACTATCCCATTTTTCTCTCTTCCTAATTCTTTGTATTTATAGTGCTATCAATTGCTTAAGTGCAAATACATGTCAATGAAAATTGTCATATTAAATACATAAATATCCATATTGTATAATGTAGACGGTCACACATATGTTCACACATTTATTTTGAACATAACTTTCAGTACTTTTCTTATTAAAAATAAATTTTGTGTGAACACTGCATAATGAACAACTCTGAGCTCTTGTTACACCCACAGCTCCCTTACAAGCCAAGCACTCAGACATGGTTCCTTGCATGTGAGTTTCGTGCCTTAGGGTCTGATGACCAGGAGAATTTCTTCAGACCACAGATTGTTGCCTGACCAAAAGTTTCACTGAATATAAGGGAAGGCAGTAGCTTTATGAGGAAGACTGGCTTTAAATCTTTAAGCCTACCCAGCCAAATCTCTCTTTTTGTTAGTTGATTAACATCAGACATAAAGGCAATTTTCTCAGGCAGTTGTATGGAGTAAAACTCACATGATATGCAGAGCAAGCATTCTGAAGAAAAAAAAAAAAACATTTTTCAGAAGAAACCAAGAATAACCAGAAGTGGAAGGGTAGAGGTAAGGCTGAGGCAAAAAAAAAAAAAAAAAAGTAGACACCATAGAAACCAAATTGTATGAGTTTGAGTTGTGAATTATTTTGGTGACTTTAGTCTAGATATAGTATTATAAATAACACTTTATATGACCTTAATGTTTTCACTTTATTTGTTGGGACATTTTCTTGCATTTCCCTTCTTTTCCGCATAATTTTACAATAAAAAGCCTACAGTAGTAGACGTAAACTAAACACATTCCTGTTGCTTGATATCTGAGTCAAATCAACACAATATGAATGTAGATACTTAATACATATATATGCATATGTATTTGTAAATGTGTATTAAGGAATTTACATTCTAAAATTATTCTAGAGCACATACGTTAGTTCTGTTTCTGGAAAGAGATTCAAAGGCTCTTTTGAAGAGCTGCAGAGACTCCAGTTTTTTAAAAATTTAGAAATAAAAGTTTGGATAATTATGTTTCTTATCACCAGGTTGTCATAGTCATGGAAAAATGTAGAACATTAGATCCACCATTCTTTTTTTACATCTCCTAGAACTTGCTATGTTTGCTGAAATTCCTGGGCTGTCCACTTTGGAGAAAGAAACAATATGGACATCACTGCAATTATCAAGGAATATTCCTACTACCAGGGAATATTATTGAATTCCATTTCTCCTTCATGGCAAGGAAGAATAGTTCTTGGGTGAGAGAAGCCAAAAGCAAAGATCATAGTTAACCTTATCAGGGTTAACTGGCCCAATAAAAAAAAAAAGTTAATATTCTGAGAAATTCTTAGAGACCTACCATCTTAATTGTGCTATAACCTAGCCAAAGGCTTATAGCTTATGCACAAACTTCCAGAATTAATGGGAACAGCTTCTACTATATCAAATGATATCATGGAAAATGTTCCAAGAACAATTTTTATAAAGCTTGGTTTCTGGCAAGTGTTTATGTCATCAGAAATCATTTAAGCCTATCATCTAATTTTTTGATTGAGAAATATGAGGTCCAGAAATATTTAATAACTAATTCAAGATCACAAATCTAGTTAGACTGAAGCACAGAACAACAATGTATGTTTCTGGATTCCCATTTCAATTACTATTTCACTGTCCATGTTTTCTTCACCATTGCATAGATTCAGCCACTTTCACCTGATGATACAAATCTTCAACCAATATTCACAGGTTTATGTTTGTACTCGATTTAAAATTTGGCCAGTAAGACCTACTATTGCATAATAGTAAAACTTTCATTTAATGAATGCTGTGTTATAATAATCAATACTAGGTAACAGTGCATTACTTTCATAACCCTATAAAGATCATAAAATCAGGTAACAAAAAACAAACCTTAAGAGACAACTACAGTTATTTATACCATTTTACAGAGAAATAACTTATGTTTCAAGGAGCTTAAATAAATTGTCCTTCGTAAAAAAGCTGAAAAGCTTGAAAAGTGAGGCCTGCATATCTATTTGACTCTTGAGAGCTACCTCAGTTAAATTCAGTTTTTTCCTTGTCTACATTTCTGCACAAAATTCATTTTCACTTGATTAGATGCTAAATATTGTCTTAATGGAGACTAATCATTATTCCTTATTTTGAAGATTTCTGTATTTTATACTCTTTCATTCTTTGAACTTAAAGGTACTTTAGAGTCTTTGCCAGGACTTCTAATCCTTATCATTTGTAGTTTTTGCATTTCTCAATGTAGTCTCTTTTTTTGCCATGGAAGATGGTATGCATCAATAGTGTTGAAGGGATTACAGACTCTTTTATTTATTTAATGTCATGCTTTACGAGGAATAGATAATAGAGTTTAGGACATAAATTCACACAGTATGCTGGAGAAATAATAATCTTATGTGTTTCAAAGCATAAATCCTCCAAGATGATTGAGGCATGAAATGTGTGACCAAAGAGAGAAAAAGTTTTTTGTTTTTGGGTTTGCAGCATTTCTTCTCTTGATTTGCAAAATAAATAAATAAATATGTATAAACATACGTGAATGAATGAAAAAAAAATGGAACAACCAATCCAGGAAACATGGCAAAACCACTCATGTTTACTCAATCATTCATTCAATGAATATTTTCTAAGCTTCAATATATAAATGACAATAGTGTGAATGTTGTAGAATATTTCAGGTATTGGTGTTGTATACAACTCACTTAAAACATTATAAATATGAATTGTAGAACAGATTCATAAATTATTACACAAGAACTAAAATACATTCATATGTATAATATGAGGGATGTAAGGTTTACTTCTACCCACAAGAGAAACATTACTGTAGCCAGAGCAGATAGCCATTAAGATCTACCAAAATTTGGAGCATTCTTCAATAGCACAGAGTCATTTAAAGTACAGAAAAAAAAAGATCATTTTTGAAAAAGTAAAGCAGAGTATAAAATCACATTACGTATTACTTCTAAATAACTTTTTTCTCCCAATATTCTATTTTACTTTCTAAAGGATGCATTTTAGAATTGATAACACCTAAAATGACTAAAGAAATATTACATGTGTGCTGATAATAGTGAAACAAAAACCTTTGAATTTACCAATTTATTCATGTGTGATCTGTAATTTTGAGATGATTTACATAATTACAATAAAAATAAAACAACTGTGCTCATAATTACTTCAGAAGGTATAGGCCCTTTAGTGAAAAAAAAAGATGAATATGCATTGTTAATATAATTTCTCTTTATCTTCCTAAGGCATTTCAGGTATTGTTTAAATATAGAAAAAAATACCGTAGTTTCAAGAAATAAATGGAGTAAAATGTTTGTATCTTTATTGGAGTTATTAAAAATTATTACATAATTAAACTTGTAGAATGTGTCTACATGAGATACTGATTCAAATATTTTATTCAGGATATTCTGTGTAGTAATAAACATATTCAGCCAAAATTTGTGTCAATGATTTTTCTAAATTCAACAAATTCTAATTTTCTCATTACCTTACAAAGCAGCACACTGTCAATGCTTTTTTATGTAGCTAATTAATTCCCACCAACTGCTTAGCAAGTAGAAGTTTCTAAAGCAAGGAAAAGTGGTAGTCAAATCGATGTTAATACATTAACACAATTTCAAATGCATTCTACATGTTCCATTAACCATTACTCATCCAGTACTTCTTCCATTTGAAAATACTTTCACTTTTCATTTTATCACAAAAAATTTCTTCTTTCAAACAGTATTATGCTACTTCTTGTAATTTCCTCTGAGGATCATCATCAAAGGGAAATATAAGAAATACAACAGGTGTTGGAACCACAAACACATTAAGCATTTAGACCACTTAAGGAACACTGAGCAGATACATCATTAAACATAGTAACATCTATGTTCATGGTAAAGCAAGAAATATGAAAAGTAATGCTGGTTATACATGTGATTCTTTTTTTTTCAAGAACAAATATGAAAGTGATCATAATTCTGTAACGTAATTGAATTTTTTAAAGTTCTTGTAATTTTAAATCAGCCTAGTTCCTCAATGATACATTTATCTTTTCCTCAGTAATAGATTTATTTAGAGGCAACTCTGAATATTTGAGAATGAGTGCTTCATAGTTTTGAACATCCATTCATTTATTTATTCATGATTTTTATTCACTCACTCATTCAATATTTACCTAATCGTTGAATAGAATACATTATTCTAGATATTTGGTATAAATAGGTGAAAAAAAATAAGACATGACCTCTGAAATCAAATTAGTCCATTATAGTAAAAAATACTGCATAGAAAAGTTACAAAAATGGACATTACTCCCAATTTTTTGTTAATGCTTTATAGTATGGTCCTGAATTAATTCAACAATTGAATATTTTTAATTTTCGTTTTTAATAGCTTATAGCATATAATATTTGGGATGCCAGATGTCAATATTTTAGCAATATTTACAATAGTTTACAATATTTACAATAATTTAGCAATATTGGCAATAATTACTTTGAATAGAAAATTTGCTTCTCACCAGCAATTGTGTAAGTAATAGATTACAATTTGCTTTCTGTAAAAAAAAAGGCAAAATTAAACAAAAAAATCACTAGTGTAGTTTTCAATGATACTGTCATTTGTATTTGAATAAAGGATGGGACAACTTTCCATTTCTTTTTCCAGAAATGACAGTAATAGTGAAAGGAGGAAGAGTAAATATTCTCAAATTTACCCCCCAATCTTTTGATGTGTAATTGTTTGAATGTTTTGACCCATAGAAGAAGAATTCTTGATGTGCTTTGAAGGATTTTACAATTTTATATGGATTAGTGGTAGGGGAATAAAAGAGAATTGGTCAGCTTTCATAAAGCAGTTTATATGAAGAAGTAGATGAGTGAAGTGAATGTAAAGCTAAGCAGATGAATGTCACGGATTTGTTCTGAGAAATGTGGCGTTGGGCAATTTTGTCCTTGTGCAAACATCATAGAGTGTAGTTTTACAAACCCAGATGGTAGACCCTACTATACCCCTAGACTATACAGTATAGCCTAGTGCTCCTAGACTAAAAACCTGGATAGCATGTTACTGTACTGAATAATGTAGGCAACTGGAACACAATGATATGTATTCGTGTATCTAAACATATCTGAACATAGAAAAGGCATAGTAAAAATATGCTATAAAAGATAAAAAAAAATGGTACACCTGTATAGGGCACTTACCATGAATGGAGCTTGCAAGATTGGAAGTTTCTCTGGGTGAGTCAGTGAGGGAGTTGTGAGTGAGTATGAAGGTCTAAGACATTACTATATACAACTGTAAACTTTATGAACACTGTACACTTAGGCTATACTAAATAAACAAATATATTTTTAAATAAGATAACCTTAGCTTACTGTAATTTATATTTTATAAACTTTAAAAAATTTTTTGACTCTTGTAAAAAGTTTAAGACACAAAGATATTGTATAGCTGTACAAAAGTATTTCTTTCTTTATATATTAATTGTATAAGCTTTTTTTCTTTTAAAAATTAGGCCGGATGTAGTGGCTCATGCCTGTAATCCCAGCACTTTGGGAGGCTGAGGCAGGCGGATCACAAGGTCTAGAGTTCCAGACCTGCCTGGCCAAAAATTAGCTGGGTGTGGTAGTACGCGCCTGTAATTCCAGCTGCTTACGAGGCTGAGGCGGGAGAATCGCTTGAACCCGGGAGGCGGAGGTTGCCGTGAGCCGAGATTGCGCCACTGCACTCTGGCCTGGGCGACAGAGCAAGACTCCGTTTAAAAAAAAAAAAAATTATTGTTTTTTAACTTCTTAAACTTTTTGTTAAAAACTATGACATAATCATACACATTAGCCTAGGCCTACACAAGGTCAAGATCATCAATCTTCCATCTTCACATGTCCTACTGGAAGGTCTTCAGGGTTAATAGCACACATGGAGCTGTCTTCAGCTCCATCCTAAGGTAACAATGTCTTCTTCCAGAATACCTCCTGAAAGACTTACGTGAGGGTGTTTTACAGTTAACTGCTTTTTTTCGATAAGTACAAGGTATACATTCTAAAATAGTAATAAATAAGTATATTATAGTAAAATACATACACCATGTATTAGTTCGTTTTCACGCTGCTGATAAAGACATACCTGAAACTGGGAACAAATAAAGGTTTAACTGGACTTACAGTTCCACATCGCTGTGGAGGTCTCAGAATCATGGCGGGAGGCGTATGGCTCTTCTTACATTGCGGCAGCAAGAGAAAATGAGGAAGAACCGAAAGCGGAAACCCCTGATAAACCCATCAGATCTCATGAGACTTATTCACTATCGCGAGAATAGCAGGGGAAGGACCGGCCAGTGATTTAATTACCTCCCTCTGGCTCCCTCCCACAATACGTGGGAATTCTGGGAGATACAATTCAAGTTGAGATTTCGGTGGGGACACATCTAAACCATATCACACCGGTAACATGGTTATTTATTATCATTATCAAGTATTATGTCCTGTATATAATTGCATGTGCTATACTGTCATGCAACTGACGGGTCAGTAGGTTTGTTTATACTAACATCAGCACAGGCACGTGAGTAATGCATTGTGCTATGATGGCTAGGATGGCTACATCATCAGCAAATAAAAGGAATTTTCAGCTCTGTTATAACCTAATGGGACCAGCATCATATATGCAATTCTTCATTGACAGAAATGTTGTTATGAGGTGCATGACTGTAGTTGGACTCCACAAATTGAAAAACATGATATAAAGACCATAAAATCCATGAGAATGTGAATGAGTCAATGGCAGAGAGTAAGAGGTAATAATTGTTTAAATAATAAAGCAAATTATTTAAATTCAGTAATTTTTAAGTATAGAAGTCCTATTGCTTAACTTAGAAAATTTTTAAGTAAAAATTATGAAGATAAAGAAAAAAAATTAGCAATTATCCTATCCCTGTAATGTAATCTCCATTAACATTTAGGGGTTTGTTCCTCCATGGATATTTCTATTTAGCACAGAATAAGTAATTTTTTCCTGTATTTTATAAAAGTGGCATCTATCTTTAGCTGCAGTTTGAGTTCAGATTATTTCACTTATTTTTCTCCAACAAGTTTTTTATAAGTGGCTTAACTTTGCTGTAACCATCCCTTATAATCTTTCTTATTGGAAGGAAATACTACAAAGCTTTGTGATTGTTGCAAGTTTGGGTATAATTGCAGTTATGAGAGCAAATCTTAATGTAAAAAAAGAAACTTCATTTTTATATTTAAATATTAACCCAGTGGGTTATGATCTGAGTTACTTCAAGTTTCTTGGTGTTACAACCTAACTACCTAATTTGTTTTTCAGATTTATGATGCTTTTTGAGTAACTATTGATAGCCTCCAAGAGTTAAAGATAGCTAGTGGCTGGATATTTTCTCTTCAAAAACTTTACTATCATGAGCTGTGCTATAACAAAACCCAAGTCACAGATTATATTCTGACATATTTGTTAGCAAGCAAACATGTGTGCACTCCATACACGTGTGTGGACACAGCTGTGCAATCTTTTCTGCAATCCTGACGAAGTCTCTCATTTCTGACTTTTTTAGACAATCAGGTAAATTCTTGGTGTGGACAATTTTTTTCAGCATTCAATTATCATTTAAAAATTATCCTGTGACAAAATATTTTGCTATTTTGATCCAAGAGAATGCGGGGTTCTAAGCCTAAGACTCCATTCTGATGAGGGCTTCTGGTTTCACTAGACCTTTAACTTATCAGAATTGAAGTTTCTGCAAGTATTTTTCCTTATCTGCATATTTTTACTACTGATCATTACCAACAAAAAATCATTTCTAACATTCATTATGTTAATTTATAAGCCCCTTAATGTTGATTGGACATAAAAAGAGTTGTAGCATTTATTTCTGGAGGAAAGTTTTTAATTAGATCTTTTAATACTAAATCAGACCAGTATGGAGATGATCAATATCTATATCCATATCTATATCTATATCTATATCTCTCATCTACATCTACATTTTGTCAACACCTTTATTTATGCCTATACACATATGCATTCTCTATATTAAAACATCTTAAATTGTAAATAATATAAAAACTGAGAGTTTATTTTTGGTACTTTAGGCTAATTGACATCTTCGTTCACAAAGTCCATTGTGGACAATCAGAAATAAGGTGATGCTGTTCCTAAGATTGTCCAAGGATCTCCTGTTAACTTGAATTAAGGGAAATTCCACTCTACAGGATTTTCACAGAATACTAGCATCTTATGTCTCTGCCCTGAGATAAACCTCACACAGTGTGCTCAGATACATGTTCAGAAGGACTTTTCTCCAGCTGTTGGATATTTTTGCAGTGAACAGCCCTCAACTCTTAGTCATTTCAAGAATTGTCTCAGTGAAGAAACACACCTTGGCCAATGTCATATTAACTTCCTATGGTGGCCACACTAAATAAACATGGGGTATAAAAAGGTCTGGTCCTCTTTCCCCTACTAGGAATTACTTTGAAGGGCCTTTTTAGATCCAGAGGTCCCCAAGGAGCCTACATGGCTGTGCAATTTCTCTACCTGGAAAATCGTACCTCCTTCCCTCTTTTACAGATGTTGATTCTGTGCTCGATCTCCAAAATCTGACCTCCATGCCAATCTGTGTCAGATTTTACTTTTCAGAAAACCCAACGCTTTGTCATTACTCACCTGTCAATAAGAGCCATAATACACTTCAATTCATAGAGTTAAAACACTGCAGTACCACTTATAGCATATTAATGTCTAGTTTCCCTGTAATGTTCTATGTCATTCTCTTGAGATCAACTCAAGCTCTCTGAAAGCTGGGGTAAAATTATTTTTTCACAGCTCCTGATGCTTAAGGTAAGCATTTATGCTCTTTACATTGGCTATAGCTAAGAATGCATTTTCTTACTTAAGGCTCACATCCATATTATTATTTATATTTCCTTTTTTATTTTATGTCTATTTTGGAGAAGTATAAAAAGTTTCAATAATTCTTTCAGGTCATTGAATTAAGTACATATCTGAGCTGGAATGAACACTATGATATGCTGTGTAATCAAGGTAGAACTGGAATTTTAAAACTTATAACATATATAAAACACTCAAAAATTGATTATATGAACTACAAATTTCCCATGTGCTAAAAGCACAACTTCCTTGGAAGTATCAAAAGAGCCTACAGATCTTGAAGGATTTAAAAATGTTCTGCTTCAACATTAAAATATTATCTATGTGTCAATCATTCTCTTTGATATATGCCATTCTTAACAGAATGGAAGTATTTAATATTTTCAATGCAAACAGTAAAATGTTTACAGCTAAAGATACAACTCTGTGTTAATTAGACAAATAATTTGCAGTAAAATGGGTTTGCTTAATTTTTTGTTCTCATAGCAAAACGATTCTAGATTTTATGTCCCTTTCGGAGAGAATCTTAGTTGTTCTGTTTAATCTACCAAACAGAGCAACGCATTTTTATTGTGGAATATTCATGTTAATAATATATCAAAACCAAGATATGTACCTGGAAAGAACAAGTAAAACAGTACCTGCCCAATCAGAATTTGCCATAGAAGGAGAAATTGGAAGCTCATCTGGGGCCAAAGAGAAGAAAGTGATCTGAGAGAAACCTCAGGAAGAAGAGCCAAAATGGGCAAGGTGCCAGAGTAACTGCTAGTTTCCACTAAGACATACAGTTTTGCTTTTGTTTTTCCAGTGTAGAAAATTAAGATGTAAGGTCTGAGAAACTATGAAATCAACTAGCTTTGGCATTTTGAATTACAATAGAATGCAGCATAAAATACTCTAGAATAGTGAAAAACAAACAAACAAAATAAACCTCATACACATTAGAATGGAAAGTTTTGAGTTTCCAGAATAAATTATAAAACCAAAGAGGTATTTTAGTTTTGAGTAAAATACATCTTTATGTTTAAACAATGGTAAAGTCAATTCATTCAAAATGTTGATGTGTGTATACACACACACACATTCACACCACACAAACATGTACACAATATGCCTACATAAATACATATTAAAGAAACTAGAGGTTTTCCAAAAGCATCCACTTTTCCCATGTGACATTTGAGTCAATTGAGACAGGGATGCAAAATCAGGTGAGAGGAGATGAAATTAACATTTTTATTAGAGGCGAATGTTAGATTGAAAGACATGGCACACATGTATGTCAAACAAAGTTGCAAATCTCTTAGTAAGTGATGGGGGGCAGAGCCGTGTAACTGTTTTGTACAGCGAGGCTTTATTAAAGAAAATGAGAAAAGAGCTGTTTGATCTGAGCATGGTCACTCTATTCACCCAATTACATTAATCACATAGCTCATATCTTATCTAGTGAAAACACAGAATAAAGGTCGATGACAGGGAAAGACTGATTCCAAAGTTACTTTGCATGGAACATGACAATTCCAGAATAAGTGTCCACTCGTGCATGTATCTACATGGATTTTTATAGATAGAAAATTCCTCCCAATGTTTTCAATGTTCTCTGTTTTGGTTCAGAATTTCTTATTGGCAGGGCTTAATGAGAGGGTAGTGGAAAAATATGTTGTATGTGTTATTTGCATATAAACCATCTAATATCTTAGCATTCCTTTTTTGTATTAATCATATGAATTCATGGTATTCGTATGACATTACAAGCCACTATTCTCACCTATAAGTAGATTAAATGTTAAATAAATGTCAGTGGGCCATGTAATGGCCTTTGTTCATAACTGCAGATTTTAGTGTCAAGAAGAAGAGCAGTAGATTTTGCCTCATCTTTAGCAAGCAAACTTATTTTTTTGAATAAAGGAAATGGAAAAGATTCATAGTTTCAAACTATGATTAATTTAGCATCAACATATTTATTTATCTACAACGTATTCAATCAATAAATGTGTCTCAATTTATTAATTCTCTCCTGGATACCAGATAATTCAGTAATTACTGAGAATACAAAAAAGGGATACAATATATATTACATAAATTAAGGAGATTGCAATATAATCTAGTGAATGCTTAGAGGAATGTTTATTTTCCTTCTGTGTTATTATAGGAATATAATCTAGCTCCTTCTATATAGTGGAGAGAGATTTGAAATGGGCATCATTGCAGTCTTTTCACCCCCTCACTCTTCCACATAATAGAAGTAGTGCTAATTGGAATAAGCAAAACCTAGAATGTTAACTGGGATATGGGTTTATTAGGAGATAGAGTCACACTAACTAGTAAGGTCATTAACTCTTATGCCAGAAACTGTGTGCCAGTCAAGCAGTCAATACTCCAAGGAGCTGGATAGTAGCTCTGACTGAGTCTTCCATATGGATCGAATTCACCCACTTCTTATGGTCTACATTTAGACTTGGAGTAGGAGGCTTTATCATTGGTCTTTTACCCCTTTTATTAAGAAGTACTGCAGGTTAGGGATTATTGCATACTTGCCTGTAATAAAGCCAATATTTTTGATGCTTATTGGTCTTTATCTTTTTTTCTCTTTATATTTTATTACTTTGAAGACAGCAATGTGTGATTTGTATCAAACTAAAACATACTAGGGAACATACTGGAGAGGGTAAATGTAAATTAATAATTGTAAATATAAAAATTAATGTGTGTCTATTATTTTAAGTTAGGTTTTTTGCTGAAGAGTCTCAGGTTTGAGAATCAGAAGTACCTGGAAACGGTCATAGACTTTGGATGGCAGACAAAGTACTTTTGGTTATACAGATAATGGGAATTAATGTTTGTACAGTACTTATTACAGAGCACCTCTATGTTAACTGCTTTACATAGAATATCTCATTTACTCCTCACAACCAAATGCACATAATAATGTTGGAAGCAACATCTTAATAAGTGTTTCAGATGCACTAGGACTATTCTAAGTAATATACATAAACTATCACATTTAGTTCCCCAAAGTGCTACGTGAGGTAAATACTGTTATAATCTCTATTTAACAAGTGGGACACTGAGGCATAGAAAATTAAGTAAATTGCCTAAGATTACACAGCTATTACTTCTAAGATGTTCTGATGTCAGGGGATCTACGACAAAATATGATTTACAAACTCTCATGAGCATACAAATGTAGCACAATTGATAATCTTAGTTTTAAAATGACAAAGAGAAAGCCAGAGAAACATCAGAGAATGGAGGAAAACAGAAACTAACTTTGAAATCTTGGAGGCCAAACTATTCTTATGTGAAAGGAAAAAGAAATATACCCAGAATGATATAGCTGGAACTAATGGCTTTCAAATGTGGAGCTAGGAAAGAGGATGATATTTTATTCATGACAAAATCAGTGAGGATTTCTAGGGCTCAGAGAACTCTTAACAGAGGAAAAAAAAGAAAATCTCAGAGTATACAAAAATGTTCCCCTAAAGGGAAACTATATCCAAAAAGTTATTGAGAGGCAGTTTCTCAAAGTTAAGATAGGAAGTCAATAACAAAGCAGGCAACTAGAGAAAATCTATTACATGACTAGGATCATTATATTTGCCACTTCTACCACATTTGAATGGATCTGTGAAGGGAAAACTGGGAATTCCAGTTAGAATATCTCAGAAAACAGTGATTATAAAAGTTATACGGTTAGTATAGATGAAAACTCGGATTTATAAAGAAACAAGACATTTATATGTAGCAAGTGACTCTTCATAATAAGTGAGTCTCAAACTAAGTTAAAATTTGGGCTAGTGGAAGGATGTTCCCAGTACAGAAGTGTCCTACAAAGTCAGGTTAAAACATTAGAATTGGCTTCAGCAATAGACATTTTGTGCTGGCCTACAACTTTTTTATTTCCTGTTTTATATTACAGAAGAATTTACTAGGCTATTTTTGACATAGTGTGCTAATAATGACTATACTTTAAAAAACTTTTTCTCTTAAAGCAGAAAGAAAAAGCATCTTCATCTTAAAAGATTTGTATTGTCAATAACTATACAAACTGAGGAAGGTCTAAGGAAGAAAATAAGGTGGTTCTCAAAGATGAAGAATAAATCAAGTTAATCTGATAAAAATGTGTAGATAACAGAGAACTGAAAGCTGTTGGACATAACTGTTTTGCACTTGGACAGGTATGAGTCAACTGTTGCCATAGTAATGTTGCATAACAAACCATTCCCAATCTCAGTGGTTTACAGCACAATCATTTATTCTTATGCAGGTCACCAGGGCAACTCTGGTTCAGTTGACCCAGGATTGGTTTGACTGGGTGACTCTTCTTCAGGTTGTGGATCAATTACCCCTGCATTAGGCTGTGATTAGTTTTAGTTTGGGTTCTAGATTGACGGGAATGTGCCTACCTCGGGCACATGCCTCTCAGAGCATAAAACCAGATCACAAGCCTATGTAAGAACTCTGCTTTAAAAACAAGTGTTAACATTTCATTAGCCAAAGCTGGTCAAATATTCAAAGTCAATATCAATGGTACAGGGATATATATTCCACTTTCAGTGGGATACAGAAATAAATAAATATTTTCTAAGCAATAATTTAGACTATTATAAGACAATAAAAGGTTAAAAATGATAAAATTTCAAGAATTCTAAGACCAAAATTCTTTCAGATTGAATAGATGTTCTGGATTAGAGAAACTTTACTCTCAGAAGACAGAGTTGATAGAACCATTATGAAGCACATTAATCTGGCAAATGGAGTCACAGATAAAAACAATACAAAGCTCACTGATATATTTAGAAACAAATATGGTCAAAACGACTACGTCTTGTATCTCTTAGATTCAGGAAATAAATCCCAGAGCCATGGAGAAAATCTGTATTTAAATAGATCTAATCATCTAGCTCAGTGGACTTTAAATTTCACCCAAGTGCTTTGGTTAGCCTAATGGAACTTACTCTACAGAGAATGAAACTGTTGAGTGAATGAGACAGTGGGTGCTACAGGAAATAAACAAGGATGTTAAAAGACAGTTCAAGTGAGAAATGAGGGTGGGGTGACATTGACTAGATTTCTGAGACCTTTAAATTAAAAGCTTCCGGCAGTCTGAAGAAATGAATTCTAAACATATATTTACCTAATAGACAATACAAATAGAAATTGTAAGAGGTTAGGTGATGACAGTGTGAAATGCACGCATGACTATAGGAGAAAATGACAGAAGGAAGAGAGGATAGAAGTGGGGTTAAAAGGAGGAAAGGAGAAAGAAAAAGGAAGTAAGAAAGCCAGGAAAACTAATGGAAAATTTAGGTAAATCTAAAAATAAGTTAAAGGTAGAACTTCTTAGGTTTTTATGACTAAGTTGACAAAAAAGTACATAACCTAAAAACAGTAAGTGTGTGTATGTGTAGATATATACAGAAAGAGAGTAAACGGCTAACCTCAGACTTCTTAAAATCTACTAAACTGAAAACAAGTATTTTCCTTTCTAAAACTGATCCAAAAATCAAGTAATTGTAAAGAAAATATTTATAAATATGCTTACATTTAAAATAACTTTTATTCATTAAATGTGCATATAAAGAGTAGAAAGATAAAGAGGAAGAAAATAATATTTGTAATGTTTATATTTGTTTATAATACGGAAAAAAACCCTAATACCTAGAAAATATAAAGAACACCTATCTTTATGGAGAAAAAGCTAGACAATCAAAAAGGAAGCAAAATACTTGAGCAGGCAACCCATGTGCAGACATGTGCACACACACATTAAGGAAAATAAATATCTACATGAAAAGATATTCATTTCATTAGAAATAAGAAAAATACAAATTAAACATCAAAAAGTAATATTTTACTCCCATCACAGTGGGGAAAAGGTAAAATCCTAAAAATGCCAAGTGCTGGCAAGCATACTGTGTACTAGGAAATTCCAAATATTGCTAGGAAAATTTTTGCAATAATTTTGGAAAATTATGTAATATTATTTAAGAAATTTAAAGATGAACATAGCATATAACTCAGCAATTCCACTTCTGTGTATATGTCATAGACTTGTACTGTTCAGTAAAGTAGCCAGTAGCTGCATGTGACAATTTAAATTAAAATTTAGATAAAATCAAATTAAAAATTCAATTACTTAACTCAGTTACACTTACCACATTTTAAGCACTATGTAGTGACATATGGTTTGTGGCTACCCTTTTGGACTGCACAGATAAAATTATTTTAAACATATGAACACTGAGACATTTACAAGAATAATCTTTGCAATATTGTTTATGACAACCATAAACTGGAAATAACTCAAAGGCTCAACAATTTTAAAATGTATAAAATAGTTGTAGTATATCCATACAATTCCATACTCCAAATAAAATGAAAGAAAGTGCTACACATAACAGAGTGGATAAATATTTAATGAATACACTTGTTAAAATTGCATTCATGTAAAGGTCAACCAAAACAGAAAACAAAACAAAACCAAAATTCTGTTATATGGATTGGCATGGAACACGTGAATGGGAAATTATCTAAAAACTCAAGAAATGACACATCTAGACCTGCACACACACACACACACACACACACACACACACACATACACACACACACACACACACACAGACAGAGAAAGAGAAAGACAGAGAGAGAGAGAAACAGAGAGAAAGCGAGGTAATCAATATGAATAAATGAATGGTTGTTTCACGCGCGTCCATGTGAAGATACTACCAAACAGGCTTGTGTCAGCAACAAGGCTGTTTATTTCACCTGGGTGCAGGCGGGCTGAGTCCGAAAAGAGAGTCAGCGAAGGGAGATGGGGTGGGGACGTTTTATAGGATTTCAGTAGGTAGTGGAAAATTAGTCAAAGGGCTGTTCTCTGGCTGGCAGGGGCGGGGGTCACAAGGTTCTCAGTGCGGGGGACCTTTTGAGCCAGGATGAGCCAGGAGAAGGAATTTCATAAGGTAATGTCATCAGTTAAGGCAGGAACATGCCATTTTCACTTCTTTTGTGATTCTTTAGTTGCTTCAGGCCATCTGGATGTATATGTGCAGGTCACAGGGGATATGACGGCTTAGCTTGGGCTTAGAGGCCTGACAGATTGAATATTGAATATGTGAGGAATCCATATTATCCTAAACTTTCCAAGGTCGGATAACCGTCTGGGATTGGGATGGAGGGAAAAATAAGTTTTTATTTTATTTTATTTTACTTCAGATATATTATGTTTAAGGAAAGATCAGCATATACAAGTTAAAATATTAATCAGGCAGCTATAAATTTAAAGCTGAAATCACAGAGATTGGTTTGGACTGGATTGGTAGATTTAAGTAAGGATCAGCCATATAGGGATAAGAGTTGATGCTGTGAGATTAGGTGAAATTCTTAAAAACTAGGCTCTAGGAAGAACAAGTCATAAAATAAAAGGAGACAGAAGGAAGGAAAGACAAATCCTCTTAATGGACTTGTAGCAGGCTGCCCAAAGACATTAACTCTGCATGTATTCAGTGCACCAGTGCCATAGCCTTCCCATACTACAATGGAATAAATAAATCTGAATCTCCCCAGCTTCCAGGAAGAAAAATTGACACTGAACCTCTGCATGTTCAACTCTTTATTTTAGAGACAAGAGAAATAATTTCTAATCTTTCAAAGTCAGCTGAAACTTCAGTTCCTGGGGTAACCCTTCATTTTCCACTGCCCTTGGTCTAATTCAGGCATGTTAATAAGGCTCTTTTATTTTCTTTGTAGCAATAAGCATAGATTGGAATTAAAAATCTACGGTATGCACACGACTGCTTTACTATGATTGCCTCCTCCATTAAGTTCTACAAAAGCAAGAAAAATGTCAGTTTATCTCACCATTTTATCTCTGGCTTCTGTGCAGAAGAGGTACAAAATATGTATTTGTTAAACAACTGTTCAACAGAATAAATTAGTTAGAACTTTGTCTGTTTTCATGTGTGGCATAGCTGTGCATGATTCCGTCGGTCCTGTATTGACTGTTTGACAAAAAATGTATATAAAGGAAGAGCAAGGATCCAGTGAAGTAAATCCTTTCTTTACTTCTGAGGTTTTACTGGACATTTCCAATAATCATGAACATATGTACATAAAATTCCTCTTTCTACAGGGTGCCAACACAAGGATATAAATGCACAAATGTAAAAAAGAGGAGACTCAAGTCTAGGTAAAAACATAAACTATCAATAAATTGAATTCAGTAGTCCTTGTCTTCTCTTTCATTTTCTCCACATTTAAAGGCTGGAGCTATCACACATAAGGGCATTTTACCCTATGTCTTCAATTGTAGAACAGATGGTGTTAAAATAAACGAGCATCTCTGAGAAGTGGGCTTTAAGTTCCAGGAAGGTTTCCTAGGGATGAAAGCTTAAATATGATTTTCTCTGGAAGAGGGGAAGCTATTGTGGATACATTTCAATTCATTCCTTACTTTGTGGATATCAATTCTGAAAGGAAAGGAGACTGCTTTTAGAATTTTGGAAATATTATTCATTTTTTTCCTTTGTATTTGCAGGGTTAATTGTTAATTGTTGTACTAAGCCCCAATCATTAAAGGTTTACAAAATTAAATGTGAAGATTAGGCATTTACCAATTCCCAGGCTTAGATATAATCCAGGATGTACATAAATTGAAATTGGCATATACATGCCTTCAACTCTACCAGATGTTCTGAGAAGTCTTTGGAAACTTGGGGATTATCACCATAATATTGATTTGGTGAAACGCATGTGGCTAGATATGTCAGAATAAATAGGTTTGTTCAGTATTTTTTGACAACGAAATTTAGAAAAACTCATATAAGCTCACACCGCATGTCTTTTAAGGCATTTTGCATTCTGTCCTTTTTGCTAAGATCAGATGATTTAGGGTAGTATATTTCTGACTTTAGTTTTGGATAAAAGTTATAATTTTCACAAACATTTTATTTAAGATTATATATAAATTAAATTTAAAGAAAAAGCAGTGTTCAAAGTTCTATAACCAAGTTGATCGGAAGATATTTGCACTTTTATAAATATCTAAGTAAGATTAGGTCTGGATGGGCGGACTTTTTGTAGGAACACCCTGGGTTTCTACAAATTCTAACATAATGTGACAATTGTTTAATGACTGATGCAAGAGCTATGTAAACAAAATATTTGAAATAGGATAATTAATTTTTGTACTTTGTTGTGATGTTAGAGATGATTAACTGGATATTTTCTTAGATATTGATGAGATAATGAAGCTAAATCATGCTTTGCAATTTTATTTTCTGAAGAGGAATTATGTAAAAACTGTGGGCAATGGCCTGGATAGTTTGCTTGTAGGAGCCATTTTTTAAAATATTGAATCAAGTTTTACATCATTTTAATACTGAAATTTCTCATTGCTTGGTTGCCAATGGTAGCAAGAAATTGCAAAAGAACCAGAGACATGTTTTTTGACCATGTATTCAGACTCTTTCCCAATCACAGACATCTATGCCCTGACCTAATGGGTCACGTCATTACTAGAAGTCAATGTCACAATACAAGACTTCTCGTAATCCTGCTGTTTTATATTGTTTGGTTACCTTGTTTTGCCTATGTATTTATATCTAACTTATCTATTTATTTGTATAAATGATTTGAGGTAACGTAAACTTCAATAAAAGCAACTTTATCAAATAAGAAGAAGTATAACGGAGAGAACAGGCAACTCAGTTAAAATACTTATTTTAAGCTTTACGGTGTACAAAATACATAGGTTTATGTAACATAAGAAAGTTTATCAGCTATTCATGAAACCATTATTTTCCAGAGATGCTAAAGAAAAAAGTCTGATGTAAATCTCTATGTTTTAGAAATTTTAACAGGATACTTTTAATAATGCAGTTATTTAAGTTTCAATTATTTAAATAGTCTCTATGTGAAATTCACTGAAACCAATTTTAAAATTTATTGTAGATTTATCTGTGCACATTTGCAATGTCTTTTTTTACTGTAAGTCAGTCAAAGGGAAAATATGCATTTTTTAAACTCTGTCTTCAGACTACAAATTGTGTTGGGAATATTAGGTGTGAATATACAGCCTAGAACTATAGAGTTGAAGAACATGATAAAGTGACTGAAAGTGCTCATTTGCATGTTATCCTAGCTGTTGGAAACTCTTCACAAAGTACCTATGACTGCTTTCTTGTGGAAATGCTAAATTATTGTTTATGTAGTATTTTATGCAAAAAGATTATATTCTTTGAGTACCAGGAGATGTTTATTAGCAGAAGGTAAAACATGATTGAAATTTAATTCAAAACTTTCTAAGAAGTTCTGAAGAAAGGTCAATTTAGAATTATTAACAGCAGGACCCAGCAACTTCTTAAAATTTCAAGTAAATTATTTTTCAGGCCTTAATATATCTGGAATATTTATCACTTTAGTTTCCTTAGGTACTTATATAATTTTTAGTATTGTGTATAAATTGTTAGATGTTTCAAATATAAATTAACACACTTTATATGTAGAAAAGTTTTAGATTTATTAAAAACACACAGGTACTAAAAAATGTTCCTATATAAAAATATGAGAGCTTCCTTGATTTTCTCAAACTTCATTTTGAGTAATCACTGTGAGTATTCCTGGAGGTGAAACCCACAAAAACATAATGGTCAGATCTACACGTTCATTTATAAGCATATATAATTTTGCTCAGTCTTTTGATTTCTTCTTAACTGAGTACGTGAGGAATTTATGGATTTATTTTTGGTTGTAAAGACTATATTGTGGACTTATCCTTTATTTTTTATTTATTTCCTATTTCCTTAATTTTAAATTTTAACAGAATTGTTTCTTCCTTTTTACTATCTTGGCTAATGCAGTAGCCTTTTTACTAATTTCTTAAAGTTAGTATTAAGATTTTTTATTAAGTTATGTGTTTCTATTGAATAGTTATTTTGGGGATTTTAAAAATTCTTTAATTACAGCTTTTGCTGAGATCCATAGATTTTGATTTTAAATGTTCTAATTCCAAGCAAACTATCCAGGCCATTCCTTGAGAATTGTGACTTTGTTTTTTAATTTTTCACACTTTTTCTTGTGAAATGAACACAGATACAGGGAGTCACTTAACAAAAATGAATAGCATAATGAATTAGTATAAGATGAGCCCTTGTGGTATTACAACCAAAAAAGAAATCGAGCATTGCTGGCCATCCAACAGTGATCTCACATCCCTCATAAGTAATCACAATCTTGAATTATATAGAAACTACTCCCTTACATTAAAAACATTATGCAAGTGTGCAGGGTAGTTTAGGTTTGTCCATTGGGAAGCAAACAAAAAAGATTTGTCTGCCATCTTTTCATTCAATATATCCGTATCCATCCCATTAATTTTCTTAAAATTTATCTCTTGCATCAACCATTTGACCTGGAGAGTTTTCTATAGGCCAGATGTTGCTGAGTGCAAATTCACAGTGTGGTTCAGTTTGTAGCTCTGACCTCTGTGTCTCCTAAAATCAGCAGCTAAATCTAGATCATTGGTCTAAGTTCAGCCCCTGTCAAGACATTGGGAAATGGTTTTCATCAGAAAAATATTTCTAATTATCCTCATGTTTTGTAATATCAGAAAACTATTGAAGCTCAATGCCTAGATATATTAATCCATTAGGGTTTTCAATACAGTGATATTATAATTGAACTATTTCTTTTTCATTCATTAGTTGAAATTCGTTAATACATAGTCACAACTCCTATACTACATGGTTACAGAGTGATATAAGAAATAAAGACTAAATCCTTTATTGATTTTCTTTATTTACTAACTTTTAAGATAATAATTGGTTCCCTATTACTATCCAAATATAGATTTTTAAAAATCATAGTGAGACAGCACAATTAAGCATATTAGATTGGTTTCAATCCATTGTAACTGTTATTGTTTGATCAGTGCAGCCTGTTCAATATAGGAGTTCAGATATATTTATTCATTCTTGCTTTATACCTAGTTGTTCTTGATTTCTTATTGTTTCAAAAATTATAATTCTTACTGAAGTTCTGTAATGTTCTGTGAACTCTGTGAATTTGCCTTGCTCTTACTTATATTATTATTTTATGTCTTGTATTATTTTATTAAGATTTGTTAGCCCGTGATGAAATAGCAGGTAATGGTACCTACAAGCTTTGTGCACATCTCTGATGTATTCTCATTGTCTGTAGGAATGCTCTTCTGTTTCTTTTTTTAGGATCTTGGTGTTTGTTTGCTGTACCTCATGTACACTGAAGCTGCCCAACTCTTTTGTTTCTTATTGCCTAGAAGCATCTAGAGTGTGCCGGGTCTTGTCAGCTCTCTGAGACAAGAGAGACAGATCCTAGTACTTTGAGCAGCCCTCCTGAAATGTCAGAACATTGCACCTATAATCCTGTCTTTTTTACTCCTCTTCCCAGGAAGAATCCAGGAACTAGGGGTTTCTTCGCAGTCATGTGGCATTCTGCTGGGAAGAAAGACTATTGTGAGAGAGTGGCATAGATTTTCCTACCAAACTTGATGTGGCTGATTTCACACTTGCCTTGATTTAAAAGTCTCTTAAATCTTTTCTGGATTTTCACAAAGGGTATTGGTCCATGTATTGCTGTGAAATCAATATCTCCAAGGGAGGATGTCAGATCTGGAGTTTTCTACTCTGCCAACTTGCTGACATCAAAAACTTTCAAAAGTTCTTTTAGGTATAAGCAGTATATTTTGCTGCCTTATTTCGTTAAAATTAATTTTCAATCCTGAAGAAGATTCATATGTATATAATTTCATGGTTTTCTTTGTTTTTAATTTTTTTTTTTTTTTGAGACAGAGTCTCACTCTGTTGCCCAGGCTGGAGTGCAGTGGTGCTATCTTGGCTCACTGCAACCTCCACCTCCTGGGTTTGAGTGATTCTCATGCCTCAGCCTCCTGAGGAGCTGGGACTACAGGCACACACTACCACACCTGGCTTTTTTTTTTTTTTTTTTTTTTTTTTTAGGAGAGACAGGGTTTCATTATGTTGACCAGGCTGGTCTCAAACACCTGACCTGAAGCGATCCTCCTGCCTCGGCCTCCCAAAGTGCTAGGATTACAGGTGTATGCCACTGTGCCTGGCCTGATTTCATGGTTTTCTAAGAGAAGGAGCTTTTATTATTTTAATTCCATAGTGGCAAAAGATAACATTATCAAATTAGTGCAAAAGGATCTATTAGAGGAAAAATGCCCTGCAGATAAAATATAAAAAGTTAATTAATATGTTTAACATCCAAAGAAGACTTGTAAATTAATCTGAAAGGCATGCTACTAAAAATTAAGAGGTTAAATAAAGAACAGAAATAAGGAATATATAGCAATGCAAATGTGGACGGCCAATGTTGAAAAAATACTGAACTTTCCTAGAAGTTAGGGAAACTCAAATTGAAGGAACAGTTATAATCCCTTCTTCAAAGGATTGTTGTATTTCAAATGAAATAGTTTAGATCTGTTCTGTCAGTTTAGACTTAGTTTCATTTTATGCAACCACTACATGATGTTAAAGTAAATAATGATTTTGTTTTTCTCATGATAAAGTCCCTTGTTATTTGCTAATTCAGAGTTAGTACAACTGCTTCATTGGTGCCAGATAATATTAAAATACCTTGTAGATGTATACTCAATCAACTTTAATTTATTGTTTATTTATTTATAGATTTATTTTCATGTATTTATTTATAGATTTATTTTCATGTTGTGAAAAAAGTAAAAGAAAATGAACAGTAGAGCATGATTTTAGAAGTGTTGCTCAAGTCTTTAGTTTCAATTACATATTCAATTTGTCAGAACTGAGTCTCAGTCACCACCAGTTTCAAAGGAATCTAAGATCCGTGTTTCCAACTAGGCATAATACTGTCTCTCAAAATACTGGAATATTATTAAGATTACAGTATATAATGGATATTTATTTGTTCAAAAGCAATGTTTGCCCCCTTATGTTATTTTAAGGTTACACAATTTACCTGCATACTTCTCAAAAGTAAGTGCTGGATCTTACATTGT
Source organism: Homo sapiens (assembly GCF_000001405.40). Classification (NCBI taxonomy): domain Eukaryota; kingdom Metazoa; phylum Chordata; class Mammalia; order Primates; family Hominidae; genus Homo; species Homo sapiens. The sequence continues at coordinate 34,056,616 of NC_000004.12, forward strand.
ACTTTTTAAGCTGAGCAATAATCATTTAACTTTCTGTGGTCAAATTTCAGACAAGATAGCTATAGACATTTTTATATGTAGTACAGATATTATCAGTGAAATAAATTATAGAGCATAATATAAGGAAGCAGAAGATCATCCACTGTTGATAGTTGGGAAGGGAGGATACATTAACATTGGTGGATAATTTCCTGGGTGAATGACAACAGTTTTGTAAAATGTAGCTTTAGATAAGTAGAGATATATTTTGCTTTTGTGTGTAAGTTTACCTTGCATAAATATTGCATATTTGAAAAGTTGTTAATATTATATACAGGAAGTTGTTGGTATTTTTAATGATTTTAATCATGGTAAAATGTGAACTAATTATTCTTGCCTAGAATAATATTATTACTATTAATAATTACTATGTAGAGGTGAATCAGCTGCAGTTGACATAATACCTACTGGAGAAAATAATGCAAAAGAAAATATGAGGATGAAGATATTTCTGTAATTTAGCTGGGCTCAGTGATAGGCTAAATTGTATCCAATATATTTTATCAGAATGGCTAAGAAACAGGTTCAAACAGAGACAGGCTGAAAAACACTATTTTTCACTATGTCTTCATTTACTTGTCCTCTTAAAAAGTTTTGCACCTTTGGTATAGACTTTTAAAGTATTGACCAAATTGCAATGTTAGTCATTTTGGTTTTGTTTTGCACCCATTTTCCATTTTCACTCCATTTTACCCACAGGAATTCAGACAGGAAGTTGAGATGAAAACTGTGTCGTCTTTATAAGAATATTGATTAGGACTCATTTCTCCATCTTAGCATTGCCAAACTTGTGTAAAAGTATACTCTATGATATCAACTCATGGGGGCTTAACAAACAGAAACAAGTTCTGTATTAGTCCATTTTCACACTGCTGGTAAAGACATATCTGAGACTGGGAAGATAACGAGGTTTAATTAGACTTACAGTTCCATATAGCTGGGGAGGCCTCAGAATCATGGCAGAAGGAGAAAGGCACTTCTTACATGGTGGCAGCAAGAGAAAATGAGGAAGAAGCAAAAGCAGAAACCCCTGATAAACCCAACATATCTCGTGAGACTTATTCATTATCACAAGAATACCATTGTGAATGGCCAGTCCCCATGATTCAATTACCTCCACCTGGGTCCCTCCCACAACACGTGGGAATTCTGGGTGATACAATTCAAGTTGAGATTTGGGTGGGGACACAGCCAAACTATATCATTCTGCTCCTGGCCCCTCCAAATCTCATGTCCTCACATTTCAAATCCATTCATGCTTCCCCAACAGTCCCTCAAAGTCTCATCTCATTTCAGCATTAACTCAAAAGTTCACAGTCCAAAGTATCATCCAAGACAAGGCAAGTCCTTTCCATCTCTGAGACTTTAAAATCAAAAGGAGATTAGTTACTTCCTAGATACAGTGGGTGTGCAGACATTGGGTAAATACAGCCATTCCAAGTGGGAGAAATTGGCCAAAACAGGCTCCAGGTCCCATGCAAGTCCAAAATCCAGAGAGGCAGTTAAATCTTAAAGCTCTAAAATGATCTCCTTTGACTCCATGTATCACATCCAGGTCATGTTAATGTAAGAGGTGGGTGCCCATGGTCTTGGGCAGCTCCACTTCTGTGGCTTTGCAGGGTACAGCCTTTTTCCTGGCTGCTTTCATGGGCTGGCGTTGAATGTCTGTGGCTTTTTCAGGTGCATGGTGCAAGCTGTTGGTGCATTTACCATTCTGGGGTCTAGAGAACGGTGGGGCCTTCCCACAGCTCCATTAGACAGTGCCCCATTAGGAACACTGTGTGGGGGCTCCAACCCAATATTATGTTTCTGCACTGTCCTAGCAGAGGTTCTCCATGAGGGACTCACTCCTGCAGCAAACTTGCCTGGGCACCCAGGCATTTCCATACAACTTCTGAAATTTAGACAGAGGTTCCAAACCCTCAATTCTTGATTGCTGTGTGCCCACAGGCTCAACACCATGTGGAAGCTGCCAAGGCTTGAGGCTTCTACCCTCTGAAGCCACAGTCCAAGCTGTACATTGGCCCCCTTCAGCCATGGCTGGAGCAGCTGGGACACAGGGTGCTGAGTCCCTAGGCTGCATACAGCACAGCAACCCTGGGCTTGGCCCACAAAACCACTTTTTCCTCCTGGGCCTCTGGGCCTGTGATGGGAGGGGCTGCTGTGAATGTCTCTGACACAACCAGGAGACATTTTCCCCATTGTCTTGGGGATTAACATTAGGCTTTCTGCTACTTATGCAAATTTCTGCAGCCAGCTTGAATTTCTCCCAAGAAAATGGGTTTTTCTTTTCTACTGCATTGTCAGGCTGCAAATTTTCCAAACTTTTATGCTCTGCTTCCCATTTAAAATGAAATGCTTTTAATAGCACCCAAGTCACATTTTGAATGCTTTGCTGCTTAGAAATTTCTTCTGCCAGATATCCTAAATAATCTCTCTCAAGTTCAAAGTCCTACACATCTCTAGGGCAGGGAAAAATGCCACCAGTCTCTTTGCTAAAACATAACAAGAGTCACCTTTGCTCCAGTTCCCAACAAGTTCCTCATCTCCATCTGAGACCACCTCAGCCTAGACTTTATTGTTCATATCACTATCAGCATTTTTGTCAAAGCCATTCAACAAATCTCTTGGAAGTTCCCAACTTTGCCACATTTTTTCTTCTTCTGAGCTCTCCAAACTGTTTCAACCTGTTACCGAGTTCCAAAGTCATTTCCTAGTTTTGGGGTATCTTTCCAACAATTACCCCACTCTACTGGTACCAAATTACTGTATTAGCCCATTTTCATGCTGCTAGTAAAGACATACCTGAGACTGGGAAGAAAAAGAGAGTTAATTAGACTTACAATTCCACATGGCTGGGGAGGCCACAGAATCATGGCAGAAGGAGAAAGGCACTTCTTACATGGTGGCAGCCAGAGAAAATGAAGAAGTAAAAGCAGAAACCCCTGATAAATCCATCAGATCTCGTGTGACTTATTCACTATCACAAGAATAGCAGGGGAAAGACCAGCCCCCATTATTCAATTACCTCTGCCTGGGTCCCTCCCACAACACGTGGGAATTCTGGGTGATACAATTCAAGTTGAGATTTGGGTGGGGACACAGCTAAACCATATCAAGTTCTTAATGCATAAAAAGAAGAATGGCTGTTTACACCATTTCGGGTTATATGTTATTTATACACCACAGGTATTGAACTATATACACAAGTTATAACACATTGCAGACAGTGTCTTTCTTTTGAGCACAGAGAAACAACAAAGATCTCTTTTTCCACATTTCCACCTGCAAAACAGTAAGTAAAGAAAGCTTTTGTGTTATTTTGTTATAATCTATGATTCTAGTATAGCCGTGGTTGTATTTATTATTTTTTCCTCTTTACTCTTGTTTAAAGGCCAGTAGTTAGCAGATTTTATTTGAGCTAAGGCCTTAGTAATAAAATATCTTTGGCTGATACCCCTTTTGACATTTATTACTTGCCAAATCAAACTGAAGTTTTATTAAAGCTTTCATACTTGCTGCTTTTATTTTATTCAATTTCTCCATATTTATAATTTCAATATTTACAAAAGACACCTATTCAGTAGCATTTCTTGATCCATATCTAAACTGTTCAATTTCAGTTTAAAAATTTTGACTTTATGTATTTTATGGTCTAGGTTCAGGTGACAAATTATAAGAAGTTGTGCCAACCCCACTAGGATTTTCAATTTTATGTAATTTTGATAGACTAGAGTTACTTTCTATTATGCTGAAAATGCTCAGCCATTGAGCTTCCCGTGGATTTTGCCAAGGAACAACAGCCCCTCTACAGTTTCCTGGTCATGCAACCATGGGAAAATTACTCTCACACAGAAGGAATATACTATTATTGTTTGTACTTTTGACTTGGTTCCTGCAGAAATAATTGGCATGTCTCTCTTCCTCATCCCTTGAATTATGGTTGCACAACTGCAGTTGGATGTCAGAAATTTAAAACTAGATGTGCTACAAACGTAGCCCAGCCTTCTCCTAAAACCTAAATTGAAACTCGTTCTATTAAGCAGTGATAAGTCTATTTTTAATCCTGTGTCTTTCTCTTTCTGGCAAAGGATACAATGTTTCTGAGTAAAAATATCTGTGCTAACCATGACTTCTTCCTTTACAGAGTTTCACATCATCTCTGATTTTATCTTCCACCATCCTCATAACTCCATCTTCTCACAGCATGAGTTTTACCCAGTGAACACCTACTATATATGATATATGTACGTGGGCACGGAGACAATTTTGAATTTTTAGTAAAACACAGCGGGTTTGAATATAAATTTTGTCATTTATCACTGTTGTGATAAAAATAAATTTACTTTGATTATATAAGACAAACCTACCACATTTAAACATTATTTATGTAACAAATATTTATTTAATAACCTATGATGCACCAGACCTATGGTCTATTTGGAGCATTCAATAAATAATTATTAAACAAGATGACTGCCTTCATGAGCTTCACAGTTATTGGGTAGAAAAATGTTCAATAATCTGACCAAATAACATAATTACAAAGAATCCTCATTGTGTGAATTTTAAATATAGATGTAATGAACATATATGACATTTAGATTTGTCCTAATTTTGGAAGAGGTAGTTTAAGATCAGGATAACTGGATAATGGTAGTTAACCAGTCATAACAGCACATAAAAGGCCCAGAAGTGAGAACATTCTTGGCATCTTTGATGGCTGAAAGGTCTTGTGCTTGGAGTAAAGAGAGTGTGGTGCTCCTCTGTTAGAAATGTTTTGTTTTTGTTTTCTTTGATGTTTGAGCTTTGCTACAATGAGTTCAAATCCTCTTGGATGGTTTTCTTCTAAAGATAGAATGTAGCCCATCACGACAAAGTAATTATTAATCTAAAAATATTGTACTTAAAATATATGCAGGTAAACTGCACTGCTTTAGATTTTTAAATCATATTAAACAATTCAATGCAGTTTATAAAGATTTCATTAAATTTATATTTATGTGAGTACATAGCATGTGTCAGGATTCTTTTATAGTAACTAAATAAATTTTAAATCAGTGTGATTTGCTGCACATACACACATTTTAGAGAAATAAATTTTTAAAAATACTTACGGATATGTGATTTTAAAATAACTAGTTCTGCATGTTTATCTTTGTCAAACAACTGAATAGTTCAGTGCTAAATAAAAAGCTCAGATTATTTTAACCTGTTTTGTCAAAACAACCAATATAAATGATCCATTAAATACAACTGTTAAAAAAAATTACAGGCTGGGTGTGGTGGCTCACGCCTATAATCCCAGCACTTTGGGAGACCCAGACGGGCGGATCACGAGGTCAAGAGATCAAGACCAACCTGGCCAACATGGTGAAACCACGTCTCTACTAAAAATACAACTGGGCGTGGTGGCGTGCGCCTGTAATCCCAGCTACTTGGGAGGCTGAAACAGGAGAATCACTTGAACCTGGGAAGTGGAGGTTGTAGTGAGCCGAGATCATGCCACTGCACTCCAGCCTGGTAACCGAGTAAGACTCTGTCTCAAGAAAAAAAAAAATTCAAAATGTTACATACTTACAGTAGTAAGCACTATGTTTATTTAACAATGGCCTGTGTACATGGTGGCTGATGCCTACAATCCCATAACTTTGGGAGGCTAAGGTGGCCGGGTCACTTGAGGTCAGGAGTTCGAGACCAGCCTGGCCAACATGGCAAAAACCCATCTCTACTAAAAATACAAAAATTAGCCGGGTGTGGTGGTGGGTGCCTGTAATCCCAGCTACTCAGGAGGCTGAGACAGGAGAATTGCTTGAAACCTGGGAGGCGGAGGTTGCAGTGAGCAGAGATTGCGCCACTGCACTTCAGCCTGGGTGACAGAGTGAGACTCGGTCTAAAAAAAAAAAATGGAGTCATGATGATTAATTATTATGACTAATAGCTTTGGAAACCAAAGCAAATTGTTCAGGAAATTATCAGGTACGCTGCACTGTAAAAATTAAATTCAGACCAATGAAATTCTCACTCTTTCTTTCCCTTTGGTTTCTTCATTTTCCTAAATATAGTTGCCATGATAATGACTCAGATTCTGCTTTATATTTGATATGATTATATATATTAATGACTCATTTTGACATGTCTAAATCTATTGAATCTCAATATCATCTACATTTGCTTGCTAAAACTGTATAAACTATCTTGGGCTATGAAAATTTTGGCTACAATTTCATAATTTTTAATAAATCAATCTTCTAATTCATATCAACATTTTCAGATTTCTATATTTACTTATTAATATCATTGATACTTTAATTATGATTGCATTTTATAAATTTTATATGAATAAAATTAGATAACTGCAGCTATCAAAATTTTATTTCTAAACTTTTTTTTTAGTATAATTTAGGAGCATATACATTCCTTTTAGATGTCAACTAGAATTAAATGCAAAGGTCAGGGAAGACATAATGGAATAACTTCCAGGTATATTCATCTCTCTGTGTGTGTATGTGTATGTGTGTGTATGTTCTGTATATTTTTTCCAAGAGGTAAATATGCTTAATTAGTTAATTTAATTTAAATTTAATGTAAATTTTTAAAATACAGTGATTTAATAATCTGTTTATCTGAATTTATATGCTCATTTTAAAAAGTAAACTTGAAACATGCTATCTGTTAATAATATCTTTAGTTCTATTTGTTGAAAGTCTGGTATTCTTTTATTCCTTTTTTAAAAAAAAGATTTAACAAGATGAATAGAGAGTAAAAAGGAAGCATGTCTTTTCCCCTTTGCTCATGCAATTATCCAGGAGAATTCAATGCCCACAGATCTGTAGAGTGCTGAGCCATCCGTATTTTTGTCTTTCATGCCAGATCAATTACATAAGCCAGCATAACATAAGCTCCCACGGAATTAGCCAAGTTCTTCAAAAGTTGCACGTTTCTCTATACAGAGTAGTGGATTAAGTTTGAAGCCACTCTGGTCTTCCTCCTGGATTTGTCATTCTTGCACTTTGTGTGATCCAGGTCAAATCACAATGTATGCCTACTTGAGCATTTACAGCTGTGGAGAGGAACTGCTCTTATAGATACTTTACACACTACATGAACATTTTGAGGTGAAGATAAATGAAGGTCAGCACATATCTTTGCAACATATTATTTAACAGGAGAGTAATACTTCTGATAAAAGTTATTTACATAAACTGTTTCTATCCTATATTTAGATACAATAAAAAAGGAGAATCTTGTTTACTAACTATCAAATTTGAGTCTACAAGTGACTTTTGTGAAACATATTAACATTATTAAAAAGATAATAGGCTTTACCTATTTTTTGATGGTTGGATAGAAACCCGTATTGATTTTTTTGGCCAGGTATTAAGTTAACAATTTAAGTATTGAATACCATATTTTTCTGTTTTTCTTATTTTAAGAAAAGTTAGAATCACTTGTATAATTTTCCCATAGTCTCCATAGGTGGTGAGTTATAAAGGGTGGAATTAAAACCCAACACTTTCTAAATTGTGCACTTACCCCCAAAATGACTACTTTGGGTTGATTGAACTTGGACAGACTTTGTTCCTTCCCCAATGAAATGCATTCTTACCCCATTCTGTAGAATATAAAATTACAGATAGATTTACAAGGTCTATCTGACACATAATTCAGTAATATGTGTCTTTCACATTTCACGAATAACTTCATATTTATCATCATGAATATACATTTTAAAGTAGCAAAACAACATTTTTCAAAATTTTTTCTCTTTCTATATTGGGTATCTGTTGATTTTCATCTTTATCACGGGGCCTATTTGTTGCCAAAACTGCCTAATAATATCAAATAGAGGCTGTACGCTGCTATTAGACATGTTAATATTAAGTTAAAACAAGATAATCGTTAAGTAAATAAGGTTAATTAGCAGTCTCCCTTCTATACCCATTTTATGTGCTTTCTGTCATTTCCATAGCTTGCAGAATAAAATCTCATCTCTTCAGTATCATATATTAATAATCTAGAGTTTCTCTTTCTTTCCATCTTTATGTCTGCCACCTTCTACTTTGTAATATAATCTAATAAGCCTAAACTACATATGCTTTCTCAAATATTCTAACCGGGTTTCTATTTGCTGATTCAATTTGCCTCACTGGTGTATCTTTCCCTCTCCACTCACTTTCTTCAATTGTAAGACATCAGCTCCTCCAGGATGCTAACTTGGCCTCTTAGACTGAGACAGGTGTCCTTCTATCCTCCTTCTTAATATCTCTTTTAACACTGTATTAAATTCATATCCTTATTTGTCTCTAATACTGGAATATAGACTTTGTATGGATTATATCCTCCTGATATAATCCTATACTTAGTACCTACCTAGTAAGTAACTCTAAATGGAAATGAGTTGATTGGCTGTGAGACTTTAGTCTAATGAATGCCTTTCAGCAAAAGGAATGAAAATAAATAGACTGTTACAAAATCATAATTAGCCAAAAAAAGTTCTATTAAGTAAATAGTCTTGTAAAAATTTTTTTGTCTTTTTGTTTTTGTTTTTGTTTTTTTTGAGACAGTCTCTCTCTGTTGCCCAGGCTGGAGTGCAGAGGCACCATCTCAGCTCACTGCAAGCTCTGCCTCCCAGGTTCATGTGATTCTCCTGCCTCAGCCTCCCAAGTAACTGGGACTACAGGCATCCACCACCACGCCCGGCTAATTTTTTGTATTTTTAGTAGAGACGGAGTTTCATCGTGTTAGCCAGGATGGTCTCAGTCTCCTGACCTTGTGATCCACCCGCCTCGGCCTCCCAAAGTGCTGGGATTACAGGCAAGAGCCACTGCGCCCAGCCCTTGTAAAAATTTTTTAACAAAAAATACTAAAATATATGTTATTAATGTGGATGTCTGCGTGTGAATACATCATAGACATGGTAATGCCTTTCTGATGATTTATTGTTGGTATTCTGTCACTTAATACATGTGCATTCTGTAGATTTTTATTACATGTGAGCTTGAGTTGGTTGTTTTGTTCTTAATTTTCTCTGTCCAGCAACTTACAGATACCTAATGAAATAAGTGTCTCCTACATCAATCCTTCACTTAGCAACCTTGGCCAGAATGGGCTTACTATCATTTAAATATATAAGAGGAATAAGAAGAAAAGAGCATTCACTGTCCTTTTAAAGACTTAATAAAATGATACGTTTCACTGCTACTCATATTTCATTTGCCAGGATTTGGTAATCTCACCCTTCAAAGGATGTTTGAAAATATTATATTTAAATGGAAAATAATTTTTATGTCATGAATGAAGGCAATAGCACATGCTAGGCATCTACAAGCAGATATAACTAGTAGTGTTACAGTACACAGCAAATACTGACTGGTCAACATTGGTATCAATATGACTTATTGTATCACTATTCTATTGCAGCCTAACAAGTTACCACAGTATTTGGGGCCACAAACAAAACAAATTCATTACTCCATAGCCTCTGTGGTCCAAGAGTCTAGCACAGATCAGCTGGGTTTTCTGCTTGGGATCTTAAAACTATAAAATTGAGGTGTCAGCCAGCTTCTAGTGCTCTCACTAGGAAGCTCAGCTAGGGAAGGATCCAACAGCTAAGTTTCCTCAGATTGTTGGCCAAATTCATTTTCTGGCTGCCAGAGGACTGAGGTCCCATTTTTTTTGCTAGCTGTTGCCCTGGGAATGTTCTCAGTTTCCAGGGGTTACTCTTGGGTCATTGCCAAATGGCCCTCTTCGTAACATAGCAGGTTTCTTCTTCATGGTCAGCAGGAGGTCATCTAGTGCTGACGCTTACATCTTTTAAGAGCTCACATAATTAAGTTAGGCCTACTCAGAATAATCTCTCTTTCAGTTAAGTCTAAACCAAAAGATTCAGGACATAAATTAATTACACACACAAAATTACTTTCCCCTATAAGGTAACATAATCACAAGAGTGATATCCCATTATAGTCACAGGTCAGCCTGCCCCCAAAGGAAGAGGATTCCAAGGCATACACACCATGTGGTGGGAATCTTGACAACCATGTTAGAATCCTGCCTACTCCGCTTCTATTAAAGCTTTCCCATTGGTATGCAACATATAAGAGATGAAGCCAAAGTTTTCCAATATGGAGGAAAATCTTATTTATTTTCAATAAATGTTAAGGAAACTATGTTTTTATGATGCTCATCTATTTTTTAAATTTAACATTTTTGCATACATTCAATTATTTATGTATGTGCTAGTCTCAAAAAATGCACTTCTGTTCAAACACTTTAAATGGCTCTGAAGCTGATAATCATGTGGAATGTCCTCTTTTCACACAATGAAACATTTCAAAAGGAATAACAGATTAGGTACATTAAAATCTTGAATTGTGCATGTGTGTTTTCTAACTCCAAAGCAATGGCTACAGTTTAATGTATTTTTTTATGTCAACTGAATATAAATAAAGTGTTGATGTCTCATTTCAAACATCAAAAGGAAACTCAGTGAATATTTCAAAGTTTCAACCTCTAATATTTGTTAATTCTAAAAATAGTTCCATCTTTATCTCCTTCTCCAGAAATTGAAGAGATGTGGTAATGATAAGATATAAAATGCAAGTTATTATTAAAGTGTTCACCTATATGAACAACCTTATGGATATGGATTTCATTTTATAAAATAAATAAATCAATAAAGTGTTCACCTAGGTAAAAGAACCCCACTGAAATTTAAGCAATAGTAATTTCAGCTCAAATATAGAAAACAGTACAGACACAAAGGAAACCCTCTATTTTACAGTTCAGAAAGAACGATGATGTCTGCCTCTAGCTTGGATCACTACATTGTACTGTATAATGCCTGTTACAGTAGGTAGCTAGTCAGACATAAACAGGGGAGGAGAAGCCCCCCACCAACAACAACCAGGAAAGTCAGGCGACCATCAAGTGATGGTCATGTGGTTTGTTAACTGTCTCTCTAAAATACTATTGGGTTGCAGCCACTGCCAGGGAAAGGCAGCCTCCCAATAGATAGGAAAAACCTGAAACTGGTGATCAGTAGCTTCCCAATATGATCTCAGGAGTTGGGCAAGTGGGCTCACATATGCACATTAAGAGAAAAAATGGCAGAGTTTATCTGATATACAACCTCCTAGGGACATTTGGCTGGTAAGGGAAGAATACCTCAAGTGAGCATGCATATAACTCCAGTAAACACACTGTGCATGCTCATCTCCCAAGTGCTAGCAGGCCACTGTGCATATGGACAGCCCACCCCAAGGGAAGAATCAGGGGAGAAGGGACGCAAAACCCCAGAAGTATGTCAACATATGAAACCCCAAGTCAAAAGGTCAAAGTTTACACTTGTCCTTCAAGTCACCCACTTGGCCCTCTTCCAAGTATACCTTCCTTCCTTTTGTTCCTGCACTAAAGCTTTGTAACAAATTTTCACCCCTGCTCGAAAACTTGCCTCAGTCTTCCTTTCTGTTTTATTCTCCTCCATTGAATTCTTTCTTCTGAGGAGGCAAGAATTGAGATTGCTGCAGCCAGACCTGCGTGGATCCGCCACTGGTAACGTATTTTGATGCCGTGTGACTCAGATAATTCCCACCATTAACATGTCCAAGGAAGATGCATTAATGCTCTCTAAGAGAAGTGAATTGGGTGATCACAAGGATATTTCCTGTGACTATATACAGAAGTGGCTCTGGTCACACTGATTTGTAATGCAAACAGCCACTTTAGGTCAAATTGGAGTACAATGGTGCTAAATATGTTAAATTTAGCCAGTTAATATGACTTATGGACTAGATATTCTGAGCACAGAGCATCCAATGCTGAGTTAATTCTGCCTAACCAGACTTTGTGGAGAAGACTTAGACAGTCTGATCATGAGGTTAGAAATATCAAATAAGCAGCATTTATTGAGCATTTGTTATAAGCCAGGAATATATTAGTGCTTTTCATCCATTGATACCTTAATCCACAAAATCCCATAAGGATTGTAGTGTTACTTTCCTCATTTTGTGGGTAAGGGTTGCAATGTAACAAAATATCATTTAGTTAGTGTTAGAGTTGGTGTTTGAACTGTGTATCATCTCCTTTTCATAAGGAGATGATGACCTACTACAGTAAGCACATTGGTGAGAAGCAACTAATAAGGCAAAGTTCAGGTATAACGTTTAATTCCAGTGAACAGGAAAAATCCCTATGCATATATTCCCTACTGGGATCAATTTTCCTTCAGTCAGATATAGAGGAAAACTTAAGCATCATGGGGGCTTCATCACTTTCCCCATTTAGCACATAGATTGAGGATCACAACAGATTTTGCTTCAGTTGGATCAGAACAGATCCCTAAACCTTGGAAAAAGTAATACCTCCATAGCGTGTGTTTGGTCTGTTCTGAATTGCGTATTCAATGTTGGGTCTTATCTTTTGGAGTTTCTTTTGACTGTGTTGGAGTTGCCTACCAACTTTCCTACACCTTCCTTCCATATTGGCCTTGTGTGAAACAGTATTCCAATTTGCTGTGGAATAGTCAGTGTGGTGCTGTATTGTTTTGTTGTTGTTGTTGTTCGGATATTTGAGAAATCTAGCAAACCTCACAGAGTATATCTATATAAGGCTTTTATTTAAAGGTAAAACATACAGAGCAGCAATAGAAGTAGAATTCAGGAAAGCATCAAAAGGCTGAGAGATAATCTTTACACACCTGAATTGTGCTGAAGCTCTGGCTGAACTTCCAAGTCTGTGTCAGGAATCTTGGCTTCAGGACACATCTTGGAAAAGCTTTCAGTAGTTAAGTGGTCAAGCCAGGCTTGTCAAAGCATTTGAGCCAGTTGCAAACCAGTAAAGAAACTAGCCCTGGTGGGGCAGGATTGCCAGGAGAATTTCTGAGGTGAAACAGCACACTGTAAATTCTTCTGCCTTTATCTTGGGTAAAAGTCACACAAACAGGCATCTAGGTATCTCCAGAGATAGAGAGAGCTTTAGCTTTACCACTTCAGTTGTAAATCAGCTATTCTAAGGCACTCAGACCAATATTCTGGAGCTATTTTATATATACCACTAGTAAAGTTGTCCTGCATTGGAGAAGTTGTTTAAATTCAATAATCTGTACTTTGTTTTTATTATTTTTTAATTTATGTTTTTATTTTTAAATTTCTTATAGAGAAAGGGTCTTGCTAGGTTGTCCAGGCTTGTCTCCTGGCCGCAAGCAATACTGGTGCCTCAGCCTCCAAAAGCACTAGAGTTACAGGTTTCAGCCACTGTGCTCAGCCTGCTCTACTTTAAATACCCATGAGAATTCTAAGACTGAGCCTAGAAAAACCTTGGATCACCTAGTTAACAGTGACATATAAACATGTGAACAGTTCTTGTGAATCTTATGGACCAAATTGATATTGGCTTACTATATTTTATATATGGATCACATATGTACACTCTACTACGGTTCTAAAATGCCACACGTAATCTCAAGGTTTTATAGGCCAATTAGACATTTATCCAATCCTAGTTAAGCTTAAGAGCCAGAAATACTGTCTTTAAAGACACGTCAGAAGAAACATTTGGCTAAAATTCTGAATACACCTTTTCACTTTCCAAGAAGAATTTCAGAATTAAGTCCAATTATTTAATGTGCCATCAAATTCTTGTTTTGTGTATATTGTCCTTCCATTATAAACTTTAAACCTAATGTTAGTGAAATTGTTTTGTGTTCATGTTGGCCAAAAGCCAGTACAACTCTACAACTCAACAGGAAATATTCAGAAGCAGTCTAAATTATTAATTTTTCTCATAATGTGAGGTTAATACTACCTGGTGCAATGAATAATCTCATTGCTAATTTGAATAAGATTAAGTTTTAGATCAGTCTTCACTAGATATTAATAAGCTGACATTTAAATCAGGGTTCAAAAACATCAAAGAAGGGAGTTACAAATGTGGAAAGGGGAAGAGCTAGAATAAACTCTGTGGTGTCTGATTTGCTTTGAATGGATCATTTACAAACTTGTAGGCTTTAAATATAATTGGTAGATGTCACTAGCTATATCTGCTAAGAGCATATAGAAAAAAAGGAACTGTGATAACGATGGGCATACTTAGCCAACAGATCTTGGTTTGTATGTCCCATTCTCCAGGGCTCCTTGGAGAAAGGGTTGACATGAAACGTGCACAAATATAAATTTATTTTATAAAGGGAGAAATAAAGGATTGGAGAGGTTGTGTCAGTTACACAAAGTTACAGGCATAAGTAAGTGTCAAGGAGAGCATGGGTTTCTTATTAAAACAGCAGATAGTGGGCCCCAGTGTCTAGGTTAAGGTCCCCATATTCTTCACTTGCCAGTTTTGACACCTTGCTCAATTTTCAATCATGAGTCCTTGATTTCCCTAGAAGTAAATCTGTCTAAAGATAATGCTATCTGTCTCATAAGTAGAGTTGTTGTGAGGAGCTAAATGAGATATGATAATATCTCAAGTACTAAAAACACAGAACACTATAATCACTACATAGGTGTTGACATTTTATTGTCACTATAACTTTTCTTACTATGATGACTGTTTTATTATATGAAACCATGCCTATCTGACTTAACAGTATATTCACATTCTGTGAAAAAAACACAGAATTGAAGCAAGCACATCACCAATAAGGATTGGCAAATGGATTTAAATATCTTGTTATGTTAGTGAGAAAGTAAATAGAATTGACCTAAATCATATGGAGTTTAAGAATTGAAGAGGAGTGGGAAGACTGGTTTGACAGACAAGTTGGGACCAGAATATACTGACCTGTGAGAATGAACTATATATGATTATTGCAAGAGCCTTTTTAGATAGCTTAGCTTCATATCAATATGCAAGATATTTTGTTGTGGGGAGGGAAAGGAAAATCTTTATGCTATATATGGATAAAAAATAGTCACTGAATAATTAATAATACTTAAATGGAATTGGAAAAACTCAAAGAAGGCATCATAAATTCAAAATCATTGGCAGTGAATTCAAATACAAAATAGGAACATGTCAGAACTCTAGAATATATAAGTGTTGTAATTTAACTTTATATAGTAACTTAAATTAATCTAATAAATGATTTCTTGTGGAGGCCCTGTAGGGTGTGATTTTAATTGATATGTGTCTAATTGGCATTATTAGAAATCCTTTGTTTCATATAAATAATTGATGTGCTAAAATTATTGTAAGTTTCTCTTACTAGGTATTTTTAAGTGTCTCTTTTGGAATCTTTATGCCGTTAAATTATCTAGCAATTTTTTCCCTAGTGCAATGGAAGAAAAAAATTTACAAAGACAAGGCAAGAGATCAAAATTACTGTAACTATTTAAATATAGTTTCATTTTTATAAGGCCAGTAATGACAACATAATATTCATTTATATTTTGTAATTCATTGTTTTTCCTTTCCATTTTCTGCTGGTACACCGCCAAGTAACAAAGCATTATGACAGGAGAAAAGGGAGAACAATTAAAGGTTCGGAATAATGAGGAAAATGGACAATCACTCCTAGATAATTGAGAGTGAACTCCATATCACTGTTAAAGTAAGGCAACATCATTATCCCCATATTCCTGCAAAAATATGCATGGGTCACTTAGAAGTATTTCTACTCTTACTTATTAAAGCATGGACCGCTGATCTCTGGAAGAGAATAGCTAAATTTGGGGGTTTAATGAAGGTTTAAATGAAAGAAATTAAGGAATGAAACTTACCAACCTTGCATGTGAAACTTCACTTGACCTAGAAGCACTACTTGTAATTCTGCAAAGTCAACAAAAAGCATGTAAATGGGAAGGAGTGTATTACTAAACATAATTTGATCCTTTTTTTTTTTTGAAAATCCTGTTCTCCTATTGTAAACTTCTCTTTATAGTAAATGCAAAAGTCAAAAGTTTTGCTAGTTAAAAGATAACAGTGGTGGCTAGATCCCTCCAAAAAAACAGCCTGAAGTTTAGGATAAAAAAAACTAACACAATGAGATAGAGCTGCTCTAATAAAAATAGTGCCTATTTCTCAAAAAATATATGCTTTTTTTCATTCTAAATAGAAATCTAATAATATAGCCATTCCTAAGTACTATTATGATTTCTTAAGAATGGGAAATTCTGGCTGGGCGTGGTAGCTCAGGCCTGTAATCCAAGCACTTTGGGAGGCTGAGGTGGGCGGATCACGAGGTCAGGAGATCGAGACCACAGTGAAACCCCGTATCTACTAAAAATACGAAAAATTAGCCAGGCACAGTGGCAGGCGCCTGTAGTCCCAGCTACTCAGGAGGCCGAGGCAGGAGGATGGCGTGAACCTGGGGGCAGAACTTGCAGTGAGCCGAGATCACACCACTGCACTCCAGCCTGGGCAACAGAGAGAGACTCTGTCTCAAAAAAAAAAAAAAAAACAAACAAACAAACAAAAGAATGGGAGACTCTATGATGCCCATGTCCCAGTCTCTTATTTTCACTCTGTTGCAGTCATCAGGAAAATAAGGTTAACCAAATACTGTATTTCCAAATACAATGCAGTGTAAATGCAAATACAATGAAATAAATATCTGGTTTTCTAGAAATTTTCAACAGGCCTTACAGCTATGCATAAAGTGATTTGATTTTGAATCACCATTTTCATTGGTGGTAATGTTTGTGTGTGTACTTACAGCTAAGGTGTTATAACATCATTACATTCTAAGTCTCTTCAGGTATTCTTTGTTCTAGTTTCAAGTTTTTTTTTTTTTTGTTATGTTTAGTAGGAAAAATAACATGAACTGCAGACATACTTTGAAAGAAGCCATTAGAAATCCTGGGGTGAGGGGGTGGTTTGGCTAACTCTAGCTAAGATATTGAACAAAACAATACCTATACTTTTGAAGTAATGTTGAGAAATTCAATCTTGGAAGAATCGGTTTTGATAATTTTGGTAGAAAGTAGATAAATTTTTACTTATACCATCAAACTAAATTTTTGCTAGTTATCTTAAGTCATGTCCCGAGATCTAACTGTTTTTGAAAAATTCAGTCCAGTCCATAAAGCCCATTCCATCTATTCCACTGTACTCCTTCCTACATGACCCAAATGCAGGGCTAGGTTTGGGAATATCAACAAAAGGAATAAGGGGACAGTAGTCTCAGTGCTTTGGGAGGCTGATGTAGGAGGATTGCTTGAGGCCAGGAATTTGAGTTGAGTGTGAAACAAAGTGAGATCCATCCCTACAGAAAATAAAACAAAAACACATTAGCTGGAAGGCTGAGGTGGGAGGATCACTGAGCACAGGAGTCTGAGTCTGCAGTGAGACAAGATTATATCACTACACCCCGGTCTGAGTGACAGAGTGAGGTCATGTATCAAAACAAACTAACAAATAAACAAATAATGAATATAGCTTTCCTTTAAAATAACAATCTTGTAGAGTCATCTGAAAACCAAACAAATCAAAGCAACAAAGAAGAAAAACCCAGATAATTACAAAACTGTGGGATAAATGTGACGCTATTGTTAATTACAGAGTTTCAGGGGAGTGCGGGGTGGTGGGTGTTTGGTGTTAACTGAGGTGTTACAGACCCAGGAAAGAATAGACCTGAAGCTTGATGGGCAATTAAAGTCAAAAGATGAGAAGGAGACAGGCAAGAACTCCAGGCACAATAGGGTGTATGCAACAGACCTGAGACATGAGAAAATATGGTGCATTGGGAGCATTGAAAATGAGTTTACTTAGCTAGAGGATATAGTGTTTTCACATATATGAACATACATGTGAAAATCACATATATGATTTTCAAAATAAACTCGCCAGGCAGAAAGGGTGTATTATTTTGACTCACATTTTATTTAATGAAACAGTCACTCTGAGAGGGATTTGAATGTTTTATAACTCTTTAATGATATTGGTGAGTTTTGAACTCATTTTCTTCTATTACCATAAAAAAAGCTAAGTAGAGTAATAAATATTGAAAGATATTGAAGATTTTAAAGCATAGGACATAGTAATAAAAACTGATACTTACACAGTGATTATTTTATGCCAGGTGCTGATAAGGGCTTTCCATGTATTATTAAACTCATCTTATCCTCACCACCTATGAAATAAGTACTATAATTATCAGCATTTTGTGGATTAGGAAACCAAGACATAGAGAGATAAATCCTCACTAATTTCTCCTAGCTAATGATTAGTGAACTAAGGCATGAATCCCAACAGTTTAGCTCCAAACCCCACACTCTTAGTTGCTGAACTACTGCTTGGCTATTTTACCATATTATTTATGTAAGAAGTCAATGATTAAAAAGCAGTGTAAGATAATCACAATCAAAGGGAATATTTTTCATATAGAGTCAACCTGTAAGATTTACAGAGGAGGGGCTTAGTATTTGGGGTTGAAACAGTTGGTATTGAAAATGGAAGAGTTAGCAAAATAATTGGCATTCATGAGTAATGTGGTGCTCTGCCTTGATTCTCCTTTAGAACAGAAGTATTTATCCCACCTTCTGCTGTTGAGAATGCTGTCTGCTGAAGGCTGGGAGTTAACTCCTTCCTTTGAAATTGCCCATATCTGAAGGGAGCTGCCTCACCTAAAGTTAAAGAAAGTTATACCTCTTTTTACATAGTAGCCCACAAATGATGACTGATTGATGAGGTGTACAGTCAGGTTAAGTAACTTACCCATGGTCACAAAGACTCCAAATAGAAGAATTTGATCCTATGCTGGGTTAACTCAAAGTCCAAGACATTTTTCTTTCACTATATTTTCTCCTGTAACTAAACTTTATGGATTCAAGTAGTTATTTTATAGGAACTGACAAATTTATGTACATCCATTTTATGCAGTCTTCAGACCTCTGTCATTTCAATGTGGTTTCATAAATAAGTTTTCTTTAATCTTTAACATAGACCCCACATATAAAAGAAAGAAGGAGTGATATAAAAGGATGAAACTATTTGATATTGAAACATGGGATCATAAATAGCATCCTGTGTTGTATATGAAATATATATATACACATAAAAGTGCATATCTTTTGTAGCTTAATATATGTTTTTGATATTGAACATAAAATGTTGTGAATCTATGTGTCATAGAGATGAGAAGAATCATTATTTTCGAGCATCTAAGCTGCACTTGGTAAACAGCAGGAATCAGTGGTACTGCAATCTAAGTTTTTATCTGTCATTGGATCTTTTATAGTTGTTGAAATAACTGGAATATCTATTATTTGAAATACTGTATATAAAAGAAAGTGTATCAGTTGTGCTTCAACTGTTTCTAATAGAAAATCTTTAGAATATTTCTAAGCCTTTTAACTAAGTTTTTTTAAAGAATTTTACCTGCTGTTGACTCAAGATATTTCCTTGTTATATTCAACAACAACTAGTTAGGCTCAATAAGGTAATAGTTTGAACAACTGAGAAACTCCATATGGTGTGTTTCTTGCTGACAGCATGAATTCTAGCTTGAGGGCTCTGATCTATTAAACCACATGTTATGATCAAAGTGGTATTCACTGGCAATCATGATGGGAATCCCTGTTTATTGAATTGCATCTTTGTGCAATATTTTCATAGGTCAAAGATAATTAAAAGAACTAATTTCACTGAGGGCTACCTTTCAAGGCCCACTTAAATAGAACAGTTACTGCAGCAATTATTTTCCCCTATATCAAAGGCACTGCAGCCCTGGGCTCCAGGTTTATGGAAAAATATATATGTCTTAAAATAGCTGATCTTTCAGATGCATGTTCAGTTACAAAGGAGTATGTTTAACAGTCAAGTAACTCAGTGAACACTGACTTTAAAATACTCATGAACTGCCCACTGGCATCAGTCAATTTTGGAAAGTTTTTAACAAGTCACATATTAATTTTATACATTCATTGTATTAAAAAATGAATAAATAGAAATCTGTCCTTCAAAAATCTAGAAAGCTTTTAAATACGCTCTAGTAGTAAAAATTATGTTTTGAAGTTATGTCATGTTTAGTCATATAACCTAAGAAAATACTGTGTATTATTGTCCCTAAAATGTCCCAATTATTTCAATGAGTGGTACTGAAAGTGTCACTCTTCTTATTTGTAGAGAAGATAAAATGTATGACTGTACTATGATTGTCTTTTAAACACAATTTACATAAATAATTATTGTTTTAACTCTGAGTGTGATTCTCATGACAGCACTTCCTTAGAGGAGATACCATAATGGGCATAATTAAATCAATTATAGTTTCCTTGGTGTTAAATGTTATACTTGCTAATATCAATCAACCAATGCATATGCAGTTTGAATTCACCTCTATAAAAATTGAATTAGTCCATGTGTTGGAAATGAGCATCATTAAGTTACAGGCACACATTATCATAAACAATATATTCTATATCTATCTATTAAGACAACATACCAAAATAGACTCTTATTAATGTGATGAATTTAGTGAATATCTAAAAAAACCAGTAACTAGCATTTATTGACATTCATGCAGTGTGGCAGGCCCTATATATATATATATATATAATTTTGTTTTTTTTTGAGACGGAGTCTCACACTCCCGCCCAGGCTGGAGTGCAGTGGCACAATCTCTGCTCGCTGCAAGCTCCGCCTCCTGGGTTCACGTCATTCTCCTGCCTCAGCCTCCCGAGGAGCTGGGACTACAGGCACTGGCCACAATGCCTGGCTAATTTTTTGTATTTTTAGTAGAGACGGGGTTTCACCATGTTAGCCAGGATGGTCTCGATCTCCTGACCTCGTGATCCGCCCACCTCAGCCTCCCAAAGTGCTGGGATTACATGCGTGAGCCACCGTGCCCGGCCCAAAATATTTTATATACGTTGACTTGATTAATCTTGACCCCAAATCTGTGAAGCGAATATTATTTTCTGGTTTTGTACAGATGACTAAGACTCAGGAAGGCTAAGTACCTTGCCCTAAATACTAAGTAAGGGTTAACAACTAATAAAGGGAGGGTTGAAATGTAGCATTCTCTCACTAGAGTCACGTTCTTATCCTCTATATTAAGATGTTTGCTGATCCTCAAATCTGAAATCAGGAGGCCAATGTTTTGGTACTGTCTCTGCTAAATTGTTTGTAGTTAGTGGAACAAGTCAGTAGCCAATCAGGCCTCAGTTATTGAATGCATGTAGCTCACCATCATGAAGTTGAAAAATCATAAGTCAAACTATTGTAAATCTGGAACCATATGTATAGCTAGAGTGGTGAGAGAGAGAAAGCAGTAAGAGTTGAATTCAGGGAAGTAACATGGGCAAGATTGAGTTAAGCCTTATAAGTGAAGGAGATGGGAAGCTATTGGTAGGTTCAGATAAGAGGAATAAAATCTTCTGACTTCAGTTTTGACAATATCATTCTGGCTACTTGTTGAGAATTGATAAACCCTTTTGGAGGCAGAGCTACCATAAAGCCAACATAACTCTATCTCTAGAGCACGAGTGGGCAAAGGATGTGGCCCCGATTAAAAGAAATAAATCTCCGATTTCTGTAAGAATGTGGACCATTGGGATAGTCTATGCAAAACCTCTGCTTCATTATAATACATATAATTTATGTAAAGAATGCAATATAATTGTGCAGATACTGCCAACTGTTTAAAATTTGACATCACTTGCAGAATCCTTAGCATGCTGTGCTTTCAAAGATTTACTTAGAAAAACATCAATAATTGCTATAGACCATGTAAAATATAAAACATGAAATGTTTTATTTCACTACAGGAGAGGGCACTTCAACTCATACTCTTATAAAAGTGACTTGTAAATTCTTGTTTAGATTAACCAGACCACAGAAGAATTCAAACAGTAGTTGGGCATTTCAAAAACATGTTTAAGGCAGACCAATTGAAAAAAGTGAGTTAACAATGATTAATGTCTGCTAATCAAATAATCGATTTTTACTTATGGAAGAAATATAAAAAGAGAAGAGATATGACAAGGGCCAAAAATTTTGTTTGAAGGTTTTATAAAAGAGAAGGACTATGTGGATGGTTAAAAAATTAGCTTTGTTTCTTTATTATTATTATTTTGAGATGGAATCTCACTCTGTCACATAGGCCGGAGTGCAGTGGCCCGATCTCAGCTCACCGCAACCTCTGCCTCCCGGGTTCAAGCGATTCTCCTGCCTCAGCCTCCTGAGTAGCTGGGACTACAGGTGTGTGCCACTATGCCTGGCTAATTTTTATATTTTTAGTAGAGACGGTTTTGCCGTGTTGGCCAGGCTGGTCTCGAACTCCTGACCTCAGGTAATCCACCCGCCTTGGCCTCCCAAAGTGCTGGGATTACAGGCGTGAGCCACTGTGCCCAGACAAAAATTAGCTTTGTTTCCGAATGAACTTTGCCTTTAGCCTTGTTAGCTCAAAAGCCACTCTTGCTTTCTTTTTGACACCATCATTTAACTGCAACAAATCAAATTTGTGTGATAGCACTGCTTGACAGGAACCATAAGTAACTGCCAGGAGGTCTGACTGCAGCTGTTGCTCTCCTATAGCACACAGTTGTGCTGTGTCATTTGAATTTGTGCTTCAGTGGATCTTTAAAACATTTCTTCTCAGTAACCTGATTAAAGTTGTGTCCTGGATGTTCACTTGACTGCTGATGCTTAAGACTCCTACTGCTAGACACAGTTCACAAATATTAACCCCAGAAGAAATATTTATCAGAAAGAAATACTTATAAAAAAATGCATTTCTAACAGGCTTCA
Source organism: Homo sapiens (assembly GCF_000001405.40). Lineage (NCBI taxonomy): Eukaryota > Metazoa > Chordata > Mammalia > Primates > Hominidae > Homo > Homo sapiens. Next base: position 34,079,344 of record NC_000004.12, read on the forward strand.
TTTCATTAACCCCCAACATTTTTATCACCAATATCCAAGCATCTCTGTTTACTCACTTTGGCTTAAATGCAGCCTATTTGCCAAACAAAATCCGTTCTCTTAAGAAGCTTTTGTTCATTGAATCACACTCTGATTCTTTCTTTGATACCCTTTCTTTGTCCTTATGCTTTTTTTTGTAATAGTTTAACTCACAATCTTTGCATGGTCTCGTTGGGATATTTCATACACTTCAAGTATATATTTTCAGCTAGGATGTCAAATTCCTCACAGAAGAGTAGAATACAGTTATACGCATGTCACATAATAATGGGGATATGTTCGGAGAAATGCACCGATAGGCAGTTTTGTTGTGGTGTGAACCTCATAGAGTGTACTTACACAAAAGTAGATGGTATAGCTCACTATACACCTAGGCTACATGGTATAGCCTATTGCTCCTAGGCTACAAACCTGTCTAGCATGTTACCATACTGTACGGAATACTGTAAGCAGTTAAACACAATGGTAAGTATTTGTGTATCAAAACATATCTGAACATAGAAAACGTACAGTGAAGTTATGGCATAATTTTTTTTTATGGTACACTTATATAGGGCACTTACCCTGATTGGAGGTTTCAGGACGGGAAGTTGCTTTTGGGTGTCAGTGAGTGAGTGGAGAGTGAATGTGAAGGCCTAGGATATTACTGTATACTACTATAGACTTTAGAAACACTGTACACCTAGGCTACACTACATTTATGAAATGATGTAGTTCTTTCTTCAGTAATAACCTTAGCTTACTGTAATTTTTTACTTTATAAACTTTTGACTTTTTAAACACTTTTTTACTCTTTTGCAATAATACTTAGCTTAAAACACAAACATATTGTACAGATATACAAGTTTTTTTCTTTATATTCTTATTGCATATTTTTGATTTTTGAATTATGTTTATGTTTTTATGTTTTATATTATATATATATATTTTGTTGTTGTTAAACACTAAGACACAAATGCACACATTAGCTTAGGTCTGCACAGTTTCAGGATCAACAATATCACTGCCTTCCACCTCCACATTTTGTTCCACTGGAAGGTATTCAAGGGCAGTAACACACATGGAACTGTCGTCTCCTATGATGACAATGTCTTCTTCTGGAATATCTCCTGATCTGCCTGAGGCTATTTTACAGTTAACTGCTTTTATTTTTGGTTAGCAGAAGGAGTAAATACTAAATAGCAATAAAAAGTATAGTGTAGTAAATACATAAACAAGTAACAGTCCTTTATTATCAAATATTATGTTCTATGCATAGTTGCATGTGCCAGGCTTTTATTCGACTGTCAGTGTAGTAGGTTTGTTTACTACATCAGATCACCACAAACACGAGTAATGCATTGCACTGTGACATTATGATGGCTATGATATCACTATCAATATCACTATGATATCACTACGATATCACACGTAGGTGTCAGGAATTTCTCAGCTCCATCATAATCTTATGGGACCACCGTCAGTCTCTTACTGACTGAAATATCATTATGTGGCAGATATATACACATTCACAAAATATTTGCAGGGTGGAATCTATTTTGGGGAATCAAGAAATGACTTTATCCGATCTGCATCACCCATTTTCCTATAGATTGGCTGCACAATTGGTATAACCTCATATTTTGTGTATTACATGGAGAATTCACATTTCATAGAGAACAACACAACCAAAAAATGCCATCTTTCTTCTACATTGTCCCTCTTTCTTATGTTGGTATTGGCAGTTCTCCCCATCATTACTCATTTTTGCAATAACTAGCCCTTAACATTTCTGAGCCTCCGCTTACCATGTTTCCATCTCATTCCAAAGTATTTTCCTTTTTAATGTGCTGAACAATTTAGCATATTTTAAAAATTTAAGTACTCATTCAGATTTGTTCCACCACACTTGCTACATTATTTTTTTTTTGAACTGCTGCTGCTTGCAATGGCCTTTTTTGGTCACATTTGAAGTTCCAGGTATTAGAAAGCCTGTGTTTTAGAAAAAATATTTCGAAAGCTTCTTGAGATGAGACAAACACATTTAGAGAAGTTAAGTGACATAGCTGAATTAAATAATAAGGTAAATAGTAAAGTCAACGAAATAGGCAAAACCTTTAATATTTGTTGTAATGAGGTTAATTGTAAATTAATATAAAAGAAGTAGCATTGGTACATGAAGATAACCATATTTGGAAAGTCATTTGGTAAAATAGTTGAACAACAATCTACTGCACATGAGCAAAAAAACCTTCAGGCATGGGTCTTTCAGGAGGCTGAAGGAAAATGCATTATGAGAAAGCCATACAAGCAGCACTCAGAGAAACTATACTTCCGTAAGGACTGCCAGAAACAGTCTAAATTAAACATAATGCATTTATTTGAAGGAGTATAAGGTAAATAATTATTCAATATTTCCATACTAAAACAGAAAAGGAAATGACAAATGCTTGGTTTGCTAAAAATAATGAGGTAAGATCAACTGTAACATTGTCTAAAAGCTGGGTAACTGCACTGTAAAATTGAAAAAAAGTGATAGCATCTGAATTCTATTTGGGAGTTTGCTGACTTAGAAGTTCTGTCTATTCAACAGTGAGTCAATCTATTATCAAAGATCTTTACCTACAGGACAAATCTCTGGGACAGATTCAGCTAATCAAATCCAGTTTTGCTTTTCCAATTATTGTTACTCACTGGGTGGCAGAGATTTTCTCAAAAGACAAGAATAGTCATTAAAATCATTCTGAAAAAGACGAAGTGTAGAGAGGTAAAAGATAATTGCAGGGAATAATTATCATAGAATTAATATCACAAATATGTAAAGAACACATAAAAATAAATTATAAAAATGCAAAAGCAATTGGATGAATAATATAAATATATTTTTTTAAAATTTGTACCTGTATCTATTCAGATAATTGCAAATTAAACTAGCCATAACATAAATTAAAATGAATGTCTTTTAACAGCAAGCACAAATATTCCAATAATTCAACTTCCAGAGAAATTGTAGCATAAGTGCACAGAAAAGATGTTCGTAGTAGCACTGTTTGAAATATTTAAAATGTGGGAAAAAGTTATAGTCTCCTAGTAGATAATAAGGTAAAGAAATTTATAATCTGCTCACAAAATGGAAAATTACATAGCAGTTAAATGAACAAATTAGGGCTATAGGTCTCAGAATATATTATTTTCCAGTTAAATGTTGCAAAAAATCACAAATTGCAAGAAGAACATTATATTGTATAGCATATTAAATTTTAAAATGCATATTTTATGTTATTTGCATTTAAATATATAGGAAGTAAACATTCTAAAATATGAAAAAAGGATGATAGTACATAGCAGAATAGAAAGAGTTTAAGACAATACATTTAGTATAACCCTATTCCAGAGTTGAAAGGAGAAAAAACTAGTTGATATCTTGTGCATATTTTATTTTAAAAAATGTGCTTGTAGAAAATATGTTAACATGGTTAATATTGATTTACTCTTGGTGGTAAGAGAAACAGTAGATACATAAATAAAACCATAAGGACAGGATAAATGCATTGAAAGAAATTCAGGAGAGCAAATGGATGGGGTAATAGAATGGACATCTGGTATTTTAGATAGAGCACAGAAGGAGGAATATTTCCACAGATCAGAGTGAACTGGATATTTTGGGAGAATCAATTCAGTCAGAGTAAAGACAAGTGAAGTTGTAAGCTTTCTCTTTCTTTCTTTAGCTTTCTCCTCCCTTCCTTCTTTCCTCCCTTTCTCCCTCCCTCCCTCTCTCCCTTTCTCCCTTCCACCCTTCCTTCCTCCCTCCCTTCATTCCTTGTTTTAGACAAAATTTCTCTCTGTCGCCGAGGCTGGAGTGCAGTGACGCGATTTTGGCTCACTGCAACCTCTGCCTCCCAGGTTCAAGTGATTCTCCTGCCTCAGCCTCCCAAGTAGCTGGGACTACAGGTGCGAGCCACCATGCCTGGCTATTACTTGTAGTTTTTGTAGAGACGGGGTTTCACCATGTTGGCCAGGCTGGTCTCAAATTCCTGACCTCAAATGATCTGCCTGCCTCGGCCTCCCAAAGTGCTAGTATTACAGGAGTGAGCCACCGCGCCTGGCAGTAAGATTTCTTAATATTGTTTGAAGAACATCAAGCATGGATATGTGAGTAAGGTGAGTACTAAGACAAATGAAGCCCTCTTGACTATAAGTATTTGGGATTTTGTTCAAAATGTTATAGGTTATCTATTTCTCAAATGAGTTTTACTAGTTTGTGATATTAAAAAACTGTTCTGTTTCATGCAAGTTACCAAATGTGTGAGCATAGGTTTATTTGTAGTTTTTTATCATTTTAATATTAATGTAATCAGTAGTCATAATATCTTTTTTTTTAATACTGGTAGTTTGTATCTTCTCTCTTTTTTCCTAAGGTTAGCCTCATTGGAAGTTTATTAATGTTATTGATCTTTTTTCAAAAAACCAGTTTTTTGTTTTGTTAATTTTCTGTGTTGTTTTTCTGTTTTCAATTCCATTGATTTGAGCTGTATATTTTATTACTTTCATTCAGCTTAACTTAGGTTTAATTTCCTCTTTTTCCTCTAGTTTCTTGAGGTATAAATTTAATTATTTTATATCTCTCATCTTCCCTAATATAGGATCATAAAGCTATGAATTTCACTTTAGGTACAGTTTTAGTTGCATCTCATAAATGTTCATGTTATGTTTTCATTTTCATATGATTCAAAGTTTTTAAGTGATTTTTGAGATTCCTTTGACTCATGAATTAAAGTGTCTTATTAAATTTTCCTATATTTTGAGGATTTTCCATTTATGTTTGTCTTATTAATTTCTAGTTTATTTCTTTTATGAGATCATTAACTTTGTATGATTTATATTATTTAAAAAATTTTAAGGTGTTCTTTATGCCTCAGAATGTGGTTCATCTTAGTGAAGGTTCTATGCGAGTGTAAAAAGTTTGTGTCATCTGCTGTTATAGGATGGAATATTTTGTAAAATATATTAAACTTCTAGTTTCTGTCCCAACACATAAAGACTTTGGAAGCTGTCACACGTATTCTTACAATAAGCAAAAAAGATAAACAAACTGAAAATCAACAACTCTTACTATATTTGTCAAAGAATTGAAAATCCGGGCAAATTGCTGCCTGCCCTAAAAAGTGGCGAGAGAGGCAGATAGAATTAGAACGTACTAGGAGCAGAAGCTTATAGCTGGACCTAGTGTTAACAGGAACACTTCAATCTGTAACTGATGAAATTCTAGAGGCTCTATGAGAACTAACATGAGTGTGAAAAACTCTGAAGTAATGCAGCCCAAAGAAGGCACATACACATTCTCAAGCTTTAGCCCTGGGAGTTGTACTAGGTTCTCCCTGTGAAAATTAAAAAGAAATCCCCTCATGTTCCACAAGGGAGTGGAGGAGGGGTCTTTCACTCTGCTGTCCCTAACAAGGATCTGTCCTCGAGGGAATCTATTCTATCAGAACCCAACTGAGGTGTTTTGCCAAAGCCTAGTTGACTCCTTTTACAATGTTCAAAAGGATTTGTTATCAAACAAGTAACCACTTAACAGAACTAAGTTGCAGGACTAAGAACCAAGAGCCAGGATAGAGCTTGAGGCTCAGAGCTAACCAAACCAAAGGAGAGGGAGTGTTATCACACCGTTCTAGGTATTTATTGTTGTGTATCAGTCTACCCCAAAATATAGTGACTTAACACAACCATTTTATTTTTTTTAATGGATTTATTGAGATTTACTTGACATACAATAAACTGGAAACATTTAAAGTGTACAATTTGATATATTTTGACATTTGTATATTCTGTGAAAACACCACTGCAAGCATGAAAAAAAAAACCTCTGTAACGTGCAATGTTTTCTTGTGCTGCTTTTAAATTTTCAAATATTAAACCAATTTTCTCTATATTATTGGACTTGATTTGAGAAATTATTGATCAGAAGTTTTTGCATCTACGTGAGAGATATGGATCTGGAAAAATTTGTGTAGAATTGAAATTATTTATTTCTTATATGTTTGGTATAACCCATCAGTGAATCCATCAAAGCTGGGAGTTTTCTTCCTGCTTGTTTATTTTCACTAAGAGTTCAATGTCTTTAATAGATCTCAGCCTAGTCAGAGTATGCATTTTTTCTTGAGTGAGTTTTTGTAGTTTGTATCTTTCAAGAAATTTGTCTATTTCATCTAATTTAGTAAATATAGTGATATAAAATTATTCAAAATTTTATTTTATTTTGAGTCAGACTCTGCAATAATTCAAGCAGAGAGGCTTATTGGAGATTGCTATCTGGGAAAAGTTGATGACGGATTGGACTGAACAAGAATGACTATGGTGTCACTCAATATTGTAATTAGTAATAGAGAGCAGTCATTAATAAATGAATATGTTATATTAGTATACTCTTTTGAAAAGAGCAGGGCATTCATTCAATCAAGATTCACTAGCACATTATTATTAAGGATACTATATGTCAACTGTTATATCTCGTATTTTTCCTAAAAATAATTGCTCAAAAATTTATTAAAACATTTAAGAACTTAAAACAAATTTTAGCTAATTATATTGAAAATTAATTTATTATTTACTTGCACATCTTATATTTCTCAATTGGGTCTTCCAAGAAGTCACGCATATATACACAAATAAGTAGTTAGAAGACTGACTACAAACATGTATTTAGAGAATAATTATTAATTGGACACAATATCACTTAAAATAAAGGGAACAGAGTATAGGAGTAGTCAGGGGAAGACTTCTGACTGCCATACAGGTCTCCAATCTGTGAAACGAGGGTACAAAGGATAAAAGGTTGACTAGGAAGAGCCCCAGAAAATGGTGCAGCATTGAGAAAATCCTAGCTAGCCCAGCAGGGAACTACAATGCTAACATGTTTTTGGTAGATTCCCTCAAATTCAGAAATGTTAAACTCTTGTATCATGGTGATGCTAAGTCACTGGATGGGCACAGCCTTTCTGCTGTGTGCCAGGGAATAAAAGCTGAGACATATCCTGAAAGTACCTGCAGCTGGAGGCTGTCAGCTAACTGTCCTTGTGGCAGGCCCCCTTGAGTAGAGGTCAGAATAACACATAACAGAAGGGCAGCCCTATGAAGTTTTCTAATCTCATAAAACAAAAATGTTATGGAAAAATACAAAATGTATTTCCTAAATAAATACAATAAAATTAATTCCCTAAAGAATGTCATATTAACTATCATACTATTTTAAAAGTATATTAAATAAGAACACTGGATTCAAATATTATTTTAATCCTTATTAACTATTTGTTCTGATTTTTTCTACTATATTCTCCTGTACTTACAGAATACATAAATGTACCACAAGCCTAGTATTATCAGAAGTAGTAATTGACATCTACTATTTCTAAAGCCCTACTTATCAACCTCACTTTTCTTTTGAAGAAAAATTTGAACACTATAATTTTATGGACATATTGTAAATGAAATAATTTGTGGGCTTGTTTACTATATTAAAGTTCACAATATGCTTATTATCAGACCATTAGATTTTTGCTATATTATAGACTTAGAGAATTTTGCCTTTGTATTCATCAAAATTATTAAGCAACACTAAATTTAAAAATATGTAATTTCAATAACATGAAAAATGATATATTTTACAAAAGCAATGTTGGCATAAACAAAGTATTTTGGAGTAACACACAGAATTGGGAAGGCAAAAAAGTTAAGAAAGTCTTGTTTTAATAAGAAATAACACAATTTCTCAAAAGTTTTATGTTGAAAATTAAAGACTTACTAAAACATTGTTTCCGAGTAAAATTATGTTAAGGCTTTTATGAGGTTTCCAGCTGTTTTCAAAAGGGGTAAAACAATAGCATGTAAATTAGATTTTTACAAATGGGGTGTGTGTGTGTGTGTATGTGTGTGTGTGTGTGTGTGTGTGTGTGTGTGTGTGTTTTCTCATATTGGCCTAGTTTTGAAGATGGTTTATTTTCTTTTAGGATTCTTCTGTAATTGTTGATGTCTCTTTATATTTTGATTAAAGTTTCTCAGATCCCCGGCTGCTAATTAATGGACTCTTGAACAGAAATACAAGATTATTTTTCTTTGATCCGTGGGTTCTGTCAAGTAGGAACTGATCTCTAAATGAACAATGAAGTGCACTGATGGGAGAGCAGTATTTAGTATTTAGAAGAAAACCTTTTAACTGATTATTTTAAGCTTTAATTTTGTATCTCATTATTTTTACTATGATGTTCTGAATCATCTGTTTTTAAAACTTGCATTCAGGCTGGGTGTGGGGGCTCATGCCTGTAATCCCCGCACATTGGGAGGTCGAGAAGGGTGGGTCACCTGAGGTCAGGAGTTCGAGACCAGCCTGGCCAATATGGTGAAATCCCGTCTCCACTGAATACACAAAAATTAGCTGGACATGGTGGCACGCGCCTGTAATCCCAGCTACTCAGGAGACTGATGTAGGAGAATCGTTTGAACTTGGGAGGTGGAGGTTGCAGTGAGCCGAGATCATGCCACTGCACTCCAGCCTGGGCAACAGAGTAACATTCTGTCTCAAAAACAAACAAACAAACAAAACTGCATTCAAAGGTAACAGAATTTTATATTTTAGCAATAAAATTATACAATTATTTAAAAACACATAACTACAAAAATAATACAAAAAACACAATGTTTTGAACACTAATTTTGGAAGATGTTAGCAATTTCACTTATCAGATTCATAGCTATTTTTTTGTGAAAAGCCCAGTTTATGGCCAAGTTCCACAGGTTACTTCTTTTTTTTCCACTAATCTCAAGTTAGTGTGAACATTCAGATATTTTTGTATCCAGTTTTGTGCTTATATATAACTGCTCACATATCCACACATAAATAATGTAAGGGATTGGTTTTGTGTATTTATAAAAGTCAAATAATGACATTTCTTTACCATCATAAAGCACTCTTCCTTTCTCCTTTAACAGGATGGTTTTGAGAATTATGTAGCTCTAGTGCATTAATCTGTTAATCAATTACTGTGTAATATTCCCTAATACTAATGAGCTACATTGATTTTTCTTCTACCACCACATCGAAATTTTAGGATGTTTTAGTGTTTTCATAATTACACACAATTACTGCCATAAACACTAGTGGCCATATTTCCTTCTGTACAAATACAAGCATTTTTTTTTTTGGAGTAAATTGTTGAGCATAATTTCCAGCCATTTTTAACTTTTTTGATATTGCCAATTTCTCCTGAACTTACACTATCAGAAAGTAGCATAGTGTTCTTTTGCCCCATTTTTCATCCTTTAAACTTTTGACAGCTTCATATTAGCCAACTTTTAAAACTGTTTAATCCTATGAGTGTAAATTATTTTTCAGTATTGTTTTAAGTAAGTTTTCTTAAATAAATGATTAATTTGAGCATCTTTCATTTGCTTATTGGTCATTCAAATTTTCTCTTTACAGACTTTTTCATATTTATCTTGGCACATCTTATTGTTCTCGCTGATATATGAACTCGTCTTACATACTCTGGAGTAAAAGCCTCTGTTGTTATGTATGTACTATATACCTTGTTTCAGCGTATAATTTGTCTTTCTATTTTGTTTGTAGTATCTCATATCATTTAAGATTTTCATTGTACTGTGTAAAATTTTACACTTCATTCATTTGGTTGTGTGTATACTGTTAAACACATGAGACTGTAAGCCACATGAGAGAGGGATATTTGTCAGTAATATTCATTATTGGATGCTGAACACCTAGAAAAATTTATGTCCGTTAGGGTGAATTAGAAAAAGTGTGTTTAATTAAATTGTTTTTTTTTTTTTTTGAGATGGAGTCTGGCTCTGTCACCCAGGCTGGAGTGCAGTGGCATGATCTCGGCTCACTGCAAGCTCTGCCTCTGGGGTTCACGCCATTCTCCTGCCTCAGCCTCCCAAGTAGCTGGGACTACAGGCTCCCGCCACCACGCCAGGCCAATTTTTTGTATTTTTAGTAGAGATGGGGTTTCACCGTGTTAGCCACGATGGTCTTGATCTCCTGACCTCGTGATCCACCCGCCTCGGCCTCCCAAAGGCTGGGATTAAAGGCGTGAGCCACTGCGCCCAGCCTAATTAAAATTTTAATTATAATTTTGCCTATATTATATATAAAAAATGTTTTAACTGATAGTTTAAAGTTATTATTTTGTGTATCTTTAATGTATCTGAAATTAAATTTTAAATGTGACTATAGTATTGAATATTACTTTTTCTTTGTGTGTGTAGTATGCCTGTGTGTTTTTATAGATATATACATAGATGGATAGATAGATACATATTGATCAATACTTAGCTAATTTTTATAAATTAGAGAAAAATTTTTTCCAGTATAGCTGCATTTTATCTCCCCTATTATCTTTTATGATTTTCATATGCACTACATCTCTGTGTGCAATAGACATGACAACTCAATGCTGTAATTGCTTTATATAACCTTGTAACATTGAAATAAGCTAAGAGAAAATATATTTAGAAATAATTTTAAATTTACCAAGACTAGTTGTTTTGGTTTCTTCCTATGGGTTTGAATTAGCTGCCAGTATTATTTCCTTTCTGTTTGAAGAACTCTCTTAAGAATTTATTCGAAGACATATATGGTAGTAATGAATTTTCTTGATCATCATGTTTCTAGGAATGTCTTCATTTTACCATGTTTTTTTTTGAAGAGTAGTTTTGCTGGATATAGGATTCTTTGTTATGGTTCTTTTGTTTCTTGTTCGTTTGCTTGTTTCTTTCAGTGTTTGAAACATATGCTATTTCAATACGTTGTAACTTCCTTTGCTTTATATCAAAAATCAGTGTTAATTGTATAGATCTCCCTCTTTACATGATAAGTCATTTTGTCTTACTGATTTCAAGGTGGTCTCCTTGTCTGTGCTTTCAACAGTTTGACTATGATATGTTCAGGTATGGCTCACTTTCTGCTTGTCCTATTTGTAATTCATTAAACTTGGAAATGTGGATAATTTTTTCCCATCAAATTTAAGAAGCTTTAGGTAACTATATGTTTAAATATTTTTTCTGCTCCTATCTTTTTCTTCTCTCGGCACACACATTACATATACATCAGTATGCTTGATGTTGCTCTTATGTACAGTTTTATCATTTCTTCTCTTGTTGGACAGCTTCTATTAATCTACATTTATATTTTGCTTAATTTTTCATTTGTAACCTGACCTATGCTGTTGAGTTACTCTACTGAACTTTATTTCAGTTATTCAATTTTTTAATTTCAGGATAACTATTTGGTTATTGTAATTACTATTCATTTGTTGATATTTTCTATTTTTTGATTCATTATCATTATACTTTCTTTAATACTGAAAGTATTTTAATAGCTGCTTTGAATTTGCTGTATACTATAACAAATCCAACATCTGAGTACACTCAGTTTTCTTGACAGACTGCCCCTTCCACTCCGTGACTAACTTTTCTCTTTTTATGTCTCTTAATTAGAAAAATAAATCTAGACATTTTCGATATTATATTGCAGGAATTCCAGATTCTCAATTTTCCTCCCAAAAGCTGTTGCTATTTTTGTTTTGTTTCATTGTTTATTTAGTAAGTTGTTACTTTGTTAAGCTAAATCTGGACAATCTGACTCCATTCTAGTATGGGACTGCTGATGTTTCTGCTTTTACTTTTCATTTTTTTTTTTTTTTAACAGGACCTCACTCTGTCACCCAGGCTGGAGTGCAGTGGTGCAATCTTGGATCACTGCCACCTCTGCCTCCAGGCTAAAATGATCTTCCCACCTTAGCCTTACAAGGAGCAGGGACTACAGGTGTGTAATATTATGTCCAAACATCTGCCAAGAAGGCTTCCAACCCCTGTTGACAGATGTGTGTGTGGGTTGTGGAATACTTCCAAAATTAAGAAAAAGAATTCAGACTTACTCTAACTTTTACTTTTTGCTGGACCCTTTATCTCTCCTCTATGCATGATCACCGTCTTCTTGACAGCCAAAATAATATGTACATAGCTTAACAGCTTGAGTCTTCTGTTTTGGTCTTCACTAGTTGCAGCAATCAAGTCAGTCTAGGAACTGTAGATAAATTATCAAGCCACTCTGCCTCATCTATAAAATCTCCTTTTGAAAATGTTGGCTATTTTAGTGTCCCATTGCTCCTCCCAGCTAGGAGACAAGATCAAAATGGCTGGTCCACTAAACTTTCTCTCTTCACTTGAAACTGAAATTGATAATTTCACTGACATCACTGCTGGGCATGACTGTTTTGTTTTCTGTTCCTAATCAAGTGATTTCCTTGGCGAGTAGAGGGCTTGGCTTTTGTGGTATTTCCTGACTTATAGAACTGCTGACCAATCAGTGGGTGATAGTAATAGTCTGGATAAGAACACCAAGGATTATTGTGAATAAATGCTTCTCAATGTGTTGTATGCATTTGGTTGATACCCAAATGCCTGCAACATGTGGGTGTTTTTTTTTTAATATTTTCCCCGAGTTATATAATTGCTTATTGAGATTATCTCCTTATTCTACCATAACAAAAGTCAGTCTGCCTGTGAAATTGTAAAAAAAAAATTAATTTCTTATCTTGGAGTTACTAAGCAATATAAGTGAAATACTCTGCACTCTAAATAAACATGAAATAGTGTACCAGAATGTTTATTCTTAAAAGATGCATTTTCTCACTGTAAATTCTGTAAGAAACAAGTGTGTTCGTCTCTCGTTCGAGAACTGATTTATCTGAGTTTGCAATGGCTTTATTATTTTATGTATAATATCACCAATAACCATGTTTTTATGACTTCCTCACACTATAATGTAACATTTGCACATATTATCACTCAGCCCATAATATTTTCCCTCAAGATATCTTCTTGATAATTCCTTTATTATCTAGTCTTTGCTCAAATGTCATCATCTTGATGAGGCCTATTCTGATCACCCCATAGTGTTGTAACCCATTTCTGATAACTTACTTTTTGTTCATGCATGGTATTAAAATTCATGCTTCTTTCTAGAGCAAACTCAACATTTTATTATTCTTATTTCTCAGGATCTGGCATCTCCTTAACTTCAGGAACATGGGGAACTACCATAGGCTTGTAAGCACAGTTGCATTCCTTTTAATAAAACTTGTTAAACAAACTTTACTAACATTTCTACATGTTGTGAGTCGTATTTCTACAATACAAATTTTATAATATTTTTTTTCACTTGGCTTAAATCACAGGGTACATCACAGACAATATTTTTAAAGATTGCCCTGAGTATTATCTATAAAATGTTACATTTCAAGGAGAAAAGTAAAGAAAGTAGCTAAAGGAGGATATATATCTCACCATGTTTTACATTCAGGTGACAAAATACTTTAGGTTATATTGGTATGTGCCAATAAACTACCAATGAACAATTTATATGATTATAGCTTCTGAGTTGTAGTTTTCCAGTTTTCAAGTTAAAATTTTTAATTTTGCAGGCCACAGTGGTTCATACCTGTAGTCCCAGAACTTTGGAAGGTCGAGGCGGGTGGATCATTTAAGGTCAGGAGTTCGAGATCAGCCAGGACAACATGGTGAAACCCCGTCTCTACTAAAAATACAAAAAATTTGCTGGGCACGTTGGCACGTGCCTGTAGTCCCAGCTCCTAAGCGGGCTGACGTGGGAGAATCGCTGAAACCCCGGAGGCAGAGGTTGCAGTGAACCGAGATTATGCCACTATAATCCAGCCTGGGAGACAGAATGAGATCATTTTTAATCTGGTTATCATTATAGGTTATCCAAGAGGATAAAATTGTTATAACTCACCCTGCACAAAATTTCAATCTAAAAAATAAAAATGATGAAAAAGGGGGATAGTAAGAAGAACAAAGCTCACTCATTTTTGGATAATGCCATGGTATTTGTACATGTGAAATATTGTGTGTAATTTTGGTTGCAGAATCTCAAAGGCATAATAACAAGTGTTTAATGAGTTTGAATCACTTTTTAATGATGTTTAATTACTTTCAGCCTTAGCTATGTAAAGGAAGTCTATGAAATTGTTACGACTATTTAACCTATATTCTTCACCTAACTGTAACATATTAATTGTACATTTTAAAATAAGTAAAAGAGTATAATTGGACTGTACATAACACACAAGATAAATGCTTGAGGGAATGGAAACTCCATGCTCCATTATGTGATTATTATGTATTGTATGCCTGTATCAAAACATCTCATATACCCCATAAATATATATGCCATGTACCTACAAAACTCAAAAATTAAAAAAAATTTTAAAAAGCTAACTCCCCTCCCATCAGATACAAGTGCTAACTCTTAAAACAGGGAAACCTAAGGAATACTATAAAGAGAGGTGGATTCAAAAAGTGAGAGACTTAACTATTTTTTAGTCATTAATTAATTCTATTTTCCTCTGATTTTGAATAACAAAGACCAAAGACCTGTTTGATGATTATATGGCTTTGATTCCAGCACTGAGAGTGTGACATTAGATGCATGAAATGCATAACATTATTAGCAAAATGTGGGGCAAAGGCCTCCCACCTGAGAATGTATGTAGAGAAAAGGTTTAAATCAATCATCTGTTTTTACTGCCAGCTGAGGAATTACCGGACGTGTGGTATTTTTCTGTTTTCTTTGGTTATTATATTTGATGCCTTTCACCTGTATTTCAAATCAAATGTGAAAGCAGTTATAACAGGCTTTATTATTTACTGATTTTCAAACTATTATCAGTGACAAATAACACTAGTATTAAAATTATAATTCTATCACTTTGAAAATCATAAGTGTATTGAAATAACCACATAAAATTAGGGAAAAATTAATAGAGATATCAAATAAAAATTTATTCTGCTATTGTAGGCATATAAATCTTATCTATCATAACATTTTAATGGAGATAGTATGAATTGCTGACACACACTTTATTTTTGAAAATTGCATGTTTTTATAATTAACATACTCTGCTATTATTTCACACTGCTTTATGTTAAATATAAAAGTATATGAGAACAGACCCAAGTGCATCATTAGATTACCACTGTCTACCTGTTAGGTAATGGAACTGTAAGACATATTTCTTTAATTAAAATATTTAAAATAAGAACATCCTGTGAACTTTAATAGAATCAACACATTTTTGAGGGAAATGAGGGTGGAAATGAGTGTTGCTTATCTGGTTTTGCATTTTATACTTAATAGAACAGTTAGATACTTTTAGTAAAAATGTACGTGGATTATTACTATATTAACTAAAATGATGTATACATGTAAAATACATATGTCAAGAATGAAAGTTCATTTCCTTTGTCTAATTTGAGCAATTTGATGTATATATAAAAAGAAAAAGTTAAGATATGTATTTCTGATGTATCTTCAATACAAAGTAACACATGGTTTGAATATATCAGCCAAAATTAAGTCCATGTGTTCCAATTAAATACATATCTAAAAATGCACAAAGAGATAATGTTATAATCCTCTACTGCTTTTTATTCTCTTGTCTCCTGACAAACCCAAAATTTTGATCAAGGATATGTAATTGCCACTCAATTCCTTGAAAATACTGCATAGAGGCCCTGAGATGAATCTCTCTTCATTCAGTTTTCAAATTTTGTTTTTCAATAATCCCTTTCTAGGAAGAGTGAAATAAAGGAAGTTTTACTAGTTCTATATTTACTCAGAGCTTAGTTTGAAGATAGATATAAAGTAACCTCATCATGTGATAATCAACAAGTACAATATATTACTTTTGGATTGAGTTAGGTGGGAGAGAGTTTGGATTGCGTCGATTAAATAATAACGTGAAATTGGTCTACACTAGTTGCTTAGACAGGAAGACTTAATGATTGAACAGAGAATGATTTTGTTTCCTGTCAATGAGTTATCAGTAAAAAAAAAAAAAAAAAAAAAGACAAATTTCCAAAAGATTTTCTGCATGCTAAAAGATCTTAGGTTACTTATGAAACACTGAATATTGGAATATAGGCCATATAAGGAAAACAAATGATAATGACAGTTATAATAGTCATAAAACTAATTAAAAAGATATATTTATAGGGATATTGGTTTTCAGATTTCTTTTCTTGTAGTGTTTTTGTCTGTCTTTCATAGGAGGGTAATGCTGGCCTTGTGAAGAGAATTTGGAAATATCCCCTCCTTTCTAGTTTTTTGGAAGAGTTTGGAAAGAATTCATATTAGTTTTCGTTACGTCTTCGGTAAAATTCAGTCATGAATAAATCTGGCCATGACTTTTCTTTGATGGGAAACTTTATTACTCATTTACTCTTCTAAATCACTGTTGGTCTGTTTAGATTTTTGATTTATTCATAATTACATCTTGGTAGGTTATATGTTTCTAGAATTGTATCCATTTATTCTAGGTTATCTAAGTTTTCGGTATATAATTGTTCACTGTAGTCTCTTACGATCTTTGGACATGTGCATTATCGGTTATAATGTCTCTGTTTATTTCTGATGTCATTTATTTGAGTCTTCTCTCTTCTTAATAAATGTAGTGAAGAGTTTGTCAATTTTTTTGAGCTTTTCTAGAAAACCAACTCTTAATATTTTTTATCTTTTCTATTTTCTTTCTAGTCTATATTTTATTTCTGCTCTAATAAAAGCAATTTTTTTCTTTCTTCTGCTAATTTTTGGTTTAGTTTGTTCTTATTTTCCTAGTTCCTTGAAGTATACTAAGTTGTTTATTTGAGATATTTCATCCTTTTTTGATGTAGATATTTAATTTTAAGTTTATTAAGACATTTATTAAGTTTAAAGTTAATACACTTCCCTCTTAGGATGGCTTTTGCTGTGTTCCATAAGTTTTTGGTGTGTTGTATTTCCACTTTTATTAATCTCAATATTTTTTAACTTCTTTTTCCTTTTTGACTCACTGGTTGTTCATATTGTTTAATTTCCACATATGTGAATTTTATGTGAGTTTTCCTATTATTGATTTTCAGTTTTATACCACTGTAGCTTGAAAAGGCATAGATGCAAAAATTCTAAACTGAACAATAGTAAGCTGAATTAATTAGAACATAAAAAGGATCATTTACCACAATCAACTCTGATTTATCCTTGGGATGCGAGGATTGTTCAATATATGGAGATCAATCAGTGTGATTCACCATATTAACAGAATAAAGGATAAAAAATATATGATCATCTCAGTAGATGCAGAAAAAGCATTTGAAATAATTTAATGTCCTTTCAGAGTAAAATCTCTCAACAAATTAGGTATAGAAAAGTGTTTCTCAATATAACTTAGGCCATTTATAACAAGCCTGCAAATAACATCATAGTTAGCTTCACAGTTGAAGGTTATTCCTCTAAGATCAGAAACAAGATAAGCATGTTTATTCTCACCACTTCAATTCAACATATTATGGGAAATCATATCCAGAGCAATCGGTGAAGAACACCAAGGAAAAGGCACTCGTATGGGAAAGAAAAAAGTGAAATTTTCTCTGCTGATGAAATGATCTTATAAACAGAAAAATCAAAACACCCCACCAAAAAAAAGAAAACCCTGTTAAAATGAATAAATGAATTTCAGTAAAGGCACAGGGCACAAAATCAACACACAAAATTCAGTAGCATTTTCATATACTGAAAACAAACTATCTGAAAAGGAAATTAAGAAAAATCAATCTTATTTACAATTGCATGAAAAAGAACCTTAAGAATAAATTTAACTAATGAAATAAAAGGTCTGTATACTGAAAACTATAAATCATTGATTAACTAAATTATATGACACAAATAAATAAAAAGATATCCTGTGTTCACTGATTGGAAGAATTAATATTTTTAAAATTTCCATACTACAAAAGCAAGCTACAGATTCAATGCAATTCCTACTGCAATGTCATTTTTCACAGAAATAGGAAAAACAATTCTAAAATTTGTATGGAACTACTAAAGACCCTGAATAGCCAAAACAATCATGTGCAAAAGAACAAAGCTTGAGGCAACCCACTACCTAAAATATAGTACAAAGATATAGTAATCAAAATAGCATGATACTGGCATAAAAACACATACACTGACAAATGTAATAAGACAATGAGCCCAGAAATAAACTCACACATATACAGTCAATTTATTTTTGGCAAAGGTGCCCAGAACACACAACAGGGAAAGATCAGTCTCTTTAATAAATGATGTTGGAAAAATTGGCTATCCACATACAGAAGAATAAAATTTGAACCTCATTTTACCCTTTATACAAGAATCAACTCAAAATTGATTAAAATGTAAGACCTGAAACTCTAAAACTACCAGAAGAAAACACAGAGAAAATGTTCCACAAAATTGGTCTTGCCAATGATTTCCTGGATATCACCCAGGCAGCAAAGGCAGAGATAGACAAATGGGATTATGTCACACTGAAAAGCTTCTGCACAGCAACAGAAACAATTAACAAATTGAAGAAACAACCTATATATTGAGAGAAAATATTTGAAAATCATACATCAGATAATGGTCTAATATTGAAAATACATAAAAGACACAAAGTACTCAATAACAAGAAACAAAATAACCCAATTTAAAAATGGTCAAAGGACCTGCATAGAAATTTCTCAAAAGAAGACATACATATGGACAGCAGATACATGAAAAAGTGCTCCACATCACCTGTTATTAGGAAAATACAAATTAAAACCACAATGAGCTACCACCTCATACACAGTAGAGTGGCTGTTATAAAAAATATTAAAGATAACAATTTTTTGGCAAGGATGTGGAGAAAGGGAACCCTAGCACATTGTTGGTGTGAATGTAAATGTAAACTAATATAAACCTTTTTTTTTTTTTTTTTGAGACAGAGTTTCATTCTTGTTGCCCAGGCTGGAATGCAGTGGCGAGATCTCGGCTCACTACAACCTCCACCTCCCGGGTTCAAGCAATTCTCCTGCCTCAGTCTCCCAAGTAGCTGGGATTACAGGCGCCAACCACCATGGCCAGCTAATTTTTTGTATTTTTAGTGGAGACAGGGTTTGACTATGTTAACCAGGCTGGTCTCAAACTCCTGACCTTAGGTGATCCACCTGCCTCGGCCTCCTGAAAACAGTATAGAGGTTCCTCAAAAAACTAAAAAGAGTATTAGCATATGATCTGGCACTCTTACTTCTAGCTGCATAGCCAAAAGAACTGAAATCAGTATGTTGAAACCTCTCCAAGTTCGTTGCAGCACTATTAACACAGCGAAAATTCGGAAACAACCTAAATAACCATCAATGGATAAATGGATAAGGAAAATGTGATATGTATACACAAGGAATAGTATTCAGCCTTTTTAAAAAAAGAGGAAATTCTGTCATTTGTGACAACATGGATGTATTTAAGGACATAGTGCTAAGTGATATAAGACAGGTACAGAAGACAGGTATCACATTTATCTCACTTTTATGTGAAACCTAAGGAAGTAGTAGTAGAAAGGCAATTACCAGAGGGGTTGGGATGATACAAGAAAAGGGGAAATGTCAGCCAAAGGGTACAAAGTTTCAGTTAGACAGGAGGAATACATTCTAGTGATCTATCACACAGCATGGTAACTGTAGTTAATAACAATATACATTTCAAACTTGCTAAAAAAGGAGATTTTTGAATGTTCTCTCTGCAAGGAAATGCTAAGGATGTGAGGTGATGGATACGTTAATTGACTTGATTTAATCATGCCACAATGAATACATGTATCATAACATCACATTGTAGCCCATAAATATATGCAATTATAATTTCCTTTTTTTATTTTTAATATTGTCGGTATATGGTATGTATATATATTATGGGATTCATGAGATATTTTGATACAGGCATGCAATGCGTAATAATCACATCATGGAGAATGGGGTATTCATCCCCTCAAGGATTTATCCTTTGTGTTACAAACAATCCAATTACACTCTTTTAGTTATTTTAAAATGTACGACTAATGTATTAATGACTATGGTAACCCTATTATGCTATCAAATAGTAGGTCTCATGTAATTATTATTTTCAATTACAAATAAAATAAAAATTTAGAAAGGATTTATTTATAAAGCCCTGAATAACTTTATCAACATGTTTTCCAAAATATATATTTACAAAACCCTACATAACTGTAAAAACGTATTTCTGGATACCTTAATCTTCAGACCCTTTCAGTTTCGTTCTTAATAAATGAATGCCAAAATAAAATGTTCATTTTATTAAGAAAGTAAAGTTCTTTTATCTTTTTGATAATAGTGTTTTGTTGTTGTTGTTGTTGTTGTTGTTGTTTGTTTGAGATGGATTCTTGCTCTCTCACCTAGGCTGGAGTGCAGTGGCGCAATCTCGTCTCACTGCAATCCTCGCCTTCTGGGTTCAAGGGATTCTCCTGCCTCAGCCTCCTGAGTAGCTGGGACTACAGACACATGACACCACACCTGGCTTAGTTTTTGTATTTTTGGTAGAGATGGGGTTTCGACTTGTTATCCAGGATGTTCTCGATCTCCTGTCCTCGTGATCCACCCACCACAGCCTCCCAAAGTGCTGGGATTACAGGCGTGAACCACCGCACCTGGCCTGTTAATAGTATTTTTTATGCTGGAGTGTGGTGATATTTTATGGCAGTTTTAATTTGCATTTCTCTGATGTTGTAACGTTGAACTGTTTTTTAATACACTTGTTGGCCATTTGTATCTCTTCATTCGATAAATGTCTATTTAGGATTTTTGCTCCTTTTAAAAATCAGGTTATTTTATTTTATTTTTGTCTGTCGAGTTGTTTGAGTTTCCTACATATTTAAAATATTAACTTCTTGTCAGATGTACAGTTTGTGAATATTTTCTCCCATTCTGTATGTTGCCTCTTCACTCTGTTGATTATTTCCTCTGCTGTGCAGAAGCTTTTTAGTTTCAGGCAATCCTATTTATTCAATCTCATTTTTGTTGCCTGTAGTTTTAAGGTCTTATCCCACAAAAATTCTTGCCCATACCAATGTAATGAAGCATTTTCCTTATGTTTTCTTCTAGTAGTTTCATAGTTTCAGGTCTCAAAGACAGGAGTTGTTGAGGTTGTGGAAAAGTAAATTCTTACATACTGTTGGTGGGAATGTAAATTAGTGCAGCCCTTATGAAAAACAGTATGGAGTTTCCACAAAAATAATTAAAAATAGAACTACTATATATGCAATTCACCAATCTCACTAGAAATTAGGGTATCAGAGAAATATCTGCATTTTCATTTTAATTGTAGCACTATTCACAATAGCCAAGATATGGAGTCTAGGTATCCAACAACATAAGAATGGATAAAGAAAATGTGATATGTATACACAATGGAATACTTTCAGCCATAACAAAATTAAATTCTGTCATTCGTGACAGCATAGATCAACCTAGAGGACATTATGGTAAGTGACATAAGCAAGGCACAGAAATAAAAATATGGCGTGATCTCATTCAGATGCAGAATCTAAAAAAGTGGGTCTCATAAAAGTAGAGAGTACAAAGGTGCTTATAAAAGCCTGGGGAGGTTATGGGGAGGGGGTGGATGGGGAAATGCTGATCAGAGGATACAAAATTGCAGTTAAGAGGAATAAGTTCAGGAGATCTATCATACAACAAGGTGACTATAGGTAATGATTATATATGGCATTCATGTGAAATGTAAAAAGAGGGATGTCATGGGCTATTCGCCACAGAATTAGAAAATATAAAAGAAAGAAGTTCTAAACAGAAATCATAGTGTAGGGAAAAGAACATGAGCGTGGATATTGGACAAATCTGGAGTTTTTTCTCACTTTTCCACTGTTTCTTATGAACAGTGATAGTGATAAAGTATGTATCCTATTTTTCTCTTTCACCATTTGCAATAATAATAACACTTGCCTTTTAGAACTGTAAATGTTTGATAAAATATGCCATAGGCTTTTGCCATTTAACTGTGCATCCTCTATCAATGGCACTATTTTCACTAAAATTTAGAACAGAATATAAACAAATGTATAAATCCCGAAAAGCAGTTTCAAATCACCAGTGACTGAGAAATCTCTCTCAACCCTATACTTCTAAAACACTTAGCCAACAAGTTTATTTTATACATTTTCCTTTAAAAACTTTACACTCTAAAATTCTATTGAATTACTACTATTTATTTACTTTCTTCACTTATTGTCTTTTCAAAATTCAAACCCCGTAAAAACCACCGAATTATAATTTGGATGGAGAAAATACTTGTTAAATTTACAACTTTTCATCATTTGTCTTTAGGTGATATTGTTGAAACTGAAAATAATAAGCTCTGAAAAAAATACTGGAAATAAATAGCAACCACTTCACATTTATGAAGGAAAATAAAGGCAAAATATGAATAAAAATAAAATCGTTTTATAGTGTCTGTAATGCTCAATTGTTGACAATATTTCCATATTATATAATACAAATCTTGTTTTAATCCATAATATAATGTTTATCTGGAAAAAAGTTTTCCTTACTTCTACAACTTGTTGGTCAAACTTTAGTTATGCTTCACATTTCCAGAGAGGATGACTTTTCTTTCATTTTGGAATCTCTGAAATAAAGCAAATATATATTTTCTGGCAAAGAGTACTAAGAAAATGTTTTATTAGAATCCAAAACTTCTTGCTTTCTTGAAAATATTCAAAATATGAATATTTCATCAGTTACCAAATATTGGTAACTTAATTATTTTTGAACTAAATTCTAATTAACTATAGCTTTCTCTAATATTTCCTATATTTTACAAAATCATGGTTTTTGTAGCATATATTTGTGCAGATGAATGAAGTCTACATATTAGAAACTTTTATTTTGCTCAACTTGAGTTTACTTAGCAAAACAATGCATGCCACTGTAAAAGAAAGAAAAATAATAAATTTAGTGATTGACTTAACAGTGATATAAACTAGGGCCAATTTGCAAGTTGTTAAATCTATGGGAAGACACTATCTGGATTTGTATGAGCAAACTTCGGCGTCTATCAGGCTAAGCTGGTGACAGTTGCTTTTTTTCTCATTTTTTATTCTCCCTCAATACATCTCATAAGATGCACTCACTTTTATGGTACAAAATTTTTCAACCTAAATTTCACTCAAATTTCTATCTCCTGTCTTTCCGTTATTTACACAAGTTTTTTTTTTTTTCAAGTGTTTCCTATGCCCTTTCATTTTAGGACACTAAGACCCCTCTTAAAGACATTATTAATAGCCTAATTTAGAATTTTCCCAGTCCTAAATCTAGTAACTTGTTATTGCTTCTTCCTGTTAATGTTTTTCATAATTTTCCCAATTTCCTCTGCTTCAATGAATTCCCGTCAAATATCAAGCTGAGGTGATTCTGTAATTTATTTACTTATTCTTTTGTTCATGCATCACAAATATATTGATCCTACTAAAATATGATATGTGAAAAACAACGACAAAATTTTCTATAAATTGGTGATAGATATATATTTTTTTTTCCTTTTCTTTTTTTTTTTTTTTTTGAGACAGAGTCTCACTCTGTCACCCAGGCTGGAGTGCAGTGGCACGATCTCAGCTCACTGCAACCTCCAGTTCCCGGGTTCAAGCAATTATCCTGTCTCAGCCTCCCGAGTAGCTGGAATTAGAGGTGCCTGGCACCACCCCCGGCTAATTTTTTTGTATTTTTAGTAGAGACGGAGTTTCACTCTGTTGGACTCGAACTCCTGGCCTCAGCCTCCCAAAGTGCTGAGATTAGAGGCGTGAGCCACCATACCTGGCCTACTTTTCCTTTTTTGAAGGTATAAGCCCTCATAAGCCCACAATAAGTGACAGACAACTGATGTACATTGGACAGACTGACAAAACCATCAGTCAGTAATACTGCAGCAAGTCTCTGTTGACAGTTCAACTACAGCAGAATTCATACTTTCTTCTCAATCTAAGCTTGTACCAGGCTTTGTCTGCCTTGTCTCCAGAATGTTCTATCATGTCTCAATTTGATATTTTGATCCAATATTATTAGTGTCACCAATAGTGTTATTAAAATATAATTTATTATCTATATATGGATATTTTTGACTATGAAAAGGGACAATAAATATAAAAATAGATAATTTTTGAATATTTTATCTCTTGAATGACAAACTGTTTGATAGAGTATACATTTATGAAATTTGAAACAAAAAACCCATCAAAAGTTTGTTTCCACAAGTTCACATATTCTTAAAAACTCTTGTAAAATTTTAAAATCAAATATTGTACACCACTTGATCTCTGCCATTATTCAATTTATTTAGTCCTCCTTATTTGAGAGAATAGATTTTTATGTCCTTCTGTTTCAAAATACTTATTTTAAATAATTTCAATTTTCTGAAAACTTCAAAAGTGATTTTGTTTTTGTTATTGCCTCTAATTCATTATTCTTTATGAATAGCTGTTCTCCAACTACTTTGGAAATGTAATCATAATTTATAAGGCTCATTTGCAAAAAGGTTCAGTTTCATAGGTGGGCTCTTAGGTTGCTAATTAAATAGTTCCTCAGAAGCACAAATATTTTAAATTGATAAGCTGTGAAAAGAAAAATTGCATATTGGTACACTTCAAGTATTTTTTGTATCAACATCAGATTTGTGTTTGTGTGTGTAATCTATAAATAGGTAATATATACTTATTTTGTGAATATTTTTAAACATTTGAAAACTTGACAAGTATAGATTCCTATATATATTACATTTTCACCACAACCAATTCCATGTATATTCCTGCTTGACAGATGTTTAATCAGAATGTTGCTTTAACTGTGATACCATGCTTCAGTCAAATTTATATTCATAGTAACTTATAAACCTAGGTAATTTTATCTGGAATATTGATCTATGAAACTGAATTATAACTGCAAATTTATTTTCACAATACTGTCAGATGTTTCATCTTTGGCAGAATAAACTTCTAAAACGTTTAATTCATGAATTTGATGAAAATTTTGAGCCATCATTGGCAGTAAGTGAATTACTATAGAAAGTAACTGATGATATCCTATTGCATTATTTAACAATTTTGACTTTGTTTTGATGTTAACAGATGTTACACATTAATACATCCTAGTCCAATTTTTAAATATGCAAAAGAAAACTTGAAACTAAAAATTAGCAAAATTAATTTAGAAGAATCACTTGATCTGAATAAAAAATGAATCATAACAAAATCATATACAAAAACAACTCTTACAGCTGAATATTTTCATTATCTTTGTTTCAAAACTACTAACTTTTGAAATATTGCTGATGTTTCTTTAGCAGATATGTGTCTTCATCATCATAATTTTATGTTGCTAGCAATACTATTATGAATTCCTTAGTGGATGACTAATGTTTGTTAACAGTTTGTTGGAATAATTTGTCTAGTAAATATATATTTTTATTATTTTGTGCTAATTGTGACTAAAATATTTTGTTACAAAATTGCAAATGTTACTTAATGAAAAGCAAGTTTGTATATTTATAATATTTTATAAATGGCAAATCTCCACAACAGATATAACTGGATAACTTTCTATAAAATACAACACAATCAAATGGGGAATTGATCTCAATTACTAGCACATATTTTCTAGATATCTAAACTATAATCTACTACCATATAAAATTATTATATCTAGGAATTGCTTAAATTTAGAGATTATATACTTCAGTATTCAACTCTTGATCATAAATTTATATATTTCCTCTTCTCTACTCCATTAATTCCCTGTAATTCCTGATTTCAGACTAAATTAAAATGAATTTTTCCTTAATTCCTATTTTCTTTAAAAAATTAGGTCTATTTCCCTTTTTCCTTATCCTAACCTACCCATTATCCATCATGTAAGCCATACTTCTTTCATTATTATTTCCTTTTAGACAAATCTGAATCTGATCTCAACACTATCATACGACTTTCCTTTTGCACATAAAACGCTGATCACTGATATTAAAAAATCATACAAAATATACTTTGAATTGCAATAAGATCTGAATCCTGTCTTGAAATTTTCCTGTTTTCCTAATAAATTTCCTATTTCTAGCTTCCAGCCTTATTCTTATAACTCAACTCAACACATTTCTCAGAACATGATTCATGTTCTATTTCTATTCTTGGAAATCAGGGTATTGAGAAACTTCACATTACTGCTGTCTACACCTCAAAATTCTACCTACGTCTTTCATCATGCTTCCTTGCTTACAGTTCAGTGGAAACAGAGTTCCTTTTCTTATTGATGGTATATATCTACTCTCTGACCTAACTGGTTTCTATTTCCTCAGGGAATTTCTTCATCTACTCTCCCACCTTTTGTTCTATTTTGGACAATAAAGAGTAATAGCAATAATAATAATAATTATAGCCACAGTAAATATGATTCCATCAACTCTAGTTCTGAGTATCTAGTTATTGTCCTTATCAACCTTCCATTTGGTGCCTAGTTCCCAAATCAATTTGTCCACATTTAGTGTATTTACTTGCTAATTTCCCACTTATCTATTCCAGCAGTCCCCTGATACTAACCTGTATTGTTCACCAATGGCATATTAGCAGAATATTTTCAGTCATCCCTTGGATGTCTGACATTGTCGACCTTTCCCAAGTTTTTGAAACTTTAGATTTCCTTGGTGGCTTCATTCTCTCTGATGACTCATTATTAATTGCCTTTGCAAAATCTTTTTCATTTTTATTTCCAATGGTGGAACTTCTGAGAATTTTAAAAGAACTCAAATGATAAATAAGGTGAGGGCTAAAAATGGTAATTAGATTTGTTATAAGGGTGATGTTAATACCTTTGACAGGTGCATTTTCACTGGTGGTGAGTAGAAAATTATACAGAAGTCAGTTGCGGGGTGAACGCAAGGTAACGACATGTACATATCTTTCAAGAAATCGACTATAAATGGTAAGAGAGAAATATACCTGTAGATAATGAGTAGACAGGGTCAAATTTTTTAAATAAATTCATATATGTATATTTTTGTATATATTTATATATGTAATTTTAAAATTCATATATGTGTGTGTATATATATATACTTGTTTTATGATTGGAATCAATTTGCAATGCTTAAATCTCTAAAAAAAAAAGACATCAAGATTCTAATTTAGAAGGGCATGTATAATCTTAGATTTCCTACTTTCTTTTACCATCCATTGTCTTTTGATTTCTAACACTGATTAAAGTTTCAAATCTTGCTAATTCTAATATATTTAGTACCTTAGTATCTAAAACATGTAACTTACCAAATTATAAAATCTGTCATTTAGTTCTCATTGACTTTAGAATAAAATCCAAACTCCTTAGCATAGAATAAAACATCCTTCATTAATGAGCACTTTACTAATACTTAGGTCCACATTTTACTACTCTTGCCTCCTGAATCTATTTACAGATATTTGTATCCATAATCTTCAGAAATGTTGATATAAGTGCTTCTTCTTCCTGAAAATTCTCTTCCTCTCTTTACCAGCTTAGTTTATTTTGCATAATTTGGAACATTTATTTATTCAACAAAGATTTGTTGTGAGTGTATGAAGCATAATATTAGGTGTTGATAACAGATGAAGAAAAATGGTAAGAATATAAAGATAGAGATATGCTTGCATGTTGCTGATATTCTGGTGAAAGCTATTTATATTATGATTAACAATATAATATAAATATGTAATGCAACAAGCATTATTATTATGGGGGAAATTACAAAATACTATGCAAAGATATAACAAAATGCCTTAGCCTTTTGGAAAGGTTTGCAAAGGGTATTTAGGATAAACGCTATTTAATATAAATTAATTAATGAATGAGATAATGCAGCCATGAGACATGATAATTGAGTAGCAAAATCAGAGTGGGAAAGATTTAAGAAAAGTGCAAGAAGAAAGAAACTGTACACTTTAATGATTAAACTGGAACTTTGAGCATTAGCAAAATAGACAGAAAGTCACAGTGGTTGGAAAGAAATTTAGCAGGGAGAAAAAAATAGTGTGAGCTTAGTCTAGAGATAAACACCAGGGCATAATTATGCAGGAGCTTACAGACCATAATAAAAAATAAAGTTTTTTAAAATCAAAGGAAATATTTCCATATGTTTTTACACAAATTTGTCCTATGATCATATAAAAATGTTTAAAACACAATTTGAGATGTTGCCTAGAGGCCAGACAGACAGCATCCATGCCAGAGTGAATGTAGGACAACATGAAGAGATTATTATATACTTGAGATAAAAATGATGAGTTGAACTAGGATACTGAAACTGGACATGAAAAGAAGGAGCTGACTGAAGAGTTTTAATAGGAGAGTTTTATAATTCAATAGTGGAAATAAGAGAGAGGAAATAAGATATTATTTTTTGAGAATATTTACTAGAACCCTCTAGTACAGGTTAGTGCTCGTTTATATGCATTTTGGGCTTACGTCACTTTTAGAATTGACTACATATAATTGTCATTATTTATCTTTCTTCTCCTGAGACAATAAGCTATTAAGAGTAACAATATATCCTCCTTTTATTGCTGTATGTTCAGTGACAAATATAATGTCTAAATTATTTTTTGTTTAATAAATATAAAAATTTGGGTGGTAGGAAAAGATTTTGGAAATTATAGGTATCCCTTGACTTTCTGGGTGCTTCTAACAATTACCTTGTTTCTTGCTCTTTCTTGTTCCAGGACAAGTCTGCATGTGTGTATACAAGGAGTGAGAACTTACAATTTTAAATACTCACATGAATATCTCAAGTCAAATTGACTCAGAAAAATCATGATCTTTGTAAATTCTCATTTGGAAAGGATTTGACTTAAATAATAGCAATGATGATGTTTAACAGAAATGCCTTTACATAACAATGTTGTGGTTTACTGAAAAAAGCACTATATTGATAATCAATAAACCTTGGTCTGATACTGAGTAGTTGTGAGTTACTGAATAAAATTAAGAAATTATTTGATATTTGCATAGAACATTTTACCTTTCCTTGTTCTTCACCACACATGCAACTGTTCTGCCTCTTTAATTACCTCTCTTATGCTATTCCTATGGCTACATTCCACAGAGAGTTGCTAGGCACCTCCCAGACATGAATAAGAGAATCAATTTTCATAAATGATACATCCAGAGGAGTAAATTCAAAGACTTGGAAAACAGCAGTTCTCTAGGTTTGCAGCAATGCTTCTTGCATTGCAAATCTCTGGTGCTGAGAGCATGTGAAGATGTGAAAACAGCAGGCCTCTTAGTCATCTGTGGACTGCAGGGCTGTGGTGAGCCCACCACAGGCTGGATAGCTGGAAGGTACCCTTTAAAAGGCCCTGATGTACTTGAAACCATATGGCAAAGCTGTGAATATTGGGAAATAAGAACAGCAGCAGAGCTACTTGTTGTGCCACAGTCAGAAACCCAGTGACTTCTGCATTATCTGAAAGGCTCAGAACAAACACTATTAACCTAAGAAAAAAAAATGAATATTTATAGATTAAAAATTAATGTGTTAATTTCATTTTAATTTTTAATTGTATGTATTTTAACTTTTTCTCTGATGAGATATGTGGTCTGCCTCTTCATGGACCGATAAAGGGCCTTTTACATATCCAGTATGTGGAAAAACAAAAAAGACAGTTATCAATCTACCATATGCAATCAAGCAGCAATTTATGACAAGAAGTAAATACCATTGGCTATCTTACCCAAGTACCATATGTTAAACACATTAGAAATTGTGAACTGATGTTACCATTGTCACTATTAATAATGGAAACTAATAGATACAGAAAATATATATTTACACTTATTTATTTAGAGGGTTATCTTGATTGTTCTTTTTGTTTTGTTTTGTTTTCTTTCTGCAACCTAATTAGCTCTGCCATCTACAAGACCTACGTTTATGCCTTAGAGTAATGATAAAGAGAAATTCAAATATTGTAATAATGTTCGAGTTTGCATAGCCAGAAAAGCTAAGTTTAACTGCTTCTGACTTAGTTTTAAGACTCACTTGATAACTCTAGTTGATGGTATATCACAACACTTCTTCCAACAGAAACTCTGTGCTGGTATTTCTGAAACAAGCTTATAAATTCATCAGAACTTCAGCCAAGAAAATTAAGAAATGTTTATATGGGCACATCTGTTTTTATGAATTTGAATAGATTGACATTAGGGCCAGATTTTGTATACTCTTAGGTAGTTCATCCACTTTTACTATTGAAGAGTATTCTCTTTTATTAATACACCATAATTTGCTGATCCATTTTCCTGTGTATGGACTTTTGGGTCATTTATAGGTTTGAAAAAAGATTCTTAGTATGAATACATGAAATTTATAATACATGTTATACCTGAATTTAAAATAGGCTGGATGACAGTATCTTTTTTATTGAGGTATTAACATGTGGTATAAAATGCAGCCTTGTAAGAGTACAGTTTTTACTATCATAAGACATATAAGTAAGCCACATAGATGTAAAATACATAGAACAGTTCTGTTACCTCTCAAAATGCTAAAAAGAACTTTGCCTAACCCAAAATCATGGATATTTTTGTTTATTTGTTTTCTAAAAGTTTTTATAGTTTTTCATTGTACATTTAGGTTTATAATCCATTTTAATATATTCATTACGGTATGAGATATAGATCAAGATTCTTGTTTGCATATAGATATCAATTATTTCAGTACCATTTGTTCCAGCACTAACTTTCCCAATGCTATTTGTCTTTACCAAATTGCCTTTGTACCTCTATTAAAATTAAATGACCATACATATGTGGATTTATTTCTTGATGCTCTAATATATTCCATTGAACCTTGTGTCTGTATATTTTCCCAGTACTGAGGCTCTATTACTTATTGTAGTTATAAGTCTTAAAAGTAGGCCATATGAGTCTTTAATCAGTGATTTTTCACAATTTCTTTGACAATTTTAAATCCTGTTGCCTTCCGTATAAATTTTAAAATGAAGTTATAAATTTCCACAAAAAAATCTGCATTTAATCTTCCAAAATTAAGCATAATTTTATGCATAGTGTTTTTGTAGTTGCCTTTTATCACATTGAGAAAAACATTCTCTTCTAGTGCAAATTTCCTGAGAATTTTATTCTGAATGGAGGCTGAATTTATCCAAGCAATTTTTTCTCTATTAAGATGACCATGCATAGATGGGCCCGGTGGCTCATTCCTGTAATCCCAGCACTTTGGGAGGCTGAGGCAGGCCAATTACAAGGTCAGGAGATCAAGATTATCCTGGCCAACATGGTGAAACCCCATCTCTACTAAATACAAAAATTAGCTGGGCGTGTTGGTGCACACTTGTAGTCCCAGCTACTTGGGAGGCTGAGACAGGAGAATCACTTGGACCCGGGTAGAGGTTGCAGTGAGCCGAGATTTCGCCACTGCACTCCAGCCTGGGCGACAGAGCCAGACTCTAACTCAAAAAAAAAAAAAAAAAAAATGACCATGCCGTTTTTCACTTTATTCTGTATATATTGTGAACCAAATTGTTTTTTAAAAACCTTAACTATTCTAGTTTTTCTATGAGAAAGCCCACTTAGTCATGATGGTTTAACCTTTCTAAATTTTGATGAATTTATTTTGATTATATTTTGTTCAGGATTTTTGCGGCTACTTTCATGGGGGATATTAGTCTGTAGTTTTCTTTTCTTTCAATGTTTTTGTCTAGTTTTGCTGTCATTAATCCTTTTAAATACCCCTTTTCTCTCTGATCCATATCTCTCACATACTGCATGTATGCTATTCATCACCAGAAAGTGCATACTAAATACCCATTATTGGTACTGCTATTTTAATTACTAAAGATAAATGATAAAGAAAATATAGGGTTCCTATTCTCATATTCAAAGTGTTTTAACTTCAGGAAATACATATTTAATATATTTTCCATTTAATAATAAGTTAATTGTAGCACTTACAAAGGCAACTAATTATAATGTAGGCTATTGGGATACATAAATTAAATTCACTGAGAATGTTCCATTATTATTCCTGCTTTTGTTCTAGCAAAAATAAAATATTATGTATCCTCTCAAGAATTTGCAAGGTGAGTATTTTAATCCGTCAATAGCTCTACCCACTCACTTAAAAATTAATTTATATGTTTTTATTTGTTTTTGTTGAGCCACAAACCATGTTCATAATAGTCTTACGTGCTATAGAAGTAATAAAGGTACAGAAAACATAGCCTCTGTTCCAAATGGCTTGCAGTCTAAATGAAACAAAATGAAAATTCCAGAAAAGCAACTCAGATGCATCAAAGGAGAAATGGAGTTGTATTTTGATAGAATTGCTATCTATACACAACATTAGGCAAGTATCTCATGAAGTAAAATTTGTTTTCGGAAACCTGTTAACAAGGCATCGCATTGGGCACTGCAATAGCAATTCTTAACTAAATTAACACAGCCACTTTCCTCACAATGTTTTCTAGTTGAGTACTAAATGAAGCTGTTGGCTTCCTTGTATTTGAGGGCCAAGGAAATAAGACCTTATATTTTACCTTCAAACACTAGCCACATCAGTGTTGAGAGTGCAAATTTGGTACTAAAACTGGCTAAAGAAATAGCAGAAAAATTTTTACCATATCATATCCATAAGGAGACATACTCAGTTGTGCTAGATGGCAAAGAGAATACACTATTTAAATTGCTATATTTGCATACAAGCTCATTCTCTTTCTTTTTCTCTCTGCTTTTCTTTCTTTTAATTCTATCACAATTAACCTCCAGTAGGTTAAAAATACATGCATGCTGGTTCTTAACTGTTATTTAAAAAATAAAACTAAGACATTTATGTGGACTAAACAAACCTATATATTACATTAGGGAAACATATATATATGTATATACATATGTATACATATATACATATATATACACATATGTACACATATATATGTTTATAAATGACTAAAATACAAATTTTATTTGAAGAGGAGGCACTTGGTATCCGACAATCACCACAAATCCAAACCTACAAGAATTAGCACTATTTTTTTGAAATAATTTATCTTATCCTTAGTATATATAAATCAATAATAATCTCATTGATGATTTTAAGATAAGAACAGTATGAGGCTTTAGTAATAATAAACATCAAAGAGATCTTATAGAGAGATAAACATACTATTAAAACAAAATTTAAAGATGCCCTTCTTTTTACTTGATATTTTCTCACTTTATATATTTTCTGACAGCATGCCATGGTATCTTGTGGCTGATAGTGACCTGTGAAGGTCATCTTTCAATTCTCTTCTGTTAGGAGGATGACTCTTAATTCAGACAAGGACATCCCAATAGAAAGATACAGTGTAAAAAATACAAAGTAGTAGAGAGATGACAAAAGAACACAGAGTTTTAGGAGAGATGAGATGAATGGACAAGAAGCAATCAATAAGAATCAAAGTTCATTGTCCGTGCAAAACATCATCAGCAGACTCTACTCAGCCTGCTTACGGCAGCTTTTTACTCATCCTGCATCTCTGGAATTTCTTATGAGAAAAAGAAGGAGTAGGTGGAAGAGGAGGCAGGGGAGGAGGAGAAGAAGGAGAGAAGGAAGACCACCTGGGACACTTATCCATACATATTGAGAAGTAGATTTTGGTGCTAATACCATCTGAATTTATTTGTTTTGCTATAAATACTCCACAGTAGAAATAGACATTTGATAGACATTTCATTAGAAACACCAAATATTGATAAGAGAAAGAGCCATATTGTTACAGGTTAAACAAGATTTATCTATTCAGCCCCAGTGGGAAGTAGGTTGGTATGTTCCCAAAAACTCCAACTGACAATACATCCACTCTCAGAATAATAGTAATTTTTTTGAAGACAGAGTCTCACTATGTCACCCAGGCTGGAGTGCAATGGTGTAATCTTGGCTCACTGCAACCTCTACCCCCCAGGCTCAAGCAATTCTCCTGCCTCAGCCTCCTGAGTAGCTGGCAGGGACTACAGGCATGCTTTACCACACACCCGGTTAATTTTTGTACTTTTTGTGGAGACGAGGTTTCACCATGTTGCCCAGGCCGGTCTCGAACTCCTGGGCTCAAGTGATCCACCCGCCTGAACCTCCCAAAGTGCTCAGATTAACAGGCATGAGCCACCATGCCTTGCTGGAAAAATAGCAATTTCAATATCTGCAATTAGGCCTCATTTATTCAAAAGTTTAATCACTTAAAATGCATATACCTAAATGTAAGTGGTTCAAAAATTTTAATCTCATGTATACAATATTTCTAGGTATACAAACACATTTGTATTATAGTTTAAGAATCCACGGTCTATATACTTAAATAGAATATAGTTAATAAAGCAACAACAGATATCACATTGTATAAATCTTAGTAAAATCTTCCCTTACAGTACAAAAACATATGAGCTCAAGTATCAGTGGATCTGATTTCAGGTTTTGGTATAGTTCTTATTAAGAGTTGTATCTTAAGACAGTAACTCTTGCCTTTAATAGTGTTAATTTCCTTGCTGTGAAATGGAATATGGCACAGAATTGTTATTGAGATGGTGAGGATCTATGTAAGTTGAGGATCCTGCAAATGTAAGTTGAGACACAGTCAGGTGTTATTGAGATGACAAGTATGATTCATAATTTTTTAAATTTAACTGCAAAATCTGGGTAAATATGTTATGATAAATGAAATACCAGACAGTAATGCTGTAAATGATATTTTTCTGTTCCTCAAATGGGTTACAGTTGCCTTGATTTTGCTCTTACAATAATTAAAGTTTGTTGGTTAAAAAATTGGGTAGTTAATTCCGTTTGTTTCCTTAGAATTTGTGTATGCGATTCAATAATAAGTTTGACTTTACAAGTGCAGAAACCTATTCTGTTAGGAGAATGAGTACTCTGTACCTGTTCAATTTCCTGATATACAGTGGTGGTTCACAAATTAGTTTTTAATATTTTAATAAAAGAATGAAATAAATAAAACCCCAGTTTGATATTTTTAACAAAACAATTTTTCTTAATTCCAATTAAAACATACTTCATGTACTGATTAAATTAAAAATTGGCAAACATGACAGGATTAAAATCATTAGATTATTTTCGAGATGGCCCTCCACCTAAAGAATCCAGTTGTGCTACCTGTTCTTCAGTCTATCTGGTAGCATGAAAAGTGTTTCCACAGCTAATACCTTCTCAAATAAAGTGTAAAGAAATGAAGGAGGTCCAGCAAGTCCAAGTCACTAGAATACAAACTAGCATACTTGAATGACAGCATTAATAATGGAAAATTGAACATTTTTTAAAACTTCCTGCTGATGATGGCCAGGTGCAGTGGCTCACTCCTGTAATCCCAGCACTTTGGAAGGTTGAGGCTGGCGGATCATGAGGTCAGGAGATTGAGACCATCCTGGCTAACACGGTGAAACCCCGTCTCTACTACAAATACAAAAATTGGCCGGGCGTGGTGGCATGCACCCGTAATCCCAGCTACTCAGGAGGCTGAGGCAGGAGAATCATTTGAACCCAGGAGGCGGAGGTTGCAGTGAGCCTGAGATTTCACCACTGCACTCCAGCCTGGCGACAAAGCTAGACTCTGTCTCAAAACAAAAACACAAAAAACTTCTTGCTGATGAAAGACACAATTGCCTCATAATTAAAACAATATTCTGAGGTAAAAAATTAAATTCCAAATTCCAAATGGTTGCATTTATCAGCAGGTATGGATTAACTCAAACTAATGCATTTAATGTAATTTCATAGAAATATGAGAGTTCTTTGCAGTTGCCTAAAACTGAACCTTATTCTTTAGATTTTTTTTTTCTCTTTGCACTTCAAGTTTTTCAGTAGTTTGGCTACAAATGACCTGAAAATAAGCTTTTTTGAGTACATAAATAATCAGTGTGGTGAAGCAATAGTATTACGTTGCAAATTTTTCCAATTCTTCCTAGAATGAATTTAACTCCATCCTACTTGGAAAATCCCTCCCTGTCTCTACACAGACACACACACACAAACACACACACACACACAAAATCTATACATGTGTGCGTATATATATACACAATTTATATTGCATTTATATATATATATACACATGCACACATATATATACAATTTATATTGTGTATATATTTCTATTGTCTAAAAATAATTAAAGTTAGATAAAATTTAAAATTTAGTATCTGTTCCAAATAACACACACATAGACATACACAAATACAGGTGTATATCTACACACATACGTATATAGTCACATAAAATATCACTTTGTAAACCTATCTCGTGCATTTTACATTGCATTTCTTTTTAACGATCTACATATTTTAAAATTTATTAAATGTAATACATGCATGCAAGTACTTGCAGTGAGGAATTTTTTTTAGAAAGCATCTACACTACATATTAGGTCTTATTTTAATATCAAATATTCCAATCTAATATTGCCCCAATACCAACTAAAGTGAACAATAAAAAATATTGTACTCCATCTTGAGTTTTCAGATTAAATGTAGAAGGAAGAAAAAAGCGATATTATTTCTTCTTTAACAATCATCAGTGAGCTTAGTTGTTGTAAAATTCTTTATATTATATACTTTGTTTTATTTTTATATACAGAAAACGACTCACTAGCCAGAGCAAAATGTAGGTAATGTTTCTTTTGAGAAAAGTAGCAGTGTGATACTTTTGACAGCTTGGTGATTTCCTTTTGGGTGACCTTGAATTGATAATGATACCTTATGTTTAAGAAGGATCATCAATCTTGGAGCATCTTAGTGACAATCTCAGTGTCAATTTCTTTATCACAGTGGATATATGTCTGAACTGCTCGCACTTATGCTAAATTAAGAGATCCTGGTGGGTTACACAAATAAACAGTAGCACAGAACAAAGTCATTCCTTCTTTAAGGAAATAAAGGTAATTTGTCTCAATTCATGTAAGAATGTGATAAAACTAGTGAAAAAAATATGAAACCAAGTGCATTTCTTTTTAAATCATGGAAAGTCAGAATATTTTTTGCTGCATTGCCTATTTCAGAAAACTACTTTGTGTGAAACTTCCCACTAATAAAACATTTCTCAAAAGCCAAGCTATAGTTTCTATCACTAAAATAGACATTACTTTTACCAATGTGTTAAATTTTTAAATTATGTATTGGTAAATCTTAATTATAGCACTAAATGAAATGACTGTAGATTGTGATATTTGATTGACATATTAGACATTATAAATTTATCTCTAAACATTTCTATAAGTTTGAATTCACAGATTTGAAGAATTTATCTCTGATGAAATTTCAGATTATATTACATAATAGTATTTTCAAAGTCAACCTCAATGATTAATTGAAAATAAATATCTTTTTAAAATCTGAAAAGTATTGTTTTCTATTTTGCTTGCAGAGAGCATGAGCTATTAGAAGGGAAAGTGGTGTGGAGTCAGCAAAGAAGGGATTAATTAATAGTTCTAATATTTTATAACTAGATGATTTTTTAGAAAAAATACTTTCCTTCTCTGAGTCTCAATTTCATCATTATCAATAGTGGAATATAATATGTATTAAGGGTGATTATGAGGATTCAAAAAGGTATGTAATTATAATATTTAACATAATATACATATCTAATGAGATAAACTTTGATTATACTGCCTATTTTGGAGGATCCCTGGGACCAGATATTCTTCTAACACCCTCAGATTGGTTTGAGATCACACGAGTGAGTCTAATACTTTATAAGATTTAACAAAGTGCATTGTTTTGCTTAATAACCTTCCAAGTCATTGTTCCACTGAACTTTATCTGGATTGGATGAAGATTTCTGGTCAGTTTCATTTCATTCCTTGATGTTCAGAGAGACAAAAAAGTAAACCCTGTGTTGTTGCACAGAATAGATGGTTTTCTGTAATCTCCTTTGTTCATCCTTAATAACTATGATTTTTATAATGATAGAATCTACCTAAATTTCAAAATGATATCTGAAACTTAATTCCATTGAAGAGATATCTTTACGTTTTAATCAGAATTCACATATTGACAAAAGCAGTTATACTTCAATCTTGTACAAAATCATTCTCAGTTACAAAATAAATAGTTAAAATTAACATATTTTCATAGATTAAAATATTTTAGTAATATAAAGTTATGAAAACCTCAACTGGCATATACTCAAACATTCCTTTAACTTCTACACACTCTCTCTCTCTCTTTTTTTTAAAACTATTCCTATAGTAAGGTTTAATCCAACATTAGTTGTACCTACTATGTACTTTACCAGGGGTTGGGGTGAAAATTTTTTTTAATACTCTTTTCTCAGAAAGAATTTAGTTTTTACATTAATAGGGAGCTGTATAATTTGAGCTATATTACCCTCCTTGACTCTTCAGTTAAAAAAGAAAAAAGGAAATGAACAAACAAACCAAAACAAAAAATGTAAGAAAAAAATCAGAATAAAGCAGGATTAAATAAAAAATAATGAGCTACTGTCAGCATGTTGGCAACATACATATCACCAGTGCTATAAATAGATCATTTATAATGTCTACAAAATTGAATATATCACATTATTTTCTTCATGTTACCATCATAGCCTGTTGCAACTTATACCATTAAGTCAAATTTGTAAAGAGAATATTACTGGTACAGTGTCACAATTCAGTAATATTGGAGTGTTCATACTACATGCGTGCATTTGTGTCTATCACTCGCATTACAACAGTTACCATTGGAGTTAATATGACTGAGGCAGAGCTGAAAATGAATATTCTTGTCCATTCCTACATAAACTGTCTCTGATCTTCTTTTATGATTAGAATGGAAAAGAAAGTACTCCCTAAATCAATTACTGCATAACAAAAAGTATCTGACACAACAGCTGAAATTGTGGCTACTACGTGGTTAAGCTTGAGGTAGGTTGCCAACAGTTTTTATCCTGGACATTTCAGAGGTTTCTATTTAACCTTCCCTACTATGACAACTCAACCCTGAGTCAATGTTCAGATTACTTCAATTTCTCAGTATAGTCAAATACATACTTCAAAGCCATAGGTAGTTCTAAAATACCCGTGATTTCACATGAAACACCTCAGATAGGAATTTATTTTAGTTTTCCCCCTCTAGTTTCCATTTTAACAGGAGGCATGGTGATATCGTGAGACTCAGGATATCAGTATCAACTCTTACCCTATATACATAGTTCTCGAAATGTCTGGGTATTTTGTTTTCGGCATTCAATCCCTGAAGCAGGTGGATAAAGCCATTTTCTGTATGTACTTGTCATGGTGTTACAGGGTTCTTCCTTCCAGAGATACAACCTCCTTTTTAGTCACTGGGATCCAGATCTAAAAATGGTGAGGTCAAGGTCTACAAGCTCTACAAATGATTGGGGCTTTTTATTGGGATAACAGCCCTCAGTTTCCTGCTCCTTAATTCTCATCCTTATTTGATTGTATATGCTCAGTAGCACTCTTGTTGACTGCAATCTACTTTGTCCAGGGATGCTAAATCGACCGTCTCTACAACTTCGCAGGAGTAATGTCTCATCAATTTCCTCCAGTTGTACTGGTTATTACAATAGTTTTGACCTCTCATGTTTTAGACATTATATGTTGCCACCTGGCCTCTATTAGTTTAGGGTCCATTAATCTCAATGGCTTTTAGTGAGCCTCATTTTATCACTGTTTCTCTTCTTTTCAAACTGAACCTGCAGCGAGCAGTCACTGCTGAACTTCTTAAGGATGTCGATATCCTGCTTCTAAGTGTATTCCTGATAGTCCTAGTAAAGGGTGTGTCCTTAGAGCCTATCCCGTAAACATATATTCATCTGGCGTTTTTGTTTTTGTTTTTTTTGCCTTGCATTATAAACATTTTTTACACGACCACTTCTTTGGGTTTCTATTTTTCTTCCTTGTCTGCCAGAGCACCTTGGACAGTACTACTGCACTCAGCTTCTAAGACTCACCTGGTTGTAAGTTTGTCTCAATCTTTGGAGTTTCTGCTTTGATAAATTGTCCCCTGGTCACTTATTACTTCTTACTTATCAAGTTTGACATTCTGGTCCCCTGATTAAACACTCTAAAAATCCAATCTGAGAATAACTTCCTTGGCCCTTGCCAGCACATGATATCTAATTCCAACTTCTCCTTTTGTTTATAATTTATTTCTTCCTTTATCAGCCTCAGCATGCTCCTAGCCAGGGTATACTGGAATTAATTCTAATTTTGTTTGGTGCAGCTTCTGAGGAAAGCAATTATTTCCTAGTGATAAAAAGCCCTCTTCTGTACAATGTACTGTTAGGGCCTAATAGGGACTGATGGGGTACGTCTTCAAGCTCTGAGGTTTCAAGCAAATTTGCAAAGCCAATATCCTCAGGAGTTACATACGGATGTCCCCAGATTATGTGTCATGGTAAGGTTTTCATAACTAAGGCCTGACTTTTCCATAACAGATCTTGTTTACCTGAGCATAAAAATGTATTTGAAGGTCTGCAACACTATCAGATTGTCCTACCCTCTTCAATGAGTTCATTCAAATTAGCAGCAAACAGCCAGTATGGCTATCCTGTTATGACTCGTCAGCCCTCAGATATGCAAAATGCCTAAATCATTGCACCTGAAGAGGTGAGGACTTCCACCATTCCCCCAAGTATCTGCAAGATAAACCCTTGGCAGTTAAGATGCCATCTTGTGTCATCCTCTATTGGTGATCCTCCTACCATTAAAGATAATGTCTACTTTTTCTGCCAATGAATAACACCCATTTCTTCATTTTTCCATCTTTTTTCTTAAATATATTGGTATCATTTGCATTTGTTTAGGACCACCGAGTGGCAGACAGCAAGAAAGAATTAGACATTCAAGACATTTATTGTAGGGAGAAGCAAGAAAAGAACAGTAGATTCTTTATATCATAATGCTGGGCTGATACACATAGAAGGAGATAGGGATGAAAAAATGGATTAGGAGGAAAATTCTCTGATGTAGCATGATTCCAACAGAGGTTTGGTTTCCAGAAAAGGAGTACTTGAGCTACGGTCTCCTGTTGGAAAACTCTCATATCTCCCAGTAATGAATCCACTGTGTATTCACATTATACTGAGTCACTGACTTGGGGAAATCTGGGGAAAGTATGATCTTAGTGGGCATGCAGTTGTGGATCCAAAGATATAGCATCTGGAGTGTCCAGTAAAATATAGACCCACAGCAGATGCAAGAGACACATTTACACAGAAATCACATATCTGATTTCACATTTTATATTTAAGTTTATGGGCTCCCCATGTGTCTCTACTCAAAAGTGTTAAGTAAATTGTGCATTAAGATTGATGCTGGAGAATTTAAGGACTCTGGGTTAGGATGAAATAAAAACATGCAGAGAGGAAAACTTAAGAAGAAGAGACCACACCTTGTCTCAAACACATTTCTCTTACCTCACAATAATTCCTAGAATCAACTTTGCCTACATGTGAAAGTCATCTACCTGTTTAAAATGTAACACAAAAGAGCAGTTGGTCACCCTGAAATATTTTATGTGAGGATTGGGAGCGAAAGAACACACAGTATGAAAAAAAATCAGCAAATTTAATCTCAGTGCAAAATAAAAGAAATACATGCATTTTCCCCTTAGGAGTCATGCAGCCCTTAGACTTTAATGCTTTACCTTTGCTTTCCTGATTCTACTATTCCAAGGAGTTATTTTAACTCCCTGTTTGCTTCTTCATTCCATTGTTCTTTTTTCCTCCTGCAAACTTACCTTTCTATTTTCTACATGTCTTTGGAGTATCAGCAAGAACAGTGCAATGTATAATAATCCTGGAAAATGGAAGCATAAGATTCAGGTTCTTATGAACAACATCATTTGCCATGATGTTGATAAAATACCAAACTGTGACTGGATAATGACCTTTGGGTTTATGCTTATGTTCACATACCTAGAGTATAAGCAGTTGTGGAGATCAGTCTTTTGTGGTAAGTTTTTATAGTTCATGTGAAAAAGAAAAAAAATAAATATCTAGCACCCAGAGTTGCCTGATGCAAATATTCTTCTGATTCTCACTGTGAAATGTTTTTTTGTTGAGGATAATTTCTCACTTTAGAGTAAAACAAATCTTGGGTCTTGTCACTGTCTGAAATTAAGAGAAACACATCACTAAGATCAAATACCTTACCTACATAAAGTTATATTTTAATTGATGCTGAAATTGTGTCTTTCCACAGAGAACAGAGATGTTTAGTGTGTGGATTTTATTTCATTTTATTTTTTGAGACGGAGTCTCGCTCTGTCGCCCAGGCTGGAATGCAGTGGCATGATCTCGGCTCACTGCAAGCTCTGCCTCCCGGGTTCACGCCATTCTCCTGCCTCAGCCTCCAGAGTAGCTGGGACTACAGGTGTCCGCCACCATGCCCAGCTAATTTTTTTTTTTTTTTTTGTATTTTTAGTAGAGACGGGGTTTCACCGTGTTAGCCAGGATGGTCTCGATCTCTTGACCTCGTGATCCGCCCGCCTTGGCCTCCCAAAGTACTGGGATTACAGGCGTGAGCCACCGCACCCAGTCGGCTAGTGTGTGGATTTTAAAATGAACTTTTTCTTTACTGGAAATACATAGTCAACTTCATTGGTAGGAGTAAAAAACAACAGAATATAGCTTAGCAGCTTAGTTATAATGCATACTAGGCTACAGGCAGTAGCACAGATCACAAAATCATCGAAGGTGAGAGTCACAGGTTATATGACAACTGCCCTTTCCCTGAATATGAGGGTATTCTAAGCCTGGGTTATAAGTGGACTGGAATGGCGTCCAGCTGGTGAATTCAGCTCGGAAATGCAGGTGAGAAAAGTGCTTAATACTTGAAACATAAGGTGCAAAGAACAGTATTTAAAACACTAAGGACACTTTTGAAATTTGTAGGGAAAGGATTCTAAATGAAAACAGGCAAAATGATGTGACAGGCGTGGCTATGGATTCTGAATCAATAGCCTTCTATGAATTCAGAAAAAAAACTGAACAAAACTTTACTATAGCTTTATAGTAAAGCTGATTGTTTCCTACAGTTTTATATTGTAGTTCAGTAAGTTGGAAGGCTATAGGGTTACAGGAAAGAGGTACAGATAGAGGCAGTCACTCAGAGAATTTTCTTCTGAGTAGAAATCTGCTTTTCTTTGGTATAGCAGCCGTGTTTATTGTCTTGCACATTTTTATTATTAATAGGAAGCTGCAGTGATTCTTACACTACCTGCTCCACACCACTCCCACCTCTCTGGCCCCCTTAAACCAGAATTATGTACAGTAGGCAACGTGCTCCGTGTGGTTTCCAGAATTGCTGGAGGGATGCACAGTTTCCGTCAACTGAAATACAGAATTTTTTTTAGTCTTAACTTTAGTCCATTTAAGATTCCCTAAATAGATTTCTTCTGGAATCTCTTCTAGTTTCTATGCCAATCAGTTCTTTCAGATGTAGCAAAGACACATCATTGATTCCTTCTATTCTTGTCTGATTTAGTAAAACTTATCATAACCAAATTAACATAAAAATTAACATAACTGAAATATAACTTCTGATTTTTTTTCCTCCCATCCAATCTATTTTCCCCCAATCTTTCCTATTTCTGGAAATGGGATCATCATGTGCCCAGTTGATTAAGACTTTATTTTCTAACCACACATATATTATCATCAGAAACTCTTGTAGCTCCATCATCAAAATAAAATTAAAAAACCCCTACTCCACCACGAATGTCCTCTTTTTATCATCATCCTTCACTTGTACTATAGAAGTAGCAGACTAGCCAATATTTGTACTGCTGGTCTTTCCCTCTTGCAATCTGTTCTCTAAATAGCAGCAAGCTATCTGTTTAAGATGCTCATCAGTGCACATCCTTTCTTAATTAAATACATCTAATAGCCTCCTATTACTCTTAGAATTTGGAACTTTCTTTAATGGTCAACATTAGCCTGTCTGATATGCTATGGCTTAAGCCTTTGACCTTATCTATTCTACTTTTTTTTTTTCTCACTGAACTTCTGCCTCTCTAATCTTTCAACTTCTGCTGTACAATTTCCATATTATTGATTATTTTAGAGTCACTTCTTATTCCCTTTGCCTGGAATATTTTGCTCCAGATGCTACAGAAGTAGCATCCTCAATGGCTGATGCCTTCACAGAAGGTAGCCTTCTTCCCATATGTCAGTCCTTGACTATCTTATCTAGAATAAGCCCCACCCATCTCAGTTATGGTCTATTACTTTTTATGCTCTTTTTTTTTTTTTGACAACCAAATGTTATCCGAAATTCTAACAAGTTCATTAGTCCCTGGAAGAATCATCCATCTGGCCGTGTTGAGACGAATCCACTGAGATTCCAGTTTTAAAAAATCATCTTATATTAGTCAGGGTCCTGGAAGAAAAAAGGGCACATTCAAAATCAACAATTTGCAAGAGTTTGAGTTTAAGAAAACCAACAAAGGACAGTGCCATGTGCCAGGATTAGTGAGAGCTGTAGCACTTCTCACTCTTGAGTCTGAAGGAACAAAGAGTAGAGTAGAAATGCTTATCATAATGTGAGTGGTACACATACGGAAAGAGCCACTAGAGACTTGTGACTTTGCGTCAAGAGACAACAAACTCCACCAGACCTAAAAGAGAGGAGGCAATTAACACTTCAGCTTTCCTTCTTTCCATATTCCCTTTCATTCTCAGAATACAATTTAAATTCATACTGCTTATTTGATAAAATATAAATATATTTCACTATTAAGCTACTTAATTTTTTTGGGTGTGGTCAATTACACTGTAACAATTTTTGCCAGAATATCAAACACTTTTATGTTTT
Organism: Homo sapiens; assembly: GCF_000001405.40. Lineage (NCBI taxonomy): Eukaryota > Metazoa > Chordata > Mammalia > Primates > Hominidae > Homo > Homo sapiens. The sequence continues at coordinate 34,124,160 of NC_000004.12, forward strand.
CAAATATAATGGTTACTTCTCTCTTCTCATTCTCAAGCTCTCAGCGATATTTGTTCTAGAACAAGAATAGGATCCTGGAGACCTGGTAGAAATGCATCTTAAGAGTCCAGGCAAGTTGATAGTTCAGAGTATTAGTAAATGTTACTAGAAATTACAAGAAAATAATAGATAGTGACTTGGAAGTAAGACTGTCTTAGAAAGTGCTGTTAGAAAGAGGGGCAGCCACGAAGGGGCAGAGAACTGTGAGACAAGTCATATTTGAGGTAATAAGTGACCTAAAGGAGTAATTTTTCAGACACTGTCCTAAATGCTTCACAGGTATTAATTAATTTAATCTTCACTATAACAATATGAAGTGAAGATGATGTCTTGCTATATTGGGGGGAACCTGTTTTTTTTCTTGGGGGGGAACACAACTGGCCCAGAAAAATTAAGGAACCCCACCAATAATACTAGTAGTTTTCAGTAGTCATCTATTAGCATTCATGATTTGCTCCTAGGGTGCAATGTAATGTTGGCGATATTACAGAAAGGAATTATTCTATTCAATTGTTATTTAAGAAAAAATTTCTAAGAAAATCTAAATGGAAGTATTTATTAAAAGTGGTTTTAGAAATCTGATAGTATATGGTCATAACTTTTCTCTGTGAAAAGTAACATTTAGTAGTTTGATAAGTATCAATCACAAGAAAAAGAAAAGGAAATTATTTTTACATTTTAAAATACTCTAACAGATTTGACTCTGTGGCTCATGCCTATAAGCCCAGCACTTAAGGAGGCCAAGATGGGAGAACTGTCCAAGCCCAAGAGTTCAAAATCAGCTTGGGCAACATAGTGAGACCCTGTTCCCAGAAAAAAATAAAAATAAAAAATTAGCTGAGTGTCGGGGAGAATTACTTGCACCCAGGAGGATGAGATGCAGTGGGCTATGATTGTGGCACTGTACTCCAGCCTGTGCCTCAGAGCAAGACTGTGTCTCAAAAAACAATATTAAAAAATTAAAATACTTAATAATTTTCACTTCAATTTTGCAAGGAGTATTTGCATATCTTATTTTATTTCAGAATAAATATTTATTTTTTTCTCTAAGTAGACAGAATTTTATGGCAAAAAATCTTACACAGATCACGTTGAAGGAGCACATATTAAATTTCTATTTTATATTAAAACTTGTATACTTTAGTCATTCCACATTTGACTTTTAAAACAAAACACTTGGTTTCCCCTTATCTTTAACATAGTTTTTCATTCATTTCACTCATTTTCTCATAGATAAATAAATGACATTTGCTTAAAGCAAAATTCCAGGGTTCCTTTATAATTGCAGTAAGGCTAATAAATCAGAGAAACCAAAAAAAATAAGGAAAATTTTCAAAAATATGCTAAATTAGTAGAAAGACAGGATTCAAATTTTACAAATTAAATTTTTGGGGAATGGTGTTTCTTGGAAAAACTACAGGTTTTTATGTCATTGAGAAATCTTCAAGTTTCACAATATTAAGCTATCTAGATATCTCTGTATATCTGTTAGCACAAAGATTTCTCTTGAATAGTCCCTATATGGTCTACATAATACTGTTAATATAAAAGTAACTATGATTGTTGTTTTATTTTGACTATTACTATTATTGTTACACTTACTTGATCAAGTTTCTAGTTACTTCAAACTCATCAGGATCTCAATAAATCAGCTTTTGAGTACTCTAAAAGAAAAATAATGAAAATAAATATATTTAACCATCATTGTATTAAAGGTAGTATTTAAAGTTGTAGTAATTAATTAGGTCACTTATAGAGTGAATGAAGATAGAGAACGAATACACACAAGGACCAAAGAATTCAGAGTTAGTAGGAGGAAAACTAAAGAAGCTCAAGTTGCTAACTAAAAGAGCTGGAAAGTGTGGTGTTCAAAACTGTAGTATAACTTAGTGAGCATCTGTCCAAATCTCTTCACGCTCTTATAATCATGTATACATATGAGCATATATTTTCACCTTTATCCATACACAAACGTCTGTTTATGTGTGAATAGTGTGTGTACCTTGTTTGTTTCTTAAAAATGGTATCTATTAGTGAATTTGAGCAACTTTTCATATTTTTTGTGATTTAACTGCAACTCATTTATACTATTGCTATAACTTAAACACTTACATATTTTATTTAAGGACATTCATCTCTATCACGTTTATGAATTTTATAGTTTGAAATAATTTGGACCTCTGGTTTGTATAGAATGCTGATAAAATGCTTGGGCTTTGCAATTAAATAAATCTAAAAATAGAAGCTAATGTTGGTCTTTTATATGGAGAGTAGTTAAGTTTTTTAATCCATGGTTTCTTCATTTAATAATAGTAGTATCTTATGTGAGTATTATGAAATTAAGAAATTAAGATTTGGTATTTTTAGTTTGAATGAATACATGTAATAGTGACTCACATACTGGTAGTATAATTGTTATTAATGAAAAAATATAGTCAGATATTTTTATTTCTTAAAATTAATCGGATGTTTGAATAAAAAGCAATAATCTAAGGGTATTATTGTAATTGATGTCAGAGCTAAGTATAAATCTATTTGAAGTGTTTCAGAATCGTTAAGGAATTGTACATCACATTAAACAATGGTCTGAACACTAGCTTATCTGTAATACTGAATTAAAATGTAAAATTTCAATATTTTAATTAAATAATCACAGTTACTTTACATATGTAAATGATTTTGGCAAGTAAGCAATTGTTCTCTATCAATTTTCATCCATTCTTCCTTTGCCATGCCTCTTATTAGAGGCAGTAGGATTCAACTATTCTAATTCTGGTTGCTTTACGACTCTTAATTTACAAAGATTTGTACCATGTCATCCCTTTTTAAGTCACTTCTAGTGAGCTACATAATCTCTATTTTACATTAATCCTTACAACAATTATAGCTAATACCCCAAAATTTAATGTTTAATTGTTCAATGATTACTTAATATAACATAGTTATCTACATTTATATATTTGTACATTTTTTCAGTTCACACAAAGTCATGTAGTCCTACAGAAATGTCTAGTACACCGCTATTTTATATAATCAATATTGTATATTTGACCTGAGTAAAAATACATTAATTGTAATAACTTTTGACTCTTACTTCCTGGTTATTGTGAAGTTGTAAAAGGAATATTCTCATTGTTAAGGTCGCATAATTGCATTACCAAATTATTACTTTTACTGAAATCAGCGGGTAGAATACAACTCCATAAAGTTGTGCTTCTCAGTTGGGAGATGAAAGAGTAAGAGCATTTTCCAGTAGAGGAATGTCTTACACAGGGTTCCTAGGAAGCAGAGACTGGGGCAAAATCTTGTGAGCTAATACTTTATTGAAAGTGCAATTCTGAGGACCACCAAAGCAAAAGAAAAGTGAGGCCTGGAGATAGAGCATATATAAGAGAGTTAAATAACAGGTCATAGGTTTCCAACAAATACATCTGGGGGCTGTGTCCTAGAGGGATGTCCCTAGAGACCCAAAGGACACAAATCCATCTTGGGACAGTTTTCAGGCATGAAGGGCAAAACCATGGATATAATGGCTCCTTCTTGACTGCTGTACCTTATCAAAGACTACACAACAAGACAACAACTCTTTTACATTTCTAGGTGTCCTAACAGACTCTCTGGGCATCACTACGAAAGCCATAGTTCTAGGCCCAGTAGTATGCTGGCTTCAGGCATGACCCAGTGCATTCCCAGCCTTGATGGCCACAGGGAGAGACTCCTTGTGCTTAAGAAAAAGAGAAGGAAATGAAAAGAGGACTTTGTCTTGAAACTTGGGTACCAGCTGAGCCACAGTTAAATAAAGCACCAAGCAGGCACCTAATGCCCTCAGTCCCTGTCCCAGCTGCTGGACAGCATTTCTCAATCCACCCAGTGCCAAAAGGGAACCTGCTGACCTGAAGAAAAAAGCCCAGTCTTGACTGGTTTTATAACCTGATTAAAGAGCAGTTGGACATTGAATAAACATCAATTATAGCCAGGAAATAGCCAACAGAAGACTTGGGTGAGACCCAGTACTGTGCTGACTTCAGGTGTGACCTAGCATAGTCCCAGTGGTGGTGGTAATGGGAGTGCATGCATTGCCTTTCCCCCAACTCCAGGCAGCTCAGCATAGAGAGAGAGGCTCTGTTTGTTTGAGGGAAAGTAAGGGAAGAGAACAAGAGACATTACCTGGTAATCCATGAAATTGTCACAATATGCACCCAATACCACTAAAATGAAACTTCTATGAGTTTGCAGGAATCCTAGCATTACTGGGCTTGGGATGTCCACTATTGCACATACAACTGCAGTGACCAAAGACTTGGATCACAACACTCAATTTCCTTGGAATACTTGGAAAGCCTTCTCCAGAAGAAGATGTACAAACAAGCCCAGACTGAAAAGATTAGAAAAAAAATGTCTAACTGTTTAATATCTAACTATATGCAAATAAATTGGAAAACCTAAAGAAAATAAACTCCTAGACATATATAACCTAGCAAGATTGAATCAGGAAGAAATTCAAAAACCTGAAGATATCAATAGCAAGTAGTGAGATGAAAACCATAATAAAAAGTCTCCCAATAAAGCAAAGCCCAGGACCTGATGGCTTCATTGCTGAATTCTACCAAACATTTAAAAAAGAACTAATACCAATCCTACTCAAACTATTCATAAAAATAAAGGTAGACAAATACATTCAAACTCATTCTATGAGATCAGCATTACTCTGATACAAAAAAACAGACAAAGATACATCAAAAAATAAAATGAAATGCCAATAATCCTTAGTGAACACTGATGGAAAAATTCCCAACACGATGCAAACAAATCAAATTCCAAAACACATTAAAGAGATCCTTTATTATGACCTATTGTAATTCATCCCAAAGATGCAAGGGATGGTACAACATACACCAATCAATCAATGTGATGCATCATATCAACAGAATGAAGGAAAAAACGAATATGATCATCTAATTGATGCTGAAAAATATATATGATACAATTCAACATCCCTTCATCATGAAAACCCTCAAAAATTGGGAATAAAAGGAACATATCTCAAAAAAAAAAAGTCATATATTACCAACCCATAGCTAATATTATACTGAATGGGGGAAAAAAACAAACACTTTTCTCCAAGATCTGGAACAAGATAAAGATTCCCACTTTCATTACTGTTACTCAACATCATCCTGGAAATCCCAGCTAGAGCAATTAGACAAGAGAAAGAAATAAAAGGCTTGAAATTGGAAAGAAAGAAGTCAAATTACCCTGGTTGCAAATAATATAATCTTATATTTAGAAAAACCTAAGGACCCTACCAAAAAAAATTAGGACTAATAAACAAATTCAATAAAGTTCCATAATACAAAATCAATATACAAAAATCAGTAACATTTCTATACACCAAGAGCAAGCAATCTGAAAAATAAATCAAGAAAGTAATCCCATTTATAATAGCTACATAAAATAAAGTAAAATAAAATAACTATAAATAAACTTAACCAAAGAAGTAAAAGATCTCTACAATAAAAACTATGCAACATTTATTTAAAATATTGAGGAAGACACAAAAAATGGAAAAATAGTCCACGTTCATGGATTGGAGGAACTGATATAATTCTTAAAATGTCCGTAAAAGAGGGATCTACAGATTCAGTGCAATCCATACAAAATACCAACAATATTTTTCACAGACATAGAAAAAATCCTAAAATTTAAATGTAATCACAAAAGACTCAGTATAGCCACAGCCATTTGAGGAAAAAAAAAAAACTGGAGGAATCACATTATCTGACTTTAAATAATACTACAGAGCTATAGTAACCAAAACAGCATGGTGCTGACATAAAAAGAGACACATAGACTAATGTAACAGAATATAGAACCTAGAAATAAATTTATACATCTACAGTGAATTCATTTTCAACAAAAGTACAAGGAGCATACATTGGAGAAAAGACACTCTCTTCAATAAATGGTGCTGGAAAAACTGGATATCTGTATGCAGAAGAATAAAACTAGATATCTACCTCCTGCCGTGTATGAAAGTCAAATCAAAATGAATTAGACTTAAATCTCAGACCTGAAAATATGAGACTATTAAAAGAAAACATTGAGGAAACTCTCCAGGATATTTGTCTGGAGAAAGATTTCTTGAGTAATGCCCAAAAAGCACAGGCAACCCACGAAAAAAAAGGACAAATATAATCACATCAAGTTAAAAACCTTCTGCTCAGCAAAGGAAACAATCATAAAAATGAAGAAACAATTCACAGCATGGGAGAAAATGTTTGCAAACTGTCTATTTGACAAGGGATTAATAACTAGAATATATAAGGAACTCAATTCAATCAAAAAAATCTAATAATCTCATAAAAAATGGTTGAAAAATATGAATAGACATTTTCCAAAGGCCATACAAATGGAAAACAGATATGAAATGGTGCTCAATATCACTGATCTTCAGAGAAATGCAAATTAAAACTACAAGGAGATATTATCTCACCCCAATTAAAAGAGCTTTCATCCAAAAGACACGTAATAATGAATGCTGGTTAGGATGCACAGAAACAGAACCCTCATATGCTGTTGGTAGGAATATAAAGTAGTCCAGCTACTATGTAGTCAGTATGGAGGTTCCTCAAAAAACTACAAATAAAACTGTCATATGATCCAGCAATCCCACTGCTAGGTATATAACTTAAAGAAACCTAATCAGTATAAGAAGACATATGTGCGTTTCCATGTTTATTGCAACACTACTCACAATAGCCAAGATTTGAAATCCATCTAAGTGTCCATCAACAAATAAATGGATAAAGAAAATGTGGTACATATACATGATGGGATATTATCCAGCCCTAAAAAGGATGAGATCCTGTCATTTGCAACAACACAGATGGAATTGGAGGACATTGTGTAAAGTGATATAGTCTAGGCACGGAAAGACAAACTTCAAATGTTCTCACTCACGTGTGGAAGCTAAAAATTAAAACTAACTCATATAGATAAAGAGTAGAATGATGGTTATCAGTGGCTGAGAAGGGTAGTGAGGATGTGTGGAAACAGGGATGTTTAGTGGTGATATAGTTTGGATATTTGTTCCCGTCCAAATTTTATGTTGAAATTGAATCCCCAATGTTGGAGGTGGGGATTGGTGGGAGGTGTTTGGATCATGGGGGAAATTTCTCATCAATGGTTTCAGCCATCCCCTTTGTGATAAGTGAGCTTTTTCTCTGAGTTCACATGAGATCTAGTCATTTAATGCTGTGTGAAACTTTCCCCAAAGTCTCTTTCTTGTTTGCTCCTGCTTTTGCTCTATGACATTCCTGTTCCTCCTTCATCTTCTGCCATAATTGAAAGCTCCCTGAGGCTTCACCAAAAGTTGAGTTTCCTATAAAGCCTGCAGAAACCTGAGCCAACTAAACCTCTTTTCTTTGTAAATTACCCAGTCTCAGGTATTTCTTTACAGCAATGCAAGAACAGCCTGATACAGTCGGTACAAAAATAATTAGACAAAATGCATAAGTGCTAGTATTTGTTAGCAGAAGAGAGTGACTACAGTCAGCAATACTTTGTTGTACATTATAGAATAACTGAAGGAGTACAATTGGAATGTGTGTAACACCGAGAAATAATGAATGCTTGAGGTGATGGATACCCCATTTATCTTGATGTGATTATTACATATTGCATTGTATGCCTGTATCAAAATATCTCATGCACCCCATAAATATATATATACCTACTATGTACCCATAAAGGTTAAAAATATAAAAAGCACTAAATATTCTCAGTTTTAATTTTTCACCATATTAGTAAATTGAAAGACATGTCATAATCATATAACATTTTCAATCACATATAGATTTCTCTAATTTGCATATAAAATATTTATATATTAAATTATTTTTTAAATGATAACAATATTTCAAAGCTCCATATAGGTTGTGGTTTGGTTCAACACACTTGAAGAGAAAATTAAACGCAGAAACCCAAGGGCACTTAATTCAGATACTCATGCCCTATTTTATGTTTTAGTGAGATTGGTGAGTATAGTAGTTGATATGGATTGGCTGTGTCCCCACCCAAATATCATTTTGAATTTTAGTTCCCATAATCCCCAGATGTCATGGGAGGGACCCAGTGGGAAGCAATTGGATCATGGGGGCAGTTTTCCCCATGCTGTTCTCATGATAGCGAGTTCTCATGAGATCTGATGGTTTTATAAGGGGCTTCCCCCTTCCCTCAGCATTCATTATCTCTCCTGCTACCCTGTGAAGAGGTGCCTTCCACCATGATTGTTTCCTGAGGCCTCCCCAGCCATGCAGAACTGTGAGTCAATTAAACCTCTTTTCTTTATTAATTACCCAGTCTCAGGTATTTCATGGAAGCTGTGGTTGGCAGTCTATTAATGTGAGGTACAACACAGAGGAAGCAACCTTCCTAATGACTCGGCCTGCATGATTTCAGTGGACTCAAGTTTAGGTATTTTATCAATATAATTTGAAGGAAGTTACATCCATCTCTGACACAGTTCAGCTTCTCTCTCTGATTAATTTTTGCTGCATTTTTATTTCAATGTAATTTTGTGTGTAATTGATGTAACTCTTGGTTAAGAAGAGAGAAGGCACAGATGCATATTCCACCATATGTAGAAAATTGTAAAATGTACCTCATCTTCAAAAACACAGCAATGTTAGCTAATTTAAGATTTTCTTTCTTTTCTATGCACTTTCTTCATGCTGAGTATGATGATAATTTCTAAAAGTCCCCAAAGTTCAAAAGTTAAGCAAGAAAGCAAATAATAAAAAATGATGAAGACCTGACAAACAAAATAATGTGTCATTAGAAAATTTCATTTCAAATCATGAAGAAAAATTGCACAAAAATCAGTTTTATTAGTGTGGAATTTTGGGGTAAAGAAAATTTAGAGTCTTCTATTTCTTAATTTTCTGCAGTATATGAATAAATAGTGTAGGATTCTTCACAATGCACATTTACAGAGGATTCTTTGTGAATCTTCACATTCAAGTTATATGGCCAACTTTTACCAGATAGCCTATCCATTATCACATATAAGATCTTTACAGACATGGCTTTTAGGAACACCTATTTCAGCATTGGTCATTAAAGGTTTGTATTTTACTGAGTAGTTAGAAAAGAACAGCCTAGTACCTCTAAAGTCACTAATCTCATTCAAGAGGGCTCTGCCATTATGACCTAATTACTTCTCAAGTGTCTTATTCCCTAATACCTTTACACTGATGATTAGGTTTCAACATATGAATTTTGGAGGGGCATAAACATCCAGATTACAGCACATATAAAAAAATCAGTTGGAGCCTGAGACCAACTATGGTCTAGAGGGATTTTTGTCCCAGCCATGTTAGAATCACCTAGTGGGTTTGATAATCTTGTAGGCTTCTAGGAGCATCCTAGTTAAACTATCTCAGACTTTGTTGGGATTTAATTTGGGAACCTCTAATTTTAACAAACGTTTCAAATGTTTTTTACAAATATTATTGAGAACTACTAGCTTATAAGAATGTTGGATGCTACTTTCTCATTTGTATGTGTGTGTTAATTTCACCGTAATTTCCCATTTATAAATTTAAAGTGATAAAGTTTTAAGCAGTGAAAATTTCTGAGACTTTTATGTTTCCATACCACCTAGTAGATATGTATTTGCTATTCTAATTTTTAATTTTACATAATAGGTTACTCTAAAACAGAGTAGTACAAACCGACCATATTACTTTGTCTACAACAATGTGGATTACTTTTTTTAATTCCGGAATGGTTATATTTTTACAAAGAGCATTTTTATATATTATAAAGATATTACCTTGAAAGACAGGGAGGTTTTTTTTTTCTACTAAGTTGAGTTTATTTTTACCCAATGGAAAATATGGTTGGTGTGTGTGTGTTTGATTTTTATTTTTTATTTATTTTTCTGTTTAAAAATTATTTATTTCTTTTTCTTCCTTTTTTAACTTTTATTTTGGATTTGTGTTTCCAGGTACATGTACAGGTTTGTTACCTGGTTATATTACGTGTTGCTGAGGTTTGGGGTATAAATGATCCTGTTACCCAGGTACTGAGCATAGTATCCAATAGTTAGTTTTCAACCCATTCCCCTTTATTCTAGTGTCTCTTTTTATAATCTTTATGTCCATGACTACCCAATGTTGGATTCCAACTTATACGTGAGAACATGCGGTATTTGGTTTTCTGTGCCTGTGTTATTTCACTTGAAGGAATTATCTCCAGATGCATCCATTGTTACAAAGAACACGATTTTGTTATTTTTTTGTGGCTGTATAGTATTCCATGGTACGTATGTACCACATTTTCTTTATTCTGTCCATTACTGATGGACACCTAGGTTGATTCCGTTACTTTGTTACTGTGAATAGGGTTGTGATGAACAAGCAAGTGCATGTGTGTTTTTGGTACAACAATTTGTTTTCTTTTGAATATTTATCCAGTAATGAGATTGCTGGGGCAAATGGAAATTTTGTTTTGAGAAATATCCAAACTTCTTTCCATAGTGGTTAAACTAATTTAAATTCCCACCAACAGTGTACAAACATTTAATTTTCTCCTCAGCCATACCAATATCTGTTGTTTTCTTCTTCTTAATAATAGTCATTTTAATTGGTGTGAGATGGTACCTTATTGTTGTTTTCATTTGCATGTCTTTGATAATTATTGATTATGAGAATTTTTTCATATGCCTGTTGGCCACTTAGATTACTTCTGTTCATGACTTTTGCCCATTTTAATGGGGTTATTTGTCTTTTGCTTATTCAATTGTTTACATTCTTTATAGATACTAGATATTAGATCTTTGTTGAGTGCAACCTCATTATGTAGGTTGTCTACTTAATCTCTTGATAATTTCTTTTGCTGTTCAGAAACTCTTCAGTTTAATCAGGTCCCACTTGTTAATTTTTGTTTGTGTTGCAATTGCCTTTGAGGCCTTAGTCATAAATTATTTGCCAAAGCCAGTGTCCAGAATGATGTTTTCAAGGTTTTCTTCTATGATTCTTATAGTCTGAGGTCTTACATTTAAGTCTTTAATCCATCTTGAGTTAATTTTTAGATATGATAAAACACAGGAGTCCTGTTTCATTTTTCCGCATACAGATAGACAGCTATCTTGCACTATATACTGAATAGGGAGTCTTTCCACATTGCCTGTTTTTGTTGACTGTGTCGAATATTAGATGGCTGTAGGTGTGTGGCTTTACTTCTGGGTTCTTCATTCTGTTCCATTGTTCTATGTGTCTGTGTTTGTACTAGTACCATGTTGTTTTGGTTACTGTAGCCTCACCGTATAGTTTGAAGTCAGGTATTGTGATGCCTCCAGCCTTGTTCTTTTTGCCTAGGATTTCTTTGGCTATTCCAGCTCTTTTATGGTTTCATATAAATTTTATAAGTTTTGTTTCTAATTCTGTGAAAAATGACATGATAGTTTGATAGGAATAACATTTAATCTGTAGATTGTTTTAGGCAGTATGGCCATTAAAAAAATATTGGTTCTTCCAATCCATAAGCATGGAACTTTTTACTTGTTTGTATCATCTATGATTTATTTCAGCAATGTTTCGTATAATAGTTCTTACAGAGATCTTCCACCTCCTTGGTTAGAGATTTTCTTAGGTAGTTCAATTTTTTGTGGCTACTACAAATGGGATTGTGTTCTCGATTTCGCTCTCAGCTATAACGTTATTGGTGTATAGAAATGTCACTAATTTTTGTACATTGATTATATATCCTGACTGTATGAATGTAATTTCTCAAGTCTAAGAGTCTTTTGGTGGAGTCCTTAAGGTTTTTGAGGTAGATAATTATATCATCAGCAAACAGAGATAATCTGACTTCTTCTTTTGCTCTTTGGGTGACTTTTTTTTCTCTTGCTTGATTGCTCTGGCTTGGAATTTCAGTCTTGTTTTGAATGGAAGTGGTGACAGTGGATATTCTTGTCTTGTTCTGGTTCTCTAGAATAATGCTTCCAGCTTTTGCCCATCCGGTATGATGTTTTATGTGGATTTATCATAAATAGCTCTTATTATTTTGAGGTCTGTTTCTTCAATGCCTAGTCCCTTGAGAGTTTTTATTATAAAGGGATGTTGGATTTTATAAAAAGCTTTTTCCATATCAATTGTGATGATTCTATGGTTGTTTTTATTTCTGTTTATGTGGTGAATCAACCTTGAATCCGAGGAATGAAGCCTACTTAATCATGGTGAATTAACTTTTTGATGTGTTGTTGAATTTAGTTTGCTAATATTTTGTTGAGAACTTTTACATCAGTATTCATTAGGAGCAACAACCTGCAGTTTTTTAGGTTTTTTTTCCTCTTTCTTTGCCAAGTTTTCATATATAGGTACTTCTGCCTTTGTAGAATGAGTTAGAGAGGAGTCCCTACTCCATGATTTTTTGAAATAATTTTAGTTGATTTGGTACCAGCTATTCATGGTCTGTGTGGTAGAATTCAGCTATGAATCTATCTGGTCTGGGGTTTATTTTCATTGGTAGCTTTTCTATTACTAATTCTGTTTCAGAACTTGTTATTGGTCTGTTCGGTGTTTCATTATCTTCCTCATTCAATCGTGAGAGATTTTGGGTTTCCAGGAACTTATCCATTACTTCTAAATTTTTTAGTTTGTTTATGTAGAGATATTCATAATAGTCTCTGAGGATCTTTTGTATTTCTGATGGGTTTGTTGTGATGTCACCTTTGTTGCTTCTGATTGGACTTATTTGAATCTCTCTTTAATTAGCTAGCAGCCTTATGAATCTTGTTTAGATTTTCAGAAGCCAACTATTTTTTTAAACTGCATGGATTTTGGAGTCTCAATTTCATTCAGTTCTGCTCTAATTTCAGTTATTTCCTTTCTTCTGCTAGTTTTTGGGTTAGTTTGCTCTTGTTTTTCTGTTTCCTCTAGGTGAGATGCTAGATCACTAATTTGAAATTTTTCTGACATTTACAGGTAGGCATTTAGCTCTACGAAATTTCTTCTTAACACTGCTTTTGCTGCATGCCAGGTATTTTGGTATGTTGTGTGTCTATTTTCATTTATTTCAAAGAATTTTTTCATTTCTGCCTTGATTTCATTGCATACCCAGACATCATTCAGCAGCAAGTTGCTTAATTTCCATGAACTTATGTGGTTTTGAGAGATCTTCTTATTGTTTTTCATTTTTATTCTGCTGTGGTCCAAGAATGTGGTTGTTATGATTCTGAAACTTTTTTTGAATCTATTGAGAATTTCTTCATGGCTGAGAATATTGTCAATCTTGAAGTATGCTCCATGTAAAAATGAGTGAAGTTTTTGTAGATGTGTATTAGATCGAATTGTCTAATTGGTCAATTTTAATTCCAGAATCTTTGTTTTTTTTTGCTTTAATGATCTAATGCCGTCATTGGGGTGTTAAAGATCCCCCCTATTATAGTGTGGCTGTATAAGTCTTTTCATAGGTTTAGAAGTGCTTGTTTTGTTAACGTAGGTGCTCTAATGTTGAATGCATATATATTTATGGATATATATGTACACATTTATATATTTATATGCATATATATTTAGGATCATTAATTCATGCTAAATTGAACACTTTGTCATTATGTAATGCCCTTCTTTGTCCTTTTTTACTAATGTTGGTTTAAAGTCTGTTTTATCTGATATAAATATAGTGACCCCTGGTCTCTTGTGTTTTCTATTTGCATAGTAGATCTTTCTAGAGCCCTTTACTTTGAGCTTATGGGTATCATTACATGTGAGATGGGTCTCTCAAAGACAGCAGACTGATGGCCTTTTTTTTAAATTCAATTTGCTACTCTGTTCCTTTTTACTGGGGGCATGTAGACTATTTACATTCAAGGTTAATATTGATATGTGAAGTTTTGATCCTATTGTGCAAATACTAGCTGTGTGCTTTGCAGCTTCAATTGTGTTTTTACTTTATAGGGTCCGCGGTCTCTGTTTTTAAGCGTGTTTTTGTGGTAGCACATATTTTTTCCCCATGTTTAGAACTCCCTTAAGGATTTCTTATCAGGTGGGTTTAGAGGTAATGCATTCTTTTAGTGCATTTTTAGTGCATTTTTTGGGAAGGATATAATATTCTGGGTTGAATTTTTTTTTTCTTTACAAATGTTAGAAGTAGGCCCCTAATCTCTCCTGGCTTGTAAGATTTCTCCTGGAAAGTTCACTGTTAGTCTGATGTGGTTCCCTTTGCATGTGATACAGGTCAGGAATTTTTTAAGGGTGTGGCTGGACTTTTTTACTTGGACGTGCTCATGCAGTTATAGTAAAATGTTTTCTGTGCTTCAATCACTGAAGGCAGAACAAGCCTGGTAATTCAAGATGGTTTATTCATATGGCTATCAGTTGATGCAGCTGTCATCTGAGAGTTCAGCTTAGTAATGTTTACCAGATAAACAGCCTGTGGCCTCCTCCAACCCCATTCTATATTTGTAATAAATACTTCTGCTTTCTAAGAAGTTGATCTTGTAAGCAACACACGCTTCTGTTGGTATAATTTCTTTCTGTGCCTGATAAACTATTGCCATAAGGTGGGCAAAGTGGCCAGGTAGCAGTAATAGCTTCAAATGTATTGGGATTCTATGCCCTCCAAAGAAAGCTTCTCTTTTTTGTACCCAGAGGCATTATAATTACAGAGCCTAAAGCTATGAGAACAGAGAACTCCAGTTTCCCAAGTAGATTAGTAGGAGTGAAGAAATGCAAAATCATTCCTATTTGAAGTGTTGAAAGACATCTAACCACATCTCCTACCTGTTTCTTCCCAAAATCTCGACTTTGGCTTGGGATTCTTTCCCTCTCTGAGAATTGAACCTTATTTGAAGTTACGGCCACCCTGCTTACACTTAGGTCTTCAACTCTGTGTGCCTTCTAGTTGCAGAAGATGAATGCCTTCTTAAATATTGTCCAAGAGTTCTCTGGCTCTGACACTTGAATAATTAACAGATTGCTTCATGCATCATTGTTTCCTAGCAATAAACCACCCAAATCCTTAGTGTTTTTGTTTGATATTTCCCTTTATCTTTCAAATTCTAACAGCAATGTACCAGGTTGTAAATCACATTCACTTGCTTCCCATCTACATTTACCACAGTTAGAAATCTTAGAAGTCTCACTGCTACAATTTCCTGAAGACTATCAATACTCTACCTCCCACCAATGATGGGGGTCTTCATTTGCTATCAGAGTTTGAGATATGAGTTCTGGGAGGAGATAATTTGTTGGTAAAATTCTCCTATAAAAAGAGGATTAAGAGAAGCAAGGCAGTACAAGGGAAGAAAGCTGAAGATAAGCTGCTTTGGCTGGAAAATAGCTTCAATCTGGTCTCATGAGACTCTCTGCTATATAAACTGCACTAAGGAGCTAGCCTCAGCTTAAAATGAGATAACTAAACTTTCCTACCACCCCTTCAGTTCAGTCAATCATTGGCCTAATGGCTCCAGAAAGTTACCAATCAAAATTTTTTGATCAGGTAGTTTCTGCTTGGCCTCATCAATTTTCCAGAAAAGTTAGTAGCTATAGTCCTCTAGTAGCTAACATTCTTAGCAGCTGGGGAGTAAGTGCATCTGACTGTCTGGTGATGAGAGTTCATGCAGAGAACTAATAATACCACTATCTGAGAATGGGTTTGGAGGAATGACTTTTTTTCCGTGATTGGGGGAAATGTTACAATGTTTCTAGAAGGACCTCAAATGGAGAACTGAATTCTCTTTGACAAAGCAAATCTACTATGGTAAAATATTTCTACAAAAATATGTATACAAGTTTGTGAATGTGTCTATACAAGAATGTTCATAAACAATGTCTATAAGAGTAAAATTGTTAAAACCTTAAAATTTCCATAGTGAAGGATGGGTTAAATAATTTTATACAATGAGATATTATGATTTATATATTAATATAGCTCTATGATTTATGTTTCTGTATGTTCTTAACATCAAAACATAAATTGTTAAATCTTACACAAAGGTTATTTATTGTCTCACATTCTTTAGAATACTGCTGTATAAAAAAGAAACATATGTGAGGGCTTTTAACACATTATTAAACAGTGTAAGACTCAAAATAATCTTAGAGCCTTTTGGTTTCAGAATGTATGCATCCAAGGCTTAAAAGCAGCTGTTCTTGAAGGATGATATTTTTGGTATGACTAGCTCTAGTGAGATCATACTGGAATAATGGTATTTATAAAATATATTCATTATTATTGACATCCATCCTCTACAGGATATTAATAACTTGGAATATGAATTGGGATTGCAGGTTTTTCTTCATTTTGCTTACCTAAATTTCATAATTTAACTATGAACTATTTACAGATAAAGCATTACTTTTATTTATAGCTGCAACATATATCTTTAGATAAAAATAAGGGGGAAGTTTTTCTTACAGTCACACTCATATGTCGAATTACTTAGGGAAATCTTTATTACTATAAAAATACATGGTGTAAGGGTCTTCAATATCATTAATTTTATACAGCAATTTTTAACTGGTCTCAAAAACATTTTCAGTAAATTCTAATGAAATAACTTCCAGTGTTTGAACTCACAAGGGAATGCAGAAAACTGAATGCTGACAAAGAATTTTATTCCCCAGAAATATATAAACATACCTTATTTAATTTGGCATAAAAATGCAGATGTGCAAAAGGAATAGAATATAAGCCAGTAAACATGCAAAGGATCACCATTATGCACCTAAAAATATGATATTCTTGGGCCGGGCGCGGTGGCTCATGCCTGTACTCCCAGCACTTTGGGAGGCCAAGGTGGGTGGATCACGAGGTCAAAAGATGGAGACCATCCTGGCCAACAAGGTGAAACCCTGTCTCTACTAAAAATACAAAAATTAGCGGGGCGTGGTGGCGCACAGCTGTAGTCCCAGCTACTCGGGAGGCTGAGGCAGGAGAACTGCTTGAAGGCAGGAGGCTGAGGTTGCAGCGACATCACGCCACTGCACGCCAGCCTGGCCACAGAGCGAGTCTCCTCTCAAAAAAACAAACAGACAAACAAACAAACAAAAGACCTTCTTGCCACCCATGGAAACAAGTGGGACAGTGCTCTAATGAAGCAAAAAGTTGTTTTTCTGCTGGATTTGGGGTTAACAAATGTTATCACTTTGGCCTCTGAGATAACAGTACATACTGTAATTTTTATATGAAAAAGGTTAAATATTTAGTAGCTATAAATCAAAGTTTGATGTGAAATAGTATTTCAAAAAGTTTTTTCATCCTTTAAATGATTGGAGCCCATTCCATTTCTTCACATTCTCTGCAAAAATAAATCAGAAAATAAGTCTTAAATTTCCTTAGTAGTCTTCAAAACACAGATATGCTTGGTAAAATTTTATGGGCTTTAAATTATATAAATGGACATACATTTAAGATTTCACAAATATTTGAGCCAAGAAAATATCATGACAAAGTGACATTGGTAGGTGACATTGTTTGCTTCATGGCCACCAGCTTCCATTCCTTTATTTGATAACATGTTGTTTTTCCTTTGGGGATGATGCATACGGTTATGTACCACCAATTATGTTAGAAAATGGGAAAGATCCTTGCTCTTACCTTGTCAATTCTGCCAATGGTTAATTACATGACTTAAGCTTAACAACAACAACCAAAACCCCACCACATTTTTAAGGGACTCTGAATCTTAAGTGAGGTTTGCAAGAACAGAAGCAATGACAGAAGTGAGTTAATCTCAATAGAAATACCTGCACCAGACTGACCTTACTGTAAGGCACTTTCTGTAGAACCCAAAGTTACATTGATTATTGAACGACTGCAAATCTGGTTCTTTCTTCCACACTCAAAATTTTGAATAATGCTAAGAAGTGAATCCTATTATATTTATGTTTAATTCTCTAATTCAGCCAACACAAATAATAGAAAATAGAGGAATGAATAAAATAAGAATAACTTGCTATTCTTCCTAATATGGTCTCTTTATTGTAGTCAGCCTATACAATTTATAGCAACTGGAATACAGCTAGTGAACTGAAAAATGATATTTTAACCCTATACATATATAGTTGTACAAAAAAGTTCTTAAATAATCATGTTTTCATCTGGCAAAGATAGTTTATAACTTTAATTTGATGCCTTGGACACATGTGAAATCTCTCCCATAATTTAATACAGAGAGAACATAAATATTTTCCAATTTCAAGAGTTCATGATATCGGTCAATGCATCAATGACATAGTGCTTAATACTGAATACAGAAAGTGTGAAATAGTAGCTATACTACTTAACTAAGTATGACATATGCACATTAGTGAGTTGGAAATTAATTCCACAAAAAGTTCAGGATCTACCAGTGAAATTTCTGAGTAAGATTGTGGCTTGTTTGATCATTTTGGAATAATTTTTGCTGCAGATCCAGTTAAGAACAAGCTTGAGTGATGCAATCGTGCAGTTAAGATTCCAGGACCTTCATTAGGTAAAATACCTTCCGAAGAAAATTTGACTGTTTTTATTCAAATCTGATACATATATGGTTTTAACCAGTAATTCTAGATTGTGATATATACTTTGGAGGAGCATTTACATATGTCAAAAATAATGTTTACACAAGAATAATATATATTAGTTGGATTAATAATAACAATAAAGGCCGGGTGCAGTGCCTCACGCCTGTAATCCCAGCACTTTGGGAGGCCGAGGTAGGCGGATCACGAGGTCAAGAGATCAAGACAATCCTGGCCAACATGGTGAAACCCCATTTCTACCAAAAACACAAAAATTAGCTGGGTGTAATGGCACACACCTGTAATCCCAGCTACTCGGGAGGCTGAGGCAGGAGAGTCGCTTGAACCTGGGAGGTAGAGGTTGCAGTGAGCTGAGATCGCGCCACTGCACCCCAGCCTGGGCGACAGAGCGAGACTATGTCTCAAAAAATAAAATAATAATAAAAAGGAAAAATGAAACAAAACAAAAATATAAAGAAAGAAGGTCCCTAAATGCTATCAGTATAGATATGGATGAATCCATTTTATGTTATTCATGTTATAATATATGATGCAGTAGTTAAGAATAATGTGCTTTCAATGGACTAATATAGAAAAATTTAGAAGATATATTATTATTAAACAGAAAAATCAAGTTATAGACAAAATGTGCACTAGCATGCTCTCTATAAAGTATATTTTACAATGTTATGCATTTGTATCTACATTTATATTTATGGCTGTTATTATATTTACCTACCTATCCACATATATTTGGATAGATATAAACCAAATTAATTACTGTGGTTATTTCTGGGATAGGACTGATATTGACAGTGATTGTTGAAGGATCCTACGAAATATTTGAATTTTGCTTTTTATGAGAATAGCATATTTATGTATAAATTCTATAATCAAAATGAGTTTTTAAATAAGAGAAAATTTGAGTGAGTTGCCCATGGTAAAAAAGCTAATTAGTGCTTGAGACAATATTAAAACCTAGGAATTCTGACAATTATGATAGTCACTAATTTTCTTATGCTACATTCTTGCAAATGACTAATTTTCACTAAGCATTTCAACCAAAAAGAATTAAATATTAATTACATCCAAGTTAAAAAGGGGTGAAAGCACAGTCTTCCATCTATGCCATATTTTGTATTAATTAAACGATTTTGCTGTTATTAAAGCTGGCTTTAGGAAGAAGGTTAATGAGCCATTCTTGCAAAATTTGTAATGAGCACAAGAAAGGTAGCTTCAATCTTCCTCTAGGCTAGTGGTTTTGTAACATTAATATAAGTAAAATCACTGGAAATGCTAAAATTAGAGATTCCCAAATCCATTTCCAATAAAGTCTAAAGTAGTTGATCTAGGCATTTCAAAGAAGATTAAAAATTATTAAATACTCTAGATTATTCTAGTATGGCTGATTAAGGGCCATATTCCTAGACAGGATCAGAACTCCAAAATGCTGTCAACTGAATGAAAGGGGAAAGTTTGCTTCCCAATAGAAACCAAGCAGTGTTGAAGAAGTAAAGGGCTAGAGAGGAGGCCGAGAATAAAGTTCTTTAATAATGAATAAGTCCTCCTGATCTCAAATGATTTTCCAGAATATATGACATAAATAAGGCAGCCTATCTCCTTTTCATGGGATCAAGTTTATATTAAGAACTTTTCAGATTACCATGTCTTAAACAAAACAAAACAAACAAAAATAAAACCTTTGCAGAGGCCACTCAACTGTCCTTTTTTTTCTTTGAATATTTGATTTTTGGTGAAACTTTGTGAAATAATATCTTATTTGTCAATTCATAAACATTTTTAAGAAGACAATTCAATAAAATGAGATAGTTAAGACCTACAAATTAGTAATTAGTAGAACTATAAAATAACCTGCCCCAAAGTACCTCTTTGAGATATAAATATGTTAAGCAAGGATTAGTACAAAAGGATGTTTTCTTTGCCATTCATTGAGTATTTTCAATGATCATTTCTTACAAACGGTAGCTTCTGAAGAACTTCTTTTTACTTCTAGTTTTTCTTTCTGTCTTTGTGAAAGAAATTATTTTGTTTCAGATCACTTATTTATTCCTTTTAGAGTAGAGATTGAATTTAACTCTTACTTCTATGAAAGTACACTTAGAGACAAAAAGATATCATTAGATTTTTCTTATTTGACAGGTAAAAATAGAAAAAAAGTGCTCTCTTGATTTTTACATGGTAAGTGCAACTTTTTCATGAGTCATCTTAATTTTATATGCATTTCTTGCTCAGGTTTTGTGCAACAGAATTATAGCCATTTTTTGGTAAATCCATTTAAAATCATTCATCTGGATGAATATGTTTTTTTATTACAGCACAGATTACCATATACCTCCCAAAGACTTTTCTATTTCCCTGTCTTTAAAAAAAATCAACTCAATTCCCAAAGCACTTGACTATAGTAATGCCAATGCTGACTTAATTACGTGCAGTAAAGCTCTATTGGCTACAGCTTGTTGCTGGCTTTTCTAAGCTCTGCATGTATTTGTCTGGAAGGCAAATCCAAGAGTCATTTTTATCAGTGTCTGATCATGTTGCCATTATATGTGGTTAAATTTACTACAGTAATTCAGACCAAAATAAAAGAAAAATTCACAATAGATTTATATACAGCAAAAAAATCTGTGGGGCACTTGAGCAAGAAATAAAATGACTGCATCTGTATATTTAGAAATATAATTACTAAAACATATAGTAAAATATATTTACTGCATTAATTTATATATGTATAAAAGTATTACCAAAGTATAGCACTTACAAAACTTTGTTATTTGTTGTTTTCTGATAAGTTTACTTAAAGGCAATTAGTTCCTTTTGATCCTATATCTCAAAATCATGCCTAATCTTTTATTCAAAATGTCATAGACAGGGCAATTTCAAAATTATGTAAAACACCTGAATAGAAATTGTTCAAAAAAGACATACAAATGTCCAAGAGGTATATAAAAATGTGTTTCACATTACTAATCATCAGGGAAATGTGAATCAAAACTACCATGAGATATCATCGCATACCTGTTGGTATGACTATTATTAAGACGTCAAAATATGAAAGTTTAAGCAAGGATATGGAGAAAAGGAAACCCTTATACATCATTGGTGGGAATGTAAATTTGGACAACAATTATGGAAAACACCATGGATGTTTCTAAAAAATTTAAAAACAGAGCTACCATATGATCCTGCAATCCCATTTTGGGTATACATCCAAAATAAATGAAATCAGTAAGTTGAAGAGATATCCGCACTCCCACATTCATTACAGCATTATTCACAGCAGCCAGCATCTGGAATAAACCTGTGTCCATTCACAGATGAATGAATAAAGAAAATGTAATGTTTGGGTCAAAAATACAAAGTTGCAGTTATTTAGGATAAATAAATATGGAAATCTAATACAAGGTGTGAGGATAATAATTAATAATACTGTGTTGTATACTAGAAATTTTCTGAGAGATTTTATATGTTCTTACCACACAAAAATACATACACACACACACATGAATTATGTAAATTGAGGGCTATGTTAACTGACTTCATTGTAGTAATAACTAAACTATATATGTGTATATAAAAACATCATGTTGCGCACCTAAAATAGATACAAAAATGCAAAACTCCCATAATATAAAATTATAAAAACAAAACAAAAAACATTTCACAACATGCGTTAATTACAGTGTGATCACATTCAATTCAACTTAAATAACAGTGTTCTCAGCATAGTTTTCAGGTAGGACTCTTAGAATTATCTTTTATTTTAAAATTATAAAATATAAAACAGAATATTATTTAGCCTTAAAAAGGAAAGAAATCCTGTAATTTTCATCAACATGGATGAAACTGTAGGATGTTATGCTAAATGAAATAAACCAGGTACAGAAAGGCAAATACTAAGTGATTTCACTTATATGTGGAATCTAAACATGTTGAATTCATAAAAGCAGAGGATAGAATGGTGTTTCCAGGAGCTAAGAAGTGGGCAAAATGAGGAGATGTTGATCAAAGAGAACAAAGCTCCAGTTATACAGGATGAATAAGTTCTGTGAATAATTACCAAAATAAATAGTAAAAGATCTAGTGTATAGCAAAGTGACTATAGTTAATAATATTGTATTGTATATTTGAAATTAGCTCAGAGTAGATCTTAAATTTTCTCATCACAAAACAAAAATAACTATGTGAGGTGGTTATTATGTTAATTAGCTTCCTTGTGGCAATAATTTCAGAATGTATATCAAAGCACCATGTTATACATCTTAAAAGTATATACACATTATATTCATCAATTATATCTCAATAAAGCTAAAGACAAAACCAAAATGTTTCACTGTATTTACTGTTTTAGATGGACATTCTTCTTTTATCGATATATTTATATGAAACACACACACACATAGAATATATATAAAGAATATATCAAATATACACGGAATATATAGTTGAGTATATAGACACTTATATACTTAGTATGTTTATATGCACACATACACACAAATGCACAAAGGCACACAAATAAATGCACTTATATATTGAGTGTTGTCTGGGAACAATTGACCTCCAGTTGGTAGTTTGAAATTGACAATAGTAACCATATTTATATCACAGAAACAAAATAATTTATTTTATAAAGACAAAAGAGAGAAAATGGAAGAAACTTTGAAATTCATGGGTTTATGGGATTTCTAATTTGTTCTTGTCCTCTCAGAAAGCTAGCAGTTAAACATTACCAGCATGTCGCTGTACATATTAAATTGTGTGTGTTAGATTGATATAAATTGAATATGTCTGTGTGTATTTCTGGTCATGCAAATTAACGGTTTCATGAAATGGCTAGGGAATTCACTGCTTTTCTGCTTTCAAACATTTTGTAAGTAGTGACTCTAGAATCTGTCCTGAAATTTTGTGCATAATGGGTAGTGGATAGTACTTTTCCTATGCAGAACCACCTCCTGTTGCACCTCCTGTTGTTGTAGTAACTAATGTCACTACATTAGTGTTCTCCAACCCCCTTGTCAAGGGATATTGGTCTTTTATTAGGCATTCTTTCAGATGAATTCATTATGTTTTGGCATATTTCAAACACCACAAAAATTATTCAAGTCATTAAGTCTCATTTTCTGATTAGTATATTTGGCTGCTCATTCATTATTCCTGGTACACAATGTTACCTTGTTTGCATGTTTTATTTTTTTTTCCTGGACAAATTACTGAATGCACAAGGCAGTTTTAACCATGGGCAGAATCTTTGCAGATCAATGTTTCAGAGAAATGCCTATCAAACTGCCATATTTATCTTTCCTACCTATTTTTCTTTTCCCATAACTATAAGCATGGTTGGATTTCAAATGATTGATCATACAAAGCTCTAACAAAGAAAACATTAACCTTTCTGCCTTTAAGAAGCACACAATCTATTGTGGATGTAGCGATCATATTGAATCAGACAGGATGTGGTATCAGAGAGAATGGATCATTTATTTGATGTTCCTGACCTACGAAAAGGGAGCTCTCAAATTATTACTATTAGTTCTATCACATGAAAGCAAGTCCAGACTTAAGTAAAGGAGAGGCTTTTTTAGAAAAGACTATTGCAATAGAGGAAAGTAATGTTGTGATAGCGGATAAGTACTATTGCCATAGAAAGAAAGCTCCAGCTTAACCTGAGATCTGGAGTAGTATTAAAGTGAGGCAAAAAACAACTTTTTTTTTTATGAGAAGTAAACAAGGCTAGAAAGAACTGGGTGTGGGGAAATGGAATGATGAAGTGGAGAGACTGGATAGCTGACCTGAGTATATTTTCCCCTGGTATTAGCAGATTCTCAGGAGGGACCTTTGAGGAAGGGTCATTTAAGTTCCACTGCAAGAATTTTGTCCAGATTCGTTGCTGGAGACAAATATTAATAATTCAACTAAACATTTATGAGACACAGAATGAGTATTTGAAAGTCTGTGTCTGACCTTGTCATAGGTAAACAAAGGGGTATTTATGATTGTCTTCTCTGAGTCATCTAGGGAGAGAGATTCTTTGCAATAAAAATTTTGTACAGTAGAAAAAAAGAGGTTGGGGTAAGAAGTGTGGCTTTTGTCACCATAGCTTTTTTCCAAGAGCATGGAACTCAGGTAAAGTTCACTATAGTTGGTTACATTTTTGCAAATTTTATGTCAAGCCAAAATTTTTGTTTCTGCCTTAAGATTTTGATTCTTCACATGATATAAAGCGCCTCATATATCTCACATTTCTGTGTATCAACTGGGTAGGAGATGGACTGTTCATGAAAATGATAGCAGATGTGGAGATTCCGTAACAGGAGGCTGAAACTTAATGCATTGATCGTGGGATTGTAAACATCTGAATTTATTTCTATGGCTATTTACTTATCTTGGTGAAAATTTGAAAAATATGTTTCTCACTTCAACTATTCTGGGTATCTGTTGCTGAGAAATAAACTACCTCAATATTTAGCAGCTTAAAATAACAATTAATTATTGTGCCCACAAATGCATAATTTGGAGACAGCATAGGTCAAAGACCTGTGTATTCCACATAGCATCACCTGAAGCAACTCGATTGAACACTGTAGATCTAATTCCAAGACAGTTTGCTTACAGGGGTGGCAGGTTGGTGTTGGCTGTTAGCTAAGATCTCACCTGGGGCTAAGGTCCTGGAGTTTTGGTTCCATTTCATGTTGCTTGGACTACCCATCCAAGTAAGCTTAGAGTATAGTGGCTGTATTCCCAGGGCAATTATTCCAAGACAGAGAGAAGGTGAGGTGGGAACTATACTGATTTTAAGAACCGAGCCTTGGAAGTTATATAACCAACTTTTGCCAGACTCTTATGGTGTATCACAAAACTTGGCCCAGGTTCATTGGGAAGGAACATAAGCTTCAAGTCTTATTCATGCAATGGTAAGATTTCAAAAGATCATTTAAAACCAGAAATAGTTTAAGGACTATTTTAAGACATCATAAATTAACATAAATAATTATGTCCCAAATTTTTTGATAGAAAGATATGATTACGGCACTAGAGATTCTGTAATAAAAACGAACTTAGATGTGAAGGGCACAAAGTAGATGTGGGAACATCCTTGCAAAAATAAATTTTCTGGCATGCATTTTATTTTTTTTCTGGAGTATAATAGGCAATACTTCTCTGTTTAATCATTCAACTAATATATATCATGTCACTTGTTAATTTAGGATAACACACCAGTCGTAGTTTGTTTTCCACAAATATGCTAAGTTGTCAAAAAGTTATGTACAGTTACAGAGATCCACATATCCCTGAATATCATGTGATTATTACTGAAATAATTTCAAATCAGTAATGAGGCCGGGTGTGGTGGCTCATGCCTATAATCCCAGCACTTCAGGAGGCCAAGGCGGGCGGATCATGAGGTCAGGAGATGGAGACCATCCTGGCCAACATAGTGAAACCCCATCTCTACTAAAAATACAAAAAATTAGCCGGGCCTGGTGGCGCATCCCTGTAATCCCAGCTACTCGGGAGGCAGAGGCAGAAGAATCCCCTGAACCAGGGAGTTGGAGGTTGCAGTGAGCCGAGATGGCGCCACAGCACTCTAGCCTGGCGACACAGCGACACTCCTTCTCAAAAATAAATAAATAAATAAATAAATTAAATAAATAAAAATCAGTAATATGCATGAGGAACGTAATGATTGAAAACCTTTGTTATTTCTTTTATCTGAAAATTCCATTCCATCAGGGGTAAAACAAATTTTCTTTATCATTATCGTTTGGGAGCAGGATCAAATGTTTCCCATCCTTGAGCTGGAGCTTTTACTTACTTTCTACTTATCTCATCATCTTCCCTACAATTTTATAAGCTGAAAAATGAAACCCTCCCAAAAATAAAACACAGCTGTGGTGACTACATTCAAAAAGTCCAAAATAGATATTACCACATTTATTTACTGACTGTAAAGACTCACTGATGCTTCCAAGAAAGCTCTAAGTAGAAAAGGGAACTAGTGTTAAGATGATGAAAAGTCTCTATTACAAAATGATTGACGTGTGTATTAATTAGTAAAAATGTTAGCAATGTATTACTAGCTCTGAATTAAGTTAAATATGAGAGCAATGAGTGTGTATTTTGCTGAAATAATAATTCTTTAGACCACTAATTTATTACATTAATTTATCACTGGGCACCTATTATGTGTAAATAAGTCATAGTTAAGTTGACTTCTATGAATAAAATTCAGAAGATATTTTAGGCTAGTCAACTACCAATATACTTTAAAAGATTATAAAAGAGACTATTTAGAGTCTGAAGAGTATTTTCAAATCTTCTATAAGAGCACAGATTTCTAGGCTTTTAAAACTTACCTTAGAATAGAAAAAAAGACAGCTTTTTTACTTATCAGGTTAGTATAAGTATAAAATTAAAACTTGCTAAAAAACAAAGGAAAAAAGAATACTATGGACCATTAAAATGTATGACTACATATATATATAAATACACACATACACCTTTATACATGTGTGTATTCCATTCATAAATAAAATATTTGAATATGGAATCTACTTATGTAACAAAATAATTTTCTGCCTTAACAAATGGTATCATTTAAAAAATCCAAGAATAATTCATTATTAAAATATCCATTAATTCATCATATCAATATATGAAAGAAGTTTGAAATGATTGTCATATATATTGAAGCAGATCATGTAGAAAAATATGATCCATATGGGTTTCCGAGGATCTTATGTTTTAATTTATAAAAACATTAAGTAGAAAGTCAAGTGAAGAAGTTTAGAAATAAAATTGTATCATAGTACTTACTTATTAAAATGTTAAAGCCAGCAACTACAAGTGAAAATATTGTTACTTAGAAACTGTAAACTTATTTTATAGAAAAAATACTCCATAATTAATGTTTTAAATGAACAACCAACTTGGAAAACTGCTGTAGCTTAGAGAAAATTTTAAACAAATACATTAATATTTAAAATAGTTTTAAAGACCTATGTTTCAAAAAAAAGCCAACAAACTACAGAACTGAAACAGTCAATGTGAAGTAAAATGTACAAAAGAATAAACACAGATTTTCAATTAATATTATTATTATTATTACTACTAAGGCATTTTTAACACAAGTTAATGCTTACTATCAGCCAAGTGTACTTCTAATATTTTAATATTTTAAAGTTATTGTTTTATTTTTACTCACTAATAATCCTGTGATGTAGCACTATTATTACCCTTATTTCTAATTTTCAGTTACTGAAAAAATATAAGGCATGCATGGGGTTTAAATAGATTATCCAAGTTGTTCATCCTGTAATTAGAGGGACTAGAATTTAAACCAAGAAGGGCTGGCTCCAGAGGTGTTTGTAATCCATGTGTCTATAAAGGATTGCCATCTCACTCATAAACAAATAAATGAAATCTAAACCAATGAGAAATCAGTTTTGATCTTTCAGATTAAACTACAAAGAAAAGGCTCATAACATATAATGTTTATAACCATATGCTAAAACTGATCTCAAAATATCTGAAATTGGTAGAATAAAAATGAATGTACTGTTTGAAGTGAAATGTGTTTAGAATTCTAAATTTAAATCCCATTGGGGCAAGAAAGGCCGCTTCTAATAATTGATTCTACAAAAGTAATTACAGATATCTCTGAGATGAGTGTGAGGTATGTGGGTATTAATAGGGGATAGTGTAATAAATTACGGTACAATGAGATGATGGGCAATTACACTGCCTCAAACTCCCTGTCTTTTGTTTTTCACACGTCTTGCTCCCTCTCATCTTTCAGGTTCTACTCTACTCACCTAGGTCCCAGAAGCCTTCCAAATTCTCAACTTATGTTAGCCCTTCCTACCTCATTATAATTCATATCCATCCCCTCCCTAACTTTTTGGCATGTATTACAATCGTTCTTTATTATTATGAACTTCTTAGTTTTTAATTTGTCTCTTCTCACTAAAATGTAAGCTTAAGGAGGATTAACTTGTGTTATACCTCCATAACTGAGAACAATACCTATTATACAGTGGTACTCAAAAAATAACTATTGTATGTAAGAAAAACAGAATAAACCAATAGTTGTTCACGTGTGTGCATATAAAAAGGTATGCATACCAGCAAAATGCATCTTTAAGTTTTGAGATAAATGATGTTTTTCTCTTTATAGTCTCACCTTCTTTGGAACATTTTAGTTTTTTTTGTTTCAATTTTTATATACAATAATGCATACACTTTTTTGTTTCTAGAGTTTTTTTATTTTTTATTTGTTTTCAGAGAGTGTCTCATTATGTTGCTCAGGCTGGTCATGAACTCCTGGGCTCAAATCATTCTCCTTCCTTAGCATACCGAGTAGCTGGGATGACAAGGGTGCACAATTGCACTCAGCTACATACAAGTTTTATAAACAGAAAAACAAATGTAAAGTTACTGGCAACTTGAGAATGAACAGATATATCAGTACTAGCATGAGAAAATTCAAAGTGCTTCAAAATTCTAATAATAAATTATTGACTACTAACACAATTCATATTCTTTCAATGTATGGTAGTATAGAGATATTTAAAAATTTGTTATTTGTATATTTATACCTATCTATAATATTTTATCTTATTCTCAACAATGAACAGTAGTAATTACATATCCTAAATTTTAAATCTTCTCAATTTCACAATTTGAAAAAATAATAGAATGTAGATAATAGCATCTTGGTCCCTTCAGGCTGCTACAATAATACATGGGACTAGGCTATTTATAATATAATATAAACAGAAATTTATATTATCACAGTTTTGGAGGCTGAAATGTCCAAGCTCAAGGCACCAGCAGATTCAATGTCTGGAGAGGGCTGCCCTCTGCTTCAAAGTTGAAGCCTGGTTGCTGTGTCCTCCCATGGTAGAAGACAAAACAGCAAAAATGGCACTAGAGTGATTCCTTCAACCCTTTTTATAAGAACACTAGTCCATTCATGATGGTGGAGCTCTCCTGATTTGGTGGAGCTCTCCTGATTTAATTACCTCTCAAAAGGCCCCACCTTTTAATAATATAAATTTATTATTATATTTCAACATATGAATTTTAAAGGGACACATATACTGAAATTACAAAATTTCTTAATTTAATTTGCATTAAATTAAAAAGTTGCTTTTCCTATAAATAAAAAATAAATTTTTTAAAGTAACCTAACTTCATGTGAAAAGGCCCTTGATTTAAAATCATAAGTGCTAAATATCAAAAAGTATGTAGGGCTGGAAAAAATCGGTACACAATAAGAAAATAGAATTATTTAAAATTTATTTTACTGTAATTGCCTAATAAATGAATGTAATAAAAATGTCTTAGAATAAACAAATACATTTACATGGTTTTTTTTTTGTGGGCTAAAATATAAATTAATACATAATTTATACAAATTTATAAATGTGCCCGGAATTCATTGATCTTATCTACATAGCATGAAAGAGAAAGAGTTTTAAAGGAGAATAAAATTTAAAAGATTATATACATCTATATATATAAAAAAATCTTTCACATAATATATAAATATATTTTTTCTGAATCACATATAGTTTCTGAATAAATTGAATATAAAAACAAAATAAAATTTCTTATATATTTTCTATAATTGGTGAATATGAAAATATGATACTGAACTATAGTATTCAATCAAAATATTTTATAACAAAAAATTCAAATATTTTATTTGCAATTATTAATGAAATATGTGGACTGATAGTCCCATTTTATTTTTTTAACTATTCAGTTATCTCCTATCATGAATAGTTAAATATTCAAAATTACATTATATTTTTGGATCTTTTTACAGAAGTAAAAAGTATAATTACATTATATTTTTGGATTTTTGGATCTGACTACTCTCTTCTCATGAAATATAACTACATATACATTACATTTTATCAAAAATTAGAGTGAACTCATGCTATTTTACTGGACTGTTTCTGCACTGGATTTCCTTAAGTTTCTCAGAACCCCTTTTTTGAGGTTTCATGGAATAATTTAAGTTTAATAAATCTATTATTAGATTTAATAAATGAAGATTTATATCATAGATCATAAGTCATGAATTTTGCAAGTGTGCTTTTCCCTTCAAATCATCTTCCTTCAAAGTCATCTTTACAGGATAAACATAACTTAGTTTATACGGATATAAAGATCTTCCAACGTTTTATAATTGAAATTTCTTTGTAATACTTTTTCCAGTTCTATTAAGTTTTTCTTGACTTTTTTTTTAACTTCAGCACAATATTTTAGGTGTAGTTACAGCCAAAGTTGATATTTTAAATATTGAATAATCACTGGAATGCAATGTACATCATAAATATAAATCGATTTCAGTTCTGAACAATGGGAACAGCTTCAACACTATACTAAATGAATTTCAGCACAGATACTTAGAGAATTTTGAAATATTTTTAATAACTCTACTCATACTTTGGATCAACTGATAATGGACTCATAAAACAATGTCCTCAAATAATGGCTTAAAATCCTTTTAATTAATTAAGATGTATTGTTCATTGATATTGATGACAAGAAAATAGTTTAAAATAAGATAGATGATTTTCCTCTCTTTAGTATGTCATACATTCTAAAGGGGAGAAGAAGAAAATAAGCCCATTTAAAATGAAATAAACATTATTTTTCACCATGATGGAGCAGCTACTATCAGACATAACTCCCTATCTTAGTCCATTTTGGCTGCTATAACAAAATACCATAAACTGGATGGTTTATAAACAATGAAAATTTATTTCTCACAATTTGGGATGAGGGAAAGTACAAGATGAAAAGGCTGATAGATTTTGGGTCTGATGATGACCCACTTCCTCATAGCCATCTTCTCACTATAACTTGGCATAATAGAAGGGAAAAGGAACTCTCTAAGGTCTCTTTTATAAGACACTGATCGCATTCATGCAAGTTCTGCCCTCACTATCTAATCACCTCCCAAATGCCCTACCTCCAAATTTCTACCTCCTAATTACATTGATGATTAGGTTTCAACATATAAATTTTGTTAAATACTTAGACAATAGTACTTCCCTAGATAAATACCTGTGACAATGGGAAAAATACATAGAATAATTTCATGCATTGAGCAATGGACAGTGAAGAATGAGAAGAAAAAATATTTAAATAGAAAAGAATATATATTTAAAGAAATAATTCCCATTTTTTCCAAAATTAGTGAAAAATAAAAACCCACAAGTCTAAGAAACTCAGTGCAGTTCAAGAAGGGTAAATATAGAGGACATATTTGGGCAAACAGTTAAGTTGCTTAATATAACAATAAAAAGAAAACTGCTAAGTAACTCTGTTACTCTGTTCTCATGCTGCTATGAAGAAATACTGGAGACTGGGTAATTTATAAAGAAAAGAAGTTTAATTGATTCACAGTTCTTCATGACTGGGGAGGCCTCCGGAAACTAACAATCATGGCAAAGGGCATCCCTTCACAGGGCGGCAGGAGAGAAAATGAGTGTCGAGTGAAGGGGGACGCCCTTTATAAAACCATCAGATCTTGTGAGAACTCACTCACTATCATGCAATCAGCAATAGGGGAAACCACCTCCATGATTCAATTATCTCCACCTGGTCCCACCCATGAAATATGGGGATTATTACAATTCAAGGTGAGACTTGCATGGGGACATAGGGCCAAACCATATCAGAAACCCCTTCCCAATAAAAAAAACAGGATTATACTCAGGAATAAAATGTTATGAACAATGACTCACATCAAAAACAGTAAAGGTCACAAAAAAAAAATAAACAGCATCTTTAAAATGCCAAAAGAGAAAAGTCAATTTAGATATCCAGATTTAGTAAAAATTTTCTCCAAAATTTAATTAGAAATTGTTAATGTGTAAAAAGAAAATTTAGGTTAAATAGAAATGTTCACAGATGAAAGTTTGGATCTCATTAAAAAATGAAGAAAAACCCAAATAGCAGTTATGTTGGTAAACATACAGTTTCATTACAATTTTTAAAAAAAATGTTAAATGTTTAAAAGATAATAAATGTAATGTCACTAATGCAAAAGTAATAATGCACTAAATATGACGTACATAGAAATAAAACAACAGCAGCACAAAATATATGTGGGGAAGCGATTAAAATAAATTAAATGAAGTCCTATGTAGAAATAAAACAACAATCACACAGAATGTGTCTAGAAGTGGGAATAAAATGAATTAAATGCAGTACTAATTTTGCAATCTGAAACTGTGCAACATGACCTTAAAAATCAATGAGAAAAAATAACTATTCTCTGACCTGTAAAAATTGTGTCAAAATATTAAAAACTTGCTTAGAACCAGATATGCATATGGAAATTAAAAATTTTAAATAATATTTATTTGTTACACTGTGATTTGAAACACTAAAGTGTTTTATTTCTTTGTAAGAAACAAAGGTATTAAGAAGACTATCAATATTGCTTGCCTTCTGGTCATATATCTTATTTTTATATGCCATGAAAATCTTTCCTATGTCTTGGCAAATTGTCATACTCTTTTTCTAAGTGTGGATCAGCCTTGAACATTTTAATCTTTGCACGTTCAATATCGTTAAGATATCTCCAAGAGTTTCTTTAATGTAAGAATTTTAAAAAATATATTTCTGCAAGTGTCCTTTCTTCTGAGATACCTTTATCCTTTTTGTTTCAAACACTTTTCTTCGTTTTTATTAATAAATTCACTTTCAAGTTTCTCTGATTGTAGATTGAGACTCTTAAACAGTAGCAATGTCAACATCCCCATAGCTGGCTATTTCTTCTATAATTTTATTTTTGTTTTATTCAAACTGTATTTGCCACATTATAACATTTTTTTGCTGCCTTTTCAACTTCTTAGTCAAATGACTCTTTGGATTATTTATTTTTCAAAAATGACATGTGGGCTTATTGCAAGAATATGAGTAGACAATCCAACTATAAGATTTGCTGCCTGTGAATAACAGATGCATGGTGACCAAACACAAAAAGAATTTGAAAAAAGTGAAAAGACTGGTTATAATTTATTATAACCAGTGCACATCATATGTGCATGAACCACATATGCTATTTACATAGTGGTTTGTGAAACAAAGAGTTAGCTAAATGTGTAGCTTACTCATAGTCAATATACTATAATATCTAAAATATTAAATGTGTAGTTAATGTCACTTGATGTCAATTAAATTGTGTTAACAAATTCTTACATACCAGAACTATGCAAAACAAGAACTGTCTGTATGCTCTTATTTATTGTGTTGTTATGTACCTTAGAAAATCTTATTTTATACAGGAAGTGATAGAATATTAAAGCAAGATGGACTCAGATAAGTTAAGAATGTGTATTATAATCCTTTGATCTACCACTAAACATGTAATAAAAAGAGTGACAGCTAAAAACATCAAATAAGAGTTAAAATAGAGGAAGGTAGGGTGAGATAATGGAATAGAAGCCTACACTGTTAGTCCACCTGCCCTTCCCCGCTTTCCTGGAACCCAAATTTTAACAACTATCTGCACACAAGAAAACACCATCACAAGAACCAAAAGTCAGGCAGGTGAACAATTAAAGTGCCTGGTTTTGATTTTACATCACTGAAACAGGCATTGAGGAGAGCAGGAGAGATAGTGTTGAATCACTGACACCACCCCTACTCCATCCCAGCAGTGGCCATGCTACATGAAGACAGAATTTGTGGACTTTGAAGAGGATGAGCACAATGACTGGAAGACTTTACATTGAACCCAGTGCTGCACTGTTGCAGAAGAGAAGAAAGCTATGTTGGGCTCAGCCAGCACCTGTGAATGGAGGGCCATTTAGACCAGCCCTAGCCAGAGGGGAATCATCCATCCTAGCCATCAGAATTTGAGAGTCTTAGCAAGCTTCACCACTGTGGGCTGAAGTGTTTTGGTGTACCAGATACCTAGTTTTGCCATAGTGGCATAGAGCAAGAAGAAGTCTGTTAAGGTCCCTCAGTTTGGGCCTGTATTCTGACTGCGTTTCTGGACCTGCCCTTGGCCAGAGAGCCCACTGACCTGAAAGGTGAGTCCCAGGTATGACAGCATTCACCACAAGCTAACAGAAGTGCCCTTGATCTTTAAGTGAACATCACTGGTGGCCTGGCAGAACCACCCATGAACTGGTGGTGGTGGTGGCCACAGGGAGAGGTTCCTTTGCCTGCGGAAAAGTGATGGGAGGGAAGAGCAAGAATGACTTCATATTGTGGTTTGAGTGACAGCTTAGCTGCAGTAGTATATAACTTCAAGTAAATTGCTAAGGTTTTGCCTCTAATTACTCACTCCCAGAAAATGTCTCTGAACATGCCTGGAAACTGGGGGATCTCACCACACTGAAGAAAATGGCCTTGGGCAAGGCCCAGTGCTCTGCTGGCATCAGGTCTGAGCTAGCACAGTCTCAGTGTTGATGACCACAGGGTGCTTGAATTACCACACCCCCAGTTCCAGGTTCAGCAGAGACAGAGGGACTTTATTTGTTTGGCAGAAAATAAGGGGAAATAACAAGAGTCTTTCCCTAATAATCCAAAGAATTCTTGCAAATTTTATCCAAGACCACTGAGGCAGTACCTCTACAAGTCTGCAAAAAACACAGTGTTATAGGGTTTGCGGCCCAAATCTCTTTGCATACCTGAAAAGCCTTCCAAAGAAGGAGAGTTACAAAAAACCTCAACTCTGAAGACCATAACAAATAAATACCTAACTCTTCAATGGCCAGACACCTACAAATATCAACACCATCCAGGAAAACACGAGCCCACAAAATGAACAAGATAAGTCACCAGGGACTAATACTGGAGAAAAAGAGTTATATCGTCTTTCAGACAAGTAATTAAAAAGAGCTGTGTTGAGGAAACTCAACAAAATTCAAGATAACACATTGAAGGTATTCAGATAAATTTAACAAAAAGATTAAAACAAAAAGGATCAAAAAGAAATTTTAGAGGAGAAAAATGCAATTGACATATGGAGAATTCATCAAAATCTCCCAATAGCAAAAACGATCAAGCAGAAGAAAGAATTAGTGAGCTTGAAGACAGCTATTTGAAAATACACAGTCAGAGGAGACAAAAGAAAAAAGAATACAAAAGAATGAAGCATGTCTACAAGGTATAGAAAATAATTTCAAAGGGACAAATCCAGGAGTTATTGGCCTAAAATCCGAGGTAGAGAAAGAGATAGGGGGAGAAAGTTTGTTCAAAGGGATAATATCAAAGAACTTCCCAAACCTAGAGAAAGATATCAACATTCAAGTACAAGGAGGTTACAGAACACAAAGCAGATTTAACCCAAAGAAGACAACCTCAAGACATTTAATACTTGAACTTCCAAAGGTCAAGGATAAAGAAAGGATCTTAAAAGCAATAAGAGCAAAGAAATAAATAGCATACAATGTAGCTCTAATATGTGTGGCAGCAGACTTTCCAGTGGAAAGGTTTGCAGGCCAGGAGAGGATGACATGACATATATTTGAAGTGCTGAAGAATTAAAAACTTTTACCTTAGAATAGTTTATCTGGTAGAAATATTTTTTAAGCATGAAAGAGAAATAAAGACCTTCCCAGTCCAACAAAAGCTGAGGGAGTTTATCAATACCAGACCTGTTCAACAAGAAATGGTAAACAAAATTCTTCAGTCTGAAAGAAAAATATGTTAATGAGCAATAAAAAAATCACCTGACGGTACGAAACTCACTGAGAGTAGTAACCACAAAGAAAAACAGAGTACTATAGCACTGTCATTATGATATGCAAAATACTCCTGACTTAAGTACAAAGACTAAACAATGAACCAATCAAAAATAATAACTTTTAAATTCATAGACAGCACAATAAGACATAAAAAGGAACAACAAAAAGTTAAAAAGTGGGGGCATAAATTTACAGTGTAGAATTTTTATTTGTTTTCTCTTTTCTGTTTGTTTATGGAATCAGTGTTATCAGTTTAGAATAATGGGTTATTAAACAGTATTTGCAAGCCTCCTGGTAACTTCAAATAAAAAAAGACATAACAAATACACAAAAAATAAAAAGCAAAATTAAAGCATACTACCAAAGAAAATTACCTTCACTGAAAGGAAGACAGGAAGAAAAGAAAGAAGGAGGAGAAGTCTGCAAGACAACCAGAAAACAAATAATAAAATGGCAACAGAAACTCCCTACTTATCAATAAAAACGTTGAATGTAAATGGAAGAAACTCTCCAATTAAAAGACATACAGTGGCTGAAAAGATGAAAAAACAAGGTTCAACGATATTTTGCCTCAAGAAACATACTTCTCTTATAAAGACACACAAAGAGTGAAAATAAAGGAATGGAAAAAGTTATTTCATGCCAATGGAAATAAAAAAGAGAAAGAGCAGCTATACTTATGTCAGAAAAAAAAATTCCTAACAAAAACTGTATAAAAAGACAAGATTATCATGTAATAATAAAGAACTCAATTCAGCAAGAGAATATAATACAATTGCAAATAAATATGCACTCAACATTGGAGCACCCCAATACAGAAAGCAAATATTATTAGAGCTAAAGAGAGAAAGATAGACCTCAACACAATAATAGCTGGAGACTACTACACCCCCACCTACAGCATTGGACAGATATTCCAGATGGAAAATCAATAAAGAAAAATTGGACTTAATCGTCACTGTAGAACAAATGGACATAATTGATATTTATAGATGATTGCATCCAATGACTGAAGAATACACATTTTTTTTTCTTAGCACATGGATCATTCTTTTGGATAGATCATATGTTAGGTCACAAAACAAGTCTTAATACATTTCAAAAATTTTAAACAATACCAAGCATCCTCTCTCACCACAATGGAATAGAACTAGAAATCAATTACAAGAAAAATTTTGAAAACTATATGAAAAACATGTGAATTAAGCAATATTCTCCTGAATGACCATTGAGTCAATGAAGAAATTAAGAAGGAAATTGAAAAATGTCTTAAAACAAATGACAATGGAAACACAACATAACAAAACCTGTAGGATACAGCAAAAGCAGTGTTAAGAGGGAAATTTATAGCCATAAGTGCCAATTCAAACAAGAAGAAAAACTTCAAAAAGATACCCTTATAATGCATCCTAAAGATCTATAAAAGAAAGAGAAAGCTGAACCTAAATTTAGTAGAAGAAAACAAATAATAAAGATTAGGGCAGAATTAAATTTGAAACAAAGAAAACAATATAAAATATCCATGAAAAAAATTTCAAACTTTTGGCCAGAATAGCTAAAAAAAAAAAAAGAGAAGACCCAAATAAATAAAGTCAGATATGAAGAAGGAGGAATTACAAATAATACCACAGAAATTCAAAGAATCATTAGTGGCTACTATGAGCAATTACATTCCAATAAGTTGGAAAATCTAAAAGAAATGAATAAATTTCTAGACACATACAGCCTATCAAGATTTAACCATGAAGAAATCCAAAATCAGAACAGAACAATAATTAATAAAATGAATACCGTCAGAAAAGCCCAATATCTCTGATGAATAATGATGCAAAATCCCTCAAAAAATACTAGTAAACTGAATTCAATGATATATTAAAAAGATCATTCATCGAGACCAAGTGGGATTTATCCCTGTGATGCAAGGATGGTTCAATATATGCAATTGAATCAATGTGATATATCAATATAATGTAGGACAAAACCATATAGTAATTTCAACTGATGCTGAAAAAGCATATGATACAGCTCTACATCCCTTCATGATAAAATTTCTCAAAAAATGCATATAGAGGAAACATACCTCAACATAATAAAAGCCATATAGGCCAGAACTACAGCTATTAATTGTAACATACTGAATGGGGAAAAACTGAAGGCATTTCTTCTTAGACCTGGAGCAGTACAAGACTTTCCAATTTCACCAATTTTATTCAACGTAGTACTGGAAGTCCTGGTTAGAGCAAACAGACAGGAGAAAAAAATAAAAGCCACCCAAACTGAAAAGGAGAAAGAAAAAAGTATCCTTGTGGACAGATGATATGATTTGATATTTGAAAAAAACTAAAAACTCCACTAAAAAACTATTAGAAACAATAAAGACATTCAGTAATCTTGCAGGATACAAAATCGACATACAAAAACCAATAGAATTTCTATATGCCAACAATGAACAATGTGAGAAAAAATCAATAAAGGAATCTCATTTAGAATAGCTACAAATAAAGTTAAATAGCTAGCAATTAACTTAACCAAAGAAATGGAAGATCTCTATGATGAAAACTATAAAACATTGATTAAAGAAATTGAAGAAGACAGACAAAAAATGGAAAGGTCTTCATGGATTGGAAAAATCAACTTTATTCAAATATCCATAGTACTTAAATAAATCTATAGATTCAATGCAATACCTAACAAAATACCAATGATATTCTTTACAGAAATAGAAACAAAACACTTCTAAAATTTATATGGAACTACAAAAGACCAAGAATAGACAAAGCTACTTTAAGCAAAAAGAACAAAACTGGAGGAAATAATTTACCCAACTTCAAATTATTCTACAGAGATATAGTATCTAAAATATTATGGTACTGACACAAAAGCAGACATATAGACCAATGAAACAGAATAAAGAACATAGGGGAAAATCCAAACTCTACATAAACTCATTTTTGATAAAGGTGCCAAGAACATTCTTTGGGGGAAAAGATGGTCTTCAATAAATGGTTCTAGGAAAACTGTACACCCAAATGCAGAAGAATGAAACTGCATTCCTATCTCTTACCATATACAAAAATTAAATTAATATGGATTAAAGACTTAACAGAGGAATGGATAAAGAAAATGTGGTACTTGTACACAATGGAGTACTATTCAACAATAAAAAAATGAGATTCAGTCTTTTGCAACATGGATGGAACCACAAGTCATTATGCTATGTAAAATAAGCCAGGTATAAAAAGTCAAACATCGCATATTCTCACTTATTTGTGGTATCTGAACATCAAAACAATTAAAACCATGGATATGGAAAATAGAATGTTAGTTGCCAGAGGCTAAGAATGGTTGTGAGGGGGCAGGAGAGAGGTGGGATGCTTAATATGTACAAAAAATATACAGAGTGAATGAATAAGACAGCATTTCAGGGTAATAGACAATAATAATTTCACTGTAAATTTTTAACTAACCGAGAGATGTAATTGGATTGTTTGTATCACAAAAAATAAATGCTTGAGGGGATGGATACCCAATTTTCCATGATGCATATTATGCATTTCTTGCTGTACCAAAATATCTCAAGTACCCTATAGATATCTACACCTAATATGTACCCACAAAAATTAAAAATTAATTTGAAAATAAAATGAGAGTATTCAATAAGTGAATAAATACTTGATTAATTCAAGCAAAGTCAGGAAAAATACAAGACTAGAGGAAACATAGAAGAATAAATTACAAAATTATAAACAATATTAGTCATTTCACTGACTACATTAAATTCAAAGGCACTAAACACTACATTTGAAAGCCAAAGGCTGCCAGACTGGATGAAAAAACAACATCCAACTATATGGTGTTTACAAGAGACAAAATTTAATTATAAGGATACCAGGAAATCGAAGGATGAAAAACAATATGTAATGCAAACAGTAATGATTAGAAAGCTATAGAGAGAACCCTATGTAGATATCTAAAAAGTAGATATTACCGGAGAGAGCAAGAGAGATTTTTTGACAGAAGCGTCAATTCATCAGGAAGGCATAACTGTCTTATATATGTATGCATCCATAGCATAGGTTTAAAATGCATAAGAGAATAATTAAATGTTCCAAAAGAAAAATAACTAAATTTAAGATTTTGGCCAGGTGCAGTGGCTCATGTCTGTAATCCAAGTGCTTTGGGAGGCAGAGGTGGGAGGATCACTTGAGACTGGAAGTTTTAGACTAGCCTGTGCAACATAGTGAGATCCCCTCTCTACAAAAATGTAAAAACTAGCCAGGTGGGGTGGTGTGTGCCTGTAATTACAGCTACTCAGGAGGCTGATGTCGGAGGATTGAGCCCAGGACTTCCATGTTGCAGCAGGCTGTGATCGTGCCAGTGCACTCTAGCCTGAGCAAGAGAGGGACACCATGTCTCTTAAAATAATAATAATAATATCACTAA
This sequence comes from Homo sapiens, assembly GCF_000001405.40. NCBI lineage: Eukaryota > Metazoa > Chordata > Mammalia > Primates > Hominidae > Homo > Homo sapiens. Next base: position 34,164,898 of record NC_000004.12, read on the forward strand.
TTTTAATTTCTCAGTAATTTCTTGAACAAGTAGACAAAATATCATTAAAGATGTAGAAGGATTACATTATCTAATGTGACCATATTCACATTTACGGATATGGAGTATTACATTCAACAATGGAATAATACACATTATTTTAAAGCACTCAAGGAATATTCACCAAAATACACTACAAGATGAAGCATAAAATGAGTTCCAAAGAATTAAAGTTATATAGATATCATAATCTGAATGAATAAAAACAAACTGAAAAACTACTTCAAATTATTAGAAATCCATCAAAAGTTAGAAATACAAAACCCCATTCTAAATACGTATGGGTGAAAAAGGAATGAGTGAAAATGAGAAAATATTTTTTCTAAATGATAGTGAATACAAAACCTAACAACATGTTTGTATGTAATTAAAGTAGTGATTAGAAGGAATTTTTAAACCTCAAAGCTCATTAATTGGATGTTGGGGAAAACAGTTTTAAAATCAATCATTCAAACCTTGGCATGAGAAGCTGAAAAAAGAAAAGCAAATAAAAACTGAAAAGGAAAAAGAAAAAGATATGAACATAAATAAATAAACTATTAGAACAGAAAAACAGACGAAAAAATCATAGATTCAAAAGACTATATTTGAAAAAGTTACCAAATTTAATAAATTCATATGATTTACTGAGAAGATGAGACACAGGATATACAAATGACCAATTTCAGGAATGCAAAAGGAGATATTATTCCAGGTGCTGTAAAATTTGTTAGGAGAATGAGGTAATATTGCAAACCTTTAAAGAGGTACTTAATGTTAAATGTGATCAATAAAGGTGAAGCCCTAATGCAACTGGACTGTTGTCTTTATAAGATGAAGAGACACCAGGTGCATGCATGCACAGATAAAAGCCATGTGAGGACAGAGTGAAAAGGTGACAATTAGCAAGCCAAAGAGTACTCAGGAAAAACCAACTCTGCCAACACTTTGATCTTGGATGTTTACCTCCGGAATTGTAAGAAATGAGTTTCTGTAGTTTAAGCCACCCATGATGTGGTGTTTTGTTATGGCAGTCTTAAAAGACTAAAATATTCTTATATTAAAATCTAAAAAGAATATTACATGAAGAGCAAATTTCAGAGCAACTTTTATCAAAGCATAGACAGAAAAATTCTAAAAAGAAAATATCAGCAAATACTATAAAACAATATATAAAAAGATTTATACATCATGACCAAGTGAGATTTATCCCAGTAGTAATGTTAGATTGAAGTAATATTAAAAAGTAGATTAACGCAGCATGTTAGCAAAATAAACAAAATATATAATCATCTTAATAGATGAAGAAACAGGATTTGATAAAAATTAATATTCATTTATAAGAAAAACTAACAATCTAGAAATAGAATATTAATCTGTTATAGAGTATCTATATAATTTATTTTAGTATATCATATTGCATGATAAAACAGTTAATGTTTTACTCCTACTTTTAAGTCTAAATGTAGAATATTTCCTTTCCATATTTATATAAACCCTGTGCTGTACATCTTGGCTAGTACAATAAGAAAATAAAAAAAATATAAGACATAAAAGATGGAAAAAATTAAACTGCCCTAATTCACTATTGGTAAAAACAGTAACAAAAAATTAAAAATGCAAAAACTTATAGAAATAGTAGATAAATTTAGCAGAAAGTAAAAGTAAATATATAAAACTAACTTTATATTTAGGTACTAAAGACAGTGGTAAAAAATGTTTAAATATGTTCTATAGCATAAAAATCATGAAATCTTTAGAAATGTAACAAAAGATATGTAACAAATAAAACATCATTGCTGAGTTAAACTAAAGAAGACTTAGCTAAATTTTTATGGTTAAGAATACCCAATATTGTCAATTTATAATTTTCTTTCTAAATTAACTACAGAGACAACGTATTTCTGCTAAAAAATATATGTAGTAATTGACAAATGGAATATAAAACATATTTTTAAAAATACCAAGGATTTAGAATATTCAAGGGAATAATGAAGGAGAACGGAGTTGACTACAATGGTTACTACAAAACTATAGTAATTCAGAGAGTTTAACACTTATGTAAGAATAGGTGAACAGATCAGCAAAAACAGAGGCAAGAGTAGATCCACAAACTAAAGGATAATTAATTTTTAATGAAGGAATCAAAGCAATTTTATGGGAAAAGTACATCTTTTCAAAAAATTATGCTTAATAAGCTCAATATATATATTCAAAAACCCGATAATCTTTTCCCAACCCCAAGTCACCACGTGCAGAAATTTTAACTTAAAATGGATGATAGATAAAATTTTGAAAACTAAATCTAGACCCAGGTGTGGTGGCTCAGGCCTATAATCCCAGCACTTTGGGAGGCAGAGTCAGGTGGATTACTTAAGCCCAGGAGTTCAAGACCAGCCTGGGCAACACGGGGAAATCCTGTCTCTACAAAAAATACAAAAATTAGCTGGGCAAGTTGGTGCACCTGTAGTGCCAGCTACTTGGGTGGCTGAGGTGGGAGGATCACTTGAGATTAGGAGGTCACGGCTGCAGTGAGCTGTGATCATATTATTACCCTACAGCTTGGGCAACAGAACAAGATACTGTATCAAAATATATACATATAAAAAAACTAAAGCTACATCAGTTTTGGTAGAATATACAAAGTAATAAGTTTTATGATATTGGTTTGTCAATATTTCTTAGATGGAACTCAAAAGGCACTTAGCAAAAAAGGGAAAAAGCAATCATTTGTATTTTACCAAAATTAACATATTTTAATCATCAAAAACATTATTAAGGCAGTGAAAAGTCACAAATAGACTGAAGAAAATGATGAGTTAATAGCTATGCTACCAAAGAAAGGACTCATACCCTGAATATAAAAATAATTCTTCCACATTAGTACTAAAGTGATAAACATTTCCACTAAAATTTGTGTCAAACACTAGAACATGTATGTCCAAAAAGACATAAGTGACTCACAAGAAACATGTGGAAGGGTGATTATATTCGTTCATTTTCGCACTGCTATAAGAAACTGCCCGAGATTGGGTAGCTTATAAAGGAAAGGGGTTTCATTGACTTACAGTTCAGCATGACTGGGGAGGCTTCAGGAAACTTACAATCATGGTGCAAGGTGAAGGCGAAACAAGGCACCTGCTTCACAAGGCAGTAGGAAGGAAACGTGCCAAGTGGAGGGCGAAGGGTCCCTGATAAATTCATCAGATCTCGTAAGAACTCACTATCATGAGAACAGCATAGGGGAAACGCCCCCATGACTCAATTACCTCCACTTGGTCTCTCCCTTCACAAGTGAGGATTATGGAGATTATGGGGTTTACAATTCAAGATGAAATTTGGGTGGGGACACAAAGCCTAACCCTATCAGTGATAAACATTAATATTTTTTAACAATGTCAATTAAAATCAAAATGTACAATTTTAAAACCCAGAATAAAAAAAACTGAAAAGGCCAGCAATAATTAGTATTAGCAAAGATATAGAGCATTCAGAACTTTTATACATTGCTGGTGAGAGTAAAAAAATGACATAACTACTTTGGAAATGTATGTATTTTCTCATAAAGTTACATAGATATCAACCCTACACCCTAGCAGTTTCACTCCTAGTTACTATGTGAGAGGAAAAAAAAGCTTTAAGTTTACACAAAAGATATGTGTAAGTATGTCCATAGCAGCTTTATTCATAATATTCAGAAACTAGAAGAAAAAAAATCAGCTATCTATTAGAAGATAAATGAACAGACTATGATATATCTATACAATGAATTAACAAGGAAAAAAGAATTGATGTAAATAACAACACCTGTGAATTTCAAAAGCATGATAGTGAGAGAAATGAAATGCAAAATAATACACAATGGGCCAGGTGTGGTGGCTCATGCCTATAATCCCAGCACTTTGGGAGGCTGAGGTGGGTGGATGATGAGGTCAGGAGTTGAAGACCAGCCTGGCCAAGACGGTAAAACCCTGTCTCTACTAAAAATACAAAAATTAGCCAAGCGCGGTGGCAGGTGCTTGTAATCCCAGCTACTCAGGAGGCTGAGGCAGGAGAATTGCTTGAACCTAGGTGGCAGAGGTTGCAGTGAGCCGAGATTGCACCACTGCACTCCAGCCTGGGAGACAGAGTGAGACTCCGTTTCAAAAATAATAATAATAATAATAATAATACACACTGTATGATTTCAATTATATGAATTTAATGAACACACAAAATTTATCTATAGTAATAGCAATCAGATGAGTACAGACCTATTGTAGTGTGCATTGCTTAGAGAGAGGCACAAGTAACTTTCTGGCATCATAGAAATGTTATCTGTCTTCAACCATGTAATTGATACATGTGTTTTTACAATTTTTACAATTTTACAATTTCAAAATTAAATGATGTATGTCTTTAGGATTTTTTTATTTTAATGGATGTAAATTACATCTCAATAAATTATTAGCTTTAAAATAAAACAATAAATAAATAAATAAAACTTTCAAGTAATTATAAGTCATAAGAAGAAAATAGAATTAGAAGATAGGCTAAGGAGTAAACTGGAACGGGTGAAGATAGGGACATATCTGAGGAGATAAAATTTTGCATAAGAATTGGAAAAAAAAGAGAGAGACAACAGGAAAAATCCCCGTGTGGATGATAGCAGGCAATTAGACCAACAGATGCAGTCTGATGGAAAAAACAAGAAAAACAACTTGTGAAGCAAGAGGAGACACTCAATGTGGGTGTGCATACACACTTATTTTTGTGTGCCTGTGTTCTCTGGAAAGACATATGTGGACCCCAGAGTGGGCACATGAAAAAGACTTCAACTGGACTTGAAGGCTGGAACCAAGACCAGCCAGTCCAGATCTTAAAACAAATATGCCTTGGTCCCAAATACACCTATACGAAAATATAAAATGAAGGTTTGTTTTGGTACAGCCACTGAAATTTGGGGTTATTTGTTATGCAGTATTATTGCAGCAATAGCTCTCTAATACATGTAACAACTATGCATGACAATGATTTGTTATGAAGAGTAGCAATTTAATTAAAATTATATAATATCAGGTAATAGAATATACTATAGTGTAAAAAGTGGTTCTCAGACTTTGATGAGAATGAGAATCTCTTGGGAAACTTATTAAAATCTACATTCAATGGCCTAAGTTCTAAAAAATATGATTCCTTTGTTCTGAGTTGGAGAATAGTAATTTTAAATACATGTATTATTCACAATGATCCCAATTCAATTGTTTAAAGACACACTTGTACTACATAAGCATAATGTCAAATTACATTGAAAATTTACATCATTTGTCCTGATGGTTTAAAAACATTTTTTTCTTGGGCAAATATATGTTAGATATGAATGTACTGTTGGTTTCTCTTTTATTTTTATGTGGGTAAGCATTTGGTTTCACAAAAATGAACACAGGATATTTTGATTAATTTAGAGCATCTGTGGGCAGCTTCATTTAGAATATTGCTTAGATTTAGTCATCTTTGATCTTGCTTGCCTAATAAAATCACCATAGCTGGAATCTAGACTTTAACTCATGTCCTAGCAGATGTTCATCTCTTTTGTCCTTTTAAGATTAGGTTAAATACAGCTGGTTAACTTTATTTATCCCATAGTTTGAGAGTGTTATCATTTATTCACATGTTATATCTGCCCTTAATTAAGGAAACAGATTTTTGCCCAAAATGTGTTCTTGAAAGTTTGAGTGGTACTATGTAGAGATGCAGAAATCTGCCACTTCTTTTTTTTCTTTTCATATAAAAAGTGTCTAATTTTTTGTGGTGTCTTTTTAGAAACACACCGGTTCCTCCACTTTCTAGCAGCAGATGACTTGGTTGCTAAACTTTCGGAATAAAAGCCTTTCTCTTTCAAATTTGAATTTTGGAAATTAGTCCCAACTAGCAAGCTCTTTGTTTTCTATTTTACTGCTTTCCTTCTGTTTTTATCCTTTATACCATTCATTCCACAATATGAGATGCATCTATAATGAATTATGTATGAATATACACAATTATATCATAGATACCATAGCTTTGTTTCATTGTCTTTCACTATTAACATTTAATAATTTTGAGTAATAATAAGCCAATAGAGTACCTATATCTTACATAAATAATGAATAGAAAGCCTAAGATAGAAATAACAGTTTGATTTGCAATCACTGTGCTTGTCTTCTGGTATGTGACATTTCATTGACTAAAGCATTAATCACATCCCTCTTTCCGTCCTCCTCTGCAGGGGTTAAGGATAATAAAGAATCATCAAGTGAGGGCCAGTCATCTGATTCCACAATGTGAAATATAAAGGCCAAATATTTTGGATAATAAAATATGATTATCAAATTCTTGTGAAAAAGATAGCCCTCTGATGGAAGTGTATTATATTATTTTAGGCTACAAAACATTGTCACTCATACAAGGATACATCAAAATGTAACATATATTATATACACCTGGGGAAATCAGTATCCATTTTAATTGACTATTCTTCTAAACTGAACTTTCTGCAATCATGACTACTTTTTTTTTTAACAAAGATATAGTTCTGCTCATGATGATCTCTTTGAAAAGTCTGATTGAATATGCTTTTAGTTCTTTTTCCTAAACGAATTCCCCTTTGGAATCTGAATTCCAGAGAGCAATGCAGTTCCCACATCTACATCTGTTTATTACTTTAATAGATATTACCCTCCAAAACTTCTTGTTAATACTGAACTTAAGTATGTGTTCATCATTAAAGATAGAAGGTAACTGCTCTTTTTTAATATTTCTAAGGCAAAAAAGAAAGAATGAAAATTAGGTGCTTTCTTTTTACTCTTTAGCAAGTTTAACTAATGTAATTAACAAAAATGGACTCATTCAAAGAGTTAACTCACTACCTATTAGTCCAGCATGATGTGAGTAGGTAATTTATACTTATTTTACAAACATCTAATTGAGTGCTTAGTTTGTGCTGAAAACTATTGTATGACAGAGAGTGGTATTCCCTAAATATCTATTTCCTTTGTAGTCTATGGAATTTAAACTCCCAATTGTTAGCTGGGCACATAAGCAAACCAATAGACATCACATTGTCCAGCTTTCTTGTAGAGAAGTGTATTATTTGACCAAATTTTGGTCACTGGGGTATGTGAAGTTGGGCAGAAGTCATGTGGACCTTTTCAGGAACCCTTCTTAAGAGACAGTAGTTGTCGATCCTTTGTCCTGTTTCCCTGTCCCTTACCCCCTTCCTGTAACCTGATGTGTAGACACAGAGGCAGTAGGAGCAGATGTATGCACCATGATTTGTTCCTGAGCAAAAAAGCCTGGATAGACAAGTAGTTTATGAAGCAAACTGCCATATCCACACTGGACTTCCAGATTCCACATGATTTTTAGTTTCTATATGAAAGATAAATGAACTTTATTGTGTGTTTGCTTGTTTACATCACTTAAGTCACTGTTATTCTGTATCTAGGACTGCTAAGCACAATCCCAGGTTATATTATACACATAACATCACGTTTAATACTCAGAACTTAGCCATGAAGTAGGAACCATTATAATACCCAGTCTAGAGTTGAAGAGACTCAAGTATAGAAAATGGACAATCTTGCCCAGTATCTTACAGTTAGTGAATGGAACAGTCAAGTCTATGTCCTGACGATTTGATTCCAGAGATTCTAAACTAGTATGAAAGACTGCTTCCTGATTAAACCACACACCTATTTATACTGTGAAGCTGTAGACTCCGTCTTTGGTGTTCTTGCATATCACTATATTAATTTTCAGAAATTTCAACAACTAATATAGAAAGTAAACATATTTCAACTATGATGTATCTGAAAAATTTCTCTTCAAATACTCCATTTAAAAAATAGCTGTATCAATAGGTTCATGGCTGTTAACATCAGCTTTAAAGAAATGGTGTTGTTGAGATTCCTGACTTTCTGATTGACCTTGGTATCTAATCATCTGTTAATAATCACTGGCATTTTTTCAATATTCTTATCCTCAGGAAAAAGAAATAAACTAACAAAATAAGGTGCTGAAATCCAAATGTCATTTTTAAATAATTATTACATTGCTTATTTTTTCTTATTAGTACTATAGCTTGTGGCCATTTAAAATATTTTCTATGATAGCTTGTGGCCATTTAAAATATTTTCAATGACTCAGTATCTTAAAGTTCAGTTCTGTTTTATTTTATTTTATTTTATTTTATTTTATTTTATTTTATTTTATTTTATTTTATTTTTAGTTATTTCTTGTCTTCTGCTGGCTTTGGGGTTGGTTTGCTCGTATTTTTCTACTTCTTCTAGGTGTGATGTTAAGTTTTTAATATGAGATCTTTCTAACTTTTTGATGTGGGCGTTTGGCAGTATAAACTTTCCTCTTAATACTGCTTTAGCTGCATTCCAGAGATTCTGACATGTATGTCTTTGTTTACGTCAGTTTCAAAGAATTTATTGATTTTTGCCTTTATTTCATTGTTTAACTGAAAGTAATTCAGAAGAAGATCATTTAATTTCAATGTAATTGTATGGTTTTGAGCAATATTCTTAATATTAATATCTATTTTTATTGTGCTGTGGTCTGAGAGTGTGGTTGGTATGATTTTTGGTTTTCTGAATTTGCTGAAAATTGTTTCATGGCCAATTGTGTGGTCAATTTTAGACATGTGCCATGTGCAGAGGAGAAGAATGTATTTTTTGTTGTTGTTGGGTGAAGAGTTCTGTAGATGTCTGCCAGTTCCATTTGGTCAAGTTTTGAGTTTAGGTCTGGAATATCATTGGTAATTTTCTGCCTCCATCAATTATTTAATACTGTCCATGGATATTGAAATATCCCACTATTACTGTGTGGTTATCTAAGTCTCTTTGTATGTCTCTAAGAGCTTGTTTTATAAATCTGGGTGTTCCTGTGTTGTGTGTACATATTTCTTTAGGATACTTAAGCCTTCTTGTTGAATTGAACCCTTTACCATTATGTAATGCCCTTCTTTATCTTTTTTGATTATTGTTGGTTTAAACTCTGTTTTGTCTGAAATTAGAATGGTAACCTCAGTTTTTTTGTTTGTTTGTTTTCTGTTTGCTTGGTAGATTTTTTTCAGTCCTTTTACTTTGAGCCTGTGGGTGTTTTATTGTATGTAAGATGGGTCTCTTGAAGATGGCATAGAGTTGAGCTGAAGTGAAAAAAATTGAGATGCAAAAAATAGTATACAAAAGAACACAAAATCATAAGTTTGTCCATTGAAAGTATACGTAAGATTGACAGACTTTCAGCTAGAATGATAAAGAAAAAAGAGGGAAGATCCAAATAATCACAATCAGAAATGGCAAAGGAAACATTACTAGTGACCTCACAGAAATACAGAAAACCGTTAGAGACTATTGTGAACACCCCTAAGCAAACAAACTAGAAAATTACACAAAATGGATTAATTCCTGGAAACAAGCAACTTCCCAAGATTGAACCTGGAAAATTTGTAACCCTATACAGACCAATAACAAGTTCCAAAATTAAATCATTAATTAAAAATCTGCCAACCAGAAAAAACCTTCTACCAAAATCACAGCCAAATACTACCAGATGTATAAAGAAGAGCTGTTACCATTTCTATTCTGATAAATTGAAGAGGGAATCCTCCCTGTCTCATTCTATGAGGCCAACATCATCCTGATATCAAAACCTGGCAGAGACACAACACAAAAATAAAGCATCAAGCCATTATCCTTGATGAACATAAATGTAAAAATTCTCAACAAAATATAAGCACACTAAATTCAGCAGCAAAAGTGAACATATTCGAAAAATTTCTACAAAATACTAGCATACTAAATTCAGTAACATATGAAAAAGCAAATCCAGCATGATAAAATAGGCTTTATCCCTGGGATGTAAGTTTGGTTCAACATGTGCAAATCAATAAATGTGATGTATCACATGAACATAACTAAAAACAAAAACCACATGACCATCTCAATAGATGCAGGAAATGCTTTTGATAAAATTCAAAATTTCTTTATGTTAATAACTTTCAACAAATTAGACCTAGAAGGAACATACTTCAAAATTGTAAGAGCCATCTATAACAAAACCACAGCCAACATCATACTCAATAGGCAAAAGTTGGAAGTATTCTCCTTGAGAGCTGGAACAAGAACATATTCACTCTCCACTGCTATTCAGCATAGTACTGGAAGTTCTAGCCAGTGCAATCAGGCAAGAGAAAGAAAAAAAGGCATCCATGTAGGAAGCGAGGAAGTCAAATATCTGTTTGCAGATGGTAAGATTTTATACCTAGAAAACCCTGTAGTGTCTGTCCCAAAGCTCCTAGACCTGATAAACAATTTTATCAAAGTTTCAGGATACAAAACCAATGTACAAAACTCAGTAGTATTTCTATACAACAACAACGTCCAAGGTGAGTGCCAAATCAAGAACAAAATCCCATTCAAAATATCCAAAAAAAGAATAAAATACATAGGAATAAAGCTAATCAGGGAGGCGAAAGATCTCTGCAATAAGAATTTTTATAAATTGCTCAAAGAATTCAGAGATTACACAAACGAAAAGTATTCCATGTTCATGGATAGAAACAATCAATATTGTTAAAATGGCCATGCTGCCCAAATTACAGATTCAATGCTACTCCTATCAAACTATCAATAACATTTTTCACAGAATAAGAAAAAAAAACTTCTAAAATTAATGTGGAACTAAAATGAACCCAAATAGCAAAAGCAATCCTAAGCAAAAAGAACAAAGCTGGAGTCATTACATTACCTGATTTCAAACTGTACTAAAAGTCTATAGTAACCAAAATAGCATGGTACTGGTACACACACAGACACTTAGACCAAAGCAACAGAATATAGAGCAACATAATAAATCTGCACCCCTCAACCATTTGGTCTTCAACAAAGTAGAAAAAAGAAACAAGCGTAGGGAAAAGACACTGTATTCAACAAATTATGTTTGGATAACTGGCTAACTTTATGCAGAAGAATGAAACTGAACCACTTCCTTAGGCCATATACAAAAATCAACTCAAATGGATTAAAAACTTAACTGTAAAACCTAAAACTACAGAAGCTCTGGAAGAAAACTTAGCAAATACCATTCTGGACATAGGTCCTGGCAAAGATTTTATGATGAAGACACCAAAAGCAATTGCAACAACAATAAAACTTGATAAATGGGACCTAATTAAACTAAAGAGCTTCTGCATGGCACCAAAAAAAAAAAAAAAAAAAAAAAAAAAAAACCCACTATCAATAGAGTAAATAGACAGTCTACAGAATGTGAGAAAATATTTGCAAACTATGCATCTGACGAATGTCTAATAATCAGTATCTAGAAAGAACTTGAACAAATTAACAAGCAAAAAACAAACAGCCCCATTTAAAATTGGGCAATGTATATGAACAGACACTTCAAAAGAACACATACATATGGCCAACAAACATATGAAAAAATGCTGAATATCACTAATCATTACAGAAATGCAAATCGAGACCATATCCACCAGTCATTATGGCTATTATTACAAAGTAAAAAAAAAAAAAAAAAAAAAAGATACTTGTGTGGTTGCAGAGAAAAGGGAACACTTATACACTGTTGGTAGGAGTGTAAATTAGTTCAACTATTGTGGAAAGCAATATGGTGATTCTTCAAAGAGCTAAAAGCAGAACCACCATTTGAACCAGCAATCCCATTACTGAATATACACCCAGAAGAATATAAATAATTCTGTCATAAAGACACATGCACATGTATGTTCACTGCAGCACTCTTCACAATAACAAAGATGTGGAATAAACCTAAATGCCCATCAACAGTAGGCTGGATAAAAAAAAAATGTAGTAAACATGCACAATGGAATACTATACAGCCATAAAAAAGGATGAGATTATGTCCTTTGCAGCAACAAGGAGAGAGCTGGAGACCTCTATCCTAAGTGAACTAACACAGGAACAGAAAACCAAATACTGCATGTTCTCACTTCTTACTGGGAGCTAAACATTGACTTCATAGACACAAAGAAGGGAACAACAGACACTGGGGCCTACTTGAGGGTGGAGGGTGAGAGGAGGGTGAGGATTGAGAAACTATCTCTAGAGTACTATGCTTATCACCTGGGTGGCAATATAATCTGTACACCACACCCTAGTGACATGCAATTTACCTACATAACAAACCTGCACATGTACCCTGAACCTAAATAGAAGTCAAATAAAAATAAAATAAAATAAAATAAAATAAGAATAAAATTGTTCCCTCGGATGAGCAATATTGTCTGTCTTTTATCATAGATTTCAACTTCACACTCCCCCCATGTTGCTCTAATTAGTGCCCGTTCCTACACAATTTTCATCTGTTTGCTTAGTATCTTCAAAATAAAATAACATATTTATTACTCTATCATGCCTGAATATCACACTGGGAATATGAAAAAGGAAATTTTCCCTGGAAGAACCCAAGTATACTAGAAAACCTGGAGTACTAGAACTCTTGTCCAGCAATGGTCGCATTAGACTTATGTATTAATTGCTATCACTATTCAGGAGCCCAGGCTCTAATCAAAATGAATGCTTTAGACAAACATCATCTTGTCTGCAATTATCTTTTTTTTTTGTTTTTCACTCTCTTAGAGATTAATAAGGGCATACACCTGAGAGCAAAGGAAACAAGTTAAAGTTAGTGTGACCAGGAAAGGAGCACTTGAAAGGGGACTATTTAATTAGTAATCTTCCATGTAGGAAGATAGGAGGAAGAAAAAGCTCAAATGATATTTCTACATATATATGTATATATTTTGACAATTATGACAAATATCCAATTTCTACTTTATAAATTCTTGTTGAAAATTCTAATTACCACATTAAAGGTATTCTCTTTATTCATGCAGTGTGATGGTAAAACCACAGAGTTAACTAAAAACAATTGTGAAGAAAAGAAATAGTATTTTACCACCAAAACAAATATGTCATTCAAATAAGTTGCATCGTCTAACTTAATAGGTTGCTATGCAATGATATAATGAGAAAAACCTGTAATGTATGTCTTCATAATATTATAGATGTGAATTAGAAGTTCTTCAACCCTTTCTGTACTGGTCCTTTCTGCACTGGAGAAACAGTTGCCAACATATTCAGCTCTGTTCTCCTGTGGATGCTAAGGGGCAGGTTTTCATTGCAATACTATAGTTACGTGGAATATATCCTGAGGTTGGTGACATTCAAAATCTCACATTTAATTTGAGTAAATTCTAGCAGGAATTCTCATTTGTTCCCAAAATTGTTAAGTAACTCTGTTATTTGTTCTGACCTCGGATGAGTGACTTATCCTAAGCTCTGGCTATTGGGTTCCAAGGACAAAAAGTCTAGGTATGCTATTTAATTTGAAATTTTGAATATAACCCAAGTAAACTATCATGTGGGCCACTTTACTCTTTAGGTGGAATGTGCATAGATGTTACATTTGGACTGGACACATCTATTATTTTGTGCCATAAAAGTAATTTAGTTTGTATTGTGTTTTATTGTTTCCTCACTGACCAAAGACATTCTTGAAAACACCAACCAGCTTAGTTCTCCTCAAACTGGACATTGCCATTCCTCAGTACTGCACTTTATTAATGAGACATTATTTTTTACAGAGCCACAATAAAAATTGACTGCCTGGGTGACAAACAGGGAGTTCTCCCCTTTGGATGCCTGTGGCTCTGGATTAGCTCACTGGGAAACTCTTCATTCCATTTTGGCTCAGGTAATGATTACTGAATATGCAAGAATTTCTTCCTTAGAAACAACCCAAACTTTGCATCACACCTCTGTGAAGAATGTGTTCTCTCCTATTAGAGCTATTTCACTGCAACAGGTTTATATAGTTTTAAATATAATTGTATATAAATATATATCTTTTAATTATATAAATCTGTTGCAGTGAAATAGCTCCAATTTACTGTACATGAATCTGGTAGGAAAGGGACAATTGACCCGATGGCTAAAGACTGATTTGCAATAAATTCTGATATTATTGGCAGCTATTGTAGCCAGCAACCATTCCCTATAATTTACCTTAGCTCTGCTGAGTATAGATAGATAGATAGATAGATAGATAGATAGATAGATAGATAGATATCATATAACATGTAATAGATACATCTTTATATATTTATATGAAATCTGTCCTTACTTAAAAGGGCACCCCTTACCTGTGCTTCAAAAGTTGTCAGTACTAGCTCATTTTTGGAAGAACCTCAGAAATCTGAAAGTGAGAGTTAGAATTTTGAAAAAATGTTCATAGTCTGACAATCATATTTCTACTGAGGGAAGAAAATTTATACTCGATGGGGAAAGGTATTGTGAGAGCTCTTCAATATCTGCTCTAATACTTCAGTTGCTCCAACAAAGAAGAGGAGAAGTGAGAGGTTCCCATGGTGAGGAGGGGAGAATAAATAGAACATGCTTGGTTCAGCATATCTGAGTACTCTCAGTCAGACTGCACTGACCCTCTGGTATTTTATATATACTCACTGTTATTAGGGAATCTTTATTTTCAATCTGTTTCAAAATGCAAAGGGAAATAAAAATATGTTTTTATTGATTTCATGAAATCCAAACATTGGTTACTCAAATCCCACTTTAAATGACTCAGACTGCATATATTCTTCAATATGCAGGAATTTTAAAAATTTAAACAGAATCAGCAATAGCTAAAACAAGACTTTGCAATTAGGCAATTTATTGATGCTGCAAATGCTAATCATATATTTTGCCCCAGTTATTACACACAAAATTTAATTGGCAAAATAGTTACCAATAGACAAAAGTGGATTATTTTATACACCTAAAATTACCATCATAGGTTGCAAAACTTTGCCCTTCTAACCATGTGGTGCTTAGAAGAAAGAATTTATAATCAAAATAGAAATATACTTCCAAATTTTTTATGTCTTCAGTTTTTTTTTCATCATGGAAATAGTAATAGAATAAATATCAAATTCTGGAACCAAATTTTGTGGAATTGCTGTCTCATTACATAGCTCTTTAACTTTCAAAAGTCAGGTTTTGGTAAATTTCTCCATCTGTAAAATGACAATGATAATTTATTTTAGCATTTAATAAATAGTCTTACTGGGTATTTATGAATATTAAATACATTAATTGTATAAAGCTCTAGGAATACATGAATATACTATGGAACATAATATTTGTTCAAAAAATGCCAACAATTATTAACATTCACTGAAGGTTTATAGAAAACTTATAAGTAATGTTGGACATTCTTTCAAATGATTGGAAACAAAGATAACTTATGAAGTCGGTCACTCCTTTTCTACATCAGCAGTAGATAGGTTTTTCTTAATATCCACTCTTTAACTCAATACTGAAAAAAAAGTGTGACAAAGAGCTCAAGGCTTATTGAATTAAAGGCACCTGATACCAATCTATTTTAATGCAATTATTTAAAATATGATAATTCAAACTCATTATTTTATTCTGTTTATTCATGCCTCTTTGATAAATCAACCTAAAAGTTTTATTTTTTGTATCATTTTACTTGCCATATTTTAATTTGAGAATGTTATTTTTCCAGAAATTTCCTAGAAAAGGTAGGAACCATCTAATTATACTCTATGTTGTTCAAAATAAACCATAACAACTTATTTATAGACAGAAAAATATGACACCTGGACTTAAAGCTCCTGCCTCATTTCTTTTTCTACTACATCATCATTAAAGGATTGCCAGAATCAAAGTTCTCATATTCTAATTTGGGAGATTTTGTCATTGAAATATTTTTTACAAAAAAAAAATTAGAGGTGGTATATGAATTTATACTTCATTTGCATTTTTCTGTAATTAACAACACAAGCTTTATATTTCAAATAGTTCATTGGAAAGGTAGTTTTTCTTTCTAACCACCCTTCATTTCCTAATGTATAATTGAGTTAAACCTGGTAAACATTTCTTTTTTTCCAGGTGTCAAGATGTTAAACTTTGTCAATAGAGGACTCTGCAGGGACACTGTGGATGAAAGGGTCTACTCTTCTTCACTCCAGGACACATCTCTGGACATGCTCTTCTAGTGCATGACAACCAACAGTATATCACAGCCAGCAGTGAAAGACTGCCTAAAATATAATCTACTTCTCAGGAGGCAGTTTCTTCCAGTATATTTGAAGAACGCTTTCAAGCTGTTTCTTCTATACAGAATCTAAGGTAACTTCATACTCTGGTGGGCCACAGGTAGGGGGTTCTTCCACATCTGTTCCTTCTTTAGAAGGTCTGCCTCAGCCTCAAAGTTTGTGGCTGCTTACTCCATATGCTATTCCTGAATTCTTTAGAGTTGTCTCTTTCCCATAATAGCTAATCCCCTATGAGAGTTTATAATTCCTTGTATTAAACTTCCTGTGTTCAAATTATTCTGTGGTTTCTGTCTCTTGGTTGAATGTTGACTAATAACAGTTGTGGTATGAGGAAGTAGAGGGGTTCCTGGAGAAAGATCTGAAAAGATGGTATTTGGACATTGGTTTACTCATGCCCTTGGGCTTGAGCATATTGGTGAAAACTTTGCCAGAAGGAAACAGAGTGCTAAGTAATCTATGGCATGTAGTGGCATACCAATTAATCAAGACATCACCTGTGCTTGATTGTGATCAAGTGCTGACTGAATCAAGTCCCATGGAAACTCAATGGCTGCCATAATTTAATGTACAGAAAGTGACTACAAAGACTATGCTGTGGCCAGAATTTCCTGAGTGACTTGGAACGCTTACAGAAATGAATGATAAGCTCAGGAATTTAGACGTCAACTCATGACTAAACCAGAGAGATTTCATAACAGTCCTAAAATACTATCTTATTTATTAGGGTCATAAGGTTGATACCATCAAAAACCAAATGCAAAATTTAATTATGTCAACTGTGAATAGCAAACTCCATGGTGTCACCATCCTTAAGTGTTAAGTTTCAAATATTGATTATGAATGATTGTTCAGTTGTAGAAATAAGGATTTCCTTGGCTACTCTTATTAACTTTTTGTTTTGTTTCTATATAAGTACTCAATTTCCTGTTTTTTTCTTCTCTGTTCTTACTCTTTTACAATAGAAGGTTGATGGCTATTAAAATGAAAATTCATTGTCATTGATTGCACAATGTCAAGATGGATTGTAATTGAGGAGGAGTGAACATTACTCAGAAATGGAGGCAGTACTTAAGAGCTTTGTTCTTCCTTTTACGTGAGGGTGAGCAGTTGTTTATGTTAGGATCGCCAGGTTGTGTTACACAGGAGCATTTTTTGTTTGTTTCTTATTGCTGTTTGGAGGCTTAAGAATGGGAAGAAAATATGTGTGAGGGATGATATATTTGGATTGGCTTGCTCAACATCCATTCAAACCTGCTTATTGTGTATTTTCTTATATTGCAGAGGCTAAAAAGCTAAAAAAAAAAACAAAACAAAAACAAAAGCAAGCCCACACACAGTTTTCCAGATTCTCTTGACATATCTAGATGTGATTTTGGTTTACATCATTCATATCACTTCTGGGAAATATTGGCTGCTTCACAGAAAAGCAGAGGTGGTAGACTTAAGATCTGGCCAGTGTTGCAGTAACGTTCAGATTTGGCAGGCCGTTTCCTGATTGCAGCAGAAGCACTGGCTGTCTCAGCATCCCGAATGTGTCCTGTGAGTTTTGAAAGTCATTAATGGGAGAAGGTCAGCGTAAAGTCTGTTGTTAGTCATTCTAAATATTTTGAAAGGTCATCAGTATCTGTATTAGTCTGTTTTTGTGCTGCTGATAAAGACATACCCAAGACTGGATAATCTATATATTAAAAAAAAAAAAAAAAAGAGGTTTCGTGGACCCACAGTTCCATGTGGCTGGGGAGGACTCACAATCAAAACGGAAGGCAAAAGTCACGTCTTCCATGGTGGCGGGCAAGACAGAATGAGAGCCAAGTGAATGGAGAAACCCCTTATAAACATAGCAGATCTCATGAGACTTATTCACTACCATGAGAACAGTATGGGGAAAACCGCCCCCTTGATTCAATTATTTCCCACCAGGTCCCTCCCACAACATGTCAGAATTATGGGAGCTACAATTCAACATGAGAATTGGGTGGGGACATATCAGTATCCTATAATAAATCCCATATCAGTATCCTATAATAAATCCCCATCAAGATTAACCCTGGATCAGGGAAGAAATTATTCCTGTTAATGATTTGAGAACAACAGACAAGACTTATGAATATATGTGCCATTACATTTAAGTCTTCATGTTCTTGGCATGTTCTAGGCAGTTGGTTTATGCTTTGCCTGCATGTGTTTCCCCTCATCAATCCTCCAAGTCATGTCATATCTAACTCCTCCTTTATCTGGATTGCTTTAGGTTTGGGTCTATAGCCCTTATGAAATACTTTGGGCACTATTACATCGATGTGATATTACTTTGGAGGCTTTTGATTCTACAGAACCATTCTTTTTTATCATGAAAACCTGCAATTTGCCTATCAGAATGTTTGCTTTCACAATTATCATTTATGATGTGCACTTCAAGGTGCTGTCTGAAGTCAACAATTTATAATAAAATGTAGAGAACATAAATGTTCCGTTTGATACATTTTTTAACAATTGTATACACTGATGTAAACACTATTAAAAGATGCGACTGTTGTATTACAGGAAAGAATGCTTCCCTGTGCCTTTTCTCTTCACACCACCACCACTACCACCGCCACTATGGTCACTGTTTTGATTTTATCTTTTTTTATTATTCCTAAGCTTAACATAAATACAGTCATAAGATGTGATGTATTCTTTTGTCTCTGGCTTCTTCTGCTCAACATGATATTTTAGAGATTTATTCATTCGGTGGCATATGTCAATTGTGTGCTTGTTTTTTATTAAATAATATTCAATGTATCAACATGCCACAATTTGTTTATCCTATTCTACTGCTGATGAAGTTTGGGTATTACACTTTTGGGTTGTTACAAATAAAGATGCTATAAAATAGCTTTATGGAAATTTTTCTAGATTAAACGTCTTTAGAAGACAGTTTAAAATGTCCTCTGCGATACTTTAGGTTTCACCTAGTGCTCAGTAAAGGTCTGCTACAGGTTGGTCAAGGAAATGGGGAGAGAGATTGCCCGAGGCACCAAAAGCTGTGAGTACAGCAGAAGAGCAAAGGGAATTCCTCATTCTGATGCTGGTGTCAGGGCTATAAATCACAGCTCTCCACAGCCTTTTCCATGCTCATGTCCCAAGCTCTGCTGGAGAGGAAGTGGTAATGCTGCCTTCATTGTGTTTTACTAGATTCCAAAGAGGAAAATGAGTGGAAATAAAATAGAACTTATTTCATTTTTATCTGCTTGAGTAGTCATTGCTTGCCCTCAGTGAAGACACACTGAAGTGCCCTGTAGGAATACAATTGAGCTTTCCTACCTTGCACTAGGTTTCAGGGGCTGCCACTTTGCAATAGAATACCAGTATGGCTGAAAACACGCTCTTTCTCTCTCTCTTTTTAAGAAGAGCTTTATTGAGATACAACCAATATACAAAAACTGCACATATTTAATGTATACATTTGATGAATTTGGACATAGGGATACACCCATGATACTATCACCACAATGAAGGTAGTAACAGACATATTCATCATGTCTAAAAGTTTCCTTGTGTCCCTTAGTTGTCATTGTTGCTCTTTGTTTTGTTTGCTTGCCTTTGTGGTAAGAACACTTTACAGGAGATCTATTCACTTAACAAATTTTCAAATGCATAATGTAGAATTGTTGACTTTAGGCACTATGCTGTAAAAAGATCTCTAGAATTAATTCATCTTGCATAAGCTGAAACTTTATATCAATTGAAAAACTCCCCATTTCCCTCTTCTCCCAGCTCATTGTCAACACCATTCTAGACTCTTCTTCTGTAAGTTTGACTATTTTAGATACTTCATATAAGTGGAATCACGCAGCATTTGTCCTTCTGTGACTGATTTATTTCATTTAGCATGATGCCCTTCAAGTTCAATAAAACTGTTTACAAACAACAACAGAAAAAGAATTTCTCTCATGTTTTCTGGGCCTTCCCCAGGCTTTAGCAGTTAACGACCATCATGCCTGAGAAAGTTTTCCCTCATTTCTCCTGTCCTGCTCCCAGCATTTTACAGCAGCTTCTTTGCTCCATTTTAAGCCTCTATTTCCTTGTGTGAATTTGTCTCCTCTCTCTGTCCTGTCCCCTAAGCCTTCAACAGGCCACTATCTTCCACTTGAAAAGGCTGTGCAACCCTAGGAGGGGTCCCTCAGATCCCCTTCCCACACTCTGACTGACCTCTGCATGCTACTGCCACCCACCAAGCAGACTCAAAAAATAGTCTGCAAGGCCATGCAAACCTTGTGGCTGGACTCCATAAGTTTCCAAACCATCATAACAGCTTATATATAAAGTACGGCTAAAGATTTCTTAATGGTGCGGCTGGCTTCTTCATCAGTTATTTACACTAGGTTTCTTCTCCTTCCACCCCTTGATCAGTAATGAAAGCAACTATTGGTGTTCTGTCTCCTAGTAAGCATGTGTCACTTTCTGGACTTGTTTTCATTTCGTTAACTTCTTGTTATTTTTTGTTATATCTTCAGTTCCATTATAGGATAAAAATTTAAAAAAATATAAATTTCTCTCTCATTCACCTTATTGGTATCAGTTATATGGTGAAATTATTAATGATTTCTTGTGACTTTCTACATTCCCACCTGAAGCAGGTGTCTCTTTTTATGTCATTTTAGTCTTTCTATAGTAATTCATTGTAAATAACAGACTAGACTCATTGCTTTGTATAATTACTACCACATGGCAGATATTCAATAAAATGATTTTGAATGTCAAATGAATTCATCAAATCAACCCTACATTGTCATACATTTCTATTTTTAAACAAGTGTCATCATTTCACTATTAAATCTGTTGCTCTGAATATTATCTTTAAAATACACTTCTGAGTCATTTTTTAGGTCACTTTATATTTCAGAACAGTTGATATCAAGGGTAAAAAGAACAGCATCTTTTTGTCACTTCCTGTTTTCTGAATAAAAATAATTTATTTTCTTCTGCAAACTTAATTTTTCCCACAATTGTACTTCAGTCAAGACTTCAGACTGACATTTATGGGGACTAGTCCATTCTCAACCTGTCCCCTGTCATCATAAGAAAACAAAGTAACTATCAGCAATTGTCTGTTTCTCATCTCTCTCTCCTTAAGATGTTTGTAAGAATAATAGTACTATTTAAATGTTAAAGTACTGTATGAACTTAGAAAAAAGCTTCAGAGACTCATTCTCAGGTAGAACCTAAGCTTCTAAATATAGTTGGTGTCCCCATATCCACAAGTTCTGCATCTGCATATTCAACCAAGCATGAATTTAAAATATTTTGGAAAAAACAATAAAAATAACAATACAGTTAAAAATAATGCAAATTAAAAAATATATAACAACTATTTACATAACACTGATCTTGTGTTAGCTATTGTAAGAAATCTAGAGAGTTTAAAGTACTTGTGAGGATGTGCATAGGTTATATGCAAATAATATTACATTTGTATAAGGGACTTGAGCATTGGAATTTTGGTATCCTCAGGGGTTCTGGAATGCATTCCTTGTAGATACAGAGGGACAACTGTATGTTAGGTTTCTGTTCTTGCTGAAAAGCTTTATTATCATTGAATCTCTTAAATGAGATTTCTTATTACTAAATATCACTTACATGTCATTAATATAATAATAGGGTCATTATCACTGAATAACATTAAATGTGCTTATATAAATGAAGCTAGAAATTGATGGCATAATAAGTTTGCCAGAGGTTTTTGCTTTGCTTATATAAACTCATGTAATTCTCACAAACAACTTGTGAGAGATGCTATTATTATTCCAATTTTACAAATGAAGAACCTCAGGAAAGGGACTTAATTAATTTGACCAAGGTTTCATAGTAAGTTACAATTAGGATTAAACCAAGGCAGTATGATTTCAACATCCATAATCATAAATTCTATATTTATTTGCTTTATTTATTAACAAGATTGCCTTCTACAACCAATAGTGAAATTGCTGTTAGCCCATTGTCAAACATAATGACATTACCTCAGTTCTCATTCAACTTCATTTCTCTACTCCATTCAACTAGAGACAACAATTTCCTTTATGTTCTTCCTGTATCCTATTCTCAACATGAGCAAAATCAGGCTCAACATATTTTCTTTTATTTCAGAGTTGGCAAACATCTTCCATAAAGAGCTAAAGAGTAAGATCTGTGGACCATGTGGTCCTTGTCACCACTGCTCAATTCTGCTGTTGCAGCGAGAAAGCAGCTGTAGAAGTTATGTGAATGAATCTGTGTTCCAGTAATACTTTATTTAGAAAAACAGACTGCAGTTGTATTTTGCCACAAGCTCAGTGGGTTTGCCTACCCTGGCATTACTCCATACTCAATTTAAAAAGGCCCATTAGAGTGGTCTTTAGGACTCTACTCTCCCATGCTTTTTATTTACCCTCTCTCATTGATATGTATATATATATCTCTTAGCTATCTATAGTAGTTACTAATCGCTGAATGAATACTATGAACCCTTTAGATATTTCCTGTAGCACAATCATAAAGAATGTCACTTGCCACACTAATCATAAGTGGAATATCTAGGACTTGACGTATTACTGAAATTCATGCTAAGATATGCTATACTGCCTCTCTGACTTTATGTTTTATTATTTATAATTCCATACTTATTTCAAATTGATGATTTAAAATTATTTTTAAGAGACAAGTGATTCTTGTACTTTTTTATATGGGTATCAGGCATGTGAAGTGAAGTGAACATTATAGAAAATCAAATAATACTAATAACTAGTATTTATTGAGTGCTTACTATATCCGCACTAAATATTTCCCTGTATTATTGCAATTAATAGTCAAAGCAATCTTATCTAGTAGATGCTATTATTTTCCTTATTTAACAACTGATACAAGACTTTGAAAAAGCAAGTAATTTGAAAATATAACTTAGCTAGCATGGCGTACCACCAATATTGAAATTCAGACAATGTTATCTCGGGTCCCATATTCTGAACACTTTTGCAATATCAACAAAGAAAATAGTAGTTTTGTAAAGCTGATGACACTACTGAGAGACTCTTTTGGAGGGACAATGTTTGTGCAAGAAAAGGTGAATAATATATTGAGTCAGGTGCATAATACACTGATTCAGATTGTTCATGACACTGTAAGTATTTCTCATGCCTATTACCTTTTCCATGAGAAGCAGCCATTGATGTTTTGTAGTTAAATTATTTACAATTCATGTCACAGTTGAGACTGTGCTCCGCGCAATTGATAGGGTATAAATAAATTAAGGTGGCAAATACGAGAATTCTGCATAAAATGGTCATTAAATAGTGGTTGAATTTCTGGATCCTTACTCGGGGTCTGTAAAGAAGAAGGCACAAAGAGGGAACAAAAACGCTAGGAAGAATAGAAGAGATAGTATGCATAAAGCTAAGAGAGAGAAAACCTAAGTCGCAAACACGATTAGATAGCATTAGATGCTGTCTCTGATAGAATAGTAAGTTAACAATAACGCTAAACTGACAGTAACTTCAAAGAATGTTGAACGTTTTACATGAGTTGGTGTTAAATCCAGACATGTTTTTGAAATGGTCCAATTTACCATGAAGCCTGACTTTTGTGGCTGCTGAGTATTTCACTTGTGCCTACATAATTTTTTCAGTTGTCTCACACACACACACAAAATTCTTGACTGTGGGCATTAATCCACACAAGAAATTTTCATTTATTTGCTTAGAAGACGTTTCTAGAAATGGTAATGTGTAATAGTATATAACAAAAATCCAGCTGTTTTCAATTATTTAATACTATGCAAGTAACGATATGTATGCTTCAGAATTTCCATTAAAATCATATTTTATTCTATTATTATTATTTTTCAGAGTATGAGTCTCACTCTGTCACCCCGGCTGGGGTGCAGTGGCACCATCATGACTCACTGCAGCTCAGCATCCCTGGCTCAAGCAATCCTCCTGCCTCAGCCTCCCAAGTAGCTGGGACTACAAACACTGATATGGTTTGGATCTCTACGTCCCTGCCTAAATCTCATATCAATTTGTCATCCTCAATGTTGAAGTGGGGCCTGGTGGGAGGTGACTGGGAGTGGATCCTTCACAAATGGTTTAGCACCATCCCCTCAGTGCTATTCTCTTTATAATGAGTAAGTGAGTTGTCGCAAGATCTGGTTGTTTAAAAGTGTGTAGCACCACCTCCCTCTCTTGCTCCTGCTCTGGCCATGTAAGATGACTACTTTCCCTTTACCTTTCACTGTAATTGTAAGTTTCCTGAGGCCACCCCAGAAGCAGAAGCTGATATGCTTCCTCTACAACCTGCAGAACTATAAGACAGTTAAACCTCATTTCTTTATAAATTACCCAGTCTCAGGTATTTCTTCACAGCAGTGCAAGAACAAACTAATACAAAAAAACTGGTACCCAGGAGTGAGGCAGTGCTTATTATAAAGGTACTTGAATATGTCGAAGTGGCTTTGGAATTAGGTAACAAGCACAGGTTGGAACAGTTTAGAAGGCTGGGATAAGAAGACAGGAAGATGAGGAAAAGTTTGGAACTTGCTAGAAACTTGTTAAATGGTTGTGATCAAAATGCTGATAGTGATATGGACAATGAAGTTCAGGATGAGGAGGTCTCAGGTGGAAATAAGGAACTTATTGGGAACTGGAGCAAAGGTCACTTTTGCTATGCATTAGCAAAGAACTCGGAGGCATTGTGCCTCTGCCCTAGAGATCTGTGGAACTTTGAACTTGGGAGCGATGATTTAAGGTAATTGGAGGAAGAAATTTCTAAGCAGCAAAGCATTCGGGAATTTACCTGGCTGCTTAGAACAGCCTATGGTCATATGCATGAGCAAATAAAAGATGTAAAACTAGAACTTATATTTAAAGGGGAAGCAGAGTATAAGAGTTTGGAAAATGTGCAACCTGACCATAGGATAGAAAAGGAAAACCCATTTTTGGGGCAGGGATTCAAGCATGCTGCAGAAATTTACATAAGTAAAAAGGAGCCAAGTCATAATAGCCAAGAGAATGAGGAAAAGGCCTTGAAGGTATTTCAGAGAACTTTGCTGCAGCCCTTCTCATCACAGGCACATATACCTAGGAGGAAAGACTGGTTTTGTGGGCCAGGCCCAGGCTCCACTGCCCCGCACAGCCTCATGCCCCTGTTCCCTGGATGCTGGTCACTCCAGCTCCAGACGTGGCTCAAAGGAGCCCAGGTAAACCTCAAGCTGCTGTTTCAGAGGGTACAAGCCATAAGCCTTGGTGGCTTCCAGGTGATGTTAAGCCTGTGGGTACACAGAGTGCAAGAATTGAGGCTTAGGAGCCTCTACCTTGATTTCAGAGAATGTATGGAAAAGCCTGAAAGTCCAGGCAGAAGAGAAGCCTGTTGCAGGGGCAGAGCCCTCATGAAGAAACTCTACTAGGGCAGTTCAGAGGGGAAATGTGGTGTTGGAGTTCCCACACAGAGTCCTCACTGGGTACTGCAAAGTGAAGCTGTGAGAAGAGGGCCACCATCATCCAGACCACAAAATGTTAGAGAGATACCCACAGCTTGTGCCACGTGCCTGGAAAAGCTGCAATGCCAGCTCTTGAGAACAACTGTGGTGGCTGAGCCCTGCAAAGCCACAGAAGCAGAGCTGTTGAAGGCCTTGGAAGCTCAACCCTCGCACTAGTATGTCCTGGATGTGAAAAATGCAGTCAGGGGAGATTATTTTGGAGCTTTAAGATTTAATGACCATCCTCCTGAATTTCAGACTCGTATGGAGCCTATTGCCCCTTCCTTTTGGCTGATTTCTCTCTTTTGGAATAGGAGTACTTACCCACTGCCTAAACCTCCATTGTATTTTGGAAGTAACTAATTTGTTTTTGATTTTACAGTATTATAGGTGGAAGGGACTAGCTTGTATCAGACTTTGGACTTTGGAGTTAATGCTGAAATGAGTTAAGACTTTGGGGACCATTGTGAAGGCATGATTTTATTTTGAAATGTGAGAAGGACATAAAATTTGAGAATGGTCAGGGGAAAAATGAAATGGTTTGGATCTGTCACCAACCAAATCTTATGTCAAATTGTAATCCCCAGTGTTGGAGGTGGGGCCTGGTGGGAGGTGATTGAATCATGAAGTTGGATCCTTTATGAATAGTTTATTAGCATCCCCTCAGTTCTGTTCTCATGATAGTGAGTTATCATGATATCTGGTTGTTTAAAGGTGTGTAACACCTTCTGCTTCTCTCTCTTTTGCTCCTGCTCCAGCCATGTAAGACATTCCTGCTTCCCCTTTACCTTTCACCATGATCGTAAGTTTCCTGAGTCCTCCCCAGAAGTGAAACCTGCTATGCTTCCATACAGCCTGCAAAACCATAAGCCTACTAAATTTATTTTCTTTATAATTACCTAATCTCAGGTATTTCTTTATAGCAGTGTGAGAACAGACTAATACAGTGCACACCACTATGCCTAGCTATTTTTTTTTTATTATTATCTTTTGTAGAGGCCAGTTCTAGCTGTGTTGCCTAGGCTGGCCTCAAACTCCTGGCCTCAAGCAATTCTCCTGCCTTGGCTTCCCAAAGTGCTGAAATTACAGACATGAGTCATGGTGCCCAGCCCATTTCCATTAAAATTGTAATATAACCTCTTGGATATTCATCACCTTTTCTCTACATTGTTTTGGTATCTGTAAAATGCAGCACATGATTTAAATTATCTCTAACTTTGTTGTAAGTTTTAACATTCCATTAATCTATCTCTTCCTCCTGTAATTAAATCTGTTTTTCTTCAATCTCTAGAATGTAACATTGATGAAAATTATAAGCATATAACCTAGCCTCAAAACTCAAAAATCAGATCTCAAAAGCTAAGCATATATATTTATTGGGCTACAAAGCTACAGGAAGAATAGATCTCTGGGAGGCCTTGAACTGACCATGTTTTTCCCCACTCTCACTTGTGGTTCTTGAGAATATCTGTAGATTGTATTGGGAATGCAACATCTTGAGATGAGGTTGAACTGACTGGAACAGCCTAAGCTCTGTTTCTGTTCCCTCCAAGAGAAGAGTGTCCTACAGCATTTTAGCCCACTGAGTCCAGTAATTCTAGGGTATATAACCCAGGTGGGCTACTTTTCAGGATCCCTCAGCAGTGATGTAAGTGAGGCACCGGCAGACAAGATTCCATTCGCTCTGAGCAGATTTCCTTAGCTTTGAAGGAGCGGGTTTCTACGAATCCTAGGCTTCTGCTGTTCCTTACTGCGTATCTGTAAGCAACAAACTTGCTTCATACAACTAGTGTGAATGTTCTATCTCACTGAACTCTGGCAAGCAGTAAAATTGCAGACCAAGATTCAGTGAGCTGAAGTGGTAACCAGGGCATGATGAATCTTGTTAGTACCACACAAGTATATTTTTGTGATTTAAAAAATGAGAAATTGCAATGAATTGAAAATAACCAAAAATACATATTATTTTTACTTTACATTTTTTAGTATGCATATATGTTAAGCATCTTAATTTATATAGAAATTTATTATATTCTAATATTTATGTATATTAAGAAAAGCCTATTGAATTTGCATGTAAGCCATTTAAATAAAATCTGTCAACTTTTTTACTCGTATATCTTATCTGGCTTATTTACTTAATCACAGATAATTTTCCAAAGCAACAATTGTGTTGCAGTCAATTATGTGTGATTGAAACTTGGTTTATAAAAGCAAATGTATTAAATTCAAGTGTTAAATCTGCAAAAACCTGATGAGTACTGTTTGGTTTATAAATTACGATCTCATAAAAGTGCTAATATTTTAATATTATTATTATAGCATATAAACTAGTATCACATCCCCAAAGACATAAGTGTTTGTACAATATATCTAAGTTTGTGTAATACCAGTAACAGTAAAATACCTTGCAGCTTAATATCTGCCAGTCACTGTTCTGAGCATGTGCTATGGATTAATCCTCAAAATAATTGTAAATACTGATTCCCATTATTTCCATTTTACAGGTGAGGAAACTGAGCAACAGAGCAGTAAGCAGTTTGTCGAAGATCAGACAACTCCTGCATAGTGGGTCCAAAAGATAAATTCTATTACTCTGATCCAGAATCTTGCTCTGAGACATTCTGTTATCTATTTTTTTGTGTATACCTGGTATAAACTATATATATATATAGTTGCTCTTTATATGACACTCTTGGTTTCTTTAATATAAAATATGAATAAAATGAATAACAAAGAAATTCTAACATTCCCGTATTTTGTTTTACAGTATGATATGATTCTTATAACTAATTGTTGAAATATTCCTCTGATAATACTGACAATAAAAAAAGACATTTAACTATATTTCTTACAAATGGATGATATGAAGTATATAGTAACAATAACAAAACTTATTTTTAAAAAATCTAACTTTCAGTAGCAGTTAGTATGTATATTATCTTTGAATAGGATTTTTTTAAAGAAAACATTTAAGACTCTCTAGTACCAGGCTCTTCAATGTTTTCTACCAGGGATATGGGATAGTAAGGCATGACATACACAGCCCCATGGGGAAATGATGCCATGTTTTTCGGGAGCAAATGTTCCTGTAATATGGAGGTGTTTTGAATTATGTATAATTAGAATCACATTTCATACAAAGGGAACCCGAGGACATCATGGTGAAGAATGTATGATTTAAAATAAATTCATTTTAATGTAAAAAACATGAGTTGGAAAATACCCTTTGCACTTCGGGTAAGACCACAGACATAGCACCACTTCACTCCATTTGGAGAAGTGTTATGCTGTCTGGTAAATTTAAGTAGAAAAGCTTAAAAATAATTAACGGGAAAGATTTTGTATATTGTGAATTGTTAAAGCTCAGAGGATATAGGGTATTTACTCATTACTAAGGAATGTTGTAGCCCAGCCAGCAGTAGTATTCAACAATCTTTGTTTTCATTTTTGTGCTTTACTACTTCACTTTCTACTTTATCATTCGACTTTATTTTCCACTTTACTATTTGTCTTCCTAATAATGCATGTCTTCAGGGGACTATTCCTGGTTGTTCATTCCTTAATCCAGTGGCTGCAATCTATAAGATCAGGAGAATGGTGTTGTCATTGCTATCAGTGTTCTTGCCATCACAACCAGGCTATTCGTGATACATTGACAGCTAGACAATGGAGTATAAGTTCTAGCACCTCACAATAAATATTCGTGCCTGTGGAAGCCTGTCCATTTGCCTTCATTGCTGTAGGAAGAATGGTCAACCCTCCTGGTTCTGTTCAAGTGCATCTCATTAGCTGACCCTATATTGCCTCAAGAAATCTAGCTACAAGTATGTGAAAGAAATGTCCTTGTTATCATTCAAACCCTGCATATAGGTAACAACATAGAAAGGAAAGAAACAGCTGTAATATGGACATTATCTTGAAGATTAATACTAAGAAACAATGTAAAAATAACAAGAAAATATTCTAATCTAGTCCTGAGAGTCACAATAAAAATAAATATTGGAGAAAGTACAATTTTATACAAGTCATAACCAAGAATATGCTAAAATCATCTTTGAGCAATAATATAAGCAAAGAATATACATTTACAAAGTATGTAAATGATAAGAGTTTTAGCAATCACTATGGAATAATTATAGTATGGGATAACTATGGAATTATTTAGCAATAGATTATGGAGTAAACTATAGAATGTGGTAGGGAAAATGTTACAGGATATCAAAAGAGTCGACTAAGCATAAATGGCTGTGAAACACCTAAGGCGGGGCTTCACTCATGGTCACATAGCTTAAGAATGATCACTGATTTCTTTGTGAGACAGTAATATTTATGCATAACCTAGAATATATATTGCCTTTTACAACAAAAGTTTTTTTGTAACATAGGTAACAAGTTAAATAATGACTGAAAAACTTTTACATATGAAATGGGGAGCAAGAAGATACTCCTGACTATTCCAATCACAGTTTAGCCGTTAGAAGTATGCATACTCAACAAAACATTTATCATAATATTTTGCTAGTAAAATCATTAATAGATTGTCCTCTGTAGTGGTAGAGATAGGTGCTACAATAAATTACTCTGTATTAAGTTTTAGGTACACAGCCTGGCTATTGTGTGCTTTTAATATAAAATATTGCATAAAAAGGCATAAGCTAAAATGAGGCAGAATTTATTTGGATACTATTTACTTGATTGTTTTCTCTATCTCGGCAACAGAATATTAGTCCAATTGTCATGACAGAAATACTCAGTCTACATATAAATATTTAATGAAAATTAGAAAAAATTTTGCTTTAACTTGTGATTTCTACTGATATTTTTTAATTTTGAAGAAAAAATGGAATATGAGCTCATATCTGTAACATCTATTGATCTATCTATCTAGACTTGTCAAAATTTATTAATACATATATTCAGAGCTTTCATCTTAAAAGCTATCCAACAGTTGCTAACTTTTCTTCTATTGTAGAGAAAACATTCTTGTTTGCTTTGAAATATCTTAAACCAGTCTTCCTTCAGAATATTTACTAGAATAACATTGAAATGTTTTCCTTTTATATCAATAAGTGTGTATATATTCACACACTAAAAAAATGGTAGGGGAAAACAATCAAAATTAAAGAAGTGAAAAACAGAGAGATAAACAATCACTGATATAGCACATATGACACATTTGAAACAAGCCCTCTGAGTAGGAATCCAAGACACAACTTTTTTCTTTCATAAGAACCTACAAATGCTCAAAGTTTTGTAGCACTGGGTTCAGATCCACATCTCTTCCAATTCCTTGGCAACAGATGAGTTGCAAAATTCAGAACTTTTGGATTTTAGAAAGGTAATATGGTGCGTATATTATGTAACACGTAACACACATTAATACTGCAATGAAACATATAAATAATTCATAGTGAAGAAAAAGCAAAACCTTATATATAATAGTAAGGTCATAGTTTGTTTCCAAACTCATTATAAAAGCAAAGAAAGATAACAAACAAATAAAAAACCATTAACTTTTGGGTCTGCAGATAAGGCATGCTGAACTTTCGTCTGTGACAGTGTAGAAGGGTAGTGCTCAAAACACGAGGCAAGCCAAAAGCGTTTTAAAAGCATCAAAATGCCAGATATCCTGCCCCATTCTCAGCTAGATAATGCCAGATATCCTGCCCCATTCTCATCTTTCCCATATTGAAGAAGATTTATCATATTGATAAAGGAAATGACTGAGAAGTTAAAAGTGGAGCAATGCATTCAAAATTCACAGAGAAAATGATTTCCAGAACTGTACCCACCTAAGCCATCCATGTAATAATAGGGGTCAAATGAAGACATTTCAGGCATAGATATCAAAATATTTTCCATTTTAGGAAGGTACAGAAGGATATATGCAACAAAATGAGACAGTATAAAAAGAAACTACATGGGTTATGAAATCAGGGAATGAAATACACATGCCAGCAGGAGCAATCTCCAAGTTAATATAGGGAGTTTAAACTTTGAGAGTTGTGCAAGAAACGGAGAGAGCAGCCTGTCCAGCAGGCCAGAAAGTTCTAGAGATGCCTTTAAGCTTACAAAACCAATAATGATAAAATGTTACAAAAGTGGTATTTCTTGATGGTTTTGATTTTATTTCTGGAGTGGGATTATGACGTGCTGGGATGTGACTTAGTGTTACTTGTGGATAAAATGTTATACATGCCTCTTATATGAACAGTCATAATACGGAGAATATATAATCATAAATTACGATACAACTAATTCTGTGGAAATGGGTGAACAGTAGTATGTTGAATGGTGATGGCAGCAGAATGCAGGTGGTGAAGCAGTGAGTGCTACATCATTATAAAAGTAAAGAACAAATAAGTATGTTACTGTAAACTAGAGATATAAGATAATAAAAAGAAGAAATCTAAATTGTTCAAAGCATTTGCTTCTGGTGATCAGGAAATGGGGGAAGGATCATGAAAGATTGCTTTTTTCAATTAAATCCTTGTATAATCATTTGATTCTTTAAATATTGTGCATCTACACTATTGATAAATGTATCCTAAATTAAAAAAAATAGTAGACTTTAAATTAAGAACTAGTCAAGCCCATTGCAGCTAAGTAGACACAGGGTTTATGAAAGGAATGATGAGAAGAAAATTCAGAAAGACTGTTTGGGGCCTTATCCTGTGAAATATGTGTCAATGTTAGAACACTTTGTTTTAAATGCTACAAGCAATAGGTATCATTGAATGACTTTAAATGGAATTTATTTTAACTTTCCAGGCCTCCCGTATAGCACTCCTTGAAGAGAAGAAACGCTGTTCTCTCAACCCAGGAAGTATTTATTGAACAAGCACTATTTTTTATTTATACATTAAGATCTTCTTTCTGGTTACTAATAAATGTAAAAGATGAGGGATGGGAGGAAGTAAATATATCTATTTATTTATAGATCTATCTATCTATCTATCTATCTATCTATCTATCTATCTATCTATCTATGAGAAACCATGATGACTAAACTATTTACCTTAAGGCTTTGGAAATTCCCGGAGTAAGACACCACATGGCATCTCCATTTAATTCTTTAGTCTTTGATTATGCAAGTGTTTAAAGTACTGTAAGTACAGAATCAATTATCAGTCTTTGTTAACTCAGAACCTGTTCTGCAAATTACAGCTGCCTACTTAAATTAAACCTCCTCTCTGGACCTACAAAAATATAGCTAAATGATGTCTATGAATATTCTTTTTAACTAGAGGTTCTCAAACATTAAAGCACATAAGAATCAATCGAAAATCTTATTTAAAATGCAAATTGCAGAATTGCAGAGCCCCATCTCAAGAGATTCTGATTCAGTACTTCTACTCTGATATCCAAGAATCAATCCGTCTCTCCTTCTCTCTCTCTCTCCCTACAAGTCACTATACTTTTCAGGTGGATTATAGACAATATTTTAGATGAAAGAAAGAAGACCAAAACAACTCTACATTCCTGTTATGTGTTTATACTCTCTCTGGAAGCTGCATTCTCTTCTTGAAAATAGGCACAGAACTTTTTAGGGAGAGATTTGTTCTGTGACACCTTCAGCCATAATATTCTTTCATATTATTAAATTCTTACAGTATAACCAAATTAGAGAAATCATAATTTATGAAGTTTTTCATATATTTTGAACAATCCTAATAATCCCACCACTCTGTAAAAATTAACATGAATATATTATTTTCCTCATACGAAATATGTAACAACTGCAAAGATAATATTAAAATATTTTGAAATATTTTAGCAGAAAAAGAAACTTGAGAACATTAAGAGAACCTAAGGAAAATCAATCTACTGGGAGTAAAAATAAAAGAGTTTGAAAAGTGCTTCTTTGCAAATACGAGACATGTTCTTAGTTAAAATAGAAAACAAACAAAAAAGCAGTCATCAAACAATGTAGAGTAGTCCAAATAATTTGTGGTCAGCTAATTAATTTGCTAATTAGTAACTTCTTTGCAAATTTCAGTCCCATCTTGGCTTTGTTTCTTAGCAGTTGTAGAAACAGTATTCTGCAAATGAACCACAATGTAGTGCATAGCCATGGGGAAATCTTGCCATAATCTCTGTTTAGTTTCCAATAGGAGAGCCACTAGCTAAATGTGGCTTACTGGGCAAAGACATATGGCTAATCTACACTGAGATATGCCTCAGGTATAGAACACACACCAACTTTTGAAGACATATTATACCAAAAAAAAAAAAAAGGAATGTAAACTCTCTTGTTAATACTTTGTGTTACACGCTGAAAAGATAATATTGAGATTTATTGAATTAAACATAACATGATTAAAATTAATTTCTTAGGTTTCTTTTTTTAACTTTATTATAGCTACTAGAAAACATGAAGTTTCTTATGTGGCTTGCATTAAATTTTGGTTGTTTTTTTTCTCATCCTTGTTGAGGAATGATTGAAAAATAAAAATTGCATATATTTAAGCTGTAGAACTTGATGTTTTGATAGACATATATGTTGTGAAATGAATATTACAGTCAAGCTTATTAGCATATCATCTGCCATAGTTATGATTCATTTATTTGTGGTGAGAAGACTTAAGATCTACCCTCTTAACAAATCTCAAGTATACAATACAGTATTGTTAACTATCGTTGCCATGCTGTGCATTTGATCCTCAGAACTCATTCATCCTGCATAACTGAAACCTTGTAGCTATGGCTCTGTAAGGATTATGTCAGACATGAGTCCCTTTTATGTTATACTGTAATTTGAAAGGATATTAACAGCACCTCCAGTCATGTTTCTTCATCCCTCCTATCATTCTATCACTGACTATGAAGTTTTGAAGACAGCAGCTACGGTGGAGATGTAGGCAGAAGCCTTTTCTGCTCTTCTTTTATTGGGTTTTTCCCTGCCCTGCCCTCCCTTGGCAGTTGGCCTTTTCTTTGTCTCTGCCTTCAGAAGTGATGGCTCTGTCCTGGCTTCTATCCTCAAATGATTCTTCATTCTGGAGGTTCTGCAACAACTGCTTCCTCAACTTCAAGTATAGAAATTAGATAAACTTGGTTTTACTTTTTACCTTAAGCCAGGTTCTAATTAAAAGGCAAAACAAAACAAAAAAAAAGTAGCCATTCTTATTCATAACCGCAGCAAATTGATATTTAGTTTGCCCATCTTGATTTGTCTAATACATAAGTGTATCAGGCTAAACTGAATTGGCATAATATCTAAAATTACTAATTCCAGAGAAAAGGTGTCTGAAAGACTGAAAATAATTTTTCCCTAGGAAGAAATGGTTTGCCAAGCAAATTAATAATGTAAAAGTTTTTCAGAGCTAATTACAACCCTTTCTTATTTGATCATTAAAACAGTTTTCCTTTGTTAGGCAATATTTTGTTAACCTAGTTTAGTCAGAGTGCGCATTAATGAAACTGAATTTTTTCAAAATATGGTATATTATTCGGTCATTATTTTTCTACTAAGAATAAACTTTACTAGAATTATTAAAAATAAATAAGACTTTAAAAATTACCTTAGTTTTTGCAGAGTGCTATTTCTTTAAAAAATTCTTTAAAAAATTCAGAATGAAATTGCAATTTATAAGTTTTGTTGAGTATTTACCCAAAGTTTGATTATCTTGGCCTGGGGAATAGCTTGAGGTTCAGATAAAATGTGACTTCAAAATGCAAACCTAGTCTGAATAATTAAGATTTAAATGTACTTTTACCTTAAATAGATAATATAAAAAAACTTAACTCTGGATTAGCATACATTTTCCTGAATCTTCTTTTCAGCTATAATCCAGACCAATATGCAAACAACATATATAAATATGAAATCACATTTCAGCACATCCAATATTATTCTGCCATTATAATTGCTAATCCCGAAATAATTCTGGCAGCAAGGAAGAGGATCTCTAGGGCGTCCCAAAACTACTCAAAATAAAGTGATATGTTAATAGAGAACTGCAGAGAAGCATGTCCCTGGCATGACTGGAGTCAGGCTGGTAATCTAGCAGCAAAGGTTGGCTGAGAGCTGAAGCAAGAAGATGTCAAGCCAGGTAGTGTATGGAAGGAAAGTTACCACTGAGGGCATAACATTTACCAGTGCACAGTGTTACAAGGGCATGCAAACTTGTCAAATAAATTGTTGTAGAGCTTGGATGCAAGAGATCAAAGTCCTATGGGTGGTGGCACTGTGGGCCCGAGGAATCAGTCTATTCAGAGTTGCCCGGCTCATTACAAAGCTAGAGAATAGGACTCAGTTACAAGAAGAATTTGCTGGCAAATACTCAGCAGGCAGATTGCTTAAGTCCTGTCCAATCCAATTGTCCATTGAGTACACAGTGACTTGGCTTGAGCAAATTTTTTTTTTTTTTTTTTTTTTTTTTTTTGAGACGGAGTCTCGCTCTGTCGCCCAGGCTGGAGTGCAGTGGCGGGATCTCGGCTCACTGCAAGCTCCGCCTCCCGGGTTCACGCCATTCTCCCGCCTCAGCCTCCCAAGTAGCTGGGACTACAGGCGCCCGCCACTACGCCCGGCTAATTTTTTGTATTTTTAGTAGAGACGGGGTTTCACCATTTTAGCCGGGATGGTCTCGATCTCCTGACCTCGTGATCCGCCCGCCTCGGCCTCCCAAAGTGCTGGGATTACAGGCGTGAGCCACCGCGCCCGGCCGGCTTGAGCAAATTTTAATCATGCTTCTCCTCTCCTTACAGACCTCTGAACCTAAACTTGGTTCAACCCCAAGTCTAAGCACGCACTAAGGTACAGAACTTGCCCCATTAACAGCTCATTCCAACAACTACCACACAAAGAGAAACATTTCTGGTTGAACCACCCCAATCATGCTGTCTGCCAATCCCCACCTAGATGTCCAGGTTCTTCTCAAGTTCCTGCTATCTCTGCTTATCCTTCCCTATAAAAGAGAGCTTTTTCTGTTTTTGGATAAGATATTTGCACATCCTAAGATTAGCGTTTCCTCCCTATTGCAAGTCTTTTGGGGTAAATCATCACCTACATCTGGATTTGTTTTTGACAGTCCCAGTGATGGGTCTGCCTCATTCTTTCCATCTCCTCCCATTCTTTTGTCTCCCTTGACTTTTTGCTGTTATCTGTAGTTATCCTAAAGAAGTGGTAAATCCAAGAATAAAATTCTTACACGAAGGTCTGACCTATTACTGCACATTCTAGAACTCTGCCTGGAATGTCCTCAATTCATTTCTCCTTTTTCTCCTGGAAAATTTCTTCTACTGCAGTCCTCAACCTATATACTTTAGAAAGAGTCCTCTGATGAATGCGATTGAATTAGATGTCTGTTTTTTTTTTTTTCTTTACACAGCTTACACAGGTTTTTATACCTAGCCTGACTGTAGTTATTCTGACTGCAGTATAAATGCCTGTTTCATTACATTTGCGTTTCTAATCTCCCTAAGGGCCTGCTCTGTGTCTTGTTCATTATTATCTCCCAGTATCTAGCACAGAGCTTACCACATATTTATTGTTTATTAATATTTTCTTATTATGTTACCAAATAAGTGAAATAATAAATACCTAGGCCCCATATTCACTAGAAATTAGCATGCCCCATTAACCAAAACAGAAGACAAATTGTATTAGAAAAACCTGTGCATTCATGGCCTAGGAATGTCTGAAAAGTAACCCAGTGCAGCCCTTATGGACCACATCCACAAAATTGTGTTGAGATGGAAATGGTAATGTGATTTGACTGATGCCATTAAAGCATTCACTGCCCAGGTCAAGAGTAATGGCTTAGAAACTCAGCAGAGCTCCACCTCTGATAGGTAAGGATACTAGCAGCAGGTATGCAAGTCAGAAGAGGCACAGAGATAGGAAAGTCCAGGACTGCTTATTTCATTAGTCACCACATTGTGTTTCATGCTATTGTCATGAACCTGATTACCACTCTGTCCAACATTATTTCATACCTGTTCCTTTTAATTTCCTATTTTTATATCTTCAGTTTTCCATCTACCTTCAATCAATTTAAGATTGTATCACAATTTCTTAATTCTTATTGTATTCATTCTATCATATCTAAATGGGACACTCAGCCTGTGCCTTTTTCTTTTGCAAATTACTCTAACAGAATTCTATTACTGAGAAACATTTCCAAAATTTAGCCTCCTGATTAAAAACTTGCAAAGTTTTAATGAACTTCACTACCCAAGAGACTGCTTTTACTACCGTATCAAAACAATGCAGATTGTGAAGATAGATAATGATAAGATTGGCAAAAGATTCTGGATGAACTCTTGAAGCTGATTAAACTGGGCCACCTGTTTTACAAAGTTCATTTTGCATTGGTATGTGTTTCATCTAGTCAGGTAACAATTGCCTGGCTTAATTGCATCAGTATGTGATTTTTCTGACCAGGGCAAATAGGATATGCCTTTGGAGAGAAAAATGTCTTAAAATGTTTGTTTATTCTATTTAATGTTCAAGGCTATTGAAAGACAATACATGTGAAGTATTAATATAAGGACCACTAAAAGTTTTTTCAAAAAGCTAACTCTGGATATGTGGTCATTATTATATTTAATGAGCTGTCATATATTTTTTGAAAGTAACATTAAAATATTATAAAAAGATACTATAAATTGTAGAGCAATAATGAAATTCCAAAAAAGAGCATAACTTTATGATACATTTTTAGATATTCATTCATAATTTAGATTGCTTAACATAAGCTTTATTTTGTTCTTAAAGTCTTTTTCTGTACTTTTGCTGTTGTTTTTGCTGTTATTATGGGACAAAATAATCTTCCCACAAATAAATGTGGTGTGACTATTATTAAATATTTTTTATGATCTGGGTTATGAATACCAATTATTGATATTATTAACTTCTATTGTTTTTACTTCTATGTATCAGCTATATGCGGATTTTATTGAAAAAAAAGTGGATTCCTGCATGGTATCTGCTTTCCTCTTTCTCTTCTAACGATACCTTTAGGGGTAAGTTAACGTGTGTAGTGTGTATGAGTTGGTGGAAGTGGGTGGTAAAAATACAGGAAATTATGCCTGATTACTTGCTTAGCTTGCATTTGGCAGTCAAAGCTAGTATTCAAACACAACCCTGGGCTAGATGAGGAAGAGGCAGTGTGTTGAGGGGAAGTACTGCAGGGAAAAAGCAGGGAGATACTGCTGAAAAGAGGTAAGAACAATTTATCATGCTTTTTATTCCATTGCTCAGTTACTACGGCAAGAACAAATCAGAGTGGACTAACACTCCATGCCCCTTATTCATTTGTTTAACCATTACGTATTGAGTGCCAATTATAGAAAAAGCATTGGTTTAGGCACTAGACATCTAGCAAGAAAAGAAAAATAACTACTGTCTCACAAAGGTTCATTTTCCCATCTTAAGGAAGCAGTACAACTGAAGGTTTGCAAAGTAGCACTTCCCCAATCCAGCTCTGAAGATTTGCTGTGATGAGCTACGATGAATGCATAACTTCACACCATGTGCCTTTATAAGTTTGCCTTATGGTTCCACTTCAAAATATTCAGTTCACATGGCTAATTAGCATATTTATATATCTATAATATATTATGAGTATTTATGCTACATATTGTCTCTTTGTAACTCCAAGTTCTATATCATGATAAGATGACCTGATTTCTAGTCATGCATCTAGGAGTTATGTGTGAGCTGCTTGACTTAATGCTCTTTAGTTCTTGCATCTTTAAAATGTGCATGGTAGTAGAGTAAAATTTAATTTCTACTGAGTGGATCAGGATGAATATTATTTCATAAAAGTGGATCTTCTCTAAGGGTGGAAATACATATGAACCATTTAATGAAATAATTATACACAGGGGAAGGGGTGTGGCAGGGAGAGGAAGTCCTCTATTCTACTTAAATAAAGGGGATAGCACCTTCCTGTTTTTATTTTTCTTATTTTACTTTCTGTGAATGAATTATAATGCAAAACACCTCAATAAAAGAACTAAATTAAAGATCTACAATAGTCCTAAATGCTTCTGTCTGATCACATGTACTGTCAAGCTGTTATTTCTAGTGTGAGAGTTGACAGGCATATAAGAACCAGTTCTCTTTCTTGTTCTCCCCTCCCTTCCTCCTCTATAAGTATTCTCCTTTCTATTAATACTGTAGGCTCTTGAGAGAGCTCAGGCTAACTGAGCCAAATTTCATGAGACACCTATTAAAAGGTTTCTCCATCAAATCTCCTGGAAAGGGAAGAAGCCCTACTGGCCATATTCCGTTGTAATTCAACTATGTCTGACAAATGAAAATATTTTAAAATATCAGTTTTCAAAGTGAATTTAACAAATAAATTAATGAATATTTACGTGGTTTGGCTGTGTTATTACCCAAATCTCGTCTTGAATTGTAGTTCCCATAATCCCCACATGTTGTGAGAGGGACCCAGTGGGAGGTAACTGAATCATGGGGGCAGTTACCCCCATGCTATTCTCATGATAGTGAGTGAGTTCTCATGAGATCTGACGGTTTTATAAATGTCTGGCATTTCCCCTGGTGGCATTCATTCTCTCTCCTGCCACCCTGTGAAGTGGCGCCCTCTGTAATAATTCTAAGTTTCCTGAGGCCTCCCCTGCCGTGTGGAACTGTGAGTCAGTTAAACCTCTTTCCTTTATAAATTACCAGTCTCGGGTATGTTCTTATAGCAGCATGAGAACAGACTAATACACTAAATTGGTACCAGGAGTGAAGTGCTCTTATAATGATACCTGAAAAGGTGGAGGTGACTTTGGAACTGGGTAACAGGCAGAGATTGGAAAAGTTTGCAGAGCTCAGAAGACAGGAAAATGTGGGAAAGTTTGGAATTTTCTAGAGACTTGGAAGGCTCAGAAGACAGGAAGATGTGGGAAAGTTTGGAACTTCCTAGAGACTTGTTGAATGGCTTTGCCCAAAATGCTGATATTGATAAGGACAATGAAGTACAGGCTGATGTGAGCTCAGATGGAGATGAGGAGCTTGTTGTGAACTGCAATAAAGGTGATTCTTGCTATGCTTTAGCAAAAAGACTGCAGCATTTTGCCCCTGCCCCAGAGACCTGTGGAACTTTGAACGTGAGAGAAATGATTTAGGGTATCTGGTGGAAGAAATTTTTAAGCAAAAAAGCATTCAAGAGGAAGCAGAGCATAAAAGTTTGAAAAATTTGCAGCCTGGTGATGCAATAGAAAAGAAAACCCATTTTCTGGGGAGAAATTCAAGCCTGCTTTAGAAAATTGCTTAAACAATGAGGAACAGAATGTTAATCACCAAGACAATGGGAAAAATGTCTCCAGGGCATGTTAGAGACTTTCGGGGGATGCCCCTCCCATCATAGCCCCAGAGGCCTAAGAGGAAAAAATTGCTACCTGGGCCAGGCCCAAGGCCCCCTGCTCTGTGAAGCCTCAGGACACAGTGCCCTTTGTCCAGCAGCTTCAGCTTCAGCCATGACTGGAAGGGCCAAGGTACAGCTCGGGCCATTGCTTTAGAGTGTGCAATCCCCAAGTCTTGGTGGCTTCCACATGGTGTTCAGTATGTGGGTGCACAGAAGTCAAGAATTCAGGTTCAGAAAGCTCTGCCTGGATTTCAGATTATATATTGCCATGCCTGGATGTCCAGGCAGAACTTTGCTACAGGGGCAGAGCCCTCCTGGAGAACCTCTGCTAGCACAGTGCAAAAGGGAAATGTGGGGTCACAGCCCCCACACAGAGTACCCATTAGGGCACTGCCTAATGGAGCTGTGAGAAGAGGGCCACTATCCTCCAGACCCCAGAATGGTTAGATCCATCAACAGCTTGCCATGTGCCTGGAAAAGTTGCAGACACTAAAGGCCAGCCTGTGAAAGCAGCTGGGAGGAAGACTGTACCCTGCAAAACCACAGGCATGGAGCTTCCTGAGG
The DNA here is from genome assembly GCF_000001405.40 of Homo sapiens. NCBI lineage: Eukaryota > Metazoa > Chordata > Mammalia > Primates > Hominidae > Homo > Homo sapiens. The sequence continues at coordinate 34,206,440 of NC_000004.12, forward strand.
TTTTAGGAGCTCATCTCTTGCATCAGCATGACCTGGATGTGAGACATGGAGTCAAAGAGGATCATTTTCAAACCTTAAGTTTGAATTATGGCTCTATTGGATTTTGGACTTGCCTGGGGCCTGTAGCCCCTTTGTTTTGGCCAGTTTCTCTGATTTGGAATGGTATATTTATCCAGTGCCTGTACCCCCATTGTATCTAGGAAGTAACTAACTTGAATTTGATTATATAGGCTCCTAGGTGGAAGGGATTTGTCTTGTCTTAGATGAGACTTTGGATTTGGACTTTTGGGTTAATACTGGAATGAGTTAAGACTTTGGAAGACTGTTCGAAAGGCATGATTATGTTTTGAAATGTGAGGACATGAGATTTGGAAGAATCCAGGAGTGGAATGATATGGTTTGGCTGTGTCCCACCCAACTCGCATCTTGAATTATAGTTCCCATAATCCCATGTGTTGTGGGAGGGAGCCATTGAGAGGTAATTGAACCATGGGGCAGATATCCCCATGCTGTTCTCGTGATAGTGAGTTCTCACAAGATCTAATGGTTTTATGAGACTCTGACATTTCCCTGCTGGCATTCATTCTGTCTCCTGCTGTCCTGTGAGGAGGTACCTTTCACCATGATTGTAAGTTTCCTGAGGCCTCCGCAGCCATGTGGAATTGTGAGTCAACTAAACCTCTTTCCTTTATAAATCATCTAGTCTCGAGCATGCCCTTATAGTAGCATGAGAATGGACTAATAAAAATACATAAAGAGGCTTTTCTATAGAAGTATATTGTCCTAGTAGAAGTCAATGCTAATGAATCTTCAGTGCTAATTAGTCATCTTCCTAAGGAGATGCTGTTTTCTTTGTGAATCGGGTACTCTAATCAAAATAGACTTTGTAAATTTGTTAAAAATTCCAAAGTTTCTGAAGAAGACTGCTCTCTTTGGATTCCTGACACAGAATTTAACCAGAAGGTAAAAAGAAAGAAGAGGAAAATAAACAAGATTGCCATGAAGGGTTGACATATTAGGATAAAAAGGACAATACCCCCACCATACACATACATACAGGTGCATGTACACACCCACACTCACACACACACACATGCAAATACAGCAAGTCAGTAGAAATTAAGCAGACAGTGGGAAAAGGGGAAGTTTACATTCTAAGCATGCTTGTCAATCATGCTGGTGAATAGCAACATTAAAGAATCATAATCTGATAACAAAACTGAGAATTCAGATAAAAACAATTTAAGTATGGTTTTGTTCCTCTTACTGCTCTGCAACTGAAAGATAATAAAAATATCTACAAAATCTAGTAGGTAAATTAAATATTTACCTTAGCTCTTCTGCCAATAAAAGGAAGAGACCCTTAGCATGCCAAGAAATTCAATGATTTTGTTGTTTATTGTAATAACAAAGCTGGCCTCATAAATATATTCGTACAGATAAGTGACTTGGAAATAAGGGTACTTCCACCATTTATTTCAGCTGTTCTCTCAGATCCACTATCTAGTAATGGGATTTGTAAACATATTAAGATTCAATTTGAACATTCTGTTAAAATGCTGGTCTTGAAAAGATAAAACATTATAACTTGCAATATCACAATTTATTCTATTTGCAATTATCACAATGAGTACATGTCAGTTGCACCAATGTTAAATAAGAACTTATGTTTATTACAGTTTGATGACATTATAGATGTCATCTCTAAAACTATGTAGGTTATTCTTTTATAAAATACAAAATATTTAAATATTATCAGCCCTTTTTAAAGTAAGAGATTGACTACCAACTCCTAGTCTTAACTTTTGTTTTTTGTGCTTGCTTTTCTAGGGCACTATTTAAAAAAAAAAAAAAAAAAGGCCCTGACTAAATTGTAATGCAAAATATTTAAATACTACTATATGCAAAATTATGTTATTAGAATTTTAATCATACTTTTACCCTAGATTTTTTTAAATGCCTACTTAAATGTAGTAAATATTTCCATTTTTTTTGAAGTTTTTTCTTTTTATTATTCATTCAGTTACTGTGTTTCAGTAACTGCAGGAAAAATAAGCTACTTTGGTATTTCAAAACTTGAAATACCAAAGAGAAAACAGACCCCTTATAGAGCCAGATCCATTTAGAATTTTTCCTCCTGATTCATTCTCATGCGTATATTTTGGGTAGCTTTCTATAAAATTACAAGGTCTTTTTAAGAATGTAGCTTGTTTTCACTTTCTCATAGACTTAATAAATAATCTAGGACTTATCTAATTCCATAGCAAGGATTTAACCAGCATAGCTTCACTTGACTTCTAAAAATATTTTATGCTCTTTGTTTGAAAAGGTGGACACAGTAGGAAAGTCTAATGCAATTGCAAATAAGTTTTACCAAAGCAAACCACACAGTTCATTTTAAAGTCGAGCTCTTAGAAGCTCACCCTTTTTTGAGGGATTGAGGTGTTTGTTTGTTTGTTTGTTTGCTTGTTTTTGAGATGGAGTCGCGCTCTGCCGTCAGGCTGGAGTGCAGGGTCTCCAACTTGGCTCACTGCAACCTCCGCCTCCCAAGTTCAAGCGATTCTCCTGCTTCAGCCGCCTGAGTAGCTGGGACTACAAGCACGTGCCACCACGCCCAGCTAATTTTTGTATTTTTAGAAGAGTCAGGGTTTCACCACGTTGGCCAGTTGGCCAGGATGATCTCGATCTCTTGACCTCGTGATCCGCCTGTCTCCAGGTGTGTTTTAGAAGAAAGCCTACTTACTCCCAGGCATGCATTCCTTTCTTTTATAACATTAAAATGTTGCAACGCAACTTTTTGCTTTATACAAATGCATATGTGTATATGTGTATTGCCATGGTTAATACCGAATGTCAACTTGATTGGATTGAAGGATGCAAAGCATTGTTCCTAGGTGTGTGTATGTCAGGGTGTTACCAAAAGATGTTAACATTTGAGTCAGTGGACTGGGAGAGGCAGACCCACACTCAATCTAGGTGGGCATCATTTAATCAGCTGCCTGCACCCCTGGAGTAAAACAGGCAGAAGAAAGTGGAATGAGCAGACTCACTGAGACTTCCAGCCTTCATCTTTCTTCTGTGCTGGATGCTTCCTGCTCTTCTACATCTGACTCCAAGTTCTTCAACTTTTGGGCTCTTGGACATCCACCAGTGATTTGCCAGGTGCCCTTGGGCCTTTGACCACAGACTGAAGGCTGCACTGCCAGCTTCCCTATTTCTGAGTTTTTGGGACACAGACTGGTTTCCATTCTCCTCAGCTTGCAGATGGCCTATTGTGAGATTTCACCTTGTGACTGTGTGAGTCAACACTCCTAAATAAAGTCCCATATATATATATATACACATATATATACACACACACACACACACACATATATATATATACATACGTATATATCCTACTAGTTCTGTCCCTCTAGGGAGCCCTGACTAATATATGTATGTATATATCTATATAATATATATTACAATGTTATTATTTAGATTTTTTCTAGATTTTTCTCTTTATTTTAATGAAGACCATTGTAAGCAGTCCAAAATACTCGGTTTTTTTTCTTTAAGCTTCATTGAAATTCTACTGTTTCTTATTACCTCATTTCTCTATGCCAAAGAAGATTTTTAATTAAGGTTATATGCATCCAGGGTCATTAATAATCTGCTGATTAATTGCCACCACATGATTTTATGATGGCTTCTTTGGAAAGGTTATAAATTATGTTTAAGCTCTAAATGCTAGGCCATTCAAAATGAATTAAAAAAACAGTAAGGTCTGATTAACTGAGAAAATGAAAGGAAATTGAAGACAAGAAAATAAATAGTTAAATAAGGAATGTTATTGATAGGATGCTAGGTTAATTATTCAATTTTAGCTATTGTAGTGAACTTACAGCTGAAAAACTTACTAAGTAGTATAAAAGATATTTTGAACGTTGTCATCACAAAAAAATGATAAATATTTAGGGTGATGAATATGGTAATTATTCTGATTTATCATTATACTATGTATACATGCACTGAAACATCACCTAGTACCCCCAAAATATCTATGATTATGTGTTAATTAGAAATTTAAAAAATAAGTAATAAGTCAACTCAGTAGGCTTTGTAAATATCTATATGTGCAGATAGAGATAACACTATGATGTTTTATTCTGAATCATTCATAAAGGCTTATAACTAACTAATAAGCTCAATATTTTAATATTAATGGGGATCTCTTCATAAATTATAACTTGTTAAATAGAGCTTCTCTAAATTTTGTCTTCTACTTCTGTCAACTAGACACTGCTGTATGTGACATTTTGTTACAAATAATGTTTTAACACTTCCAGCACTAACTTTAATCTGGGTTCACATATTACAAAGTGAACTTCACTTGAATATTATTATTATGTACATTTTGACCTTGATCAGAGATGTTGGTCTTCAAAATATCCAGGCCACATGGTCATAGAAGGTATACATGGAAAGTCAAAGCAAATTATAATAACCTAATGAAGACTGTATTTTTTTGTATGCCCTTCAATTTTCATATGACTACTAGTTTTAGAAGAATGCGACTACTTATAAAAATAAAATAAATAATTAAGCAGAAATATTTCACTCTAAGAAGTCTGAAGGACCATATCGAAAATGTTTAGAAGGGACAGTGATAAGATAGCGATTAATAGTAAGGTGCAAATAACCAAGTCAGTTAAATGTAAATGTTATTCTATACATGCATGAATACATATGTATTGAAGGAAGAAAGGGATTAAGAGATAAAAAGCAATAAAGATGGACCATTTATAATTTTTAATAATCAAAAACAGAATAGTATTGTATAGCATTATTGAGATATATTTTACATACCATAAAATTTACCCGTGTAAAGTGCACAGACAGATCAATGGTTTTCAGTATCTTGAGAGTTGCTCAGCCATCACTAAAATCTAATTTTAGATTATTTAAACAGCCTCAAAAGAAATTATTAGCAGATTAGCAGTCATTCCTCACCCTCAACCACATTCCAACTTTTCCTTTTACCCACCACCAGCTCTTGGAAAATACTCATCTACTTTCTTTCTCTGTACATTTGCCTATTTTAGAAATTTCACGCAAATGGATTAATGCACGATGAATATTTTTGTGACTGGCTTCTTTCACTTAGCATAATATTTCAAGGTTTACCCATGAGGTAGAATGTACTGACACTTTATTTTTTACTGTCTAAAAATGTTCCATTATATTTATGTACTAAATATTGTTATCCATTCACTAGCTGATAAACATTGATAGGTTATCTTCTATTTTGGCTATTATGAATAATGCTGTTATAAACATTCACATGCATTTCTTTGTAGACGTATGTTTTCATTTCTCTTTGGTAACTAGAAATTTATTTTCTGAGTCATAAGGTGACTATCTCCAAGTTTAGCATTTTGAGTGAATGTCAAACATTTTCAAAGTCAATGCACCATTTTAAATTCACTCAACAATTTCTGAGGTTTCCAAAACTTGCTATTGTCTGCATTTTTTATTATAGCCATTGTAATGAATGTAAAATGGTATGTCATTATGGTTTTGATTTGCATTTACTTAATGACTAATGATGTTGAACATCTATTCAGGTGCTTATTGGCAATGTATATATACCTTCCTTCTAGAAAAATTATACTTAAATTATGTTCTCATTTTTAAATTGGGTTGTCTTTTTGTTGAGTTCGAAGAGTTCTTTATAAATTCTCAACGTTAGGTCCTTTACTAGATACGTGATTTGCAAAAAAAAAAAAAGATCCCATTCTATCTTTTTTTTTTTTTTTACTTTCTTAATGATGCCCTTTGATGTTAACTTTGATAAAGTCCAATTTACCTCTTTTTTTCTTTTGCTGCTTGTCCTTTTGATACCTTATTGAAGAAACCATTGTCTAATTCAAGGACATGAAGACACACTCCTGTGTTTTCTTTGAAGAATGTCATAGCTTTAGCACTTACATTTTTTTTGCTTTTAAATTTTATTATTATTTCTGGGGTACATGGGTAGGATATGCAGGTTTGTTACATAAGTAAATGTGTGCTGTGGTGGTTTGCTGTACTTATCAACCCATCACCTAGGTATTAAGCTGAACATATATTAGCTATTTTTCCTAATGCTCTCCCTCCCCCAATCCCATCCCTCAACTGGCCGCAGCATGGGTTATTCCCCTCCCTGTGTCCATTTGTTTTCATTGTTCAGCTCCCACTTATAAGTGAGAACATGCAGTGTTTGGTTTTCTGTTCCTGTGTTAGTTTGCTAGGATAATGGCTTCCAGCTTCACCCATGTCACTACAAAGAACATGATCTCATTCCTTTTTATGGCTTCATAGTATTCCATGGTTTATATGTACCACATTTTCTTTATCCAGTCTATCATTCATGGACATTTTGGTTGATTCCATATCTTTGTTATTGTGAATAGTGCTGTAATGAAGATACATGTGCATGTATCTTTGTAATAGAATGATTTATATTTTGGGGGGTGTATATCCAGTAATGGGACTGCTGGGTCAATGGTATTTCTGGTTCTAGATCTTTGAGGAATTGCCACACTCTCTTCCACAATGATTGAACTAATCTGACCTTTGACAAACCTGACATAAGAAAGCAATGGTGAAAGGGTTCCCTATGTAATAAATGGTGCTGGGAGAACCGGCTGCCCATATGCAGAAAATTGAAACTGGACCCTTTCATCAAACCTTGTACAAAAATTAACTCAAGATGGATTAAAGACTGAAATATAAAACCCAAAACTATAAATCCCTAGAAGAAAATCTAGGCGATACCATTCAGTTCATAGGCATTGGCAAATATTTCATGATGAAACGTCCAAAAGCAATTGCAACAAAAGCCAGAATTGACAAATGGGATCTAATTAAACTAAAGAGATTCTGCACAGCAAAATAAACTATCATCAGAGTAAGCAGGCAATCTACAGAGTGGGAGAAAATTTTTGCAATCTATTCATCTGAAAAAGGTCTAATATCCAGAATCTACAAGGAACCCAAACAAATTTACAACAAAAAAAGGAACAATCCCGTTAAAAAGTACGCAAAGGATAAGAACACATACTTCTCAAAAGAAGATATTCATGCAGCCAACAAACATGAAAATAACTCAACATCACTGATCATTAGAGAAATGCCAATTAAATTCACAATGAGATACCATCTCACACCAGTCAGTCAGAACGGCAATTACTAAAAAGTCAAGAAACAACAGATGCTGGCGAGGAGAAATAGGAACACTCTTACACCGTTGGTGGGGATGTATCACTTACATTTTAATATATGACTAATTTTAAGTAATTTTTTTGTGCATAGTGTAAGAAAAAGGTCCAACTTCATTATTTTGCAGGTCACCATATACAAATACAGATCACATGTCTTTTTTGGAATCTGAAAGAGTCCAAGTTACAACAAAACAGAATATGAATATCAACAAGTAGGAATTTATTTAGAGGAGACTGATGAAAAGATAATAATCCACTGCTGATATAGCAAATCTAAGTGGCATTGCAATAAATAATTTCTTTGACACGTACTAACCACAAATATCAGCTTATCATCAACTTGAATGTAAAAACTCTATAATTAATATCATCAACAATATAAATATTGTCAACCATTTAGTACTCTTATGTTCTAAGTCTAATGATATACGTATACACATTATATTTATATATTTATTTATATATATAAAATTTTATTTACCTCAGTATGAACACATGAAGGGACACTATGATTATTATCACTTTAAATATTAGAAGGGTAAAGTTAATAGAATTTATATAATATATCTGAAATTTATCTAACTCTGAAGTGTGTGCACTTCATTGTTATACCATGGCCTTTTTTAAAAGTGATGAGAATTTGTTTCCTTTTGGGTTTATTACCTTTTCTTTTATATATAAATGCCTCCTCTCTCAACACAAACATCAGTTTGCCTGGACACTGCTACCACATTGAACTAATCATCTTACTCATTGCTTGCACTCTCTCTCTTTATTAATTAATTAATTAATTAATTAATTTTTCTTTTGAGATGAAGTCTCGCTCTGTTGCCCGGGCTGGAGTGCGGTGGCACGATCTCGGCTCACTGCAACCTCCACCTCCCAGGTTCAAGTAGTTTTCCTGCCTTAATCTCCCAAGTAGCTGGGATTACAGGCGCGCACCACCGTGCCCAGCTAATTTTTTTGTACTTTTAGTAGAGACGGGGTTTCACTGTGATGCCAAACTGGTTTCGAACTCCTGACCTCAAGTGATCCACCCAGTTTGGCCTCCCAAAGTGCTAGGATTATAGTTGTGAGCCACCACGCCCTGGCCTCTTTTTTTTTTTTTTTTTTGTATTTTGTATTTTTTAGCAGGGTATCACTCTGTCTCCCAGGCTGGAGTGCAGTGGTGCAATCACAGCTCACTGCAGCCCTAACCTCCTGGGCTCAAACGATCCTCTGGAAAGTTTTTCATCTCTTTGATCGCTACAAAATCTCTATTTAGTCACAATAATATATAATAAATCGCTTTATCTTAATTCCTTGAAATCTAACTTAGCTTGCTACATCTCTACATAAAGAGGAATTAAAGTCATTTCCTAACTAAAACCCAGTGGAAGTGTTCCCATGCTTTGGTATCTTAGTTTGACTGTGTTGGAACCTTACCTTGCCAATTTGGTTAGCCTGGAATTCTGTTTCCTAAAATTTTCTTCCTTGAATAGGGACCATGGTGAACTTTGGCCTATAGACATACTTAGTAATTTGAGAAATAGAAGCAAGGCAGCAACCATTACTCTATGAAAAAATAGTAGTAGGTGGGTAGTTGTAATCACAAATGCCTAGCACCTCCATGCTACAACCAGCTATTCCTAAGTGTAATGTTTCTGTGTGTGTCTGTTTACTTCATTAATATCAAATAAGTACAATTTGGTGCTATAGTTTTGTTCACAAATTATGTAAATTGTTATTGATTGTATCTTCCAGCATTTCTCAAGTATGCATATGTATATAATTTTTAATTAGCCCAGTTCTTAATGCCAATCATTTACAACTGCCTTAAGAAATGTAGCTATTGCCAGGTGCGATGGCTCATGCCTGTAATCCCAGCCCTTTGGGAGGCTGAGGCGAGTGAATCACCTGAGGTCGGGAGTTCGAGACCAGCCTGACCAACAAGGAGAAACTCATCTCTAATGAAGATACAAAATTAGCTGGGCATGGTGGTGCATGCCTGTAGTCCCAGCTATTCGGGAGGCTGAGGCAGGAGAATTGCTTGAACCCAGGAGGTGGAGGTTTCAGTGAGCCGAGATCGTGCCATTGCACTCCAGCCTGGGCAACAAGAGCAAAACTCCGTCTCAAGAAAAAAAAAATGGATATAGTATGCTTTAGATTTTTATATATTTCATTTAATTGGAAATGGTGTGTTTAGCATCTAAGAATAGTCTGTGCTATGGCTTATAGAAGAAGCAACACCAGAATTTCAGTGGCAATGCAAACAACGTTATTTCTTGCTCTGCTATGCCACATCAAGCTTGAGTGACTCTCTAGGACGGTTGACTCCCATTTTATGGTGTACGATTCTGGATTGCTTTAAACTTATGGCAATTCCCTGTCCAGATACACTACCATAACCCCCACAAAAGACAGCTGTAACTTGTGTGCAGTCTTCATTGATGAAAGGGATTATGTGGAAAACTTTACATCAAAGATATGATGAAATGAAATATCCCCTTATGCACAGAAGGAAAAGTGGATAGGGATTATTAGTGAGCAGCATTAAATACTGCATATGTAACCCAAGTAAACTTTAAAGTGTACGCATAGAATGAATTAGGGAGGTTCCTTCTTTGTCTATCTTGTGTAATAGTGTCAAAAAGATTGGTACCAATTCTTCTTTGAATGTCTGGTAGAATTCTGCTGTGAATCCATCTGGTCCTAGACTTTTTTGTTGTTGGTAATTTTTAAATTACCATTTCAATCTTGCTGCTTGTTATTGCTCTGTTTGGGGTATCTAATTCTTCCTGATTTAAGCTAGGAGGGTTGTATTTTTCCAGGAATTTATCCATCTCTTCTAGGTTTTCTACTTTATGTGCATAAAGGCATTCATAGCCTTGAATGATCTTTTGTATTTCAGTGGTACAGATATAATACCTCTTGTTTCATTTCTCTAAGAGGTTATTTGGATTTCCTCTCTTCTTTTCTTGGGTAATCTTGCCAATGGTCTGTCAATTTTATTTATCTTTTCAAAGACACAGTTTTTCATTTCATTTGTCTTTTGTGTTTTTCTGTTTATTTGTTTGTTTCAAATTCATTTAGTTCTGATCTGATCTTTAAGCCAGCATCACCCTAATACCAAAACCAGGAAAGGACATAACCAAAAAAAAAACTACAGACAGATATCCTTGATGAACATAGATGATAAAATCCTTAACATAATACTAGCTAACCAAATCCAACAACATATCAAAAAGATAATCCATGATGATCACGTGGGTTTCATATCAGGGATGCAAGGATAGTTTAACATATGCAAGTCAATAAATGTGATACACCACATAAACAGAATTAAAAACATAAATCACATGATCATTTCAATAGATGCAGAAAAGCATTCAACAAAATCCAGCATCATTATATAATTAAAACTCTCAGCAAAATTGGCATACGAGGGACATACCTTAATATAATAAAAACCATCTCTGACAAAACCACAGCCAACATAATACTGAATGGGGAAAAGTTGAAAGTGTTTCTTCTGAAGACTAGAACAAGACAAGGATGCCCACTCTCACTACTCCTCTTCAACATAGTACTGGAAAGTCTTAGCCAGAGCAGTCAGACAAGAAAAAAATAAAGGGCATCCAAATCAGTAAAGAGGAAGTCAAACTATCACGGTTTGCTGATGATATGATTATTTACCATGAAAACCCTGAGGACTACTCCAGAAAGCTCCTAGAACTGATAAAAGAATTCAGCAAAGTTTCTGGATACAAGACTAATGTACACAAATCAGCAGCTCTTTTATACACCAACAGAGACCAAGTGGAGAATCAAATCAAGAACTCAACCCCTTTTTAAATAACTGCCAAAAAAATTACTTAGGAATATACCTAACCAAACAGTCAAAAGACTTCTACAAGGAAAACTACAAAACGCTGCTGAAAGAAATTATAGATGACACAAACAAATGGAAACACATCCTATGCTCATGGATGGGTAGAACCAATATTGTGGAAATGACAGTATTGTGAAAAGCAATCCACAAAGTCAATGCAATCCCCATGAGAATACCGCCATCATTCTTCATAGAAGTAGAAAAAACAATTTTAAAATTTATGTGGAACCAAAAAATAGCCCACAAAGCCAAAGCAAGACTTTTAAGCAAAAAGAACAAACCTGGAGGCATAACACTGCCTGATTTCAAACTATGCTATAAAGCCATAGTCACCAAAACAGTGTGGTACTGGTACAAAAACAGGTACATAGACCAATGGAACAGAATAGAGAACCCAGAAATAAACCCAAATACTTATAGCCAACTGATCTTTGACAAAGCAAACAAAAACATAAAGTGGGAAAAGGACACCCATTTCAACAAATGATGCTGGGATAATTGGCTAGCCATGTGTAGGAGAATGAAACTGGATCCTTATCTCTTACCTACTGAAAAAAAATCAACTCAAGATGGATTAAGAACTTAAACCTAAGACCTGAAACTATAAAAATTCTAGAAGATAACTTTGGAAAAACTTTTCTAGACATTGGCTTAGGCAAGGATTTCATGACCGAGAACCCAAAAACAAATGCAATAAAAAACAAAGATAAATAGCTGATACATAATTAAACTAAAGAGCGTTTGCATGACAAAAGGAACAGTCAGCAGAGTAAACAGACAGCTCATAGAATGGGTAGAATGGGAGACAATCGTCACAATGTATACATCTGACAAAGGACAAATATCCAGAATCTACAAGAAACTCAAACAAATCAGTAAGAAAAAAAAAAGTCCCATCAAAAAGTGGGCTAAGGACAAGAATAGACAATTCTCAAAGAAGATATACAAATGACCAACAAACATATGAAAAAATGCTCAACATCACTAATGACCAGGGAAATGCAAATGAAAACCAAAATGCAATACCACCTCACTCCTGCAAGAATGGCCATAATCAAAAAATCAAAAAACAGTTGATGTTGGCATGGATGTGGTGAACAAGGAACACTTCTTCACTGCTGGTGGGAATGTAAACTAGTAGAGCTGCTATGGAAAACAGTGTGGAGATTCCTTAAAGAACTAAAAGTAGAACTACCACTGATGCAGAAATCCCACTACTGGGTATCTACCCAGAAGAAAAGAAGTCATTATTTGAAAAAAATATTTGCACTTACATGTTTATAGCAGCACAATTCACAATTGCAAAATCTTGGAACCAAACCAAATGCCCATCAATCAACAAGTGGATAAAGAAACTGGTATATACATATTATATATATATATAGATATATATATATATATACCATTGGTATCTATATATATATATATATATATATATACCATTGGTATATAGATATATATATATATATACCATTGGTATCTATATATATATATATATATATACCAATGGTATATATATATATACCTATATATATATAGTGTGTGTATATATATATGCCATATATATATATACCAATATATATACCATATATGGTATATATATACACTATATATATATACATGGTATATACCATGTATATACCATGTATATATATATACACACACACAAACTGGTATATATATATATATACACAAACTGGTATATATATATATATATATACACACACAAACTGGTATATATATATACCATTGGTATATATATATATATACAAACTGGTGTATATATATATACACCAATGGTATATATATATACACAAACTGGTATATATATATATATATATATATATATATACACACAAACTGGTATATATATATATATATATATATATATATATACACAAACTGGTATATATATATATATACACGCACACCAATGGTATATATATATATATACACACACACACACACACACACACCAATGGTATATATATATATATATATACACACACACACACACACACACACCAATGGTGTGTGTATATATATATATATATATATACACCATTATATATATATTTATATATACCATTATATATATACCATTATATATATACATATATACACATATATACACACACACACACACACACATATATATAATGGAATACTATGCAGCCCTAAAAAGGAAAGAATTAACAGCATTTGCAGTGACCTGGATGAGATTGGAGACTATTACTCCAAGTGAAGAAACTCAGGAACGGAAAACCAAACATCCTATGTTCTCACTGATATGTGGGAACTAAGCTATGAGGACGCAAAAGCATAAGAATGATACAATAGACTTTGGGGACTTGAGAGGAAGTATGGGAGGGGGGCAAGGGATAAGAGACTACAAATATGGTTCAGTGTATACTGCTCAGGTGATAGGTGAGCCAAAATCTCACAAATTACCACTAAAGAACTTACTCATGCAACCAAATACCACCTGTACCCCAGTAACTTATGGAAAAAATAAAAATTAAAAAATTACCCTGAAATGTATCACAAAAGAAGTTGGATTTATGGGTTGAATTGTCTCCCGCCACACCTCCTGCCATATGTTGAAGTTATAACCTCTAGTACCTCAGAAGTGACTGTTTGGAGATATGGTCTTTACACAGGTAATCAAGTTAAAATGACATCATTAGGATAAGCTCAAACCCAATGTGACTAGTGTCTTTGTTAAAACAAGAAATTTGGACACAGAGAGAAACTTAGAGAGAAGACTGTGTGAAGAGACACAAGGAAAAGGCAGCCATCTGCAGCCAGTGGGAGATGCTGGAACAGATCTCGTCTTATAACCCTCAGAAGGGACAAACTCTGCTGGCCTCTTAAATTTGGACTTCTAGCCTCTAGAAATGAGACAAGAAATGTCTGTTGTTTAAGCTAACCAATTTACAACAAAGTACCATAAATTTTACCCAATTTATGGTACTTTCTTACAGCAGCTCTAGGAAACTAATGCGGCTGGTTTGATGGATGGTTGGAGGCTTGGATAGATGCACAGATATGTAATAAAACAAGTATAATAAAATGTTAATGATAGGTAGAATCAAGGTGGTGGGTTTATGGATGTTCACTGTAAAATTCTTTCAACTTTGCTGTATGTTTGAAATGTTTTAAATGTTGGCAGGAAAAGAGCATTACAAAATGTTCTCTTAGAACAAAGGAAGTCAACTCTTATGAACAGTTGCTCCATTCCTAAAAGTTCCATGACTCTATCATTCCACAGAAGAAATCAGATAGCTTCAGATTAACAACTGGCAGAGTAACAGTGGCATTTAACAGATGCATCCCTACATGTTGACCCAGAAATTACACGTTGGACACTCTTTTATAAAAATACAAATACCAGTACATAAGTAAAAAAAAAAAGTATTCACATTATTTTCATCTTATAACTGGGATGGCAAAGACAATATAATAGGGTTATGAAATTTTAAATTATATATCTCTTCTTAAAGAGAAAGAGTGGGACCATTCAGGCTTCTTTTTTGCATATTTCCTCTGTTAAAAGGGACATTTTAAGTATTAGCCTTTAATTTACTCCTCCTAAAAAGACCATACATTTTTTCTAAAGTTAAAACTGACCTGTAGAAGCTGCCTTATTTTAAAAGTGACTAACACTTACTGTTCTATTCATTATTTTCCCAAATTAACATTGTTTAGTATAATCAATGTCAATGGATGATAGACTTTTTTTAGTTTAGAAAAATTCACCTTCTCGGCCGGGCGCGGTGGCTCACGCCTGTAATCCCAGCACTTTGGGAGGCCGAGGCGGGTGGATCACGAGGTCAGGAGATCGAGACCATCCTGGCTAACAAGGTGAAACCCCGTCTCTACTAAAAATACAAAAAATTAGCCGGGTGCGGTGGCGGGCGCCTGTAGTCCCAGCTACTCGGGAGGCTGAGGCAGGAGAATGGCGTGAACCCAGGAAGCGGAGCTTGCAGTGAGCCGAGATTGCGCCATTGCAGTCCGCAGTCCGGCCTGGGCAACAGAGCGAGACTCCGTCTCAAAAAAAAAAAAAAAAAAAAAGAAAAAAAGAAAAATTCACCTTCTCTTAATTAATAAATCACAAAGGAAAACATGAGTCATGATTTAGAAAGTGCTTGAATGTTGAGCAAGAATCTTAAAGATGTATTATTTGACAATCTATTAATTATAATGAAGAAACCTGACAAAATCTGTCAAAATTATAAGTCAATTTTATATTTAAAAACCTTAAGTATGGAATATATGTGTGTTCTTTGGGGTTCATAACAGTGTTCAAATATGAACTGATGATTTAAGCACCACATTTAAAAGGCGAATAAAAATAGGAAGATAAGAGGAAGAAGAGGGGGAAAAAAAGGAAACAAAGATAATCTCTGGGGTTGCAAAGTACACCAGATGTCATTTTCAATGTTGTCTCTGAATACTGTATCTTTTTTGGTTTTCTTTGTTTTAGAAAATGTCATGTACCATGAGCTGCAGCTTTGCTCTAGTTTTATTGCCTGTCACAGTCACAGTTGACAAAGCCAGTCTTTTTGCCATCAGTCTCAGTTCAACTATACTGCTGACTACCTCAAAGAGTGTAGAAAATTTATTGCAAAGCAAGGTGCACTTCATGCTTACAGCTATTGCAGCAACATCGTTAATAATATACTGACATAACCCCAAGCAACTGCTATATGTGACAGAGGAGAGTAAATTCCTAAAACACAGTATATCCCATCATGTATGTGAGAGCATGGTTTAGTAAGCAGCCCTCCATTCCTACTCTGAAATTTTCCACTAGCAACCATCCATTATTGCAATGTTCATTTTAACAAGAAGCAAACAAAGATTTTGTGCACGTATGATTTTGAATGTACATCTAGATGCTTAAAACACGATCAGAGTAAAAGAGTTTTTCAAGCTATAGGGCTCACATGGTAAGTTGAATGTATATTTCAGGTTTCAATTTTAGGGAGAAAAATCCTTTTGATTCAACTGAAGGGAGTGAAGCCATTTTTAAATTTTAATATTTTTGAGTTTCTATTAACAAAGACAAAGGTAGTTCAAAATTTCTTCCATGTGAAGCAAGAAATAATGTTTAAAACTACATTGTTTTTAATGTAACTCTTTGTGTTCAAATCCTAGCTCTAAAACATGCTACCTGTATGACCGTGGGCAAGTTGCTCATCAGCTCTGTACCAAATTCCCTAAACAGTAAAATGAAAGAAATAATACTACCTATTCCCTAGAGTGATGGCAGGAATAAAAGAATTCAATATGCATAAAAAATTAAAGGAATGTATGTCCTGTAATAAATATCAAATAAATTTAGCTCTTGTGATTGTGTTTGTCTATTCTTTTAATGTCCTTTAAAATCTGACTTCGTATTTTCTATTCAAAGGTATTTGAAACAAAGTCCCTCATTCTGGTATTTAGCATCCTCTGTGACTCAAATATTATTAGTTCCTGATCATTAAATAATTGAACCTCTCTTGGGAGACTGAGGTTAGTCCTAACCTCACCTTCTATCTTGTAACTTCCACCACTAAGGAAAGGGAAGCACCATCTCCCCTTTCCTCTATTTATTATTTAGTATCTTAGTCTGGCTGCCTAACTTCCCTGATTTATTCAGCCCTGATTCATTGATCCTTACTCCTATCCTTTTCATCTATACCCTGTGGAAACTTCATGATAGTGATAACAAAAGAATCTATATCTCAGTCGTGTTGTAGAAGGCTTTCCCCACTTTAGGGATGTAATTGAAAATTAGTCACCTGAGAATGGATTATTTAGGTTTCTTACTGTTTTATTGGTTTCTCCTTCTCTGGCAGATCCTAAACTGAAAGTTACTCCTTAATTTGACACATGGTGATATGAATAGCATGCTTTCTAACTGTTTCTCCAGCCTCATCCCTGCCAGAACCTATCTCAGAAATTATATGGTTTCAATTATTTTTTTGTTTTTATTTTTAATTTGTGTGGGTACAGAGTAGGTGTATATATTTATGAGGCACATGAAATATTTTGATAAAGACATACAATGCTTAATAATCACATCAAGGTAAATGGGGTAGCCATTACCTCAAGCATTTATCCTTTCTTTGTATCACAAACAATCCAATTATACTACTCTTCTACTTATTTTAATTGTACAATAAATTATTATGGACTATAGCCTCTCTATTCTGCTGTCAAATACTAGCTCCTATTCATTCTATCTAAATATATTTATGTACTCATTAACCATCCCCATTCCCCAATCTCCATTACACTTCCAAGCATTGGGTTCCATCCTTCTACAGTCCATCCATGAATTCAATTGTTTTAATTTTTAGCTCTTACAAATGAGTGAGAATATGTGAAGTTTGTCTTTTCACGCCTGGCTTACTTCACTTAACCTAATGACTTATGGATCCATCCATGCTATTGCAAATGACAAAATCTTATTCTTTCTATGGCTGAATAGCATTCATTATATATATTTACTATATTTTCTTTATTCATTCATCTATTAATGGAAACTTAGGTTGATTCCAAATATTGACTATTGGAAATAGTGGTGCAATAATCATGGGAGTGCAGATACCTCTTCAATATACTGATTTAATTTCTATTGGATATATGCCTAGCAATGGGACTGCTGGGTCATCTGGCAGTTGTATTTGTAGTTTTCTGAGAAACCTCCAAACTGTTCTCAATAGTGGTTGTACTAATTTACATTCCCACCAACAGTGTATGAGAGTACCTTTTTCTGCACATCCCAGCATTTGCTATTGCCTGTCTTTTGGGTAAAAGCCATTTTTAACTAGGGTAGGATAATATCTGATTGTAGTTTTGATTTTCATTTCCCTGTTGATCAATGTTATTGAGTACATTTTCATATACATGTTTGCCATTTATATCTCTTCTTTTGAGAAATGTCTATTCAAATATTTTGCCCATTTTTAAATTGAATTATTAAACTTTTTCCTATAGAGTTGTTTGAGCTCCTTATATAACCTGGTTATTAGTCCCTTGTCAGATGGGTAGCTTGCAAAAATATTTTCTCCCATTATATCAGTTGTCTCTTCACTCTGCTGATTGTTTGCTTTGCTGTGCAAAGCTTTTTAACTTGATGTGATCCAATTTGTCTACATTTGCTTGGGTTGCCTTTGTTTGTGGGGTATTACTCAAGAAATCTTTGCCCAATCCAATATCTTGGAGAGTTTTTCCAATGTCTTATTTTACTAGTTAATAGTTTAAAGTCTCAGACCTAAGTCTTCAATTCATTATAATGTAATGTTTGCATATGGTGAGAGATAGGGGTCTAGTTTCTATTTCTCTGCATATAGATATCCAGTTTTCCCAGCACCATTTATTTAAGAGGCTAGCCTTTTTCCAATGTATGTTGTAATGGTATTGTTTGGCTCTGTGTCCCCACCCAAATCTCATCTTGAATTGTACTCCCATAATTCCCATGTGTTGTAGGAGGGACTTGGTGGGAGATAACTTGAATCATGCGGGCAGTTTCCCCTATACTGTTCTCATGGTAGTGAATAAGTCTCATGAGATCTGATGGTTTTTTCAGGGGTTTCTGCTTTTACATCTTCCTCATTTTCTTTGCTACCACCATGTAAGAAGTGCCCTTCACCTCCCACCATGATTCTGAGGCCTCCCCAGCCATGTGGAACTGTAAGTCCAATTAAACCTCTTCTTCCCAGTCTTGGGTATGTCTTTACAAGCAGCATGAAACTAAACTAATACAATAAATTGGTATCTGTAGAGTGGGGCATTGCTGAAAAGACACGTGGAAATGTGGAAGCGACTTTGGAACTGGGTAACAGGCAAATGTTGGAACAGTTTGGAGGGCTCAGAAGAAGACAGAAAAATGTGGGAAAGTTTGGAACTTCCTAGAGACTCATTGTATGACTTTGACCAGAAGCCTGATAATGGTATGGACAGTAAGGTGCAGGCTGAGGAGGTCTCAGATGGAGATGAGGAACTTGTTGGAAACTGGAGCAAAGGTAATTCTTCCTATGTTTTAGTAAGGAGATTGGCAGCATTTTGCCCCTGCCCTAGGGATTTGTGGAACTTTGAACTTCAGAGAGATGATTTATGGTATTTGGCAGAAGAAATTTCTTTTCTTTTTTCTTTTTTTTCTTTTTTTGAGACGGAGTCTCGCTCTGTCACCCAGGCTGTAGTGCAATGGTGCGATCTCGGCTCACTGCAAGCTCCGCCTCCCGGGTTCATGCCATTCTCCTTCCTCAGCCTCCTGAGTAGCTGGGCTACAGGTGCCCGCCACCAGACCCGGCTAATTTTTTGTATTTTTAGTAGAGACAGGGTTTCACTGTGTTAGCCAGGATGGTCTTGATCTCCTGACCTCGTGATCTGCCCGCCTCGGTCTCCCAAACTGCTGGGACTACAGGCATGAGTCACTGCGCCCGGCCGGCAGAAGAAATTTCTAAGCAGCAAAGCATTCGAGAGGTGACTTCGGTGCTGTTAATAGCATTCAGTTTTATAAGGGAAGCAGAACATAAAAATTTGGAAAATTTGCAGCCTGACAATATGACAGAAAAGAAAAACCCATTTTCTGAGGAGAAATTCAAGCCAGCTGCAGAAATTTAGGTAAGTAATGAGGAGCTGAATGTTAATCCTCAAGACAATGGGGAAAATATATCCAGGGCATGTCAGAGACATTCAAGGCAGCCTCTCCCATCACAGGCCCAGATGCCTAGGAGAAAATGGTTTCTTGGGCTGGTTCCAGGGTCTCTGTGCAGTGTGCAGTCTAGGGACTTGGTGACCTGTGTTGAAGTGGCTCCAGCCATGGCTGAAAGAGGCCAATGTGGAGTTCAGGCCATGGCTTCAGGGGGTGCAAGCCCCAAGCCTTGGCAGCTTCCATGTGGTGTTGATCCTACAAGTGCACACACGTCAACATTTGAGGTTTGAGAACCTTGCCTAGATTTCAGAATATGTATGGAAACACTCGGAGGCCCAGGCAGAAGTTTGTTGCAGGGATGGGGAGCTCATGGAGAACCTCTGCTAGGACAGTGCAGAAGGGAAATGTGGGGTCAGAGCCCCAACACAGAGTCCCTACTGGGACACCACTTAGTGGAGCTGTGAGAAGAGCACCAACGTCCTCCAGACCCCAGAATGGTAGATCCAGACAGCTTGCACCATTCTCCTGGAAAAGCCACACCCTCAATGGCAGCCCATGAAAGCAGCTGGGAGGGAGGTTGTACCCTGCAAAGCCATAGGGGCAGAGCTGCCTAAGACCATGAGAACCCACCTCTTACATCAGCATGACCTGGATGTGAGAACTGGAGTAAAAGGAGGCCACTTTGGAGGTTTAAAATTTGACTGCCTCGCTGGATTTCAGACTTGCGTGGGCCCTGTAATCACTTTGTTTTGGCCAATTTCTCCCATTTAGAATGACTGTATTTACCCAATGCCTGTACCTCTAATGTATTTAGGAAGTAACTAGCTTGCTTTTGATTTTACAGGCTCATCAGTGGAAGGGACTTGCCTTGTCTCCAATAAGACTTTGGACTGTGGACTTTTGGGTTAATGCTGAAATGAGTTAAGACTTTGGGGTACTGTTGGGAAGCCATGATTGGTTTTGAAACGTGAAGACGTGAAATTTAGAGGGGCCTGGGGCAGACTGATATGGTCTGGCTCTGTGTTCCCACCCAAATCTCATCTTGAGTTGCACTCCCACAATTCCCGTGTTTTGTGGGAGAGATCCTGTGGGAGATAATTTAAATCATGGGGGTAGTTTCCCCCATACTGTTCTCATGGTAGTGAATAACTCTCACAAGATCTGGTGGTTTTATCAGGCATTTCCACATTTGCATCTTCCTCATTTTCTCTTGCCAATGCCATGTAAAAAATGCCTTTAGCCTCCCGCCATTCTTCTGAGGTCTCCTCAGACATGTAGAACTGTACATTCAATTAAGCCTCTTTTTCTTTCCAGTTTCAAGTATGTCTTTACTGGCAGTGTGAAAATGGACTAACATAGCACCTTTGTTGAAAATGAGTTCACTGTAGATGTATGGATTTATCTCTGAGTTCTATTTTCTATTCTATTGGTCTATGTGTATTTTTTTATTAGAGCACCATGCCACTTTGGTAACAATAGCTCTGTAGTGTAGTGTGAATGAAGTTAGATAATGTGTTTCCTTCAGTTTTGTTCTATTTGTTCAGGATGGCTTTGGTTCTTTTGTGTTTCTGTATAAATTTTATGATTTTTTTTCTAATTCTGTTAAGAATGTCATTGATATTTCAATAGGGATTGCATTGAATTTAAAGATTGCTTTGTATAGTATGGATATTTTAACACTGATTCTTCCAATCAATGAACATGGAAAATATTTCCTTTGTGTGTGTTTGTGTTTCTGTGTGTGTGTGTGTGTGTGTGTCTAGTTTTTGTTGTAGAGAATTTTCATTTGTCTGGTTAAGTTTATTCCTAGGCATTTAATTTTATTTGTGACTAATATAAATGGAATTACTTTCTTGATTTCTTTTTCAGATTGTTCACTGTTAGTAGATAGAAATGCTACTAATATTAATACATTGATTTTATATCTTGCAAGTTTACTGAATTTAGTTTATCATTTCTAATAATTTTTGGGTTGAGTCTTCAGGGGTTTTTTTTCAAACATACGCTCACATCATTTGCAAACAAGGGTAATAAGACTTCTTCCTTTCCAGTTTGGATGCCTTTTGTTTCTTTCTCTAGTCTGATTGCCTTAGCTAGGACCATTAGTAATATGTTGAATAACAATGGTGAAAGTGGGCATCCTTGTATTGTTCCAGATCTTAGAGAAAAGATTTTCAGTTTTTCTCCTTATAGTATGGTATTAGCTGTGGATCTGTCATATATGGCTTAAATGTATTGAGGTATATTCCTTCCATATCTATTTTTGAGGGATTTTATCCTGAAAGGATGTTGAATTTTATGAAATTTGTTCTCAGTATTAATTGAAATGATCATATGATTTTTATCCTTCATTCTATTGATATGAAGTATCACATTGATTGATTTGCATATGTTGAAATATCTTTGCATCCCTGGTATAAATCCAACTTGATCACAATGAAGGATCTTTTTAACACAATGTCAAATTTGGTTTTCTAGCATTTTGTTAAATGTTCTTGCATCATGTTCATCAGGAATATTGGCCTTTAGTTTTCTTATCTTTTTTTAGATATGTCTTTTTCTGTTTTGCATATCAGGGTAATAATGGCCTTGTAGAGCGAGTTTGGAAGTATTCTCTCCTCCTCTATTTTTCCAAATAGTTTGAATAAAATTGTATTTTTTTCTTTAAATATCTGGTAAAATTAAACAGTGAAGCCGCTGGATGCAACGGATCCAAGCTTTTTTTTTTTCCCAACCTGGAGACTTTTCATTACAACTTTATTCTCATTATTTGTTATTAATATTTTCAAGTTTTGATTTTCTTCGTAGTTTAATCTTGTTAGGTTTTATGTGTTTAGGAATTTACCGATTTCTTCTAGGTTTTTAAATTTATTGACTTATAATTGCTCCCAGTAACCTCTAATGATTTTTTGAATTTTTCAAGTATCAGTTGCAGTGTCTCCTTTTCATTTCTGATTTTATTTATTTGTGTGTTCATTTTTTCTTAGTTAGATGGACTAAATGTTGATTTGGCTTATATTTTCAAAAACACAAATTTTTGTTCCATTTATTTGCTCTTATATTTGTTATTTCTTTTTTCTAGTAATTTTGGGTTTTATTTGTTCTTGCTTTTCTAGTTGAGATGCATATTTAGGTTGTTTATTTGAAGTTTTTCTTTTTTTTATTTTGCACTATAAATGCATTTAATTAGTATGCAGGATTATTAAAATTAGACAATACATACTTAGTCGCTTATACACACAGGCATTTTGTTCTTATCAGAACAGTGGAAATGCTAGGCTTTTATTGATGTAAACTTTCCTATTATTACTGCTTTCTTATATCCCAAAGGTTTTAATATGTTGTGTTTCCATTTTCATTTGTTTCAATAAATTTTTAAATTTTCTTCATAATTTCTTAACCCATTGCTTATTTAAGAGCATATTGTTTCCTTTTTATGTGTTTGCATAGTTTCCAAAATTCCTCTTGTTATTGATTTCTAGCTTTATTCCTTTGTGGTCAGAGAAGATGCTTGATATTATTTTAATTATTTTTGAATATTTAAAGACTTGTTTTCTGACTTTACATATAATCAATCCTTGAGAATGATTCAGGTATTGAGGAGAAGTATGTGTATTCCACAGCTACTGGATGTAATGGTCTGTAAATATCTGTTAGTTCTGTTGAGTCTATAGTGCAGATTAAGTCTGATATTTCCTTGTTGATTTCTGTGTGCATAATATGTCCAATGTTGAAAGTGGGGTGTCGAAATCTTCAAATATTATTATATTGGGATCTATCTCTCTCTAGCTCCAATATTATTTGCTTTATATATCTGAGCACACTAGTGTTCAGTGAATATATATTTATAAATGTTACATCCTTTTGATGTATTGACTACTTTTTCATTGTTTAATGACCTTCTTTTCCTTTTTTATAATTTTTATCTTGAAATCTATTTGTCTGATAGAAGTATAGCTACTTCTGCTCTGTTTTGGTTCCCATTAACATGGAATACCTTTTTCCATCCCTTTATCATCATTCTATGTGTGTGTTTATGAGTGAGGTCTATTTCCTGCAGGCAAGAGATCATTGGGTCTTATTTTTATCCATTTAGCCATGGTATATCTTTTGAATACAGAGTTTAGCTCATTTTCATTCAATGTTATTATTGACAAATAAGAACTTACTCCTGCTGTTTTGTTACTTGTTTTCTGGTTTTCTCTCCTTCTTTCCTTCCTTCCTGTTTTCCTTTTAGTGAAGATGATTTTCTCTGGTGGTATGTTTTATTTTATTGCTTTTTATCTTTTGTGTAATTGATGTATGTTTTTTGACGTGAGGTTACGCTAAGGCTTGCAAATAACAGCTTATAAACCATTAATTTAAACTGGTGACAATTTAACACTGATTGCATAAACAAATTAACAAGCTAACAAACAAAGGGTAAACTCACAAAATTGTGCTTGTTAACAACTTCCCCCTGAGCTTTAACTTTTTTTTTGTTTCTATTCATATCTTATTATACTGCCTAAGTCTTGAAAAGTTATTCCAGTTATTTTTTTGATAGGTTCCTCTTTTAGCGTTTCCTACTCAAAGTATGAGTAGTTTACACACCACAGTTAGAGTTTTATAATATTCTATGTCTTGTACTTATTTGTCTATGTACTTATGTACATAGACAAATATGTCTATGTACTTATTTATACTAAATGATTTCCTATTGCTATTAATTCCCTTTTCTTTCCAACTGATGAACTCCCTTTAGCATTTCTTATAGGACAGGTCTGGTGCTGATGAAATTCCTCAGCTTTTGTCTATCTGGAAAAGTCTTATTTGTCCTTCTGGTTTTAAAGATATTTTCATAGGATATACTATTCTAGCATAAAAGTATTTTTCTTTCAGCACTTTAAATATGTCATGCCCAACTCTCCTTGCTTGTCAGGTAGGAGTCACAGAGTCAAAGGAGATGATTTAGAAGCTTTCAAATTTAATGACTGCCCTCTTGGATTTTGGACTTGCATGGGGAATGTAGCCCCTTCATTTTAGCCAATTTCTCCAATTTGGAATGAAAGCATTTACCCAATGCCTGTACCCCCATTGTAACTTGGAACTAACTAACTTGCTTTTGATGTTACAGGCTCATAGGCAAAAGGAACTTGCCTTGTCTCAGATAAGGCTTTGGACTTGGAGTTTTGGATTAATGCTAGAATGAGTTAAGATTTGGGGGGACTGTTGGGAAGACATGATTTTGTTTTGTAATGTGAGAAGGAAATTCAGGGGAGTCAAGGTCAGGATAATATGGTTTGGCTCTGTTTCCCCACCAAATATCATCTTGAATTGCAATTCCTATGTGTCATGGGAGGTACCTGGTGGGAAGCGATTGGATCATGGGGGTGGTTTCCCCATGCTGTTCTCATGATAGTGAGTGAGTTCTCACGAGGTCTGATGGTTTAGAAGTGTATGGCAATTCCACTCTCTGTCTCTCCTGTCATCAAATAAAATGTGCTTTGCTTCATCTTTACCTTCCATCATGATTGTAAGTTTCCTGAGACTTTCCCAGCCATGAGGAACTGTGAGTCAATTAAACCTCTTTTCTTTACAAATTATCAAGTCTAAGGTAGTTGTTTTTTTTTTTTTTTTTTTGGAGACGGAGTCTCGCTCTTTCACCCAGGCCGGAGTGCAATGGCGCTATCTTGGCTCACTGCAAGCTCCGCCTCCCGGGTTCACGCCATTCTCCCGCCTCAGCTTCCTGAGTAGCTGGGACTACAGGCGCCCACCACCGAGCCCGGCTAATTTTTTGTATTTTTAGTAGAGACGGGGTTTCACCGTGTTAGCCAGGATGGTCTCGATCTCCTGACCTCGTGATCCACCCACCTCAGCCTCCCAAAGTGCTGGGATTACAGGCGTGAGCCACCGCGCCCGGCAAGGCAGTTCTTTATAGCAGTGTGAAAATGAGTACAGTAGGTTTCCACTAAAAAATGTGCCACCAGATATATTGGAGCTCGTTTATGTGCTTTTTGTTTCTTTTCTCTTGCTCCTTTAGAATCCTAAAGGAAGGATCCTTTCTTTATCCATTACTTTTAGAAAGTTCCATTATTAAATATTTTGAGGTGGTCTTATTTGGATCAAATCTGCTTGGTATTTTATAACTTTCTTCTACTTGAATATTGTTATCTTTCTCTAGGTTTGGAAAGTTATCTGTTACTATTTCTTTAAAGAAACTTCTGTCCCCATCGCTCTCTTTCTACCTCCTCCTTAAGGATGAGAACTCTTTGATTTCCCTTTTGACACTTGTTGTTTAGATCCTGCAGGCAAGCCTCATTCTTTTTAATTTTTTTTTCCTTTTGTCACCTCTATGTATTTTCAAATAGCCCATCTTCAAGCTCACTATTTCTTGATCCTGCTTGACCAATTATACCATTAAGGAACTCTGATGCATTCTTCAGTATGTCAATTGCATTTCTCAACTCCAGAATTTCTTCTTTCCCTTTCCCTTTTCTTTCTTTTTTCTCTTTCTTTCTTTCTTTTTCTTTCTTTCCTTCCTTCCTTCCTTCCTTTCTTTCTTTCCTTCCTTCCTTCCTTCCTTCCTTCCTTCTTTATTTCTACAGCATCTTACTCCCTCAGCCAGGCTGGCATGCAGTGGTGCAATCTTGACTCACTGCAACCTCTGCTTCCCAGGTTCAAGTGATTCTCCTGTCTCAGCCTCTCGAGTAGCTGGGATTGCAGGTGCACGCCACCATGCCTGGCTAATTTTTGTATTTTTAGTAGAGATGAGTTTTCACCATGTTAGTCAGGCTGGTCTTGAACTGCTGACCTCAGGTATTTCATCCGCCTTGACCTCCCAAAGTGCTGGGATTACAGGCATGTGGCACCGTGTCCAGCCTTAGCTCCAGAATTTCTGTCTGATTTTTAAAAATTATTTTAATCTCTTTGTTACATTTATCTGATAGGGTTTTAAATTCTTTCTCTGTGTTATCTGGGATTTCACTGAGCTTCCCCAGAATAGCTGTTTTGAATTATCTAAGATATCACATATCTCTGTATCTCTAGAACTGGGCCCTGGTGACTTATTTAGTGAGATCACGTTTTCCTGAATGGTCTTGATGCTTTTGGATGTTCATCAGTGTCTGGGCATTGAAGAATTAAGTATTTATTGTAGTCTTCAAAGTCTGAACAATATGCAAATTTATCTTTGTAATCCCTTTGTGAATAGCTATGCTAGGCTCCTTTTCTGTAGTAGTACTATTCCTTTCACTTTAATTATATATGTTTGTCTGCTTTTTATGACAAACAAATAGCTTTATTATGAGAGACTCACCATAATGTGTCTTCATTTTTCATATTCATTCATAAGCACAGAAGCCTTGCTAATAAAGAGCAAGGAATACAACTGAAATTGGGGATACAAGTAGGGTGAGGAAGAGACTGATTTAGGAGCTTGTTTAAGAAGGCTATTCTAGAAGATGGCCACAAAATGTGGAGAGAGTTAAAATAGTATAAAAATGCTAATAGTTCCTTAATCGAGCATGTGACTAGAGGATTATTTACATTTGTTGTCTCTGCCTCATCCTTTTATTTTTCTACTTCATCAGAGAGGAAAGGGGAGGCAACATTGGCCTACAGACAGTTTACGGTTTAAACACACTACCGACTGACTAAAGCCAACTTAAAATTTCCCTAGTTCCTGGCTAATGTTCCTGATCTCCTTTTTCTTAGATCATTTTCTTTAAAAAAAACTTCCAATTAAAAATTCCTTTCCTGTCTCTTTGAGATGTAAATATTCCAAAACTCAGAAATATCTTTCTCAAGGCCCCAAGAGCTATCTCTTTGAAATGTAATAATCAAGAAAGATAGGGCCTCTATCTCCTGGTCTCTGTAGAAATGTAGGAGCCTAATGGCCTAATTACATTAAACAAACTTGCCCTAACATAATGCAGCCCTTTTTTATGAACTCACTCAGTGTTTAAAAATCATCCTGCCTTTTGTTTCAGTGGAGTTGAATTTAATCTTTGAAGTTAATCTCTCTCTCCATCTACAGTAGTATAAATAAAACCTTCCTTTCCCATATAACTGGTGAGGTATAATCTTTCTTAGAGCGTTCTTAATAGATACAAGGTCTATAGTCCAAAAATATACAAAATTCTATCACCATTCCTACACTGTTTCTAATTTCTATTATGTTACTTTATTTTTTTTTCCTAATTTGGAATTAGCATTCAGATTGTCTCATTTCAGTTTCAAGTAAAATACGTGAAAAAAAAACTCTCTCTCTAATTCATCATTATTTTAAACCAAGTTATTTTAAAAAAATTGGTCCCTAAATAAGGCTATGGGATGTGTACAGTTTATCAGGAAATACAGATGAGTACATGCCTGAAGGCAGTTTAAATGAGGAAAGCAATTTGAGTTCCTCAGACCTGACCTAAAATGTATTATATAAAATACAAATGAGTTAACCCACTTAGGAAAGAACTCATTCAAACATTGAGTCTGAGATGCATGTATTTGGAAGTGTCCTTAGGGTAAGGCCCTGCCCCAGGGAAAGATCTTGGTCAGAGTTGTCCACCAAAACCAGGAACTTCCCTAGGCTAAAATGTGTAGTGGTTCAAGGCTGATTTCAGGCTCTCTTATTTCATGATTATTCCCTCACCTCCTCTTCCCTATCATAATCCCTGGCTGCAGCCTTTATTTCAGAATCTCTCACATAAACATTTTGCATGAATTTACCATCTTCCAACATCACCACTTTTATTTTCATCAAATCCCTCTCCTCCAAACTAAGTCTTACTCATTCCATAGTTTGGTTCTTTCAAGTCCTACTCATTGATGATTAAATCTAATGAATTATATAAACAAGTGAGCTAATTACATTGTATTAGTCTGTCCTCATGCTGCTAATAAAGACACACCTGAGACTGGGCAATTTATAAAGGAAAGAGGTTTAATGGACTCACAGTTCCACATGGCTGGAAGGCCTCACAATCGTAGCAGAAGATGAAAGAAGAGCAAAGGTACATCCTACATGGGCAGCAAGAGGGCTTGTGCAGGGACAATCCAATGTATAGAACCATCAGATCTTGTGAGATGTATTCACTACCACGTGAACAGTATGGGGGAAACCAGTCACATGATTCAATTATCTCCACCTGGAACCACCCTTGACATGGGGGGATTATTACAATTCAATGTGAGATTTGGGTGGGGACACAGCCAAACCATGTCATAGGTGGTTCTTACATGTATCATATTTTTGTTTTAAGAAATATATTTGGAGAGAGAGACTTAACCCCATGGTGAAATCTCACAATAAAGGTAGGATAGTTAATAGTCACAGTTGGGCCAGTGTAACTGTTGACAATGTACCCTTTTATACTCAAAACTCTTCCAATTTGGAAAAAGTAAAAATGGTCACCTTATGGATTCCAAAAATGGTATTAGTGATGGAAGTTTGAGAACAAGGCAGGTTGTTGTAAGAGAAAAGAGGACTGCCAAATTCCAGAGCATATTGGGGGTTATTTAGGGTTGCTCACCTCTATGTAATTTCAGATCCTGTGGAATTTAATATTCTGGGTGTCTATTTTCTTAAAGTTATCTTTCTTATTTTCTTAAAAAACAACAGACAGCACTACTTCCTATCTGAACTAATTATCCTAGTAGAAATTTTAGAGTACTTCTCATGAATGCTCAGAAACCCCCAATACTAGGTGAGGATAGGAATTTGAACCGGGGCATTCTATGGAGAGGAAAACTGAGGCAAGTAGAAGCAGTGAAATTGGAATACCAATACAGGTAGTTTTACTTCATAGTTGCACGGTCTAAAACACAATTCTGTACTTCCTCTCAAAAGAGGAGAGGGAGATGAAGAAACACAGAGTGAGAAAGAAAGAGAGGGAGAGCAAGATGGATTCTGAATAATAGGCCTGTGCATGGCTCTTTGTATCTCCAGTGTCCACTCTGTTGACCTATTATCTCTCTTCTCCTAACCAAGAGATCCTCTAGTCTTTTCTATCCTTGAAGTTTTCATTCTCATCCCCAACTGAGCTCTAGTTTTCATCTTATCTCAAGCACAGACTCCAGGGAAAAATGTCAAACTGTCAGTTTGCTTGATGTTCCACTGACAAATGGGGCTCACTGACTTGAGATGCTCTGGTGAAAGGAAGGGTGATTAGATCATCTTAAGGATATTGCCACATAGTAGACTATCAGAGGATGCTGAGTATGTGCCAATTACCATTACTTCTATATTCCATATTATTCTAATGAGAATTTTATCATCGCTTCTCACATGACTTCATTTTAAAAACTGTTTTTTTGTGAATCTATCTTGAGTTTCTGGAGGCTTGGGGGAGGGAGTAGTGTGTGCATGAAAAGGGGAGCTAGTGGACACACGACGTGCAAACTATTAGAAACCACCTCACAATCTCTAACATTTTCTCCTGAGTGAGGATAGAGTAATCCATGCTTTCTCACATGTATTAGTTCATTTTCACACTGCTGTAAAGAACTGCCCATGACTGGGTAATTTACAAAGGAAAAGGGTTTAATTGACTCACAGTTCAGTATGGCTGGGGAGGCCTCAGTAAGGCAAAGGGGAAGCAAGGCACTTTCTTCACAAGGCAGCAGGAAGGAGAATATATGCAGGAGGAACTATCAAACACTTATGAAACCATCAGATCTCGTGAGAAATCACTCACTGTCATGAGAGCGGCATGGGGAAAACCAACCCCATGATTCAATTACCTCCACCTGATTTCTCCCTTGACATGTGGGGAGTATATGGATTAAGGGGATTACAATTCAAGATGAGATTTTTGGTGGAGACAGAGCCAAACCAAATTACCACAGAATGAGTGAGTTTGTCTTAATATAGCCATACCTCTTTGATGCTTCTGTTGTAATTGTAGTATATATTAATAGTCTGTTTACATAATAAATTTAATATAATAACAGGATATATCTGTAGCTATGTAAGATAATGTACATGTTGTATGCTGTGAACAAACTGAAATCAAGGACAATTCAAGGTAAAATATTCCTAAAAATTTATTTCTATAAATCACACATTAGTAGTCTACATGTTCTCTAATATGACATAGGTATAAAGATAGATAAGTCACATCATTTGTCAACATTCTTGCTCTTTAGCTAATTCACCAAAATGCAAACTGTAAAGGCAGATAATTTTTGCCCTCTTGTACCTAATCTTGTCTGACATCAGAATTTCCAGCCAAATAAATTATGACTGGCACTCCAAGTAACTACTTCTAAAGTTGTCAAGTTCTCCAAGATGCTAGGGGATACCAGGAATGTTTCAGGGCAATGTCCCTCAGAAGGAAGGTCACCTACTGAAGAATGACAGTGCTTTGAAGTCTCTCTAATTTTAAGAAGTCAAAAAATGAGACATGTAACAATGAGATTATAAACGTAAAGTAGTCAAAGAAGTCCATAAAAAAGCAACATTAATTCATAAGGAAAAGAATTATCGATAAATACAATGAAAACAAAAAATATTTTTAACTTGAAGTTTTTGACAACTTCTTATATTTAAAAACATATTTTTATATAAAAAGTTAGACTGTAGAAATGTAATCTGGTTCAATAGAGCTTTATAGATCAGTGAACAGAAACATAAATCAATTAGGATTTAAATCTTTTAGCCTTTGGATTTTAAAACCATCATTAAACAATTTGAATGGTGCCTAAATACCAATACAGCAAAATGAGTGTTAAGAATTCAGGCTCTGAAAATATGACAGACTTCAGTTTAAGCTCTAGGTTGCATCACTTACTAGCTAATTAAGCATTAATTTTTGTATTTTTAGCATGGAGTTAATAATAGAAGTTATTTTGGAGGTTCTTTGCAAAGGTTAAATAACATACTATATTCAACCAAGAACAATATAAATTGTATTGTTCTTTTTATAATAAATCATTTTATATATGCTAATGAATAATTTTAAAGTATTAATAAGGTAATATTATTGCTGTCACCCTCAAAATATTTAGGCTTAAAGAACATTATCATTCACTTAGCTCAAGGGAATAATTGGTTCTTTCTGTTCCTATCAATTCCTCCTGCATATGTCCTGAATATGTCACATCTTTGTTTAGACTGTGGTGTTTTTATGTTTATTTTATATTATTTCTCACCAAAATTTATCAGGAGTTTTTCAAGTTGTCTTCCTGAATATCTCCTCCTTCCACACACACTTCTTTCATCGCTGATGATTTTTCTTTCATTTTTCTAAAACAATAATTGTGTTGCTTTTGCCAAGAGAACATCTTTGGTTTATAATTATATAAATTGTACTAGCACATATTATACAGCTATGTGTGATACATAGCCAACATTCTGGTATAAATTAAATATGTTATCTCAATTTAATTTGATGTGGTTTGAGTGTGTCCCCATCCAAATTTCATCTTGAATTGTAGTTCTCATAATCCCCACTTGTCATGGGAGGAACCCAGTGGGAGGTAAGTCAAATGAGTTTCATAATATTATTTCTAAATACAGATGATAATACTCAGTATATAACTAACAATGTATACTGGGGGAAATTAGAAGTCCCAAAATTTGTTTCTGCCATGGACTATTCCAAATCTGAACACTTCTTCTTTCTTTCATTTATCCCCAAATCAAGCATTATCTCTAGCCATGTGGAATATCATGCATCCCTTAGACTATCTCAGGGACATTCAGATTCTTGTGTCTTTGAACGTCAGATTATTCCTGCTCAGAATGACCGTCTCTACTTTTTGTCTTTGGAAGATTTCATGTTGTGTTGCAAGAATCAGAAGAGTTCTCAGTGCATTGCACAGTGCACACGCAATGACCATACCACATATGCAGTGTGTATGCGTATGTTTGGGTATTTCTGTGTGTTTGTTTTTCATGTTTCTAACCGAGTAGAACACAGCCTCCTCAAATATAGCTGAATCGTAATTAATGTACATTTTTTAGTTGCTGTTTTTGTTAACAGTTCCTGGAAGAATTTCAGGTATATTATAGATGTTCAAAAGTGCTTGATTAAATGGATGAAAGAATAAATAACATTCTATGATGCTGAAATTTAGTATTATAAAGTGATTTTTAACAATAAAGAGAATAATTCAGATCTGTGTTTGCTTAATGGATTTTCAGAATTTGACTTTAACTACAAAAATAGTAGCAAATACTAAAATAAAAAGTTTTTTTCTGAATAGGTTTTGATTTTCTCTCCCATAACATTAAGTTTTTGGCAGCTGATATTTATGGAATAAAAATGATGTGAATCTAATAATAAAATGTAAGCTAGCCAACTCTATTTCCTACAGAATACTCTATAAAATAAATTGTAATAAACCAAACTCTTCTAGACAGTAATGATGGATAATTTCAATTTATCTTATTTCATGAATAAAAATATACCTATCATAAATCTTTTCTTTTAACATAAATTACTACTGTTAAATTTCTGATGATGCTACCTCCCACAAATTATAACCTGAGAATCCTTAAAAAAGAAGCTGAAAATATATTATAGATGATTTTATTCTTAGCATTCATATTGATCCATAGACTATAGCTGACATATTGAAACCATTTGTCATCCTAAAATATATTTTATTCAATAATCTTGATACTTATTAATTTATCCTCTTGTTGCAAATGCCACACATATTTAAATATAAAACAACTGTATTCATCCTTCAGCAATAAACATCTCTTAGTCTGAAGAGTATAGAAAATTTGTGCGCACAAAATATAAAGGGCAAAGAAAACTTATTTTAGCTGATACATAAATCAATTAACTATATTTCTCCTCTTTTTTATTTTTTTACCTCTTTGTATTCTTCTGTTCTTCAATATCCTCATCACTCATATCATCTTCATTGTTATTAGTAAGCATATACGTAATTGTTAAAAATAATAAGGAAAGTTACTTTTTTCACTATTTAGTATTTTAAAAGCACAATATTTGGTAATTTGCATACATTATACCATTTGTAAAATGAATGATATTTTCTTCATTTCTTATAATAGGAAACAGATACAATTATATGTGTCCAATGCCTAGTGCGATACCAATGAATGTTATGCTGACTCAAAGGAAAAGCCATTAGGAAAAGCTGACTTAAGGGCATGCTTCATGAAAGGAGGAAGGTGTTGGAAAAAGCATAACACATTAGAACTTGTGTTATTTCTAGTGTAGAATTTGCTTAAGAAAAAATCAGGTGATAAACTTGAATTAATGATATGCTAGATTATGAAAAATACCAAGTGTCAGATGAGAGTATGATATTCATTTTATTATAATTGGGATGATTCTGATGGTCTTACATTATAGTTTAGTATGTTTTCAATTGTGTTTTACAAATGTTATCCTGATAATCATAGAGAAACTGCTGAAACAAGAAGAGATGAGTGTCAAGTTGACAAGCTAGAAAATTTTGCAATAGCCCAAGAAAGATAAACAGCCAGTGAAGGGATGAACTATGGGTGAGACATTGAGAATAAAATAAAAATATAAATAGATCTAAGAAGATGAGAAGAATTGATAGGTTAAATACAAAAATTATCCCGAAATAGGAAGAGAAGCAATTGAAGTCAAAGATGAATTTAGCTTTCTGAAATGAAAGAAAGGAAGAATCATGTGTCTTTGGCATAACAGGAAACGCAAGAGGTTATATAAGGGAAGATGGAGAACTTGTTTTAACAAGACAGATTGCAGATGATATAGCACTCTTCAGGATCAGATACTTGGAAGTTGAACAGAGATGCTCAGAATCTAGCTTTAATGTGTCTGCCTGTCTCATAGCAATGATACTACTTGAGCTCTCAGAGAGAATGAGCAAAATATGATGCCTAATCTTTTTCACCACATTCTCACTTAGAGGAAAGATAATGATAAGAAAGAAAAGAAAATGAAATGTGTCCAAGATATGGATCCAGAAGCAGACACTGTTTCATTATAGAAACAAAAAGAGATTACAAATTAAAAACATGTTTATACACCTGCGATAATAACTACTTGTCAACCTTTTGAGCACTCACTATTCTTGACATGTATTTTTATATGCATTATAGTTAATTAATACAATAAAATTCCATGAAATAAATATATTTATTATTATTGCCATTTTGGCTAGAGGAAACCAAAACACAAATTACACAACTTGACCAACATGAAAAATAAACATTAGTTATAATTGTGTTAACTTCCAAATCTATATCTGTCTGATTCTACTCATGACTGAATATTAGGTGAAACACTTATTAATCTTAAAGAACCGATATTTGATAACTCATCTTCCTGGCTTATCTTCCTGCTATGTATCCTTAATCAATTAGTACCAAAAGGAAAGGGATGCATTAACTTATTGGTGAGTTGGGAGAGCAAACTGGACATGTGCAGTCCTTCCTGCTTGCCTGAAGAGAGAACGTGTGCTGCTGAGCCCCACTGGCCTGCAGTAAGCATAGCAGGGTAACTTTTGAGATGGGCTAAATTCAATTCAAATAGTGTCAGAAAGTACGTATGGCATTAAAACTAAACAACTTTTCTCTAAGCGGTTTTTCACAAGAAAAATTAATAAAAGTTTACCTCTGACTCTCACATTTATCTCTGTTTTATTCAAGATGGGCATAGAGGAGAGGAGATATGGTTATAATTGCTTACCTCATTATCTCCCATGTGTGATATCCAGTAATAGACTATATCTGTGACACCCTAATCACCCTAATCCTCCTGATTATCACTCACTATTTGCTAGAGAACAATACAGAGGCCACTTCCTTAAGGTATATTTACTATCCTGTGCAGGGCAAGGGGGATTTACCTGGTCTTCAAATGTGGTAGATATACCCTAAGATGACCCCAGTGAGTTACTCTCATGGAATCTCTTCCCCTTGAGCGCAAGTGAAACCTGTGACTTGAACTTAACTAAAATAATATTACCAAAGTGATGAGCTGTCGCTCCTTTCATTAGGTTATGCTGTGGAGCAAAGGCAATAGGATGTTGCTCCCACTCTGTCAGAGTAGAGAGAGGGAAACTCCTGCCAGCTTTGCAGAAGTATACTGCAATGTTATAAGAGGGCTTATGAGGTGGCCAAGAAGTGGTGAGAGTGTCCCTGGCCAATGACCAGAAAGAAAACAGGGACCTCAGTTTTAAACCATAAAGAAATGAATTTTGCAAACAACCTGGAGAGCTTGCAAATGGATCCCTCCTCAGGCAAGCCTTTAGATGAGAATGTAGTATGACTTACATCTTGATTGCAGCCTTAGGAGACCATGAACAAAAACTTGAGCTAAGTTGTTTCTGAAATTCTAACCCTTCATAACTGTGAGATAATACATGTGTATTATTTTAAACACTAAGTTTGGTATAATTTCTGATACAGCAATGGAAAACAAATATACCACATATATAATCGGTGTAACCATACTTGTGATTTGACACAATCACTCACACCACCTACTGCATGATTGTCCTGTGGCATAAGGCTATCATTGTGGTGAAAGTCAAGTGATAGCCTCAAAAACAACCCCTTCAGGAGTCAAGATAGTAAATAAAAAAGAAATTGTGTTCTGGAGTTGTGGGAAGGGATTATTAAAATAATGCCACCCTTAAGTACATAAAGAACACAAAGCTGAGGATTCCTAAGATATCAACACATAACTCACCAGGCTGGATCCTCCAGTAAAGCTCTAAACCTTTAGTGACAGCAGATTTTCACAAATTCAATTTAGTGGCACCAAATTCTCACTCTATATCAAATGTGATATATTTGTTACAGCAGATTTACATGATCTCCAAGACATAGTATGAAGACATCGGTTTGGTGAACAGTTTATATTCAGATTCACATAGAACAGAAAACAATACACATTTATAGCTTAGCTCTAGAACTATGTCAATTATTTGGTTATGTATCATAACATTGTCCAAAGTGATATGGACCATCTGGATGTCCCACAGAACATTAAAATGACTCATTAATCAATAATATTATGCTAATTGGTCTAAACGAGCAAGAAATGCCTAGCATATTGGAGGGCTTTGCTGATACATCCACTCTAGAAGGTGGGAGACGTACCCAGAGAAAACCACTAAATCACATTACATCATTAACCTGTTTAGGGGTTCCGTGGTCATAGGTGTATTAGGATATGACATCTAACATAAAAAGTTCACCTTTGCTCATAACTACAAAGAAGACAGTACGTGATATAACGTTAAATCCAGAGGACTGCTATTCTATATGTATATATTATATCAAAATCAGTGGTAATGGAGATGTGCAATACTGATGAAGTCATTTTTAGTTAAAGTCTGTAATTTTGATAAGACATGAGGGAAAAGATTGGTTGTCTCAGTCTTGAGTGGAGTATTTAAGAACAAATTTTTTACTCGGTATTCTCTGGTAATAAGCAAATTCAGTCATCTACATTGAAAGATAAAACAAAGACATGGCAATTAGTCATATTTATATGTATTTGTAAAACCAAGTAAAATTTTTGCTTTATTCTTACTAGGATATTCTTTCTTTGTTCAATATAGATTTGAAAAACTTTCATTTTTATTGCAGCCTGCAAAGACTGATTTTACCTTCTAAAAATTAAATGAGGTTGAGATTATATAAAGACATTTTATGTGAAGTTTAGAAGCTTAAGATAGTGTGTGTGCCCTGAAGAAATCTCATGTTTAGATGCCTTTGAAACTCCTTATTTGTGTTTCACTCTGTCTTGATACATCTTTAGTTTCTTTAATCAATGAACACACTGCTCCACACAGCCCCTAAGGCAAAAGTTGCCATAATCAGTTTTCAGTATAAGACAAAAGCAAACTGAAAAGAGTACTCCAGAATATGTTTACTAGTATCCCTGACAGAAGTTTTCAATCTCCCTACAGCCACCACACATTATGAATGGCAAAATGTATCTTGTCAGTAGAGCCAGTGTCTTTACATATACTCTGGAAATTAGAGTCTGGTGTCAATTTTTAAAAAGTGAATGTAGCATTTTAAAAAATACTTGATTGGTCAGAGATATATGACAAAAAATTCCTAATAAAGGAAAGGTGTTTACACATTGTTCCAAATTTGTATAGGTTTTCTTTATCTACCTGTTATGTAATAAAACTAATAAATGAATAAATTTTCACTTTCTTTAACCTGTCAGACAAAACCTACAAAAACTAGAGGAAGAGTCTGGTATAGAAGACATATTTATAGAACTGGGCAATAATTTTCTATATTCTCTATATGTTAATGAACTCTTGACATTATAGTATCTAACTTAAGAAGGTAGGCTTTTTAATTAGGCAGATCTGGGTTCTACCATTCACTAATTACGTAACCTGATTAATTACTAAACCACACAAATTTCCATTATTTCTTTTATAAAGTGGCTGTATTAACAATACTTATCTCTTAAAGTTGTTTAAGGTATTAAAAGATGCATATAATGGAGCTGACACAGTTTTCACATTAGACATTTTGGCTGCCTCCTCCTCCTCCTCCTTCTTTGTGGTCATTGTCATTGTTGTCAGGCTTTAAAATAGAACTATAAAACTGCAATTGTAGCATTTTATTTTATTTTAAGTTTCCCTGACCCTGTTCTTGTCCTCAAATTTCACCTCCCCAGAGAAGCCTTTCTGTACTATTAATCTAAATTAGTTCCAACAAGCAATTCTATCTCGTTACCCTATTTTATTTTTTTCCTAGCATTTGTAATCGTTATCTTGTTTATTCATCTACTTACTATTTCATAATTAGTTCCCAATTCCAATGTCTGTCCATAAGAGGACAGACTTTATCATGTGCTGCTCTATCCACCTGGCATTTAGTAGGCACCATGTAAGTACTCATTAGGTTAATGAATATGAATGTTCTCATTGTTTTTTTTTGCTTCTTCATCAAGAATCAATTGTTTATTTCCAAAAAGACAACCAGAACAACTTTTTGATAAGACGTAACAAAGCTTATTAGACTTATTGAAGCAAAGTAGAGCAGTATCTCAACAAAAATCTTAGAAGTGTTTCAAAATGGAAAATATGGGCATGGTTTAGTTGCAGTTTGAAGGCTTGAGTTGAAGAATTTTAAGATGGCTGTTACAGGGTTGGAAAGTAGATGGGCTACTATTATGACAATTGTTTGGATGAAGGGTACAGCAAGATGAAGATCTTTAAATGAGCCATAAGTAAGCTGTTCAATTGTTTTGGTTTCTTACCTTCTAGGAACTGGTATTTCCTTCAGTAAGCATTGGAGTTATTTTTGTTGCTCTCAGTGTTGCTTAGCAAAGAACAGGGAATTATGCTTCTTCCAAGAATTGTTTAACATAGGGACCAGGAAATATATCTGGTTCCAATATTGTTTAACACATGGACAGAAAATTACATGGTTTCAGATTTTCAAGCTT
The DNA here is from genome assembly GCF_000001405.40 of Homo sapiens. Taxonomy (NCBI): domain Eukaryota; kingdom Metazoa; phylum Chordata; class Mammalia; order Primates; family Hominidae; genus Homo; species Homo sapiens. Next base: position 34,245,587 of record NC_000004.12, read on the forward strand.
TATTTGCATTTGACACACGGATTCCTTTCTTATTTTTGCATAGCTATCACTTGTGTATGTTATACACGAGTTGGTTTGTATTCTAGTTTTCACTTGTGCTTTTGCATTATATTTTTCTAGAGCTCCTCTTACTTGCATTTTTTTCTGTCTCATTAGCTGAATAAACTTATATAGTTCTCACCCATTCAATGTGGATTCATATAAAAATTCAGTTCTAGGCCTACTTGAAATTTTTAGTCTTCCCTTATTCATTCAGATATACTACTCATTGTCACGTCTTCAAATATAGTGCTTACACTTGATTTTAAATGTTAAATTTTTATTATAATCTTTTCTCTAATTTTCTGCCTCCTCTCCATACAGAGTAGACAATATTTGTAAGATATTGTCCCACTTTTACGTCCTTGTCTATATAAACATCTACTTGTCTGTATAAACATCTATATAGATGTCTATTTTAATATCTACTAGTGGGCATCTCTTACAGTGTTTTGTAAAAATTCCATCAGAGAGTCTATTACATGGATAGGCTTGATGCTTTGAAAATAAATTTAACACTCTTCTGTCTACTGACTTCCCATCCACCGAGCTATCACAGTTTTTAGCTGTTAATAGCGTCAATACTTGCAGCATCTCTGATAAGAACAATTCTGCTTCACCTCCCTGACCAGTAATAAGTTTTAGTTTTAGTAACTGATGCCTCTTACAAATTGACTTTTGTATGGTCTCTTAGTATTGTTTCTCCAATGCCAAGATTCACATAGCAGTCAGATTAAATTTCCTAAAATTCTACTTTGACCTTCTTAAATAAATACCTTCAGTGATACGGAACTGCCTATAATATGACATCTATTCAGCTTAGCTTAATATTTATGATAACTTACAATTAATCTCTGGACAACCTTAGATAATTTCTAGGTAAAAGTATTTTCTATTGTTTTTCTATATCAATTAAGGAGCTTGCTGGCCCACCGGTTATGCCTTCAATGTGCCATGCATTTTTCTCCACCTTTGAATCTATATTCTCCCTGCTTAAAATACTTTTCTGTCAGCCCTGTTTCTCTTTCAATCCCCACTTCAAATTCCTTTTTCATGAAACCTTACCAAAGTAGTATAATCCACAGGGATAGCTAAATATTGAAAGGTAATAAATTCAATGATAATGTTCATTTGTAATGCACAATATATATTGCCCTGGCTTGACTGTAATTTCACAGTTTTTATTTGTGTTTGTTTTTTCTCTTCATATTAAATATGCAAAATCTCATTATTAGAGCATTTGTAACATATGCATTTAGATGCTCTGGAGACCCTAATTTGCATGCATATTTTTTAAAACAAATATCATAGATGTTCAGTGTTATTACTTTAGAGATTTGAAATTTAGTAAGTACAATGGACTGAATGGTTGTGTCCCCACTCAGAAACAAATGTTGAAATCCTAACCCTAGTACAATGATATTAGGAGGTGGTGCCTTTGGGAAACAATTAGGTCATGAGGGTGGAACCCTCATGGGTAGGATTAGTGCCATTATAAAAGATATCCCAGAGAGCTCTCTGCCCTCTTCTGCTATGTGAGGATACAATGCGAAGATGGCAATCTGTACCCTGAAAAAAGAGAGTCCTCTCTAGAACCTGATCAGGCTGCCCTCTGATCTTGGACTTCTAGACTTCAGAACTGTAAAAAATATATTTCTATTTTTTAAAAGCCATCCAGTTCATGGGCCTTTGTTAGAGCAGCCTGAGTAAACTGAGACAGTAAGGCATGGGTATGACCCCTAGAAAGCTCTCTAAAGAATTAGGGCCATGAGTAAGAAATGCAGAATTATTTGGTTCACTAGTAGATAACAGACAGGCGAATCAAATAAACAAGCTGGTACTTCAGAGAATTGTTCTGAGATTAAAAAGTACCTTCAGGCTCTTCAGGCAGGGCTGGAAATATCCTTTTTCAATAGGCTATAGTACTGCACAGCCTTCTCTTACATAAGGTATTGTGTTTGTTTCTATCCTATTAAATATGTGAAATATATTGAAGTCAATTTGTTTCTAGTCTCATGAAAAAAATAGAGTTTATCACCTTCTAGGACTCTTCAAAGTTATAAAAATCAAAGAAAATACATTTTCAAATATTTTGCTCATAAAACTGCCTCTGAAATAAAACACAGAATATTTTGCATTAGCAATTGGGTTTCCCTCATGTTTATTACTTCAATTTTTGCTCTTGGAATAGACGCTACCTAAGAATAAAAACTAACACATAGTAAGTCTTCAACAAGCCTATATTTATTGAATTTAAAGGTACAAGGTAATCATATTTAGTTTCTTCTTGTGCATTTTTATACCTTACGTATTCTTTAGTTAACTGAATAGAATATTTCCTTTCCTAGTACTTAATTTACTCTTTCTCTAGAAAATTGAGCACTTAGAGATTTTCTGGAAGATGCTTACTGCATGTGTATGTGCTAACTAAAACGGCATTTCTTATGCATCCATTAATTATTTTTGAAAAAGTATTTTCCATGGGTTCTGAAGAATTTTAGTTACAAGAGATCATGAGATGCTGAATAAGAAAAAAAACAAACAGTGTGTTCAAATAAATTTAGAAACACTGTCTACTCAACTTTTCAAAAAAATTCAACTTGAATTTTAGATATGGGGGTCCTTCTCCATGTTTGCTACATGGATATACTAAATGATGCTGAGGTTTGGGATATGAATCCCATCACCCAGGAAGTGAGCATAGTACCTGAAAGGTAGTTTTTTTTAACTCACCCTCCTCCTTCCCTTCCTACTCTAGTAGTACAGTGTCTATTGTTCCTGTATTTATGTCTATCTGTGCTAACCAATATTTAGCTTCCTTTTTTTGTTTTTTTTGACATGGAGTCTTGCTCTGTTGCCCAGGCTGGAGTGCAATGGTGTGATCTCAGCTTACTACGACCTCTGCCTCACGGGTACAAGCGCTTCTCCTGCCTCAGCCTCCAGAGTAGCTGGGATTACAGGTGCCAGCCACCATGCCCAGTTAATTTTTGCATTTTTAGTAGAGACGAGGTTTTACCATATTGGCCAGGCTGGTCTCGAACTCCTGACCTTGTGATCCACCCACCTTGGCCTTCCGAAGTGCTGGGATTACAGGTGTGAGGCATCGCACCTGGCCTTAGCTTCCATTCTTAAATGAGGCTATGTGGTATTTGGTTTTTAGGTCTTGCATTAACTCCCTTAGGATTATGGCCACTGGTTCCATTCATGTTGCTGCAAAGGATAAGATTTTATTGGTGTGTTTTTTTTTTTTTTTTTTTGACTGTGTAGTATTCAATGGTATATATGAGATACCATCTCACACCAGCCAGGTTGACTGCTATCAAAAACTCAAAAAACAGCAGATGCTGATGAGGCTGTGGACAAAAATGAATGCTTTTATACTGTTGGTGGGAATGTAAATTAGTCCAGCCACTGTGGAAAGCAGTCTGGAGATTTCTCAAGGAACTTAAAGTTACTATTCGACCCAGAAATCCCATTACTGGGTGTATACCCAAAAGAAAATAAATGATTCTATTAACTGTTATCTGGAGATTCACACTGTGAATTTCCATTTTAAGGAGTTTGTAAAGTCCTGCAAGAAATAAACTTGTTTCTTTTTATTTAACTTAGAGTTTTCCTATCATTTTACATAATGTTATTTAGATCAGTCATTTTCAAAACTTCTCTGTGAAAGATCCATCTTTATTTATTTATTTTTATTATACTTTAAGTTATGGGGTACATGTGAAGAACGTGCAGTTTTGTTACATAGGTATATGCGTGCCATGGTGGTTTGCTGCACCCATCAACCCGTCACCTATATTAAGTATTTCTCCTAATGTTTTTCCTCCCCTAGCCCCCCACCTCCCAACAGGCCCTGGTGTGTGATGTTCCCCTCCCTACATCTATGTGTTCTCATTGTTCAACTCCCACTTATGAGTGAAAACATGCAGTGTTTGGTATTCTGTTCTTGTGATAGTTTGCTGAGAATGATGGTTTCCAGCTTCATCCATGGCCCTGCAAAGGACATGAACTCATCCTTTTTTATGGCTGCATAGTATTCTATGGTGCATATGTGCCACATTTTCTTTATCCAGTCTATTATTGATGGACATTTGGGTTGGTTCCAAGACTTTGCTATTGTGAATAGTGCCACAATAAACATACGTGTGCATGTGTCTTTATAGCAGCATGTTTTATAATCCTTTGGGTATATACCCAGTAATGAGATTGCTGGGTCAAATGGTATTTCTAGTTCTAGATAGTTGAGGAATCACCACGCTGACTTCCACAATGGTTGAACTAATTTACACTCCCACCAACTGTGTAAAAGCCCTATTTCTCCACATCCTCTCCAGCATCTGTTGTTTCCTGACTTTTTAATGACTGCCATTCTAACTGGTGTGAGATGGTATCTCATTGTGGTTTTGATTTGCATTTCTCTAATGACCAGTGATAATAAGCATTTTTTTCATATGTCTGTTGGCTGCATAAATGTCTTCTTTCGAGAAGTGTCTGTTCATATCCTTTGCCCACTTTTTGATGCCGTTGTTTGTTTTTTCTTGTGAATTTAAGTTCTTTATAGATTCTGGATATTAGCCCTTTGTCAGATGAATAGATTGCAAAAAATCTTCTCCCATTCTGTAGGTTGCCTGTTCACTCTGATGATAGTTTCTTTTGCTGTGCAGAAACCCTTTAGTTTAATTAGATCCCATTTGTCAATTTTGGCTTTTGTTGCCATTGCTTTGGTGTTTTAGACATGAAGTCTTTGCCCATGCCTATGTCCTGAATGGTATTGCCCAGGTTTTCTTCTAGGATTTTTGTGGTCCTAGGTCTTATGTTTAAATCTTTGATTCATCTCGAGTTGATTTTTGTATAAGGTGTAAGGAAGGGGTCCAGTTTCAGTTTTCTGCATATGGCTAGCCAGTTTTCCCAACACCATTTATTGAATAGGGGATCTTTTCCCCATTGCTTGTTTGTGTCAGGTTTTTCAAAGATCAGATGGTTGTAGATGTGTGGTGTTATTTCTGAGGACTCAAGTGCCCCATTCATTTCTTGACTTGGAGTTTCATACATTGGCATGACTCCATGATTTTCTTCTCTCCTCTCTTGGTTCTTCCTCTGGGGCAGGATGTTGCTCAACTGCTGCATGCACAGTGTTGGTCAGCATTTTGGAGTGTGACACATACACAGTGTGTTTACTGAGGTTGTGCTCATGCTCTCTAGGGGCAATTTTCCTTTATTGGTTGAACACCCACAAAGCAAGGTCATGCATCTGCCATTTTGCCTCTTAGTATTCATGCTCGAGCCTGCTAGCCCACCTCTTTAGTTCTTACTGGGAAGCTGCAGATCCAGCTCCAGGTGTATTCTATCTATTGGAAGACTGTCTTCCCCTGTCACTGGCTGTGACCAATTATTATTTCAGAGAGACAGTTTAACAACTGCCTGACCATCACCTGACATTTGCCTGACATTCCTGGGGGTTCCTCTCCTGCCCTGCTTATGTCTGCCTAACTACCTACTCTAACAATTACAAATCCTGAATGCCATTTTGATGTGTAGCCAATTTGGGAAACTAATTCACTGTGGAATAAGCATTTTGATAAGTGAGATTACACAGCACAGGGCACTTTCTTTTTCAGTCTCGTTTTTATAGTCTCTAAGGAGGGTTACAAGAGGAGGGGGAGAGGAAGAAGACATTGGGAGGCCCAGGTCCAGCCAAAAAAGCAACATTTCAGTCATTACCAGAAAATTAAATGCTTCCTAGTATGTGAATGATTCCTTAAGGTCTGGGCAACCACAGGTATGAGTAGAGCCCATAGAGTTCCCTCAAAAGACACAGAGATTCTAGTAGCACCTACTATTAACGAAACAAAAATCATTGCAAGGGTGTGTGCAGATTATTGAATGCCTCTGCACGTAAGTTTCAGATCTTCTAATTCCATATTTATCTATCTCTGGTTAATCTACTGCCTTTAAAGTGTTTTAAGTTGTTGTTTTCTGAGCTATGTCTAACTCTAATGTATTGAGCTACTGGTTCATTTCCTAATCAGAACTGACTCCTGGAGTCCACCACCAGCCTTGCCCTGTCTACAAGCTCCTTTTTGCCTTGCCTTCATTCTCTAACATATTCTCTGAGTTGCTATTAATTTGTGGTGCTTTTCCTAACAGTGTACCTATATTTAGATCAATAACGGGTTCCTGAAGAAAACTGTCACTTTTGTAGTGACAGTTTCATAGTATCTAGACTGCCAACATGGGCTCAGTTTGACTATGTTTTAGAGAAGCTTCTTCCTTACTATAGCCCCTGACTTCCCTTTCCTTTAGAAAACTTGTAATTACAGATTTCTTCTCTGCGTCCTTGAAATGCAGATCTTTATAAAAGCCTCTTGTCAGATTTACCACACAGGACTGTCTCACTAGGACCTGGGAGCCATCCCTTTGATATATAATCATCATCAAGGAAGACAGCACCTCTACCTCCCAGCCTCTGTGGTAGGGTAGGAATCTGACTTCAATGGGTGACATATTCTAAGTTGTAAAACTATGTCTAGTTATGAAAATATCAGAAAGTTTACTTTTCATTTGGGTAACACCAATTAACAACCATAAATGGCCTATGTCCACCCCTTTCCACACTGCATTTCAATAAATTAAAATAAAGTCTTCCTTGCCTGTTTAACTTTATCCTGTATAATTTTTGCTTTGAGGTCTAATGATTTCTCATACATTAACCTAAATATAGTGACTATTAAGATATTTCATTACTGATTTAAGAATTCTTAATTGGAACCATTTATTAAATTAGCAAAGAAATATGAAAACAACATTTTCCATAGAATTTTTTATTTTTTTAGTGTTGTTACATTATTTTGTATTTGATAAAATCAGGTCACCTTGTACCACTTAAACAAATATAAACATTTTTATAATAATTTATATCAAACTAATATTTTTATATTTCTAAATCATTCCTATTTATACACATGATAAAATACAATGAAGTTTGTGTGCCAATTAAATAATATTCCAGACATTTTCCTAAGCACCATCTGTTCTCCCTTTTAAATACTCAAATGTTCAGCTTAATAGAGTATGTCCTGAATCTTCCTGTTCCATATTTGCCATATTATATTGCATTATTTTTTCCACATTATTAATCTGAAATGATGATCATCATTACTTTCTTATGTGCTATAATTTTATAAATATATCCGGCTATTTTACATCTGATGGTTCAGGCTGAATTTATAATGACCATGAATTATCTCTCTGAGTGTCATTTTAAGGTGTCCATGTGCTTTTATAATGTTTTCTAAAGTAAAAATTGAAGAAAACAGTCGCATATTTTACATAGCTCTTGTTGGTGTTTTCTTATTTGTGAAAGTGTATAACTTTTATTGTTCTTATTTTTTAAAAAGAGTGTTCATTTTTAAATAAGATAGAACAATGTGATGATTCCTGGACTCTTCAATAAGCACCTAGAGAGTAATAGGAGCTTTTTATAACATTCAAGAGAAATTATAATTGTATCAGTCATCTTGGCATATCCTTAATGATTTGCCACCAGAATGTTTTAAGGATGGTCCTGACTTTTAATTCAAAATAGTAAGATTTAAATGTTACATTTTAAAGCTTTAAGGATAAGAATAAAAGATAATTCAATTGAATTTGATTTTTAGGTTAAAGATACAGAAGCACTGAGAAGTTAAGTTGCCCAAAATGACATTGCTAGAAGATGGCAAGCCCAGGCATAAGTCTGGGTTGCTATGCACCAAGCTGCAAGCTTTTAATCAGTAGGCTAAACTGCCTTCTAAGTAAATTACTTGGAAGAAATGAATATGCTGTTTGCTTCTTTGCTCCCTAAAGCATTATCTGGCACACCCTCATGATTCAAGGCCCAAGTTACTCTATTCTTTTGATCCTTTCCACTACAAAATTCATTGATCTTAGAAACAGCTTGTGTGATAGACAAAGCTATAACTAAATGTGAAATGTCATTATTTGGCAATCTGAAATCAAAATTAGATATTCCTATTTAAATTTCAAAATCTGTATACACACACAGGTGACTGTATCCTAGATTTTGAAGTAATACACTTTTTATATTTTGAACACTGTTTTTCTCTATTCCCAGTTTCCCCTTAATTTTACATTGCTTGATGCGCTTTCTACAGTCCTTTCACCCTGTCTCAACATAGAGTGGAGGGTAAGCATCCCCCAGAGCTAGCTGTATTCCCATTCTCCAAATTAGCTGATTATGGGCTGAGATAGATGCCATTCTCTCGGAGGTGTGGAACTTCTTCATCTAAAATGACCAGTCTCTACAGACCAATTAAGCAAAAGAATGCTGAGCCGGCTTCCGACAGGTAAAGCTCTCAAAACACACAGCAACTGTCAGGCTATGAACCTCTAAGCAATTTCTGTGAGAGAATTTTCTGAAAGGTTGAGCTAATGGGTTTGAGTACAGCTGTGCACAATGTTTTGCAGAGCCAGCAAAACTAGGGAAATGTAAGTTTTTGCCAGTTTGCTAGAACAGTGGTTCTCTGCTTTCATAAACAAGGTCCTGTAGATATGCAAGGGATTCCTTCACTACTAAAGACTGCTCTTCATTTGGAGTAAGCACCAATTTTGAACTCAGACCACCCTGTGGCCTTCATCTGCTTAAACATAAAAAAAAGACAAAGTCAAGTTTTATTGAGTAGATTTGGCTACACTTGTACTTTCATCTGTTCCCTGAGCTTTTATGTTCTTTCCAGGGGAATTTCTCAGCAGGCTTTTCTGCATAATGATATCTGAAATGCTGTCACCACTAATCGATCTCAAACTTGTTTGAAGGGGTATCATATATTACTGAGGAATCAAACTGCATACATTTTCCTTATTTAACATGAACTTTATTATAATAAGGGAAAGTGGAAAAAACTGAGGCTTCGGAATCCAAAGGTTTGGATTAGAACTCTGGGTTTAATCACCTAATAGTTGTGTGTTCCTGGGTAAGTTAGTTAGCCCCTTCCTATTAGCTTTATCATTGTTAATTCATCTCACATATTATGGTGATTAAGTCTGCTCATGTATCTGAAATGTGTCCAGGGGGTGCCTGGTACATTGTGTGTGCTTGCTGAGTGAATCTTCCTTACCTATACTCTAGATATTTTTAAAGAACAAAATTGGTCCGGAATTTTTTATTTTTTAAATTTCATTTATTCATTCATTCATTCATTCATCCAGTCATTCATTTAGTAAGAGATAGAGTCTCACTATGTTGCCCAGGCAGGAGTGTAGTCTATTTATAGGTGTGGTCATAGCACACTATATCCTTGAACTCCTGGACTCAAGGGATCCTCCCACTTCAGCCTCCCATGTACCTGGGACTATAGGAACATGTCATTGTGCCCAGCTAGTCTTGAAGTTTCTTTAAAGACTACTACATTTTTAGTGGATGACACCATTGAGGTTTCCAACCTTATTTCTATGTTTATCAACATTATGATTGTGTTTCACTCAAGACAAGCAAAGAGTGGTGTAGTGGACCAATGTGCTCCATGACCTATTTTTGCATAGTCCATGAGCTAATGATGATTTTTACAATTTTAATTGCTAAAGAAAGAGAATATTTTGTGACACATGAAAATTATATGAAATCAATATTTGAGTGCCGTTTAAAACATACTCACACACTTAAGTTTTGTGCGTGCCTGCTTTAGTGCAGCAATGGCCCAGTTGAGTAGTTGCCAACAGAAACCATAGAGTCTACAAAGTCATATACTTTATACTATCTGGCTCTTTACTGAAAAAATTTACAGATCCATGATCCAGAATATTAGATATGGTCTGATCAACATATTAAGAATGATTTCACTGATCATATCACTGCTCAAAAATGTCAATCCATCTATTATGTTTAATATAGAATTAAACAAAAGGTGAGCACTGACTGGTATTATTATTTCTTATTTGTTTTTGTTTTTTGTGTGTGTGTTTTCTGGGATGTAAGTCACACAGATGGCAAATGAAATTCAAACAAGCACTTTATTCCAAAGAACATATCCTGGAGTGAGGAGGCTCTAAAGCTCTAGTTATTCTAGAAAATTTTCATGTAACTTGTGTAAATCACTTTGCTGACTAGGAACTCATTTTTTTTTCTATTTATGGTCAAATAACCACTAGCCTTATATTAAAATCTAAAATTCTAGAATTTAAATTCAGTAGGTTTTTAATTTTCCTTACCAAAGCTTCCCTCATCATCTTAAACTTAGTATTTTATTCAATGTCAAAATTTAAAAAAAAGTTGCTAAATATTAAGATATACATATTTTTAAAACTTAGTCTTCAACTATTTAAAAGTAGTCTTTATGATTTTTAAATTTAGTTGACCAGAATTTTCTTTGAAAAGTGATAGAAATACAGTGAATTAATTTTTTGACACTGTGGCCTCCTGGCCTAGAAAATAGTAAATACAAAGCATAGCTTTTTTTCTTTATACTTCATGGCTTCCTTTCATATTCTAAATATTTCTAAAGTTACTATGCTTTATTGAAAGCTGTCTGAGTCTAGTGTTTTTGTTTCCATAATATAATTGGAGAAATGTTGAGAAAAACAAGGAGAAAACTGGTACACATTACATTTCTTTGTGTCCTTGTAGACATTTTTTGTCCTTTTCAATTTTTGATCCCAAAATAAATTTGTCCATGTACATACACATTTGAGTGAAAAGACTGATGAAGGACAAAAGGATTTGAATCCAAAGAAACAGGACAGTGCAATAAGTTGTGAAAAATTAGGGCAGTATGGGAGGCAGGAAAAAATTAGGGCACTGCAATTCAGAGATAGGGAGAAGTAGAGGGCAAGGAATAGCATACTATGACAGGTGAAGAATGAGCTGGGTCTACACATTATAAAGAGGGAAGATGGAGCACATGGATAGGGAGGAATAATCATATGAACATCTGCTTACTCAAAATAAGTTGTCAATACCCCAAAGGTGAGATATAAAACAAAACAAGAAAAACGGCAGTGGAAGGGTTCCAGATTGCTTATGAAAAATTTAAGAGATGTTAGGAAGATGAAATAAATTTATCTTTTCCTGAAAAAATAGACCTAGTTTGTCTTTGGGTGCTTCCTTCTTCGTTATGTTCCCAAATCTTAATTTACTTTGTAAAATTATAATAGATTTTTAAAAAAACATAACCTATTATACACACTGGATTTTATTTTGTAACTACCATAGTTTTAGTCTAAATAAGTACTATTCAAGGCCGGGTGTGTTGGCTCATGCCTGTAATCCCAGCACTTTGCGAGGCCGAGGTGGGCAGATCATGAGTTCAGGAGATCGAGAGCATCCTGGCTAACACGGTGAAACCCCGTCTCTACTTAAAAAAAAAAAAAAAAAATTAGCCAGTCACTGTAGTCCCAGCTACTTGGCAGGCTGAGGCAGGAGAATGGTGTGAACCTGGGAGGCGGAGCTTGCAGTGAGCCAAGATCGCACCACTGCACTCCAGCCTGGGCGACAGAGCGAGACTCCGTCTCAAAAATAATAAATAAATAAATAAATAAATAAAAACCAAATAAATAAATAAATACTAATCAAAAAGAAGTTCACATAATCCCATAAAGTAATCCCTGATTACTTTAAAACCTACAAAACAAATAGTGATATACAGCTACATGATTAAATATTCAAATATTTACAAAATAATAATGCAAACATTTACATATATGAATGTAAAATTTAAGGCCCCTAATTAAAGTTTGAATTGTCACAACTCATTTTTACTTTATTTTCCTAAAATTCATATTTCAAAATATGTTGACAAAATTAAACAAGTAAACAACAATCAACTCTCCGCCACAAAACAAGAACAACAACTACTGCTACTACAGAAAGAGGGGCTGAGTGCACTAGGTAATGTAGGATTTTTCCTAACAGTAATATCCATATAAATACATAAGCACTACATGAGAAACAGCAGTTTGAGGGAATACACATTTTCTCAGTGTGAGACAAATATCATTTACCAAATCCCAACCGACTTCATAGCTATTGAGAAGAAAACCAATAGAAACCAGCAAATGGTATCCATTATCATGACGTGTTATAGCACAGTGTGCTCTGAATGTTGTTATTTACTTAGAATAATTTGTGCTCACATTCCTGTGAGCTACTGGATAATAACAGAAAGGTACTTCTTTTTTCTTACTACTTTAGAACACACAAAGTCTTTACCACTTCTGGAGGAATATTGATCCATAGTTTAAATGTGCAATCTGGCTCCAGATGTTTATACTCAATTACTCATGTGTACAGAGGTGCATTTTTTAAAAGAACAAATGACAATCACAAGGATATTATCCAACTAAGATCAAAGAATAAGTTGTTACGATATAGAAAAAATAAGGGAAATCACAAGGAGATTTCATTATGTTTCTTGTGGAAATGGAAATTCGCTCCTTTTTTGTTGTTCGAGGGTAAGCCCAGAGATAAATTCACTGGTTTTGTATCCTGAGGTGAATCTATCAAATATATGCTGTAGGTAGTAAAAGTAGGTTTGTTTTCAAAATTTCTTAACTACTATTTGTGTCCTTGTTTAGTGTAAGCCTTCCTATCCATCTCTGCCATGATGCTTTATTATTTTTTGTCAGAACCGCTCTTTCTGTATCCACTCATTTGACACAATTTATTCTCAAAATCTAATCTTAATTGCTTGTCAGGGACAAAAATCCCAAGAGAGTACCAACATTCCATAACAGTTTGTAAGCATTGGAGAATTCGAGTGTTTGTTCTGTTACTGAAAACTCCCCATAGAATTGGAAGTTAAATTTCTTGGAGGAAAATGCAGGTGACTTTATCATGAATCACTAAATTTATGCACTTCATTACAGAGAAAACAAGGATATTATTAAAAATGTAGTTATTATTATTAAAATTATTAATTTTCTCTAGAACTTGAATTAGTAGCATTTTTAAAAATCAGCTGTTCTATTTACTATTTCTGATCAAGTCATTTTATATTATAAATACAGACAATGTATAAATTTCCTCTTTAAAAGACCATAATATGTCAAAATAATAAATAAGCACCTAGATTTCATTGGTGGCCAAATTTTATGCAATCTCTCTCAAGAGTATTTTTGTCTTTCTATCCCAGGAACCCAGCTATATTTTAAACCAAGTACCAAAGCCACCTACACAAACCACCTGCTCATAACCAGGTCCCCAGGCTCAGCTCTCTCCTCCTTTTCTGGCCAAGCAGCTATCTTATATGTCTTGCTACGATCAATAAACATATCTGTTGTCATTATCAAGAACACATATTCCTTCTTGGCCCTAAACTAGATATCAAAGAATAGATTATGCAAAACAGTGATATTCTTGAGTCTATTCACAGTTCAGAATCATCACTTTAGTCAGTCAAGACTTTCCCTTCTCCTCTCAGGATCATGGACATACTGACACAGCTGTTCAAGAAACACTATCCTTACCTTTGCTGTCTGATCCTTTTATGATTTATGGTTTGGGATTTCAGCTCTGATGTCGTTCATTAATTCCTTTATTCTAGTCACTTGTTCAGTTAAGAAAACCATTTCCAGTGTCCTCTATGTACCAAACACTATCATGGTTCCTGAAACATAACAATAATAGCCAAATTTATTGAGTGCTTACTATATGAACTAAAAACTTGACTCTTATGTGTCATGATATACCTTGGAAAATCATACTATGTATCTGTTAATATTATGTCCATTTTAAAATAAATCAAATTGAGGCTTAAGGAAGTTAAAAAACTTAAGCAAGACTATACAGTAGAATTAGAATCAAGATACTAGAACCCCAGAGACCACATTCTTAACCCTAAAATAAATAAATAAATGCAAATAATCATAAAAAATGAATCTTCTGGTCTAGGAATTCTTATAATTTAGTGGTAGAAGTCAATAATCGTTAATTGCACTATAATTAGGCTAGCATAGACCTATGCACATGCTGTTGTGGTCAGATATAAAATATGTGATAGCATATTTAGAGGAAAAATATTTTTAGATTGGTCACATCACTTCATTGTCTTGTTGCTTCCAGTATCTTTGAATAGATTATAGATTATTATGCAAGATAATACAAGAAAAAGTCCAATTTATCCATTAAGTTATTTATGTCCGTAGCATGATATTTGTTTTTTCGTCTTTTATAACTATCTGTGCTAATGGCTGGTGCATTCCACTATCCATTCACTTCTCAATTTTCTTTTTGTAACAAAGTAGAAGAATTTAATGTTCTTTATTAATTAGCATTTATTAAATAAAATTACTTCTTCCAGCTTTGACTTAAAAATTTTAATTATTGTAAAATCAAGAAATAATTCCCATTAACTTACAACATGTTCTATATCTGCAATCTATATTTTTAGAAGCTTCTCTTGACCTCCTATCTGCCTTCAGGTACTGCCCTATTTTTTGTCACTTTTCACATGAAAACTCAAATAGTTGGCTGTAATCCATTTCAAGTTTCTGAATTTCTTTTCTTTGCTGAACTTGTGCCCCTGGAACTCCACTGAAGCTGTTCATGTATATATCACCACTGACCTCCTATTACAAAGAACAAAAGCCCTCTGTCTCTTCTCATCTTACATGCTCTCTCAGAATCACTCAGAAAAATTGAACAGCACCTCCTTCTTTAAACAGTAAATTCCCTTGACTTATGTGATATTATGGATTCCTGATTTTCTTCCTGCTTTATTGATGTGTACTTCTGAGTTCCATTTTATGAATCCTTCCCTTTTTTTCAACTTGTAAATATAGTGTATTTCAGGGATGTATTGTTCTTATGTTTCTTTTTTGTAACTTTGTACTTAATACACTATATCTCATGGTAATCTCATCCTGGCTGATACTTCTTGGGGATTGGTTCTAGGACTTCCCAGGGATGCCAAAATCTGCAAAGGCTCAAGTCTCTTATATAAAGTAGTGTAGTATTTGCATATAAATACAATGCACATCTTCCTATATTCTTTAAATAATCTTTAGATTACTTATATTACCAATGAAATGTAAATGCTATGTAAATAGTTGTTATATAGTGTTGTTTAGAAAATAATGACAGGAAGAAAGTCTGTACACGTTCAGCCCAGATGGATTTTAAGATATTTTCAATCTGCTGTTGGTTGAATCCATAGATGTAAAACCCGGGGATATAAAGGGCTCACTGTATACCTATCTACATACCCATGATTCATAGATTGGTCTTCAGCCTTAAATTTTACCCTGAATTTCAAACTCATGTATGCTTATACTTGTTTCATTCATTCATTCATTATTCATTCATTTGATCATTATTTTGGCAAATATTCAAAATATTACAATTCAAACACTTTTGTGGGTATTTAGTTTTGAATAAGCCAGGCAAGGTCTCCACACACAGTTCCCTTTTTCTGAAATATTTCTGAAAAAATGAGTCAATATATGTGTTTTTGTGTTTGTATGTATGTGTATATATATGTATATGTGTGTGTATATATGTATGTATACATTTATATGGATATTTTGATGGTTATATGAAACTTCAGGCAATATAAAATACCAGACTCTCTGAAGGGCACTTTTGATGTAATGTGGCTATATTCTTCTTTTAGAAAATGTTTAAAATACTGCAACTAGAGAAAGACATCATCAAGATGACTGACTAGAGATGCCCAGCACTCACCTATTCCACAAAGAGGTACTAAAACAGGAAGTAGATAATAACATGTGGAGTAGTGTTCTAAGGGAAAACACTGGAATTTAGCAAGAAAGTGAAAATGATTTTCTGAGACACAAAAACTTAAAAATGGCAGCAAATAGAGGGAGACAAAGCAGCCAGCTGGGATTGACTCTGAGAGAAGAAAAACATTCCATTGTGGAGATAATGCAGCAGGAGATCCCTAGCAATGCACATTCCCTGCAGTCTTAGGTATGGAAGATCCCCTCAGTCCTCATAGTAGAGAACTCCCTGGAACTCACGTGACTCCATTAGTCCAGAGAGGGAATTCACACTGTAACCTCCCCATATCTAGGACCCATGCTGCTGCAGCACAGTGCTATTTTGAGAGTAGACTCCCACTAGACTACTTTCTGCCCTCAAAACCAAGAGCCCCTGCATCACCACATTCCTAGAGCCCCGCCAGAATCCCCTCACATCCACTCAGAGAGCTGCAGAGTCACAGTGCCAGCTGAACCCAGCAATGCAGCCACATTCCTGGTACATACAATACACTACATCCTGGGGAACAGGCAGTCCAGCACATGAGGGAAGCTGCTCCCAGGATATAAGGAACCAAAGTAACCACTTCCCACAACCTGCAAGCCACATGCTGGGACCCGGTGCTGGTAATAGCAACCTCATGCCCTCCAGTGGTAGGGTCATTACATGCCCATGACTGTTGCCCAGGAACATGAGGATCAGCCTGCACAGGTTACCACTGCTGGCAGCAACTGTGCATGTGCCCATACCTGCTGTCATTGGCAACCACATGCATGCACACCACTGCCACCACTGATGCCCACATGTGCCACCCAGGGGAGCAAGAGCTAGCCTACACAGGGACACTGCTGCCAGTGACAGTGCCCACATATGCCACCCAGAAGCCTGAGGACCTCTCTGTAAGGCTTTTTCCATCCCCCAAAATTCATACCACACCTTCCAAAAACAATAACAGCCTAAGCCAATAACGAACTTGCAGATACCACTGAGAGATTACAGCAGAATAAATCATATAAAGAATCCATTACTGTGTCCACCCAGAACCAAAGCCAAAGCACGACTCAATCAACACTATAGCTACATCTACAGAAAAATGTCTTACCCTCTATTAGTCCATTCTCACACTGCTAATAAAGACATACCAAAGACTGGGTAATTTATAAAGGAAAGAGATTTAATTGAGTCACATTTCTGCAGGGCTAATGAGGCCTCAGGAAACTTACAATCATGGTGGAAAGAAATGCAAACACGTCCATCTTTACATGGCAACAGCTAGAAGTACTGAGCAAAAAAAAAAGGAAAAGCCCCTTACAAAAATCATCACTTCTCATGAGAAATCACTATCACAAGAAAAGCAAGAGGGTAACTGCCATCATGATTCAATTACCACCCACTGGGTCCCTCCCACGACACATGGGGAACTACAGCTGAAGAGATTTGTTGGGGACACAGCAAAACCATATCCAATTCCAACCTGGCCCCTCCCAAATCCCATGTCTTCACATTTCAAAACACAATCATGCCCTTCCAACAGTCCCCCAAAGTCTTAACTCATTCCAGTATTAACTCAAAAGTTCAAGTCCAAAGTCTCATCTGAGACAAGGCAAGTCCCTTCTGCCTATAAGCCTGTAAAAGCAAAAGCAAGTTAATTACTTCCTGGATACAATGGGGATACAGGCATAGGTAAATACACCCATTCCAAGTGAGAGAAATTGGCCAAAACAAAGGGGCTACAGGCCCTATGCAAGTCCAAAATCCAACAGGGCAGTCATTAAACCTTAGAATTCCAGAATGATCTCCTCTGATTACATGTCTCACATCCAGGCCTTGCTGATACAAGAGGTGGGCTCCCACATTGGTCAGCTTCACCCCTGTAGCTTTGCAGCATACACCCCAACTCCTGGCTGCCTTTACAGGCTGGCATTGAGTGGAGTGTCTGCAGCTTTTTTAGGGGCACAGTGCAGGCTATCAGTCCATCTAACATTCTAGGGTCTGGAGGATGGTGGCCCTCTTCTCACAGCTCCACTAGGCAGTGTCCCAGTGGGGACTTTGTGTGGGGGCTCCAACCCCACATTTCCTTTCTGCACTGCCCTAGCAGAGGTTCTCTATGAGAGTTCCACCCCTGCAGCAAACTTCTGTCTGGACATTCAGGCTTTTTCATACAGCCTCTGAAATCTAGGTGAAAGTTCCCAAACCTTAATTCTTGACTTCTGTGCACCTGCAGGCCCAACACCACATGTAAGCTGCCAGGGCTTGAGGCTTGCACCCTCAATAGCAATGACCTGAGCTCTACATTTGCCTCTTTTAGCCATGGCTGAAGCTGAAGTAGCTGGAATGCAGGGCACCATGTCCCAAGGCTGCTATACAGCAAGGGGCCCTGGGCCTGACCCAAGAAACCAATTTTCCCTCCTAGGCCTAAAGGCCTGTGATGGGAGGGACTGCCCCTGAAGGTCTCTGACATGCCCTGGAGACATTTCCTCATTGTCTTATTAATTAACATTCGGCTCCTTGTTACTTATGTAAATTTCTGCAGCTGACTTGAATTTCTCCTCAGAAAATGAAGTTTTCTTTTCTATCACATTATCAGGCTGCAAATTTTCCAAATGTTATGCTTTGTTTTCTCTTGAGTGCTTCACTGCTTAAAACTTTCTTCCCCCATACCCTAAATCATCTCTCTCAGGTTTAAAGTACCACAAACCTCTAGGGCAGGTACAAAATGCCATCAGTCTCTGTGCATAGCAAGAGTGACCTTTACTCCATAGTTCCCAACAAGTTCCTCATCTCCATCTGAGACCACCTCAGCCTGGACCTTATTGTCCATATCACTACGAGCATTTTGGTCAAAACCCTTCAACAAATCTGTAGGAGGTTCCAAACTTTCCCACATCTTCCTGCCTTCTGAGTCCACCAAGTCTCTAGGAAGTTCCAAATTTTCCCACATTTTTCTATGTTCTTCTGAGCCCTCCCAATTCTTCCAACCTCTGCTTGCTACCCAGTTCCAAAGTAGCTCCCACATTTTCAGGTACCTTTTTCAGTAGTGCCCCACTACCCAGTACCAATTTACTCTATTTGTCCATTCTCATGCTGCTAATAAAGACATACCTGAGAGTGGGTAATTTATAAAGAAAAGAGGTTTAATTAACTCCAGTTCCACAGGGCTGGGGAGGCCTCAGAAAACTTAAGATCATGGAGAAAGAGATAACAAACATATCCTTCTTCACATGGTGGCAGGAAGGAGAAGTGTCAAGGAAAAGGGGAACCAGCCCCTTATGAAACCATCAGCTCTCATGAGAACTTGCTATCACAAAAACAGCATGAGGGTAACTGCCCCTGTGATTAAATTACCTCTCACGAACTCCCTCCCATGACATGTGGGAATTATGTGAACTAAAATTTAAGATGACATTTGGGTGGGAACACAGCCAAACCATACTATACCTTATGAAAGCTAATCCATAAAATTAAAACTATCAACCATTATATCAGATGCATGGATATAACCGTATGGACTCAAACTTCATTAAAAACAGGAAGACATGAAAGCTGTAAAGTAATGCAAAAATTATCTACTAATATACCTTGAAGAAAGGAAATTTATAAAATGCTTGAAAGGGAATACAAAATAAAGATCTTAATGAAACTCAGATAGCAGAGAATATAGCCAGACAATGCAAAGAAATCAGGAAACCAATTCATAACCTAAATGAGACATTCAATAAAGAGACAGATATCATATAGAAAAGCCAAATGACAATCCTGGAAGTGATGAATTCAATAAATCAAATAAAAATGCACTTGAGAGTTTCAGTAGACTAGACCAAACAAAGCAAAAAAAAAAAAAATCTGTTGAGAACAGGTCTTATGATATAACACAGTCAGATCAGTAAAAAAGAAAGGATAAGGGAATAAAAAGAATACAGAAATTCTACATGACATATGCGACACCATTAAGTGCAAAAATGTTTACTTTTTTTAATGTTCGAGAATGTGAAGAGATGAGAAAATACATAGAAAATCTATTTAATGAAATAATAGCTAAGAACTTAAGTCCTGAGAGAGAAATAGAGATCCAGATACAGATAGCTCAAATAAATCCAAAAATTTCAACCCAAATGGTCATCTTTCAGGCATATTGAAGTCAAACTGCCAAACCTCAAATACACAAAGAAAATTTTCTAAAAATAGCAAAGTGTTAAGTCACATATAAGAAAATGCATATCAGACTAACATCAGATTTCTCAGCAGAAACTTTATAAACCAGAAGACAATGGGCTGATATATTCATCATCCTGGGGGTGGGGAGGGGGGTTAGGAAACACCTGTCAGCCAAAAATACCATGTGCAGAAAGCTATGCTTCATAAGAGAAAAAAAGTCTTTCTGGTACAAGCAAAAATGGAGAGAACTCATTGCCACTAGGCTAGCTCTAAAAGAGCCGCCACGTCTGGTAGCAAAAGGATGATATCTACTATAATGAAAACACACAAAAATATAAAATTCACTGGTAAAGCAGATACACAAATGAGAAAAAGAAAGGACTCAAACACTATTAACTTCAGAGATAAATCAAACTGAAAAATTAGATATAAAGAGATGAATAAAGAAACAAAGGATATACAAGGAAAGAGAGAGAAAGCATTAGAGTAAATGGCTAATGCATGTGGGGCTTAATACCTAGGTAACAGGTTGATAGGTGTGGAAAACCATGATGGGAGAAGTTTACCTATGTAACAAACCTGCACATCCTGCCCATGTACCCTGGGACTAAAAATAAAATTAAATAAAAAAAAGTAGAATGAAAGAAAAAGAAAGAAAGAAGGAAAGAAGAAAGGAAGGGAGGGAGGGAGGGAGGAACGGAAGGAAGGAAGGAAGGAAGGAAAGAAGGAAGGAAGGAGGGAAGGAAGGAGAGAAGGAAAGAGAAAGAAAGAGAAAGCAAGAAAAAAGAAAAAGTGGGAGGGAGGAAGGAAGGATGGAAGGAAGGATGGACAGATGGAAGGAAGGAAGGAAGGAAGGAGAACTAACAATATGACAGGCATAAGTCCCACCTATCAATAACAACGTTGAGTAAAAATGGTTTAAATTCTCCAATTAAAAGATAGAGATTTACTGAATCAATTAAAAAACAAGACCCAACTATATTCTGCCTACAAGCCACTCACTTCATCTATAAAAACAATCATAGAGAGAAGAGATGGAACATGATACTTTATACAAATGTAAACTAAAAATGTATAAAAATAGCTATACTGACATCTGACAAAATAGACCTTAATTAAAAATGAAATATGAGAGCTTGCAGTGAGCCGAGATCCCGCCACTGCACTCCAGCCTGGGCGACAGAGCGAGACTCCGTCTCAAAAAAAAAAAAAAAAAAAAGAAATATGAGAGACAAAAAAGTTCATTATATAATCAGAAAGTAATGAACTCACCAAGAGGATATAACAATTACAAATATGTACGTACCCAACACCAGAGAATCTAGGCATAAAGCAAATATTATTAGGGCTAACAAGAAAGATCAAACCCAATAAACTTTTTTTTCAGACAGAGTCTTGCTCTGTTACCCAGACTGGGGTGCAGTGGTGTGTTATAGGCTCACTGCAACCTCCACCTCCCGGGTTCAAGTGATTCTCCTACCTCAGCTTCCTGAGAAGCTGGGATTACAGGCACCTGCCACCACTCCCAGCTATATTTTTTTCTTTTCTTTTTTTTTTATATTTTTAGTAGAGATAGGGTTTCACCATGTTGGCCAGGCTGGTCTTGAACTCCAGACCTCAGGTGATCTGCCCGCCTCGGTCTCCCAAAGTGCTGGGATTACAGGCGTAAGCCACTGTGCCCAGCCCCAATAAAATATTAATGGAAGAATTCAACATCCCACTTTTAGCATTGGACAGATCATCTCAATGGAAAATTAACAAAGAAACATAGAACTTAAACTGAACTATAGATCAAATAGGCCTAACAGATATTCACAGAACATGCCATCCAGCATCTACAGAATGCATATTCTTCTCATCAGTACATAGAACATTTTGCAGAAGAGACCATATGTTAGTCCACACAAATCTCAAAAATTCTAAAAAATCAAAATCATATCAAGTCTCTTTTCAGAACACTATGGAATAAAACAAGAAATCAGCAACAAGAGGAATTTTTAAACTCTACAAATACAGAGAAATAAAACAGCATGCTCCAAAGAAACCAGTGGGCCAATTAAGACATTAAGAAGAAAATTTAAAAAAACTTATTGACACAAATGAAAATAGAAATGCAGCATACCAAAACTGATGGAAAACAGGAACCACAAAAGACTCCAAAATGCTAAAGCAATCCTGAGTGAAAAGAACAAGCCTGAAGGCATTACACAACCTGGCTTCAAAATATACTACAAAGCTATATTAACCACAATAACATGGTATTGGTATAAAAACAGAAATAGACCAATTAAAAAGAACAGAGAACCTATAAATAAATTCACATATCATATTTATAGCCAACTTATTTTTGACAAAGTTTCCAGGAACATACATTTGGAAAAGGACAGTTTCTTCAATGCATGGTGCTGGGAAAATTGGATATCCATGTGTAAAAGAATGAAACTACACCCCTATCTCTCACCACGTACAAAAATCAATGTAAAATCGATTAAAGGCTTAAATTCAAGACCCAAAACTATTCAACAACTAGAATAAAACAGAGGAGAAATCCTTCAGAACATTGATATAGGAAAATATTTTATAGATAAGACTACAAAAGCACAGGCAAAAAAAAAAAAAAATAGACAAATAGGAATATATCAAACTAACAAGCATCTCTCCAGCAAAGGTAACAATCAACAGAATGCAAAGACAACCTGTAGAATGAGAACTATATTTTCAAAGTATTCGTCTGACAAGGGACTAATATTGGGAATATACAAGTGACTCAAGCAACTCAAGAGCAAATAATAATAACATTCCCATTAAAAATGGGCAAACATTCTGAATAGATATTTCTCAAAAGATGATATACAAATGGCCAATGAGTATATGAAAAAAAAAATGCCCAACATCTCTAATCATCAGAAAAATGCAAACCAAAACCACAATGGACTATCATGTTATCCCAGTTAGAATGACTATTATCAAGAAGACAAGGCTGGGCGCTGTGGCTCACACCTGTAATCCCAGCACTTTGGGAGGCAGAGGCAGGTGGATCACCTGAGGTCAGGAGTTCGAGACCAGCCTGACCAACATGGAGAAACCCTGTTTCTACTAAAAATACAAAATTAGCCAGACATGGTGGCACATGCCTATAATCCCAGCTATTCTGGAGGCTGAGGCAGGAGAATTGCTTGAACCCAGGAGGCAGAGGTTGCTGTGAGCCGAGATTGCACCATTACACTCCAGCCTGGGCAATAAAAGCAAAACTCCGTCCCCCCCAAAAAAAAAGACAAAAGTAACAAATGTTGCCAAGAATATGGGGAAAGGGGAGCTCTTATACACCGTTAGTGAAAAATAAAAATTATTTCAGCCATTATGAAAACGGTATGAGGTTTTCTCAAAAAACAACAAAAATAATTATTTGATCCAGCAATTTCACTACTGAGTATTCATCCAAAGACAAAAAAAAGTCAGTATATCAAAAACATATGTAGATATCTGCACCCATGGTTATTGCAGCATTTTTGCAATGGCCAAGATGTGGAATCAACTTAAATGTCCATCAACTGATGAATGGGTAAAGAACATGTGGTATATATACACAATAGAATACTATTCAGCCATATAAAAGAATAAAACTCTGTTATTTTCAGCAACATGGATGAGCTGAGAGGACATTATGTTAAGTGAAATAAATCAAGTAAAGAAAGATAAATACTACATGTTCTCACTTATATGTGAGAGCTAAGACAAATTGATTTCATGGAAGTAGAAAGTAAAATTATGGTTACTAGAGACTGAGAACTGTAGGGACATGGGAGAGGATAGGGAAAGGTTAATTAGGGATACAAAATTACAGCTATGGGAGGAATAAGTTCTACTGTTCTGCAGCACTGTAGGAAGAATATGATTAACAGTAATTTATGGCATATGCACAAATAGCAAGA
Organism: Homo sapiens; assembly: GCF_000001405.40. NCBI lineage: Eukaryota > Metazoa > Chordata > Mammalia > Primates > Hominidae > Homo > Homo sapiens. The sequence goes on from NC_000004.12 coordinate 34,269,425, forward strand.
AAAGAGGATTTTGAATGTTACAAAAAGAAATGATACAGGTTGGATGTGACAGATATACCAATTTCCCTGATTTGATCATTACACATTGCATACATTTATCAAAATAATTAATCTGTTCCACATAAATATGTACAATTATTTTGTGCCAAATATAAACAAAGAAGAATAAATGATAACAGCAGAATGCTTGGAAATTACCTGAATATTATTTTGCAGTTGTTCAAGCTGTTTGGACAAAGCCCCTGAGGAAGCTGAGAAGAATATGGTGTGCTTTTAATTTATTCTGTTTATTCTCACATTATTAAAGACTGAACAGTCTGTCAGGTTGTTTGCTAGATTTAACTTTCTAAATTCAATGTACCCATGTTTCTCATCACATGTAAATACCAGTTGGTTAAATATTGCCTAAGCCTGACAATGATTAAAGAAAGTTTTCAGCAGAAAATAAAGCATGAGAGTCGGTTGGAAAAAAAATACTACAAACAAAATAAAATTGGTGACTACATTGTTATAATACTCAAAAATACTTATTTCTGGTCTATATTATATCTGCTTCTTTGTGCAGCATAGAAGCTGTTGAATTGTAATTTTTCCAATAATTTGCTACAATACTCCACGACAAAGGAGGCCAAATCTTTCTATCTGTTCTTCTACATCTCCATTTGTAATCAATTCATACATTTATATTTACTCAAAGTGACAATAAAGCTGCCACTTTAATGGGCAAAATTAGTGACAAGGAAAGGGAACATTTATATTTCAGTTTTCTCTATAGGGTTAATACACAGAGTCTAAATCTGCTTGAAATTTATACCTTAGAGCAACTTTTTCTCAAAGCTTGATTGTACATTGCAATAATGGAGAAAACAAAATGATATTTTTGTCCAAACCCAGTTGAAAAAATCCTGATTTAATTAGTCTGAGAGTATGGCTCAGAATTTTAAAAAATAGATATTTTAAAATCTGTATAACTTTGAACATTCCCAAATGCTTTAATAGCAGCCACGTTTAGGAATCACCAATCAAGTATGGTTACTACATCAGTCAAGATCCTGATGAAAATAGGTGAAATATTTAAAGGGCTAATAGAAAAGCTCTTTTTTAAATAAAGTAGTGGGCAGTGTTCAGAGAATCAAAAAAGTCAGAATCAACGACATTAGGAAATTTTTACTTCCCCAGGTGTAAGTTAAAAGGAGTGAGTGGCATTAATAAAACTTGTCAAGCACTGTAGCCACGGAAAAGGGGCTTCTGAGGAGGAACCTTGGCCACATGTAAAAAGAAACAAACAAACAAAAATACCCAGCCACATCAAAAAGTAAGGCCCTGTGGAGAGGCAAGGCTTGGGCCCCTCTAATCTCTCCATAAGCCACATAAAACATTTAATAAATGTCCTTCAAATTAAACTAGCCCAAGACGATTCTATTTCATGCAACATGAAATTGTTTCAATACAGTAACTGAGTACTGTATTGGTCTGTTTACACACTACTATAAAGAAATACCCGAGACTGGGTAATTTATAAAGGAAAGAAGTTTAATTGACTCACAGTTCCATATGGATGAGGAGGCCTCAGGAAATTTAACAATCATGGCGGAAGATGAAGGGGAAGCAGACACCTTCTTCACAAGGCAGCGAGAGAGAGAGAGAGAGAGAGAGAGGGAGGGAAGGGGAAGAGCCTCTTATAAAACCATCAGGTCTCGTGAGAACTCACTCCTATCACAAGAAGAGCAAGGGGGAAATCCGTTCCCATGATCCAATCACCTCCCACCAGGTCCCTCCCTGGACACCTGGGGATTACAATTTAGATTAAAATTTCAGATAAGATTTGGGTAAGGACACAGCCAAACCATATCAAGTAGTCACAGGCAATGGAGTTTCAAAGAGATGCAAACGTGGAATTTGTTTTGTCTTATGTTGGACTCAAAGGCACATGAAGCTATGTCAGCAGCATAGGCAGGACCAACTGGCTAGTCCGAAGTAAGCAGTGGAGAATTCATCATTTACATTTTGACCTGTGGATTATTTGGAATAAAGCTGCTCTTGGAAGCAAGATTGGAAAACGGAGGGAGAATTTTAATAAATCATCATGATAATAATGAGCTAAAGGGTTGCCTATTTCTAACTGAACTGAAGTTAGAAGAAAGAATATGATAAATTCAGTGTTATAAAGGCTCAACTCAAGTGGGTAAAAATGATCAGGGAGCTTCAGGGCTGCAACCATCTCTCTTAGCTCTGAAGGCTGACACAACCACAGAAACAGGTGATCATATGAGTCACTGAATGACATATAGACAGAATTCATAATCATGCCAGAAATTATATGTGAAATTGCAAGCAATGACTAGAAAACCATGAGCATTCAGTAATTACAAGTGTTAATTTAGGTGAATTTAGATGTCGAAATACTTCTTGCAACCAAGCACAGTCCCTCTGTTACTATCTGAGAAGGCTACGGAGTCTCTCCTGCTTTGTCTGAATTAGAAGCTTTGCGAATGTGTAATTCTACCCATGAAACACTATTTGCCTCATGACTTTTATAACTATTACTTAGAATAAAGACCTCAAATGCAGCTCAGCTGCAGGGAAAGGGCTAAATACAATATTCAATCCAGGAGGAAATAGCTTAATATTGAAACAATGTCACAGTTTACAACTATATATCTGCCAGAATGTAATATCTTGTACTTGTTTTCATGAGCTGTAAAGTAAATAAGAAACACTTGATAGGTAAAGAACTAAGTGAAAGTACAAACCAAAGAGTTTAGGAGGTATTGAAGCTGGCTTTCACTTTGAAGACTCTTTGAAATCCCTTGTTAATTGTTAATCACGTTTCATAATCTCTTTGATTTTAAGAATAGAATATAAAATTCAAAGTTCACCTAAAACTGTGAGCTTAATAACTACCCCCCATTCAAACTTAGAAAACCAAAATTCTATAGGTTTAGTATAAAGAGAAATTATAAATATAGAAAATCTTTTGACTTTCTTCATAATTTTCCAGACTTCATGGAGTTTCTCTTGTCTCAAAATTTAGTGCTGAATGAGTGTGAAGTAAAGGTTCTATTGAAAAGCAATAGCCATAGCAAATCCAAATGTAGATTTCAGCCCAAAATTACAATACCTCTCTTAGTCAGTTTGGGCTGCTATAACAAAAATACCATAAACTGGGTGACTTAAACATCAAAAATTTATTACAGTCTGGAGGCTGGAAGTCTGAGATCTTAGTGCCCACATGTTTGGGTTCTGGTGAGGGCATTCTTCCCAATTTGAAGATGGCCATCTTATTTTTATTTTATTTTATTTTATTTTTTGAGACAGAGTTTCACTCTTGTTGCCCAGGCTGGAGTGCAATGATGCAATCTCGGCTCACTGCAACCTCCGCCTACTGGATTCAAGCAATTCTCCTGCCTCAGCCTCCCGAATAGCTGGGATTACAGGCATGCACCACCACACCTGGCTAATTTTGTATTTTTAGTAGAGATGGGGTTTCTCTGTGTTGGTCACGCTGGTCTTAAACTCCTGACCTCAGGTGATCCTACTGCCTCGGCCTCTGAAAGTGCTGGGATTATAGGCATGAGCCACTGAGCCGGGGCCATGTTCTTGTGTCCTCACATGGCAGAGAGCAGAGAGAGAGGAAGCAAGCTCTCTCCTTTCTCTTCTTATAAGAGCAATTAATTCCATTCATGAATGCTTCATCCTTACGACCTGATTTCCTCCCAAAGGCCACACCTCCAATATTGTCACATTGGGAGTTAGAATTTCAAAATATGAATTTTTGAGGGGTATACAAACATTCAGTCCATAACACTCTTCTTTCAAGAAAATCTCAATTCATAAATTTAAATTTATATTAAAGTCTTTGAAATAATGTGGGTCATTTTCTAAAATGAAGTGAAATTCCTCACCAGGGGAATCTTCCCTCATTTGAGATATTATTTCTACCAACTAAGATCCTCAGAAAATCAATGCATCAGAGTCAAAAATGAATAATCATACAAGGAATAAACAGCATCATGAGAGAACTAACTCCAGAATCTATCATATTGTAAGAATATAAATGTTTATTGAATGAAGTAGACATATTCACAATAATCAGAAGGTATTTGCATACTCATTGTAATTGCTTTAGAAATGAATTGTAACAAATTTTGTTACTGATTTCTAAATGAATGCCAAAAATAGCACTAGGTATTACAACTTGCGGGATGCAGATGAAGGATTATGCATAAGGAGATTTATGCCCTTAAATGCTCACATTATAAAAGACAGGCACAAGATAATTAGCTGAACATAAGTTTAAAAGTTCAAATGCTTAATTCAGAATATATTCAAAGAAACTAGACAGGAATAAAATATATATAGTGATAAATATTAATTGAAAATTTAATTATTTAATAAAAAGTGGGCAAACCCCTGCCAAAACTCTACCAAACCCTTATATACGCAAACCCCTGACAAAATGATAAAGGAAACAAAGAGAGAAGGTAAACATACAACTTTTGGGAATAAAAAAGAGAATATAACCATAGATGCTACTAAATTTGTATGTAAATGTACATATTATAAGTAACTATAGTCAAAAAATTTGAAAATATAAATAAAATGCATTGAGAAATTATTATAAAATTACAATTTAACAAACTGGCTAAAGAAGAATTACAGAACCTGAACAAGCTTATAATAATTAAACAAATAGAATCAGTAGTTAAAAACTCTTCACCAAGAAAATATAAAGTTCCTAGAAGATTTACAGGAATATTCTTTTAAGTATTTAAAGAATAAATAATTCCATTTGTACACAAGCTCTTTTTCTGCAGTGTAAACAACCATGTAAAACATCCTACCTTCTTTCTCAAGATATTTTATGATGCTAGCTTGCCTGGTAACAAAACCGTTGAAGACATTATGGGAAAAAACATTTAAAACTAAATTTACTAGTAAACACAGATGTTAAAGTCATGAACAAATTATTAAACAAAATCTAGCAATATATACATACAAAAATATATCCTAACTATATAGACTTTCTCCAAGTATATAAAGACATTTCAACACTAGAAAATCTATTATTATAATCACTCCCCTATTTTAATTTTATTACAACTATATTTCAATAGTTTTGGGGGTACGAATGGTTTTTTGGTGAAATAGATGAATTGTATAATGGCAAAGTCTGAGATTTCAGTGCACTCATCACCTGAGTAGTATGTGCTATACTCAATATGTAGTTTTTTTATCCCACACTTCCTTCCAACTCTCCCCCAGCTAAGTCACCAAATTATATCACTCTGTATGCCTTTGTGTACCCATAGCTTAGTGCCTACTTTTAAGTGAGAACATACAATATTTGCTTTTCCATTTCTGACTTACTTCACTTAGAATAATGGCCCCCAGCTCCATTCAAGGTGCTGCAAATGACATTATTTTGTTCTTCTTTAAGGCTGAGTAGTATTCCTTGATGTATATACACCACCATTTCTTTATTCATTTATCAGTTGATGGGTACTTAGGGTGGTTCCATATCATTACAATTGCTAATGGTGATGTAATAAACATATGCATGCAGGTGTCTCTTTAATATAATGACTTCTTTTCCTTTGTATTTAAATATACACATTATAAGTAACTATAGTCAGTAAGTTTGAAAATATAAATCAAATGCATTGAGGAATTATTATAAAATTACAATTTAACAAACTGACTAAAGAACTATAGAACATGAACAAGCTTATAATAATTAGACAAATAGAATCAGTAGTGAAAAACTCTTCACCAAGATAATATAGGGTTCCTAGAGAATAGGGTAGATATCCAGGAGTGGGATAGATGGATGGAATATTAGATCTACTTCTGGTTCCTTAAGAAATTTCCATACTATTTTCCATAGAGGTTGTATTTAATCTACATTCCCACCATCAGTGTATAAGTGTTCCCTTTTCACAAAGTCCATGCCAACATCTACTGCTTTTTGACCTTTTGATAATGGTCATTCTGGCTGGGGTAGGGTGATACCTGATTGTTGTTTTAATTTGTATTTCTCTGATGATTATTAATGTTGAGCATTTTTTTTCATATGTTTCTTGGCCATTGGTATATCTTCTTTTGAGAGATGTCCATTCATGCAATTTGCCCACTGTTTGATGGGATTATTTGTTGTATTTTGCTGATTTGTTTCAGTTCCTTATAGATTCTGAATATCAGTCTTTGGTTGAATGCATAGTTTGCAAATATTTTCTTTCATTCTGTGGTTTTTTAGTTTACTTGGTTGATTATTACCTTTGCTATGCAGAAGCTGTTAGTTTAATTAGGCCCTATTTATTTATTTTTGGTTTTATTGCATTTGCTTTTGGGGTCTTAGTCATGAATTCTTTGTCTAGGCCAATGTCTAGAAGAGTTTTTCCTAGGTTTTCTTCTAGAATTGTTATGGCTTTAGGTCTTAGATTTAAGTCTTTGATCCATCTTGAGTTGATATTTACATATGGTGAGAAATAGCAATCCAGTTTCATTCTTCTACATGTGGCTATCCAGTTTTCACAACACCATTTATTAAATAAGGTGTCCTTTTTTCAAGTTATGTTTTTGTATATTTTTTGAAGATCATTTGTTGTAAGTATTTGGCTTTATTTCTGGGTTCTTTATTCTATTCCATTGGTCTGTGTGTCTACTTTTCTACCAGTACCATGCTGTTTTGGTAAGTATAGCCTTGTAGTATAACTTGAAGTCTAGTAATGTGATACCTCTAGATTTCTTCTTTTTTCTCAAATTTATTTTGTCTATTCAGGCTCTTTTTTCAGTTCCATATGAATTTTGGAATTGTTTTTTTCTAATTCTGTCAAAAATTGTGTTGGTATTTTGATAGAAATTGCATTAAATCTATAGATTGCTTTGGGAAGTATAGCTATTTTTACTATATTAATTCTTCGAATCCATGAGCACGGGATGTGTTTCCATGTCTTTGTGTCATCTATGATTTCTTTCAGCAGGGCTTTGTAGTTCTCCTTGTAGAGATATTTCAGCTCTTTGGTTAAGCATGTTTATAAGTACATTTTTGCAGCTACTACAAAAGTGATTGAGTTCTTGATTTGATTCTCAGCTTGGTTGCTGATGGTATATAAGAGTGCTACTGATTTGTGTACATTGATTTTGCAACCTGAGACTCTACAGAATTTATTAATCAAATCTGTAAGTCTTTTGGATGAGTCCTTAGAGTTTTCCAAGAATATGATACTATCATTGGCAAACAGAGATACTTTGACTTCCTCTTTTCCAATTTGGATGCCCTTTATTTCTTTCTCTTGCCTGATTTGACCGACTTCTAGTGCTACATTGAATAGAAGTAGTGAAAGTGAGCTTCTTTTTTTTTTTTCAGTTCCTAGAGGAATAGCTTTCAACTTTTCCCACTTCAGTATGCTGTTAGCTATGGGGTTGTCATATATGGCTTTTATTATTTTCAGGTATGTTTCTTCTGTGCGTAGTTTGTTGAGGGTTTTTATCATAAACAGATGCAAAATTTTATTGAGATGATCATATATATTCATATATATGGTTGTTGTTTTTAATTCTGCTTATGTGATAAATTATGTTTACTGATTTGCATATGTTAAACCATCTCTGCATCTCTGAGATAAAGTCCACTCGATTATGACATTATCTTTTGATGTGGTGTTGAATTCAGTTAGTATTTTGTTGAGGATTTTTGCATTTATGTTCATCAGGGATATTGGTCTGTAGTTTTTTGGGGTTTTTGTTGTTGTTGTTGTTGTTTTGTTTTTTGGTTATGTCTTTCCTGGTTCTGATATATGGGTAGTATTGACTTCATAGAATGAAGATAATGGGTAATACTTCATTAGATTGGATTCCCTTTTTCTCAATCTTTTGGAATAATTTCAGTAGGATTGGTACTAATGTTTCTTTGTCTGGTAGAATTCAGCTGTGAATCCATCTGGTTGCAGGCTGTTTTGTTGGAAGTTTTTTTTATTACTGATTCAAAATCACCACTTGTTATTGATCTGTTCAAGATTTCCATTTCTACCTAATTCAAGATAGGAAGGTTGTATGTTTCCAGTAATTTGTCCATTTCCTTTAGATTTTCTAGTTTGTATGCATAGAGGTGTTCAGAGTTATCTTCAATACTCTTTTGTATTTTGTGGTGTTCATTATAATTTCTCAATTTACATTTATATTTGAGCTTATTTGAATCTTCTTTCTTTTTTTCTTGGTTAATCTGGCTAATGATCCATCGATTTTGTTTATCTTCTTAAACAACCTACTTTTGCTGTGTTGTTTGTTTTGTTGTTGTTGTTGCTGTTTCCATTTCATTTAGTTCTTCTCTAGTCTTTGTTATTTCTTTAACTCTGCTAGCTTTCAGTTTGGTTTGTTCTTTTTTCTCTAGTTCCTTGAGATGTGACATTAAGTTTTCAATTTCAGATCTTTCACACTTTTTGACATAGGTATTTAGCACTGTAAGTTTCTCTCTAAGCACTTCTTTTACTGCACAGCAGAGATTTTGATAACTTGTGTCACTATTATCATTCATTTTGAAAAAATTTTTAAATTTCCATTTTGATTTCACTGTTAACCCAAAAATCATTCAGAAGCAGATTGTTTAATTTTCATGTATTTGCATTATTTTGAGGATTCTTTTTTGAGTTGATTTCTAGTTTTGTTCCACTGCAGTCTGAGAAGATACTTGATATAATTTTTATTTTTTAAAACTTATTGAGACTTGTTTTGTGGTCCATGATATGATCTGTCTTGGAGAATATTCCATTGCTGATAGAAGTAATACATATTCTGTATTTCTTGGATAGAATGTTCTGTAAATATCTGATAGATCCATTTGTTCTAGAGTGCAGTTCAATTCTTTGTTGACTTTTTGTCCCAGTGATCTGTCTAATGCTTTCATTGGAGAGTTAAAGTCCATTATTGTGATGATATATTTTTTTTCTCAGGTCTAGTAATAATTGTTTCATGAATCTGGGAGCTTCAGAGTTAGGTGCATGTGTGTGTGTGTATATATATATATTTGTGTGAGTGTGTGTGTGTGTGTGTGTGTGTAATATCTTCTCATTTGATTGGTCCTTTTATCATAATATAATTACCTTCTTTATTTTTTACTGTTGTTGCTTTAAGTCTGTTTCATCTAAGAATAGCTACTCTTGTTTGTTTTAACTTCCATTTGCATGGAAGATATTTTTCCACCCCTTCACCTTGAGTCTATATGAATCCTTATGTGTCAGGTGAGTCTCTTGAAGACAGCAAATATTTGGTTTGTGATTTTTTTATCCATTCTGTCAATTTGTCTCTTGTAAGTGCAGCATTTAGACGATTTATATTCAATGTTAATATTGAGATGTGAAGTACTGTTTCATTTATCATGTTGTTACCTATATATTTTGTTTTCTTTATTGTGTTATTATTTTATAGGCCCTGTGAGTTTTATGCTTTCAAGAGTTTCTATTCTTGTGCATATCTACCTTTTGTTTCAAGATTTAGAACTCCTTTTAGCATTTCTTGTAGAGCTATTCTGGTAGTGACAAATTCTCTCAGCATTTGCTTCTCTGAAAAAGACTTTATTTCTCCTTCACTTATGAAACAATTTTTCTGGACCAAAAAAATGATTAGCTGACAGTTATTCAGTTTAAGGAGACTAAAGATATAATCTCAATGACTTCTGGCTTGCAAGGTTCTGTCTAAAAAGTCTTAGTCTGATAGGTTTTTCTTGATAGGTTACCTGATGGTTTTGTCTCACTGCTCTTAGAATTCTTGCCTTCATGTTGACTTTAGATAGCTTGATAACTACATGCCTTGGTGACATCATTTTTGCAATGAGTCTCCCAGGAGTTCTTTGAGCTTCTTGTATTTAGACATCTAAATCTCTAGCAAGGACAGGGAACTTTTCCTCAATTATTCTTTTAAATAATTTTTCAAAACTTTGTGCCTTCTCTTCTGCCTCAGGAACACCAATTATTCTTAGGTTTGGCCATTTTAGAATAATCCTGTATTTCTTAGAGACTTTGTTTATTTCTTTGAATTATTTTTTCTTTTTGTCTGACTGAGTTAATTTAAAGGGCTTTTCTTTGAGCTCTGAAATTCTTCCTTCTACTTAGTCTTGTCCATTGTTAAATTGTTCCACTGTATTTTGTACTTCTCTAAATGTGTCTTTCATTTTCAGAAGTTCTAATTGGTTTTTCTTTAAAATACCTATTTCTTTAGAAAAATTTTTATTCATATTTTGAATTGTTTTTCAAATATCTTTATCTTGGTTTTCCCCCTTTCTCCTATATCTCCTTGGTAGTTTAATAATCAGTCTTTTGGATTCTTTGCCTGGTATTTCAAATATTTCATCTTGGTTTGGAACCATGGCTAGAGAGCTAGCTTGATCTTTTGGGGGGTGTTATAGTACCCTGTTTCTTCATTTGCCAGAGTTATTTTTCTTATTTCTTTTCATTTGGGTAGTGGGTAGACTATTCTAATTATTCTTGAATTTATTTTTTATTTAACTGTCTTTTTAAAATTACTATTTCTTTGTCTTTCTTTTGAGGATGTGACCTTAATGTTTAGTTTACTATAGTTTAATTTGATTCTTGGTGGTTTTAGTGCTGAAGACTCTGTATGAGGTCCTTGGTTATAGGGAGTCTTTGCATGATGGCTTTCTCAGATGCTGGTTGTAGCAGCAATGTGCTTGGTATGTGAACAAGTTCACTGTCTCCTGTTTGGTTGGAGTGGCAAAAGTCTCTTGAAGCTAATCTCATTCCCTGGTGGTGTGCACATTTTATTTAACTTTCCCCCAGTATTTTACTTATTGGGCTGAACAGCTCAGGCCTCAAGCCAGTAGGGGACGTTTCCATGGGTAAAAACCAGCTGTGGCTTACTCTCATGGGTAAATGCCATACCCAGTGGTTGGCAGAGGTCCTAGCCTTGTGAGAGGCAGCTGGGGAGCTCTCAGTGAAACACACTGAAGTCTTTTCAAGAGGAAGAGAGGGAGCCACCTCAGTTCACTTGCCAGTGCAGCAGAAAAGTTTTCCACTTCTCAGTCACACTCCTGACCCACTGTTTTGGCTATTCGAACAGACAGGCACCTCTTCATATGCAGGAATGTTCATGTCCATGTAAGTAGGAATTTTGACTCTTCTCCTCATGCAAGCCTGAACCTAGAGGGCACTCCTCATGTGGAAATGCAGTCATCCTGAAATATTCCAGAAAGGCTGTATACAGATGCACCTATTCTGAGCTTCTGTGGAAGAAGCTCCAGCTGTGTCTGCAGTGATGGATGAAGGAGAAAAGAAGTCTACTTCTCCAAGACCCTTCATGAGCACTAGGGCTGTCTGACTGTTGGAGTAGAATCACACACATTCCCTGATCAGTCCAGCACTGCACCTGTGTCTCTGCTGATAGAAACTTCCCATAAGTGGAAAGTTCTGAGACTGAAGACCTGCTATCTGGATTATTTTGTCCCACAGATTGCTCCATTGATGTAGTGTACTCCTCCTTCCCCTATGAGTAGGAGTTCATGAAAGCCAGACTGCTATGAATGCTGCTGCTGCTGCTGCTCTGGATTTAGTCACTCAGAAGAACTGCCACACTCCAAGCTGATGTTGGGGAATGTCTGCAAGAAATCCAGTAATGTGACCTCTCCTCACATCTCCCAGCAGTGGATACCAGCACCAGCTCAGATGGGGATGGCAGCTCTATAAATAGGCTTAGTGTGTTGGCTTTCTAAAATACCAGTTGTAGTAGCAATGAATTCGTTATGTGGACAGACTCAGAACTTCCCAGTTAGCCAGGGTGATGCAGGCAATGGTGATAGCTGAAGTCACAGACAAGTTTTCTCCTTCCTGGGCATTGTGTTATTCTACCTGGAGATGCTGTAGTGGACTGTGTCAGTTGGCATCCAGCCAGGAGGTGGTGCTTCCAAGTGGTAGCAGTGGGATTTGTGCTTGCCTTAGGTTATGCAGGGGAGGTACTCTGGTGTCACAGTCAATGAGCAGGACCATAATGCTCCCAAAAGTCTCTGTCCTTTGTGTTAAGCTACCGGGTTAGGTGGAGGTGCAAAGCCAAGTGGAGGCAATGTCAGGCAAGTTGCGCTCTGACTCTCCACATGCCAGGCTAGAAATGGCCCCAGTGGGGATCAGAGAGCAGTTCTCTGGACACTGGGGTAATGTTCCATTAAGGAGTGCAGCTGCCTCTGCTGTACAGAAGAATCTACATGGGGAGTGGGAAGTAGCAGGCAGTGGTAAGCTCCACCAAGCTCCCACACACTTGGTAAAGCAGCTAGCTGGTTTTCAGGCAGTCTATGCTCAGAACTCACAACTGACATAAGCCTTCCCATGGAGATAGCAACCTCAGCTTTCAGACCCTGCCCTCTTGATCTGCCTTGATCTCCTACACTCAGGGCCGCAGCATAGTTCCCACTTGACCCTCAGTTCTGGCCAAGGGAATTTGTTCCTACTCGAGATTATATTGCAAATCTCAGTTGCGAGCTCTTCTTAACATGCGGCCAATACCTCTGTTAGCTACCAGACTTCCAGGAGGTCTTCTGTGAGGTAGAATCAGGGATGGCTTCCCTCCAACCTCGTTGGAGACTGGGAATGCATGCAATGTATGTCACAATGTCACACCTTCTCATATACTCCCCACTGCTCTCTAAATTACAGTGATGAGTAGGGTTAAGGCCTGCCCCCGTGGCCTGGCTAGCCAGGTTTCCCAGTGGGAGTGTATAATAACAAAAGCAGTTTTTCCACCTCTCACACTCTGAGGACCTACAGTTTTCCACCTGGCTCATGGTACAGGCTGCAGCCTGACACTTCTTTCAAAGGGTCTGTGGTTTCTTTCAGTTTTTCAGCTAAATTCCTGTGTTGCTTCTTGGAAAAAAATTCAGTGTGAATCTGTACACACTATTCTGTCTTTCCAAGTAGGAGAGGCACGCTAACAATGCCAAAATCTGCTGTCTTGGAAGGTGAGGGGAAAGATTAAAATATTTTGATAATATTTAACAAACTTACATAATAGTAACTATTAACAAAGAAAGAATAATGCAATAAAGTACATCTACAAACCACTGAGATATTAATATACTTAATGATTAAAATGCCAAAAACACTTCTTAAGATTTGAAAAGAGACAATAATCTATCAAACTACTAAATCTATTTATATTTCATCTAAAGTTTTGTCCAATACACTGTGATAACAGAAGACAATATATTGAAAATTTAAAATCGAAGTAAATAAATCCTCATTATTTTCAGGTGCTACAACTGTGTACATAGAAAACTGGGAGAAAAAAGCATTAAAATAGTTGGACCTAATAAAATTGTTTATATATGTATTCTAGCCTAAGAAAAATATAATTCAGTATATGCAAGACTATTACAGAGAAAATATGCAACACATTTTATGATTTAAAAATATAAGCAAATGTAGAAATATACATTATTAAATAGGAGTTTCAGTATTATCAAATGTCTGACCTGTAAAAACAATCTTTAGAGTAATTGCAATTTTAAACAGAGGCATAAAAGCAATTATCAAGAGAACAGAAACTAAATTTTATACAGAAGAGCAAAGTCGAGTATGCCTGACACACTCCTAAAAATAAACATGATGGCTAGACTTTAAAGTGGTTATTAAAACTTACCATAAAGTGTTAGTAATAAAGGTTTTGTAAGCTTTTCCCATGATAAATAGACAAATGAAACAGAATGATTATCCAAAATTATTCCTTGTACATATGGGAACTTGAATTGTGAAAGATAGCACTTCAAATTATGAATAAAATTATTAAATAGTTAATAAATTATTCTGGAATAAATAATTAAAATATAGAAAAAATAAAATTGATATTCTATATCATACCATTCTCAAAAATAAATTCCAGGTGGATTAAAGGCTAAAGCATAAAGTCTACAAAATGTTTAGAAGGTAATATGAAGTAATGTCTTTATGACTGTGGAGTAAGACAAACATTCTTCAAGAAGACAAAAAATGCAAATAGTAAAAAATATCTGTTTCATTTACATTAAGATAAAAGATCTGCCGTTGATAAAAAGTCAAGCCACATACTGGGAGAAAGGTATAAACATTTTCATCTAAAATTTGAAATGATTTGTATATAAAACATGTGAAAAAGTAATTTTAATAAATAAAAAATGAACTAACAAAAATGCAAAATAACTAATATGGCACTTCACTAGAGAGAAAAAAAAGAACTCATAATATACAAAAATTTATTCAACTTGCCAGGCATGGTGGCTCACGCCTATAATCCCAGCACTTTGGGAGGCCAAGGCAGGTGGATCACGAGGCCAGGAGATCAAGACCATCCTGACTAACACGGTGAAACCCCGTCTCTACTAAAAATACAAAAATTAGCTGGGCGTGGTGGCTGGCGCCTGTAGTCCCAGCTACTTGGGAGGCTGAGGCAGGAGAATGGCGTGAACCCGGGAGGCGGAGCTTGCAGTGAGCCGAGATCGAGCCACTGCACTCAGCCTGGATGACAGAGCGAGACTCCATCTCAAAAAAAAAAAAATTTACTCAACTTATTCATAATAAAAATGTAAATGAACCCTCAATGATATCATAATTTCCAGCAACATCAGAGGTTGCATAAAATGTAGAGTAACTGTAAATTGACTTCGCACTTTGGCAATAACTAGTAGAATTAAAAATGCTGTATTCTATAATTCAACAATTACATTCTTAGATTATTTATTCATTATATAACAAATACTAGCAATATGTTTCAGAAAAAAGTTATAAAACTGTACCTGTTATCTACACTAAAATGGATAAAAGTATGGTGAAATACACACACACACACACACACACACACACACACACGTCCCACACATATAAGTAAATACAAGTAAAGAGGTTAAAATAAATGAACTATAGCTATATTTATTAATATGAACAATTTCCTTAATGTAAAAAAAAGCCATAGGACATATGTATAGTAGTTTCCACTACATAGAGGGTAAAAGTAAAATTAAATCCTTTATATGGGGTAGTCATACATGGTAACACTCAAAAATTATATAAAAACTCGCAACAAACTAATTATAGAAGGAGTTTGGCTCAACATGATAAAATCCAGTGAAAAACTGACAGTTTTTCTCTATGTTCAGGAACAAGACAAAGATGCCTATTCTTACCACTTCTGTTGAATATAGATTTGGAAGTTCTAGTCATAGCAATTGGGCAAAAATTAATTAATTAATGTAAAATAAAATAACATCTAAATCAGAAAAAGGAGTCAATTTTACTCTGCAGATTACATGATCATATGTATAGAAAACCCTAAAAGCTCCACCTAAAAACTTTTAAAACTAAGAACTGAATTCAGTAAAGTTGCTGGATACAAAATCAACATACAAAAGTCCATTGTGTTTCTATACACCAACAGCCAAATGAGAATTAATAATCTCATTTACAGTAGCACCAAAAAACATTTAGGAATAAACTTAACTAAGGAGCTAAAAGATCTGCACACTGAAAACTATAAAACATTGATGGAAAAATGGAAGAGGTACAAATAAATAGAAGATATCCTGTGTTTATGAACTGGAAAAACTGATATTGTTAAAATGCTCACACTACTCAAAGCTATATATAGAGTCAATGCAATGCCTATCAATATTATAATGACTTTTTTAACATAAATAAAGCAATTCTAAAATTCATATAGAACCAGAAAGGACTCCAAATAGCCAAAGCAGTCTTGGAAAAGAACAAAGGTGGAAGAATCAAATGCCCTGATTTCAAAATATATTACAAAGAGCCACTAATTAAAGCATTATGACACTGGTATTAAGACAAACATATAGGCTAGTGGAACAGATAGAGTGCCCATAAGTAAACACATGCAAATATGATCAAACTGATCTTCAACAAGGGTGCCATTAACACACAATATGAAAAAGACAATTTCTTCAACAAACGGTGCTGGGAAAATTCAGTATCTCCAAGCATAACAATGAACTTCAACCCTATTTTACACCATACACAAAACAAGTCAACCTAACATTGATTAAATATTTGAACCTAAGACTAGAAAGTATAAAACTGTTGGGTAAACACTTCCTGACATTGGTCTTGGCAGTGATTTCTTGTATATGACACCAAAAGCATAAGCAACAAAAGAAAAAGTATTTTTATACACCTGTTGGTCCTGTTTGTCCTCTTTAAAAAGATTTCTAATCAAGTCTTTTGCCTATTTTAAAATTAGATTATTAGTATTATTATTGCTGTTGAGTAGTCTGAGTTTCTTATGTATTCTAGATATTAATCTCTTGTCAGATAAATATTTTGTAAATATTTTCTCCGATTCTGTGGGTTGTCTCTTCACTATTGTTTTCTTTCCTGTGCCAAAACTTTAGCGTTTGATGTAGTCCATTTGTCTATTTTTGCTTTGGTTGCCTGTGTTTTTTAAGGTCTTCTTCATAAAATATTTGCCTATACCAGTATCCTAAAGCATTTCCCATATGTGGCTTCATAGTTTTGAGTCTGTGTTTTTGAGTCTATGGTTTCTGATCTAGTGGTTTCATGGTTTCATGTCTCACATTAAAGTCTTTAATTCACTTTAAGTTGATTTTTGTATAATAGTGGAAGATAGAAGTCTGGTTCCATTTTTTTTGGCATATGAATATCCAATTTTCTAAGTAAAATTTATTAAAGATACTGTCCTTTCTACAATGAATGTTCTTGGCATCTTTGTTGAAGATCGGTAGGCTATAAATATGTGGATTTATTTATTGGTTCTCTATTCCATTCCATTGGTCTATGTGTCTGTTCATATGCCAGTAGCAGGAGGTTTTGGTTAGTACACTTCTGTAGTATATTTTGAAGTCAGGTAGTAGTGTAATGCCCTCAGTTTTGTTCATTTTGCTTGTGACAGCTTTGATTATTTGGGGTCTTTTGTGATTTCATATAAATTTTAGAAATTTTTTCTTTTGCTATTTCTATGCAGAATGTCATTTATATTTTGGCAGGGATTGCATTGCATCTGTAGATCCCTTTTGGTAGTATGGTCATTTTCCAGTATTAATTCTTTCAATTTATGAACATGAGATGTCTTTCCACTTTATTGTATCTTCTTTGATTTCTTTCATCAGTGTTTCATAGTTTTCCTTGTAGAGATATTTTACCTTCTCAAATTTATTTTTAGGTATTTTTAAATTAATATTTACAAGTTTTACTTTATTATATAGTCGAGCACTCTCATTCGTAGGACTTTTTCCAATATAAATGAAGAGCTATTTTAACACAAAGACGTTTATGTGAAACTCAGAGCAGCATTATTTATATTTGTCAAGAACTAAAAATAATGTGATAAGTCATCAGATCGTGAATGGATAAATAAATTGGCTATATGCAAATTATGGGATGTGTTTCAGATAGTGAATGGATTAAGAAATTGGCTATATGCAAATTATGGAATGTGTTTCAGCAATATGAAGAAATGAGCTATCAATACATCAACAACATGGCCGAGTTATAACAATATTGTAACAAGAAAAATAAGTGAAATGCATAAGACTATATATAAATGTTTATTCCATTTATAAAAAAGTATTAAGAGGCAAAGCTATTAGTTACAGATAGCAAATAAATGGTTACTTCCAAAAAGGTTGGGAAAAAGGTATTTGACAGCAAATCATCAGTGGCAAAATTTTATCTCATTAAGGTGGAAGCTATGTAATTTTAAACGATTTTTAAAACTTACCAAATAATACTCTTAAATTGAGTAAATCCTATTTTTTGTAAATTTTACCTTAATAAGTTTTGGAAAATAAATATCAATTTTGAACCAAAATGGAAGTGTTAATTAAATATATGTATTGATTCTGCCAATAAAAATTTTATCTCTGGACAATAACTTTTCTAGAGGAAAGAAACCTATTAGTTTCACATATAAATGGTTAAGTGTTAACTATGATTATTTTGGCAGATTCTTATAAATCATATTTTGCTTTTACACTTAAAAAAATTCCAGTGTTTAGCTGTGGTTAAGTGGATATTTTTACTTTAGTGAAAGATATCAGAGAGCACATTTGCACCTGTCAGATTTGTATTATTAGCTCACTAATTAGGAAAAAGCCTAATAGTGAGAAAATAATTTATTATTTTATTATCTCAAATCCTGTAACATTGGTAACCTCTGAAAACTCTGAGAAACTCTGTGACTCCTTGTTCTTAACTTCTGAATGAACCAATCAATTGGATTACCCAGAATATGAAGGAGACTTATTCACTGAGAATAAGAGGTGATATTTTTGTGTTTCTTGTTTCTAAAGTTTCTCATGTATTCTGTAACTGATTATAAGTAAGTATCTTCATCATGGATACCTGCTACAGATATCTATCTCCTTAAAATTTCCTAGTCTCATCCATATACTTCAATGACAAAGAATAAGGAAGAATTTCTTTCATGAGCTCTTTTTGGTACATTGCTATTATAGATAGGTTTTAAGGTCAAATATTACTACCATAATTAGTAATATCACTTAATTATTCAGAAATTGAAGGAGTTATGTGGAAACAATAATTTAAACTACATAACAACCTGGAAATTTCTTGCATTTGTTTTATAATAGGTAATGTATCTTTTAAACATACATACAAATGTGGAAATTAGCAAGAGGTGAAAAAGTTGCTAAGTTTTGTGGGCGTATGTCAGATTTTAATTCTTCTAGCTCTCCCATATCATTTGGGTTGGGCAAAGTTTCTCTCTCTTAAGCCTGTCAAGTTGAGAGATTCTTCAAATACTAAAAAAAAGTTTCCATATAAGTAAAATTAGAGTAGCTAAAGTTTGTAAGCCATCAATACAATCTGTATTTAATTATAGAAGGGCTGTATATCCTATTGTTTTTATTTTACTTATTTTATTATTATTATTATTTTTTGAGACAGAGAGCCTCACTATGTCACCCAGGCTGGAGTGCAGTGGTGTGATCTCGGCTCACTGCAACCTCCGCTTCCTGGGTTCAAATGATTCTCCTGTCTCAGCCTCCGTGAGTAGTTGGGATTACAGGTATGTGCCACCATGCCTGGCTAATTTTTTTTTTTTTTTTGTATTTTTAGTAGAGAGAGGGTTTCACCATGTTGGCCAAGCTGGTCTCAAACACCTGACTTCAGGTGATCCTCCCACCTCGGTCTCACAAAGTACTGGGATTACAGGAGTGAGCCACTGTGCCCGGCCCCTATTATGTTTTTATGTTGAAAAGAAATCTCGAATACCAAAGTAATTGCTTACGAAACGATAAAATTTTACTTTGCAATATTCATGATGAAGTCCCCAAATAACATTATGGTTTACCTTCCATTTGAAAATATTAAGCTAAATTTGCAAAACCTTACAGTTATACATCAATTATGGTGACCTGAGTTACGTATCTTATGTTGTAGCTATATCTACATATTTTGGTTATCACAAGTATTGACCCAGACCTGGGAAAAACCCAATAGAGTTAATGACAACTGGCAGTTGCCCCCCTTTGCTTTCAGGGTACTTCATTTATTTCTTGCAATCTCATTCTTCTCATTTCTACCACATTGTTTCATTAGAAGAAAGAGGAAGGATTTTTTTATGAGGTTATTTATGAATGAATGAAATAGAGAATTTACTGTGAAATGTAGTAAAAATTGCAACTCATAATGTCTACATCTAGATTATGGCCAAAGGTTATTTCCACTAGATTCAATTACCTAGTTACTTAACTGAGATTCTTCTGTATTTTGTAAGTCACAATGAAATTGCTTTAAGAGTCAGTGATATCAATGCAATTCTAACGTTTGATGCTTAGTTCAAACACACCCACATAAACACCCCCAAAACAAAATGCCTCTTGTTAATCAAACATCACAGCTCGAAAGATGCTCTATTATTAAAACAACAGTTTATTTGTTTTCTATAAATAATGCCCAATAATTATTATGTTTGATGGTTTACGGGATGAGCTCAAATGATTTAAATATGCCTTTCTACTAAAAATTTTAGGATAACAGAAAAATTCCTTTCACCCTGTGAAATAAGCAATAAGAAGAGATAAAATGTTTAGACATGTTGTACTTTGTAATATCTCCGCAAATAAAGGGAGAATAGCAGAATTAAATTTTCATAATTAATAAAGATGTTATCGTTCGTATTCATTTTTTCAATTGTTATTAACCCCTAGAAAATACACAAGGAGTATGAGATACAATCATGTGTATCATGCAGTAATAAGCACCATCTGGAAATATTCAGAACACAAAAATATAGTTATCTGCATACTGTTGATTCACTGTGTCTGACTCAGTTAATTTCAGAAGTATTTATATAAGCCAACTCAGACAACACATGCACTATGACTGAAAGATAATTTTAAAATCAAATTTTCAAATGTATATTTCACAAATCATTTTGTTAAACAAGTGTCCTATTATTCCTTACTTGATGCTTTACCTAATTCTTATACTTATTCGAAAAAGTTCAATGACATAATAAGAATAACTCCAGATAAATTAAGCAAATATAGTATAACTTATTTTATCTTAAATGTATTTACTGATAAAAAGGATTTGGTGTATTTTAAGCATTTCAAAAGCAATCAGATTACAATAAAATAAAAATTCCTAGCATCTTAAAATTTTATGCCATACTGTCATTTATGGAGACATGGATTTATTACTTTGACTTTTTAATTTCTGACACTTTTCTAAAATTAACATTTTAATGACAAATTGTGATTGTCAATGTCAGCATTTTAAAACTGTCATTGACAAGAAATTATTCCAACCATAGCAGTTTTATAAGAGGACAGTGTTTTTGAATTAGTCAGAAAATTAATTAAGAAAATAATTGTGGTAGTGGCTCATTCATTCTGCAGTACATTATGTTAAATCAAAGTTGCTTTTATAAAAAGTGTTTCCCAGGGCTAAAAAACTTAAATGTATATTTTAAATGAAATTATTTTAATAATAATAGCAACTACTGTTATATTGATTGCCGCATTCCATATATTATTATACTGTTGTAATTGTTTTTTACTTAATCTATACAGCAGCCCTATGTCATAGCTACTGTAATTGTTCCATTTTAGTGGTATGAATGCTGAGGTACAAGAACGTAATTTGCATTTTGCCCAAGAACACATGGTGCAACTTAGACCAAATCTAAGTGGTCCACTTTACGGACTTCCTTAAAAGAATGATGATGTACTTCCTCCCTTAAGACTGAAATATTAACTTTAATAGCAAACGGTATAGCTGTGCGTATAGCATCATGGCACTGAGGAAATTGCACTTGCAGAATAAACTCTCCTTGAGCCATCACAGGTCTAACAAATGAAGGAGAGGTCACCAAAACTGTACCCCTTCCTAAAATATGTGCTGAAACTACTGCAGTGGGAGCCAAGTTTAATTCAGAAGACTTGCCTTGAGGTGAGCTGCCAAGGCAGTACTGCTGTGGGGACAGAGCCTAGGGGCCAGCAGCAAGGTGAAGAATTTCATGCTGGCACATCTACCTGAATTCAACAAACTCAAATAGGGCAAAGAGGCTCTTGGCAGGAGCACAAGGGGCATGTCTGAGGTGTTATTTTCTTATTTCATTGCCTGTGTGGCAATTACATAGCGTACTAAATTTAGGATCCTTCATTATATTGAATGCCTCTGAAATACACATTTTATCCCTGTATGCTTTATTCCACTAAAAAAGGAGGAAGAAAGAGAGGGAAGGGGGAAAGAAGGAAGGAAGGGCAATATCTACAATGACACGCACACACACAAACACAGTTTAAAAAGTAAAGGTGTGGCGTCTTTGAAGACAAAATATACAATACTTTAAAAGAACCATCAAGAAACAGTGAGAGAAAGAGAAAGTGGCACACCCTTAACAGCTTAGTAGGACTAAAAGCATGCTACAGTCAGATGTTATTTAAGAGAGTAAAGTATTACAAGCAACTGTATACCAATATTTTTTAAAAATCTATGCAAGATTGTCAAGTCCTAAATAAACCAAATTAAAAACGTGACTCAAGAAAAATCAGAAAAATGAATGAATTCATAAATATTTAAATTTTTGTACAGAGAAATGATCTATTTCTAAAATGGTAGCCTAAAATTAGAAAACTGGAATTTTAAATAAGACCCATTCACAGTACCAATAGATTTAAGTTATTGAGAATAAATTTGACAAAATATGTGTAAGATTTCTGTGCAGAAATTGGTAACATTTTATTGAAAACATTAAGTAAGACAAATAATTTGAGAGCTATCTTGTGTTCATTCAATAAAGACATTTCTGTCTTTATTGTATAGGGATCTATTATTTTCAAACTAGCCTATAGACTTATTATGATTTCAAATAAATGTTCAATAGGTTGTATGAGAAATGTGGCAAGCTGAAACTCAAACAGGAAATGGAAGAACAAATGACAAAAAATAGCCAAAGTTTACGGAATAAATAAGAATGGTTAATAATATACAAAAGTATCCTGAATAAATAAGAATTATAAATAAATAATTCCAGCATGTCACTCAAATTCTTATTTTTTAAAAATAGATCGATACATTTCACAACAAAATTAAAAACATATGTTAATTTGAAAAATACCATAACAAAAGTGAAAAGACAAGCTCCTTGGAGGAAGATAATAGGAATACAGAAAGTTGAACATAGATTAATATACAGATTAATCTTTTAAAACTTTTAAAATAACAAAAACAGAGAATGAGATAAGATGTGCAGAAATTTTTCAGAAGACTAAGTACCTAACCCAATATATACAGAAAATTATGCTTGTTACAGGAGCAGGAAAATAAAAATTAATAACAAAATGAGAACTACATTTTACTTATTGATTGGCAAAAATGTTAGACAGGATATGGATTAAAGGGGGCCACAATATATTTCTTATGACAGTGTACATTAATTAACCAACACTGGAAAACCATTTGGTGTTGTCTCAGATAAAACAAAACTTCTCTAGTGAACTAGCATTTCCATTTCTCACTATAACCTCTGGAAAAACTCTTGAATTTGTGTGCCCAAAGATATGTACAAGAATGTACATAGTAGTTTTGTTTGTTTTAATTTTTAAAAATGTATACATACACAAATTCTATCTGCATGACAAATGGATAAATTGTGATAAAATTACCATGATATGTAGCAGAGCAAATGAAAGAATTATGTCTAGAACCAATAACATGGATGGATTTTAAAAATTAGAATGTTGGAAGTTCTAGGAGACTACCTATATAATTACATCATTCTTATAAAACTCAAAAATAAACCAAATAATTAGTTTTATAACTTGCATGTTTTACATATAATCATTTTGTATTAAACATTTAAAAATATAATACTAACACATAATTGTTAATTTTTTTGTGTTTTTAAATATTACGGGTAAGTAATCCAAATGTATTTTATTTAAATGTTTTAAAAGTGCTCATTTCAAACATTACCACTCTCTCTTAAAACTGTCTACCCCAAGTTCCCATTTCAGCTGACATATTTAGATCCTATTCTCTAAAGTAAATTTGCTCATTTTCCCTTTAAAGTAGTAATTAAAGTATATCCTTTTGACTGAATAAGACGTTTTTGTTGGCACTTTGTGCTTTAACAAAAAGCATATTTAAATTCTTTGCAAACTAAAATATAATAATGTTTTATTTCATTTAATTTTCAAAACAAATTTTTAAGGTAGATATATTGATTATTGAAAACTAATGTGTATTTAAATAAAAATAAAACAACTTGATTAAAGCAAAAAAAGAAGAGAAAAATAAATCTATTGTTTCAGTTGTTTTTTCTCTGTGCTGACATCACTGTAAGGTAAGCTTATCCATATGGCATGCAAGATGTCCTTAAGCAGATCCAAAATTACATGGTCTTTGCATTTGGGGTTGTAAAAATAAAGATTTTTTTAAAAGATTTGCATGTTTCTTGCAATTTGCACACTCATGGTTGGAACAGTTTTCCTTAATATTTAGTAGGCTCCATTTGCAAAAACTACATTTTTTTAATTTGTTTTTGGCTGTAGATTGGATAAAGATGTATGTGAAATGAGGAAATCTGTTCAATGGTGTCTGGTTTATGAGAGGCCTGCATGTTTCTAGCCAAGGAGGAGTGAGTGGTATCCTCATAGCTAATCTCAGAAAAGAGATACCTTTGCTCTGTCAGCATGGGTACATCAAACCTCATCAAAGTCTTCAGCCCCAGCAGGACATTGCTGAATCATAAAGAGCAGTTTCTTTAGAGGTATGGGACTGGAGCCAGACTCTTTGTAGATCTATGAGTGCATGGGAGGAAGTAGAGACATAGAGAGGGCAGTAGAGTCTACTCTCTCAAGAGAAGTGAAACAGAAGAGAAATAAGTTTAGAGAGGGATATGAGGTTAAGGGCATTGTTAAAAAAGAGGAGGACAGTGTAGAGTTAAGACTGGAAATAATACATTTCCTAGCTATTGTACTGACAGGTTGGGTGATTATACCCAGGATTTCTTAATCAGCTATAAATTAGATGAGATAACTGAATATGGAATTGCTTTTAGGCTGGGCTCAGCAAAGTGACAAAAACAAAAAAATCAAGAAGGCAATGGATTTGGGTATTTTGACCAGAGAGGTTGAAGTTATGCATTTCATGTTCTTGGTCACTTTAGGTATTGAACAAAGCAAGAAAGTAAAAATTGATAGACTGAAAGACAACATAAAGTTTAAGGGATGTTACAATGATTATACAAGAATGAATATTCCATAATAGCTATTTATTTTATTTTAATTACTAGATTCATGGAAAAGGTGTTTTAGATGAATGGCATGACCCTCAAAACAAGAAGATGTGCTATTTAATTAATTGTCTGCAAAAGAGTGAAAAGATAGACAAATAAAAGATGAGAAAGCTCCTTGCCTCTACCTTATGTTGTCTCCTTCTGTTCTATTAAAGTATGAGAGAAGGTATTCATTATCTATTGATAATACTGCTACAGGAAAAACTGTACTCAGATAAAATTTACATTAAATAATTAAGATGTGAGGTATGGAGGAAGAGGATTATTTTCCTTAAATATTCTCTGACACTTTCCCCAGCATTCTATCCTACACTCTCTTTTCACTTTTTGCATGATTTCTGCAGATATACTTCACTACAGTGGCAATATTTGTAATCTGTGTTTTGAAACTTTCAGCTAATCATCTCAGGCCAGATGTCTCTCCAACGTCCAGGTCTATTTTTCCAAATATCTCCCTGCTATTTAGAAATATTTCAGTGGCACCCAAAACTCAACAGTTCCAACATCAAATTCATAATAGTGTATTGTTTCCAACTTGTTCTTCTCATTTATCGTAATCGTGATGGTTGATACCACCATCCCTTACTCTGAGCAAAAGAGACATATATGTTTACGTGACTTCTCCATCATACCCCTCTCATATATCTTCAAAATCTATAAATACATATGATTAATACATGTCATGTATTGTTTTTCCATTTCTGCCAATATTAAGTTTTCTCAGGCCATGATTTTTCACCTGGTTACAGCCTGAATTTTAGTGGTATTTCTGGCTTTCCACTGCCAGTCCTCTGTGGCTTATTTTTATGCTGAAGTTTTGCAGATATTAAATAATCTCATTCATAATTAAATATCATCAATCTAAAATCAAACGATGACTTTTAATTATCCTCAGGATAAATCTTAGAAGCTGTAGCATGGTGAAGGAGGAATTCCATTTCTATTACCTGCTTGCTTTGGTTTTTAGAATTCATCTTTTCATACTTTTCATAGTCAAATTTCCAGACATATTATACAAGCTGAGCTATTAGAACATTTTTTTCTTTTTCTTTTCTTTTTTCTTTTTTTTTTGAGACTGAGTCTCACTCTGTCACCAGGCTGGAGTGCAGTGGTGCGATCACGGCTCACTGCAACCTCCGCCTCCCGGGTTCAAGCTATTCTCATGCCTCAGCCTCCCAAGTAGCTGGGATTACAGGCACCCGCCACCACGCCCATCTAATTTTTGTATTTTTAGTAGAGACAGGGTTTCACCATGTTGGTCAGGAAGGTCTCGATCTCTTGACCTTGTAATCTGCCCACCTCAGCCTCCAAAAGTGCTGGGACTACAGGCTACTAGAACATTCCTTACCTTAATGGTTTACACATTCTGTTCCCTCTGCTAGAATCCCACGCAAGCATTTATTCATCATAGTAATTGTGATTTCCATAGCAGAATGAATATTTCTTACTATACCTTTGCATTTGTCTTCTGTATGTGTGCATTCATATAGAATACTTATTGCCAATGAATTATAAACTCTTAATAAACTGTGAGTCAATTAAACTTTTCTTTATAAATTACCCAGTCTCAGGTATGTCTTTATAGTAGTGTGAAAATGGACTAACACACTCATCCTCCTCTTGATCTTCTTTCTTATTTATCCACCTTCTGCTGCTTCTCCTCTTTTCCTCCTCTTTGCCTGGGCACCATCATCTACTAAGTTATTCAAAGTTAAAATCTTCTCATTTTATTTGAATTTACATGCTCATTTGACTAATATTCATCACTTAAGGTGTGTATTTCTGTTAAGAGGCCAGCATCTTTATAACTAGCTTAAATTCAATACTCTGGATGTGAAATTTTAAAGAAAAGCTCATAGCATTTATTTTTGGAATATTAAATAAAGATTATATAAATGTATGGATTCATCTGATTCATATCTTAGATTCTCCACCAACAAACAAAACAGCAAACAAGAACAGGCATTCATATTAAACAATGGCTTAGTTACCAGACTGTTAAATTCCCTATTCTTTCCCTTTTAAATAATTTTATTCGGATAACTTCTTTGTGCTTTTTTACTGGTTTTTCTTCCATACTAAACATTTCTACTCTAGTTTTGAAAATCTAGGTATGTCATAAATAAATGTAAAAAAATCATCAACATCTTAGATACTGAGAATACAAAGCCACTGTAACTTTTATTAAGAGTTTATAATTCCCACCAAGTATCTCCCTAAACACCTAGGGATTACAATTTGAGCTGAGATTTGGGCAGGGACACAAAGCTAACCATATCAGTGAGAAACAGGAGGAGAAGGAGAACAATAGGGAGGAGGAAGAGAAAGAGCTTCCAATGAGACTACTGAAGTTGACTTTGAAGTAGAATGTGTGAACAGTATAGACTATTGAAAACACAGGAAGCTGTCCAAAAAAATTGTTCCTAAGAATTTATATTTGAAAATCACTTGTTGAAAATGATTATTGACATCAAAAGGCAATAATAGAGCACTGAGGTATTTAATAGGTATTATCTTTTACTTCCATTAAAAACAAGGTACATGATGGCAGATTTTCAAATTCTCTTTGGAAGTAATTCCAGTATATACTTTTTTGTAATATTTCTAAATATTATTAGATATAAATGAAGAAAATTATATGCACACAATGTCATAATTATAATAACATATTTTATTAATAGCTATACTATGTGTTGAACACTGTGCTCACGATTTTCCATGTTTTACTCTATTTATTATTACAAGTCACAACAATCCTATAAGACTTATAGGCATAGTTAAATTAACTAAATTTCCATTGATATGAAGCTAGGAAGTGGTGAGGTGACAATTTGAACTTGAGTACATTTACTATAGAGCTGCTGAAGTAATGTCATGGACAAAGAAATGCCACTTTTGGACTCCCATCTCCTTCATTCAGGTACACTGCTCTCACTGTACTTTGATACCATGAATGTAATAGAAAAAGCAATGATACACAGTTCTACATACTAAGTACCTGGGAGAAGGAATCCTTGGAGATACAGAACATATTTAATTCAAATAAATGACAGGAACTATCATAGAAGAAAATAATTCAACAAGTAGTAAAACAAATGGTTTTATGTTTTATTGAGTAAGATCCTCAGGAGGCACAGAATGAATTCCAAAAAGCTTTTATTAAAAGCCGTATTTACTGGATCTGGTATTTGTACCAAAGGGTAAAACCTAGGGCTGCGTAGTTTGTAAAACTCAATAAATTTATTAATAAAATAGAATTTACACAGAGATAGTTTCATGTGCACTAATATATTATGTATTTCTCATTTCCTATTGTTCTGTTGTTTATTGGCTAATCGACTTGGAACAAGATTCCAAGTGTTTGTCAGAAAGATATTAGATATAGAAATAGAGAGGTATAGCAGCCCCCTACCCATGTGCATGTGTGTGTGTGTTTGTGTATGTGTATGTGTGTGGGTGTGTGTATAGTATCTGTGACATAGATTATTTGTGGCAATTAGATTACACCATGCATAGACTACTTGTTATATCCCTTATCACACAGTAAAGTCATAATAAATATTATTGTTGTGATTGTTATTTTAAATTATGCTTACGTTTGGCACTTTGCAATTTCTGATCTAAAAGCCTTTAATTCTGCAAACATCAAAAAGCCTTGGTTTGGGCCTGGGCTTCTTCACACACTGATGTTATGGCATGATTGGCAAAAGCATATATTTGCCCTAAGTCTCAGTTTACTCATTTCTAAATGGAGAAAAGTTGTTTTACCTGTCAGTATTATTGGAAATGTGTTTTAATCTAGAAATAGGTATAAAAGAATTAAACCAGCATCATTATTATTTTGTCATCTTTATAATTTTCCCGGAAGTAGTTCCACTAAAAGTTAATTGGAGTGAAGCGTGTAATTGACTTTTGATGCGAAGCAGGTTGTTCTCTCTTCCAGTTGTCTAACACTTAAATCACAACTAGATATTCTCAGTAAAATGAAGATGGGTTTTAAGTGGTATGGTGAGAATAAATGCCCTTTCTAGTTGTCTTAAAGATCATTTAATTTTTTAAAGATCTAAGAAGAAATGTGACTAGATATTGCATAGCCTTCTCCCTAGATCATCTCTAACAATATATTTCAGTAATGCTTGATTATTTGAGCTCCTATTACAAAAATGTGTATTGTAAAATGCTTTTCAATATCCTACCATCACAGGGATATGTAAAGTTTGCTTTTAGCTCTCTTACTTGTAGTTTTAGATGAGCAGCAGTGACTGTGCAAACGTGTGGGTAATAATGCTTGATGGTACTTACAATGTCATCACGTGCTAAAATGCTTCTGGTTCATGTACCACAAAATCACAGATGGGAAAAGTTGGTTAATCTCTATTGGTAATCAAGGTGAGAAAAATTTAGTCTCAACTGTGGGAAAAATATGCATTGGTATTTGTTGGATTTTGACAATTTTATTTGAATCAAAAATTAAATAACAGACTTGGATTTAGAGGCCAAAAAAAATGAAGATGATCTTTTTCTGCCAATGCTTTTTTACCCTAGCTCTTCAAAATTTAAGAGAAGGATTAATATGAAAATAATATAGCAAAGTACTACAAAAAATTTCCTAAATTTTTTTTCTGTAACAAAAATAAGAATAAGCTCTATTGCACATATTTTCATTTAAGAAACTTTCTAAAAATTTATTATGACTGGGTGAATTCTTCCATCATCTGTTAAATTATTAAACTTTTTTTATTAAAAGTTTTATAGTTTCTCCCAACATGCCAACCATCTGTACTTAAAAACTGTTTGTCAGAATGTTACTAAGACAAAAACACAAACTTCGAAAAAAATTCAATGACATCTAAACAGCAAACTCCTATTTTTAGTATGACTGAATGAAAGCATCTTTGGTTGGGAAGAAATTTTAGCAATCTTAGGCATTTTTTGTTAGTTATTTTTAAATTGTATGTTTCAGTACATGGTAGCCAAACCCTTCATGAAGAGCTACTGAATTCTGATCAATAATTAAATATATTTTTGCTACCAGTGAATACATATTAATGTGGCTTTGTGTTATCAGGATTATTGAGATGAGGGGACTGTAGGACAAGCTACCGATAGGGTTCAACTAAGTACCTCATATAAGTAAGAGGTATGTGGACAAGAAAATATTAAGCTGGGTAGAAAATAACAAGGTGGTTGTATTAGTCAATGTAAAGTCAGGAAATGGTTCTTTCTGGTAAAATTCTGGCATTTAAATAATCACACCAATAATTTGAATGTCAGAATTTTAACATAAAGGACCACTAACCAATGACTACTATTTAAATAAGGTAAGAATAACTTTCAGAAAAAAAGTAGATACAGGGATCAGCCATTAAGACTGAGCAGGGTATCCGGGAAGGGAGTAAACTTGGGAGACCTTTGCCAATTGACTCTCAGATTTCAGACTTCCTTTGAAAGGATGTGACTTCAGCCCTTTATGGAGAAGTTTGCTGAAGTGCTACAGTCCAGGAATAAAAATCAGGAAACTGCCCAGTGGGGCACTGGTAAGACTTGATGGAGAGCTTTCCAGAATGCTGTGGAGACTCATTGGGAAACTTCATAGTAATGTGCCAACAACAACTGCTAGAAAGCTGCCCACTAGAGCAACGCTGAAACTTATGGGAAAGCTGCCCCCAGCAGCACCTCTGAAACACACTTGAGAGTGAGAACCACTAGGAGTCTAGTTTCATTGTGGCTGTCAATCACCAGAGGAGCAAGAAGGAAAGGCATACTGGAACCAGGAAGATAAACCTTTTCTTCCTGCAGTGTCCCACCAGGGCTCTCCACTAGCAAATTTAATATTGTACCAGCTGACAAAAGGAGAGATGTTTATAAGTTTGCTTGGAAAAGTGATATCTGGCCCAGTAGTATTCCTGTTGTTGACTTTACTTCTGTGTAGTTTGTCTTTCTCTACTATTTGAACTCCTTAACTCCTGGGAAGGCTTTGATTATTCTAAATTTCAGCTTTGGTCTCCAAACACCATGGAAGACTCTTTTAAACTAGTTCAACCAATGTGGAAGTCAGTGTGGCGATTCCTCAGGGATCTAGAACTAGAAATACCATTTGACCCAGCAATCCCATTACTGGGTATATACCCAAAGGATTATAAAACATGCTGCTATAAAGACACATGCACATGTATGTTTATTGCGGCACTATTCACAATAGCAAAGACTTGGAACCAACCCAAATGTCCAACAATGATAGACTGGATTAAGAAAATGTGGCACATATACACCATGGAATACTATGCAGCCATAATAAATGATGAGTTCATGTCCTTTGTAGGGACATGGATGAAGCTGGAAACCATCATTCTTAGCAAACTATTGCAAGGACAAAAAACCAAACACCGCATGTTCTCACTCATAGGTGGGAATTGAACAATGAGAACACATGAACACAGGAAGGGGAACATCACACACGGGGGCCTGTTGTGGGGTGTGGGGAGAGGGGAGGGATAGCATTAGGAGATATACCTAATGTTAAATGATGAGTTAATGGGTGCAGCACACCAGCACATGTATACATATGTAACAAACCTGCACGTTGTGCACATGTACCCTAAAACTTGAAGTATAATTAAAAAATAATTCTCTACCTCTTAGAAGATAAATTCTACTCAGTACCTCCATGTCTTTCTCAAATTGCACAGAAGTTGACAAACATTTTAATAAAACAGTGGTATAAAATGTTTTATTATAACTTTTATAATTAATACATTCTTTATAAGTGTCTCTTCTGTCTATGATTTTGGCCCCAGAGTGCCATATACCTTTAGCATCTCTCTCATGATATTAAAGAGAAGATATATTTGTGATATATTTGTTTTGTATTTTGCTTGTTTTGTTTTCTAGTTGTTCTTTGCAGAAGTATTGCTGTTCTACGTGCTAGTTCATCACAGGTGGAAGTGGAAGTCCATGGAAATATTTGAAAAGAAAATTATTCACATGGAGTCTAATATTTGCAATAACACTTATTTGTGAAAAGGGAAAATACAGCCTCTAAAAGAGTATTTATTTACTCATTATTTTTATTTGTTGACATTAAAGCCGGGTTTTTTAATCCATGTGCTTTTATAATTTTTGTGAGGAAACATGTTTTGCAGCATTTAATCCAAAGTCTGAAATTCAAAGATAATACCATTTATCTTTCTGTTAAGATCTCCTATGAAGAGCCAATTTGTTCATATGCTGAGGCAAAATGTTAACCTTTACGGAAATATAGCAGTAGTGTCTTAACTACTTTTTTAGCTACTTAAGCCGCAAGAGATTTTCCTCAGTCAAGACTGCTTAAGTCAGGCTAGTCTGTTATAAGAGTGAAAAAGCAGAAACCACAGCATTTTAAGTTTTTTGAAGTTTCTGCTTTTCCAAGTTAGTTATTGCTTAATCTCAAAGTTACTCTTCAATTAAGTGTGACATGTGGAATATAATTATGCATCCATTTTACAATATGTCCACATGCCAACAGGGGCCTCTCTTTTTAGTAGTTTCATTGTTGTTTCCAATAAAGAATAGAGAGTTTTCCTCTCTTGTTGCAGCATATTGAGACAGTGAGGTAAATTCAACGCAAAAAAATGCATAGAAAATAATTAAAGGCAACATGTAAATGGGGGCTTGATGTGGCATGTAGTACTCTATAGGTGCTGAGGATATGGCCAGAGT
The DNA here is from genome assembly GCF_000001405.40 of Homo sapiens. Taxonomy (NCBI): domain Eukaryota; kingdom Metazoa; phylum Chordata; class Mammalia; order Primates; family Hominidae; genus Homo; species Homo sapiens. Next base: position 34,301,897 of record NC_000004.12, read on the forward strand.
GGGTTCCCATTAAGACAGAGTCTGGCTGTAAGTCTAAGAATGCATATTTAACTTGTATTCAAATAGCATATGACAGATGAAAAGCACATTTCATACATTATTACTTTTTCCTCACAACAACACCATGAACTGGAGATTTTGGCTAAAATGTTCTCAAGCAATATTCCCTAAAGCAGAGAATATTTTTATATTCAACAAACATTTTCAAGATTTTACTCACTGAAAGGCAATATAGGTGGCTCTAAGAACACAATAGTAAGTAAAAACATGGTGTTTACTCCTATAGCCTAGTGGAGGAGATTGGCATTAATCAGTTTCACACAAATGTAACATCTCAAACCATAATAAGGGATAAAAGGAAATAAATAGCATATTATAAGCACGTATACGAAGAAAATCTGAACTTCTCTGAGAATTTGGTGAAGCCATTCTAGAGTGAGTGATTTGAGTTGAAATAGGAACAAATGTCATATGTACACAGGAGAAGTGTTGAGTTGGTGATAGCACTCCAGGCAGAAAGGAGAAGGATGTACAGATGTATTGAAGGATTAACAATGTGGCAGAAATAAAAAGAGTGCAGACAGAAACCTGATTCTTCTGACCCCATATGATGCTCACTTTAACAATCCTACATGAGCTATAGTCAAAGAAAAATAATGGAAGAATGCAGGGTTCAGGGCCATGCAGTCTCATTACTGTCAACTAGCTATGTGATCTCGGTCAACTTTCTCAACTCCCTGAGACTCTTTTTATACTATACATACAGAGAAATAATGCTTTAAACATTAAGATAGAATGGGATGACACATAGAAAATAAATGATAGAACATAAATGACATATAGAAGGTACTAAATAACAGTCAGTTTTCCCAAGAGATGAAAAACTTTCTTACAATCATGATGCAAGTTAGTAAACAGGATAAAAATTATGTCAACAGGAGTTATTTTTCTCAAGGTATAATACTTTGGTGTATTATCATTTTTATGGAATTTTTCCTAAAATATATTTATCAATGATGTTTTAGTTTCAAATAATATATTTAAGTATTATTCCCTTAACTGTAATTAATCTCAGGCATTCTAAATACTTTAGACACATGTTCTTTCAAATGCATCATTTTACTTTTTGTTAGTTGTTACTTCTATGAACTTAGATTCCACATACCAGAGACTATAATGAGATCGTAACTAATACTTACATGTTTAGCAGCTTCCCACCCCAATGCAACATTTACTCAGCACTTCTACTCTAAATGTATACAACACAGGGCCAAGCACAGTGGCTCACACCTGTAATCCCAGCACTTTGGGAGGTCGAGGCAGGCAGATCACCTGAGGTCAGGAGCTCGAGACCAGCCTGGCCAACATGGTGAAACCCTGTCTCTACTAGAAATACAAAAATTAGCAGGGCATGGTTGTGGACACCTGTAATCACAGCTACTTGGGAGGTTGAGGCAGGAGAATTGCTTGAACCTGGGAAGCGGAGGTTGCAGTGAGCTGAGACCACGTCATTCCACTCTAGTCTGGGCAATAAGAATGAAACTCTGTCTCAAAAAATAAATAAATAAATAAATTTATGCAACATGGCCTATACTAGTCTATATTACTATCTACAATCAATGAGCAATTTGTTATTCTAAATCTGTTTCTAAACTAGCACCAAAATGAGCCATCTCAGACAATAAATCTAGTGAGAGATTTATTATGATAAGCATAATATAAATGACCTATGTCATTTTGAGAAAGAGATGTTTTCTCAAGTTCCACATTTAGTTTTTCTTGCCAGGAATGATATTACACATCTTTCTGTCAAAATGCTGATAATTATTCCAAAGTAGGTTTAAAGCCTTCCTTATCTTTAAGGCCAAAGTGACTTCACCCTTTAGTAAATTTTAATAGCTCTTCTTGTCTACATTTTATATAACGAGCTGACCACTGAAGTAATTTCATCCCAGGCTTATGTTTCTTATCTACTCTTATCTACTCTGTAAGCTTCTTATAAATAGAACTGATCTGTTTATTGATCAATCGAACTGTAATTGTTTATTAATATGTAAGCATATACATTTCTGTATATGTCTTTATACATATATACTATATTAATTTCTGTATATGTGTGTATACATATACACTATATTAATCATTGGAAGAAAAATTGGATAGTACAGAAAAGCATAACACTTCAAAACACTCTGTTAATATATTTGAATTCATGAAATGTTTATTTAATATCGATTTCAGTCCCTCTTCTAGATATCAGGGATATGTCAGTCCTTGCCATCATGAAGATAATATTCTAGTACAAAGGGAGATAGTCATTAAAATTAATAGTTGAATTTTATAATATATTAGAAAGTTATAATGACTCTGGAGAAACATAAACTCATCAGAAAGCTTAAATTCCAGATGGATGTCATTGAAAGTAAACACCAAAATTGAATTATGCTATATAGTGAGAATTATTCCAGAGAAAAATAAAGCAGGGAAGAGTATATGCAGTACTAGGAAGGTTGCAACCTTAAGTCAGTCAACGAAGCCCTCAGTGTGAATTTCATGTTAGCAAAGACTTTAAGGTGAGGAGAGAATAAGCTGTATGAACACCTATGGGAAGAGTATGCTCTGGGAAGTCCATAGCTGTTTCAAAAACCCCAAGCTAGAGTGAGAGCAGAGTAACTGGAAAAGAATGATGAAGGGAGAGATTAGTAGACGAGAAGGTCAGGTGGGTTATGAGGAATCAGAAATCAAAGGGCTTTACGGGCTTGGACTATATAAGGAAGTGCTTTTGTTTCATTCAGAGTGAGAAAAATTATTACGACTTCTCTCTTTTCACAGAAGAGTAATATAAACTAATATTATTTGAACATATTTCTGGCTTCTATGTTAAGAACAAACTATAGGAATTGTTGGCAGGAATATAGGGAGATGAGCTAAGAGTCACTGCAATGCAATAATCCAAGCATTGGATTGATAGTGAACTGGATCAGGTAACAAATTTTTTTCATATTTTGAGGGTAGATCCAGTAAGATTCATTCATGCATGGCTAAAAGGTGCAATACAGACAGACAGACAGAGATAGAGAGAGAAGAGGAGAGGAGAAGAGAGGAGAGGAGAGGAGAGGAGAGGAGAGGAGAGGAGAGAGATTCAGGGTGACTCCAATTTTTTTGGCCTGAACAACTGAAAGTTGTCATTAACTGAGAATGAATAATTAGATTTTAGATATAACAATTGAATTTTGTTGGGACTTGGGACATTGGAAGTTATAAAATATGCATTAGCTAGCCAAGCAAAGATGCTGAGTGTATTAGTCCATTCTCACATTGCTATAAAGAAATATCTGAGACTGGGTTATTTATAAAGAAAAGAATTTTAATTGGCTCACAACTCCATAGGCTGTTTTATGTATACAACGTATAAGAAGCATGGTAGTATCTGCTTCTGGGGAGGCTTCCGAGAGCTTTTTATTCATGGTGGAAGGAAAAATGGGAGCTGGCATTCTGCAGGAACAGGACGAAGGGTGTAAGTGACACACACTTTTAAACAACCAGAACTCATGAGAACTCAGCACCACCAAGACAATACCAAGGGGGATGGTGGTAAAGAATTCATGAGAAATCCACCCCCATGAGTCAGTTACCTCCCACCAGGCCCCACCTCCAACACTGGAAATTGCAATTTAGCATGAGATTTGGGTAGGGACACAGATCCAAATTATATTATGAATAAGCAATTGGATAAATTACTCTGATTCTTTTGGAGAGATCTTGACTAGTGATGCAATTTGGGGTGCTATTAGTAGAATACTGAGACTGAATGAGATTACCAAACTGTTGAGGGTAGAAAGAGATGAGTTAATATTTGGAGACAACGTTCTGATTTAGTTAAATGCTACAATGTGGTTGAGATAGAAAGAATCCCTCAGGAAAATAGAGCAATGGACCAAAACAGCCAAAAGTTAAAGGAGACAGTATTCTGTGGTGCAGTAGATGTTAACTAATGTAATTATTTACACTGTTTCCAATTTACTAAAAGATCCAATAAGATGATGATGGGTTTGATAATATGAAGATCCTTGAGAAAACTAGTTTAATCATGACATGATTCAAAATCTGACTGGAATTGGGTAAAAAGAGAAAAGAGAGAAAGTGAAGGCAACCCTTTTCAGGAATTATGTGTAAAAGATAAAAGTTATGTGATAAATGACTGTTTTTTTTTTTTTTTGCTTTCTTTAATATGAGAAAAAAGAAAATTATGGTTTTATACTAAAGAATATGATTCATTTGACAGAACAGTTTGATGACGCAAGAGAGAGATTAGGGAACTATTGGGAAAATATCTTGTGTAGGAAAGAGTAAAAGGGTTTGATTTAGCAACCAGGTGACAGGGATGGACTTGTATAGGAGCATGGAAGGTTTACTCATGGAATTAGGCACAGACAACTACACTTAAAAGTAAGAAATATAGAATATATGAGCAGAGATGCTGGAGACAGGTAGATCATTAGTGTAAGCTCATGTATTAAAATGTCTTTAGTCACCACTTTTATTTCCATAGATGAAATAAGGATATCTGTTAGAGAAAAACAGAGAGGACATATCAGAAATTTGAGAAGAAAGTGTAAAATAACCTAGTAAAGTAAGAAAGTGAACAGACTAGGAAAGTATAGTATAATTGCACGGCAATATAAAGATTTGTGGTTAGGGATTTAGATTAAGAAAAATCGGCTTGGTTGTATATTTTCCTCTAGCCTCATTTGGCTGCATAAATATAGGTGGAATGTGAGTGGAAAATTGGATTTAACCAGAGTTTTTTGTTATTCATTTAACATAATAATGAAAAATGACTGTATTATTTTTAAACTGCCATTTTAAAATTTTAACTATTATATAATTTTTTAAGAAGCACACCAGGCTTTACTCAACCATTTCCCCATGGTTGGACATGTAGGTTGTTGCCAATGTTTTCTATGATAAGAAACTTGAACATTTTAGAATATATAAATTTTTATGTATAGAATGTATTCCTTCAGATAAATTAATAGACTTTTAATTATGCTATAAAATAACATGAAAATATTAAGGCTCTGGATATTTCTGCCAACTTTTCCTTCCCAATAAGGTATTGGCACCTATGTTTACCTCTTCTGTACAGTAAGTGAATAAAGTCATGATTATCACTTTCAGTTTGGCTAACTGACCACCTTGAAACCTGTCAGCTCAGACAAGACATATTATTTTTGTCATATATTAACATTTATTCATTTAAAACGTTTCTGATATATTTTGTTTCTTTCAGGGAATGTTCATTTTATTTGAACCTTATGCCTTCCCTAAGTTGTGCTCTAAAGTTTTGAAACAAATAGAAACACCCACCCTCAGGAAAGTTAACCTTCTATCTACACTGCAGAGTCCCTAACTTGAGGAAATGTCTCTGATCCATGAGAAACATTTCTTTCAGTTTACTTTTACACTTAAACAATGCTAGGCACTCAATATCAGGTGCAGATCCCCTGTCAGTTTTAAAAAAGCCATTATTTTTATAATATTGTGAGTTTCGTCTTCATCTGTTTCCCATAAGCCAGCTGAAATTCTGCTTCCTATCTTTCTTTCATTCATATCTTGACCTTATAAAGCTTACTGTACTTTATCTTTGCCCTCTTGTTTCTTCAATAACATTCTTCCAGCCTCCTCTGTTGCACACTTTGGCTAATTATTTTCTATTATCTGCCTGATTGTTACTGAACTTTCTTTATATATAGAAAATCTACTTCCCTACTACTGAAGCTGTCATTCTCTGATTCCTACATATGGACTAAGATCTGTGTAAGATAATCTTTTAACTTTCACTCTGGTCTGGATTCTCTTCTGCATGGTGGTAATTTAACATCAAATGCCACACACTAGCTGGAGTTTTCAGCACAATTTATACAAAGAAACTATTCAATAAATATTTTCCTATTGAAATTCCCAAAATTCATTGCAGATACATAAAATAATTAGGTATACATATTTTTCTAAACAGATTTGATTTTTTAAACATCTGTAAAAAATACTTTAGGTGAGGTAGCTTCTAGAATTAAGGCAGTGAGAACTCCACAAACACTCTCTTAAGCAAAGCAATCATAACTGATAAAAATTATTTAAAAATAAACATTTGAAGTCTTAAAATTTCCCTAAAGGACTATAGAAGATAAAGAAATTTTTATTCAAGAAAATCTACTGAATCTTTTTTTTTTTTTTTTTTTTTTGAGAAAGAGTCTCACTTTGTTGCCCAGTCTGGAGTGAAGTTGTGGGATCTCGGCTTACTGTAACCTCCGCCTCCTGGGTTCAAGCAATTCTCCTGCCTCAGCCTCCCAAGTAGATGGGACTACAGGTATGCGCCACCATGCCTGAATAATTTTTGTTTGTTTAGTAGAGACAGGGTTTCACCATATTGGCCAGGCTGGTCTCGAACTCCTGGCCTCATGTGATTCACCCGCCTAGGTCTCCCAAAGTGCTGGGATTACAAGCGTGAGCCACCGTGCCTGGCCCAATCTACTGAGTCTTAAAAAAAAAAGCTGCAGTCATTGGCATGAGCTGTGGCCTGCTCCCCAGACCCAGCTCAATAATGCAGAGGCTCTAAGCAGGTATTCCTCTCCCCTCAGATCTCAATCAAGGTCTGTGGTATCTCCTACCCCAGACACACAAAAAGGCTACACATGTTCTTCCTCTTTTCCTGTTGCATGACACAGAAGCTCTATTCCAAAAAGAGCAGGTGAGAGGTCCAGGTCTCTCTTTGTCCACACAGCTTTACTGGGAAAGCAGAAGCTCTACCCCAAGCATGGTAGATATGTAGGTTAAAAAAGCACGGCAGACATATATTCACTAGGTCACAGAAAACATTAAAAATAAATTAAATTAAATAATTTAATTCAATATTAATTAAGCTGAAAATAGATGTTGTCTGTGCCACAGGTCCTTTCAGGAATAACAGTGAAATACCCTGATGAGAGACAATTCTTCAAAGGACAGAGCTTTGGGCAGGACATCTGATATCCACTTTGTGTGGAAGAGAAAGTAGCACAAGTTTGGAATGCATCCAGACTCACAGACAGTTGCAAACGCTTGACCTATTGGTCAGGTGCTTGGAAGAAAAAGATTGGAAGACAGAAAATGAAAATATTAGATATAAGCTTGTGGGAGGACTGGCCAGTAATGGTCACAGAACACAGTAATAGCTGTATTGCATCTAAATGCCTACCAGGGATCAACCACATTGGAAGAGACACTAAATTGTCAAATAGATTTACTCAGTAAATTTATGTCAACCCACCTCTGTCATTGACCACCCAGAGCAGGAATAATAGGTAGATGTATGAATACAAAGGGGCAAAGCTATAGTCTCTACATAAGACAAGTCTGATTAAGCTACTGACACTTTCAAGTGTCGAATCTTCCAGAATGAGAGATGGACATTGAATTCCTAATATGGCATTTTTCCTCAAAGATACAAGCCAGTTTTTGGTGATAAAATGATTAAATTTGAATCTTTCCACACTGAAATAGTGTAGAAATTTATCTTCACTGAAATCACTTCTTACTTTGCACTTGAGTTTGTTTTTCTTGCCTGCAATCTGTCAACCAGCAACCCCCACTGAAGACTCATAGAGTGTTTGATTCACCAAAACAGCATCTCCCATGATATTGCATCAGATCAAGGCACTCATTTTACATTTAAAAAGATTATGTCAAGAGAGTCATGAACATAAAAATAGTGGAACAACAAAAGAGAGTGGTGAACAGCCTATTGAAGGCATAGCTGAGTGTTGGGTTTTGTAACAATGTTCTATTAAGAGGGTCACCATTCTTTGGAATGCTGTGTATATGCTAAATCAATTGCATTATTCATTCCTGTATTCTGATATGTATATACATAAGTCCAGTAACCAAGGCACAGATGCAGAAATTGTCCCCCTTGCCATCATTTCCCATGACTTGCTGGAGGAATCTGTGATTCTATCTTTATAACTCTGTGCTGTGTAGAAAAAGAATCCTGTTTCTCAAAAGAGGAACATTTCCACTAAGAAACAATGCAAGAGAAAATCCTATTGAATTTTAACCTATAGCTCCTGTTTGGCCACTTTGTGCATCTTGTGCCAAGAATTCAGCAAGCAAGTCAATGAATCATCACCCTGAACTGGTTAATTAATTGTAATCATTAGGAGGAGGTAGGACAGGGATAAGTGTATTTGCTAACCATCCCTAAAAATTACTGGTACCGTTTGAATATTTGTCCCCTCCAAATCTCGTGCTGAAATGCAAGCCTAAATTTTGTAGGTGGGGTCTGGTGAGAGATATTAAGGCCATTGAAGTGTGGGTGGTTTGATGGCTTCCCAAGAGTAATTAATGAGTTTTTGCTCTATTAGTTCACATGAGAACTGATGTTAAAAAGAACCTGACACTTCCTCCTCTCTCTTTCCCTTGCTCTTTCTCTCCTGCTATGTGATATGCCTGCTTCCTTTTTGCCTTCCCCCATGATTGAGAGCTTCCCGAGGCCTTACAAAAGGCAGAGTGGATATTGGCGCCTTGATTTTTATAGAATGTGCAGAACTGTGAGTCAAATGAACCTCTTTTTTTTACAAATTACCCAGCCTCAGGTGTTGCATTATAGCAAGACAAAAGGGACTAGCACAATTTTCTTGCCCAATTTTGATGGTAAATGAAAAAGCACAGCACCTATGGCTTGAGAAGGGCATATTAAACAGAGGATTGAAACTCTCAAGGATGAGTCTTGATCATCCCACCAGGTGAGCCATTTTGATCACAGAGGTGTGGCTAGCTAAGAGTAAAGGGAATTTACAGAGGTAGAGAAGGAAAACAATGTGTTGCCTTCTGTAAAGTTTCCTGCAGTTTCAGCTGCAGGGAATATAGTGTGCCAGTTGTTTCACCAATATTTCTTTTAAAATTTTTCTGCAGAAAAAGAGGATCACTGTATTAAGGTAGGTGCCCCCAGGAATCAAACTAAGTAAATGGATCTAAGTAGTGCAAGGAAGGGACTTCATATAGGCTTTGCTGTTCAAGTCAGGTAGCAAAGCCTCCTCCCAGTTAGTACTGATTTATTATTCTGCCTGGTCAGAAGGTTGTCATCTGAGAGCTGAGCCTTATTCAGCAATTGTTTTTGCTGAACAGTGTCACCTGCCCTTTGTTCATGTTCTCTTTCCCAGTCAGCCCACATTCAGTGACTGCTGGACACAAGGGTATAAAGACCCAGCCTTCTCCCCGAGAGTTGGTCAAACTCTGAAAAGCCCTATTAGCTTCAAAATTTCTCAAAGTGTTGGCAGAGGAATTGCTTTAACCGCGGGACTGCACATTGTCTCCTTCGATTCATTTCATTTTCCTTCAAAATGTTGATACCAAGAGCATTCATAATAAATTTCCTGCATGTATAAATTCATTTCAGTACCTGCTTCCAGGAGATACAGGAAGACAGGTCCCCAGATGGGCTTGGCCACCCAGCTCTCCCCTTCTTCCTTTCAGTTCTTGAGCAGAAATCTACTGAGAATGCAGCATCCTGTGATGAAGAGGAAATGCATGAAACTACCCCTGCTGAGTTCTCGTTCCTCAAAAAACAGCGTGTTCTGCAACCCCGGAGCTTAGTGTGCCAAGTTGCATCCAGAATATTAAACCCAGGGCAGAGTACTTTTGGAGTTTCTCAGTCAAACAAACTCCTCTTCTTTATAAATTACTCAGTCTCAAAATTCTGTTACAGCAACACAAAATGGACTCAGAAAGAACCCTTGCAAGAGAACCTGTGACACTCTCCAAAATTAGCATCTTCTTGTTGATCAGATATCCCATAATGCATAAAAATAGGCAGTTATTATCCTGGAGTGTGTGTTTAAAGCTGATCCACACAGCATGTCATGAAGATCACTGAAGGGGTTTATCTATCTGTGTTGAAAGTAAAGACGCAAAGTGTGCATGCTGAACCAGAACCATCTTGATGGCTATGAGAGATGCATAACAAAGAAAGCTTCCTTGACTATCTGAATTATAACCAATTCAATACAGAAAAGTCATATGTTTGACCAACTGTCATGCTTGTCTCCTATTGTTATTTACCAATTTTGCTGCTTTGGCAATTATATGTTAATTGAAAATTATTTCAATAAACAGATCACATTTTTTACTACATATGTATATTTCTATTTGAGTAATCTACAAAGAAAGATAGTCATAAACTAATAAAGCTTAAATTAAATCCTAGTGAATAATTATTATTTGATCAGGTTAATAAATATTATTTCACCTTGAAATGACTTTTGGTCCTATAATATTTATGAGAAATACTTGCATTTATGTGAAATATTTTCTACCTGGCTTTATGTATTTAAAATATTTAACTTAACATGTCAAAGCAATTAATATTTATTTTGAACAAACCTACTTCCTCAGAATTTTCTGTTTGAACTATATTTTTGTTAGTAATGAGGATTACATTACTGCCATTATAAATCACCATTAATAAAGAGTACGTGCATAGGAGCTATGTTCCTAGATGTTACAGTTTGTAGGTCTCATCTTGAATGCAGACAGTACTTGGAGAAATTATCCAGAGGACATTGAATAAATAAAAGTTTGGTCTCTTTAATCTGTAAGATTACTTTGAGATCCATAAGCTTACTGTGTAGGCAGTTTAATTACTTGTTTCAAAATAGTATTATAATAACATTTGTACAAATTTGGACTATCTTCTGCCATAACTATGTCCTTTATATTAACCTTTATTGTTCACATGATGAAGACAAAAAAGAAAAATGAACCTCATAAACTGAGGCATACTACAGAAGGCTCTAGACTCTAGACTGAGTCTAGTATAAGATTCAGAGGAATCTATACTATCATAGTGTTTATTAGGAGTATATATTCTTACAAAACAGACAATTCTGCCCTGGCAAAGATTTATAGAAGGATGCAAGTATCAGGGAAAATGATATTGTTAAATGTCATAAAATAGAACAACAAGAATACTTTATTATTTATCTGAATACATGCTAGTTTCATATAAATTATTTTACATCTTTTCTAGTAAATAATTGAGTTAGGTACTTTAAAATTCTCCAATTTACAAATTAGGACAATGGAGTTTAGAACTATTAGAAGATACATTGCCCAAGACATCTTTCGAAGTGGCTGCATAGAGAATTAAATTCTATTACTCTGACTTCAAGTTCATGCTCTCTTCTGAACTGGCTGATAAGTATAAATATAACTGAGTGTAAAATAAATTCTTAAACGTGGAAAAAAAAACAAAAGAAAAAAACATGGCTAAGAGAGGGAGAAAGGTGAGAAGCATGGAAGGAAGATTTTAAAAAGAATGAAACAAAGGAGACAGTGAGGGAGAGAAAAAAAATGTGAAATTAAATGACCAAAATTGCAGGAACATAAAAGTGATTTAAGGGCTTATAAATGTCGAATGAGAACGTTCTTGCACTAACAACTTAGAATGTTTTTTCATAATCTGAGCCTATGTTAAAACATATATGGAATGCTGTGAATTATATTTAAATTCTTTTTTTCACCATCTTCCATTTACTATGAAAGCATTATTTCATTAGTTCTCAGGACTCTAAACCAAATTTTGACAATTTGATTGAGTGTGGTCCTTTAATATTATTTTTGATGTTACACATTCATGAAAACCTAGGGTTTCAAAGTTGAAGGGTTACAAATTCTACCACCTATTTGCTGTTGTGTTTCTCATACTTCATGCCAAGGTATTCTATAGAATCGTATGTACTATTTCTATGACCCATAGGAAATCCTAACTCATGATCCACATATTAAATATTGGAAGCCATTTGTTATGTCTCACTTGAGTTTTCTCTTAAATCCAGTTTATACTTTCAATAATTTTACTTACAAATGGTTTCTGTTTGTTGTTGTTGTTTTAAGTTTCCAATGAATATAATGAGTTACTGATTGCAGAAATCTCTCTGCTTCTTTCACAGGAAATGTTGAAGAAACTTTTTAAAAAACAAAGTATATTTCTCCTCATATACATGACACATCATTGTGGAATAGTTCAAAGACTTCAGATTGAGAGAAATTGCACTTGAAGATCTGCATTAAAGGAATCACAGTGGGAAACTCCTCTACAATTGGACATGATTAGACAATGCAAGTCTAGAATTTGAACTGATACTCTTTCAAGTGAGACTTTTGGAGTACTTGAGGGGAGAGTGAATTTTGATGTGGAAGAGATGTGAATGTTGTAGTCCAGAAAGCAGATTGTGGTTCCTAGTCTCCGGGATGGCCCCTAATGATCTCTGCCTCTTGGTGTTTATACTCCTTGAGTAGTCTCATCTCACATCGTATCAAGGTTGGTCTATGTGACCAATAGAATACGGCATAACTGATAGTATGAGACTTCCGAGGCTGGATTATAAAAGACATTGTAACTTCTGAAACACACTCACTTGGATCACTTTGGTGGAAGCCAGCTGCCATGTCAGGAAGATACTCAAAGACAATGAACAGCTCCATATGATGAGGCACTAAAGCCTTCTGACCACCATCAGAACTAACTTGCCAGGTGTGTGAGGCAGCTACCTTGGGGTGAATCCCTCAGTTTTTCAGTAAAGCTTTCTGCTGACTTCAGATCCAGCTGATATCTTAACTGCAAACTTCTAAGAGACCCCAAGCCTAAACCACCTCAATCAATTCTCTCCAGTTCCTGGCCCTCGGAACTGTTTAAATAATATAAGCTCATGCTTTATGATATTTTATTGTGCAGCAATAGAATACTGAAACAGGTGTGGAAGGTCTAAAGAGGCTGAGACAGTGCTAGATTAGATACAATATGTAAAGTTAGAATATATTCTTCACCTTAGCCATTGGAAATGCATCAATGAGAAGAGTACCATTTCTTAGCACCACTAAGAAGTTTAGTACTGACTCCCTCTGCAGGCTTGGGCTGACAGCAGGTCACAGATCTGGGTCATTTATATGCATGGAGAATGATGTCTCTCCCTCAACTCTCCCCACAAGTAATAGCAACTAAATGCAGGTGCTCAGATGCCAAAAAGCAGAAGGTTTCAATGACCATAATGCTTGGCAAGGCTAGAGAGGCAGCCAAAGCATCTTGACCCACAGGAGTTTTTGTTTTGTTTTGTTTTGTTTTTTGAGACGGAGTCTCGCTCTGTCGCCCAGGCTGGAGTGCAGTGGCGCGATTTCGGCTCACTGCAAGCTCTGCCTGACCCAGAGGGAGTTTTAAAGATGATTATTAGAGCATAACGTATCTGGGACGAAAGGCTGCCAGTGAAGTCTCTTATTAACAACTCTAACCATCTCTAACATCTCTAAAAGAAAAAAAGAAAAACAAAAAACAAAAAACCAAAAACAGAATAAGCAGAAGTCAAATATATGCTGTAAAATTTCCCCAATACTTCTCCAAATTACTTTACGGCTCTTTGCGCTAGGGGAAAACAAAAACAAAAACAAACAAACAAAAAACCCACCTAGAACTTTTTTTTTTTTTTTTTTTGAGACGGAGTCTTGCTCTGTCACCCAGGCTGGAGTGCAGTGGCGCCATCTTGGCTCACTGCAAGCTCCGCCTCCCGAGCTCACGCCATTCTCCTGCCTCAGCCTCCCCAGTAGCTGGGACTACAGGCGCCCACCAACACGCCCGGCTAATTTTTTGTATTTTTAGTAGAGACGGGGTTTCACCGTGTTAGCCAGGATGATCTGGATCTCCTGACCTCGTGATCCACCCGCCTCGGCCTTCCAAAGTGCTGGGATTACACGCGTGAGCCACCGCGCACGGCCCATCTAGGACATTTTAAGTTTACTGAACACAGGATCTGTGCTGATATTTATTTTTTATATATTATATTATATTTATTATAATTATATTATATTATATTATATTATAATTATATTATATTATATTATATTATAATTATATATTATATTATATTATAATTATATTATATTATATTATATTTTTATTGAGAGAGGATCTTGCTCTTTCCCAGGATGGAGTGCAATGGTGCAATCTGGGCTCACTGTAACCTCTGCCTCCTGGGCATAAGCCATCCTCCTGCCTCAGTCTCCCAAGTAGCTGGGACCACAGGTACCCGTCACCACTCCTCACTAATTTTTTGTATGTTTTGTAGAGACAGGGTCTCGCTTTATTGCCCAAGCTGGTCTCGAACTCCTGGGCTCTAGCAATCAACCTGCCTTGGCCTCCCAAAGTGCTGGCACTACAGACGTGAGCCACTGTGCCCAGCCTGTGCTGACATTTAAAGCCAGAGTACCTAAACATCACATTGACACCCCCCTCCCCTTGTTAGAGTGGTGGCTTATCAAGTCTAGGCAATAAATGATGTTGTGGCTAAATTTTGACTCAGCGTTCATGTGGGGTGAGTAGAACCACTTGGTATATATAATTATGGTTAATATACTTGGCAGTTGGAATAACCTCCACATTTGTCCTTTCTCTATGGGATAATACATGTCATAGTGGGGAAGAACAAGTGGCAATTTCTGAAAATGCTTTTCTCAAATCAATATAGAAATTTAAAAAAAATACAACGTTTTAGTAGTGAAAGGTGTCACCAGTGGAGGCTTGTGAAAGTTTTAAATACTTAAATGACTTGGGTAGCAGTCTTTGGTTATGGATTATCATCAGTTACTCTGGAAACAGCATGATGCACATATAAACAAAGTGACCACATAGAATGATAGAAAAAAGGGGCTATTGCATGAGCACTACTCCCAGTCAATAAGCCTTTCTAAGGTGTATCTCCCTAAACAGTCAAACTTTCAACTACAGAGAAAATCACTTATCCTGTAAAGTGGCACTGTTCTTTGTGAGACCAGTTGACTATGTTGAGACTTTTTATCCTGGAATTTGTAGCAACTCATTCTCATAGGAAGAGCTATCTATACCCGGTATGGACTAAAATTTCCTGTACACCAGTAGGCAATTAATGCTTTTCAATATTGCTACTGAATCTGCACATCTAAACAGGAATAGTATACATCAATAACTTATTTTGACCTGTAAAAGAAAACCTCAGTTATGCTTGCATTTATACATATTATAGTTATTGATATTTTAATAACATATATATTAAATAACCTAACTTTAACAACATACATATTAAAAGTAAAACTGATGTAATTCCAAATATTGTACATTAGGCCCATAAATAAAATCTGGAAAATTCATGATCATAAAATCAATTTATATACTCTTTACATTAAATCCAATACCATGGACCATAGTAAAATGAGATCTGGGAGACATGGGATAATATGAATGTCTTACTTAAGAAACTATTTTATTATATGTTTATGTAAACCAATACAATAAAGAACTTAGAGCTGAAGAATACAAGCACTTTTCTAACAATCTTGCCATTTATTATTACTATGCAGATATCCATACAATCAAAAACTCTCCAAGGTTATAATAATGATATATATACCTATTCCATGTCCAAACTGTCTTATGGGCAACCCATCAGTCAGGACCAAGGTCTGAATAACACATCTTGATATATTTTATAGACTAGTATTTAGGATGTGTGGGTTTGCTAATAGAAAAAAGATAGACTTCAACTTCAGACTAACCTGAACCTTACCACGTATTAATTTCATGAGCTAGAGTAAGACAAATATACCCTCTCAGGCTCTTAGTCCTCATCTATACAGTAATGCAAATACCCATCATAGACAGCTTGGTGAAGAATAGATATAATTATCCTGGCATGCAGCAGGAACTTAGCAGGTATTATCATTTGTCTTTATTGCTCTTAACAACCCAGCCATAAAAAGTAATGCAGAAATGATGTTTATAGTAGCTTGCAAAAGTACATTTTTAAATAAAGTATTACTAACAAATAATTTACCCTTATCTTGAGTTACTTAGAAAAGCATGAACAGATCATTTTAAATATGTAAAGATATGACATTTTTAACCTTTTTCCAGCAATATTTCCGATTAAGTTTTAAAGAGGAAAATTGTATTGCAGCCTCATTTTTCATAGATATATAGGAGAAAGTGCATAGCAAAATATAACTTTATCAATGAATCTCTAGGACTTCTCACAAACCATCAGCTAATTTCTGCATGTTTTGTTAACAACATCCCAACATAGAACTACAGGCGCTTAATCTTTGGAATTAACTACTTTTGGCTTTTTTGAGGAGAAGAAGGGAGGTTAATAAAGGAGAAAGGTTAATAAAGAGAATATTAAATGAAAAGAGAAATAGTAAATGTGCCCCAGTTGAATTATACACTCTATATTTTTCCTTATTTAAGTAAAATAGGTATGTGATTTTGTAAATATATTTCTATGAATAATACATCTAAAATGAACCAGACTGGCTAAAAAGCACTAGAAATTTATTAAAACCACTGACTCACGAATATGTAGCATATGTTCTGTGATATCTCTTAGGAGAATGTTTCAAAGTGTTCTTATTTTATTTGTATATCATCTCTGTTTGGAAGAAAATAGCGCTGTTCTGCATATTTTTTGCTTTGCCTTAGAAATTATGATTACTAAATGAATCTTATGACTTGGAACAAAAACAAATAAATGCAAAGCATTTTTTTTCTGTGTGAGAGCAGTAATTGTCTTTTATCTCTTCACAAACTGAAATAACATGGACAATAATAGCACGTTTTAATTGTTTGAAAATGTGTGAGCACAAGAAATTGTGGCAAGCAATGACAACGTGAAAAACATATTGTCAACTCACTTATGGTTAGAGACATATATGATGTTACTATATGATCATTTACGGATAAAATGATATCACGATTAATAGTATAATCTACAATTTTGCACATTTAAATTTTAGTGTTATACACAGTTGCACATGTTATTTTTCCAATTAGAATATTTAATTACAAGATTACTTACCTAGAATTATTTTACATGTACTATGCTACTTTTTATATATTTGTGTGTATAAGGTAATGGATCCTGAGATTTTAAAACAGATAGATTACATTTGAATTCTGACAATAATTTTGAAACTTGAGATTGTGCAGACATCACACAGTGAGATGTAATTGTGAACATGTGTTCACAAACAGGAATCAATGCTTTCAGTGAATGCATTCTAAGAGAAGATTCTTTATCTAAGCACATAAAAAATGTTAATGTAATCTGGTTTAACAAGCTAATCAAAATTTAGAGATGATATAATTTTATGTGTGTGGGGAGAGAGGCTAGAAGAAATTAAGGCTTTAGCAAAAAGTTGCAGAGAGTTTGAAAGATATTCCAGTGGAGCTGTCTCTTTTGAGCTGACCAGTGTGTTTATAATTTTAGAGCCCATATGATGAGGAGAAGCTAGTGTTTTACATGTACAAAGAGCTCCCAACCTATATTACAGAGCATATTTACAAAAGTATGCTTAATCATATTAAGATATATGCATTCAATTTAAATATTTTTGAAATGTACTGAAAATACTACATATTGTTGTGAATATAGATGTGTGTGTGTGTGTAAAATGTATTCCTAAAATTCATGTATACGGTTATTGTTTATAAAAATAGTATAAGATTTGGCTTATGAAAAAAAGAAACTAAAATTTACTTTTATTACATAGAAAAGTGAATTATTAATAATGCATGGGTTGTATACAAAGAAGATGTGACAGAATCAAGGGAGACAGCAACAGGTTCAACATTTAGAAGGACTCACACACAACTTTTGTGTCTACTCTTGGTTTGATTATGAAGACAAATGTAATTATTTTGCATTGTGAGTAAAATCCACATAATAAAATTTAACCACCAAATTAAAATTTAATACAGTGCATTTGATACTAATTTTAGTTAAACAAACCAGAGAAAGGAAAGTTTAACTTATTAACATATATAAGCTCAGAAGAGATTGATTTAATCAAGCTCATCTTTTGAAACACTCATTTATGATTAAAGGGTAGGGAAATGAACAGAAGGCTGTGGATTTTTCATAGCTGTCTGCCAAGAATGGTTAGGGTCATCTTTCACTAATCTGTGACTACTTAGGAAATTATCTGTTAGCTCTCATTTGTTCTATTCAATG
This sequence comes from Homo sapiens, assembly GCF_000001405.40. NCBI lineage: Eukaryota > Metazoa > Chordata > Mammalia > Primates > Hominidae > Homo > Homo sapiens. Next base: position 34,319,965 of record NC_000004.12, read on the forward strand.
TCTTTAGTGGATGTTTAAAGACAGAAACAAATGAAAAAATATACATTATTAATTCCTGTAAATTTGCACAAAATTTTATAAGTGATTTGCATATTGCTTAAATATATAACAATGGGTAGATATGTAAGTATTCAGAAATCTTCTTGTTTAAGTTCAATAGTTTCCTCTTTTTCTTGTCCTACCTATAGCTACCATCAATTAGGCTATGTTGAGCAGTATCAGAAACTTTTATTTTGAATGCTCTAATGTAAAAAATTCTTCATTATTATATTTTATTACAATAATTATGAACAATTGAAATACTTTTCAAAGAAAATTTTATATATATAGTTCAATTATATTTTAATGTCTCATAAGTGCCTATTACCTATAATCTATATATTTATATGTTGTTAATAACATAGCCAAAGGATTTATTGGCTACTTAATCATCTCACTGTTTTGTAGAACAATAGAGTAGGGCGTATTTGTTTGGTTTACTCCGTGATTCCTTTTTTATGGATTCTTTCCTTTTGAATAAAGAACTGAGGATGTTATCCAAAGATTAATCCCAAAATAATCTGTTTTTCTCATGTAACAACTTATCTCTAAGCTCATTTCTGTGCCTTAGAGTATTCCTCTCACCTCAACATCTGGACAGTTGCCTCAATTATTCAGCATATTTTTCATGTTTTCACAGGCATCATCTTCTATAAATACTTTAAATAATCCCTAAAAAAGCAATTGATATAATCTTAAGTTTTATAGTTTTCTGCTTAAATCTTGAGAAAATCAAAAGATACTAAGAGCTGTATATATTAATCATTGTTGTTTTAACAAGACAATTCAACCAAAAAAAATTTTAGACTAAAAATTGTGGCACAAAAATGTAACGTTTCCAATTGTTATCTAGACTATTTTAGAGATTTAAAAGAATTAATTTTAAATTCTGATTTAAGGCCAAGTGTGGTGGCTCATGCCTGTAATCCCAGCTACTTAGGAGGCTGAGGCAAGAGAATCGCTTGAACTTGGGAGGTGGAGGTTGAAGTGAGCTGAGATCGTACCACTGCACTCCAGCCTGGGTGACAGAGTGAGACTCCATCTCAAAAAAAAAAAAAAAAAAAAAATAGAAAGAAAGAAAGAAATCTAGCGATAGTTTAAAGTACATGAGAAGATGTGCATAGGTTATACACAAATAGTACTCCATTTGTATAAAGGACTTGAGCACTGAGAAAAAAATTTGATTTAACTTAAAACTATGAAGATGATCCTTACACATGCTTATTTTTCCAAAAATTGCATGAAAGTACTATGTTGGATACTTTAGCAATAATGACATTGCTTTAAGGTTTGTACATGATCTAACTCTAAAATCTTAACATATTTAGTGAAATATATTAAACCTGTTTACATTCTATCATTATATTTACTGCAACAATATATAACTGACATCTATTATTTTGATTTTCACTAATATTTATACTTAGGAATATAGAAGGGAAAATATGGGATACAAAATCTAAAATAGTCATTTAAAATTAGGGAGCTAGTATTTGTCCTCTGCCATGTTCAATTACAAAAATGGTAATTGCCTCCCTGGGCCACCAGTAATACCGAAGAATAGTAGAAGTTCTGGGCACTCTTAAACTTTGCTGAAATTTCACAGTAACTGTCTCTCTGGAGGTACAGAACCCTAATAGTCATGAAATTATACATCTGTGTCCAGAATTTAAAAACACAAAACTTCTTGTACCTGAGAAAATATTGAATATAAAACCATCGGGTGCTACTCTAATCAATTGCATTGATTAGTGACAATGCTAGGTACTCTGAAAAATATATACTGTAAATTCAAAGTTCAGAAAACCTGGGATATACATCATGATGTATTCCTTAATTTTTGCAATTTTTCTAAGTTACAAAAGGTAAGACATAGCAATACAATGTTGGAGAGTATAGACAAATTATTAAACATCATCAGAAAAATATGCAAAACCCTTAAAGTTAATAACACCCCACATGGAAAGTTCAAGATAAAAAATATAAGAACCTACCTTTGTCTTTATTACAATTTTTATAGGACTACCAAAGCCAAATTCTGAAGGACAGAATCTGTGCTCTTCATTAATGATATCATCTCAGCTTGGGTGGAATTACATCATATAAACTTGATACACATAAGTTATCTTTATGTATTTTCAACACTCTTTAATGTAATTCATCATTGTTCTTGGCAATTACCCAGAATTTGTTATATTAACCAAAACACATAGAGGAGAGGTGGAGCAAGATGGCTGAATAGAAGCCTCCTCTGATTGTTCTCCCAACAGGAACATCAAATTGAACAACTATCCACACAAAAAAATCACCCTCATAAGAACGAAAAATCAGGTGCATGATTACAGTATCTAATGTTAACTTCATATCACTGAAAGAGGCACTGAACAGAGTAAAAGAGACAGCTTTGAATTGTCAATGATAGCTCTCTCTCATCCCCGACAGTGGCCATGTGGCACAGAGAATCTGTGCCCTTGAGGGAGGGACATCTCAGCAATTATGGAACATTGTAGTGGAACTCAGAGCTGCCCTGTCACAGTGAAAAGCGATACTGGGCAGAACTCACCCAACACCCAAGGAGGGAACGCTGAGACAAGCCATAGCCAGAGAGGAATCATCCAGCAGAAATTGAGTTCTGGCAAGCCTCAGCACCATGGGCTAAAGTGCTATGGAGTTCCTAATAAACTTTAAAGCCCATCTAGGCCACAAAGACTGCAACTTCTAGGCATGTCCTAGTGCTGTTCTGGGCTGATAGCCAGTAGACTTGGGGGGAAGGCAACCTAGTGAGACACCAGCTGAAGTGGCTGAGGGAGTGCTTCACTACATTATCCTAACCCCAGGTAGCATAGCTCATAGCTCCCAAAGAGACTTTTTTGTTCTTCTTGAAGGGAGAGAGAAGAGTGCAGACGACTTTGGTCTTGCAACTTGGATAACAGATCAGCCACAGTAGGATAGAGCACCAGGCAGAGTCATGAGGCCCTGATTCCAGGTTCCAGCTCCTTGATGACATTTCTAGACACACCTTGAGCCAAAGAGAACATTCTGTCTTGATGGAAAGAAAGCAATCCTGGCAGGATTCATTACCTGCTGACTAAAGAGCCCACGATCCCTTAATAATCAGCTGCGGTAGGCAGGTAATATAATGGGCTTTGGGCATGACTCTGAGACATGTTGGCTTCAGATGTGACCCAGCACATTCCCAGCTGCAGTGACTGCAAGGAAAGACTCCTGCTTGAGAAAAGTAGAGACAAGAATAAAGGAGACTTTGTCTTGCACCTTAGACACCAGCTTGTTAGAGTACCAAGTGAGCTCTTGGGGTCTCTGATTTTAGGCCCTGGCACTTGGACAGCATTTCTGGACCTGCCCTGGGCCAGAGGAGAGCTCACTGCCCTGCAGGGTGAGTCTCAGGCCAGGTAGCATTCATCACAAGCTGATAAAAGAGCCCTTGGGCTTGAAGTAAACATCAGTGGTAGCCTGGCAGTACGGGCATGTGGCAGTGGTGGCCATGGGGACAGAATTATCTGCCTGTGAGAAGGGAGGGAAGAGTATAATAGACTCTGTCTTGTGATTTAGATGCCAACTCACTACAGTATAATAGAACATATAGATGTCAAAAGTTTCTGACTCCAGGCTCTGGCTCTCAGACACCATCTCTGAAACCTCCTGGACCCCAGGGGAGCTCATGAGGGCACATGCTGGTTGATGCCACCACCTGTTGATTATATAGCCCTAGGGCCATGAACAGAGGCAACAGCCAAATAGTGATTACACTGGACCTTGGGTGACACCCAGTGCTGTGTTGGCTTCAGGTGACCACAGGGGTTTTTTGTCTTTCCTCCTCTAACTCCACAAAGCTCAGCAGAGGAAGAGAGGTTGTTTCTTTGGGAGGCAGTAAGAAAAAAGAACAAGAATCTCTGCCTGGTAATTCAGAGAATTATTCCTGATCACATCCAAAACAAGGGCAGTACCTCTATAAGTCTGCAAAAGCCAGAGAATTAATGGGCTTGGGTGCCCCCTAATGCAGATATGGCTGCAGTGACCAGAAACTTAGATTACAACACACAAAGTGCTTCCAAAGAAGGATGGGTACATACAAGCCCAGACTGTGAAGATTACAATAATCTAATCTAACACTTCAATGCACAGACACCAACAAACATCCGGAAGCATCACAACTATCCAAGAAAACATGACCTCAAATGAACTAAATGAGGCATCTGGAACCAATCCCAGAGAGACAGAGATATGTGACCTTTCAGGCAGATAATTAAACATAGCAGTTATAAAGAAACTCATTGAAATTCAAGATAACACAGTGAAGAAATTCAGAAACCTATTGAATAAATTTAACAAAGACACTTAAATAATTAAAAAGAATCAACCGGAAATTCTGGAGCTGAAAAATACAATTGACATACTGAAGAATGCATCACAGTCTCTTAATAGCAGATTCGATCAACGAAAAGAAATAATTAGTGAGCTTGACGACAGACTATTTGAAAATACACAGTCAGAGACAAAAGAAAAAAGAATGAATAATACCTACAGAATCTAGAAAATAACCTCAAAAGGGCAAATCTAAGAGTTATTGGCCTTAGAGAGTAGGCAGAGGAAGAGATAGGGGTAGAAAGTTTATTAACAGGTATAATAACAGATAACTTCCCAAACCTAGAGAAAGATACCAATATTCAAGTACAAGAAGGTTATAGAACACCAAGGAGATTTACCCCAAGGAAGACTACCTCAAGGAATTTAACAATAAAATTCCCAAAAATCAAGCATAAGGAAAGGATCCTAAATGCAGCAAAAGAAAAAAAAATAATATAAAATGGATCCCCAATATGTGTGGTAGAAGGCTTTTCAGTGGAAACTTTACAGGCCAGGAAAGAGCAGCATGGCATATTTAAGTGCTGAAGGAAAAAAACCTTTTATCCTAGGACAGACTATCCAGGAAAAATTTTCCTCAAACATGTAGAAGAAATAAAGACTTTCCCAGACCAAAAAAAAAATGCTGAGCAATTTCATCAATTCCAGACCTGTCCTACCAGAAATAATAAAGGGAGTTCTTCAATCTAAAAGAGAAGAACATTTATGAGCATTAAAAATCATCTGTGACCTCACTAGTGAGGACACAGAAAAATAGAGAGTATTATAACACTGTAAGTGTGGTGTATAAACTATTCATACCTTAAGTAGAAAGACTAAATGATGAGCTGAAAAAAAATAATAACTACAACAACTTCTCAAGACATAGACAGTAGAGGAAGATGTAAGTGGAAGCCAAAAAAATAATCTTAAAAAGTGGAGGCATAAAGTTAAAATGTGGAGTTTTTATTAGTTTTCTGTTTGTTTGTTTGTTTGTTTATACAATTAGTGTTGACATCAGTTTAAAATAATGGGTTATATTATTTTCAAGCTTCATGATAACCTGAAATCAAAGGGATACAACAGATACACAAAAAATAAAAAGCAAGAAATTAAAACATACCACCAGAGAAAATTATCTTCACTAAAAGGAAGACAGAAAGGAAGCAAAGAAGAAAGTGAATACCACAAAACAATCAGAAAAAAAAAAATGGCAGTGGTAAATTCTTACTTATCAATAATAACATTGAATGGCAATGGAGTAAACTCACCAATTGAAAGATAATAGAGTGGCAGAGTGGATTAAAAAAACAAGATCCAATGATCCCTGCCTACAAGAAATACACTTCTCCAACAAAGACACATATAGTCCGACAATAGAATGATGGAAAAAGATATGCCATGCAAATGGAAACTAAAATAGAGTCAAAATAGCTATATCTATACATAAAAAATATATTTTAGGACAAAAACTATAAACAACAAATAAGGTGATAATATAATGATAAACTGCTAAATTCATTAACATGATATAGTAATTGTAAATATATGTGTACCCAACATTGGAACACCCAGATGTATAAAGCAAATATTATTAGACATAAAAAGAGAGATACACCCCAGTATAATAATAGCTGGAGACTTCAACACCCCACTTTTAGCATTAAACAGATCTTCCAGACAGAAAATCAACAACAACAACAAAAAATCAATATTAAACTGAATTATAGACCAAATAGATCTAATAGATATTTATAAAAAACTGTATCTAATGGCTACAGAATACACATTCTCCTCAGCCCATGAATCATTCTCAATGATAGATCATATATTAAGCCACAAGTCTCAAACAATTTTTAAAGATTGAAATTATAAGGGGCCAAGATGGCCTATTAGAAGCAGCTGTGATCCACGGCACTCACAGAGAGAAACAAAAGGGGTGAATGAATACAGCACCTTCAACTGAAATATCCAGTTTCTCACATTGGAACTGATTAGGAAAACAACTTGACCCAAGGAAACAAAGAAAAGCAAGTGAGGCAATGGCCCACCTGGAAGCAACATGAAGCCAAGAGAATCCCCACCCTCAGCCAAGGGAAGTGGTATGACCCTATGAAACCAGGCTTCTCCCATGGATCTTTTCAACCTATGGATCAGGAGATCCCCTTGTGAGCCCACACCACAAGGGCTCGACACACAAAGCTGTGTGGAGTCTTGGCAGATCAGCTGCTCAGTCATGAACAGGGAACCAAGAGCTTTACACATTCAGCCCCTGGGATCCCAAAAAAACATGTCTGCAACTCAAGCAAAGTGGGAAGTCTGCACATACCCATAGTAAAGAGGCAGAATCCAGTGAGGTGCGCAGCGTTATTCTGAGGGCCCCACTTCCATAGCACCTCACAAGATAAGACCCACTGGCTTGGAATTCCAGCCTGCCACCTGCAACAGGATGGAGCCTGCCTGAGACCAGATGGAGCCCCCAAGTGAAGGGGCAGGCATTATTTCTGCTGTTTCGTTGACTCAACCATTGTAGCCTGTGAGCGTTGGAAAGTCTAAAGAATTCAGAAGAGGAAGGGTATCCCTAGTAGTGCAGCACGGCGGTTTTGCCAGATAGTGGTCAAACTGCCTCTTTAAGCAGAACCCTGATCAACTTCTCATGGAGTGAGTCCTTCCGGCCACCCCCACCCACATTCTATGGGGCTGACAGAGCTCTAATTTCTTCCTGGGATGGAGTGCTTGAGGAGCAGAGCAGGCAGCCACCTTGGCCATTCAGACTTCTCAGCCAGTCCAGCACAGCTGCTCTACCCAAAAGAAGCCAGACTGTTTCTTTAAGTGGGTCCTTGATCCCATTTCTCTTTCAAAGGGCTGCTGCAGTTTGCTGGGGGTACTCTCCAGACTCTAGTTGCCTCAGTATTTTCCCATACCTGGAGGTATCATCAGCAAAGGCTACAAAACAGCAAAGAAGGCAGCCTGCCCCTTCTTCTGGAAGCTCCATCTTAGGGGTGTAGTGTCCTATTGCCAGCCCAAACGAACCTGTAGGAGGTGGTTGGAGACATTAGTTGGAAGGTCTCACCCAGTCAGGAGAAATGAGAAATATACTGCATGGTGTATACACCCAAAGGAATATAAATCATTCTGTTATAAAGATACATTCATGTGTATGTTCATTTCAGCACTATTCACAATAGCAAAGACATGGAATCAACCTACATGCCCACTAACAATAGACCAGATAAAGAAAAGGTGGTACATATACACCATGCAATACAATGCAGCCATAGAAAGGAAAAAGATCACGTCTTTGCACGGATATGGATGGAGCTGGAAGCCATTATGTTCAGAAAACTAATGCAGGAACAGAAAATCAAATACCACATGTTCTCACTTATCATTGGGAGCTGAATAGTGAGAACACATGGACACATGGGGGAAAATAACACACACTGGGGCCTGTAGGTGGGTGGGAAGTGGGAGGAGGGAGGAGGGAAGTGGGAAGAGGAAGAGCATCAGGAAGATTAGCTAATAGATGCTGGGCTTAATACCTGATGAGATAATATGTGCAGCAAACCACCATGATACATATTTACCTATGTGACAAACCTGCATATTCTGCACTTGTACCCCTGAACTTAAAATAAAACTTGGAAATTAAAAATAATTGAAACTGTATATAGTATTTTCTCTGACTACAATGAAATAAAACTAGAAATCAGTAAGAGAAAATTTTTAAAATATACAAACACAGGAAAATTAAACTGTGTGCTCTTGAATGAGCAGTTGGTCAATAAAGAAATTTTTTAAAAACTGAAAAATTTCTTGAAATAAAAATGGAAACACACTATACTCAATCACAGTGAAAGTGGTACTAAGAAAAAAGTTCATAGCAATAAGCAGCAACATCAAAAAGTAGAAAAACTTCAAAGAAATAATATCATGTTGCACTTAAAAGGACTAGGAAAGCAAGAGAAAACCAAACGGAAAATTAGTACAAGGAAGGAAATAATAAAGATGAGAGCAGAAGTAAATGAAATTGAAATGAAGAAAACAATACAAAAGATCAATACAACAAAAAGTTGTTTTTTGAGATAGTAAACAAAACTGACACATTTTAGCCAAACTAAGAAAAAAAGAGGAAAGACTCAAATAAACAAAATCAGAAATGAAAAAGGAGACATTAAGATCAATACCACAGATATTCAAACGATAATTAGAGGCTACTGTAAGCAACTATGTGTCAATAAATTGGAAAATCTATAAGAAATGGGTAAGATAAATTAAATAGATAAATTAAACCAACCAACATTGAATAATAAATTAATCCAAAACCTGAACAGACAAATAACAAGTAATAAGATCAAAGTCATAATAAAAATTCTCTTCATAGTAAATCCTAGGACCCAATGGCTACATTGCTGAATTTTATTATACATTTAAAGTATAACTAAGACCAATCTAAACTATTCCACAAAAATAGAGGAAGAGGGGCTACTTTCAAACTCATTCAATGAAGCCAGTATTACACTGATACCAAAACCAGACAAAGACACATCAAAAAAAGAAAACTACAGACCAATATTTCTGATGAATGTTGAGGTAATAATCTGCAAGAAAATATTAACAAATCAAATTCAACATCACATTGCAAAGATTATTTATCATGACCAAGTGGGATTTATCCCATGGATGCAAGTGCAGCTCAGCTTATGCAAATCAATCATTGTGATACATCAGATCCACAGAATGAATGACAAAAATCATATTATCATTTCAATTGATGCTGATGTAGCATTTTACAAAATTCAACATCCCTTCCAGATAAAAACACTCAAAAACCTGGATATGGAAGCAACATACCTAAACATAATAAAAGGTATGCATGACAGACCCACAGCTGATATCAAACTGAATTGAGTAAAACTGAGAGCCTTTTCTCTAAGATCTGGAATATGACGAGGGTTTCCACTTTCATCACTGTTATTCAATATAGTATTGGAAGTCCCAGCTAGAGCAATCAGACAAGAGAAAGAAATTAAAAGCATACAGATTTGAAAGGAAGAAGTCAAATTATTCTTGTTTGCAGATGATATAATCTTATATTTGGAAAAACCTAAAGCCTCCACCAAAAATCTATTAGAACTGATAAAGAACTTTACTAAAGTTGCAGGATACACAATCAACTACAAAATCAGTAGTATTTCTATATGCCAACAGCAAACAATCTGAAAAAGAAATCAATAAAGTAATCATAGTTACAATATCTACAAATAAAATTAAATGTCTAGGGATTAAGTTAACCAAAGAAGTGAAACATGTCTACAATAAAAACTATGAAACATTGATAAAATAAATTGAATAGTACACAAAAAAATGGAAAGAGGTTTATGTTCATGGATTGTTAAAATGTCCATACTACCTAAAGCAATCTACAGATTAAATGCAATCATTATCAAAATACCATTGATATTCTTCATAGAAAAAGAAAAATACAACCCTAAAATTTACATGCAATCAAACAACACTCTGAATAGCCAAAGCTATCCTGAGCAAAAACAATAAAACTAAAGGAGTCACGTAATCTGAATTCAAGTTATACTACAGAGTTATTGTAAGTTAAGCAGCATGATGCTAGAATATAAACAGACATATAGAAGACCAGCACAAAATAGAGAACCAAGACATAAATTCATGCATCTGCAGGTATCTCATTTTTGACAAAAAAAATGCCAACAACACGCATTGGGGAAATGAAAGTCTCTTCAATAAACGGCACTTGGAAAACTGGTTATTCATACTGACATAGTTTGGATATTTGCCCCCACCTAAATCATGTGTTGAATTGTAACCCCTAATGCTAGAGATGGGGCCTGGTGGGAGGTATTTGGATCATCAGGGCAGGTCTTTCATGGCTTGGTACTGTCTTTGTAGTAGTGAGTTCTCATAAGATCTGGTCATTTAAAATTGTGTGGCACCTCATCCCCTCCTCTCTCTCTCTCTCTCAATTGCTCCTGCTGTTGCCATGTGATGTACCTGCTTTCCCTTGGCCTTGTACCATTAATGTGAGCTTCCTGAGAACTCCCTAGAAGCCAAGCAGATGCCAGCACTATGCTTCCAGTAAATCTTGCAGAACTGTGAGCCAATTAAACCTCTTTTCTTTATAAATCACCCAGTCTCAGATATTTCTTTATGGCAATGCAAATGCAAGAATGGCCTAACACACAAATGAAGAAGAATAAAACTAGACCCCTATCTCTTGCCAAATACAAAATCAACTCAAAATGGATTAAAGACTTTAATTTAAGACCTCAAACTATGAAAATACTAAAAGAAAAAAAAAATAGGAAATGCTCCAAGACATTGAACTGGGCAAAGGTTTCCTGAGTAATACCCTACAAGAACAGGCAAGCAAAATAAAAATGGGCAAATGGGATAACATTAAATTAAAAAGCTTCTGCACAGCAAAGGAAACAATCAACAAAGTTAAGAGACAACCCACAGAATGAGAGAAGATATTTGCAAACTCTCCATCTGACAAAGGATTTATAATCAGAGCATATAAGGACCTCAAACAACTCTATTGGAAAAAAAACTAACCATCTGATTAATAAACGAACAAAATATCAGAAAAGAGATTTCTCAATAGAAGATCTACAAATGACAAACAGGTATATTGGAAGGTACTCAATACTGCTGATCATCAGCGCAATGCAAATCAAAACTACAATGATATAGCCTCATCCCAGTTAAAATGGCTTGTATCCAAAAGACAGGCAATAAGTAATGCTGGCCAGGGTGTGGAGAAAAGAAAACCCTCTTACACTGTAGGTGAGAATGTAAATTAGTACCACACTATGGAGAAGAGTTAGGAGGTTCCTCAGAAAACACAAAATAGAGCTACCATATGATCCAAGAAATCCCACTTTTAGGTATATACCCGCAAGAATGGAATTCAGTATACCAAAGAGATATCAGCACTTCCATGTTTATTGCAGCACTGTCCTCAGTAGCCAAGATTTAGATTTAACCTGTGTTCATCAACAGAGCAATGGATAAAAAAAAATGTTGTACACATACACAGTGGAATATTATTCAGCCATAAAAATGTATAAGGTTCTGTCATTTGCAACAGCATAGATGGAACTGTAAATCATTATGTTAAGTGAAATAAACGAAGCATAGAAAGACAAACTTTGCATGTTCTCACTTTTTTGTGGGAGCTAAATATTAAAACGATTGAACTCACGGAGATAGAGAGTACAATGATGGTTACCAGAAGTGGGGAAGCCTAGTGCGAAGTTGTGAGAGAAGTGAAGACTTTTAATGAATAAAAAAAAAATTACAAAGAATGAATAAGATCTAGTATTTGATAGCACAGCATGCTGACTATAGTCAACACTGATTCATTTATAAATTTAAAATCAATAAAAGGGTATAATTGGATTGTTTGTAATACCAAAGATAAATGCTTGAGCTGTTGTGATTATTATGCATTGCATGCCTGTATCAAAATATGTCATGTACCCAATAAGCATATACACCTATTATTTACCACAAAAATTTAAAATAAAAAAAACACATATTCACAGAGACACACAAGGAAAGCTAAGCAATATGTAGCATAGCTAAGATAAGCTCACTCACCTTAGTAGGCCCAATTGCAGTTTTCAAACTTATGTTATTATCTGTGTGGGTTAAAGACAATATAAACATCATTCAAATTGTATATTATTTGTTAATTCCATACTACCATAAAAAGAAAAAAAAATACCCCAATTTTAGTATTAAAGTGTATTAGTCAGGGTTCTCTAGAGGGACAAAACTAATAGGATATAAGTATATATGCAGGGGAGTTCATTAAAGAGAATTGACTCACAGGATCACAAGGTAAAGTCCTGTGGTAAGTAGACAGTCTGCAAGCTGAGGAGCAAGGAAGCCAGTAGTGGCTCAGTCTGAGTCCAAAACCTAAGAAGCAGTGAAGCCGACAGTGCAGCCTTCAGTCTGTGGCCAACGGCCTGAGAGCCCCTAGCAAACCACTGGTGTAAGTCCAAGAGTCCAAAAGCCAAAGAACTTGGAGTCTGATGTTCGAGGGCAGGAGAAAGATGAGGGCCAGAAGACTCAGTAAGTCTGCTCATTCCATCTTCTTCAGTCCACTATTTCTAACCATTCTGGCAGCTGACTGGATGGTGCCCACTCAGGTTAAGAGTGGGTCTGTCTCTGTCAGTCCACTAACTCAAATGTTAATCTCCTCTAGCAACACCCTCACAGACACACCCAGAAACAATACTTTGCACCCTTCAATCCAGTCAAGTTGACACTTAATATTAACAATCACATGTAATTAAGGCTTATATTTATTTATATTATAACCATTATTGAACATTAACAGATACATTATGACTTCTAAATTGACTATTTCAAAAATTCTGTAATCTGTATCAAATCAGAAAATATGAAAGTGAGGAGTATATTCAAGTTCAATTATAGGAAGACAGCCAAATCCCAAATTAATATGCTAAAACCCTCTGGATCTCTGATAAAACCAAGTCATACTTCACCATTTTTACCTTATTTGTTGATTAAAAATGTATTCAGTATACAGTGTATCTTATTTGAGGAGGCTTTTAAAATTTCCCAGATTAATTATTCTTTTAACACATTTGGATAGGAAGTATTTTAGGGTGGTAAATTTCTAACTTAAGGCTCTGAATTCAGAAAACATGCAACTGTTTTAGAATGACCCTATGTAATATAGAAAACGTCCAGATACTAATTTATATCTGTATCTGAAAGATACAAAAGATATATCTATAAAAGATAAATCTTTTATAGCCATCAATTTATGATATTTTCAATGTGGTCTCTAATCCAAAGAAGAAAAATGTTTCTTGAAAGAATTTAAGGTACAATTCAAACAGGAAAAAAACATGTCTGGTCTTTGTCTATAGACTTATTCTATCTCTTCTCATGGGTCCCTTAATTCTTCTTTGTAAGCACAACCCCAATTTATTTAAAACAAAATAAAAAGACATCTACCTTCACATTCTTACAATTTTATTTTACCACCTGATAATTCATTTCAGTGATGAGAAAGAACATGTCCCTCAGCTGTGTAATTGCCTTTTTTTTGTCCCTAATCATGGAGGTTTCTGCACTGGACAAAGTACCAAGTGATAATTCAGCAGACAATCTGAAATCTTTCATGAGGACCCCAGCAGCTGTTAGATAGATCTGGGTAACTCTTTAAAGAGATCATGAGTCTCTTATACCTAGACATGCATTAGCCCATGTAGGGCAATGACACAGTACCTGGCCCTCAGGATCCCATCCTCAGATAATATAGAAAACTTTTAAAAACAAACTTTGCATGGCATCATTCTGAGTTAGCTCTATTGTACGTCAATATAATCTTACTGGCCTCTTTAATAGCAGAACCAGAACTTCTTCCTCTATTCCTATGGCCACTAAGGGTAAATTCTTAGGGTAAAGTACAGAAGAGAAAAACAAATCTGGTTCAAAAATATTAGGAGATTTTAATGATTTGTATTTACTGGTATAAAATAGTTTATTTTGTATAAACTAGTAGCAAATTGATTCCTAGACAATGTTAATTCCAAGTAGGAAATTATCATTAAAATTGTTTAACTTTAATTTTAACTATCAAAACATCTTCTTCAATGCCCTCCTCATCCTTTCTTCCTGTCACCATAACAACCAATATTCTATAATAAGATATTAGCAGCCTTAAGGAAAAAAGATATAGAAAAGCCTTCATATGTGTGTACGGAATATCTCTTCCCTGTCCTTCTTGAGAGAAGACAAATGTATAAAATGAAAATGCAAAAGTACTGAACAAAGACAATGAGAAATATATTGATAGTTAAGAAAGTTAAGCTTAAGGTTTGAGTGCTTTATATATTACTATATTTTGTCATATCCATTCTGCGTGGCATTTTATAATACAGCAAAATGAGGCACAGAAAAAAGAACTAAATAGGTCGGAAAATACAGGTAACGAATGACAAAGAGAGAATCAAGCATAGGCACTTTGACTCTAGGCAAGATGTTTTTAACCATTACGCCAACCTCTCTGCTAAGGCCCATTTATTCATTCAATATGTGCCACTTGCATTTATTCAGAAAACATGTATTAGGCAATGGAAATATGGCTGAGAATAAAAGGCATTTTGCAAACAAATTTAAAAAAACAAAACAAAACAAAACAAAAAACGGCTGGGCGCTGTGGCTGACGCCTGTAATCCCAGCCCTTTGGGAGTCCGAGGCGGGCGGATCACAAGGTCAGGAGATCGAGATCATCCGGGCTAACATGGCGAAATCCCGTCTCTACTAAAAATACAAACAGGTAGCCGGGCGTGGTGGCGGGCGCCCGTAGTCCCAGCTACTCCTGAGGCTGAGGCAGGAGAATGGCGTGAACCTGGGAGGCGGAGCTTGCAGTGAGAGGAGATGCGCCATTGCACTCCAGCCTGGGCGACTGACTGAGACTCCGTCTCAAAAAAAAAAAAAGAAAAAAACCCTGCCTTATGAATCTTAACTTCCATAGGGACATACCTCATTGTGTGTCCAGAATTGGTGGGTTCTTGGTCTCACTGACTTCAAGAATGAAGCCGCGGACCCTCGCCGTGAGTGTTACAGCTCTTAAGGTGGCGCGTCTGGAGTCTGTCCCTTCTGATGTTCAGATGTGTTCGGAGTTTCTTCCTTCTGGTGGGTTCGTGGTCTCGCTGGCTCAGGAGTGAAGCTGCAGACCTTCGCGGTGAGTGTTACAGCTCTTAAGGCCGCGCGTCTGGGGTTGTTCGTTCCTCCCGGTGGGCTCGTGGTCTCCCTGGGCTCAGGAGTGAAGCTGCAGATCTTCGCGGTGAGTGTTACAGCTCATAAAAGCAGCGTGGACCCAAAGAGTGAGCAGTAGCAAGATTTATTGCAAAGAGCGAAAGAACAAAGCTTCCGCAGTGTGGAAGGGAACCCCAGCAGGTTGCCACTGCTGGCTGGGCAGCCTGCTTTTATTCTCTTATCTGGCCCCACCCACATCCTGCTGATTGGTAGAGCCAAGTGGTCTGTTTTGACAGGGCGCTGATTGGAGCGTTTACAATCCCTGAGCTAGACACAAAGGTTCTCCACGTCCCCATCAGATTAGTTAGATACAGAGTATGGACACAAAGGTTCTCCAAGGCCCCACCAGACTCAGGAGCCCAGCTGGCTTCACCCAGTGAATCCCACACCAGGGCTGCAGGTGGAGCTGCCTGCCAGTCCCAGTGCCGTGCGCCCGCACTCCTCAGCCCTTGGGTGGTCGATGGGACTGGGCGCCGTGGAGCAGGGGGCGGCGCTCATCGGGGAGGCTCGGGCTGCACAGGAACCCACGGAGTGGGTGGGAGACTCAGGCATAGCGGGCTGCAGGTCCCGAGCTCTGCCCCACAGGAAGGCAGCTAAGGCTCAGTGAGAAATCGAGCGCAGCCCTTGGGGGCTGGCACTGCTGGGGGACCCAGTACACCCTCCGCAGCTGCTGGCCCGGGTGCTAAGTCCCTCATTGCCCGGGGCCAGCAGGGCTGGCCGACTGCTCCGAGTGCGGGGCCCGCCAAGCCCACGCCCAGCCGGAACTCCAGCTGGCCCGCAAGCGCTGCAAGCAGTCCCGGTTCCCGCTCGCGCCTCTCCCTCCACACCTCCCTGCAAGCTGAGGGAGTGGGCTCCAGCCTTGGCCAGCCCAGAAAGGGTCTCCCACAGTGCAGTGGTGGGCTGAAGGGCTCCTCAAGTGCCGCCAAAGTGGGAGCCCAGGCAGAGGAGGTGCAGAGAGCAAGCGAGGGCTCTGAGGACTGCCAGCACGCTGTCACCTCTCAATTGCATTTTATGGATGAGTAGCATTCCATAGGGCGTATATATGTATACACATACATATGTGTATATACACATAGACACACACACACACAACATTTCTTTATCCAGTCTTCTATTGATTAACATTTAGTTTGATTTCATATCTTTGCTATTATGAATAGTGCTGTGATAAACATATGAGTGCAGATATTATTTGATATGATTTATTTTTCTTAGGGTAGAAATTCAGTAGTAAGATTACTGGATCAAATTGCAGTTCAATTTTTAGTTCTTTGAGAAATCTCTATACTGTTTTACATAGAGGTTGCATTAATTTACATTTCCACTAATATTGTATAAGCATTCCCTTTTATTTGCATCCTTGGCGACATCTGTTATTTTTTGCCTCTTTACTAATAGCCACTCTGACTGGCGTAAGATGATATCTCATTGTAGTTTTAATTTGTATTTCTCTGATGTGCATGTTTTCATATGTTTTTTGGCAATTTTTATATCTTCTTTTGAAAAAAGTCTGTTCATATATTTTGCCTACTTTTTAATGAGGTTATTTGTTTTTTGTTGTTGTCAATATGTTTGAGTGTCCTGTAAAAATCTGAATATTCGTCGTTTGTCAGATGCATAGTTTGAAAATATTTTCTCACATTCTGCAGCTTGTCTGTTTACTCTATTGGTTATCTCTTTTACTAGCAGAAGGTTTTCTAGTTAAATTAAGTCTCATTTGTCTATTTCTGTTGCATTTGCTTCTGGGGTCTTAGTCATGAATTATTTGCCAAAGCCAATGTCCAGAAGTTTTCCCTAGGTTTTCTTCTAATATTTTATAGTTGCAGGCCTTACATTAAACTCTTTAATCCATCTTGAATTGATTTTTGTATATAGTGAGAGTCCAGTTTCATTCTTCTGCATATGGCAATTCAATTTTTTCTGCACCATTTGTTGGATAGTGTTTCTTTCCCTAGTGTATGTTTTCATCAATTTTGTTGAAGATCAGTTTGCCGTAAGTTTACAGCTTTATTTCTGGGTTTTCTTTTCCATTCAATTTACCTATGTACTATTTTTATACCCTTACCATATTGTTTTGGGTACTATAGCCTTGTATTATAATTTGAAGACAGGTAATATGATGCTTCCAGGTTTCTTCTTTTTGCTTAGGATTGCTTTGGATATTTGGGCTCTTTTTTGGTTCCATATGAATTTTAGAATATTTTAGTAATTTTATAAAATATGGCATTGGTATTTTGGTAGAAATTGCACTGAATCTGTAGATTTCTTTGAGCAGTATAGTCATTTTCATAACATTGATTCAATCCATGAATATGGGGTGTTTTTCCAATTGTTTTTATCATCTGAAATTTCTTTCATCAGTGTTTGGTAGTTTTCTTGTGGAGGTCTTTCACCTCCTGAGTCAAAGTATTTCCAGGTTTTTTTTTTTTTGTAGCTATTATAAATAGAATTGACTTTTTGATTTGATTTTCAGCTTGATTATTAGCTAAGAAAGTTTTAATGGTCAGGATGGAAGATCAAACCAGCCATAACATTCCCTTAGACCAAAACCTAATTCGGACCAAAGTTTTAACTGCCTTCAATTTTATAAAGGCTGAGAGAACGAGGAAGCTGAAGAAGAAATGTTGCAAGGTATCAGATATTGACTAATGAGGTTGACAAAACAAGCTACCTCCATAACATAAAAGTAGGAGGTTAAGCAGCAATTGCTTATGTGGAAGCTACAACAAGTTATCCAGAAGATCTAGTTAAGATAATTGATGAAGGTGACTACACTAAACAACAGACTTTTGCTGTGGACAAAACTGCGTTCTATTGGAAGAGGATGCCATCTAGGACTTCATAGCAGGAGAGGAGAACTCAAGGCCTGTCTTCGAAGCTTCAAAGGACAAGCTGACTATCATATTAGGAGCTAATACAGCTGGTGATTTCAAATTGCAGCCAATGCTCATTTATTATTCTGAAAAATCCTGAGGGCCTTAAGAATTATGCTGAACCTACTCTGCCTGTGTGCTGTATAAATGAAACAATAAAGCCTGAATGACAGCACATTTGTTTACAGCATGGTTCACTGAATATTTTAATCTCATTGTTGAGATCCACTGCTCAGGGAAAATAACAACAACAAAAAAATATTTCTTTCAAAATATTAGTGTTCCTTGACAATGTACATAATAATTCTAGAACTCTCATAGTGATGTGCAAGGAGATTATTGTTGTTTTTATGTCTGGTAACACAATATTCATTCTGTAGCCTATAGATCAAGGAGTAATTTTGACTATCCAGTCTTATTATTTAAAAAAATACATTCATAAGACTATAGCTATTATAGGTAGTGATTCCTCTGATGGATATGGGCAAAGTGTATTGAAAAGTTTCTGGGAAGGATTCATCTTTCTGGATGCCACTAAAAAATTTATGATTCATGGGAAGTGGTCAAAATATCAAAATTAATATAAGTTTGGAAGAAGTTGATTCCCACACTTATTGATTACTTTTTCAAGAGTTCAGTGGAGGAAGTCACTGCAGATGTGGTGAATTTTTTTTTTTTCTTTTTGACAGAGTCTCACTCTGTAGCCCAGGCTGGAGTGCAGTGGTGCAATCTCGGCTCACTGCAACCTCCACCCCCAAAGGTCAAGCGATTCCCCTACCTCAGCCTCTGGGGTAGCTGGGACTACAGGCATGCGCCACTACACCCGGCTAATTTTTGTAATTTTAGCAGAGACAGGGATTCACCATGTTGGCCAGGCTTGTCTCGAACTCCTGACCTCAAGTGATACACCCGCCTCAGACTCCCAAAGTGCTGGGATTACAGGCATGAGCCACTGCGCCCAGCTCTAAATATTAAAAGAGCTAGAATTATAAGGGGAACCTGAAAATCTGACTCAATTGTGGCCATCTCATGAAAAAACTTGTACTGATGAGGAGTTGCTTTCTATGGATAAACAAAGTGGTTTTTTGAGATAGAATCTACTCCTGCCAAAGAGGCTGTGAATATTGTTGAAATGAAAACCAAGGATTTAGAATATCCCATAAACTTAGTAGATAAAATAGTTCATAGGGTTGTTAGAGGATTGACTCCAATTTTGAAAGAAGCTCTACTTTGTTTAATGTTATCAAACAGCATCACAAGCTACAGAGATGTCTTTTGTGAAAGGAAGAGTCAATCATTGCAGCACATTTCATTGTTGTCTTGTTTAGGGAAATTGCTACAGCCATCTTAACTTTCAGGAAACACCACCCTAATTATTCAGAAACCATCAACATTGAAGCAAAATCCTCTACCTGCAAAAAGATTACAACATTCATGGAAAGGTTCAGATGTTCATTAGCATTTTTTTGCAATAAAGTATTTTTAAATTAATGTATATACTTTTTCAGGCATAATGTTATTGCACACTTAATAGACTACAATATAATGTAAACATAACATTTATATGCACTGGAAAACCAAAATGTATATGCACTGGCAAACCAAAACCAAAGTGTGTGACTCGCTTTATTGAAATATTCACTTTATTGCTGTGATGCAGAACCAAACCTGCAATATCTGCAACGTATGCTTGTATATTTCACTTTAGATCAAGATAAGTATGTGGAGAAGAAAAAACCACTAAAAGGGAATATGAAGTGCCTAGGCTCTGTGTATTGGAGATTCAAACAAGTAGTCAGTAAAAAAGTCACATTGTTCATATTTGGGTTTTAGGAGAACTACTCTACCAGCAATTTAGAAAATGATTCAGAGGAAAGAGATTGAAGGAGATTCAGAGGATACAGTTTGCTTACAGAAATATGTTTTAAAATATAAACTAAAATTTGTGGAGAAGTTCTCAATTAAAAAGATCCAGTGAGCTAGGAATTCTGCAGAAAACATCATAGATTGGCCTGAGGATATAATGCTTGGCTATTGTTTCAACAAAAACCTTAGGATCTGAAAAGTTTATTACAAAATATTATGCTGGTTTTACTACTTTAATTTTTGAAACTAAAGTTAGGCTTATATACTTATACACAATCTTTCAGAAATATTAAGAGCGTCAAATGTCCACAATTTGAATACCATGGTTATAAGTTATAATAATGTAACTGCAAGAAAAGTGGTGAGACTGGTTGACTCTTTTTTTTTTTTTTTTTTTGAGACCAAGTCCCACTCTGTTGCCCAGGCTGGACTGCAGTGATGCTATCTTGGCTCACTGCAAGCTCTTCCTCCTAGTTTCAATCAATTCTCCCACCTCAGCATCCCAAGTAGCTAGGATTACAGGTGCTTGCCACCACACCTGGCTAATTTTTGTATTTTTAGTAGAGATGGGATTTCACCATGTTGGCCAGGCTGGTCCCAAACTCCTGACCTCAGGTGATCTGCCCGCCTTGGCCTCCCAAAGTGCTGGGATTACAGGCATGAGCCACTGCACCTGGCCTGATTAACTCTTAAGTAGTATCATAGGAGAGCTCAAATAATTATTCATCACCTTTATACAGTTTGTTTCATGAATTATGAAATTATATGAACTATATGAAAGTTCACCTCTGAATTCAGGAATCGATCACAATGCTGGTAGATGGTTAAGAGCCCTTTAGTTTTAGTGTTTTTAATTATTTGTGTTTGCTTTTTGTTACATTGTGAACTGCATTTTTTAAATCAATGAATTGTTGGTAACCTACTGAACTATTAAGATTCAAGATATTTTTTAGTTTTCTAGGTAGTATGCCAAAACAATTGAATAAGTGGTTCATTATTTGTAATATTTGATCTCTGATACAGTTATTTCTGACATTAAGATCATATGGCCTTTGCCCATATGTTCAGAATGTGCCTTTATCTTTTCACTTATGTTTAAAGAGCTTGCAATACTAAAATTCACTCTATAACCATAAACCAGAATCACTGAATATCTTCAATTCTTTTATTACAAATTTTCATATCATCTCCATTTATAAATCACATATCATTTAAAGCAATTTGTGAAAGTTGTTTTCACGAAATACTTTTGATCAATTATGTTTCTGCTTTTGAAATGAAGGGAGAAAGATCTGCAAAGGTGATTGGTTTTATGATACAACCAAATAAGACATGTTCCTTTACTCAGAAAATCTTTCAATATTATTATATGTTTTTTAACAAAATTAATATTTTTGGCTACATATTAAAGTTAACAGTAATGTAGTACTTACTACATGATGAGAACTATTCCAAAAAATTAACAAAGGTTAACCTATTTAAGGTTAACAACAAACTATGAAAGTAAGCACTATTATGTCCCTATTCTTCATTTTAGGAGAAGGAGTACAGAGAAAATACATATATTATCAGAGGTCTCCCATTTAGAAGGTAGTAAAACTAGAATTCAAACCCAAGTACTGTGACTCCAGAATGTGTGTTCTTCCTAACCATGCACCTTCATGGCATTTTATGCCTGTATTACCATTCATTTAGCCAATCAACTATTTGCATTTATCTTGCTTGTTCCAAAAAACTTAAAGTAATAAAATAACACCATTGTATTACTCTGTTCTCACACTGATAATAAAGACATACCTAAGACTAGGTAATTTATAAAGGAAAGAGATTTAATTGACTCATGGTTCCACACAGCTGGGGAGGCCACACAATCATGGTGGAAGGCAAATGAGGAGCAAAGTCACATCTTACCTGGTGGCAGGCAAGAAAGTTTGTGGAGAGGACTCCCATTTATAAAACAATCAGCTCTCATGAGACTTATTTACTACCTTGAGAGCAGTATGGGGAAAACTGCCCCCCATGACTTAATTATCCCCACTTGCCCCTGCCCTTGAGACTTGGGGATTATTACAATTCAAGTTGAGATTTGTTTGGGGACACAGTCAAACCATATCAACCATGTTAAGTATTTTAACAAGAAAATATTCTTACACACCTTTATTATAGCCTGAGAAAATAATAGTATAGCATAAATTTCCACTTTCGAGATTATGTAAAAAACATTTCTTTATTTAAATTGCTTTCCATAAAAATTGTATAAATGTATTCTCCCCTTAATTGCATCTGAGAGTTCTGATTCTCTTTCCTCTATGATAATGTTGTGTCTTTTCTTCTTTAACAATTTTTAAGGTTAAACTTTGTTTCAAGTGTGTGGGGATTCCTGTCTCAGTAGAATCCACAAAACATGAAAACAACCTTGGCTCCAGTTTTTTGCCATATGGAGGGGGCGAAGTTATGAACGCAAACAGCATTTTCTAAAATGCTGAGTTACTTGCAGCATAGTAGGCAACTAACAAAAGAACAGATGCTTTAAGAGTAGACGAAGATTGTTATATTTTCTATTCATGGCATAGTTAAGCGTAGGACACAGGAAGGGCAAGTGAGTTCCATTGTGTGAATGTGTAGGAGGACGTGGCAAGATAGCAATTTAAAACTTTTCACCTGCTTTAAAAATATAGAACATTCTGAAATTTTTTGTCAGGGAGATAACATGGTGAAACCCAGTCTCTACTAAAAATACAAAAATTAGCCAGGCGTGGTGGTATGTGCCTGTAATTCCAGCTACTTGGGAGGCTGAGGCTGGAGAATCGCTTGAACCTGGGAGGCGGAGGTTTCAGTGAGCTGAGAGCATGCCACTGTACTCCAGCCTGGGTGACAGAGCAAGACTCCATCTCAAAAAACAATAAATAAATAAGAGTATTAAAATTATTATATTGGTTTAGCAAGGACACACACAACTTCCTGTCAAAAGTAGAAATCATAAACTTAAAATCATTTAGATAATGTGATTGTGGAATACACAGAATTATTTTATTATTTTCTTTCATTTTTACTGTTTTTCACATTCTTATTGCTACTATTGTTTAACATTTAAAAAGTCTTCCAAGAGGGTTAGATATAATTGTGGATATGCAAAGAGCGCACCATCTGCTCTGACACTTAATAACTATAAGGGTGTCCATGGAAGTGCCAGTTAGCTTCAAATGCAAGTTAGAGGTTCAGGCAAGTAATCTTCTAGGCTGGAAGCATATGCCTCTCTTTCAGTGTTTCACCATGACTGTTTATTTGTCTACCTATTTTTGAAGTTGTGGATTATTTCTTTCTCTTAAAAGTTAGCCCATTCTCAGGACCAGACCCTTTTCCCAAACACATGAGGTGATGAGCTTTTTAAACTCTGTTATAGAGGCAGGCAGGAATAGATATCAATATAATGGCCCTGGAAATTTCAGGTAACCAGGCATTTTGAGAAATCTTCAAAACAACTTCATGGTAGAAATATATCCTTATGCTTTATTCTTTTACAATATTTATTGGCTTTATATAAGGTTCAAATCTTTATGTTCAGCTTGGGATGAACAGAACAAAGCTCTCAAGGATCTTGTATATGTTTAAGGAAGTAACCCTGTATATGTGTATATGACACAGTGTCATGGAGAAGCAATCATCAAGTCTATTGGGTCAATAGTAGAGAAATTTTACACCACAGGGTATATTTAAATTGGCTAGAGCAGGTAGAATGGAACATTCAGGCAGAGGTAAAAAAATGAGGAAGAATAAAAAGATATGCTCTACTGAAGACATCTCAGTGATTCTAATAACATTAGGTGGAAGAAAGGGGGATAATTAGGTTAGATAGAAGACCATAAATGCCAGGATTAAAAAACTGGATAAAAGACAACAAGAAAAATTACAAATGTACTCTGTGCAAAGAGCAAAACATGAAGTTATATGTGTTATGATTCAAACTTTTATATACATTGATGAGTAGTAAAGAACATGCACACTTACATCTAAAATAGGTGAATTTTAAATCAATAAAATATGTCAGAGAGATATTACATAATTGGCAATTTCTGATGACCTGGTTTTGTATTGAACAGATAAATTGCTTTCCTCACATTTTATAAAATTTGTGTTTAACAAGAAGATAATGCATACCCTCAGATTCACATATTTTATATTTCCAAAATAATGCAGAAAATATTGCTAGAAACATTATATGGATATAAAATTTACCCTAAAGATAATAAACTCATAAATACATACTAAACAGTAGAGCACAAGGCAATGAATTTTCATTTGTGTCACATAGAATCTTATTCTAACGTTCTCTATGTCTGAAAAGGACAATTGTGTAACAGATAACGTCTCTGTGAACCTAGATAAAATAGCGTATTTTAATCCCAATATGTACATGTCTAGAATTATATAATGCATACATTATTTGACACCAGATTTTAAATGGATCACAATTAATTTTTTCTTTATCTTCATGTTCTTTATGAGAAGTAAACAGACATTGCTTTAATTATGGCATAAAATATGTTCCCTGTTTAATTTCAAAGACAATTTCTGTGTCATACATTTATTGTGGGAAGAATGCAGGAAGTTAATCTACTAAGGGTTCTCTCTCATTAGTTTCAGATAAATCAGTGCCCAACTTAAACACTGAGGTAGTGAATATTTTTCCCTAAAATATTCTTTCTTAATGTTGGCCTAAATTCTACTATATTTGTATTCATGGCTGGTAGTTTGAGATTGTTGCTGCCTTCAGTTTGATGATAGAATTTTCCCACATATGTATGTTTCTTGGGGGAATTTTATTTTGTCATTTACTTTCTACCTATTATATACTTTTCTTACATATTTTTTCTCTCTTTTACTAAATCTTCTTCCACTTTTATAGAAGTGTTTATGTGTAAACAAAAATACTATCTTATATGAATCTAGTAAAGCACAGAAAGCCCAATCTATGGAATATATGTGTTGGTGTGTGTGTGTGTGTGTGTATACACAATCTATGGAATATGTGTACATATATATGTGTGTGTATGTTATATATATATATATGTAAGTAAATTCAAATATTGAATATGTGTTGGTATTTGTTTCATTTCTATATGGAAATTCAAATATTGAATTTGAACTCAATAATTATATTTACTCTAATATTTTTTCTGGTTTACCCTCTTCTGTTGAGAACTGCTCACCATTTTCATTTGGAAATAACACAAATACACACATTCAATATTTAAATTTATTTTGGTAAACTTTAAGAAAAAATTGATGTAAATACTCACAACATACCATAACTTTTTCTTATTTATTGATATGGTTTGGCTCTGTGTTCCCACCCAAATCTCACCTTGAATTTTAATAATTTCCATGTGTCAAGGTCAGTACCAAGTGGAGGTAATTGAATCATGGGGGAGATTTCCCCAATGATGTTCTCATGATAGTGAGTGGGTTCTTGTGAGATCTGATGGCTTTATAAGGGATTTCTTCCTTCACTGTGCACTCACTCTGTCCTGCTGCCCTGAGAAAACGCACTTCCACCATGATTGTAAGTTTTCTGAGGCCTCCCTAGCCATGTGGAACTGTGAGCCAATTAAACCTTTTTTCTTTATAAATTACCCGATTTCAGATATTTCTTCATAGTAGCATGAGAATAAACTAGTACATTTACTCTAATATTTTTCCTGGTTTACCCTCTTCTGTTGAGAATTACTCATAGGTACTTTCTATTCAGATAACCTCTGTTTCTGCTTAAGACCATAAGAATAAACATTATTGTAATTTTATTTTCCCCATTTTTATTCATCTTCTTTTGTTGTCTGTTTTTTTTTTTACTCTTTGGACTCTGACAAAAATGTTCTCTTTGTGTAGGAAAAAGAAGAATTTAAGTGATTTTTTAAATTCTTCTTTTGCCAAACAAAGATAGTTTTCTCACTGAAGATAAAATATGTAATCATTTCTTTAATTGACATTTTTCTCTATTTATTCTTCATTCAAAAACTATTTGGATGTTCTAACTCCACAGTGGGTATTATGGTAAGCTATTGTACAATTTGCTAAAATACACCATATCAACCCTCACTCAACTTCAGGAATAGCCATAGGTTTTCTGCTGTCTCATCAGTATCACCTGACTAAATGTACATGCTTCAGTGTACTTAGTGAAACTGCCATCACTATTCGCCACTGTTGTGCATCCTGATGCTTTGAATAAAATGTACAATGACTGCATATTTCTAAACTGTGCCACCTGATACAGTAGCTACTAACTACATAAGGCTCTACATGTTTAAATTTAAATTAATTCAGATAAATAATATGAAATTTGATATTTTTACAAACACTGGTAGTATTTAAATAGCTCAATAGGCACAAGTGATTATTGTATTGTAAAAAGCCTATGTAGAGGATTTCCATCATTGTAGATAGTTATTTTGGACATAGTATATGGGCCAAGGGAACAGGATATAATCTCATAGGTCTATAAAACATTTATCTTTTTTCTACTGTGAGTACAAATCAATGAATCCTTCCGTAGCCCTATAGAAAAGTTAAAGGAAACAAATTACTAAGAAATTTTATTTTATTGTTTCTTTTTACACTACTTAATTTACATTAATTGACACAATTATCATACATATTTATGTTTTAGTTGTCATGCAAATAATCATTTTCTGTTGCAGTTGGATTTTTAAAAATGTATTTTTATTCTCCCTTAGGTGGTTCTCAAAGTAATTACCCACATGTTAGTGTCTAGGTTGGCATCTCTACATTGTCTGTTTTTTAATTAAAGTATATTGTGGATTAAAAGATATTTTGTATGCATAATTTTTATTAATAAAAATTCAATATTACTAAAAGATAAAAGTGGAAATATTGCACTTGTTTTTGTTCCTGAATTAGATCATTTCATTTATGACTCTCTCTCTACTTCTAGAAAACTAAATTGTGATATAAACAGATGGTTTGTATTTTGTCCTGTTCCCAACTGTTTTGTTCTCACATCCACAGGAAAGGAAAATGACAGCTTTTGTGATATTCTGGAAACAATTATTTGAGAAAATTTATTCCAGTCTTCATTTAAAAGTTTGAAATTTAGTATAAAACATCGCACTGTTATCCAATAAAAATTTCTTAAACATAATATCATGACATAAAATCAGCATTAATAAAAATAATTATAATTAACATGAAATTAGTAAGCTTATAGGTATCAGTTACTAGGTACCGAGCACTATTGAGAGCTTTACACAGTTAGCACATGCAATTACCTAAACAGTTTTCTGAGGTAGATGTTTTTATTATTACTTTTATCTCTTGATGAAAACCTGAGGCAGGAATATAATAAGATGCTATGAACAACCCAAATATGGCTAGGAGCTCCATCATACAGGAAGCACAGAAAGTCAAATAACTGTGGTGTCTGAAATTAATAGGAAAAGTTTAAACTTCAGTTCCTTTGCCTCAATGTAATCACCAGTTTGCTGGTTATATGACCTTGGCCACAATAATTACCTTTTATGTTTCAATTATTTATCTTCATAATTATCAAAATATTATTATTCAACCTATTTAAAATAGTGAAGGAACCTGAAAAGGAATTATTGTTGCTTGATTATTTGGCCCCATTCACCAATCTGTCTTCTGTATTAAACAGCAGTCTCAATGATTATTTTTCTACGTGTCTTACTTTTTCTTTAAGAATACGAATCTTAGCCTGCTCATTAGCCAAAATACATGGAAAATGGACAGACCAACTATATCATTTATTTTCAAAGTGTTCCTTTCTTTTTTTATTTTTAAGGTATTCTTTTTGAAGTATTTCTATATATACAGTGATTATAGGTATGACTGCACAGGTTGGGCACTGTACAGTTCCAGAGAATGTCATTCACAGATATTACAACCACACGCTGTGGCTGGGATTCATATAATTTTCTGGATATATTATTTAAATTATCTCCTATTTTAATAATTCCAAAGTCAAAATAGAAAACTGTACTTATGTATTTCTAAGAGATATTCTTGAATATGAATACATGGAAAGCATGCCTATGTAAAATTTAGAACATATTATTTTTTATTCTAATCTGGATAATTATTGTCTTCATTCATTCATATCCCCAAGCATTTGCAAAGAACTTCACAGTTTATCCAAGTGTTAACATTAAAATTAGATTGTGAATTAGAGCAAATATTTATACAACATGACAAGATAACAAACACTTTCATATAAACAATAGGTTTTAGATAAACCAATAAACCAATCAATTCCCATTTACATTTTGTAGTTAACTATCATTTCTATGTAATGCTAGAACATATTTTTAAGTACCACCCTTTTTTCCTAAAGATCTGCCATAAGAGACATAATGAAATGTATATAAATATGTGTGCATATATATATCCTTTATTATATTATCCTTTTGTTTCTTCATATATTTATATATGTAAATAAAATAAAATGAATAAAATGTAAATGTATAAAGAAACAAAAGGATAGCATAAATGAGAATAAGAGAAGATAAATAATATGTTTTGGAATTTACTCAGCATCTGATTCATTACAGCAATTAAGTTTTGGAGTTACGTTTATGATAATCATTGACTTAATTTTGTTTCTGTTGCAAAGTTCAGATTACTCAACGAAATAAGAACAAGTTTCTTCACATGTCATTAGGGTGATCAATAATTCTAAGTCTTCTTGTTTAGAGCTGTGAGAAACTAAGAAGAAAAAATGTCATCCACATATACCTATATATAACTCAGATTTTTTTATACTTTGAAAAGTATGCTCTTCTGTGTGTTCTCCATCATCTTAAATATTTAGTTGATTTTGGGATATTTAAATAGGAGTGGGACATAGAGGTGAAATGGTCATTGCTTTTGCTGTCCAGATGGAGAAACTCGACTATAAAAAACGTAGTGAAACTCTGCTGTCAGAAGCACAACAAACACACAAATCCATATTTTCAAGTTCTTGTTCTTGTGTATTTTCCACTAAAATAAAATATACGATATCTCTTGTTTTTGGCCTTTTCCATAGTTCTGATTTCATTTAAATACAGGCAAAAGGAATTTTTTTAGTTGTATCAGAAAAACAGAGCAGGATAATTATTTAATGTAATTAATTCTATTTCTCTTCAGGGCATTGCATAAACTAGGAACTACTTTGGTTTACAAAGAAATATCTACTATAATATTTTCTTACAGATTTATTGAACCTAAGATAGTTTTCTCCATAAACATAATTTTGAATGCAATCTGCTGTAAAAAGAACATATATTTTTAAGAATTACTTTCAATGCCTGTTTTTTCTGTTGTTTCTACTTTCCATTTGTTCTTTAAAAAACAATAAAATTTCTTACAGATAAATATATCTATATTACAAATAAAGATAAATTTCTTGTCTTTGTATAAGGAAAACTTAGTTTTCTCAATTAGCTAATATAGAAATATATAAGTTGTTTTATATTGAAATGTTTAATGTTAATTTACAGTTTTAAATTTATGGTAGTCAAATTTTGCTTTGTGGATTTTAACGTATTTTCAGAGAAGCTATACAGTATGGTGAGTAACAGCATCAACACTGAAGCCATTTAAAAAATCAAATTCTGACTTCATCCCTTCTAAATTGTTTGACATTGAATGAGAAATATAACCTCTATGATCCTCAGTTTCCTCACTGGTAATATGGGAGTAATGACTGTGTGTCTAACTCCTTGATTTTCTGAATGTTAAGTGAGCTTATCTATATAGTGTTCTCAGAACAGTACATCCTAGAATAAAATATCCTGGAACTTTCATTGTAATTATTATTACTGGTATGATTGTCACATAAACCAAAAGCACAATGCATGTGGTGCATCCCTATTTATGTATATATGAAGAGCTTTGTGTTTTGTCAATAGCATTTGATATATACTCACATCAAAGAATCTGGTCAAACCCCCATAGAATCCTGATATCATA
Source organism: Homo sapiens (assembly GCF_000001405.40). Lineage (NCBI taxonomy): Eukaryota > Metazoa > Chordata > Mammalia > Primates > Hominidae > Homo > Homo sapiens. Next base: position 34,349,931 of record NC_000004.12, read on the forward strand.
CTTTATTATTTAAAAAGTCTAAATTTTGATAGATTTATCAAACATAAAAGATATTTTACTTGGCGGTTTAGTTTGCATTGCCTCTCTATATACCATGCTAGATTTAGAATAGAGCCTCTCTCCATTTATTCATTTCTCATTAGCTAAGAGCTTTGACTAATCTAATAGGTCTCTGATTCCATTAGAATCCCAAAAGACTTCTAATTCTTTCAAGAGAATAAGAAATTCACTCTCTCTACTTTCTTGACACTGGGTTATCAATTACTGCTTGTCTTCTGTGTTCCAGGCAGTGGGTGAGACACCAGGGATGCAAGATATTTTCTACATTAATGCACGCATAATCAATAGTACGGCCCAAGGTCATATATAATTTGATTTTATAAATATTTGAAGAGGACAATAAAATGCTACACAGTTAATAATCTCACAAAGTTTACAAAACATTTTAAACTAGGATAGTACCAAAAGTAAGTAGTAATCTACTTTAATCATCTAAAGAGAACAAAACACCCTCATCTACACACTACACATATGACTGCCCATCTCACAGAGGTGAAGATGGCAGAGTAAAGCCTATATATTTTTAAAATAGGTTTTGTTAAATTATGCTATATGTGCATAGAAATCTGTAGTTTTTATGAGTTATTCAAACTAAAAAAATATTTTCTTTTCTTGTTGAGAGTGAGAGAAGGAAGGGACAAGGAAAACAATATTCTAGACTTCTTATATACCAAGATATTTAGTATAATATTTTCATGTTATCTCAGAGTTTCAGCAGAGGCCTTGGGTACCAACTACCCCAGATCTAAGGTGTGACATTGACTACATACACATGACATGTTAAGGAAATGTAGCACTGATTCTCTCAGCATTAGTAATCACTCACCTATAATAATTTAGAAAGGTCAAGGAGAGACTCTATTTATGGAGGAACTTGTCAGTGTTTTGTGTCGATTTATTTTAAGCCAAAGTACAAGACAGGGATTTTGAGGTAATGACTCAAAGATGTTAACATATACACTATTGAGTTTGGGAAGCATGAGGACTCTATGAGGGGCAGTGGCTAGATGGTCATTAGATATGGATAACAGTGTATCAGGGAATCACAAGAGTCACTATCTGCGATCCATGTTTTTATCTATAGTGAAAGTTTCAAAAATCTTGTATTCTATTTGTCAAAATTGAGCCATGCAGAAGGAAGGTGGCTGTAGCTTTCTTAAGAGAATCTACCCAATTGTCCTGACATGAGTTGAAAATTGACCCAGCAAAGTAGAAAGCATGGAAACCAAGGCTCATGTGGCTAAGTTGTAAAACGCCAGGTGCAGATTATCTCTCCCATTATGAATTGCATTTGAATTTTTCCACCAAGGGGTGAAGGTAGAGGAGGTAAATATCTCTAATTAACATATAAAACACAACATTATAGAAAGAGCCAATAATCGTACATTTAATGTGCAGATTTCCCTAATAATAAAGCACAATGCATTCAGTTTTCTATTTTTTCTGTGTTTTCTTTCTACGTCAATGCTTGAAGTGTCTGTAAACTGGATAGTGCATAGGCATGAAGCATGACAAGAGCAGAGTTGAAGAAAAGGAGTAAACTTCTCCAACGCCCTAGAGCAAGATTCCAAGCCTACAATAGATTCAAAATGGTGGAGAGGAGACAAGTTACCTTTGCATTAAATTTTAAAGACTTTATCATTACGATAGCCTGGGTAGAGCTTTAATTGATAAAAATAAAATCATTTGCATGTTTAAATAAACTTGGCTACAACCATCTATGTACAAGGAAAGAACTGGATCTAGATCAGATGAAACGGCCAGATGGAGAAAACGCCAACTTTTCAACTTAACAGTAACATATTGTGTTAGTTTTATATGGCTGCCATAAATTACCACAACACACAGTGGTTTAAAACAACAGACCTTTATTCTCTAACACTTTAGAGGCCAGAAGTCCAAGATGGAAATAATGGCAAAATTGCTTCTTTCTTGGGGGCTCAGTAAGATAACTTATCTCATGCCTCTCTCCCCATTTCCCATCATTTCTAATCATCCTTGGCATTTCATGGTGTGTGACAGCATGACTCCGATCTCTGCCTCTGTCATCAAGTCATGTTCTCCATGTGTATCTCTGTGTTCAAATTATCCGTCTTTTTATAAGGACACTATTCACCAGATTAGGAACCACAATAATTCCATACAATCTCATTTTAGTTCAATTACAGCTTCAGAGACCCTATTTCCAAATAAAATTACATTCACAGGTTCCAGATGGACATGAATTGGGGGGCAGGGGAGACTATTCTGCCCAGTACTCCTGTCACATATTTACATACAAATGTTAGTAAGAGTTTTGAAGTGGATCTATTCCAATTTCATGATCTGAACATTATCTTCATTCTCAAATACACAGTTAGTTACATTTTCTGCCTGTGGATTTAGCTTGGTTTCCTCCTCTTATTTTATTTTATTTTGTTTTTTTTAGATGGAGTCTCACTCCAGCCTGGGAAGGCTGGAGTGCAGTGGCACGAACTCGGCTCACTGCAATCTCTGCCTCTCAGGTTCAAGCAATTCTTCTACCTCAGCCTCCCGAGTAGCCAAGATTGAGGAGTGCGCCACCACACTCAGCTAATTTTTGTATTTTTAGCAGACACTGGGTTTCGCCATGTTGGCCAGGCTGGTTTCAAACTCCTAACCTCAGGTGATCCACCCACCGTGGCCTCCCGAAGTGCAATAACAGGTGTGAGCCACCATGTCCAGACCATCTTTTTTTTTTTTTTTTTTTTTTTGACACAGTCTCACTCTGTTTCCCAGGTTGGAGTACAGTGGCATGATCATAGGTCACTACAGCCTCCAACTGTTGGACTCAAAGGATTCTCCCATCTCAGCCTCCTGAGTAACTGGGACTCTAATCTTGTGCCACTGTACTTGACTAATTTTTTCTTTTTTAACTTTTTGCCTTTTGTAGAAATAGGTCTCCTTTTTTACCCAGGCTGGTGTGGAACTCCTGGCTTCAAGTCAACATCCCACCTTAGCCCCACAAATTGCTAGGATTATAGGCATGAACCATCTGTTAATTATCTTAATAAAGAGAGAATGAACTCAATTGGATATCTGAAATTGGAAGAGAGGAAAAAAAGGACTTAAATTTCATGCATTCAAAATGGAGCTACTAATAGTATCTATCACATAACATATAAAAGTGATGAGAAAATGAAATAATACATGTTTAGAAACAGGAAGATGTTTGAAACATAATAGGCATTTATGATTTTTGCGGGCTTTTTTATTAAGCATGCAAAGCAGGAGAATTTTTTTACTGATAACAAAGTATCTCAAAGGCTAAGTATTTTTAGAAAAAGGTAAAGAATTGTTAATGACATATCCTTTTCTTCCATTTATGTTGAACATTATAATGTTATTCTACTCAGTAAAATACTACCATTTTAATTGATATCATTTTAATAGAATTTCATTTTTAACACATGGAAAAAACAGATAAATGGAAGATAGTTTTGATTATTTATTTTACTTTAATGTTTGATTTTTATAATTCATTGGAAAAGAAGCAAAGCTATATTTCTCTGTTCAATTATTTTCCAAAAATGGTACAATCTTTTCACCTCTAAGTGTTACTATTGCATATTAACAAGTAAAATAAGAACAATATTTTATTTCAAAATAAGTAAGATATATTGCCTGTACTTTCACATTAAACTTATGTAGTTTACTTTTTTATATTTATATGTAAAGTAGACCAACATTTATTTATTTATTTTTTTTTTTTTTTGAGACGGAGTCTCGCTCTGTCGCCCAGGCTCACTGCAAGCTCCGCCTCCCGGGTTCACGCCATTCTCCTGCCTCAGCCTCCCGAGTAGCTGGGACTACAGGCGCCCGCCACTACGCCCAGCTAATTTTTTGTATTTTTAGTAGAGACGGGGTTTCACCGTTTTAGCCGGGATGGTCTCGATCTCCTGACCTCGTGATCCGCCCGCCTCGGCCTCCCAAAGTGCTGGGATTACAGGCGTGAGCCACCGCGCCCGGCCCAACATTTTTATATGAATAAAGGCAGACATATTTCCAAAATGAAGAGTTTTATTTTTTTCTATTCACACTCAAGAGAGTACACAGAATTATCAAATAGATCCATTACATCAGCTAAGTTCTTAAAAGCCTTATATTTATTCAAGGTAGCTCTGTGAGGGTATAGACAGAATTTAAAAACATATGCACACATACTAGAAGCCCTTGACTTATTCTCTGCTTTGCCACATGTAGTTAGAAAAAACAGTAAAAAGGGTAAGGAATCTTTGTCTATGGATTTTTTTCCCCTTTTCTATATTGTTAGCTCTCAATAATGGTTACAATAAAACTTTCCAGAGTGGAACTCATTGACCAAAACATAGTGATCTAGCCAAGCTTAGTATGATATTCCGAAGTAAAGGAAAAACAAATCAAAACATAACCGGGCCATTTGAAAATAAACAAGAAAAGTTTATTTTAAGGAATCTAAACTAAAAGCTAATCTAGGAAAATAAATCTTTAATTTTTGTATTTTTTGTGGTGATGGTGATGTATTGTTATGTTTAATTTTATTTAATTTTTATCAATGTGAAGTGGCATTACCTCCAGTGTATACCGAAAGCAATATGCTCTTTTGTTTGTTTCTGCCTCAGCGATATATATTTTTCCACACTGGTTTGTGGCTGCATGTCAGAGCCACTATGAAATTCAGTTAAGCATTCACATATCACTCTTGGTAAATGCATGGAGATGTGGCACACTAGGATGTCTGTGTTTCCATTCAATATACACCCCTGAGGGCATGAATTATGAATCATTTATCCTAGTATTTCCAGAGTATATCACTATACATGGACCACAGTACACATTCACTAAATGTTTATTAATAAAAGAAGGAATTACTAATTTGAATAACTAAAATTAACCCCGCCATGAAGAAAGCATCATCTTTCTTTAAGAGTGGCTTTGTAATAGGAATAAGAATCTGTTAAATTATAGTTATTTTATATTCAGTTATGTTAAGGACCTAGGTTTTTTGAGACATATTTAATTGTATAAGAAATAAAATTTTAAATGAAACATTGACTAGAAACTTATTTAGGCATGGTTATTAAAGAATGGAAACATTTCTGGATGATGGAAAATTCTATTTCAGTATGATATTTTTTTCACAAATTATTAAATATAGTGATAACAGCATTCTCTCAATTCTTCCCATGGTTCATTCAAATACCCCTTGTATATTATTTTGTGTTCTTTAACCGCAAAGTGAGCATAACCTGTATATCTCAATGACATTTCTTTCTAAATAATAGTTTAAGTAAGATAGAACAAAAATGCTATGCTATTATGATTATACATTTTTGAGTCTATCTAGCAATATCATTACAGATCAAAAGCTCAGAGAGAGCTTGACAATTCTCAGAAATGGAGTTACAATTTTAAAGAACAAAATGTCATTTCTTAAACAATGAATCATCACTGATATACAATTCTCCATCAAGTAATTAGTAATTCCTTTATATAGTAGGTCTTATCAACATTTTTGTAAGAAAGAAATAGAGCTCACAATTGGATTTTAGAAATATCTGTCTTTAGTTCAATAGATTTCAACATCACCAGCCTGGTCTCAGCACATATCATTAGCAGCTATCTCAGTGGATACAGTTAATTATCACTATTTCTTTCAGATAATGAATACTAAATAGAATACTTGCTCTGTTACAAAGTTTGAAACTGTGCTTTTGATATGAAAAAGATATCACTAAGAGTACAATGAAGTGGCATCTTTATTTTTTGCTAATGCCAGCCTGAAACTTTGCTCAATGTTTTTAACTGCCTAGGGACATTTTTCCCCCACTAATTGTAGCCCTACTGCTAGTGATTTGAGAAATCATTAGTGGAATTTTAAAATCACTGTTCTTACATAAACAAGCCTTAATTTTCAAATTCAGCTTTTTGCAACGCACTGAGATATAACATTTTAATGCATACTCACTGAAGGTTACCATTCTTCTTTATTAAATATATTGTAGTAAACATGTTTTCAACTTGATTATGTATACTGCATTTTGAAACAAGGAGATTGAGTGACTGGGCGTGTTGAGGGAAACTCTATTTAATACTACCTCAGATAAGAAAGAGGGCAAAATCATTTCTTGTTTCAAATAGAAATGGCTTAGTAAATGGGAATTACAAGGTCATGTCAATGTGCAATCTGATTATCAGTAGAAGTATACTGAGTTGAAGTTCAGAGGACATTGTTTTTCTACCAGAGGGTTCTGTGGAATTATATTATAAATAAAGTTATATATATAAAACAAAATAGAGTCCTTGTCATATTTCCTTGAAGGATATTTCCACATGGCAGACTTGTGCATTCAGGAAAAAGCAAGATGTCTTCTTTTCTTATTGTCTCATAATCCACATACTGAAATAGAAGTTAAAAAATGTAAACTAACGTGACTTATTCCAAAGAAATGAGGGGAAGATACATATATTATTACAAATAAATCTAGACCATTTTGGCAAACAGCGTTAGCATTTTTCTTGACAAAAGTTGCTAAAAGTTGGTCTGCTTCATCACTGACAACTGGTTAAAATATTGAAGAAAGAAAAGTATAAAAATATACACAGTTCAGTCAGAAGCGGACCAGACATGAAATGCAATGTGATAAAATTTAGGTAGAGATGAGTGTAGGGGTTAATATACACATCAGATTTTATTTCATTCTTTTAAAATTATTTTCTATTTATTATATCCCAATGGAATCAGAGTATTTAAGAAACTTCATAATTTCAGCAACCTGTCTGTGTTCCTTCTTTGTAAAAGAAAATGTTCCTCTATTTATATTTCAAATAATTATGTATAAAATGTTATTATAACTTTCCAGCCACCATTTTCCAACATTTATAGTTATAATATATTACAAATGATGCTAAAGTGGTTTATTTTAGAATCCTAAATGATCAAATAAAATAATAATACATATGCTCAGATATCACCTTGAAGTTTTCAAGGCATTTTTATTTACATTACATTAGTTGGTCTTCAAAGCAAGCCTGTGAGGCAAGCAGCACTGTTTTTAGTACAGCCTTGATACAGAAAACAGAACAGTTTCATGAGGTTAATCAATTTATTGAAGTAATGGAGTCAGAAAAAGGCCAAGTCAGCTTTTGAGAGTGTGTCTTCTGAATGCTGCTTCCACAACAGTTTGTCCGTATGTTAGTAGCAGCAAATCCATACAGGTATGCAGCAACTTCAGTTCTTGCCTACTCACATGAAAGAATTTGACTGAGGGGCACAAAACAGAGTAAGAGACTGAGGCAAGTTTTAAAGCAGGAGTGAACGTTTATTAAAAAGCTTTAGAGCAGGAACAATAGGAAGTGATGTACATTTGGAAGAGGGCCAACTGGACAACTTGAGAGATCAAGTGCATGGTTTGATGTTTGACTTGGAGTTTTTTATGTTGGCATGCTTCCAGGGTCTTGAATCACTTCTCCCCTGATTCTTTCCTTGGGGTGGACTGTCCATATGAGCAGTGGTCTGCCAGCACTTGGGAGGGGCCGTGTGCACAGTGCATTTACTGGAGTTATATGCATGCTCACTTGACGTGTTCTTACCTTACCAGTTGAATCTCCCTAGAAGGTAGTTTACCAGTCAAACTCTGGCATTTTGCCTCTTAGTGCATATGCTCTAGCCCACTGGCCAACTCCTGAGATCTTATCCGGAAGCTGCTGATCACCAGTTTCAGGTATTTCTATCTATTGGGAAACTGCCTTTCTGTGGCACCAACTGCAACCAATTATTATTTTAGAAAGAGAGTGTAATAATTGCCTGACCATCCCCTGATGGTCACCTGACATTCTTGGTGGCAGTTTGGAGGGGTCTCCTGCCCTGTTCATGTCTGACTAACTACCTACTCTAACATTTTTCACGCTCAAGAATCCAAGACCCCAATTCTTTGGGGAAAATGGTCAAAGGTCAGTCTTCTGTAACTGCTTCCTGCTGACAGAGGGGATGTGATGGTTGTTCTATGGGTCTTGGCCTCTTGCTAACTGTGAGAGTAGGGTGGCTCCATGCATTGGAGAAAGTGGTATTTAGACAGCTCTAAAGGAGAAAAGGGAAGGATTTGCCTCTGTTGTGTCTGACTAATGGGCAGCATAGGGGTCCCCTGTAGAAAAGTGAATATTGAGAGGATAGTATCTCTCACTGAGGATCATCTGGAGATTGATGGCCTGAAGGCAAGAGGAGATAAATTGTGTTATTAGATTTAGAAGACATCGACCAAAAAGGAAAAGTAGAGATGCCAAAACAAAATAGCAGGGTGAAGACAGTTTCAAAAATTTCTAAGACTGCTGACATACCCAGGTAGCTGGTGGCTATAGTTATGCCTGCTAAAACTTGAGTTCATGGGGTTGCCAGCCAATTTCAATATGTGCCCAGAATTAAAATATTGATTCAAATTTTCTACATTACACTGCATTACTCTCTTGTTTCTTTTGAGGTGCAGTCAAAGATCACTGCTTGGTTCAAAGAAATAATCAAGATTAGTCTAAATTGCAGACAAAAACTAAAAAATAATTAATGAGTCTAGCACTTAATAACAGGTGTACCACAGTTCTTAAAATAATTTCTCTCTCTCCAGTCCTCATTTTTATTAACAACAAATCATGATAAGACTGATTTGCTTGCAAAATAAGCTGTAGCCTTATTACACTTGGCCTGATTATTTGTACGAAGCATAGCAACAATAATTATTTGCCTCTTGTAAATTGGCTTTTATGGAACTTTGCTTCACAAGGAATCCCAAATAAGACCTTTTAAAGCCTTAAGCCCAGCCATGGGTTTGTGCCATCAAATAGCTGTACAAGTTAGAAAAATTCCTCTTCATTGAGGTCCCAAGATAACTTGGGACTCAGGAACCTGTTCTGAAAGTGTCATTATTTATTTACCACAAGTCAGAAACCCTGTATAGGAACTGTGTAGACAAAGTATAAGGCTAGTTTTCCTAAGGGTCTTTTATTGACTCTATAAGTCAACTTTGATTCCTTAAAGGAATCTGTTTGTAGCTGAAAACATGCCATTCCAGTCAAAGCTCCAGTTTCTCCAACTTTGTCCTGTTAACCAAAAAAAAAAAAGATTAATATGGTATTTATATAAATAACTACATTGCCATAAGTTAAGAATACTCCTGAATCGCTCCAAATTCTGAAGAAATCTACTAGAGAGAAATATACTCCAAATTTTGTTTATAGGAGTATGCTTTACTCAATTGTTAAAAACTGTATATAGCTTAGAAAATGTTTTCTTGGCTTTGAGAAACAAAGAATTAGCAACATTTTAAGCAAAAAGACATACAAGAAATATTTTAAGTCTTCTGTGAGTTCAGTCCACGTAGTTAACTTCTGTTGTGCTTGATATTTATAAACATTTCCAGATCTACATGAGAGCCCTGAAAGTTTTTTTCTTTTGTTCTAATGTCACAATCATCAAAGTTATCAGAAACTACATTTAACCCTATGACTGATTACAAAACTACCTTTTAAAGAGGATTAAAACAAAACAACAATTATCTGTGGAAGACCGAAAGCCTTAGGGCAGCCAAAGACACAATAGGTAGGAAAATGTGTTAGCTCTGTGGCACACAATAATTTAACATAAAAATTATAATTATTATCGGTGACATATACTAAGTCATGTAAGAATTATAGGACTTTTGCATAATTTTGGAACACAAACCAATAACACATTTATACAAATAAAACTCAAAGAAAGCCAGATTATACCTTTGCATTAGTGTACTATTGATGTCAAACACAGTTAGTAATAAAACCTTGTAGATAAATCTAGCCAGCCTTAATCAGTTTGACCATAAGGTAAGATTTTTATAAACCTTTCATAGTCCTTTACAATTTTCTGTTATAGAGTAGAACAATGCTCTAAGAAAACTGTGTTGTGCATTTATCCCAATGTTCAATTTATGGATAAACTGAATGTCACCCCTTTAATTTTAGCCAATGTATTCATATACAGAATCTTTAACAACATTAATATTTCACAAACTTTCCATAACTTGCTTAAACTTTCAGCTTTATCCTATGCAACCTAAAATAATCCTGTATCCTCTTAAAGTAGGCAAAATTCCACATTCCCAAGCCTTCTTGTGCTTTTTTAACAAAAGTACATTCTACTTTCCTTATATGCCTTGGATGTAAAACCGTTTTTGCAGTAGTCTCAAGTACATGTTACACTGTTAACTCAGCAACTTATATTTTGGTGAAAAACCTGGTAAGTAAGCAATTATCTTTATGTACTAGGTTTGAAGCCTAGGATACTAGACAGAAGTGCAGTTAAGGTTTGACTCTTACCAGCATAGCTAGGAGGCATGGATAACTCTGTATGTCCCCAGGCCTAACCTAGATTTTAATGGCTTTAAAGCTGGCAAGTTGTACAGTTAAGAGTCATAGTAGTTGTGTATGACCTTAAGACATTTAGTAGACCCAATAATGTTTAACATTGTATAACACTTCTTTTATTAATTCCCCTACAAATAAATAAATAATTTATTAGATTTTTGCTAGGGCATGTCAAGTAAGTGTGGGATATTTCTAAAATCATGAGGTAGGACTGTCTGGGTTTAAGTTTTTGGTTAAGGATTCACATAGCTGTTTGGGAGAAATAGGGCTGTTAGAGAAAAGGATGAATTCAGAGATTGGGCAAATATTAAGCAGGGACCTATTTTGAAAGTATGGTTTTCTCCAAAGGAGTATGAATCTTTTATTTTGGAGAGAGGGCGGATGCCATTTTCTCCTATGACCCAACAGGATTTGGAGGAGGGTTGCTTAGAGAAGGTTAGCACAGAGTAGATAGCTCTTGAACCCACAAGGCAGATTTATAATTTTACTTGCCACCTACAGAGTTGCCCTTGTCTTTCTCTTGTTGATGATGATGTCTGATTTGGGAGCTAATCGAGCAGAGAGCCCCGTAGCTCAAGGCCATCAGGAATTAAGTTTCTGTCCAGAGACCCTTTGGCCCTCAGGACAGTCGAGTTTCCAGTGGCCAAGCTTGTGGCAGAGGGGGCAAGATATGTGGGGCTTTTCCACATTTATCCTACTGTAGCAGTTTGCATTCCAGTGGCCTGGATTCTCACAGCAGTGGCAGTGACCTGAGGAGTGCCCTTAAGACAACCTGGAGGAGGCCAGAGAGCTTGCAGAGCAGCCAATAGTTGGGCCTGCCTCTTCTCCTTGCATGTTTCCTTTTCCTTAGCCTTATCCTCCTTGTCCTGATCTCAGCTATAAAAGAATGAGGAGGCTAATTTGAGTATTTCCTGTGTAAGGTCACTGGGTTTTAAGGCTGAGTATTTTTTTTTTATTATTTTACTTTAAGTTGTAGGGTACATGTGCACAACGTGCAGGTTTGTTACTGCATGTACACATGTATACATGTGCCATGTTGTGCTGTACCCATTAACTTATCATTTACATTAGGTATATCTCCTAATGCTATCCCTCCCCCCAGCCCCACTCCACGACAGGCCCCGGTGTGTGATGTTCCCCACCCTGTGTCCAAGTGTTCTCATTGTTCAATTCCCACCTATGAGTGAAAACATGTGGTGTTTGGTTTTCTGTCCTTGTGATAGTTTGCTCAAAATGATGGTTTCCAGCTTCATCCATGTCACTACAAATGACATGAACTCATCCTTTTTTATGGCTGCATAGTTTTTAAGGCTGAGTTTTATAATTTTCTCCCAGTTCATTTCTGGGCCAAACAGTATTCCAAAGGAAACCTAATTTTTTGTTTTAAGGTTTGGAGATACCAGACATTTCCCTTGAGGATGCATCTGAGGGGTGTGTCTTGTGTTATGGAGACACAATTACCTATCTGCAAAAAAAGAACAGAGAAGAAAAAAAAAAGGAAAAAGGAAAAGAAGGTGTCACCTCTTACTGTCCTATTATTAGTCTGAACAAGGTATTCCCCCATTCATCCTCCATTCATCCTTAGAGTTCCAGCATGAACTGGTCTTATCATATACCCTTAACCTTGGTCTCATCTCATCACAATTATCCATTTGAGAATCGAGGAGATCCTGGAATCAACAGGGATCTGCTTGTTTATCCTTGGGGTATCTGGAATGAATCGGTCTTATTGGGTACACCTAACCTTGCCTTTGTCTCTGTTGTAATGGTAATTTGTTAGCCTAGAACAAGCCTTCAGCTCTGTCCTATGGTTTCCTGAACCTGCAGTCTTGGGCTGTCCTATAGCCTTGTCTCCATGACATTATAGTGACTCTCACTTGGAGAATTCTAGCAAAAAAATGATTACTTCTCTTCTCACATTCCAATTTCCCATGTTCTTTAAGATGGAAAGCCTATTTCTCAGCAAATTGCTGCAAGGGAACAGGACTTCGCTCCCTTCAAATATGACTTTGAAGGTCTTGATGCATATTGAGAAGGGTGTGGAAGTAATTACAGAAATGGAGGCTACAGGAGGAAGCAGGAGGAAGTGAGAGGAATACTCATGGAAAGCCTTTATATGCTCACAAAAACAGCAGCCCTTGGATTCTGGAAGGCAATGTTTATTGGCCCTCTTGACATAAAAGAGAAACTTCTGGAGGATTTTGGGGCATGGATAAGGGCTCAAATGGCAAAGGCAGAATGTCCTCTCCTCACAAAGTAGTATTAACTAAAAAAATAAATAAATAAAAAAAAGGAGATGGGGTTGTTAAAGGACCACAGGGTGAGGTCTTATGCAGGCAAAAAAATTGGTTCAAAATCCACTGGAAAACATGGCCCTGGGGCATAACAGGAATGGAAAGCACATGGTAAGTCATAAGGAGCTGGTAGAGCCAAGGTTCCAATTAGTGTCTGTCCTGGCAAGGAGCCAACAGCAGAGAAGGAAGTCATGTGGCATGCAAAGCAAAGTTAGAGAAAAGACAGGTTGCCTCCTAAGCAGAGGTCCTGCAGGTGTGCAAGGCCATTTCAGAATACACAGAGAAAAAACAGGAGAATAGGTGGTGTGGGTTTTTGTAAAAGAGTCTATTTTAGTGGAAAAAGCAGAGGAAACTCCAGACATTGCACAGTCTCTGGCTTTAGCCCTACCACTCTCATGACCCTTTTGTCCAAAATGACCATTGGCATCTCAAGTCTACTCGGTGCAGACTCCAACATCCTTCTCATCCCTGTGAGCCACCAATCAGGGTGAAACTGAGAGATAAGCCGGGAAAAGCAGAGCCACTGTGGCCAAGAGGAATTGTTCTGGGGGTTGTTTAGTAAGCAGGAAAGTGAAAAGTTAAAAAAAAAAAAAAAACACATACGGGGGTTGAATGCTACCAGCCAAAGAAGGCAAGGTGTACACATATCTTACAACCAGGAAATGTATCTGAATCATATGGCATCAAAATATGTTCGAAGCATTAAATCTGTATGAATCTCCTGCAACCTCAGTTCTTGCCTCCTTAATAGAAAGAATTCAACCAAGAGGCATAAGGCAGAAGGAGAAACCAAGGCAACATTTAGAACAGGAGTGGAAGTTTATTAAAAAGCTTTATAGGCCGGGCACGGTGGCTCACGCCTGCAATCCCAGCACTTTGGGAGGCCGAGGTGGGCGGATCACCTGAAGTCAAGAGGTCGAGACCATCCTGGCCAACATGGTGAAACCCTGTCTCTACTAAAAATACAAAAATTAGCTGGGCATGGTGGTGTGCACCTGTAGTCCCTGTTACTCGGGAGACTGAGACAGGAGAATCGTTTGAACCCAGGAGGCAGAGGTTGCAGTTAGCTGAGATCACGCCATTGGACTCCAGCCTGGTGACAGAGCAAGACTCCGTCTCAGAAAAAAAAAAAAAAAAGCTTTAGAGCAGGAATGAAAGGAAGTAAAGTATGCTTGGGAAAGGGCCAGGGAGATAACTTGAGAGATCAAGTGCATGCTTTGATTTTTGACTTGGGGTTTTATATGTTGGCATGCTTCCAGGGTCTTGTGTTACTTCTCCCATGATTCTTCCCTTGGGGTAGGCTGTCCACATATGCAGGGGCCTGCCAGCACTTGGAGGGGGCACAAGCACAATGTGTTTACTGAAGTTGTATGCGTGCTCACTTGAGACATTCTTCCCTTACCAGTCAAGTGTTCCTTGCAGGTCATGTACCAGTTAAACTCCACCATTTTACCTCTTTCTGTGCATGCTTGAGCCTACTTGCCCAAGTCCTGAGACCTTAACGGGAAGCTGCTGATGACCAGCCTCAGGTTTTTTTTTTTTTTTTTTTTTTGAGACACAGTTTCTCTCTTGTTGCTCAGGCTGGAGTGCAATGGCGTGATCTCGCCTCACGGCAAACTTCTCCTCCCAGATTCAAGCGATTCTCCTGCCTCAGCCTCCCAAGTAGCTGGGATTACAGGCATATGCCATCACACCCAGCTAATTTTGTATTTTTAGTAGAGATGGGGTTTCTCCATGTAGGTCAGGCTGGTCTCGAACTCCCGACCTCAGGTGATCCGCCTGCTTCGGCCTCCCAAAATGCTGGGATTTCAGGTATGAGCCACCACGCCCGGCCTCAGGTGTTTTCTATCTATGGGGAGACTGCCTTTCCCTGGTGTTGACTGTGACCAATTATTACTTTACTGAGACAATTAAGCAACCACCTGACCGTAACTTGACAGTTGCCTGGCATTTCTGAGGGCAAGGGACTCTCCTTCCCTGTTCATGTCTGACTACTTACCGTAACATTTAAACAGAAAATAGTATATTTGTCACACAGACAGGTAAGACAAAGAGTCATGGAGTTATGATAAAATGAATAATATATGACCTATAGTAATAAAGAATAAGAGATTAGAAGAAGAGAGAGTAAAAATGAGACAGGAAGTGGATGGGGATGGTTGAAGAAAAAAATGAGTTAAAAAAAGTTGTAGTTCAAAGGGACTTATAAGCTTTCTAGAAAATACAGCATGCGGGATAGTTGAAAAAAGACACTTGGCAGACATAAGATATTAATAAGAAATGACAGAAGAGGCTAATGTTTTGTAGTCAGATGGAGGATCTAAGGTTTTGATAATGTGACTCTCAATAGAGATATGAGCACAAAGAAGGAAACCAAAAAGAGAACCAAAGAGAACCAAAGGGAACCAGTAAGAGATGCTGAAGTGGCTGGGCACAGAGACTCACACCTGTAATCTCAGCACTTTGGGAGGCTGAGGCAGGTGGATCACTTGAGGTCAGGAGTTCAAGGCCAGCCTGGCCAACATGGTGAAACCCCATCTCTACTAAAAAATACAAATATTAGCTGGGCGTGGTGGCGGGTGCCTGTAATCCCAGCTACTTGGGAGGCTGAGGCAGGAGAATCTCTTGAACCCAGGAGGCAGAGGTTGCAGTGAGCCGAGATTGCACCATGGTACTCCAACCTGGGTGACAGATTAAGACTCTCTGGAAAAAAAAAACAAAAAAACAACTTATGTTGAAGCACTCAAGTAGTGACAACAGGAAAACAGTTGCCACTCTCAGTCTGATAGTGCAAAGAGAAGACATAATGTTATTAGAGCTCCAAAAGAGTTGGAATCCTTGAAATGGGTACACTAGCAGAGGCTGTATTCCTGCAGGGGTGTAGCATTTGCCATAATCCAAAAAGTGAAGCAGGGAAGACACAGAAGAAGAGAGCCTTACCTATTTTCTTCTGCTATACAAACTCCTCCTGTTATCTTTCAGTTGTTGAGACCAATTTGCAGTCAAAATACAGTCAAAAAAGGTAAAGATAGGCTAATTGACTGGGTTAGCCTTATGGGTTAGAGAGCAAAGTTCATATCTGGTTAAGTTATGGTTAGTCTTATGTCAATTTCTTAATAATGTAAGTGCAGTTTGACTATTTTTTGCTCCCACTTGTAGGTCTCTCTCTTTCTCCTTTGAATCTTGGGTATTCATTACAATTATCCTAGTCTCATTCTAATCTGTTTATCCTCCCAAAGTCCCTTAACATAAGTGGCCTTCCAATTTTCTGATGAAACCAGTCTTAATGGAAGACAACAATGAGAATAAACTCTCTTGGGAACAAAGGCAATATAAAAGAGGAAATTTTAGATCAAATGCATCTATTATGATAGAATGTATTGGAGCAGGGTGAAGGCATACTAGAAAAGAATACCTTTCTATGTTCCATGACATTGTGCTGCCTCTCTTAAGCCCATGACTAACAGAATTAGCATTACCATTCAAATCCGTCTCTTCAATTCTGAATGCTCCGGTATAACATCCACTCTGAATATTTAAAAGCTCTGCTCTACCCTACCATGATGGCTTTGGCTTTCACAAGTGGGTTTTAATTGTCTGGGGAGGTAAAAGGACCTAACTGCCATTCCATTATTTAGCATTTTTACTGTTCACAGATATGTTCTTACTTTTATAGCCTCCCTGTTGATTTTCATGATTAATGGATGTGTCTCTCTCTCTGGCAAATTTTGAATAAGTCTTAGCCTGAATGGTTATAAATGTAGGTAGCTCTTTCAACCTCCCTTATCTACCAACAAGGCTGGTACAGATAAAACAGTACGAGGCATGTGTAACATTTCTATAATTATGAAATAATAAAAAATAATACCAATTTTTGAGATTATTGTGTCTTAATGTTGCAATGCAGACCGGAAATACATAAATGGTAACACAAACTTGTGACTGTCATTTATCATCATATAATACTAGAGATCATAAACCTTTTTAGCTAATAAAAAACAAAAAGAATGGCCTGGTTATGTTCTCTGTCAATAATCATTTTAAAAAGGTCAGTTCGGCATAAGAGGGCAGGTTAGTTCAGAATCAATAAAGATATTGTTTAATATTTCTAAAAAAATTGTTATTGATTTATCTATCTATAAATTTTTAAATATTTCCTGTTAGATGCCTAGCTCTTATAAGTTCTGAAACCAGGAAAGCAGAAATCATATAAATGTGACATCTGAAAAAATTATATGTGAACTGAGTACCTCGTATAAAGATAAAAGGACTCATAGTACTTGATCTGTCTTTAAAATAATCACCACAATAACGGAAAACAAACATGTAAAGACATAATACCAATAATATGAGAAGAGCTATTTACAAAAAAACAGTATACAGCCTAAAAAGGAAATTAAAGAGGAGATATAATCACAGCTAGCTTATTGAAGTGAGGGAATAGGAAAGTGTGGTGTTTCATCATTAAATACTTCACTGAACTAAACTATTTATGGTAATGTAGAATGTCATAGTAATGTGAATTATTGGCAGAAGAGTTAATTTAGGATTTTAGCCAAAAAAAAAAAAAAAGGTAGGGATGTAAGTAAAGCTTTTAAATTCCTAGCTGCTTCTCAGTTGGTAGATGTCATTAGTTGTTAATGTAAATTTATTTGTGATTAATTATGACTGTCAATAAGAAATTTTGTAGAACGAAGTACCGGAGAAAAAATAAGAACACATGAAGAAAGCCACATAAGAAGACTGGCACGAAACAGGCAGACATCCAAGGAAGTTACTCTAAGGAGCCACAAAAAACAAAGTCCCATCTTTAATAAAAAGATTTAGAGATTCAATCTGTTTCAAAGATTCCCTGATTAACTGTCTGGAAACATGAAGTGTCAGATTAAGCATTAAGTTCAGCTCATGCTTACTGCTTTCCATGTCTTAGAAAGGGAAAGTACTTTAAAAGAACCAATCTGTAATATAGAAGACAGGGAAAATGGCTCTTAATAGAAACAAGGAAATGCTAAGAAAAGTAAACCATAACTGAACAACGCTGAAAAGTTTAAAGGGAATTAAAACATAAATGGCTTTAGACAGGAACAGAAAAATTATGATAAATAGAAAAAACATCTGCAATACTGGATATATAACATTAACGTGGATCTTCATTCATATAATTTTCTAAGAGTTTTGGACAAAGTGTACCCTGTGACTTTCATAAACTGTTGATAGAAATGTAAAATGGTAAAATCTCTTGGAAAATGTTCTTCAGCTTCTTAAAAAATTAAATATAGCCCTATCATCTGACCCAACAATTCTACTCCTTGGTATTTATGAAAGAGAAAAAGGAAATATATGTCCTTTTAAGGACTTATACCAAATGTTCAGCTTTATTTACAATAGCCAAAATTTTTTTTGTAAAAGCTAAAAAAGTGAAAAAAAAAAAAAGGAAATGGCACAAATGTTTATCACCAGATAATGAATAACCAATTTATACATTGTTTATTCAATGGACATCCAAGTGATAACTATTCAAGTGATAACCAAGATACCCAAATTGTCCAAATAACATCCAAATGTTTACCAATGGATAAATGATTATGTTATATCGATACAATGGGATGCTATTTATCAATTAAATGAATAAATTATTGACGCATGTATTGAGATGGATAAAGCACAAAATATTTATGCTGTGTAAAATACGCCAGACCAAAATACAAGAGTACATACCATATCAATTCATTCTATAAGTCTCAGGAAAGTAAACAGTAATATGCAGTTACTGAAAACAGGTCAATTGCGTTTTGGAGATGTGGAGTAAAAAAGAGTGTGAGGGAGGAATTACCAGGGGCATTGGTAAACTTTTGGATATATACTTTCTCATGATTGCAGTGATGGTTTTTATTGTGTAAGCATATGTGAACATTTGTCAAATCGTATACTTTAAATACATGTTAAATATGTGTGGTTTATTGAATATCAATTATTTCTTAATAATACTGCTTAAGAAAATAATTGTGAGAGTCTTCATTCACGAAGTGATCCTGAGACTTTTGAAGAAGCTACAGAGTCCCATTCTCTTAAGTACAGTGATGTCAGTCACGAAATAATGTGATTACTTTGTTAAGTGATCTCCTTTACTAAGGGACTAGCTTTTGCTGGCTAACAACTTTCCATTGGGATATTTCACATTCATTAATTTATTCATTCAGGTATTGTTTCATTCATTATCCTATCAACATATCTCTCTATGTCTGGGTCTGTCTTAGACCCTTCAAACTCAAGTTCTCTTAAATTGAGCAAGTTATCATTTTCCCATGTCCTTTACAAGGCTTCTCTTCTTCACTTCTTAATTTTAGTTAATTGTATCATTACTTAACCATTTGCCATAATGTTTTTTTTTTTTCAGCAAACATTAGTGAGGGAATTCAGTATAATTCAAATACTGAATTAAAAAGATAACTAAGATTTAGTCCATGCTCTCAAGGATATTAAACTAATGTGGTAGAAGATTTAATATGTAAACAAAATGTAGTAATATAATCTGTTGGTTTTACAGGCTATGGTATGGACTGATCTATTCTGTCAAAAGTAATTTTAAAAAGCTTTAAAGAAACAAAATATGTTAAAAAACAGTTTGAAGAGTGACTATGAATTTTATTTCAGACAAGACAGAGGGAATTTTATCTCAGTAAACAACATCAGAAACAAAAGCATAGTATAAAATGTTGTGTTTGGGCAAAGATGAATACTTGTGGTTGTTATTTAAAGAGATAATGTGAAAAACTGCTTTCAGATTAAGTTGCCAGTTCTTAAAAAGTCATAAAACCAAATAGAAACATCTGAATAGACTACTAGAATGAGGGAGGCCCTGAATGTACCATTGTTTGAAGAGTTGATGGGACTAGTGTCTTTCAGGCCAGTGTTCTCTGCGTCCTCAGAAAATACGCGGTGATATTGACACCACACATGAAGAATCCCTCTCAGCCTTTTCACCTTGCCAAGACATCAGATTTCTTCCTGCAGATCATGTCAAGGACATTCTGACATCGTGTGGTAGACAGATGTTCTATCTAGATTCCCCTTCAAAGAAGGAATAGCTGCCTATTTAAAGAAAGTGTGGTCAGTAGAAAATCTCCAGTTGTCAGCTTCTTCAGGACCTACCTTTGCGTCAGGGACAGCTTTGCCCAAGGTCATGTTTTGCCTGAGGCAGCCAATGTTCTACAGCTAACTGAGGAGGGATTATAAAGCTATAGCTATTTAGGTCTAATGCATGAAAATTTAGAATGGAAATCCCTGCTTCTGAGCTCTCCATCACTAACTTGACTGATTTTTTATTTAGGGTGGCATTGTATTTCAGCTCTTCCCTTTATATGGTCCCGGTTTCTCCTCCTACTTTTTCAAAGACATTGATCATTAACAAATGCTTTGCACTAAAACTTCATTTCGGCTGCTGTTTCCAGAGAACTCAACCTGCAAATCATCTCAACCTCATTGAATATTTGACATTGTCAAGGCTAGGTTTCAGTCAACCAACCAAATAAATAGTAGAATTACTCCTCATGTTTAAACTAATATATTCAGTCAAGAAACCAAAGTGTCTCCACTTAATATACTGCCCCAGTGTATTGATATGTTTTGGCTTTCTTGATTTAATTCTCTTGTATCCCTAGTCCCCACATATATTTTTCAGTTTTGTTGCCTTTATAAATTAGCAAATCTTGCCCGTATTTTGAAATATAAACTAATCTTCTGGGTCTGATTTTTATCTTATCTCTGAAGCATGCTAAAATATGATTATAATCATAAGTCTTGAACAATAAGCTGTGGTGAACTTGTGTCTTGAGGGGAAATGACATCCCCATGCAAGGCAACAGCCTACAGTTATGAAGTAAGATAAAATTAGTCTCCTTACCCACTGCTGGAGATGATGCTTCCACAGGTAAAACAATCTAAAGGAAATTTTAATATTTAAGGGTTTCAATTACAAACAAGTGTCAAAATTCATCCCTTCTCATTTTACTCCCAAATAAGTGACAATTCCATAGAAGTGACTTTAAAAAGTAAGAATTCAACTTGTATAATTATTTTCAACCAGCATAATTAAATTTGGGGTATAATTTTCATTGTTATCTCCTCAGTCGTTATAAGATGTAAGTGATTATTTTGGGACCACAATAGTACCTCTCTAATTATCTGTGATTGGTAAGAAAACTTTAAGGCACTGATCTTTTATGTTTATTTCTATAAGCTTCTTGGAATAATCAGAAACCAGCTTCCCACCCTCAGTTCTTTATGTCAGTATTAATACAATAATGGCCAACAACTGCCTGATCTTAGATAGTATAACCTATGTATTAGTCCATTCTCATACTGCTGTGAAGAAATACGTGAAACTGGGAAAATGTATAAAGGAAAGAGGTTTAATTGACTCACAGTTCTGCATGGCTGGGGAGGCCTCAGGAAACTTACAATCATGGCAGAAGGAGAAGCAAACGCATCCTTATTCATATGGCACCAGGAGAGAGAAAT
This sequence comes from Homo sapiens, assembly GCF_000001405.40. Taxonomy (NCBI): domain Eukaryota; kingdom Metazoa; phylum Chordata; class Mammalia; order Primates; family Hominidae; genus Homo; species Homo sapiens. Next base: position 34,371,191 of record NC_000004.12, read on the forward strand.
GCATAGCGAAGTGGGGGAAGCCCCTTATAAAATCATCGAATCTTGTGGGAACTCACTTACTATCACAAGAACAGCATGGGGGACTAACTCCATGATTTATTCACCTCCCACAACATCCCTCCCTCAACACATTATGGGCATTACAATTCAAATTACAATTCAAGATGTGATTTGGGTGGGGACACAGCCAAATCATATCAACCTAAAAGACTGACGAGTGTTAATTTAAGTAATTTTGATACCACTGCATGCTAAAAATCATCTTTTTCTGTTAACTGTATTCATCATCAAAACTAATTTCAGAAATCTGTATTTAAGGATATGATTCCTGGGACTAATCATGGTACCACTTACAGGCTTTGAAAGAAAGAATCAAAAACCCAGAAGCAGTGGTTGGTATTGCACCAGCGATAATTAAATATAGGAACTAATGTGTATAGCTTTTAAAAAGCTACTATTCCATATGCTGGGGAACCTAAGGGACGATATGCTGTCACAAAACCTATGTGCTTAGAGCCAGTGGCTGAACAATTGTCATTTGGTCTCTGAAGGTCTGGAAAGGGGTCTCCTGAGGCTCCCGCTTCATAGTAAGTGCTTGGACCTCTTGTGTAGATGTGTTTTTGTGTGTGTGTGTGTGTGTGTGTGTGGTGTGTTGGGGGTGTGGTCACTGTGCAGCTGGTGCTGACATCCCTGACACAGTGCAGATGGCTGGTTCTAGGAGTGCTGGCAGATACTGGGTTGGACCCTAACTGCCTTTTGCTGCTAGAAGAATGCAGGCAAAGTTAGAAAACTGGAAGAAAATTCTTTTTTTACTTCCTCCCTCTTTGCTGTCTCCCTCAAGGGCCCCTCTCCATGCTCCCCCGTCTCCTGCCCCTCATTCCATTGATACAAATGAAAAGAAAACCATCTGGTAAGAGACTTTGGGAAATGAAATTTAGAGTATAGTGTCTCAGGCCCAGTGTTACTAAGAAGCACACAGAAGAGTGAGCTGGGAATTCAGAAAGAATGAATAAATATCTTTCTCCGTCATACTCAGAAAATAAAATTATTTTCTAAAAAATGGATTAAAGTAAACACAGAAATACATACACATACAGCAGATTGATGACCATGCTATCCACAGCAGAATAAAAATTGAAAATGGGTCACCAAAACTAAAGTTTAGTCCAAATATCATAAGAAATAACCAAGTTGGAGTTTAGTTATTTTTGAATGATATTATTTTTCTTTTATTTTATGTTACAGAAAATGGGCAGCTAAAGAAGATAATTGAGTAGGGACACAGTTTATTGCCATTACTGCTCAAATAGGTTTTCTTTTTGTTTGTTTATGTAGGTAATTTTATCAATCTTTTCTTTTACAAGTATTGAATTTTGACTTACAGTGAGAATGGCCTTTCTCATTCCAAAATATAAAGAAATTCAATCAAGCTTTCTTCAAGTACTTTTTCTAGTGCCATTATTTTTTGCATTTAAATAGTTGATCTATTTGGATCTCATGGCATGTGGTGCAAAACACAGACTTATGGGAACTGCTAAATAATGGTATCGATTATGCCGCATCTGCAATTCTGGGAGCAGTAATGTGTGATTGCATTTAGGAAAAAGCTATCAGTTTATTGTTCTAACTAGCTCAGTCATCAGGTTTTACTTTGAAAGGGTCTGTATGCCATACATAAATGGAATTGTCATTTTTAATAGTGGTTTATACAGTTGGTTCATGATTTCTCCTTTGTGTAACAAAAAGCTAGAGCCTTAGATCAAGAGCTGGTTTCAACAAAGACAGATTTAGCCCTGAGCTCACTTGTGGCACTGTCTCTTTTTACAACCGTAAAACTGGCATTGCATCATTTTGAGTAGAAAATAGAATCCTCATCATGCTTTTACATTATGCATGTAGCAAACATTTGTTAGCAAACTTCCTTATAATTAATTCAATTTTCCCCCCGAGGGAAATATTGCTTAAAAAACATTTACTGTATGATTAATTTAATTTTATAAATTTGATTAATACTTCAACTTTGGAGCTTTTCATGTATGTTGTTAAAATAAATTCTACTTGAGTTTTAATAATTTCATGACTGTTCCTTTTTAGCCCTGTTATTTGCTTTGGATTGTAAAATTCAATAAGAAGAAAATTCACAGTCAATGGAACTGGGCGGTGTTGGGGCTTTTAGTCTGGAAATGAATAACATGCCTGTGTAGAGATGACAATAATTTAAGGCTCTGAGAGCAGGTCTTTATTTACTTACTATTGAAATCAGACACAGTCTTTGGTCTGATGCAGTAAATATTTTGTAATTTTATTGGAAACTATAACATCCTGGCACTCACAGAAGCCAGTTTTCTATACAGTGTTACATGACATCTTCACAGTAATGATAAATTAGATGCAACCTCCAAAATATCCAAGCTTAGCCATTTATAAGGAAAATGGATACTGAAGCAATCTTACTTCTCATAACAACAATTTTCACAATTCTGGTCTACTGCCAGATTAATTCTTTTTGGAATATATTAAGTGTGTTTGCAGGAAAAGGGAAAATGACTCTAGTATTTGTTGCGTGTTTCGTATGTTTCAAACACTGTATTGCTCTGTGCTATGCATTTTAACTTTGCTATTTGGTAAAACTCCCACGGTAATCCATGAGGTTGATGGTGCTAACTCCATGCTGCTTTTGCAGATACAGACTCAGAAAAGGCAATATTCACAGTTTGTACAATTAGTCTGTGGCTTTCAACTGAGATCGCATTACTATTCTGCCAACAAGAAAAATATTAGTAAAAACACCAAGACATTCTTTCCATAGGCACACATTATATCAGCATATATATAAGATACATATTTTTATAAGATTATATATATTATATACATACATATTTGGAACATATGTGCATACACACACATATATTCAGTGGAGATTGCATGCAAGAAGTTTGTACACTTTAAACTGATTCAAGTTATGCATCTTCAATGATTTAAAAGGAAAACACATAATATTGTTTTTAATCAATATTGAAAGAAGAAAGAAACTTGTATTTTACCTGAATTTTCCAAATCTTTCACATGTATGAGTACTACCAAGATTATTTTTTAATAAACAGATACTTTGTATTACTTTCCTATGATAGTAGGAAAAGTAATAAATTATCATAGAGTGACTCAAACCAAGAGAAATTTACTCTCTCACAGTTTTGGAGGGCAGAAGTCCGAAATCAGTATCACTGCGTTAAATCGAGGTGTTGGCCTCTAACCAACTCGGGAGGCTCCCCCTCCCCTCCACTTCCCTCTCCTCCCCTCCCCTCCCCTTCCCTTCCTTTCTTCTTTTTTTCTTTAGTTAGTTCATTCTTCCTTGCCTTTTGTGGTTGATGACATTCCCAGGCTTCCATCCACATCACCTTTGTCCCTATCTTTTTATCACCTTATCTTCTGCATTGAGCGTGTGTACTCTCCCTGCTTCCTTGTTATAAAGGTACATGTGATGGCATTTTGGGCACAACCAAATAATCCAGAATAATCTCTCCGCCTAAAGATCCCGAAATGAATGGTATCTGCAAAGACCCCCTTTTCAAATAAGGGAATGTTTACATGTTCCAGGGATTAGAATGTGATATATTTTGGGGCCATTTTCAGCCAACTACATACTTGATATTTCCGTATTCCTTTGCTTATTCCTCTGCTGTTGGTTTTGGTGAAAAAAAAAAAAAAAACAGTTATTCTTTAAATTTGCACTGTGAGTTTTATTCAATAAAGGTCTTCATATATTTATTTGTTTCAATATTTATTTCATAATTTCTCACAATGTGCTTTAAGTTAGGAAATTCAAAAACAACCAAGTATTGTTATTTGTCAGGAAATGACACAAGACAGCAGATTCAGATGACAGCAAAGTGATAACTATGCCAGTTTCAGCTAAAACAAACATGTAGAATTTTTAAATCTATTGAACAAAATTTCATTCAGCTTTAAGCACTCCCAACATCAAGAGAAAATGCTGAACCATCCACACTCTCTCCTTCCATACCCTGTTTAAAGCCGGTTGTTATATGGTTACAATTTCTTTTTCTACCAAAATGGTCTGACATTTTCTCTTGCCTTGTCTCAGTTTTGCCTTCTTTTACTGACAGCACCTGATTTAATGTGAAATATTTAATTTATATGTTTGAAATGAGATTGAAACTATCCCTGGCCACATTGGTGGCCATTTGACTTTTCTGTAAATCAAAAAGGATTCTAAATATAAAGTTTTCTGGAAAAAGCATTAAGGAAAAGTAATGCTTATTGAAGACAGGCAAGAGAGAGACAACACATGTGTAAGTGATTTTATTGAAAAAGAGAAGCAATATAAGGGAAAAGAAAAAAAGATAAAATTTTAGAAAAATAGGGATAAAAGTAACCTGAATCTACAGATTTAACAGTACAAGATATTCCATGAAAACTTAACACAAAATGTTAAAAAATATATGTCAAGTAGATATCCTAGTGTAGATAATAACTTTCAAAGACAAATAAATAATTTTCATTCATTATCTAGATGAAAATATGAAGTCATCTGTAGGGGAAAACAAAAACAGACTGTCTTTCCATACCTCCTTCACTATAGTGGGAAAGTGCCTACAACTTTTTCATGAAAATCAGGCATAACTCCAAAATTCTATATTCAGGCAAGCTGATACTCAAGTCAGTTGTCAACATGGAAGCCATTTATAATATGAAATATTAACTGAAAGTGTACAGTGTATTTGTCCCTTTGAAGAAACTATCAGAGGATGTTTCTGTTAACTAAGAGATAGTAAAGCAATATATAAATTTATTTGTATGGTGTTAAGTTATAATAAATGTTACCATTTATTATACCATTATTTATGGCAATATGTAATATTGCAAAATGTAATACTAGGAAATCTGACAATGTAGAAAAGGTATATTATACAGAAATTTGAAGAGAAGAGAAGAGAAGATGGGAGGGAATGAAAATATGGGGAGAAAAAGTAGGGAATGGAGAAGATTTCTTCATGGTTCAAAGTGGGAAATAGGCATTGAAGAAATAAATTATTAAGAATATTATACAAAATCATAATTGTGAAGGTAACCACTAGAAAGTAAACATAATTATTTCTTAAAAGAACATATTCCAAAAAAGCAATCTACATGCAGACTGAGTTTTAAAAAACAAAAGGAAGAAAATTTCAAACCTCTGTATATAGTTTGCTACTCTTTATGCTAAATAACTCTACACGAATATAATTACATATGCACAGATCGAAAGGCCACACAAATAAATAGTAACGATTGCACTGGAGGGGAGATGAACTGGATAGAGAAAAAAAATGGAGGAGAAACTGTTTGTAATTCAGTTTATTTGTATCTTTTTAAAAATTTACAGTGTATATATACATATATATCTGGTTAAAATTGAAAAAGTCTATAGTAGAAATTAACAAGTAAGCAAAGGAGGTATATGTGAAATGGGTATTTGGGGAAATAATTGATATACTTTGTTTTGTTTCATACAATATTCTACAAACAGCTCTGGATCCTCACCTATATATGGGTGATTATATAAAAAGTGGGAATGGTATAATTGTTTACTTTAAAAATTTCTAAATGCCTATAGTATTGAATAGATATCAATAGTTTTTATCTAAGAAATATCTCCTCTAGCCGTACTGAGAATTATTTTATTCTCAATAGATCTGTGCTCTGGCATTTTTAAGTTGAGATAAAAGAAAGAAAATATATAGTAAGAAGGAGAAGCAGAAAGTGTGAGGATCAGGTAAGACTTCCAGAGAGCAAGTGATTGATAGCAATAGAGAGAGCAGCGATGATACTGATACCATGGCCAAAGGGGACAGTCCAGATTAATGAAATGCATCCATGCTTGACGCTACTATCTCTCTCTCTCACTTTCAACTTTTCTGCTGCTCTGCTAAGGAAACTCTGGTTGACAAACATAGTTATAAGTGATTAATGACATCTGTGAGCAGCTGAAAAAATATTTAAATACTGAGGAAATACTGAAGTAATTATTTTATTGAAAATTAGTATTTTATTAAGTGATAGATCAATTTTTACTGTGAAGAATTAGGCAGCAACACTTTAAAGCCTAGAACTATATACATCACAATAACCTCTCTCAAAATAATAATGTAAAATCCTCAAAAACTGAATTTTCATAGTATGACCATCTCTAAAGGAATTCTGTATAAAAAGACTGCCAATTTTTTATATAGTAAGGTGGGCCAGTACAAACATCATCGGACCTAGAGTTAAGGAGGTTGCATATCAGTTCCTGGCTTTGTACTATTTGGTGTAATAAAGATGAATATTGACGTTTTGTTGGGATTTTTAATTCTGACTCCAACATTTACTATTTGTTGTCCGTTTCAGTCAGACAGAAGCCACTGCATGTATTTCAAGCTAGAAATGATTTAATTCTAAGAATACGGTGTATGGGCAACCACAATAAAGGCTTAGGTAATACAGATCAGAAAAACTGGTACATTGTAGATTTAATTATATTAATAGATTTCATCATGGGAAGAAAATTAATAGTAAACACCAAAATCAGTTAATAAATCAAGATACCAGCTTGACATTTAAAAATTCTCCAATTTTGAACACATAGAGTGTCACAAGACAGGCACCATAAAAGCCAATAGTCCTGGCTCAGGGGATGTTTCTAGGCTCTTTTTTTTTAGTTGTCAGTGCTCTTGATATTTAAAAGCATTGGTTATGCAGCAGATTCCTGCTGCTTCTTACATAGATTTTTCTTGACTCATATAAGTCCTTTAAATTGACCTATTTTGGTTTTAATTTCTCCCTAAGATGCCTTAACTCATAAGATAGGACCAAAAACCCAAGCGAGATACGATACACACAGTGTGCTCTTAAACCCAGGGTGAATGTCTTTATCCCAGTATCCTGTTAGCTACTTGGCTCAGTGAGACCAGACTATAAAATCATTTTAAGAAACGTAAGGTAGTAGTTTCTTTTTTGATAGAGTTTATTAATTTTATGTGAATTTACAAAAGAAATACTTATTGAAAAGGCAAAAATTATCTATTCTCTGCTTTTATAATAACATAATGCAGTATAAATAAAATAATAGGAAAACATCTTAAGATAGTAAATTTGTGACACTTGCTTTTATGTGAAAAGAGATTAATTCAATCTAAATCATCATTTAAAAATGGGCATTAATGTGCACAAATATCCTTTGGAATATCTATAAGTTATACATGATATCAAGATTAAACTAATGATGATTTATCACATTGAAATGTTTCTTCAAAGTATAAGAAAGAAATTATCATTAAATTAACATTTTATTAGACCATTAGACCAAAACATATGCTAGTAAATCAATAACCAATCTTTACCAAATAAGCACACAAACATACACTAAGACCTATCTATCATCTGTCTATTCATCAAACCCAGTACAATGTTTTGAAAAATTAAAAGCTCTAGTTTGTCCTCAAAGACTTTCTTTTTTTTTCATTTTTCGAGAAGGAGTCTTGCTCTGTCGCCAAGGCTAGAGTGCAGTGGCGCGATCTCGGCTCACTACAAGCTCCGCCTCCCGGGTTAACACCATTCTCCTGCCTCAGCCTCCTGAGGAGCTGGGACTACAGGCGCCCACCACCAGCCTGGCTATTTTTTTTGTATTTTTAGTGGATTCGGGGTTTCACCATGTTAGCCAGGATGGTCTCTATCTCTTGACCTCGTGATCCACCCGCCTCCGCCTCCCAAAGTGCTGGTATTACAGGCGTGAGCCACCACGCCTGGCCTCAAAGACTTTCTTAAAAAATGAATTGCTATAGAACTACTCTGGTAGGTAATAGACATTACACAGTGCTTGTAGAGCTGGGATAATCACAAGAATAAATGAGGCCTATTTTCCATTTTTGTCATATGGCATCTGATATTCAGAGAGGTTGAAATTACAGACTCAAAGTAATGAAGTTTTTTACAACAGGAGAATGACATCAATATCCTGATAACTCATTTGTTCTTTTTTAATACTCAATTCAAGGAAAATACAATTTAAGTTTTCCTTTGAAATATGACTAGAATAGAGAATGCTCTAACCACTATCTGCTACTCCATGTCAATGTATATGAAAATATCCTGCTTTAGATGGATTAAGTATGTGCCAGAATGTTTTTATACACTTTGATAAGAATATAAAGTGTCATTTTTAAAATTCTTTAATTTAAATAATGTTGTCTGTGACATTGTAGATGGTTTCAGGAATATCAAAGTAAATACAAAGCCATGTGTATATCAATTAATGACTCTCAGGTCCACTTGTCCACAAAGAATGTTCATCAAGTGCCTAACTCTAATGTTAGTAAGGTTTTAATTAGGTAGGAGAAAACTAAAGCTATATTTATAGATTTGACTTTGTCCTACCTCAGGAACGAGAATTGGCTAGGCTATCTTGAAGTCTAAAATAATTTTTAGCTATTGGTGCAGGGAATTTCTCTAGGTGATCGAAATCAGAAGAGTGGCTGCTGCTGCAGGTAGAGGGTCAGGAATTGACTGGCAATGGCCATGGAGGAACATGTTTATGGTCTACCGCTAAGTGAATAAAAAGAGAACAAATAACACCAAAGTTTAATCTCATTTGTGCATTAATAATATTGATAGAGGTTATGCTGGAAGGACACACCAAATGTATACTAGCAGTTATCACTCTATCATGGAATTGAGGCGATTAAAATTTGTATCAAGTTTTTCTCAATTATTTTCTAATGTTTCCATTATGTATATCATCTGCTAATGTCCTAAAGGGGAAAAAGGAAAAATCTGGGTAAATTTCAATATGGTCAAACTTTTTCTTTTATTTTTGTGATATTAAGCAATTACTTTAAAATATCCACAGACTTTGACAGAGTATAAAACATGATTAGATTTCCAGCAGCAGCTCATGTGGCTGAGAATAACACAAAAGTCATAATTGACCTTCAGACTAGAACTGAATGCCAGAAGAAATGTTCATCAAAGAAGAAATCCTGTAAAGAAAAATCAGGACCAGTAGCCAAAGAAAATTTTAGCTACCCAAACATTCCAGCCTGGGCTCATTCCAGAGGCACAACTATATAATACCTTGAAGTAAATCTGTAGCATTGGTCTTCTATCATGTAATTAAAGCTTTATTGACAGTGTCTTTGCTTTTAAATTATTTAAATAGATATAAGACATAGCCTTTAGCTTTTTATAGTCTCCCTTTTTGTGCACTTACGTCATTTTTTACTAGATTCTGCCAATATAAACCTCTATCCTTTGCCAATGTGATCAGTAATCTAGTGGCCAACAGAATAGAAGTGGAAGCATGTGGTGCCTGCATCTGACTTAAATAATAAGTGGTATATATTGACAATGACTGACTTTAAGCCAATTGAGCTTATAGGTTGAGAAGAAGAAGTTGAATAGAAAGCTAATTGATTGCATTAGTTACTCTTAACTACATTTGTCAAGTTAACTGCAAGAATTCTCTGCTAATATGGGGAAATAAATATAATAAAAACAAAATAAGGGAGTCCAGAAATGTTGAGACTTTCAAGTTTGGCAGAAGTAACTGCTTCTCATCTGTAGTCAAGAAATAAAAAGCATCAAACAGAAAAGACCTTTGAGCAACAAAGGCCAAATAGACTCACTGTTGCCGCAAGGATCAAGTCAAGGGCGTTCCTGCTGCATGCATTCTTAAGAGTTCTGACTTGATTTAGGTGTCTCAGATCAAAGACTCAATTCCGGTTTGACTACCAGTAAATTCTCTCTATTGGACAAAATGACTCAGAAAACACAAATAAAAAATAGGTGTCTCCAGAGAAACTTGACATGCTTAAAATACAAATAATTAAGACAAGAGGGCAAGGCAGACAGAGTCAAAAAAGCAAAGATTTGTCACGAATGTAAGAAGTGTGCATAGAAACGAAATGTGGATGAAGCTGTCGGTACTTGTGGCTGATTGAATCATATTGCTAGGAAGCCTACTATGTTTTAAAGACACAATTATGGCTTAGACTGAAAAAAAAAATCTGTGAATGTTTAGGACAAGAATATACAAAAGTACCAGAAATACCAAGACCAGAAATATGAGAACTCTACTTTTCAAGATCCCCAATCTTCTAAGGGCGGGAAGCAAGTTAAGAAAAAACTGCTAAATTTCCAAAAAGGGTATGATTTCTGCTGGGTCTTTACCTGAGAATTGGTAGAAAAATGAAGGGGAGAGAGTTACCCAGAGAACGGAAAGAAGCAGCACAGAGAAAAATGTACTGAACGTCTCCTCACAATAGCTATCCATGTGGATTTCAGAATTGACACACAGATCTTTCTTTCTGAATGGGGGTCTTTGCTGAGATTAGACAGTTCCCTGGACATGCTGCATAATTTATCTATTTAATTTATGAATGTCTGAATCAAGAAAAACTACATAGGTATTTAGGATAAAGAGGCTAATATAAACAATATTCTGACAGAGATATCAAGAAGCACAACATGTATCTTGGATGACATCATGCATGATGCCAGGAGCAGATGGGGATTCCACGATGCCTCCATTGGAAAGAGCTACTTGCCTTTTTTTTATGTGGAGTAAAGTGAGAACCAAGTATTTGGTGAAAAGAGACGTGGAGTGTTAAAACCATTATTCTACTCACCATTCAGTAGTCCCAAATCTGGGAATAAGAGGAATTATATTTCCAGATCCACTTTTAATTGAGTGGGACCAAGTTACTAGTTCTGTCCAATAAGCCGTGGGCAGAAAACAAGGTCGGATGTCAACTCTAAAAGTCATTTTTTAATTTACAAGTCAGTGCTTTTCAGATATTTTTTTCCTTCTGGCATAATGAAAAGCATTCGGCATAGTTCTATAGGTTTGAGTCATTATTTAGCTAATTAAGCAAAGCAAACTTCATAAAAATTTCTATTTGCCTCCAAATGTGTGAGAACTCAAAATGTTATTGGTTTGTGTCACTCAAGTTTTTTTTTTTTTTTTTTTTACTCCTTTCACTAATAAGCTTTTGGTGGCATTATGTTTCACTTTACATACAAAGAAGCAGAGGTTAAAGAGGATCCCTAAATTGGCCAGGCGTGGTGGCTCATGCTTGTAATCCCAGCACTTTGGGAAGCCTAGGCCGGCGGATCACGAGGTCAGGAGGTGGAGACCATCCTGGCCAATATGGTGAAACCCGGTCTCTACTAAAAATACAAAAAAATTATCTGGGCGCCGTGGCGGGCACCTGTAGTCCCAGTTACTCGGGAGGCTGAGGCAGGAGAATTGCTTGAACCCGGGAGGCAGAGGTTGCAGTGAGCTGAGATCGGGCCACTGCACTCCGGCCTGGTGACGTCTGGGTGGAGGTGTGAGTGAGGGTGGGGGTGGGGGAGGGGCGGAGGGAAGAGGATCCCTGAATTGCCTCAGGTCATTTGGACATCTAGCTACCATTTGAACTCTTGTCTGCTTCTAAAATGCATCTTTTTTTTTTTTAATGCTTTTAACTTACTTTACCTTGAGGGATATCTAATCCTCTCAAATACTTTAAATACAACAGTAACTACAGCACACATCTATTATTCATTCTGAAGGCCCTCTCTCTCCCCCAATCATATTCTTGTTATAAAAACTGCTATTGGCCACATATACTTTATCTATGTGTAGACTTCTATTCAAAGCGCGGGAAGTCATGCTTTCTATCCCTGCCCTGCTATAGCCCAGAGGTACAATTTTGGAACAATCAGTGTCTTCTCCAAAACTTTTTTGTTTTTTAATTGAAATGGTTAACAAGTCATTCTTCAGAGGCAAAAGGAGCTATTTGAAGCCAAACTTACCTCTTGTTGAGAAAACCTGACTTTAATGACGCAAAGGAGGGCACCGAGAAAACAAAACCAGACAGGAAAAATGACAAAAACATTCTTTTGGTTCTCAAGCCTTTGTTCCTAGTTCTTCTTGAGGAATAGTCTGCCTTTCCTGTGATTTGAAATCATAATTGAATTTTTTTAATTTATGAGATTCTACTTTCCTAAGGCAGTTCCAGTTTTGATTCTGTTACTAATACCAAAGAATTATAAAATCATATATGCAAAAGCCCATGTTATTAGATTTTCAATCATACTTTTTTTGGTTTCTATTTTTTTTCCTTTAACTTCTATGTGTTCAGATACTTAATCAGCAAATTTCATATTTTGTCATGCTCTATTAAATTTAAAATAGAATACTGTGTGACTACTCAGAGAAGAGAATCTTCTGAAATGTGTGAAAATGCAATTGATCTTTAAATGTTCACGTGACAAAGAAGGAGATTGGTTAAGTTAACAAAATCATGAATCAGTTCTTACTATGGAAAGGTCCAATGGTAAGATGTCTAACAGTTTTTATTGGAATATTTAATTAAAAGTGCACCATCAAATAGGGCTCAAAGATCTATTATTGAAAATACACTTTTATTGAAACAGAAATCATTAAACTTGAATTTCTCCTTTATATGATCGTCATGGTTGAAACTGCCTTTGCAAAAATGGTATCAGTGAGAAAATTATGGCAACAGGAAAGATCTGATCTAGCCAACTTCTGTCTCTTCCTTTTAGCTTTCATGCTGCTTTAATTATTCCTAGGCTTAGGCCAAGATAACTTTGGAAGACATTTAAGTTACAGTTTAAATAATAATAGCTGTTCCCTAAAAAGCCACAACCTTTGTAAAGCTAATGAGAGACCACCAGGCTAGAGGGAGAAGAGGAGCCTGATTTCTGTTAATGTACAGTAGGCATAAAGGATTGCCAGTCATTATTCTGGAGGTCCTGCAGATAGCATCACTATTGTACAATGGCTTGTAAAGGAATCTTTTCAGAGTTGTTGGCATGTCTGACACCCATGGCTCTAGGACCCATTGGAACCAATGGCTCATCTGGCCGCACCCAGAAATGATTCTGAATACAGGAGGACCATTTCACGCACCTCTTCGGTTGCACTCCAAAAAATTAGTGGCAAGCACCCATTTCCTAGCCATCCCCACCCCTTCCCCAAACTGACTTTGAGAAACCCCTAGCCTACCAGCTTCGATGAAATTGATTTGACTAATGATGCTGTCTCCCACGTGACATGGCTAGCCTTGCATCAATTAAACACTTTCTTTAACGCAATGCCATAGTCTTTATTTATGCAGCAGTCGGGAAGAATCCCAAGGGTGGTTATATGTTCAACAATGAGGAACAAGTTAAATTAAAACAAAACAAAACAAAAAAAACCTTACGCTATTAGTAATTGTATTTCAATTTGAGGATAGAATATATGGATTTTCTCGTAAGAAAATACACTTACTATACTTTGCATTGCTTTTGAGTTATAGAGTGTAAAATATAACAAATTGCATATAGATTTAACCTAAGATTTTATGGATAAAAAACCTTGTACCCAGCTGATTAGAAGTATATTGCTTAAAAACAAAATTTTAAATAAGCTGAGCCTGTTAAATTTGAATTCACTTGATTTATTTTCTCCCTTACTCTCCTGTGTGGTGAAATGAAACTGTTCAAAAGACACTTTGATGACTTGAACCAAATGGAGAATCTTTATTTTATTTGCTAGAAAGAGTATTTATGCTTCAAATGTAATGGTTCCTGAACTATTCTCCAATTACGATTTAGTTACTATAATTTTGGGAAGAATAATTGTAAATTTATTGTGTGTATGTATAGTAGAGCAATAAGCCTATACAACAAACGTTTTATCCCTTTAGTTTGAAAGTTTAAACTCAGACTGGATGTTACTTTGACCAAGCCCAACTGTATATTGTGCTTGACTAGTAGTATTTCTCCGGAGATGTATTTATCTATTAAATATTCATCCTTTCCTTGGTTTTTATTATAATCCAATATTAGCCTTTTATTATGAGACTTCTATATATATATATATATACACATACACACAGATACATATATAGCTTATATAAGGTATATATGATAAATGACTTAGCATCATCTTTTTTTGAAGAATCCCCATTAATTTTGAAATGTCACTTTTTTAAAATAAATATTATTGTATATATTGTGTGTATTTGTCATGGAATACATAGATATTAAAATGGCTATTATAATGAAGCAGATTAATATGTCTATCATCTCACATGTGATAGATGACAAGAGCAGCTAAAATCTACTTATTTAACAAAAAATGACCTAATAGAATGCAGTTTTGTCCACTTTAGTCGCCCTGTTGTACATTAGATTTCTAGACTTGTTCACCCTGTATATCTGCTATTTTTTCTTCTTGGACCTACGTTTCTTTACCCACCTCCCCATGGTAACCACTGTTTCATTAATGTCATATTCTTGAATGCATAATCCCCACTATGCATTTTAATAGCAAGAACATGAATGAAATGCACATAATAACAGAAGAGATTATTCTAAAAACTGGATTGTAGGGTGGATATCCTAAAAACGTATTGTAAGGGACATCTTCAGAGAACGCATTGAAATCGTCAAATAATCATATGCACTAACAGTGGATAAGCACACTTAGAAAGAGTGATAATAAATCCATCCTCTGCACATCCCAGAAACCTGCCATGAATATTATTTGAGGTCTTGAAGATGAAGAAATTATGTAAGGATAGTCAAATATATGTCAGATTTCAAGGAATATAAGCATGAAAATGTGATTAGATAATGTAAGTTACATGAGTAATTTGAAAAGTCAGTCTAATCGTACTGTCCTAGCAAATAATCACTGAATAGAGGGTTGCATTCACACCTTTCTTAAAGGGACAAGTTATTAGCTATAATTGGCACAGTGTGAGCTTCAATAAACCTTTAACTACTTGTGAAATACCTTCTTATCCCCACCTACAAATCCTTTCATTAACTCGTGGCTATAATGAATCAAGGAGCTAATTATTAGCGGCTGTGTGGCAACTGGGATGCCACTGTTATTAGAGGAACATGGAGTGCAAAGACTTCTCACTAATAAAGAAATACATCTTTTTATCTGTTCTGGCACTGAACAAGAGAAGGACAATCAACTCAGGATTGCCTCTGATAATACTGACCTTGCAGCTTGCATTCTGTGGATTTAGAGCATGGATGGTAATTTAGAACACAAGTCCTTTACTAAAAATACAGAGACAATAAGGGCATAAAAAGCAAATGTCCTATTATCACATACTTAGTCATGACAGATTCAGAAATAGAAATTGCAGTTTCTGAATCCGGGATTGGAGGTCTTTCTCATACATTTTGCTACCTTGATAGACCCTTACCTATTGATCCTCCTATGCAATATCAAGTCATTCAATATTTGTTGATTCAATATATGATGTTTGAATACCACTGTGTGTCTCTCAAGTATCCTTTTTCCTTTTCGATTTACTTCAGAAAACAGTAAAGTTATAATCAGGAAAATACATATTTTTTAGAATTCTAATTTATCAAAATTCTTGAATGTAAATGTTTAAATGCTATACACACACAACACACACGCTCATACACATATTTAGATATAAATATATAAATATGTAGGAAGACTAGATGGTAGATCTTAGATACACAGATAGATGGATGATGATAGTTTAAGTTGGTGCAAAAGTAATTGTAGTTTTGCTATTAAAAGTGATGTCAAAAACCGCAATAACTTTTGCACCAACCTAGTATTCTGATTGATAATACTCTTTATTTGTGTACTTTTATGTATTCATTTATTCATTCAATGTGAATATTTAATATGTTCCTACATTCTGTTAGTTAAGATGTGGTGATGAATAATATAATTATTATGTACCCTACCTATAACTTTTAATAAATTTATAATAAGTGACACTTATTTTAAGTCCTTGACAATTTATTGATGACAATTTACCAGACACACACACACACACACACACACACACAGACACACACACACTCACAGTGCAGTCATTGTTAGATAGAGGCATGTATCCAGAACTAGAATACTGAACTGTTTTAAATGAGGTGCATAAAAGAGAAAAACTGTACTGGTAAACAGAAGTATTATACATAATATTTAATAGCAATTCTGTTTGTATTTGTAGACTTTTTTTAGAACTCTTGTAAAGTATAACCATTTAAAAAGTTAGAGCAATAGGATCAACTCTTTTCAGAGCTACAATTGATGGAAAAGAAATGGAAGTACATCATGCCAGTAGAATATTTCCTTTCAGAACAGAAAGTTTAAAAGGATAAGCAAGATTCACAGATTCTTAATCTCCCCTCCTAAATAAAGTAATGATGAGATAATTTGGGAATATTGAACATGGGGGTAGGGGAAAGACTCTAAATAGTTTGAGTTTGCTAACTGCACCACCATGAAGCAGCAGGGATGCTGCCAGGGTGCTCACAGGGATAATTATCACCTGGGAGGGAGCAGTACTTCCAGAAATGATGTTCATCGTCAGATAAAAGGGGAGGGCCTATCACAAGCATTCTATGCCAAGGTATAAAGCTTTTTTTTTCCAGAAGGAGTGGTTATGAATTAAGACCCTCTGCTGTTCAAATAATTAGGATTTGTGGTGTTTAAGAATTACCTCCATTAGAGAAGTAAAATGGTATTAATAGTGTGGCTGCAAGCTGTGAAATATAGAAACATTACTTCCTAAGACAGCTGTTCAACTGCTGTTAGAATATGCAAACTTCCCTAGAAAAAGATTTTTTTTTCTAGTCAATCAGTGTGTGGATAGCAATCAACAATAATGAAAAGAAATAACAGCTCCATAGAAATGAGAGTCTTTTGAGCTATTGAAACAATTATGATACAATCTACATGACTAAGGGAACAGAGAATCATTTGGGTATCAAGATATCAAAAAAGTGGGAATGAAGAGATCAACCCACAAAGGTGTATTAATTGAATGATAAAGAAAGCAGTAATTCACAAGCTAAGTTCACCCGTGAAGAAAAGTCTTCTGATTCATTGGAGAAACAGCAAGTTTTAACATAATTCTTATAGGAATAAATATGTGGATAAATGAAAATAAGTTTTGTTAATTCAGCCATCAAAAACATCAACTGGACCTTCCATGAAAAGCTTGTAGCTTACTAAACAAATATGATGATATATAAATATTTAAATTAATAATTATACTTGGTTATTTGCCTATGATGACAAACTGGGGGATAGAAAAAATACCACGAGAATCTAAATTTCAAACTTGTTAAAATACTTAACTATTTTCCAACTTTTCAAGATACTCAACATAATCCATATGTGATTTTTTAGGAAGGCTCTCAATGACTGCAGTATTTTGTTAAGGGAGGAAGAATATCAACTGTATTAGATTAAAAGGATACATTTCAATATGTTAAATTTCAAATATGTATAAAATTATTATAAAATAGAATTTTTTTGCAAAAACTTCAGTAAATGATACAGTTGAACTTTTTTGTTGTGAGTAACCTATAAATTCAAATATATATAAATTCCTTGGAAAAGAATTCCAAATATAAAATTTAAATACAAACACAAACACACACACAAGCCTGTATATATTTAGATTTCATGTGTGTATGTGTGTGTATAATATATATATGTATATATGAAGACATGTGAGGACACATCTGAGTTCATGTGTATACGCACACACACAAGGATAGTAGACAAAGGGAAAAAAGTCTATGAAAAGCTAGAAATTTCACAAGGGCTAAAGGGAAATTATAACTGGAAAGAGAAAACAAGCCTAAACACCTTAGAAAAGGCAAGGGAAATGAGGAAAAAGGCACAGTAGAATCTCAAAAATTTGGACAAAAGGTTGTGGACGAATAGGCTAGATAGGTTATGGTGTGCTCTGGAGAGAATATGGGGAGCTGCCGTCAGTAAGGCATATTTTGAAGAGAGCCCAGGCCCAGGTTGGCTTTTTGATATTGCACTTTGGGTAGCAGCAAGTATGGAAACTGCTTCCAAAATTTTACACCAAATAGTGCAACAGACACTGAACTTAATGTCTGCGGATATGAGTGGACTGACGTCTCAACAATGAAAAATCTTTGCTATGTTTCCTTAAGCATTTTTTTTTTGAGACAGAGTCTTGCTCTGTCACCCAGGCTGGAGTGCAGTGGAACAATCTCAGCTCCCTGCAACCTCTGCCTCCTGGCTTCAAGTGATTCTCCTGTCTCAGCCTCCAAAGTAGCTGGGATTACAGGTGCACACCACTAAGCCTGGCTAACTTTTGTATTTTTAGTAGAGGCGGTGTTTCGCCATGTTGGCCAGGCTGGTCTTGAACTCCTGACCTTGGATGATCCACCAGCTTAGGCCTCCCAAAGTGATGGGACTACGGATGTGAGCCACTGTGCCTGGCTCCTTATGCAATTTGAAGACTCAGTTTCTTCATTTGAAAATAACAACTTTGAAGTACATGGCTAAGGAACTGGTATGCTTAACAGGTATACGTTTTCATTTCTATTACTATAAGAAACTGGTATGCTTGAAGGTACAAATTTTCATTTCTATTTTTGGCACAGAATAAAATATTTTTCTCTCAAAGCCTGATATAATCTATTAATATTTCTATGTGTAGATACATTTAATTAGTACATAACTGTCTAAAATAAAGCAATCTACAAGTACAGAAATATTTTTAGTCACCTGCAGAGAATGTCACCAATAAAATAACACATGAGATTGGATATCTGCAGTGTTACTTGTGAATAAATGAATGCTTATGAAGCAAGGGCACTTCACAAGTATCTTAAAAAAATAGGGTACATTCTCAGCAAGATTTCACTTGAAGGTAGTATAGTAAATCAACTCTAAACTATACTTGGGTATTTGCATATGCCTGAAAGAGCCTTTTCTTAATGCTATGATTATATTTTACATAAAAATAAAGAATAAAATAAAATATAAAAACTAGCATTTGCCATTATTTATTATATTTTCTTTGGTTCCAAGTCATATTTATTTGACAGCTTTTTTTTTAATGTATTATTTTCTAAAGAAGAATGTTCCTTTCCAGGCTACGGCTACTTAAGTTCTCATTTCCACAGTCTTTATAATACATTTCTCAAAGTAATCCCTTTCTGTGCCCTGATTCTTCCACTTTATGTAGTGATTTGCATTTATTTATTTATTTACTATTTTGATTTTTCAAAAATCTTAATACCTGGAACAGAAATATTGAATTACAGATATAAATCGACTAGTTAAAAGAAAATGTCTCCAATTATAAATGATGAAATCAACATTCTCATGTATGTTTCAGACTTTCATAAATTTAATAGTGTGAATTCTGCTTCCAATGTCCTATTTGGACAAAAAAAAGAAAAGGTAAATTGTTTATGGACCTACAAAATACAACTATAAATAAAGCAACCCAACCAGCCAGCCTATTTCCTCTCATTTTAAATATATAGATATATTCATTTTATTTATTGGAATTTTTTTTCTTAGATATCTGGTTTTAGGTTTTGAGTCTTTTTATTTAAGTGTGCAGTGTCAACAAAATGCAGGGTTACTTACCAGTTGGCTTATACTGGTTGTCACAGCCAATGGCTGTGTTACGTGAGCCAGAGTCTAATCTGATTGGTTGGAGCCAGTGGCCCTTCAGGTTGCTAAAGACCATGCTGATTTTCCACCTTAAGATATTAGTATGTAAATAGAATTTATAAGGGCATAATTCAGGTGATGATTTTTTATTCACTTAAAATTTTTTTTAAATAGCACACGTAGTATATGCTTAATAAATAATTACTTTACTGAATATTTGCCTACTTTTAATTTTTAGTGTGTGAATATATATGCTAAAACTATTTGCATGTCTTAATAGTGGAAAATGACTATGAGATAGCTTTTTATTATTTATTTTTTATTTTTTAGAACTATATCCATAAGCACCCACTTAATTGAGAATATACAGTCCCAATTTATATTATCTACACCAACTTTGATGTACATGTCAGGTTTTTTTCAAGTATGGGTTTGATTTTGTTTGTCTGATTTTATGTACTTGATCACAGAGTTTAGACATGACCACTCCCTTTATTTTCAACATCATGCACATTATATTGTTATATATGAAAAATGTTATCTTTTCAGTCATGATTTTCTGTCTGTGTTTGGAGGAATTATTCCATGCTTCTGGCCTTATGACCTCTTGTAAGATTATTAAATTCTACAAAACTACAAAAATCAGCTGTACTTAGAAAAACAATTTTTCTCAACTACACACATTAATCTGTTTCACTGGGGATGTTCATGTTGATCCAAATATGTATAACTAAATAATTCCATGCACATTGTAGCAAAAGCTACCCTATCTGTGTGAATGAAATCTCTTAAGGTCAAGGAAAATCATTTAGAACTTGTCAAAGTACAAAGAGAAAGAAGAAATAATCATAAAGCAAAGAGATTTCTTTTCCAGATATATTTTTTGCAAACATCCCTCTGAATGTATTATTAGTATTTTATCTGAACTCACTTTATGTTAAAGCAAATGTTTCTTTTCAATTAGAAGAGTTGGAAACAAATTATTTTTTCTTAAAAATAAAAATCCAACATGGAAACTTTTATTATATTTAGGACTTTTCAAGCCCTTTGTTTTTCTTTGTGTTTCACTTTCAAGAAACATTTATACATATATAGAATATTTTCTATATATGTGTAACTTTATATTCTAACCATTTTTGCTTCTTACTATAGATTTTATGCATATTCATGCATTCAATAGCAACCCTACTTCATGAAGATATAAATGTTTAATGGAAATTCAAATCACAGCTTCAATTTTCCATCTCTTTTAAAGACTTCTGATTTTCTATTACTATTTAAAAGGTTAAATTAACTTTAAATTTGCATTTCACAATACATCTGCAATGCTGATATTTAGCATTATAAAATCACAGAAAACATAATAGGTAAGTAATTATATAAGTGAGAAAGGTTAATAAAAATATTGATGAAACAAACAGCAATAACTTCAAAGTTTAACAAGTAACTCTATGAAGAAATGATACACTTCACTAAGAATCATTCAAACTTGTTAACTGAAACATCTGTTACTAGATCTAGTTATTTGCTTTAGCAACTGATAAAATCCCTCTATAACAAAAGTAACTACATAAAAATACATTTTAACTATATTTATCTCTAAGATTTTAATTCTTCAACGAAGGAGATATCTTTATTATCTTTCCTTCACCATTTAAACAGGAAACTGAAGATTTCTTCATGTAAGGTGATTCATTAAAATACTAGTGGCTGACTAAATATAAGCTATATTATTTGGTTAAAAAGTAGTATTTCCATTAATTCATTGCGCTGTAATTTCTACAAATTAATATTCTTATATTATACCTTGTATAATATTCTCATATACATACCTTGTAATTTTGTGTCCTTTTAAACCTACATGTTCCTAAATCTGTGAACATGTTTTATTCCTTTTACTTCTTATTTGCAAACTGGCCAGTTATTTTCTGAGTCCCTATTTTTCCCAGTATTACAAAAGCATCAATTGCATTCATCAAGTAGCATCATCACTGTTTCTGAACTTGACCTCTAGAGCTGGAAATTTCTTTGTTCAAGTGACCGCAAGCCCTAATTTCACCAAATATTGTCTTCTTATCTAACATGGTAGCCATTTTTCCAGTCTGTGGTAATTTCTTCTCTGGTCACCAACTGGCCACTTTGCCTCATATTTTAGGTCACACATTTAGGTTATGGTAGCACATCAATTCTAGACACGAAATTCTGCATTAGTTAGGTTAATGTAGATTGTACTTCACTGACATCCAACCACAATTCATTTTGACTAAAACAGTTGTTCATTTTCTTTACTCAACATGACTAACATTAGCAAAGGGGTCATACTCATCTTAGGGAACAAAGGCTGGCATAGGTATCATATGTCCATGATGCCTCTTAAACTATCATAATAAGGAGTAAAGAATGTTATATCACACATAACTACAAAAAACTGATAAGTGCAAATCAACTATAAGCCCAGGAAGAAGGAGAAGTGAACTGATTACAAACAGCTTTAGTGTTAATCAGGGATCCCTCATTGAGAGGGAGGTCAGAGAAAGTTTCCATGAAAAAATCATATCTAAATGGATATTTGAAAATTATATGAGTTAATGGAAATAAGCAAGTAGTGGGGAAGGAGGTATTTTACAGAGAAATAGCACATGCAAAGACCCTGTGAGATGGAAGCAACACACTATATTGGAGAAAAAAGAGATCAAGTTCAATTTTGAGGAAAAAAGAGAAGTTCAAAGTTAAAATCATGTTAATGATTTTAGTCTTTGTCTTAAGAGGAAAAAGAAACTCTTAAAGGGCTACAATATTGTCAAAAAGAATAGAATACTTAGGAATAAATTTAACCAAGGAGGAGAAAGACTTGTACACTAAAACTACAAAATGTTACTGAAAGAAATTAAATATGCAAATTAATGAAAAGTAACCTCATGATCACGGATTGAAATACTTAATTACCCTAAGATGTCTTTACCACTCAAAGTCTCAAAGTGATCTACAGATTCAATTGCAATCTCTGTCAAAATCCTAACAAAATCTTTTGTAGCAATAGAAAAATTCATCTAAAATTCACATGGAATCTCAAGAGGTCCTGAATAGCTAAAAACAAAATTGAACAGAAAAGGATTAGAAGCCTCATGCTTCCTGATTTCAAAACTTACTATAAAATCATAGTAATCAAAACAGTAAGATTCTGTCATTAAGACTGACATATAGATCAATGTAATAGATGAGAGATCTCAGAAATAAATCCTTGCATAAATGGTCAAATGGTTTTTAACAAGGATGTCAAGGGCACTCCATGGAAAAAAGCAATCTTTTGCACAAATGGTGTTAGGAAAGCTAGATATTAATATGCAACTTTTTTTTCAATGAAGTTGGACTCTTAGCTTACAACATACATAAAACTTAACACAAGTTAAGGTGTCTAAAACTTAACACAAGTTTCTAAAGGCAAAGCTAAAACTATAAAACTCTTAGAAGAAAACAGGGGAAAACCTTCTAGTGTTGAATTTATCAATGATTTCCTAGGATATGACATCAAAACACAGGAAACAACAACAACAAAATAGAATAGTTGGACTCATTCTAAATTAAAAACTTTGCACATTGAAGGACACTATCAACAGAACAAAACACAACCTGATGAATGTGAGAAAATGTTTGCAAATCATATATTTCATAAGGAATTAGTATCCAGTATATAAAAAATTCTGTAATTCAACAGTAAAGCAAACCACCTGACAAAAAAGTAGACAAAAAATCTGAATAGACATTTTTCCAAAGACGATATGTAAGTGTCTAATAAGCACATAAAAATATGTTCAACATTCACCAATCACTAGGGAAATACAAACCAAACCACAGTGAGATACCACTTCACCCCTTCCTTAGAACAGCTATTATTATAAAGACAATAACAAGTGTTGACAAGAATATGAAGAAATTGTAACAATTGTGCATCATTGGTAAAAATGTAAAATACTGCTGCCACTGTGGAAAACTGTATGGCAATTCCTCAAAAAGTCAAACAAAATTACCATGTGATCTAGCAAGTCCACTTTGGGATATATACCCCAAAAATTGAAAACAGAGACTGAAACAGATATTTGTACACTTATGTTCATATCAACATATTAATAACAGCCAAAAGGTAGAGGCAACCCAAGTGTCCAGTGTTCATCAACAGATGAATGGATACACAAAACGTGGTGTATATATGTGTGTATGTATGTGTATGTGTGTATACTTATATATATATTCATATATACATACATACACATGTATAAAAGAATGTTAGTCGCCCCTATAAAGGAAGAAAATTCTGAAACATGTTACAACATGGATTAATTTTCAAATCATTGTGCTAAGTGAAATAAGGTAATCAGAAAAAGAAAGATATTATATTATTCCACTTATAGGAGATAGCTAGAGTCATCCTAAATTCATAGAAACAGGAAGTAGAATGATGGTTGCCAAGGGTTTTTGGAAGAGGGGAGAACAGAAAGCATTAACCAATACAGAGTTTCAGGTGAAATAGATGAAAACATTCTAGAAGTGAATGGTGATAATGATTGTACAACAATGTTAATATACTCAGTGCCACAGAACTGTACATTTTAAGATGGTTAAGCATAAACAAAATGGTAAAATTTATGTCATGTATACTTAACCATTTTTCAAAAATGGGAGCAACATATCTTTCTGTATATCTAAGTAATTCTTCAAACTCAAGTTATTCATAAAGAGATCTCTGAAATATGTCTCAATTCTTCTCTTCACACTCAGAATTTATCAAATGTATGTACCATTTATTTGTCAAAATGTATGTACCATTTATTTGTATAGTCTTATTGATTGTACTAGATATTTTATAAGTTTTGCATTTTCTAAATAATTCTTGAAATGAGCAGGCAAAAAGATGCATATATGTACACACACACACACACACACACACAATGTAATGTCTTAGATAATTCAGGTCAGCAAAAGTGGTTTTGATTGATTGATTAGTTTATTTTTATGTATAGTGACAACATCTTTTGATGAATAGTAGCATATCCGTTTTGCAAGTATCAGACTTACAGAATCTTCAATTACTTAATGCAAAGTACAACTTGGAAGAAAACAGTAAGAAATATTTTTTCTCCATCTAAAGTGAAACTTATGCTTGTAATAGAGGAGAAGTAAAAATGCCCTAATACCAAATGGCATTACAATATAACACATTTTAAGAATCAAGATTACTGCCATGACTTACTGGCATTTTGTTTTCTTCATTCAGCTCTACAAAATGTCAGTTTATGGAATGGAATTACTAAAAATGAACAATGAAAATCCAACAATCAGAAAACACAGAGTTTGGGGTTATTGAGTGTAGTTCACTAGAGAGACCAGCCCTGAATATTTATCAAAAACAATTGTTTATATTTAGAAAAATATGAAATTTTATTCAGTACACTCTGACAACATAGAAAATCTGCCATTACTTTTAGAAATGTTCAATAAGAAAATATGTATTTTTAAAAGATCATAATTTAACATTTTAAGCTTCTCTAATTAGAAAAAATTATTCATCCCAGAAATATGATTTGCTCATACTGGAAATGCCTGGTATGTCATATGTTTTTCCATTTCACTCTGCATGTTTTAGTTCAATTCAGTTGGGTGCAAATTCAAAGTTAAACATATAAACAAGTAAAAATCATAACTTTAGTTAAGGCAAAAAATTATAGAACTTTGTAACAGTGTTGTGTTTGAATATAATAAAAAGTTGAAGACCACTTTTAAATGTAACCTACCTACATCATCATCTGATTCTTGCATGTCTGGTTTATGCACAATAAACTGGAAAAACATAACAGACAAGCAAAAAATGTGATTGTAGTTGTGTGTTAGCTTTTGATTGCTGCTGTAACAAATTGCCAAAAACTTAGTGGCTTAAAGCAATACAAATTCATTATCTTAGTTTTGTAAGTTAGAAGTTTGCCATGGATCATCTGGGTTAAAACCAAAGTGTCAGCAAGGTTGCATTTCTTTCTGGAGGCTCAAATAGAGAATCAATTTCATTAGCTTTTGCAACTTCTACAGGCTGCCCACATTCCTTGTCTAGTGACCTCCTTCGTACATCTTCAAAACAAGCTATGTTGCACTTCTCTGTAAATTGAGTCAGGAAAGGTCTTCTTTTATGAAATCATGTGATTAGGTAAGGCTCACCCAAATAATCCAGGAGTCTTCCCATATCAAAACCCTTAACTTTAATCACACTTGCAAAGTCTCTTTTGCCATGTAAGGTAATACATTCACAGTTTCCAGGGATTAGGATGTGGCTACCTTTGAAAGCCATTATTCTGCCTACCACAAGTTGTCTCTAAATTATGTTTTTATAAAAAATAAATTAGATCGATAGCTTCAGAATGGCAATTTTGCTCTAATTATATACATTAGGTATAGTGCATGCCAGTAGTTTCTTCTTCCAATTCAGTATCTCTTAAGTAAGCAATTGCAACTAGAGGGTATAAATTTCCATGTATTTTCTATCCTTAAACAAACATAAAGAGAGCATAAAACCACCTTAGTGCACAAGAAGATTCCATGATACATTTATATCAGTGGTTATTATTCTAGTTTTCATGTGAAGATTTCATCCTGCTTGATACTTTACACCTTCCTTCTGTAGTGCCTTTCCCCTATAATTTATGTATGCTACAGTGTTCACAAGGAAAATACATATATTAAAATCAGTTTGTGCCATGAGACTTCTCTATTTGATGAAAGTCGAATCTGGCTCAGGTATAATAAAAAATATCAAATAAAATATAGCAACTCAAATATCTATATGTAGGTACTAACAGTATGATCTCCAAAAATAATGTTTCTGAAGCACAGTCTATGTGGTTTATGGTGAATATGTTTGGTTAAATAGCTAAATATCTGTCCCAGGTTCTTTTCCAGTGTGCCTTCTTTTTCTTCAAAGGCTGGAAAGTTTAGAAACTACTCTTCCTGGATTCTTTTGTACCTAAAGTTTCTAATGAAACAATTTTATTAATTGCAATTTTACTCTTTATATGGCCCTTTCATGTTTAATTGGTTAACGTTATTATATTTTTATTTCTTTAAATGAAACATATTTCACATTTATTATTTGTCATTAGGATAATGAAAACAATTAAAGTTTATCCATTTTCATTTGAAATGTCAGCTATGTCTCATAGAATGTGAATTTCTATTTTTATCCGATTATGTTCAGAAAATAGGACCTGTTTTTAGAGTCTAACACTGAATTATTTCTAGAAAGAAATCACTTAGCTTTTGGTTTCTAATTTTGTTTTCAACACATTATCTTGTGTTATGTTGTGATTTTCTTGTTTTTATTAATCTTACTAAGGAAAATATATCTGTGAATACATTCCCAAGGATTCATATCAAGAATTTAGACCTGATTGTTATTTCATTTTTATGTATTCATTATTCAATAACTATTCAGTCTACAGACCTGTCATGACATCTACCTTTCTAGCAGAAACTGCACATAAACTTTGCCCTACTTAGATTGTTTATTGTTGTCTCCACCTGTGTAGACTAGTAGGTCTATTAGAGCAGAGAGTTTTATCCCGTTTCACTCACTGACATAGCCTTAGCATATAGATGAGTGCCTGACACTTAGCAGTCTCAGTACTATTAGCTGAATAAATGAATTTACAGAGTGCCTATTGTATGCCACACACTGTTCTGGGCTCTTGAGATGTATCTGTGAAAAAAAAAAAAAACCCTATGGAGCTTACAAACCATGAGTGGAAGAAGTCAAATAGCCAATAAAATATAGTTATAAAAATTAAGCTATACAGAACACTAAAAGATGATAAATACTATAAAAAGGAAAGGGCATGACAAGGACAAAGAAAGTCAGAAGTCATTGGCCAAGAAGAGGAGTGGTGGGGTTGTAGCAGCAGTAGTATTCAATATGGTGGTCACCGTAGGATGTACCAAGAAACATTTGAGCCAAGTCTTAGAAGTAAAGGTACTAACTCTGAGGAAAGAGGAGGGAGAGAAAATCCAAACAGAAGACACAGTCACATTAGGGCAAGGAGATTCCATACAGAACAAATGGTAGAGTAGAAGGAGGAAGGGACAGGTAGAAGAAGATGAGATCAGAGTGATGAGGAGAGGGTAAAAATCTTGTGACCCTCAGAAGCCAGAGAATGGATTTTCGTGTTTTATTTTTAGTAAAACGGACCATTGAGGAATTTTTAACAGAGACGTGGCACCTTGTCTACATTTAAAGGGTTCATTTAAATGGTTGGCATGTTGAGAATAAGCAGTAGGAAGTAGAATGGTGAGTTTTGTAGCACAGTGTATTTATCCTTTCAGTAAGACCAATCAATCTGGACACCCAAGCATAGCTGAGCATTAGCTGCATGTTGTTTAATGTAGAACTAGCAGGAGTATAAATTTTAGAAACTGACCTTGTAGATTGTTTCTTACAAATCAGAGATGCTGAATTAAGTCTTCCTTAAAAAAGGGAGAATGGTTTTCCCCCTCCTTTTTATCTGAGGGGGATACATTTCAATACCCCTGTTGGGTATCTGAAGCCATGAAGGTTACCAAACCAACTAGCTACATACTTTGCTTTTTAGAGCTGATGACCCAGATGGTTACTTAGTCATTAATAAGCAGATAGGATACACAGTATGGATACTGTGAACAAGAGAATGGTTTACTTCCCAGTGGGGCCAGAGCAGAGAGCTCAAACTTTCATCACACTACTCAGAACAATGTGAAATTTACAATTTATGAATTGTTTCTGGAATTTTTCACTTAATATTTTTGGACCAAGATTGGCTGCTGGTAACTGAAACTGTGGAAAGCAAAATCACAGATAAGGGGGCTTGTTGTAGATCTTTTAATGTAAATTAATTTTTTAAAATTTTCTAATTTATTTAGCATTTAATAAATGTGGCCATTTTTCTTTTCTATTTCTGAGTGCTGTATTTCCAGCTCTAGCATCTAGTATTTAGGCAAACTCCATCATATGTAATTTCCTCAGATTTTCTAGATGGCTGCTCAGAATCTACTGAAACATATCCTGTAAAACTAGTGGAGGTCATCAAAAGCTTATATTCAATGGGAATAATTGTTCACTTTTTAAAATGGGATGCCCCAAATTTGAGTACAGTGCTTTCTCATAAAAGCAGAAGAAAATTAGATTAATTCCTCTTGTGACTAAAAATGAATATAAATCCAATATATGCTTATTAAATATCTACTATACGTAAATCTATCTACTATATATCAATGTAGTGTACATGAGCTTAAAATGCAATTCATCAAAAATACTACTTTTATAGGATATATTTTATAAAGATAATATTTTATATTTTTACTTACATTTCTGCTCCCTAAAATTTTTTTTTAAAAGTTGCTATAATATGCTAATACATTTATGACATGCTTCAATAATTTCCTTTCCATTAAGCAATTATATTGTTTTCCCCACCTCAACCCCTGATTAGGAAAATGGAGAGCAGGCTACAGACTAGCAATACGTAATGCAAAACAAATCCAAAATTAGTCACTCCCTTGTCCCTTTCCAATGAGCACAGAAATAATAATTACTAAAATCTTAATTACAATGTTCTTTTTAGGCCACATAATACACAGATAAGTGAAGTGTTTAAATTCCTAAAACACTTAATTGCAAAGACTTTTTTTTGGGCCCTATAAATTACAAAAGCTGAGCTATTTGATGTATTGCCACCATCACCTTCTCATGCAAAATATGAATGAAAATAAAAGGCAAATTTGTGTCTGTGGCATCAGTGTATCTTTGGCATTTCTCTAAGGTCTACAGATGCCACCACTAATAAAGAGACGTTAAAGAATAATGAGCTCAAATCTCTCATATTTTGAATGGTGAAAAAAATTTATGTTTCAGAGATCACATAGGGCCAAAATTGTGTAAATGCACACAAATCACTGCAAGAATTATATTTGCGATCCCTATTCTTATGGAAGACCTGTACATGTAAGTTTCTAATCTGTTATTGGCATGAGAAAATCAATATTTGACAAGGGAAATTTTTCCATGACAACTAAATCTTATTTATTTATTTATTCCTGAATTTAAAAGTATTATTAAAGTTTTAAGCACTAAGCTTTTGAAATGATCTCATTTCTATTTATTTTTGAAAGGGTTTTGGCACAGTACGCTAGATTCTGTTGATTTCTAAATACAGTATTAATGTTCTTGCTTGCTGGCTTAGAAATATAAAACTTTCCTTAAGAACACTTTAGAAAATTATTTTACTGTTAACCTGATTGGCAAAGAAGTATGGTAATATTTTATATTCATGATTATCTAGAGTAACTGATACTCTAGATAAAATCATTTTCATCTAGATTTTAAGGATAAAGACTCTCCATTTTGTACCAGTGGTCTAATCTTTGGAACACCCATTAAAGTGCCTTGCATAGAGTGTCTAATAAGCAGATTTATCTGGAAACATCAATCCTCTTTCTTTTTATTTATTTCTTTTTTTTCAGAAGGAGTTTCGCTCTTGTTGCCCTTGCTGGAGTGCAACGACATGACCTTGGCTCACTGCAGCCTCCGCCTCCCGGGTTCAAGGCTATCAATCTCTTTCTATGCATCCATCTATATATATAGAAACTTTCACACATACATGCAGAAGGAAATTATTGTGTTTTAAAAATCTTAGGTGGATCATGGAAAAGAAAATGAGCAGATAAATATATGTCCCCAAATTTTATATATGTTTGAACATGAAAACAAACAAAATTATTTACTTCCATTTATATATGGAAGAATTCATATAAAAGTGAATTTTGCTACATGTTATAGACAGCTTCTAGAGATGGTTTATGGATTCTCCTGGAATCCTAAAATTCAGTGACTGATTGATTCGCCTTTTCAAAAAAATCAATAACTGATTGATTTGCCTTTTTAAAAAACAGACAATACATAATCATTCAGATTTGAATAATCAAAATATAGATAAGTTAAAAGAAAGAAACTACTATCCTTAATAAATCTACCAATTGTTAATAATCTAGACATGCTATTGAAAAAATATGCTGAATCCACACTACTAAAAATTCAATACACATTGCCATTAAAATGTGAATTATTATCCAAATATTTTTTGACATTTATAACTACTGTTATATAGATATAAACAGTTGATGATGAAATCTGAGAAAAAAACTTATATTTGTAAAATTTCTAAAATGTCAAACTTTTATAAATGTAATTGATGGCATTTTATAAATTTTTTACCTATATAAATAATAAATTTATTAATTTCATATATATTTGTTATGTATTATATAATTTACTTAGTAAAAACATTACTAAGCTTTAAATATGTAAATTATATTAAACCAATTGATGAAAAACCCAATAAGCTGAAAAAGCTCTCCCTCCTTATCTTTTTTAAGAAGGAAAAAATATATTTTTTATCAATTTTATTTCCTTGAATTTTAAATTTTCTTCCTCTACTTGTACTATCTACTCCATAACAAAAATAATTTGAATAAACAACAAAAAATGTACTATAGTACTTGAAGTCTTATATATTGAATAAACCTTGACCATATCAACATATGTTTTTGTTTTGCATTTAAAACAAACTATTAGTCCTAACCAATTATGATCTATTGCATTGGCTATTTCAAAATGCTATAATGAGCTCATTCGATTATTCATCATTAAACGGTTCTGATTGCATTATTCATTCATACAGCATGTATTGAATGTTTATCATAAACAAAACAAAATTTTTAGGTAATTTTGCTTTTTAGAGGAGAATAACAGAGAATAATACATATTTTTACTTTTAATTATTATTTTAACACAGATGATACATGCACTATATTTATAAATCTTTGAACAGTTAATGAGACATTCGCTTTTAATATTTGTTTGCTATTAGAAGGTATGTAATGTATTGGTTCAGGTTTCGACACTGAGAAATAGTGTAAATACAATAACACTTGAAGGAAAAGAATATAGACTTGGTGCTTAGTGATCATTATGAGAACTGAAATGATTGATTCTGACTTGCCCACTGAGTCAGTGTAGAGTTTAATATTTTATGGGAAAATAAATAAAACTGACATTATTATTTACATGTAAGAATATACTACCATGGACATAAATACTCACATTTAAAGGCTTACTAAGCTATAAGAGCACTATAAAGTTTATTTTGCTTTCTCTTACACATCACATTTGTACTGTGAAACATATATTATCAGAAGTCGGTACAGATAAAAAATACAAAATTTGTTGAAGAACTCTGTCTTGTTTATCATTACACAGGAAAAAATTGGAATATAAGACAAAAATTATTTTTTTCATACTAGCTACTTTTGAACACTGCTTTGCTCAACAATTTTGCATCCATTAAAATAAATATGAGAAGCAAATATTTCAAAGTATAGCTATAAAATACTTGTATGTAGAAATTTGTTGATGCCCTCCTCGGCATCTTGTCCATTGTCTTATTTTATTTATTTACTTTATCATATTTTTTCTTCAAGGTAGGCTGAGCTGATGATACACACAAAGACATACACTCATATTCATATGCACACACATCCCAAACAAAACACTCAAAAGAGATCTAATTAACCTATTGCCCAAATATTTTCAAATCTAAAATAAGTATATGATTTTGTTTTGTATAAAATATAGTCAGTTCATTCACAATCTTTATTATTTTGGTGTGAGTTACAGCTTGGAATCATGTTTGGCTTATATAATCATTGGCAAAATTTTCACTGAAATGTCTAACATATAAGAGAGTAGAATAGAGAGGCTGGTTATAAAATTTGAGCCAATAAATGGAGGTCAAATCAATATCAATTTCCAATTTTCCTTATCTGCTTTTGCCTGTATAGTTAGGCACTGTGTCCTGCCATATATTCACTCACATAGAAAGTAAGTATAGAATCAATGAACTAGAACTCTTTTTCAGATAAGGTTTCATTAAGTTGTTTTCTTGCTTCAATTCCATAAATATATTTTTTGTTCCTAACATAAACAGCAGAGCTAATGCATCGAGGGAGGTCATAAGCTAACTTAGTTCAATTTGGGCATTTTTAACTATCAACTGTATCATCTTTAGTTAAAACTTTGCTGTTTCTTTTCTTTCCTCTTATCTTATTTAAGCATAACTGCTGGAGTTCTGCAAAGTCTGCTCTGTTGTGTATGTGGACAATGGTGCAAATGTTGTTAACTATAAGAAAATGTTTGATTTAACTGAAATCGATAAACTTTAGCAAAGGGTAGTCTCATAAACAGCATAACTTAAAAAATGTTTAGTTAAATTGTTCCTTCTCCAGTAAGTTTTCATCTTCTTTTGCTGTATGGCTGGTTTATATTTCAACATGATGTCTAATTTATATACTTGGTTTCGACATGCAGTTAATTAAACTAGCCATTAAGTAGATTGGAAACTACTAAGGAACAGGGTTTTAATCGGTGTGTTTTCATGACTAAAGATCAGTAGAGGAGAAGTTGGAGTTATAGTTGACCACATATTCTTAAATTTTGATTCAGATTCATTTAGTAGCAACACAATCGTGTAATATAAATCTTAAGTGGTTATTGGTGGACTTTTAATGTTTTGCTATTCATGAATTTAAAATTCATTCTGAGCTTTCATTTTTTCAATTTATTTAAAAATTTACCTGTAATTCATGAAACCCTAGAAACAGAGCTTGAGGAAGCCTTTAATTCTTCAGAGTTCCATTTGCTTCCTGTTGTTTCTAAATTAATTTACCTGTTGACTTCATCTATATTAAGCATTATACAAACGGCAAGAGCAATGCAACTTTTTCTGGCAGTGGCTTCAATGTATGAAGGGCAATATAATTATCTAGGAGGTTTCACTTTCGAGAGGTCTCTTGATTTTTGAAAATTATCTCTATGTCAACTTTGAAACACCGTTGAAAAACAGCAGCTGAACAGTATCTTTTATCAGAAATACTGAACAGTATTTCTGATACAGTGTACTGAATAGTATTTTATCAGAAAACAAAACAAAAAAGTACCTTTGGAATGCTACTGGTTAAAATATTGCCTGATTAATTTATTCTTAAATTTAAGTTTATCCTTTCTTTTTTTACATCAGAAAAATTAGATAAAAATTTTGCCCCAAATCAGATTTAATAATTTATCTAAAAATAATAAACGTAAAATATTTTTTGAAAGAATAATTTACTTCTTTAATCTGTCTTTTTCATGTCCTTGGAGAAAAGGTGGTTTTAATTGGTAATCCTAACTTACTATTTATGCTTCTTGTATTACAAATATACTCCTGTGATAACTCAAAATAATTCCATGCAGTATGAAGTAATTATAAGTGATTCAGTAATTAATAATTTCAGTACTAATATTGATATATACTTATGTCATCCCAGGCATTGTGATTAGTTATTTACAAAAGTTATTTTATTTATTCATCTACCGTAAATTTATGAAGAATATAATAATATCCAAAGGTTTTATATGAAGAAACTAACATGAAAATGATTAATAGTCCAAGAATAAACCTAATAAGACCATCAATCCCCAAAGTTTTTGGCACCAGGGGCTGGTTTCATGAAAGACAAGTTTTCCATGGAAGGTGTTGGGGTAGGGGATGATTTCGGAATGAAACTATTCAACCTCAGATCATCAGGCATTGGATTCTCACAAGAAGCACACAAACTAGATACCTCACATGTGCAGTTCACAATAGGGTTCCCACTCCTATGAGAATCTAATGCCACCGCTCATCTCAAAGGAAGAAGAGCTCAGGTGGTAATGCTTGCTTGCCCGCCACTCATCTGCTGTGCCGCCTAGATCCTAGCAGGCCACAGGCTGGTACCGGTCCATGGACTGGGGGTTGGGGACCCTTGTAATACGTGACTGAGTCAATATTCTAACATTGCTTTTTTAGATTCTAAAGCCAAATTTTAATCTTAATTTCGAAAATATATGAGACTCAAGTTCTACATCTACTAAATGAGGAGTTTGAAACAGTTGATCTTTTAAGTCTGATCCCTCTCTCAAAACCTATGATCTAGTACTGAGTAAATTTTAAAGCATATATATTTTTTCTGTTACCAGGAATTTTACAGTGTACATAAATATAAAAATTAGTAAGAAAAAGTGATTGCTTTGGTTATCTCATATTTTTACATGCTACAAGCAGTATAGTAAGCCTAAGATGATTTTTTAAGAAAACTGATCATTAGAGTAGATTTTATCTTTATAGTGAAGTTTATGAATTCTTAGGAATCTGTGGCTCATGTTAAGAACTTTCAGAATATCTGTGTGCACAGATATATGTGGGACATATGTGAGAACACTCATAAACAGTAACGTTCATTATAATCTCTTGATCGGAATGCTAACTACATCAGAGAGAAGATGTTTAAATAATTTTCCATTGCTTTAACTGAACGAGTTAATAGAGCTAAGTAGAAGATAAACTTATATAATAAGGTACTCAGTAGATATTTTTCTATTACTAAATAATAATGAGTAGCCCAAACATGTAAACCACAGAAATGCTTACTGATTGGTATTTGAATAGTGATGGATAGATAAATATGGTTTGATAGTTCACTGATAGATAAATATGTCTTGATACATGTACATGGTAGTTGATAAACATGAGTAAAAAGAGAGTGAACCAAACTGTATTAAAAAGTAAATGAAGATTAGATATATAAAATTGAGCAAAATAAAGCAAATTTCAGAAAATGACACATAGTATGGTAACATCTTTACAAAGCTTAAAAACAAGAAAAAATTAAAATGTAATTTAGGAATATATGCCTTATTTCATTAGTCCTTTATCATATACTTATTAAGAGTATATTAATAGTCTGACATTATAAATTATGAAGCTAGTACAATAGAAATTTAGACTCTAAAAATACAGCTAGATAAAACCATTTTTGAAAATGAAATAAAATGATTATCATAAATCTTTGTTTAGTAGTTAATTCTGAAAGTGAGGGAGAAAGATTGAAAGAGGGAGCATAGAAAGAGACAATGGTTGGGATGGATTCTAAATCTTAAGACGTACCAATAAATACATATTATTATTATGCATTATAGCTAGCATACAAGATATTGATTAGTTAATACATAATTATTACATTATTACATAATACAAACCATTCAGAACGTCTTAACACAATGTCTTAATGTTACATTTTCTTATTATATTCCTAGGCAGTCAATCTTTTATTTACAGTTAAACCCTGCAACCTAATAGAATTTCATTGTTTTGTAAAATTCTGTAAATCTCATTGCATTATTAAGTAGTTTTCAAAATATTCTGATCTCTAACAATCACTATATTGTAGCCCCACAATTCTTAATTTTATAAAGAGCCTTGCCACAATTAATATCCAATATTTATTTGCCTTTTAAAAAATTGTAGTGAAATATATAGATAATAGTAACTATACACATCATTTCTAAAATAATAAATTTAATACCATGGTTATATATAAAGGATAAAATAAAATTAGTTATAATAAAATAATGTTAATTCTCATGAATGACTAAAATAAAATATATGATAATGAAGTAGTCAAATGCTTTATCTATTATAAAATCTTTGCAATTAGGATAAATTAAGTGGTATTTATTTTAAATATATCAAAAAAGAAAGAACAGGTTACAGTGATAGCGACTAGAATAACACTTGTTTAGAATAAATAATTTCAATGAGACATTTGTATATGGCAGAGAGAAAAGGATAATAAGAGGAAAAAGGTAAATAGGGAAATCATGCCAAGACAAATTACAAAGGAAATGAAGAAAATGAGAAAATATGCTATTCTTGGATATAGGGCTTATTATAAATGTAATTATTATGATAGAGAGCAGAGCAGAGACAAATTATCACAGAAAACATATTACCTACATTGAAGCCTCTCCGTATCTCAGAAAAATATTCAGTGTTAGGTCCTTAAAAGGAACCTTAAGTGCAAATCTTAGAATAGGCAAAAGTGAGCAGGGAGTGGTCATGAAGAACCATGAATCATGAGGCTATAGAGAGGTTGTAGATATCAGAAAAACATCAGGTGAAAAAGATACAGACAACCCCCCAAAAGAATGTAATTTTAACCTGTAATTTTAATGACATAGATTTGTTATTATTGTACAATATATTTTTTCAAAAACCTATAGAGTGTTAGTAACAATTTAAAAACCATTATTAATGAAATTGAAATTTAGGGAAATCCTTGAATTTTGTAAGGATCACCTGTCTTAATATTATGTGTTAAATACAATTATTTTTATCTTTACAATATTTATAATTATATTTGTAGTATTTCCTGTAGCTAAGCTAGTGCATTAAACATATTCCGAACAGGTTGAATGTTCATGATATATTAAGTAAACAAAATGTGAAAAATACATTATTCCATACATTCAAGATATTATATATTTAACCTATTTAAATTCTTCTTCAAAATATTATCCTAAATTATTGGACTCTGTCATTCAGATTCATGTTTTAAAATCTTACTGGTTATCAACTCCTTTTGATCTTGAGTGGAACATTTTGAATTTCCATGCATTCTGGAAAATTCTTCATTGTGAAGGAATCTTTTTATTATGGGGTGCCAAATGGCCCATGCCTACAATTTTTTCAGTACCATTCTCTGATCATTATGACAAAAAAATTCACACAAAGATTTCTACAATTTATTTTACTGTGCATTAGTGTTTTAGTCAAAAACTACTGTTCTCAACAATGAATATATGTACACTTAATCTTGTTAAAGAGTCTTATCTGGAATCTCTTATATAAAGCCAGTATTTAGTCAAATGCTTTCTTTTCAGACAGAGGTTTATCTGTAAAGCCTTCCATTCTATGTTTCACATTTTACACATTATTTGATTATATCTTGTTAATTTGGAAAACAATATATCTGAAAGAACAAAGAGTAAAATTGGAAATATTTTTAACAAAAAGAAAGTCTATACAAAATATTAAGATATTTTAAACTTTGTTAAAATTTTTTTGGGAGAGTCATTCTGTTAATTAAAAAAAATAGTGGTGGTTAATAATTGTGGAAAGGAGATCAATGGTCTTCCAAAGACCCTTAAAGAGGTAACCTTCCTAATTCCTAATCCCTATGAATATGTTAGGTTACATGCAAAAGGTAATTATGGTTGATTTTAACCCGGTGAGACTAATGATAGATTGCTGATATACAAAGCTATAAGATTATAAATGCATATTGTTTTAAGTCACTGAGCTTGTGATAATTTGTGACTGAAGCAAAACAAATACGATTATTAGTATTTCTAACACCTTTAGTAAAGCTAATAAAATGGTGACTCTCTCATGGGATCATATCTTTTTCTATGTATACAATCATATAATCTGCAAATAGGGATAGTTTGACTTCTCTTTCTCTTATTTATTTCTCTTGCATGATAGCTCTGGCTAGGGCTTCCAGTACTATGTTGAATAGGAGTGGTGACATAGGGCATGCTTGTCTTATTCCAGTTTTCAAGGGGGATGCTTCCAGTTTTACCCATTCAGTATGATGTTGGCCGTGGGTTTGTCATAAATGTCTCTACTTATTTTGAGGTATGTTCCTTCAATGCTTAGTTTTGAGGGTTTTTAACATGAAGGGATGTTGAACTTTACTGAAAGCCTTTTCTGCATCTATTGAGATAATCAAGTGTTTTATATTTTTAGTTATCTTTATGTGATGAATCACACTTATTAATCTAGGTGTGTTGAACTGACCTTGCATCCCAGAGATAAAGCCTTTTTGATCACAGTGGATTTGCTTTTTGATGTGCTGATGGATTTAGTTTGCTAGTATTTTGTTGATAATTTTCACATCTATGTTCAAGGATATTGGCCTGAAGTTTCCTTTTTCATTTTGTGTCTTCCAGGTTTTGGTATCAGGATGATGCTGGCATCATAGAATGAGTTATAGAAGAGTGCCTCCTCAACAATTTTTTGAAAAAGTTTCAGTAGGAATGATACCAGCTCTTCTCTATACACCTGGGAGAATTTGGCTGTGAATCTGTCAGGTTCTTGACTTTTTCTGGTTGGTATCCTTGTTATTAGTCATTCAGTTTCAGAATTCATTATTGGTCCATTCAGGGATTCAATTTCTTCCTGGTTGAATCTTGAATGATTGTTTGTTTCCACGAATTTGTCAATGTCTTCTTGGTTTTCTATTTTGTGAGCACAGAGGTGTTTACAGTAGTCTACAAAGGGTATTTTTTTTTTATTATTTCTGTGAGTTCAGTGATAACATCTCTTTGTCATTTCTGATTGTGTTTATTTGGATTGTCTCTCTTTTTTTTCTTTATTAGTCTAACTAGTGGTCTATCTATCTTATAATTCTTTCAAAGAACAAACTCGTGGATTCATTAATCTTTTTTATTTCTTTTATGTCTTGGATTCCTTCAGTTCAGCTCTAATTTTGGTTATTTCTTGTCTTCTGCTAGCTTTGGGGTTGGTTTGTTTTTGTTTCTCTAATTCCTCTAGATGTGATGTTAGGTTGTTAATTTGAGATCTTTCTCACTATTTTATGTGGAAATTTAGTGCTATAAACTTGCCTCCTAAAATTGCTTTAGTTGTTTGCAGAGATTCTGGTATGTTGTATCTGTGTTCTCATTAGTTTCAAAGACTTTCATGATTTCTGTCTTAATTTCATGATTTACTCAAAAGTCATTCAGAAGCAGGTTGTTTCATTTCCATGTAATTGCATGGTTTGAGTCATTTACTTGGTATTAATTTTAATTTTTATTGTGCTGTGCTTTAAGAGTGTGGTTGGTATATATTTTTTTAATTTACTGAGGACTCTTATGTTCAATTGTGTGGTCAATTTTAGAGTATGTGCCATGTGCAGATGAGAAGAATGCATATTCTGTTAGTTTCGGGTGGGGAGTTTTGCAGATGTCTTTTAGGTGCATTTGGTCAAGTGTTAAGTCCTGATTATCTTTGTTAGTTTTCTGCCTCTATGATATGTCAAATACTGTCAGTGGGGACTTGAAGTCTTGTACTCTTATTGTGTGGTTCTAAGTCTCTTTGTAGGTCTCTGAGAACTTGCTTTATGAATTTGGGTGCTCCTATGTTGGATGCATATATATTAATATTTAGGATAGTTAGGTCTTATTGTTGAGTTGAGCTATTTACCATTATGTAATGCCCTTCTTTGTCTTTTTTTTTGTATCTTTGCTGGTTTGTAGTCTGTTTTGTCTAAAATTAGAAAAACGACCATTGTATTTTCTATTTTCCATTTGCTTGGTGGGTTTTTCTTCAGTCCTTTACTTTGAGCCTATGGATGTCATTGCATATGAAATGGGTCTCTTGAACAAAACACAATGTTGGGTCTTGCTTCTTTATCCAACTTGCTACATTGTGCCTTCTAACTGGGGCATTAAGCCTGTTTATACTCAAGGTTAGTATTGACATGTGCGGATATCCTGTCATCTTGTTGTTAGCTGGTTATTGTGCAGACTTGTATGTGATTGTTTTATATGTCAATGGTCTAGGTACCTAAGTGTGTCTTTGTAGTGGATGATAATGTTCTTTCCTTTCCATATTTTGCACTCATTTAAGGACCTCTTGTAAGGCAAGTTTGGTGGCAACAAATTTCCTTAGCTTGTCTGAAAGGGATCTTATTTCTTCTTTGCTTATGAAGCTTAGTTTTTCTGGATATAATATTCTTGGTTGGAAATTATTTTCTTTAAGAATGACAAATATGGACCCCCCAATCTCATCTGGGTTAGGGTTTCTGCTGACATGTCTATTGTTAGCCTGATGGGGTTCTCATTGTAGGTGACATGCCCATTCTCTATAGCCACCTTTAACATTTTTCTTTCGTTTTGATCTTGGAGAATCTGATGACTATCTGTCTTGGAAATGGTCTTCTTGTGTAGTTTTTCCCAAGAATTCTCTGCATTTCCTGAATTTGAAGAATGGCCTCTCTAGCAAGTTTGAGGATGTTTTTTTGGACAATATCCTGAAATATGTTTTTCAACTTGCTTGCTTTCTTTCTCTCTATCTCTTTCAAGAAAACCAACATGTCATAGATTTGATCTCTGCATAAACCCATATTTCTTGGAGATTTTGTTCATTCTTAATTTTTTTTATTGTTTTTATCTGACCAAGTTATTTTGAAGAGCCAGGATTTCAACAGCCTATGGCAAGAGTGAGTGGCTCTTCACCTGCTCAACTCATCCCTTCCCCGCCAGTCACTGGTGGTCAGGAATGAGTCCAGGTACATAGCAGCCTCCTTTCAGAGTTCTCACCTTCCTCCCCCTTTAGCCCACTATCTGTGTCCCGCATCTTTCAACTCTCCATGCCTTCTCTCTGAAGACCTCCTTTGAGTGTGATGGTCTTCCAGATGTCCCAATCCCTCAGCAGGAGATGTTCCTCCTGGCTGCATCTAGTTGACCATCTTGCCTCTTCTTCTTTTTCAATAACTTCTGTCATGGCTTCATTTGTCTGTTATCCATTACAATTAAACAATTAAAATAATTGTTTACACAGGCATTATGTATTTTCTCAGTTCATAATTCAATTGCAATATATTAAAATTTGGATTTCTGCCTGATTATTCTGTTAAGTGTCATCAAAACTATCATGTCCCCAAAGTTATTGGTCAATTCTCTGGCTCATCTTATTTGGCCACTCAGTATCCTTTAAAGTAAATGATCACTTCCTCATTCTCAAAGCTTTCTTACCTTTGGTGACAGTTTTAGTTTTGGTTCTGCTGAAAATCATATAATTTGAGACAATGGCTTGTATCAAGGCAGTTTAGGAAGGAGGTAGTTCTCAAAGGGCAGGACTGAAGGAATGGAAAGCATGAAGCAGGGGAGAAAAGTAAAGAAGGTGAGGGTCTATTAGTTATCCGCAGTCAGCAATGGTGGCCCAATTTTGCTCGAATCTCTGAGAAGTATAGTAAACATCTCCCAGACTGGCCCATCTGAAAGACTGGAGGCTGATGGATCTATGTGTGGGTTGTAGATTACCCCAGTGCAACGATGCTTACTTTCCTAACCTGTATTATAAAATGATCAGCTGATATCCTGTGGCATCCAAGGAGACCCTGTGAAAGGCATACAGAGCATGTTAGAGGCAGAATGCTAGTGTTGGAGGTGACTCAGATGTATCTACCACAGCCCAGGACTGAAAGTGGAGTTGAGCCCAGGGAATGTTTCCAGACACTTCACTCTTGAATTTTCAATGACTTCTCTGGTGATTTCTCTTCAGTTTCATTTTTTTTTTTTGTAAGTGCCTCCTCTTCAATCTTTGTATGATGTAATTTCCCATATTTAACCCTGTGAAATATTTTCTTTCATTTGAAATTCTCTAAAGTTAGTCTTATCCCTTCCCGTTATTTTACATACCATATTTCTGCTGATGACTCAAAACATTTTATCTCCAGGAAAAAAAAAAAAAGCAAAGCAACTTCTTTAATTTGGACTCATCTATATGAGCACATTCTTTGCATTTTTAAATGAATTTCTCACAGCCATTTTAAACACAGCATGATCAACCTAGACTCTTGAAACCCATCGCCCTCACATACCTAATCCAACCTTCTCCTTAATAGATAGCAATTCCATCTACCCAGTAATAGAAGTCAGAACTTTAGACATGAGCCTTGACTTCTTTTATTTACCCCCACAAAAAAAAGTTTTTATTTCTTCAAAGTATGTGTAGCCCGCTCATCTCTCCTTCATCAGTATTGTCATCCTATAACAAATAGAAGAAATATTTATCATGTTAAATATTCTGATGAGAAAATAAATTACTTTTTTTTCACTTTGGTGTTGTTTCTCTTTCTTCAGGTCTTTCTATAATACATGAATAGCTGGTCAAATATATCAAAAGAAGAAATATCTATCAAACAATTTTTGCTTTTAATGAGAGTCTGTCACATGTTTGTATCCAACAACAACAATATTGAGGTACTATGGTATTTTGTATACAATATACATTAGAGCTTATTAAGTGCAACATGTGATTAGAATATACAGCTACATGTTAATACCTAAATATATAAATGTATACAGCCAAAACATTTCACCATGCTCATCTTTTAGTACAAGTAAATTATCTAAATAGTCAGCTCTCATTAAAATTAGTCACATAAATTTTTTGAAAGTAGGTTTTCCATCTCCCTTCAGATATAAAACATTTAAATATTTTTCTCATTTTAAACAGGGACAATATTTTAGATCAAATACGAACATTCCTGACAATGGGATTTGAATATTCTTTCTCAATAATTTAGAAAGGTAAACTGTTTTAAGTGTTTTCTAAGCAGACTGAGACAAAGAATAGTTGCTTTTTCAGGAATTTTGGTCCTCTCACGCATATATGTACTTCAATAATAGTTACAAAATTTTTACAACTTACTTTTGACAAAATCTTTAAATCAGATAGGTGAAACTTCAGTTTGAATGAAATCACGAATTCCAATTCGTGCCCAACTATAGGACAAAAATCTTTAGATAAAGATTGATATTTATCTCACCAAAAAATTCACCTCTTTTCCAAGGTTTTAGCTCATCAACATAATTGAATCAAAATGTTTTACTCACAAAATGTTTTTTATTATTCATTTTTAAGTAGACAAATGCTAGATTCCATAATAAAACTTTTTGTGTGATCTTTAGTTTTGAATTATCTAAAGTTTTAGATTCATTTAGTAGCCCATCTTATGGCCAAATGCAGGAGCTTGTCAAATTTAGGAAAGGAATCTCAAAGAACTGGTAATTATTTGAATAATGACAATTGCTATTCTTTAAGAATTAGATTTTTTTTTAGAAATTAACTGAGAAATATAAACATAAATAAAGTGAAATTTGAGTGCATCAACTGTTTCTTCAGTTGATTCA
Organism: Homo sapiens; assembly: GCF_000001405.40. Classification (NCBI taxonomy): domain Eukaryota; kingdom Metazoa; phylum Chordata; class Mammalia; order Primates; family Hominidae; genus Homo; species Homo sapiens. Next base: position 34,414,588 of record NC_000004.12, read on the forward strand.
TGATGAACTACAATACATAAAGGTCAAGACAAAGCTTTAAAAGAGAACGATAATAATACATTTTCTAGAAAATTTGTAATCGAGGAGAATTAATGGTGAATTTGCAACCTGTTACTTCTGCCATAGTCTTAGGAGGTGATCAGCTACACTCTTGAAAGTTCAACCAGTAATAGGTAAAAACTCTGATGATCTCAAACTTAGGTTAAAAACTCATAGAAATGTTGCTATTTTTGGGTTGAAAGCATAAAGCATCAAATTCTATTAGTGACTAAGTGACTTCTTAGGTTGGTAAATTTTGCAAATTCTCTGTCTCTTAGTTTTGTCATCTGTAAAATAGAAGCAATAATAATAGAAACATTATTACATTTGTTTGAATTAATTGATATTGTATATGAAGGACTGTGTTTGTACTGTATATAAAAAATTCTTGGCACTTGGTAAGCAAAAGTATAAGAGAATTGATATGACAAATATCTAAAAATTAAATTAAAATATATCTGAATAATTTAAGTATAAATCAACATTTGTATAATATACTGTAATTTCTCAATGATGTCAGAAAGAAAAATATTTTAGAAAATTAAACATTTATTTATTTAGAATAACTGATGGAGGTTATGTTAGTATAGGATTATATTATGTATATTTAAAGTTATTTACTTTTTAATACTTAATATATTTATACAATACAGGAAATTATATACATATATTTTGCACTGTAGTTTATTAACTTAAAAATTCATTTTGGATATAAATCCAAAATATGTGTACACATGTATACACATACATATACATATACTTATACATATACATATACATATGCTTTTTGCACTAATGGTTAAATAGTATTTCATTGAATGAATGGGCCAAATTTAATAAGCCAGTTTCCTACCTATCTATATAATTAGACATTTAAATTTAGACATTTAAAATTTTTCCAATCATTGGTTAATAAAGTCAATGGACACAGGTATATACACAAATATGATGGTTCTTTATTAGCACAGTAATTTTCATTCTAACATGTTTTCAAATTTTTGATTATTGCTAATCTTATAGGCACAAAACACTAAATGACTCCAGTTTAACTTAAATTTACCTTATAAAATGAGTTTTAATATTTCTTCATGTGTTTAAATATTTGCCACTTATTGTTCATATTATTCATTGTTCCAGTAAATTGCAAATGTATTCCTTCTTTCACTTGTTACTTATTGAATAACTATCATGAGTCAGGTCCTATTGTAGGTACTGAGGATATATCAGTAAATAAAACAGATATAAAAGCTCCTGTACTTATAGTGCTTATGTTTATCTATTGCATTGTTAGCATTTTTAATTTTAACTTGTCAGATATTTATTATGTTATATTTTTTCAATTTGTCATAGCCATCACATACACTGATAATCACCAAAATGTGGACATAATTAGGTAACATATGTTATTTACAATAGCAAAACAAGATAAATATCTGGTAATAAAACTTTGAAAATTCTTCATGTTTATAAAATGGTCTATGAAATCTTTAAAATGCTAGTGAGGGATAAAAAAATTGATTTAAGGCTGGGTGTGGTGGTTCGTGCCTGTAATCCCAGCACTTCAGGAGGCCGAGATGGGCGGATCACGAGGTCAGGAGATCAAGACCATCCTGGCTAACATGGTGAAACCCCATCTCTACTAAAAATACAAAAAAATTAGCCCGGTGTGGTGGCAGGTGCCTGTAATCCCAGCTACTCGGGAGGCTGAAGTAGGAGAATCGCTTGAACCCAGGAGGTGGAGGTTGCAGTGAGCCGAGATTGTGACATCGCACTCCAGCCTGAGTGACAGAGCAAGACTCCATCTCAAAAAAACAAACAAACAAACAAACAAAACCAATTTAAACAAAGTAAATGCCATAATGTTAGAGATGAATCACATGGATGGAAGTTTTCTCTGTTATTGTACAAATTAAATAAAACTCAATAAAGTCAAAATAGGAGTTTTGGTAGTATACAAGAAGATCTTAAAGTTCTTATTAAAGATTTTTGAAATAAGAATAATCCAGAAAAAATGGCAAAGAAATGATAGAGAACCAGTTCTGCAAGACATTTTTCCATTTAATTCAACAGTCTGGCCCCAGTTAAAACTGAAAACCATATGGACTCTAGTGGATAACTGTGGACTACTATAAGCTCAACCAAGTAATAACATAGTACCTCTAATTACATTTGCTATTCCAGATATGGTATCTTTGCTACAGAAGATCAATATAGCTTGAGATATATGGTATGTGGCCATTGATTTCGTAAAGTCTCCTTTATTTTTTCTTTCTAATCAAAAAAGGAGATGGGAAACCATGTGCATTTAAGTGCCATGGAAAGAAATATACACTTACCATTTTGTTGCAGAGTTTTGTTAACTCTGTTGTCCAAAGTCATAACACAGTCTGTTGATATCATATCTCTGTGAGATATGACAATGATCTTCTATATTAATGACATTATATTTATCAGGTTGAATGAATAAGAAGTGGTTAAATAAGAGGCCTTTGTAAGACATCTGAGTTCCAGAGGATGGGAAATTAACTATAGCACATTTTCAGGGGCTGATCATATCTATAAAATGTTAGGGATCTATTGGTCAGGGGCATGTGAGGACATCTCCTCAGAGTAAAAGACAAATGCTTCCATCTTGCAAGTCGTGAACAAACAAACGAAGCACGAAGCCTGGCAGGCCAGTTTGGTTTCTGAAAGCAGCATTACTTCACAACAAGGATTACTGTTGTGACTCAGAAGCCAGATGATGTGACAGCAGATACCTTTGAGAGGAGCTCAGAGTAGAAAAGTGCTCTGTCACATGTCCAGGCTTTGCTGCATGTAGTCCTACTGCTTGGATCATAAGATCTGGAAAGCCCTAAGCTGTGGAAAAAGCTGCCAAGTCCAGTTTATACCAAGCTTTGGTGGAAAAGTTATAGAAGTTGATTATTAGTAAATATCTGCCACTAAAAACTCTGTCTTGGCATTTGCATACCAAAACCTCAATCTGTGACAATAATTTGTATGTGACAAAAAATATAGATTTTTAAATTAATATGTATGAAATAAACAAATGGGTACATTAATGAATGAATAACACTGGCTTGATGGTTTTATAATATGTCATTGTAGATAGACTAAACTACATTATCAGAATTCTCTTTCTTATATGTTTCCAGTTAGTTAGGCCACAAGAGATTCTTGTGGAAGGCAGAAAGAAAGAAGCAGCCATTTTATAGTTATCACGTGATGCTCCTGATCTGTGGGCCCATTGCAGGAACTGTGATAGATCTAACCTCCCAGAATTCTCTTCAGTTTTCCTAGCTCCTGAGCTTGATGTGGATGTTTTATTACCTTGACAAAGGCCCTTGCTTCTGCAGGATCAGACACCAAGAATGGATGCAAATTTCAGTCTTAGGATTTCGGCTTGCGCCAGCAGGATTCCAGCACATTCCTAATCTTCTCTTTCCTTCTTAATCAGCCCCCACAATTGCATAAGCCAATTCTCAATCACAGATGTATATATCTATCTAATACATACACACACACACACACACAAACATATACACACACATATATGCAAATATACACATGCATATTTATAACATGTGTGTATATGTGTAACAGATACACAAATCTATTCAATGTACACACACATAAACATGTATACATATATACACATATATGACATACACATATGCATACATATAAATGCATGCATATGGAATAAATAACATATACATATGGATGAATAGATAGATATAGTTTTCTGGTTATATTTCTTTGGATGAACCCCAAAGGAATCAATGAACAAATCAACCTTAGAGATCATTCAAATACAGGATAGCTTGCACAATGTTAGGGGAAAACCTTCCACTAACATTTGAAGTAGTACTGTACACTTCTTCAAAATATGAGGCAGATCACATTACTCTTTTCCAGTCAGAGCACAAGCCCTTACCTTACAGTGACCTACACAGCCCTACATGATCTGATTCCCCATTACTTCCTTCACGTTGCTGACTACCCATCTCCAGCAATGCAAGCTATTCCCGGTTGTATTGACCTCCTCCATCTTTTTCAAATTTTACACATATGTATGGCTCAGATTCTTTGCACTTGATGTTCTTTTTTATCCCTGAAGCTCAGTGTTCACAGATACCCATCTTCATGTCTCCTTCTCTCCCTCCCTTCAAGACAGATCCAATGTCACCTACTTGCAGACCTTGCCCAACCACCTGTATAAAATAGCAATTCTGTCATTATTCATTTTTTCTCCATAGCATGTATCTCCATTTTATAAATAATGTATCCATTTGTTTATTTATTTGTTATCTAACCTAAGTAGAATTAAAACACCATGAAAATGCAGACATTGTCTATTGTTTATTTTTGTATCTTCAGTGGCTACAGCAATATCTAGCATTTAGCCAATACTTAATGATTATTTTATTGAATGAATAAATGAACGATATGAATCAAAATTATGAATAAGGACATTTTTCTTTACAGATACAATTTTGCCTCTATGGCTTTGACCTAAAATATTATATTCTTCAAAATTTACCTACAAGGATATAATTGTAGCACAATTTGTAATAATCAAAATGAAAGAAAACTATTAAATATTCATCAACTATTACGTGTACCTGGTCCAACTATTTGATGGAGTTTAAATGGCTTTTTAATCACATGGGAACATTTCCTTGATATTTATTTTATTAAGTGAGGAAAGCAATTTATATAAAATTGTATAAGGACCTTAAGATTGTAAGAGTGAGAGACTTCCTTTTTTATTTTGTACATATCTGTACTGGCTAATCTTACATTTATTATGCTTTCCTTTCATCTTATGGTTTTACGCTTGAATTCTTCCTATGGGCTTACTTAAAACATATACACACAAACAGACAAACATTTGCTAACACACTAAATCTCTCAGTATTTATGAATACCAATGACAGTGGTGCTGAAGATAATAATGAGATGGGCTTTTTGAGAACAAGACAATGCTTTAGTCCCTGCTTCACTCCCAGCACTCATAACAGCTTTGTCTTAGACTAGATATTTAACAGTTATTTGCTGATTATATTCTTGAAATATCAGTCCAACATATTAGGTAATATCTCAGAAAGTTTCTTCTCATATTTATAACTTGCTTTTTCTTTCATTTCATTAAAACACACACAACCACACACAACACAGACACAATGAAGAGTTATTCTGTTCTCTAAATAAAAATCACTAGCTGTAGCGGAATCCCAAGAGAGAAAATACAATGACTACAAATACAGCAAAGCTCTCAGGGGAACTTTTGACTCAATTTTCTAAGAGTGGCAGAGAAAAAAAGAACAGAGGTCTTTCAAGTTCTGGGGGGGACAAAAAAAAATCCCAGCCACTCCCTGGAGAAATGCTTGCAGAATGGGCACTACTTTTGTAGTTTTTGAAGCCTGTCTCCCCCAATCTACTACTGCTGGCACTGCCCATTTAAGTGCACCATGACTGGCTTTGAAGGAACAAAGTCAGGGAGGGTGAACACCAGCTTGAAGTCCCCAAATACAGTATTCGTATGGACCCGATCAAAAAGAAAAGAAATCATTTCAGGTTTGAGGGACTGCTGCTGAGCTACTGAGACTAAAGGAGTCTAAAAAGACAGTGGATTTGTATGGTAGAAGTTATACTTTTATTCTACCACCTTCTGCATGGGAATTCATTTTTGAACAGCTAAAAAGACTTCACTATTTATAGGTTTTAAAAGAGTATTACAATCAGGTTTTATTATTTTCGGCGGGGGGGGGGCTAGATTCTTATGTGAGACTTCTGTTTTCCACACTGATAAACTAGAATCAATAAAAATTATATAGAAACTTTTGAAAAACCAAATATTGAGTGATATGACTATTTTTTCTGTGTTATTAACAAGAAAAATTGATCATCTAATTTTTAACAGTTGCTAGAATATGAGTAAATCTTCAATATTTAATGATTTGTACAAAAAGTTATAAAACTGCAAATGTTTGAAATTAAAATGGCAAATACTATTTAAATTCTCCAATACATTTTACAAATCTAAGAATTTTAAAGGATTCTACTGGCCATTTCATATTTGCAAGAACATATTTTACTGTTAATAAGTAACATATTAAATAAATTTTATTCGGTTACTCTTTCTATAATTTCAAGATGGTTTCACATTAAGATAAAATATTTTTAACATTGTAATATTCTTTACCATTATTTATAGGTATTTATATTCACATTTTGTTTCATTAAATTACTAAAATCTCTACCAGCCAGAATGGAGAGATACTCCAAGAAAAGTGAAAATATATGCCCACATAAAGACTTGTACTCAAATGTTTATAATAGCTTTTTGTCTAAGAGCCACAAGAGAAATAACTAAATACCCATCAACGAGTATTGAGACATATTACTCAGTCATAAAAATGAACAAATTAATTACACACTATATCATAGATATAAGTTAAAGTCTATTCTGAGTGAAAGAAGGCAAACAGAAAAAAAGTACATGCTATGTTTTTTTATGAACTTCCAGAAAATGCAGGCTAACCTATAGTAGTGACAAAAAGTAATCATTGGTTGCCTAAGGGACAGGAGAGAAGAATTACAAAAGGTTATTAGTACACTTAGCAAGTGATATAATTATTCATTGTTCTTATTTCATTGATGTATTCAGGATGCATACATACATTAACATTCACTAATGTTAACATTTACTTTAAATATATACAGTTTATTTTACATTAATTGTTTATGAACAGTTTTTATAGCTTTATTAATTATACCTAAAGTTATACCTTAAGGAAAGTTGTAAAATGGATGTCATGTGGAAAAACTATATTTTATTTTATATCTATGTGTAAATTTCTAATGAAAAGGTTAAGATTATTTCATTAGTAGTCATTACCATATTTCTCATATGTGTTTGCACATTTGGTTCACAGATGTCTTACAATGTATCATCCTTTTATAAGATTCTAGAATCAATCAGTATAGCAGGTACTGTTACCCACAAAATAGAAAACATAACTTCTAATCTGCTAATGATGAGATATCACAAGCACATTTAATTCACAAACATGAACTTTGGGAAAAAGAAAGAATATTGCTCTATAAAAAAATAGAATTGCTGACTTATTCTCCACTTGAAAATGTGCTGTCAATTTCTTCATTAATATTGTTCTAACTTTGCAAAGATAATGTTTTCTAACCTTTTCTGCTGAAAGCAGCTATAGGATTCAAAGTTAAGCAATTATTTTACTGACTAATAATTTATGCCTAACAAAAATGTAGCAACTTGATAAATCATAAGTAAATAAAAGTGTAAAATATGATTTTATTAAATTTAATTTCTCCTCATGGCAGGTATTTTTCAAGGAAGCAATTGTGCTTTGTTCATATTATCAAGACCATGAATTCTAATTATAGTGACCTCTAATGGAGCAAAACTTCTAGAAAGAGTTTCCTAATTGAATAAATAAATTGCACAAGAGTGTACATCTAATTAAACTATTAATATTTTAATCAAATTTAATCAAAATAAACAGAAAATCACAAAATTAACAGAAATTTAGGAACATTAGTAATTGTATTGGATCATTTGGTTGCTAGAAGCAAAATCTTTTCTCTGTTATATCACATTTCAAACAATTGGAAAAACAGTTTCCAAATCAGCAGTCAAAAACTATGTAGGCTTTGCTGTAAATAGTACCAAAAAGGACACAAAAAAAGGGTGGTTGTATTACCAATTTGAGAGAATACCAAGTGTTTTCTTAACTGTGGTGTGCATGTAAAAGCAAAATCTATATTTTTAGCTGAGTGGTAATTTCATTCACAGTATTTGATTACATGTCATCTATGTCCAACATTTTATTTTTGCCTAATTCATATTTTACCCATATAATTGATTTAAGTCAATAGTGTATCTTTCAGATGAAACTAGAGCCAAGCAAACTTGCCCAGGAATATACAGAAATTCATTCTACTTCTTAAGGGTCTTCCTTTTTCCAGTTTTCCCTTGCTGCAGAATTGCAGCACGATTCAGCATTCTACAGCTCCATCTTGTGTCATGCAAGTATTTAAAATCCTTTTCTTTTTCTCTGAGCTGGATAGTTATGTTTCTGTTCTTTGAGGATACAGAACGATGACAAGGTGGGCTAAATGTAAGTGCTTGGACAAACATTATGAACAAGTGTTAATAACAGCCAGATGGGAGGTGCAACTAATGTGCAATGCACTTGCTGCTCTTCTGATCATGCTCACTGGTGAACGGCTTCTCACTGAAACATTGGCATAACCTTGTCTGTCTGTCTGTCTTTTTTGTTCCAAGTTCACGTGTGACAAGGACCATCAGCAGAGCATTACAATGGCCAGCTGCTTTGGTCTGCAGCTGTAGGCAACACTAATTCTTTCTCTTTTCATTCATTCTTTTAACACAAAATTGGTCTTGACAATGCATTTTTATAATCAGTGTGTTCACTTTTCAGTGTCACCAATTTTTTACACATGACATGCTGGTTAGTTTAAGAAATTGATATTGTTCAGAGAGTTGTTTTGCTAGTGTGTTTACTGAGTTGAAATAAAAGTTAAAAAGCCTGCACAGTTCAGAAAAACATATCCTGAAAGTCCTTGAGTTGGGGCTGCTACAAAAGGAAGCTGAAAGCACAGATTTTTGTCAGTGGAGCATGAAGATGACAAAAACAATGACCTCAATCCAGCATCTTAAGCAGTCTGCCTGTGACAGCAATAGAAATTGCTATAGGCAAATTATGTACTTTTTCCTTAATATGTCAATTTCCTTTTAAATTGTATATAATTACATTTAGGTTTTTTTAGAAAGTCATTCACTAACAATTATATATGTGTAGAACACACTGCATGTTTTTCATAAGAATAATATATTTTTTGCAGTTAAAATATAAACAACACTGCTACCAAAATCTGAATAATGTACCTATTAATGCACATTCTAAATACTGAACGTTTTTATGTAGAAATATAATTACTTCTTATAGCTAATATCACTCATAGGAAAAACAAGAAAAAAATTTAATAACATTTGTCAAATAAGCAGTGCCATTATTTAAATGTGTATGTATGTCATACGGGAAGACAGTTAATGATTTTGTTTAATTTTTGATGGCATATAAATTAACCCAGAAAAGTATACTGGTTGTTTTAATTTTTGTACTTTGAAGTCTGAGCTAAATTAAAAGGGAACTCTTGTTATAAAACTGTTTCTTTGTTCATCTATTCCCCCTTTCATTTATTCACTAACAAATTCAAAAAAAAATTGAGCATTTAAAATATACCAAGTAATATCCTAACTGTTGAAGACAAAGTAAAAAGAATTAAAAAAAATGATTTGCCCATAATTCTCAGCAAACTAGGAACAGAAAACCAAAAACCACTTGTTCTCACTCATATGTGGGAGCTGAACAATGAGAACACATGGACAAAGGGAGGGGAACATCATACACCAGGGCCTTTAGGAGGGTGGAGAGCAAGGGGAGGGAGACTATTAGGAAAAATACCTAATGCATTTGGGGATTAAAACCTAGATGACTGGTTGATGGGTGCAGCAAATCACCATGGCACATGTATACCTATGTAACCAACCTGCACGTTCTACACACGTATTCCAGAACTTAGAGTAAAATTTAAAACAAGAAATGGTTTGCAATGTCAGGCTCTGTGTGTATATGTATATAGCTGTGTGTATATACATATGTGTGTGTATGCATGGTAATGGTTGTGTGTTTGTATGCGGTTGCGTGCTTTCTGTGAACAGACAAAAAATTATTTATGTTTCATGGTAAATCATTGGCTTAACCAACCTAAAATTCATTGTAAATAACTATTTAAAACTTTGGCAAAAAGTGTTAGATGAAAACTCCTAAAGTTCTTTAAATTGTTAATGATTCACTATATCAATCTCACTGAGAATTAATTCCAACAAATATTGCTTATACTGTAATTAGTTTTATCTACATCAGATTTTATTGGTATTTAAAATAATAATGAAAATTTTAAATGTATTCTATGCCACAATCTATATAAGGGTTGCTTATTAACAATATTTAGGCAATGGAAAACTTCAATGAGTGATTTCTTATTTAAAATTTGTCCCTCGTCTATGTGCAAAAGCAACTGAAGCAACTCACATTAAATTGCAGTTCAAAATGATAATATTAAATAGCAAAACAGAAAAGATACTTTCTCTCCCGAGAATTGTTTAGCAATCAAGATTTGCCAACTAATAAAATGCAGTTTTATCTTGTGAGAAAGGTTTAAACTGCTTCTTTAGAACTATATGCATTATCTTGAGTCTCTACATATTTCTCATTTTTGTTTTAAATTTGCTATACATTTATAGGAACCTTGCAATTGTAACGCTGCCTCAACATTTATGGAAAATTTTGAAATGTGGAGAAAAGGCATTAAACTGGTAAAAACTTTGATGTCCAGCCAAGGCAGTAATATAGATGAAAGAAACAAGAATTGTAAGAGGAAAAAAGTGGAGCAGGGTCTGCTCTACGCGACATGAAAAGAGCTCATGTAGGCAATGCCTACTCTATTTAAATAAACACCATGAAAAAAAGTTGTATCACTTTCCACATCTCGATAGACCCTGAGTAATATTTTAGTGATATTGATAATTCTCATTGAATTTGATTTTCATCTTCAAATTTCACAGAGAAAATATCACATCCATAAGACACATGAACAAACATCCTCTTGTCTTCTGATATTTTGTACTCAAATTATCCTTGTTTCAAAACTTAAGAAAGAATAGTAATCCAATCGACTAAAATATTATAAAAATCTCACCAATGGTCATTATAATATACTTATGTAGGTCAAAGCAATTCTTTATAGAATATCCTAAGATTTCTTTAGATCTGCCATTAGCAAGTTCCACCGATGAGGCTACAGCTCACCCTGACCTTACTGTATCTTGCAGAAGGAAGAAAATGAATCATATCTTGTTTCTTATTTTAATATCCCAATTATTCGGAAATACTTTAGGTTTCTAATATTGAACCTACTAGTTTGTATTCTGTCAATTAAAATTTAGGAAAGGCACTAAAAGTCTGTAATACATTCAACACATTTAGAGTAACTTCACAGTGCACATAATTCAATGTGCCTGACACATCCCAATTTTGTCTCAGTACAATTTTTTTTTAAAAAACAAAATATGTTTTAGTGCCTTCTAGGTGTTAGAAATATTTCAAGAAACATTTAAAATACAGAAGTAATACAGGTTCTGTGTTTAGGAACTCACAATGTACTTAGAAAAAGATGTAAACATACACATATTTATATCAGATACAGATATTGGTGATTTTTTTGAAAGAAGATAAGCTCTGTTTGAAAAAATTCAGAAAGAATATACTATAGAGATATTATTTAAAGTTTGACTTTTTATTTGATGTGTATTTTAAAGAATTTAAAGCAATTTACTTTCTTAATTAGTATATACAAATGAATAAATGATATAGAACATTTCTGAATACAAATAGCTTGTGGCTTAGATTTGTTTATTATGACTAGTAATGAGCTATTTCATTTTGATACCGGTTCTTCTTTAATTTGAGGTTTAGTCAATATTACAAAAGTGTCCTATAGACTTCCTCTCTATCAGATATATAAGTAGTAATACCCCAGCATTTTAAGGTGGCCAATGAAACGCACACACACACACACACACACACACACACACACACACACACACACACTAGAATTAATCTTGGAACTTGAGAGTATTTAGTGGTTTGGAAGCCAGATTTACATAGTTTATCATTAAAAATAAACAAATGTACATTTGGCAGCATAGAATCACTGTCTAGTGACAAATTTATGTGTACAGGCAGAACATTTTAAACTAAATTCTTAGTTTAAAAATATGACTTGTGTATTACTTTAGATGCTGTAGGACTTACTTACCCTTTCAGTTTTCACTAGAAAATATCACTATGTAGGTTGTAAAAATTTCTTAAGCTAAATAACTGCTGAATCTTTTTCCTCTTTAAGCAAAGACAGCTTTTTCATTTTCACTTATATAAAACAACATTTTCTTTAGAGATTAAGTTTCTTATTCTTTTTCAACATTTTAGGTTACTGCTGCTTTTCTGAAAATGAGAATTGAATAATGAGTTAAAATTGCTTTTTTTGTTTTATCATATAAACTATGTCTGGTTTCCTTCAGAAATAACTTTTAAAAATACTTCTACTGATACTCTGACAAAAATTATATTTCTTTAAAAATACACACTTAAATGATCTTAGAAATATAGTCTTTCTTGGTTTCTAATTCACAGATATAAAACTTCTGATTTAATTGAATAGTTTGCACAATTCTGATCTACTTTTCTTAGATTATAATAACTTATTTTAACTATCTGCAGAGCAAAAAGGCACAGAGATTGAAAAATACATTTTGGAAATATTGCCTTTAAAGGAATTTCTACTATTCAAATTAAATATAATGCCAAAATAATATTTGTTAAAGCTTAACCAGGGACTAATTTACAACATAAGCTTAGCTTTGAAAAACAAACAAACAAAAACAGACCTTGTTCTAAAATGAAAACATAATATTTGACTTAAAATTTGGAATTTTGAGCAAATAACTTTGTTTTAGAATTATATTTTGCTATGGTTTACCATTGGGCAAATTCATGACTATTCATGAAGCAAATTAGTTTCCCTGCACCAATCACAGGGCCTGCAACATGGTAAGGATTCAATAATTGTTTCTTGTTTAAATGAAAAAAATGAATTTATAATATCTAGTTACTTTGTATTTTTAAATTAACAAACTTAATTATTTGAATAGCTGTAGGTTTGTAGAAGAATTGAGTGCAAAGTTCAGAAAATTCCCATATATCTACCTCACTAACATATGGTATATTTGTTCAAATTGATGAGAAAATATTGAAATATTAACTAAAATCCTTGGTATACATTTGGGTTCCCCTTTCCGGTTGCATATTTTGTGGGTTTTGAAAAATGTATAATGGCATGTATTGACTATATTTAACTATATACATGCCATTACACATTTGCACAGAATAGTTTGACTGCCAATCAGTGGTTACCAAGGACAAAGGAGGGGAGGAAGAGGGATCAATAGGTGGAATACAGGCATTCACAGTATCCACTATCTCCTAGTTTGGCCTTTTCCAGAATATCACAGAGTTGGAATCACAGAGTATGTAACATTTGTCAGATTAGGTTCTTAACTTAGCAAGCTGCGTTTTTTGGACAAATCATATTATCATAACAAAAATGCCATAAACTGGATGGCTTAAACCATAGAAATGTGTTTCACACAGGTCTGGAGGCTGAGAAGTTTAAGATCAAAGGCTAACAAGGTAAAATGGCCTCTTCTCTTAGCTTCTCAGTAGCCATTATCTTGCTGGTGTGCTCAGATGACCTCTTACTTGTGCATGCATGGGAAAAGAGAGCTCTCTGATATCTCTTCTAATAAGGACACCAATTCCTTTGAATTAGGGCCCATACTTATGACCTATTTAACTTTAATTGCCTCCTAAAGACTTTATTTCCAAATGCAGTCACATTGAGTATTAGGGATTCAATCTATGAATTGTAGAGACAAACCAGTATATGGTATTTCACTCTTGGTCTCCCAAAATTCATAGTCTTTTCATATGCAAAACATATTCACCTTTTCCAACAGTCTTCCACATCCTAATTCATTCCAGCATCAGCTCTAAAGTGTAAAGTCTCATCTAAATATCATCTAAATCAGGTATGAGTGAGACCTTAGATATGATTCATCATGAAACAAAATTTCTCTCAAGCTGCAGACCTGTGAAACTAGAAAAGTTATGTGGCTCCAAAATACCACCTAACTTTTGTAGTATGATGGGACAGGCATAGGATAAACATTCTCATTCCAAAAGGGAGAAATAGAAATGGAGAAAGGAGTAGCAGCTCCCAAGCAAGTCCAAAAGCAGGCAAAGCAAATTTCATTAGATCTTAAGGTTCAATAATAATTCCCTCTGGCTCAATGACTCATCTTCTGGACTAATTGGGGTGGTGACTCTGCCCCCAAAGCGCTAAGTGGGGTTGTTGCCAGGCTCAGGTCTTCCTCCCAAGGCTCTGCTGGCAGAGGCCATCTGGCCAGTTGAAACTAAGCTGGTGACCCTGATAATTCTGAATTGCCTACAGTGTTATTTTTGCCTTGTCTTGAAAAACAGTGTATGTTTACAGCCAAATAACTCTGTTGTCTTGTCCTGTAGAATCTGAGAAGACCCTCAGGCTTCCTTCACTTTATCTTACCTCCATCCCCGTCCATTCAAACTGGCAGTGTTTCTGCCTGTATTATTACATAAGCTCTTTATCAAGTGACGGTCTAGCTATACCTTTGGTATTCTCTTAGAACATGCTCTTCTCATTTTTTTGCAACACACTCAGGTTGAGAATTTTCTACATCTTTCTACATTTGATTATTTTTCCCTTAACAATACCTTCCTCAATTAATCTCACTCTTCTAACATTTAACTATAAGCAATTAGAAGTATTCAGGCCACACCATCACATTTTGCTTTGAAATCTCCTCAACTACCTATCTAATTTCATTGTTCACAATTTTGATTTTTCGCAAAACACTAGAACACATTTTTAGTCAAGTTCTTTGCCACTTTATAACAAGGATTACCTTTTCTCCAATTTTCAATAATCTCTTCCCATTTTTATCTGAGACATCACAAGAATGACCTTTAATGTCATGTTTATAACAAAATTATATTCATGATTATGTATGTTTTCATTAAGAAGTTGGAGGCTTTCTCTCTATCTTCTTTTCTTTCTGAGCCCTCATCAGAATCACCATTCATAGCCAATGTCCATCAACAGTACCTCCTTGGCAATGTGGGTTTTTTCTAGCATGCACCTCAAAGCTCTTACTGCCCTCTCTTATTACCCAGTGCCAAAACTGCTTCCACATTTTAAGTATCTGTTACAGCAGCATTCCCTTCTCTGTACCAAGATCCATTTTGATGAAGTCAGTCACGTTGGGAGTTAGGACTTCAGCATATGAATTGGGGAAGGTGGGCACGATTCAGTCCATAGTACATTTCAAATGCCAGATTAATAGAAAGCATGAGGAAGTTGTAATTTGTTATTCCAGAGTCTGCACAAACAGCTTTCACCACTCTTGGAGGCCATTTGTTAGATCTGTAGCATATGGGCCACCATCGTTCCCTGCGGCAGGCAGAGTGAGTTGATGCTGGTGTGCTCTCCTTCGGACCTCCAATTGGTTGTCATAGCCATCCTTCACAACCACTCCCAACTTAGTAAAGATGAACCTGGAGGAGCATTTGCTATCCCTGATGTACAGAAGCAGAAAAGAACTAATGTATCAGCAGTTTTATCAGTAGTCAACATAGAGTATCCCCCTAAAATGAGATACGACAATGTTGAAAATGACACTCCTCTGACTTATGGAACCATGATATAGTTATAGAGCTGCCATAGTGATCTGTAGTTCAGAAAAGCCTGACTTCCAAACTCTATATTTAGTAACTCCTTAAGTAGACAGGCTTAGGTATTTTTTCAAGTGAAGCAGAATCCCACATCTACTCCAGGGAATCCGACATCCTAACCAGAGCTGGAATGATGTCAAAATATAACTTTCTCTTTTCATGAGCAAAACACTTTATGTGTATTTTAATTAATATTTTCTGCAAGTTCTTACTTTGTGGCACAAGAAAGTCAAATCAGATAAACTGTACATAATTTTACAGCTGTGGCAGAATCGTTTTGCCATTTCTGTGAGATATATTCCTTCTGAGCATAGTATATAGACATATAATTCTGATTATATTATTACTTTGTATCGTTCCCTAGCAGAAATTAATTAATTTCTGATAGGTTGGGGTATGGCTTTCACCTAGTTTAAGAAATTCAAATAATTATTAACCAAACAGGAAAGAGTTTCCAAATGAGTATATGAAAATTTAATAACATGTGAATTTAAATATTCTTTTATTTATCAACTGACAGTCTAGCTATACTTTTGGTATTCTCTTAGAACATGCTTTTCTCATTTTTTTTTTGAGAACAATATATAAATTAAGTATTGTTTCAATAATTTATCAGTCATTTAAGTAGATGCTACTATAAAGCAGGCCTTTTCAAATCTTATAATATTTAAAATCCATAATAAGCATACCAAGCACAAGTTATATTTATTTTATACATAGTAAAACTAATAATCAGACATAATATGTCTTTACAAAAGGTTTTACAAGCTTCAAAAATAATTATGGCAGGATCTGAATCTAGAACTTTTTGGTTATTGGTGTGTCTATATTTCTTTTCTTATGCCTCTAAAAATGTATAGTCTCAGGTAAAAATTAATAATACAAAAAATAGTTATTTTGGGTATATAGTGAAATTTTTATAAATTTCTTCCTTGAGAAAGGGAATAAATAGTAATTGTAACACAATTTTACAAAATCTCTAATGGCCACATAGCAGTTACTTACATTTTGTGATGCTGAATAAGCAAAAATTTATTTTTTGAGATCCACAAAATTGTCTTCCTATAATTTCTAATCACGTGGACTTAGGTGAAAATCTCTGTGGTGTAAGGCTCCAATGTGGCTCCTATAATCCCTACCTTCTGGCAATAACACCTTTGTGCTCTTAAGTGTGGGCAGGAACTGAGTTACCTCTAACAGTAGCAAATGGCAAATATGAGACCATGTGATTATGTGAACATGATTACATTACATGAGATTGTAACTGGTCTTGCTGGGAGACTTTCTGTCATTGGCTTTGAAGAAATAAATTGTCATGTGTTGTGCTGCTACATGGAGAGGATCACAGCTTACAGAGTTGAGTGTGGCCATCAGCTAACAGCTAGCAGGAAGCTGAGGCCCTCGGGGTAACAGCCTTCCAGGTACTTGATGAGTACTGTAAGGAACCATATGAATGTGGAAGAGGATTCTTCCCCAGCTGAGATTCAGGTAAGACCATAGTCTTGGCTGCTACCTTGATTGCAGTCTTGTAAGACTCTGAAGCAGAAGAGTCAGCTAAATCCCATTCCAAATTCCTAACCAACACGAACCATCAAATAATTCACTTGCTTTGTTTAATCTGCAAATTTCATAGTAATAATGCTGTGTGTCAATAGAGACACAATATTATTTCTTCAATTTATACTTTATCACGCTTTATCACTGGCTATTTATACTATCACTTCCAGAAATTTTAATAAGAAATAATTTACATATACACATACACAACCATATATATGTCTTCATATGCCCACGCAAACACACAGCATATGTGCATGTACAATTGTTTGACTCAAAGAGAGGTATATCTGACACTTAAAATATTTATTTCTAAAATATGCATTTCAAAATGTATGGCTGGGCTAATTTTGTCTTTAAGTATCTGCCCTTGGAAAATGAACTGAATTTTTATAAGTAATGAGAAACCTGGGTAAAGCTCTCCTAGAAGGTTGCCCAAAAAGTATAAAGCCTGAGGCATTGCCAATTACTAGCTTCCAGAAAATACCGGATGTAGAGGTCACCATTGTTATTACAAACTATGAAAATAAAAAATATTTTAAAATTCTTTTTGTGTGATGAAAGGCTAAAAGCTGAAGTATGTGTTGCCATGGAAATAGTGTTTTGTTTACAGCACTTGTCTTTTCTAGAACTCATCCATTTAATGGTAGGAGAGAACCACTTCAATCTTGACATTGTATTACACTCGGAGCTTTCATTACTAGAATAATATTTGTTCATTTTTCAATAAGAAGCATAAAATGTTACATTGCTCATTTTGTCCATTTGTTTAATGACACTGGTAGGCTTGTTACTTAAATTAAATCCATCTAAAGAAAATAAATATGTACTGGTTAATCCAACTGAACCCATGTAAATACACTACTGTGGCTCTAAACATTGGCAAATATAACAAATCCTCACTACCATACAGGATGGCATGTTACAGATGATGTTCTGCTTCACAACCAATGACGATGGTGCCAGAACTCTCGTGTTCTTGTTTCTCCTACTTTCTGATAATTTGTACTAATCAAGATAGGATTGGCATTGCAGATGTAGTAATCAAACATTTTATTTCTTGCTTTCACAAAATCACTCTAGTCCGTCTGAGTTTCGGGGGATTTGGCTGCTACACGGGAATTCATTGAGGTTGCTTTTGTCTTCTGGTTCCACAGTCTCAACACATAATCTCCTCACTGCCCTGGCAGAGGAACAGAATGCTGGAGGGTTTTCTACTGACCCAAAGGGACACACGTGATTTCTACTCACAGCTGTTTGGCTACGGCTTGTTTCATGGTCCTAGTTAATTGCAGGAGGGCTAAGAGAAATAGGAAAGTTCAGGTTACATTTGTCAGATGTTCTTAATCCTGTCACATCTATCATCCAGGTAAAAATTTTCACAGATCTATGCCCACAAACCAGGGGGAGTATTTTTTTTTAACCATCCGCAAGCCTGTTCCTTTGGTCTGTTGTACTTTTGAATTTTCCGATTCTCTTTTCTTTTCTTTTTTTTTTTTTTTGTATTCCCTGACATGAAATAAAATTATACATTTTATAACTTTGTCAAATTCTACATGCTATTTCCTTACTTGAGCTTAGATTTCTCTTTTTTGACCTAACAAGCCGGTATCATTTTAAAATTCAGTGTTTCAATGCCACTTAAATAGAAATGCTCCTTTTATCCGCCAGTCCCTTGCTGTCATAATACTATATGTTAGGTGAAGATTTATTATATAATTTATCAGATTGAATATTTCTCATGTACATTCCATATCTCCGTGTGTGTGTCTCTCTCTCTGCCACATTCTTTAACCTTCCCCTACTATAAAGAATACGGAATGTGAGTACCCATGTTATAACTACCTGTGCTTCAAAAAGAATGTAGGTTACAGTATTTACACAGTTTATTGTTGAAATAGCTAAAGAGATTAGCATCGTGCTTATGCATATTTAAGTGCTCAATACATAGTACCTTTATTATCATAAAAATAATATTTGGATTATATGATTACTTACAATGTGTAGACTTGGTATATTACTTCTGTAACTTTTTATTCATAAGGACTGCTAAATCGTATGATTCATTTGATTAGATAGCATTCACAACATTAGAAAATTAAATATAACCACTAAAATATTCTACATTTTTGATTACTTGGTTTTGATTCTTTGTCTCATAGGCAAGAGAAATAGTATAAACAGAGGAATGGAATTATAACTAGAAATCCTATTTTGGTGAATAAGCTGAGGACTTCCTAGAGAAGCTGTATGATGTGAAATAGTTGCAAATAATGGCAAAGTAACTCGTAGATAAATTATTTTAAGCCTTTATTTGTTAGGTTGCTGCATAGAGCTGCAAAGCATCAACAACATATTTCCTCAAAATGTAGAGTTTACAAGTTTTTTGAGCTCCCTGATGTTTGCAATCTATTCCAGTCTCAATGTCCTCTAATTGTACATCAATCATCTAATGATCTAGATTGCCCATTGCTTGCAGCTATCTTTTCATGTTTTATTTGGTTAAAGGAAAATCAGCTTTACATTGTGAAAATGCATACTGTTAGCGAATTGTGAAATTGTGAGGAATTGTGCTGTAATTACTGAATATTGGCTCTCCATGAACATGTTGCTTAAACGTGGGAAGATCTGCCAGAGAAATTAAGTTTCTCTCCTCAGTAGTCCATCGTTACAGCAACAATTGTGGAAATCAAGTGAGATGTGGAACCATTTTTGATTGCCTTAAATGGCACATTTATATATGCCAGAAAGAATATATGCTTCTATGTAAATTGAAAAAGGGAAATGAAACAGTCTGTGGATGTGGACTCTCTCGGGTTGAATGTAGGTGGATCAGTTCGTACTTAACATCTGTTCAGGCTGCAAATGCAGAGGAAGTTTAATATGTTTACTCAATCATACTGGTTTCCTGGGTGCCAAGGCAGAAAATCTAAAACATGTGACTTCTGTTCACACTATGTGGGAGCTATTTAGAACAAAGGTGATGATCGTGGAAGAAAATGTGGAGACGCTATCTCCGGTGCCAGCACTGTTGGACTTCTTTGTTGCCAGCAATCAACAGCCCTTAAACATCAACATTTCAAGGTTTTGTTGACCACTGTACCAAGTAACCTCTAAAAACATTTAAGAAGAAATAGAAAATAACACTAGGTTATTTCTTAACATATCAAAAGAATATCAACATATGGCCTTGGATCCTTTTCATTCCCCGTCCCTATAACTCAATACAAAATTATAATACATTTAATGTAGCATTCCAGTCCAGATAGTAGTTTGTGGAATTAAATTTCAAACTCCCTTTTTGAAAATTTTCTTGTATTCATAAACACTTTAGCTAGCCAGGGCAGCATGTTTCTCTAGGAACAAAAGTGGGGAGTTACAAAGAAGGCAATTTATAAGAAATATATTTCCGTCAAAATTTTATGAAACAGAAGAAAAATCATAAAACAGCAATTAATATTAGAAGAAAGTCTTATCAAATTCTATATAATGATTTTTCATCAATATACTTGGCCTCTAATTAGTTAAAAGGAAGATCATGCAATGCCCAGGGTTTTTATCTTGTGGTTACTATTCAATTTAAATTCTTATATTCCCCAAAATGTCCTTGTTTTAGTTGGTAAGACAGCAAGACAGTAGCTACAATTCAGTGGAATTAAGTACTTTGCCATATTCCATGAAATATACAAGGAGAGGTCAGAAGAAAGACAATTATTTTTGTCTGGAGGAATACAAAAAGGTGTCACAGAGTTGGCATTTGAATTGGATGCTGAAAGATGAATGAAAATGCACTAGCTGGAGGTGAAAAGAATATAATGGACTGAGGAAAGGTCCTTTCCAAAAATCAAGAAAGCTGTAAAAGGCATGGGGATTTTAATAATTATCTTCAGTTGGAATTACATGTATGTTGAGTGCAGGGACAAAATTGAAAACATAGTTATGGCTGAAAAG
Organism: Homo sapiens; assembly: GCF_000001405.40. Taxonomy (NCBI): domain Eukaryota; kingdom Metazoa; phylum Chordata; class Mammalia; order Primates; family Hominidae; genus Homo; species Homo sapiens. Next base: position 34,435,647 of record NC_000004.12, read on the forward strand.
TTATATGGGAAATTATTATCAAAGGCTATTGATGTCAAGCTAAGAAGATTACATTTTACCTAAAACGCCTATGATCTTTAAAGTGGATGTAAGACTAGTTCCTCTTCCCCATTCTTATGTTTTCCATATTATTTGTAAAAGTATAATGTTTTAAGTATTTAATTGACTAATAAAATTACATTAAAGAAAAATGACTTACTTTAAAGACATGACTTGTATAAGCAGACTTGTTGTTATCTACTTAATATTACATAAATTTAACAAGTAAATAGACAAAGTTACAATATGAATGTTAATATATATGTTATAAATGTATGTCTATCCACTTTGAAAGTATGATAATATATTTAGCTTAAAAAATAAGAGGATAAAGAAAAATCAGTCTATCAGAGAAAAAAATTAATGATAGAAAAATAAGAAATCCATAAATGATATTAAAGCTTCCCTTCTCTGTTGTTGCATGTTATGAGTGGTTCTCATATTTACTGAAGAATTAAGGTAAAGTACTGGTTTTGTAAGGGCGGGATATACTGACTATAAAGCTTAAGAATAAAATCAAGCAGAAAACCAAATATAGCATGTTCTCATTTATAAGTGGAAGCTAATCACTAGGTACACAGGAATACAAAGAGGGGAAGGATAAACACTGGGAACTCTAAAAGAGGGGTGGAGGGAAGGGAAGGGAGGACTGAAAAACTACCTATTTGGTACTATGCCCACTATGTGGGTGACAAGATCAATTGTATCCCAAATCTCAACATCACATAATATGCCCATATAACAAATCCACATATGTATCCCCTGAATGTAAAATAAAAGAATTATAAGAAAGCAAAAATTAAGCAGGATTTTTCTAAAGGGGTTTCAGTTTGAAATGACCTTGAATGACCTAGAATTTAATGAATAGCAGACATTTAATAACCTAAATTAACAAGCAGTGACAACAAAGAAATATTAATTTTACATTATTTTAACCAAGCTGAGAGTTCACCTGTTTTGAGGTAGGCACAAATTAGCTAAATTCTGTTTTGTGGGGCTTTTTTTTCCCCCACAAAAAGGCAAATTCTCAAAGCTGTAAGTAGACCTCTGTTATTTTCAATGTACTTAAAATATTAAATAGTTTTATTTAATAAAACAGCAATCTTGTAGCCTTTAAATTATTTTAATTCTAGGAAAAAATGACATATGACTTTTTAAAAATTTTATCAACTATTTGTTTTGGGTTTAATCTAAATATTCCATAACATACCTAGGGCCAAAATGTTCTAATACTGAACCAAAATATGTCTCAATAAACAATAATAGTGCTCCAGGTATGGAAGTGCTGGGTGACTAATATCAGGACTTGATTACTAGCACTAACTCTCATCAGTATTTCAATACCAACTTCAGTGCTAATAAGACATCAATTTGCTGTAACAAGTATTTACAAAATACGCTCTGGCAACAAAAATGAGATGTGCCATGTGACTTCCTCTCACATACAAAAAAAAAGTATGCAAGGTAATTCAAAAATTGGAGTTGTTTAAAAATATCCTCACATTTATTGAGTTTAAATGTTCTTTTCATTATGAGGGTAATTAGATCATCAGTCTAAATGAACATATTTTAATAAACAAATGAATTCTCAGCAAAAATCCCAAGTACAAAAATAAGATTTATTTTTTAAATGAATGAGTGCTGTTTCTTTGAATTTGGACAATCTGTATATTTAAAATCTAATTTTGAAAATGATTCCAATTTTAAATTAAGAAAAATGCTTTACATACTTGAATCTAAAATTATGTGTTATAATACTATATGTATTTGGAGATGTGTTTCTTTGTATAACAAATAAATTATATTTACAGATGTGTGCCTAGAGAGAATATGTATCTGTAGATACTTCACAATTAACAGGAATACTGCATTTGAGAGAGAGAGAGAGAGAGAGATGGAGACAGGCAGAGAAAATATGAGGCAAGGTGAGAAAGAGAATCCCATAATAATCTTCAGAGTAAAAAACAAAATTTTATGTTTCCCTCACCAACATAGACTATTGCCTCTGTCTTACAATTGCTAATGAAGAACTATAATCTTCTCCTAAATCAAAGTCAGTAAAAGGTAAATGTTATTTTAAATTTTTTTAAATTTTATTTTACCTTCATTTCTTTTCAAGTACTCTTCCTTTTTGATGTAGATCTGAGTTCTCTCTGTATTTTATTTTATTTATTTTATTTTATTTTGTTTTGTTTTGTTTTTTAGAGATGGAGTGTCACTATGTGGCCCAGGCTAGTCTCCTGGCCTCAAATGATCCTCCTGCCTCAGCCTCCCAGAGTGCTGGGATTACAAGCATGAGCTACTGCACCCGGCTGAAAGGTAAACTTTAGATCACCAGTATTGATAGCTCTACATGATACTTAAGCTGAACTTCGGCATAAAAATAACATATTAAACAGGATATAGGATGGTATAACCATTTACTTGTTAAAACTTAAATTTTAAATTGATTTATTTATTCACATCAAAACAAAAAATATCTGAAAACATTTTCATTCTTCCATTTAAGTAATTAAGTTGAAAACTTTGGACTTTTCTTAACCAATTTTCCTCAAGTTATCACTGGTTTTCATTAAATGATATTCCTTTTCAGCTCTTATCCACAGGGGTTTGCACTGTTTTCACAAAAATTGCAGATAATTTAAACCTGTGGTAGGAAGCAGGGGAAGGTCAGTGAAATAGCATTATCATATAGTGTCTTGTTCAGTGAAGTAACACTTAAAGAGAAGTGTCTGCTGAAAGCCAGCCAAATCATTGTCAACTCTGGAACGGTCAGGTAGTTGAGTCTTCCAGGTTGTTATTCAAGTTCTCCTTTGAATTTAGGGAATGCTGGGATGAGTAAATGCCTTTCAGAATAAGTGAAATTTAAGAGTATTGTACAGTTCAATGTTTCCATTGCACGAAATAATCATGGTTTGGTGAATAACAGCAAAACTGGAAGTGAGGAATGCTCTATATAGATAAGTCTGTCCAGGTTTTAGCCTTTGACTCTGTCAAGGAACTTTTCCAAGAAGCTTTAATTACCTTACCTATAAACTAGGAAAAGTAAAATTTACTCTTGTTCCCAGCATGGTGGTTTTAGGAATCAGAGGGAACACATTTGTTAAAAGAGCATTTGAAATAAAAATTTATAACAATGCTGTTTTAATTCTCACAAGATTTTTGAGAATGTTAAAACATCAGCAATTATAATCTTCAACTTTGATCCAACAAAGTTCACAAGAAGATATATTGGCCATCTTTAATTCATGCAATGATTCCTTAAGTCATTCAACCATTCACTGAGCAGCTATGATGTGTAAGTGAATATCTTTACAATTAATGTACTAAAAATCAAAAAGAAGAATAGCTAATATGACTAACCATGTTGAAATATGGTTAATTACCTTAAAGGAAATACAGTTGACTCTTGAATAATGCAAAGCATTAGGAGTGCCAACCCCCTGCACAGTTGAAAATGTGAGTATAACTTTTGACTCCTTAAAAACGTAACTAATCATAGCCTAGTGTTGACGGGAAGCCATACTGAAAACTTAAACAGTCAATTAACATATATTTTTTATATTATATGTGTTATAAACTTTATTTTTACAATAAATAAAGCTAAAGAAAAGAAAATGTTATAAAGAAAAATCACAAGATAAAATGTATTTACTACTTATTAAATAGAAGTGGATCATCATAAAGGTCTTCATCCTTCTTGTCTTCATCTTCTGTAAACTGAAGAGGAGGAGGAAGAGAAGGGGTTGGTCTTGCTGTCTCAGGAGTGTCAGAGGCAGGAGAGGTGGAGGCGCTGAAAGAAGAGGCAGGAGAGCAGGCACACTTGTAACCTTTATTGGAAAAAAATCCATGTGTTAGTGGACACACACAATTCAAACCCATTTTCTAAGGGTCACTTGTAGATAGAAAGTTGTACTGGGTTTGAAAACCAATATAATTAATGATAGAAAAATAAATATAATGTAGTTAGACCAAGACACTTTTAGCAAGAAGAATGAATTAGAAATGCAAATCATTTTATTCTCTCAATCAATTCAGAAATCTATACCTTAAATATGTTGTCATTCAAGAACTGCCTCATCAAATCATATTACTCCTTCCTCATCAAATGTCACTCAGAATCTTGTTATTCTGTTTAGAAATTTTAGTACTACCTTTTTATAACTTTTATCTAAGTTCAAGGGTACAAGTGCAGGTTTGTTAAATAGGTAAACTAGTATCATAGGGTTTGTTACACAGATTATTTTACCACCCAGTTATTAAGTCTTGTACCCATTAGTTATTTTTCCTGATCCTCACCCTCGTCCCACCCTTCACCCTCGAAAAGGCTCTAGCACGTTTTGTTCCCCTCTATAAATTAGCCCTTTGCTAAGGAAAATACAACATACAGTTTTCTCTGACAAAGGCTTGAGAAGGCTCTTCTAAATATACACTACCCATTTTTAGAAATCAGATTAAAAATATAGAGAAATTCATATTCTTTTTTTAATAATAGAGGATCCTAACTATTGTTCTTATATAGACAACTAACCAGACTTCACATGAAAGTGGGAAATGTTTAATACAGTTTTGAGAAGTGAAGATTGAAAAATAACACAGCAATCATGATATGAAGCTGTACAACATTTGCTTTGAGCTATTTGACCCACCAGTGAGTCAAAGATTTCAAGTAATGTTTATTTTTTATTATATTTTTCTTCTTGGGGTAACTATAACACAATAAAAAAGAATTCATAAAAATTATAATGTATTAATCCATTATCATGCTGCTATATAGAACTGTTGAGGACTGGGTAATTTATAAAGAAAAGAGGTTTAATTGACTCACAGCTTTACATGGCTGGGGAGGCCTCAGGAAACTTACTATCATGGCGAAGGCATCTCTTCACAGTGTGGCAGGAGAGAGAATGAGTGTCGAGCAAAGAGGGAAGCCTCTTATAGGGCCATCCGATCTCTTGAGAACTCACTCACTGTCATGAGAACAGCATGGGGGAAACCATCCCCATGATTCAATTATCTCCACCTGGTCCCACCCTTGACATGTGGGGATTATTACAATTCAAGAGAAGATTTTGGGTGAGGACATGGAGTCAGACCACATCACCTATGAATTTTTTTTTTTTTTTTTTTTTTGCTATTTTAGGTTCTACTTTTAATTCCTTCTACATAAAAGTTTCACACCTTTTAACTCAGCACATTCTCAACTTCTCCCATGTTAGTATCTAACATGGGTCAGTCCTTGCTTGACATGTTTCTCTCTATTCTGGATTTATATGCCTATTCAATTTCTCTGACTTTCAGCATTTTGGTTTTTAGCCAATGTCACCTAGTCTTAAACTTAGTTAATTACCAATTGTCCCATTGTTCTATTGGCCGTTGGGCAGATCTGTCATTAATCTATATAACCATTTGGAAACATATTCTCTTAAATGTTTTTGAAGATAATTATATTTTCAGCTTGACTCTATGGAGAGATGATACAAGCACACACACATGTGCACACATGACTCCTAATTTTCTTATCTTTATTAATGTTATTTCCAACCAACACTTCTAAATCTTGATGTAACTTCCAACACTTCTTTATTTGTTTTTCCCTTCAATTTGAGCCACCACAATTCCTTTTATTCTCATTTCTATCCCTACTCAGGATTTTATGAACTGACTACTGGATTTGCTCAATGGGCTCCTGCTGTTTCAACATTTGAAGACCTGCCTTTATAATCAATCAAAACCATCCACATCAGAATCACTTTTAGAAATACAACCTTGATCATGTCTCTCACTTTTTAAAACCCTTCAGTTTGTGACCCTGCTTATGATCCAAGGCCCAACCTTCTTTTTTAGACACTGATAGTTTTCTAAAGTCTAGCCTGAATGACCCTTTCTATTCTTATTTTTCATGTATTTGAAGAGACATCTTACTCCCCTCAAAACAGATAACTCATGGTTTTCTTGGTACTTCTTCACATTCTTATTATTGTGCATCTGTTTATATTTTCCCCTAGAATTCATTTTCACTTCTCTCTATTAAGAACTCTTTTTTTTTTTCAGTGGTCATTTATATCCAATTTTCAACAAGAAGTTCTGCTTAATCACTCTATGGAGTGCTCATTCATGTGAAAGAGGAAGTTATAAAGCAATAAATAAAGTCACAGTTAAATGAATGCCATATTTGGGGATTTGATACAGGAAAACTAGAATGCCGTGAACTAAGTTATCCCTGCTACATGGGTCTTTCCTCAACTAGATTATAATTCCTAAAGGTCACAGATCATATATGTCCTTTTTCCGCTTCTTCATTTCTATTATTTCTTATAAATCTTTCAAATAAAATTTGCTCAGTGTATTGTATTACTACTTGATCACCTAAGTATGAAGGCATATTCTATAAATGCAAGGCTCTGGGCAGAAATTTTTTGAATTTGTCCTGACTCAAGAAAGCCTTAGAAAGATACATAAAAATTTCCCATTTTCTAGTTTTATGGCATAATTAACTAATTGTACAAATGGTTATTGAAAGATTTAGAGCGTTAGGTACTCTGTGAAGTTCTGAAAAAATGGCAGTGGAGAGAAAAAGTTCCTGCTCTCAGTAGATATGTACTTTCCTTAACATCTGCTAATTTTACAATTACATTTGTTGATTAACATGTGTCTTTACTCTCTACAATTCTCCATCTTGTATTCTGTACATTTACATAATTTGTATATCCCCAGTACAAATACTATCTCCCTTTTCCCTCCCCACTGGAGAGGCACCACTAATCACAGATTTTCATGCAGTAGACAGTATCAATAAATACTGTGTTTGTGAGCATCAGGCATGAAATACATACATACAAATATCATCATAGATATAACTATTTATAAGTTAATCTGGTGTCCAGATAGCTGCTGTCCTCTATATAAACAAACTATTTTACTCGGAAGGAATATTTTTTTCTCTATTAGATTCATTTAAAGAAAGAAAGTCTTGTTCAAAGTTTTCAAGTTCTCAGAGTTCCTGTTGATCAAACACTTCCTGAGCTCAAGAAGCATCTTTAGAAAGACTTGTCATTTAAATTGTAGAGGTATATTTCCAGAAACAGTTTGTGTTTTCTAAAATCAGTTTAACTCGTGTTAATAGTTTTTGCACAAATGCTGAAATGGTAAAAAAATAAAAAAATTGTCATGTATTTCTATTAGTCTATCAATTGTCTCTTTCATATTAATTACCTTTGAAAAATACAACAGAATATACTCATCCCATGTGTGAGTAAATCTCAGTATGTCAGGATAAGTAATTCTCAATATTAATATCAACTTGCTGTGAGGAAGAAAATAATGTTTAGGTAATTTTGACCTTGACATCATTCCTGACTGCATTCTTTCTCTCACACTCTAACCAATTCATTAGCAAATCCTTTCAGCATTACCTTTCAAATAGATGCAGAATCCAAACATTCTCACAATCTCCACTGCTCCAAATCCAATTAGAGCCACAATACTTCCTAACCTTGTCTTAAAAAGGCAGTCTAACATGTCTCCTGCTTCTATGTTTGCAGGTTTTCTTCTTTCCATAAACCACAATGATTCTTTAAAAATATGAATCAATTATGTTATCCCACTGTTTCAAGCCCTGCATGGCTTCCCACAGCATGCAGAATAAAATCCCAAGTTTTATGAAGGCTTTTAGGCTATTCTCAGTCCCTTTCTGCCCTCTGATATCATCTATGATTACTCCTCCTCTTTCTTCAACCATGCTGGTCTCATTATAGATCCAAGGCTCCAAGCGTGCCTTGGCCTGCCTTAAAGCATTTACATATGTTCTTTCCATGAACTAAAACACTCTTCTCCCAGAAAGTCATGTAGTTGGTTCCTTTGTTTCCTTCTGTTTGTATTTAGATGGGACATTTTCAGAACACCTATTCCTGGATCAAATTATCTACACTGTCTATACTTTCTTCCACATTTTTTTCACCATTTATTCAAGTATCATCACTTGCCTTATATTTTCTTATTTAGATTGGTGATTATTTATTTACTGTTCTTTTTTCCTGCTGCTGCCTACCATAGGTCCTCTGTGAAGAAAGAAATATTGTTTTGCCCATATTTATGTAGTCAAAGTCTATAGAAAAATGTTTGGAAAAGGCTTATGATTCATGAATATTCCTTGAATGATTAAAGGTTCTTGTTATTGAACAGTCTGAGAATCTTCACTTTATATTAAATGGGTTCTAATTTGAATGCTTTCTGTGTAATTTCAAGTAAAAGTAGAATGTTTACATGAAATATTTGAATTAAATAGATATTTTTACATTCCACATATCAACCACTGTGAATAAATGTTTTCAAGTTTCTATGAATGAACAAAAATGAAATATGTGATTTTTGCACATTGATTTTGTATCCTGAGACTTTGCTGAAGTTGCTTATCAGCTAAAGGAGGTTTTGGGCTGAGACAATGGAGTTTTCTAGATATACAATCATGTCATCTGCAAACAGGGACAATTTGACTTCCTCTTTTTCTAATTGAATACCGTTTATTTCCTTCTCCTGCCTGATTGCCCTGGCCAGAACTTCCAACACTGTGTTGAATAGGAGTGGTGAGAGAGGGCATCCCTGTCTTGTGCCAGTTTTCAAAGGGAATGTTTCCAGTTTTTGCACATTCAGTATGATATTGGCTGTGGGTTTGTCATAGATGGCTCTTATTATTTTGAGATATGTCCCATCAATACCTAATTTATTGAGAGTTTTTAGCATGAAGCGTTGTTGAATTTTGTCAAAGGCCTTTCTGCGTCTATTGAGATAATCATGTGGTTTTTGTTGTTGGTTTTGTTTATATGCTGGATTACGTGTGGTGATTCCTCAGGGATCTAGAACTAGAAATACCATTTGACCCAGCCATCCCACAACGGGGTATATATCCAAAGGATTATAAAACATGCTGCTATGAAGACACATGCACGCATATGTTTATTGTGGCACTATTCACAATAGCAAAGACTTGGAACCAACCCAAATGTCCAACAATGATAGACTGGATTAAGAAAATGTGGCGCACATACACCATGGAATACTATGCAGCCATAAAAAATGATGAGTTCATGTCCTTTGTAGGGACATGGATGAAGCTGGAAACCATCATTCTCAGCAAACTATCGCAAGGACAAAAAACCAAACACCGCATGTTCTCACTCATAGGTGGGAATTGAACAATAAGAACACATGAACACAGGAAGGGGAACATCACACACGGGGGCCTGTTGTGGGGTGGGGGGAAGGGGGAGGGATAGCATTAGGAGATACACCTAATGTTAAATGATGAGTTAATGGGTGCAGCACACCAACATGACACATGTATACATATGTAACAAACCTGCACATTGTGCACATGTACCCTAAAACTTAAAGTATAACAAAAAGAAATAAAATACAATACAAAATAAGTAAAAAAAAAAAAAAAGAAATATGTGAAATATGTATAACTACAGCCTAATGTGCAATGAAATCAATCAATTTGTAGATTTCTTGGGCTATGTCATGAAATAGAAGATAACATTATCTAAAAAAGATTACCGAGTTTAAAGGGAAATTTTTTTTGGTCAAGCCTAGATGTTTTTCATACTTTATAAAGGAAAAGTAATTTATTAAAACAGATTTCTATGTTTGTATTATTTTATATTCCTTATATTTTCAGTTCTGTAGCTTAAGCACTTGAATATAAACAGCTTTACACTGTCATGTAATGTAAAATGCTTTGCATTGTTGTGATTATCTACAGTTAAAGACAATGAAGTCATCTAATACTCTCATTATGATCATCTGTATCTTAAAGATGGGTCACTATATTTCAAAACTTTAGGTTGGCAAAATTTAGAAAGAAAATAGGTAAAATATATTTCTGTATTGCAAAAATGTGCTTGCATGTGTGTTTGTGGAGAGATCCAGTGAGAGTGAGCAAGAGAGATTTGTTTTACTACTCATACAAAAGCAAAGTTACAACATACACGGTATGTTAGGAAGAGTTTTACTGTTATCTTATTATAATCCAGTTGAGCTCTATAAAAATTCTCAGAATGTATAACATAAAAACCAATATTATTTGTGATTTCTACTGCTTCAACATTTACTGTCAAGATCTTTATGACAGAAGATCTATTTTCTATACTTGACTGTTTCAATAATCTTTCTCCCTTTTTCATTGTTGTGTTCTTTTCTGAGAAGAACTTACTATTTCATCTTGTGATATGTTGAGGCTTGCTAGAAATCAAGTCCAATTCACTAGGAATAGACATATAAAACATCATATTTCCCAGCCAAGTATATAGACACATCTCGTAAAGAGAAATATTACAATGTCTTTCTTTGATATAAAATATTGTAAAGATTTTCTCTTTCAATGTTTACTTTAAATAGAATGGTGAAATTTAAATATAGTATGTGCATAGTAAATATGTCAAATGAGGAAGTGGAAATATACTATTTCTCATAGTATTTCAATTTCTTAAATTTTAAGAATGGTTACTATATTAATATTGAACCGTGTAAAATCATTGTATCTGCATAATTTCTGATACTAATTATTAATTTATTAAGAACACATGCTTGTGAGTGATGTCACTTTTCCTAGAATTTGACTTTTATAAACAAAATAAAATGGAGATTGAGGGTTTTTTTCTGTATTGCTGGGAATTATGGGAAAATAATTTAAAGGTAATGTCTACATTTTTATGACATATAAAGAATAAAACAACTACTACAGTCATACAATTTTCTTGACAATTGTATCCATTAATCATTTAAGATAAATGTAACATTCCCTTTATATTATTATGTTTAGTAATTGTTTAAGAAACTTGCTTATATGCTAAAATAAATGTTCTCGAATAATGCCAAAAATTATAACACTTTGAGATAATTACAGAAGGAAATAAAAATACCTTGTATTATTTTAATTTTAAAGATTTCTAATGTGCATAATAATATTCTGTATCAAAATACCAGCCCCAATACAATGGTAGGTATATTTTCAATTGGAAATTATAAAACCCCAATTTTTTTCTTGATATATCTATTTAGAGTAATGATGTTTTATTGGACCATAAAGGTGAATGGAATTTGTTAAAATGATTAGGCAAGTGATACAATGAGCAAGAGAATAGCAGAAGAAATATCACAAAAAATAATAAAAGAAACTTCATCATATCTAATCAAATTTAGTATACAGATATACAAATATGTAATGCTACCATTAATAGAAATGATTGTAAGATAAATTAGGCAAATTTATTATGTCACCAGACTTTGTGAAATTGATAATATCTTTCCTAATACATAGATTTATTGGTTAGTTTGAATATGGTTAATATTTCTCAAGTACCTATCCATTTCTGAGCAGACGTACATTTAACAATGCTTAGGTAGGTGAAGCAGAATATGGAATCACATGTGCAAAAACCTAGTGTTTTTAGATAAAAACAATATTATTAATAATATAGTTATTATTACTACTAGTAAAAACATTATTTGCATTGAATGAGTTCTATTTTTTCTAACTAAATTCTTAAAGTATAGATTACCATTCCAGACAACTATGGTATATTTTCTTACAAAATAGAACTGGCAAAATTACTAAAGGTTTGACACACCATATTGTTCATGGCCAACAAAGTTATGACTGACAGACTGCCTAGGACTCCAGGGACAAATCTTTGGAAGAGGAGTAGTGTCCAAAGGCAGAGTTCAAGGAAAAGGTCTGGAACAGAGCAAGACTAATACCTCAGAGGGTAACAAAAGTTGCCAAGGCCAAATTAAAATCAATCCATCAGTTTATAGGCAACTCATGTGGCAAATACAAGGCCAGAGCTCTATGACTTTTTTTCCACACAACCAATGAAAAACCATTTTTATAAATTCTACAGACAGGAGTACGATACTTTGTGATGGTACCTGACAAGCTGTCAACCTATCTTAGGTGTTTGAGATGCTCTATCTCTTCCTATCCCAGGAAGACATTCCTTTTGTAGAATTACATTTTGTGAGATTGTTTCAGTGCTCCTTGGAGATTTATGTTTTACAGTCATCTTTAAAAATGCTAATACTATATGCTGCCATCTATGTTGTGTCACACAGTTAGGATTGTATGAAAGATATCATTGGCTTTAACAAAAGACTGCTTTGGATCACATTTCTGCCAGTTACTAATTGAATGACCTTGAGCTGTTTAGTGTATACCTTTGAACTTCAATTTTACTATCTGTAAAGTGATGATGATAATAAATGGCTCACAATATTGCTATGAAGATTAACTGAAGAAATGATAAAACATTTAAAGCAAGCACAGCAAAGATATGGTGGCTATAGTTTATGTATATATATATTTCTTTGATAGCTTAGTTCAGAGCCTAATATACAACCACCACAGTTCATGTTGTTGGTGAAAATAAAAATTATAAAGCTGGGATGGTATATAGCTTTCATCTCAGTCGTTAATGTCAATATATTCTTAATGGTTGCATAGTGAACTGTGTCAATAAAAGTTTTGGAGTTCAGAAAAGAAGACTCATGAAGAATTTCTTATTATATACATGCATACACTACATAATTACATTTCATTCAACAATGGACCACATACATGATGGTAGTCCCATTGGACTATAATAGGGCTGAAAAAATTCTATCAGCTAGTATCTTCATAGTGGTTGTAATGTCATAGTACACAAATTTTTTTCACTTGTTTGATGTGATGCTAGTATAAACAAACCTATTCATTGCCAGTCTTGCAAAAATATTTAAAAAGCTAACTATAAAACAGTTTCAGGAGGCATTCTGGAAGAAACTATTGTTATTATAAGAGCTGACATAGCTCCATTGGTGTTATTGCCCCTGAAGACCTTCCAGTGGGTGAAAACATGGAATTTGAAAGAATAATATTGATGATCCTGACCCACTGAAGGCTTAAGCTAATATGTGTGTTTGTGTCTTAATTTTCAGCAAAAAAATTTCAAAACCTTTAAGAAAATGAAAAATAGAATATGAGCTTACACAATAAGAATATTAAAATATTTTTGTAAATTTGTATAATGTGTTTCTGTTTGAAGTGTTATTACAGAATAGTCAAAGTAAAATAATTTAAGTCTGTAAAGTAAAAAAGTTATAGTTGGTGAAGTTTAATTTATTATTGAATAAAAATGTTTTTTAAAAAAATGTAGTGCAGCCTAAGTGTAGAGTGTTCATAAAGTCTACAATAGTGTACAATAATGTCTTAGGCCTGCACATTCACTCACCACTAACTCGCTGACTTACCCAGAGCAACTTTCAGTCCTGCAAGCTCCAGTCACAGTAAGTGCCCCTTTCAAGCATACCATTTTTGTCTTTTATGCTTTATTTTTAGTGTACCTTTTGTATGTTTAGATATACAAATACTTACCTTTGTATTATAATTGCCTACAGTATTCAGTAGAGTAACATGCTATATAGGTTTGTAGCTTAGGAGCAAAAGGCTGTACCATATAGCCTAGATATGTAGTAGGCTACACCACCTAGGTTTGTATAACTACACCCTATGATGTTCCCACCATCATGAAATTGTCTAAGGACACATTTCTCAGAACACATTCTCATTGTTAAACAACACATGTCTGTAATTGTTCAAAAAGATGATGACACAACTATATATGTTGACACAGAGGTAGAGAATTTAATTAAATAGAAAGTTATTTTTCTTCAATCTAAATGATCTTAATTTGTATTATTTATAATAGGTAACTATGTAAGTGGAAAATTAGCTAAGTCTTGAGGAATCATATGGGCACACAAAGACAATGTAATCCAAATATCTCAGCCGTCAACACTGTCAATATTATCACCAACAAATCAATCATATAGGTCTTTTTTGAAACTATAGAAGAAGTTTTTCCACTAGATATCTTTGTACCTTCTCTGGGAAATAAGAAAAAGTATCCTTAGAAATGTGGTTCTTGACTCAGTTCTGATCAACAGAAAAATGATGGGCTTTTAGAACATTAAAGTTCTGAATGCACACTTATGCATACAAATATAGCTTAGAAGCTACATAAGTTCTGGAAAACTTTGAAATTTTGAGTTGGTCAGGAGATAATTTTCAGGCCTTCTCTCTGTAACTGGTTACAGAAATAAAAACTCTTTCTCCCCAGTTCATCTGCATCTCGTTATTGGGCAGTGAGAAATAGCAGCCTGACCCTCAGTTTGGTCCAGGAACAGTTTGATGCCAATATTAACTGAAATTATGATTATTTCAATGAAATTGTGTCTTTATTCTAATATTCATTAGAAGTGAGTTATGTAACATTATTACAGAATACTGTATTATCATTTACTTTTTCCTTCTGAGACCTAAAGCACTAAAGTTGCATATTCATTCAGCCCTACATTTATATTTTATTTTTTGAAATGTGTTACACAGTTTAATTTGAGATTACACAACATTTGTGATGCTACAACAATTAATATGGGCTTTTAGAAAACGAAAAATGATGGGTTTTTAGAACATTAAAGATGCATGATAGCTACCCAGGATAACCTGATTCACAAAGTTGGAGTATAGCTCAGGATGTATATTTTTTCAAGACTCCCAGGCAAATTCTGAAACACAGGGTGGTTAGGAAACATTGCCTTAAAGGCTTGGATAATATAAAGTTTTATTTATATAATTGATATATCAGAAAATATCTCATCATAATTGTTTTTTCTATTTCAAATTTGAGCAACTTTTTACACTTTACTACTACCTTTAAAATGTGTTGTAACACATTATTTTCTAGATAATGTATGTATTTATTTATTATATTTTATTTTTTAAATTAATTTTATGGCTGCCTTCAGCCTCGGCTAAAGTGATATTTTAAAATATATATTTGGTCTTTGATTCTGTTTCCTGGCATACAATCCCTAAAATCCTTAGAATATCCAAAATGATGTCTTTTTGTATGCTAATGAGCTTACTGATGCTTGGCAGCCTCTAGGTAACTTCAGGAAGGGCTTGTCACCTGAAAGACAAAGGCAGGAGTACAGGGTTGGGACTTTGATACCCGCTCTCCAACTTCTGGGGAGGGAAGTGAGGGCTGAAGTTTAAGTTGATTATTAATGGCCACTAGTTCAATCAATCACACCTAGTAACGAAGCACCCATAAAATCCCCAAAGGACAGGTTTTGGAGAGCTTCAGGATAGGTGAACACATGAAGATTTCTGGAGAGTAGAAAATGCCTATGGAGGGCATAGAAGATGCACACCTTTTCCCACAGTCTTGCTTTACGCAACTCTTTCATCTGCATCCTTTGTAATAGTCTGGATCATAAGCCGGTAAATGAAAGTAAATGTTTTCCTGAGTTGTGCAAGTCCCTCTCACAAATTAATGGAACCCAAGAAGAGGGTCATGAGAACCTGAATTTATACGCAGTCAGTCAGAAGCTTAGGAAAAACAACCTGAGGATTGGGATCGGTTATAGAAGAGGAGGCAGTCTTGTGGGACTGAGCTCCCAACCTATGGGATCTGCCACTGTCTTCTGATCAATACTATCACAATTAAACTCCATTAGTGTCTGCTGTATAACTGACTGCTTGCTTGGTGTGTGGGGAAAATCCCCCACACATTTGTTAACAAAAGATGTCTGTGTTGATTGTTGTGGTAGAAAAGCAGGGGAAAAACACAGTGTTTTTGCCACTCAGAGCTATTCTGTCTTTCTCTCTTCCGTTTAATCGATGATATATACAAAATGTTGGCCCTGTTAATAACGAATTTTAAACTGAGTAATCTCAATGTTAATACATTTTAATGTATATAGTGACAATAAATAATTTGAAATGTAAGTTGTTGAAATTTTAAATTACTTTGAGCCTTAAAGGATTGTGATTATGGAGCCTGAGTCGTATGACAGGTAGCTAGCTGTAACCTAGGCAGCTATAACCTTTGTCTTCCTGATTATAGATTAGTCTTCTTCCTTCCTTACATTGTTTTGTAAAATGTTGTAAATGGCTAAAGGGCACCATAGAAGATCCCTTCCTTCTTCATTGTTCACCTTCATGGTAGATTAACTGCCCTCCTACTTTTCTCAAAGACTTCATGGCTGTCACATTGTCTTATAATGGAATATTAAGTACATTCTTCTAACTTGGAAAGGAAATAAAAACTAGATATAAAGAAAAGAAAACAAGCCAAACTCATTATATTTTTGTAACTCATAAACCAGCCATGTACACACAATGTTGTAAGCCTATTAAATTTCATTGTTTTCTGCCTATATAAGCAAGAACTTAGGAGCACTGGCTCCATTTCTCTGGAGTCTTTTCTCCAAATGCCTAATTCCAGCTTTTTGTTTGACCACATTTTAAAAAACTGAATTCTGATCCTTTTGAATATTTTAGGTTGACACTATGATTCAATTGTCTTATTTTTTATCTTGTTTTGTGGCAGGCCAGGTCTCACTAAGGCAGCCCTCCATAACAAATGTTTCAGCACTGACTGAATGGTCAATTAAATATTAAAAGCCAGTGCCCTTATACAAAGGCTAGAATGTATCAAGAGCCCACCAAGAGTTTTGCCTAGGCCTTTCCTGAACCTTAAAGCATGATTAAACAAGCTTACTGGGAGTCTGCAGGAACTCCCCAAACCTTTGTGAATTAGCAGGAGACAAGACAAGAGTAATCACCCCAGTGCCTGGACCCATTTAGATTAAGTATACGTATTGAAGCTCCAGAAGAAGGTCTTCAGGACTCAGACCTTAGCTATAGGTTAAAAGAAGTTAATCACTTATGTCTTTAGATGAATGAACACTTATGCATAGAAATATAGCTTAGAAGCTACATAAGCTCTGGAAAACTTCATAATTTTGAGTTGGTCAGGAGATAATTTTCAGGCCTTCTCTCTGTAACTGGTTACAGAAATAAAAACTCTCTTTCTCCCCAGTTGATCTGCATCTCGTTATTGGGCAGTGAGAAATAGCAGCCCGACCCTCAGTTTGGTCCAGGAAGAGTTTGATGCCAATATTAACTGAAATTATAATCATTTTAATGAGACTGTGTCTTTATTCCAATATTCATTAGAAGTGAGTTATGTTACATTATTATAGAATACTGTATTATCATTTACTTTTTCCTTCTGAGACCAAAAGCACTAAAGTTGCATATTCATTCAGCTCTACATTTAAATTTTATTTTTTGAAATGTGTTACATAGTTTAGTTTGAGATTACACATTTTTGATGCTACAACAATAAATATTTTGTGCCATTTTAATATTTTAATGCATTCTTCTTGATGTTTTTCTGAATACAGTGAAAATACAATTTTAACAAATATAAGATTAGTATTTTGCAATGTTCCTTCAGTGTTTAATTATCTTCACTTAATTATGGAATTATACTTCCTTATTTTTAAAGATATACACACATATATAATTATAATGACATGTACACATACAAAATTATGATGACATGTACATAAGTGTGTGTATATATTTTATATGTATATATTTATAAGTATTCATACAGACTTATAAGTAATTTGGATGATAAGATTATTTGTCCATATTAATTCAATAAGCCACACACACACTGTAGAATAAAGTCATCCTTAAATACCTGATTGATTAACTGAGTTAATTAGTAATTTAATCCTTATTATAAAAATTTAAAAATCATATGTAAAATATGTAAAAACAAATATATAATCATGTTTATAAATTATAACTTAAAAATTAATAAGAAAACATTTTAATAAGGCTGACTTCCTTGTTATTGATTGTACTCATACTTCCGTCAACCACCTATCTTTCTGGCCTCTTGCACTCTGACCACCTTCAGGTACTTGTATCATTCTGAATTCCTCACACTCTTACCCTCCAATCTTTGTTCATGATCACGATGTTTTCTCTGGAACATTTACTCAAGCCTCGTATGTTTGCCTATAATTTTTCCTGATTCAGCTGTGATATAATGTCCTCTCAGATGCTGTCTTTATATTTCTGGGCCAGCTTTAGTGATGCTTCTAAGTGTTTGCAAAATAATTTGTGCATAATTCTGTCATACAACATGTCTTCCTTGACCACAAAAGTCTAATTGTTTGTCTGTAGTTTCCACTAGAAGGTAAGTTACCAATTTACTGTATTAGTCTGTTCTCCTGCTGCTAATAAAGTCATACCTGAGACTGGACAATTTATAAAGAAAAGAAATTTAATTGACTCAGAGTTCCATATGGCTGGGGAGGCCTCACAATCATGGCTGAAGGTGAATGAGGAGTGAAGTCACATCTTACAGGGCAGCAGGCAAGAGAGCTTGTGTAGGGGAACTCCCCTTTATAAAACCATCAGATATTGTGAGGCTTAATCACTATCAAGAGAACAGCATGGGAAAGAACCACTCCCATGATTTAGTTACCTCCCACTGGGTCCCTCTCACCACATGTGGGAATTATTGGAGCTACAATTGAAGATGAGATTTGGGTGCGGACACAGCCAAACCATATCACAACTCCATTAAAAAGTGGACAAAGGATATAAACACACAATTTTTCAAAAGAAGATATATATGTGGACAAGAAGTATATGAAAAAAATCTCAATATGACTATTAGAGAAATGCAAATCAAAACCACTTATCACACCAATGAGAATGGCTATTATTAAAAAGTCAAAAAAAGCAGATGCTGATAAGGTTGCAGATAAAAGGGAACAGGTGTACACTGTTGGTGGGAATGTAAATTAGTTCAACCACTGTGGAAAGCAGTATGGCAATTTCTCAAAGAGCTAAAAGCAGAACTACCATTCAACACAGCAATCCCATTAGTGAGTATATACCCAGAGAAATATATATATATATCACTCTACCATAAAGACAGAAAGGTATATCATTCTACCATAAAGACACATGCATGCGAATGTTCATTGTAGCACTATTCACAATAGCAAAGGCATAGACTCAACCTAAATGTCCATCAGAGGCACACTGGATTATGAAAATGTGGTACATATGCACAATGGAATACTATGCAGCCATAAAAAAGAATGAAATCATGTCTTTTGTGAGAATATGGGTGGAGTTGCAGGCTATTATCCTTAGCAAACTAACACAGGAACAGAAAACTAAATACTGTGTATTCTCACTTATAAGTGGGAGCTACATGATAAAAATTTATAAATCCAAAGAAGGAAACAACAGACACTGCAGTCTAATTGAATGTAGAGGGTTGGAGAAGGGAGAGGAGCAGAAAAGATAACTATTGTGTGCTGGGCATAATACTTGGGTGACGAAGTAATCTGCACAACAAACCCCCATGCCACGAGTTTATCTATGTAACAAACTCTCTTATATACCCTTGAACTTAAAATAAAAGTTTATATTTAAAAAGATCAGTAGTTACAAGTCATATTGATAGCATGTACACTTGACATAACCTGATATGTTTAGAATAGCACTTTACTTCTATGATCTTTGCCCTAAAAATACATTATTCAAATCTAATCATAAGAAAAACAACAGACAAAAAATTATACAAAATGCCAATATACCTGGCCAATGATCTTCAAATTTATCAAGCTTGTAAAAAACAGGAAGTCTAAGAAACTGTCATAACCAAGCTGAGCCTTTGTAGAGATGATGACTTAAAGTAATGTGGTAACTTGGATAGGCAACTGGAAAACTCGAGGAAAAAATAAAATATTTAATTTCTAATAATTTATAAATTATACTTAACATGCTGTAGATTAGATCTCCAGAGCTTGTTCATCTTGTAACTGAAAGTTTGTACCCTTTGACCAAAATGTCCCAATTTTCTTCACTCCCCCAGCCTCTGGCAACAGCCTTTCTAACTCTCATTTATATGAATACAGCTTCTTTTTATTCCACGTATAGGTGGCAGATATACTAATTAGTTTGATTATGGGCATCACCTCATAATGTATCAAAACATCATGTGGTACATCGTAAATATATACAATTTTTATTTGTTAGTTATACTTCAATAAAGTTAAGGAAAGTAATAGTGTACTAATATTGATTTATTAACTGTGAAAACTATGTCCTACTAAGATATTAATAATAGGAGAAATTGGGTGTGAAGATAGATTGGATCTTTGCACTATACTTGTAACAATTCTTAATACAATACTTCTTTAAAACGATGTGTATTTAAAAAACCAAAATAAAGATTTACAAGGAATGATAACTTAATAATATATGTAAAAGAGACTGAATTTTGAATCAAAGTTATAGTAACATTAAAAGAGTATGATTATGGAGAATAATTTTCCTAGGGCTGGTCAAGGGCAGAATATGTGTTTTTGTTTTCTCCTTCCCTGTAAATTCATTCTCTAGGTTAAGACTAGGTTAGCCAATATTGCTTATATTTTTAATATTCTATTTTTTTTCTTTTTCTATTTCTTACTTTATCATATACACACTCACACATATCCCTCCACCCTGGCACTATCTCATCAATTTTGTTTCTTTATAACAAAAAGTTATGAATATGTTTGTAACTTTTAGGGCCGTAAGTGATGGCTCACGCCTGTAATCCCAGCACTTTGTGAGGCGGTTGGATCACGAGGTCAGGAGTTCGAGACCAACCTAGCCAACATAGTGAAACCCTGCCTCTATGAAAAATACAAAAAATTAGCCTGGCGTGGTGCCAGGCACCTGTAATTCTAGGTACTCTGTCTGGAGGCTGAGGCAGAAGAATCGCTTGAACTAGGGAGGTGGAGGTTGCAGCGAGCCAAGATTGTGCCACCGCACACCAGCCTGGGCGACAGTGTGAGACTCCATCTCAAGACAAACACAACAACAAAGAACATGGTTATAACTTTTAAATTTGGACTTAATTTTCTTATATTTTTCCAATATTTTCAATCCTCTAAAAACTGAAATTCTTAAAGACAAAGCCAGATGTTACCTAATAAAGTACATATGCACACATTTTTATAAAAACAAATAAACCCATGGATACAGCCATATTTATTTTAAAAAAGTCAACCATACCTTATATTAAAGACAATAATAAATTATAATCCAGAGGAGATAGTTTGTAGAAAAAATTATTAACTTTATTTTCTTCTGTTTCATATATTTTTCTTTACAATCACTTTTTTAAACAAAATATTATGTTAGGTTTAGAGTGATTTTACTGCATACATGATTAATTTATGCAATGTTCCTTTTTTCTGCTTTTATTTTTATGTCTTTTTTCCTATTTTCTTTCAAAGTAGAAGCCATCAAGCATTTTTTTTTTCTCCACGATGGAGCCTCACTCTGTCACCGAGGCTGGAGTGCAGTGGTGTGATGACAGCTCACCGCAACCACCGCCTTCTGGGTTCAAGCGATTCTTGTGTCTCAGCCTCCCAAGTAACTGAAACTACAGGCATGAACCACCATGCCCGGCTAATTTTTTTTTAATTTTTTAATTTTTTAATTTTTTTATTTTATTTTTTTAGTAGAGACCGTGTTTTGCCATGTTCGAGGCTGGGCTCAAACTCCTGAACTCAGGTGATTCACCTGCCTCGACCTCCCAAAGTGCTGGGATTATAGGCGTGAGCCACCACACCCAGCCTATCAAGCCATTTTGAATAGGAAAGTAGTATAACTACATTTGAGGCTTTCAAAATTTAAAACCATTTGATTTCAAGTTTCAGTTCTTCCATCTTTGCTTATGTAACCATGCACAATTCCTTTATTTAATAACTTTAGCTATAACATGGGCATGGAATAATATTGACATGGTAAGTTTCTTCTGAGTGTAAAATTAAGCAATGCACAAGCTCTTGAAAATGTGCTTAATCAATATTACCTACAGCTATTTTATTAAAACATTTATTATCATTGATGAGTTTTACCCAAACTGATATCTACAAACAACCATTTGATTGAATTTGGAAGGGAAATTTCCAGTCTAACTCTAAGCTATTTCAAGGTTCATCTCTGGTCAATGGCTTGGTTGCAACCCAGTGAGATCCTGAACCAGAAATACCCAGAAAAACTTCTCCCAGAGTTTTGACCCTCAGAAATTGTGTGAGATAATCAATTTGCATTGTTTAAAGCTGATGAGTGTTGGAGCAATGTATTATGTTGCTATAAATACTTAGTATGTATTTCAGTACCTGTAAGTGAGATGTTGTTGAAAGAACACCCTAAAATGTAGGAATAACTTTGAATTCCTTAGTGGACTTGGAGGACAGAATGTGAAAAAACAAAACAAACAAACAAAAAATGCCTGAGGTGTGTTAAGTAAATCGTTAATAGAATCCCAATGTTCTTTCATAAGGTTATTGGTAATGCCTATAGGTGAATGAGGTAAATCTTATTTAAAACTGGAGGAAAGAGGATTTTTGTTATGTAATAGCAGAAGTTTATCAATACTACTGCTGCAATTATGTGGTGTTTGAGGTTGAATTGTGTCCTGCAAAAGATAGAAGTTGAACCCCTAACCCCTAATACCACAGAAGGTGACCATATTTGGAGATGGGGCCTTTAAAGTGGTACTTATGGTTAAGATAGGTAATATGGGTGGCCCCTAATTCAATATGACTTGTGTCCTTATAAGAAGAGATTAAGATACAGACACAGACAGAGGCAGGATTATGTGGTGATAACAGAAGAAGACAGCCATCTACAGACCAAGGAAAGGGGCCTTGCAAGAAACCAAACCAATCTTACCAACACCTTGATCTCAGACTTCTAGGCTTCAGGATTATGAAAAAATAAATTTCTATTGTTTTAAACCAAGAGATCTGTTGTAATTTGCTATGGCAGCCTTAGAAACTAGTACATGTAGAAAATAAAAAATGGACCTAAAATGCTGGGTAATTTGCTAAGTAGATTTTCAGCCAGAATATTGAAGGTGATACCTACTTCCTTCTTGTTGCTTATAACAACAGGCAAGGTTAAAGAAATAAAGTAGGCTGGGTGTGGCGGCTCACTCCTGTAATCGCAGCACTTTGGGAAGCCAAGGTGGGCAGATCACCTGAGGTCAGGAGTTCGAGACCACCAGCCTGAGCAACATGGAGAAACACCATCTCTGCTAAAAATACAAAATTAACCAGGCAGGGTGGTGCATGCCTATAATCGCAGCTACTTGGGAGGCTGAGGCCAGAGAATTGCTTGAACCCAGGAGGCAGAGGTTACAGTGAGCCAACATCATACCACTGCACTCCAGCCTGGGCAACAAGAGCCAAACTCCATCTCAAAAAAAAAAAAAAAAAAAAAAAAAAAAGAGGGATAAAGTAAAAGAAAGACTGATGAACAAACTGGAGCCAGAACTTGCTGATTTTGAAAATACTCAGCGTCTCCAGAGGGCAACTGATAATAAAACTAATAAGAAATGGTTTCTGAGAAAAGATCAAATTTAGAGCAATGCCAGAGACCCCTGATCTAAAGATAAAGCTGAGGGTAACTGTAAAATCACTTGTAAAGATCTCACAAAGGTGAAAGATATGCTGTCTATGAAGATATAGCAAGGAACTGAGAGAGGCCTCTGGCCAACAGCCAGCAAGGAGCTGTTTTCCTCAGTCCAGCAACCTTCCAGAAGCTGAATTATGCTAATAATGTGAGTTAGTTTAGAAATGGATCCTCCCTCAACTGAACCTTCATATGAAACCACAGCCTCAATCAACAGGTTTACTGCAAACTTGTAAACCTTGCACCCTGAGGTAGAACCACCCAGTTAAGATTCTCCCAGAGTTCTGAACTCAGAAATTGTGTGAGAGAGTAAATGGTTGTTACTTTAAGCTGCAAAGTTTTGGGATAACAAATTATCCCAGTATAATTTCTTATAGTGCAATAGAGAATTAAAATGGTAAGGTTGCTGTGAATGTAAAACTAGATAATGCAAGAAGCCCCTGCCACAGCATAAGTGCCCAATCTGTGTTATCAATGGCTATTTTATTACTATATCTATTATATTTGATAAGATTTTCCATTTATTAGCATACTATAAGAATATAGATATAATAGCTTTAATTTTAACAATAGTTCAAGAACTTCTGAATCTATCACAATACATGAAATTAACTTCTAAGATAACATTAGGCAAGCGATTAATCTATACGATTTATAGATTTAAAATCTATATGATTTTAAAATCATATCTTATTTGATTTCCTGTATTTATTCCTACATGTGTCTCTTTGGTAAGTTTGCAGTATCTTACTTTATCCAACCATAAAATGAGAAATAGTTTCCACCTACTCACTTTGCAGGATATTGTGAAAATTAATGAGGTAATATGTGTAAAGCTCTAGAAGCCTTTAAATAGTGCTATAAACATGAGTATTTTATCCCAGTGGGTGGGTTCTATCTATTTTTATGAATGGCTTCCAACATAGTGATAGAAGAGATAATGGACAGATAAATAGATAAGTAGGCAAACAGGAGACAAGGTAGGGAAAGAGAGAGAAAAAAATAGGATAAATAATAGTAGAAATTAATGGCTTTGTAGTTTTTATGGAATTATCTTTTTGGCTTACTGACCACATGTATTTTCAAGGATATTCAAACATCCAGTATTTAGCAGCTACCTGATTTCTTCTTCGAATTTTTGGACTGATATAAGGGGAAATTAGTTATATCTTCATAATTGAGGCAACACATTATTTTTTCTTCTAATCTATGCACCGTTGTTCCTTATAATGAGTAAAACCAATTGCAAATAATATAATTTTCTACCTTATCAGCCCTTTCTTCTCCCCTATGCAATCTATATTTTTCAGAATAACAATGCTTTAATATTTCTATTCTATATAACTACTTCTGTGTATTTAAATATAAGAACATATAGTAGGACATCACAATGAAAATAATTTCAAGCTGGCGTTCAGTGACATACAAACTACCAAGCAAAAGCATAGGTGACAAGTTATAACAAATTTCCAAAAAGAGGAAGAGACCATCTAAGCAAGATTTTCAAATGTACTGTGTGACAATCTGTTGTGTGATCTGTGCTAACTACATCTTCTCCCAAATTCAGTTGAAGAAAGACTTGAACATCATAAAGAGTCTAGAAATTCACGGGGAGTTGTTGATGAGCTTTGGGTCTTACCAAAGCCCTTTTAGAGTGGGGATTGAGAAACTTCCTTCTTATATCAAGACTCATGGGGAAAATAAAGAGTGTTTGTATATGTTCATTGGAATTGAGAGAAAACAGTATTTGGTATGTGATTCACTCCCTATTGTTTCAAAAGATAAGAAACTAGCTTGACTGTCTTGACACAGTTAAATTCAAAATTAACGTAGATTGAAAAATAGCTCCACTCACAAGCGTCATGGATTAAGGTTGCATGCTTCTCATTGAGATGTATTGAACCCAAATTATTTAACCAACATGTTATAAACACCATCTGGAAAACAAAACAAACAAAACAACAACAACAAAAAAACTTTCCAAATATAGAAGAAGAGGAATACAGTTGAATCCCAACAAATTGAGCAAGGATACTTCTAAGTGACCTACCAGAATGTACCAAAAGACTGTCATTGCATGTGAAGGATCCCTCAATGAAAAGAGAGGTATTGTCCAAAGACCATATAAAAGTGCTACAACCAGAATAAAGCCATCTTCCGTGGCTGCTCTTTATAGCATCCATGCATTTATTACCCTTTCTGACCTCACCACTGTGTCCTAGTGGAATCACAGTGAGAGAAGAAAAGAAGAATATGGTGGGGAAAATAGGAAAGAAACTTACTTTAGATCCTTTCTCTAGAGGCTCTTTAATATTGAAATAGTTCAGGATAGAATCTTTAACTTTTCAAAGTTTTGAACTTCCAAGGATCTGGACATTTTACTAAAATGAGCCTATGTATTGACCTTAATTCCTGGAAACACTTTTCAGTAACAGAGAACCAAAAGACAAGTCAGGGAATTTGCCTTGAATTTTATCAAAGGGCAAAAAAGAACATGTCTCCAAAGTAGGTTGAACAAGAAGGGGGAGGAATAAATCAAGTTGTCCTTTGCTGTACTTGAGTCCTCAATGTATATGCATTATGTACTATATTTCACATATATCACATACAATATATGTGTTCTATTTTATTATGACCCATTTGATAAATTAGAAAATTAAATACCATCAAAATCAAATCACTTGCAAGGGTTCACATAGCAGGAAATGGGAAAAGCCAGATTAAAAATCATTTTGGTTTCAGAATCCATTTTCTTAACTACTATATCATATACTGTGCCTCTTTTGCTTAGGTATTTATACATAGATGTGCACGTATATACATATATGTAGATATCTGTATGTATATTTTTATTCTTTTTAATCCTTTAATAAACAGTAGAGTTATCATAGAGAAATACTGAGTGCTTTAGTTATTCTATTTTTTATCTGAGATTATATACTGGGTAAGACTTTTCCATAAATTTTATAAATAGGAAATAGAATTATCTTCAAGTATTCATGGGATAATGGAGATAGGTGGAAAAGAGCAGAGAAATTATGAGTACTAGAACTGAAGTTTACTTCACAACTCTGGGGTGACATTTCAGATTGGTTTATAATTTGAAAATAAATAAAGGCTTTATGAAAATTCCTTCTAGTTTGGTTTTTCTCATTTTCTTCTCTGTCAATTAATTGGAATTAGATTTACTTTATTTGACCCAAATTGCTCAAGATGAATTTAGTATACATAGAAATATATCTCCTTCTTCTGTATTATCAAAAAAGGATAGATATGCTTTTTATATGAATACACCATAGTAGAGGCACTTAGGTGTTTTATGATAAAAAAAAGAAATTAGGGTCTTCTCATCAATCTTTTGGGCAAGGTTATATAAGAAACTTATTTAAATTAGCTTTAAGATGGTTTTCTTTGTATATACTTCACTTTTGGGGTATGATGATGATATTTTAAAATATTAGTATGAATGTATTATTATTTATTAATTTTGAGTGTGGAAAATGAAGAAAAAAGGATGAAAGCAGCATGGTATAGTATTTCAAAGAATGTGCTTAGAGCTGGATGATCTGACTATGAATTTTGGCTCAACCAGTTTCTACCTTCCTTTGTGCCCTTGAACAAGTCACTTAGCCTCTTTGCTCTCTAGTTTCTTCTTGCATTCAATAGAGATAATAACAGCAACTAACTCACAGGGCTATGGTAAGTGTTAAATGAGTTTATATGAAGCTCTTAAAACAGCACCTGACACAGAATAAGCAAGAAACAAAAATGTTTGTGAAATAAAAGTGTTATTGATTGGTTTTTGTTTTTTAGTTAAAGTTGGACTTATATTTGCAATTTGTTCTTTTTTGATATAGTCTTAATTTGTAATTCATATTTTATATGTATATTCTCCATTAATCATATTTGTATCTCAGATATTTCACTGAATAATTAACTTAACTTTTGTAAATTCCAGAAGACATTAAAGAAGAATTTTGGACAACAAAATGAAACTATGTGTTCTAAAAACTGGAAGTGTTTTATATAGTTATTTATAAGGACAGTCACACAGAAGAAAGACTAGACCATACTGTGTATGGATTATTCTATTTCTATAGCATTCTAGCAGCATCTAAGAGGAACATTGATATAAAATCAAGAGGAAGTATATATGAGTGGTAGAAGTGAAGTACTAAGGGAGAGGATCAACAAATAGTTATTATGTATGAAGCACGAAGACATAGCTGTGTTCTAAAAGGAGCACTTTTAGAGCTGAAGTACGAGATCTGAGAAGGATCAGATTCACAGATGGTGAATTGGGTAGAGTGGGGTCTACTCTTAGGGAAGACAGAAAGCCCACAACAGGAGTGTCTGACATGAGTCACGTAACCCACCTGGGAATGGAAGGGCTGGAAACTATATAGTAAGCAAATGGACACCCATCTCCTTACTTGGAGTAAAAGGTAATGCATTTCCTCTTTTCCAATTGATTATTTTCCACTGCCTTAAAGGTAATCAACAGGGATATAAGGTAGATCTGTGTCTAGAACAATTCATCAATTTTACTCACATGGAAACAGCCTGTTACTTAATAGCTTTCTGGGTTCCACTAGTATTTCTACTATTCAGCACAGAAAGGTTGGTCCAAAAGCATTTAAAATCAATAGATCTGGGATTATGTGGCCTTAGGTAGCTGGTTGTACATCTTTCCTTAAATCGATCCAAGTTACCACATAGTAATTTTAGTTTAGGACTCGATAACAGTAAAGTGTTCACTATGTGCAAGGGTATTGAAGTTCTTATGACCACAGATCATCAGTACTGTTGTCTCACGTAATGCTGAAACTGAAATGGTTCATGTTTGCATTGTTAAAAATGTTTGAAATAGAATGAGTGCTATGAATGTTGAAAACTGCAATGTCCGTTATGAGGGCCAAAAATCTGTTTTGAAGGCAGCTACACTTTGAAGTGGTCTTTGAATACTTTTAATAAATTTATTTTGATAACCAATATTGAAAAAAATCATGAGTGAAAATAAAATATTTAATTTCCACAGTTTCTCATTGTTTGCAAAGTAGGAGACTTTGTGGCAATAGAGCTTTTTGGCATTCTCAGGCTAAGTAGGAATAAAAACTGAATTGTGTTGGTGAAAAATAATAGTGTATTAGCTTTTTATTGATGTATAAGAAATGACCACACATTTAGCAGTTCGAATGACACACTATTAATATCTCAAGGATTTCTCAGGATTACAGACACAGATTAACAGGATTCTCTGCTCAGGGTGGCTTGAAATCAAGGTGACAGATGGGGTTGCAATCTCATCTGAACCTGAGCCTTATCTTTCAAATGTATTCAGGTTTCTCTGCAGAATTCGGTTCCTTGAAATTGTAAGACTAAGGCACTTATGTCCCTGCTGGCTATTGGCTGAAGTCACTCTCAGCTCATAGAGGCCACCAGAGTCCTTTATCATCACATGGTTCTCTGACAACATGGAAGTTTACTGGTTCAAGGTTAGCAAGAGAATACCTCTTTTGTCTGCAGCAGCACAGTCCTATATCAGGTAATGTAATCATAGGAGTCACTATCTCATTATGTACCCTTATATTCACAGATCCCCGCCATGCTCCATGAAGCCATCTAAGAATTCTCCTACCACACATAAGCAGTAGAGGAGACGGTGGCAATTATGAAATCAAGTGCCTTTTTCCAAATTTACTGCTGCTACTAAGCCCCAGCCAATTGTTGCTACATGAGAATCAATACCAAGTTTTCCAAATTTTCAAGTGATGCTGAAAATCCAAAGTTGTATACTGTGTTTTCCAATATTTAAAATAGTGCCAAGCATTCAGCTGTTAGAACCGATAAGCAGAATAATGCATAGGACTGCCAATTATAGAAATTTAGTCACACCTCTATGATCTAGAAAGTGTCATAGATCACAAAAATATAATAAAAAATACAGGACAGTCAAGGAAAATACATGAAAATAGAAAAACCACATAGCATAAAACAGGAAAAAATGTGGTTACTTTTTGTCTTAGTCAGTTAGGGATACTGTAATGATATGGTTAGGCTCTGTGCCCCCACCCAAATCTCATTTTAAATTGTAATCCTCATAATCCCCACATGTCAAGGGCAGGACATGGTGGGAGGTGATTGGATCATGGGTGCTGGTTCCCCCATGCTGTTCTTGTGATAATGAGTTCTCACAAGATCTAACGGTTTTATAAGTGTTTAACAGTTCCTCCTATAGACTCATTCTCTTTCTTGCCTGTTGCCCTGTAAAAAAAGCTACTTTCCCTTCTGCCATGATTGTAAGTTTCCTAAGGCCTTTCCCACCATGCAGAACTGTGAGTCAATTAAACCTTTTTCCTTTATAAATTACTCAGTCTTGGATATTTCCTTTTAGCCATATGAGGATAAACTAATAGATATAGCAAGATACAATAGACTGGGTGGTTTATAAATGACAGAAATTTATTTTTCACAGTTCTGAAAGCTGGAAGTCTAAGATCAGGTTGCCAGCATTGTTGTTGTCTGTTGAGGGTCCTTTCTCGGTTGGAAACTGCCCACTATTTGTGTATTCTTAGAGAGAATCAATGTCTCTCAAGACTCTTATAAGAGCATTAATCCCATTAATAAGGATTCCATTCTCATGATCTCATCTAATCCTAATTTTCTACCAAAGGCCTCACCTCCTAATATCATAACATTAGGGGTTAAGTTTTCCACATATGAATTTTGAGAGGACACAAACATTCAGTCCATTCAACTTTTTCAGTGGAGGGTGAGTCATAGAATTGTGTTTGAATGCTTCATCGAGAAAACAAGAACTTGAACTGGAACCTGACAGGAATAAAATAAGGGTCAGCAAACTATACCCCATGGGCTAACTCTGGACTTGGAGCTGAAACTTTATATATATAACTTTTGAAATATATATATAAATATTTATATATATCAAAGCAAGTTTCATGACACATTAAAATTACGTGACATTTAAATTTCTGTGTTGATTAATAATATGTCATTAGAACAGGGTTACACTCATTTGTTTATGTGCTGTCTATGACTATTTTCAGGTACATTAGTAGAGAAGAGTTGTTGTGACAGAGACCATACAGGCCACTGAAGATATCACCAGATAACGGGAATTTCCTATTATTGGTTGATCATCACTTTGCACTAGTCTCACTGTCTCTCTCTCACTGTTAGGACTTCTCCAGACAACATCAATCTTATACTCTCCCAGTGTTGACACTGTACTCACTTCACATTAAATGTACTTCTCTCTCTCCACTTACTGGCAATGGAAGATTAAACATATTAGTTTCTCAAAAGTAGTAGCAACTTTGAATGGCAGCTCTAAGTTTGAGAGATTCTATAGAAGGTGACTTGTAGAAAACAATTGTGGGTATCTTCTTTCTGTGGAGACATTTAGATGCAAATAGTAGTGAACCAAATATTCATTTTCCTTCTGGCTTTGATCCAGCATGGCAGAAATATTTACACTAATGAGTTTTTGTGAAACAGTGACAAATACAGAACATCTGGAAAGCCAAGAGAGCCAGCCTGGGACGTCTAACAGTTAGTATATCATGCTATAATTCTAACAGAACATCATACACACACACACACATTGCTGTTGTTCTTGTCAAATTCTATAAATTTCTTCTATTTGAGTCATAAAAGACCATGATTTCTATAGTTAAATAAAAATATAAATAATGATAGAAATTACTAAACCCATAGCATTTTGGTGTGGATAGAAACAATATTGAAGAAAAACTTAAAATATCAAAAGAATGTCATCATAGGAAAGAGGAAGTTGTGTATGTTATTGCTGGAATCTGGATCAGGGGCCAAAATTAATGGATGCCAAAATATTTGAACATAACTAAAATCAATTATCAAATTGTCTGAACAATTTGTCATTTTCTATCAATTAAAGTCTCTAATAGTTTGTTAATTGAAGAAAAGTTTCCTCAGTAAAAATGCTTATATTTTTTAAAAAGTTTAAGGCTAACAAAAAATGTGGTTTTTAATTGTTAAATTTCCATTTCTAATATCTAATTCATTCTTAAAAGGGAAAGACACACACACATGCACAAACACACACACTTACACACACATACATATCTTTCTTGTTTTAAGAAATTGATGAATGAAGACCCATATTTGGAAACATGAAACTTAAGTTTAAAAATTATTTTAGGCTGATTTTTTATGTCTGTGGACATGGCTTCAATTAAGTATACGAGTTATTTTATGAGTATAGGAGTTATTTATATGAATTTCATTTAAGATTACATAAATTATCCCACAGGTCTATCAAAAGAAGAAAGATAAACACACAGAAAGATAGTTGGCTTAATCCATTTTGTGCTGTTATAACAGGATACCACAGCCTAGTTACCTTTTATGAATAGAAATGTATTCACTCATGATTCTGGAGGCTGGGAAGTCCAAGCTCTGGAAAGGGCCTTCTTGTGTCATCCCATGGCAGAAGAGCAAAAAGAGGGGAAGAGAGAGGCAAAAGGGGGATGAACTTACACCTTTATAAGGAAGCCACTCCTTTTATAATAGCATTAATAAACTTATGAGGGCAGAGCCCTCATGGCCTATCATCTCTTAAAGATCCCATTTCTTAGTACTGTTTGAATGGTAATTAAATTCAGCATGAATTTGGAAGGAGACAAACATTCAAACCATAGCAATAGTATACAATTTAATACTTCTCAGCAATAAAAAGTAACGAACTGCTGGTGCATGCAACAGCACAAATGAAATCCAAAAACATGTTGAGTGAAAGAAGAACTCAGATTCAAAATTAATCGATAATGACAGACATTAAAAAATTGTCTTCTCTGGAAGAGGCAGTAGATTTCACTAAAAAAGAATATGAGGAAACTTTTTAGTTGGATAAAAATATTCTATATCCTGTTACGGTTGCACAGGAATATTTAATTATTAAATAATCTACTGAAAACTTAAGTTCACTGCAGGTTATTGTGAATATATACATATAAAAAGACTAGGAGAAAAAATTAACACAGTGGTTTTCTGGTTAATCATTGCTTTCATTTTTTTCCTTATTTTTCGGTATTTCCTTAATTTTGATATGAAGAAGCTAAAATATTTATATAACTATGTATACATACAAATATATTTATAATTATACATTGGAAAAATGTTTTATTTATAAAGCACATAATAAATAAAAGTAAGAAAAGTAAGGTCTTCACAGTTTATTGCTAAGATGGTGTGAGAGCTCACTAGAAGTCATGAGTAGAGAAGTGGAAGTACCTGATTATTCCCTACACTTAGAATTTTATTTTTTTCTATTTTCTTGCCTGTTTACTTTTTGCTTTGTATTACCCCTTTGATCTAATACCTGAAGCTTTGTTCTGCCCTCTTTTATAGATAGAATCAGAACCAGATAACAAGGGCTGTTGTATAAATCACTAAAATTATAGATATTTTGTTCACCAGTATATTTGCAATAGTATAGGATTAAATAAAAAAATGAAGAGGTTTTTTTACTATGGAAAATTATGTAAAATATTCAATTTTGGAGAATTCTTGGGAAAACTGGTTCTGGATTACTGATAAGGACCTAATGTTTAAAAATAAAAATATTTAAGAATAAGATCTAATCTGAACTAGAATATATCATAATTTTGTTTGTTTTGAATATTATGTTGCAAAATGTATCTTTGTATGTGTTGGAGATGTGGCAGATATATTCTCCTTTTTGAAAATTAAGAATAGGCTTCCAATTCATTAACTACTTATGTTTGTAAAACCAAAATTAAATTTTCTGTAGAATACAATAGCATGGAAGAAAATTGAATTGTTATTCTTCCTTTAACAACCTGCTAAATATTTTTATTGTAAAGATTATTTATTATATATAATTGTGGTTATGTATACATAAGTAGATCAAGGAGCCAAGACTACTCATTTGGAAACCAAGGATTATATGTCTTACTACAACCAATTCCTTACTCAAGCTAATCTGTGTACCATATCCAAATTATTCTCCTTCCCTGATTCTCCTGGGCCCAATCTGTCCTTGTTCACCTACCTATTCAAAATACAGCCACCACATTCCTTCTACTCACATTTCCCTGTCTTTGATAATCAGCATTCTTAGCCTCTGTGGAGCTAACGTTTTAGCTTCTGCTTGACCTCTTTGTACCCATAACTCCACAGCACTTTGCAATCCCAATCTGTGAAGGCCAGAGTTTATTCTCCCATTTCTCAGACCACGCTGCACAATATATGATCTTACTTCCCCAGTAGTTACTCAGAAGTGTACATTCTAGAAGTGTGGAGAAGTTAATACTCTATGGGGTGAAAATTATTTAATGGGAAGCAGGAGATGATAAGGAACCATCAAATTAGTTCCTCTTCCATCCTCATTCTGACAGATTCTGACATGGGGCAACAGTCTACAGGGTAATTTTAGAAAACATCCTATCAGAAAGCAACAGGCTGTGATTTTTTGGAAATGAAAGTCATCTTCATAAAACACTTTTTCTTTCTTGTTGTCTTGGTATTGCCTCACACAATAAAGCTTAAGTATTTAACTCTGTTGCAGGCTTTCTTTTCTAAAGAACCTTGGCGAAGACAATTAGCAACAATAAATCAAGACTATAAAGAGATTATATTAAGTCTGTCTTGGCAGCTATTATGACATAAATTGTTGTTTGGGGAGAAATCTATCTATGTGTCAGAGGAGATTAGGCATGATAAGAATAAAACATTGGCTCAGGCTTGTTTTTCTCTTTGAGTTATAAAGATGCTTAAGCTTCTATCACCGCAGTAATCTGAAAATTATATTATTTGTTGTTAAAATTACATGACTGATATCATATCACATATGTAGTAGTAATGTGCATGTTAGATATTATAATACTCACTTGTGAAAAAAGTGGAACAAAATAAAATTGGTTCTGACAGACCTGGCAATTTTTACCAGATAGTTATGTAACCAAGTCTAATTAATGATATTTATTTAAAAAGCATTAATTAAAATAGGCAATTGTATTAATTTGATATTTATTTGATATAGCCATATTTAAAATAAAGATATATTATAATAAATAACATCAAGGGATTTGGAATGCATTCCTAATTCTCTTCCAAGTTTAGCTACTAAATAATTATGAGACCTTGAAGAAGTCGCTTAACTTCTTTAGATCTCAGTTTTCTCATTAATTAACAAAATAAATGAGTTGATTTATAGAAATCCAAAGTCCTCTTCCAATTCTAACAATGCAATAAGCAATTTTAATTAAGTAGCAATATTTGGGACAGTGCAATCGAACACATAGCAGCTAATCAAAGATAACATTCATATGTCAATGTAGTTGTGTGCTGTAAATTTTTGATTGCATTCAGAAATACTTTTAAAAAGATTAAATCAAATGAATGAGATCAATGATTATTATGCTCACTGTAGGTTGCTATGACTATGCTGGGCCAATGAAAATTGAAAATAGGACATAGTCACTAAGTCATTCAAGCATTTGTTGAAACCTATGGTGAGTTAACGTCTATACTTCATGCTGATGATTCAGTAGTTCACAAGAGAAGTGCCCTCGAAGCGGGAACTACCATCAAGCCATTCACATATAAATTATTCCAAATGGCATCAAATGCCTTGAAAAGTTTTCCTCACTTAAGAAACAAATGAGCTAGAATTATCACAGGTTAAGGGTGGGATTTGTGGTTTGTAAACTAATATGTTGAACAACCAAGCCGTACAAAAGGCAAGGGTTGAGGGAGTTCAAGAGCAACTGTTAGTAGATATTCTCATTCTGTTCATCATCTGCTCTTCATATGTTAGTTTCAAATCCAGAGACCTTGGGAAAAGCAATAAAATTGTCACATCTTGACTCAGGGATCTATCGAAATAATCAAATCCAACCACAGATTAGTTAACTTTGTTCCAGGCCTGGGCTCCTAACCAATTAGAATAGATGCAGTTAGCTAGATAACATTGGAGAAGTGCCTAGACAAGCCCTATCTTACTGTAATTTAACCCTCCAGTTGCTGGACTATGTTGTGGTCTAGCGTATCCATGAGAAGAGCCAAATAGCCAGGAACTAAGCAGACAACAGTGGGAGCATTTAACTTTAGCATTTCATTCTATAAAAATGGCTACATCATTTTAAAAACTGGTATTAATAAAACAATTATATTTTTCCTGGGATAAAAAGTAATGGGTTGAGAAAATGTGTTTTATTGTATACCTAATGGCAAGTTGCAAATATACACAGATTGGCGCTGAGTTTGCTCAGGACTTTAACTTTCTTACATATGAGATTCGTTTATTTTTAATAGTCACTAGGTGGCAATTCTGGGGCCAAAAGGCACAGTATCTGATTATTAGTGTAGTTTTATAATCTTTTAAATTTGCTGTTCATAATGGAAAGACAGCATTATCTGGGGAAACTAGCTATATGAACTTAAAAAAAAAAAAACCTGCTTTCATAAGGTTGACTGACTATGGAATCCAAATGCAGATAACTGAGTGCTCCTCAAATGCTATTTGACTAATACTTATAATTATGAAAAGCTTCCTACATTTTCCCTTAAATTCTTTTCTTCATGGCATTTCAACACTTCCTTTTGATCACTAAGAATGCTGTAGCACAGCTGTAGAAAATGTTTGTCTCATTAAAATTTAGCCTACTGCAAGTTCAGAGGATTCTAAGTGTATGTATAATTTTATTTCCACTGGGTGATTTCTGCAATGTGTATGAACCATTCTCTCTAATGGAAAGTGCAATAGTAAGGTACTTTAAATAGGCATTAATCCTCACAATACATTCGCAAGTTAGGTAAGCAACATGAAGCGTAGAGCCATAATAAGCATTATCCACATTCATCCACCTTCACAGCCTGCAAACCCAGAAATCACACATCATGAACAAAGAACATTTGCAAAAGGAATAGCAAAGATACATGTGGTTTATTTCCTTCCTGATTGTCATAGAAAGATGAAGCAAAAATATCAAATGTATTTTTTAGAAAAAGGAACAATAAATTAAAATAAAACAACACAACACGTACTATAGTTGTCATGTAAGAGAAGAAATGAGGTCTTATTCAGCTGTTATTTAGTACTGATACATGCATATTGTCATTATAAAAAATATTTACTATCTTCAACCCTATTGTTGAAAAAAACCTCTTTTCTTTGTTTTTTTTACTGACGTGCTAACTTATTCTTGCCAAATGAGAAAGTTAAGATACATTATTAATTATTTCGGTGAGTGCTTAAACACTAATGAAAACAAAACCAAAGTAAACAATCAAAACATTACTTTTAGGATTTCATGACTTCCATGAAGAAAAGATTCCTATTTATCTTATCTGCATTAATAGTACAAAAAATTCACTGAATTTTATAAAAATAATGTTACCTTAGTGAATAATTTGTTTTTTTCATCTTGGAAACAGAATAAACACTATAAGCCTTATAGAACATGTTTGGAATCAATATAATCTGTTTCAAACATAGATGGAATATTGATAAAGACACGTATACAGTTAAATAATAAAAATAGGAGTTTAGTCAATAAGGCTGCATTTGCACAAGTCTTAACCTCAGGTTCAACATTTTTGTATTTTTAACCAGGCATGGTGGCTCATTTCTGCGATCCCAGCTCCTCAGGGGGCTGAGGCTTAGGGATTGCTTGAGGCCAGGAATTTGAGACCAGCCTAGGTGACATAACAAGATCCCTTCTCTAAAATAATTAATAGTAATAACAATTGTAATTTGTATGTGTAGTTTTCAGTCATCTTTGTTTCTTAATTGGATTGAATTCTTTGTCACTGTGCTTGATAGGACAAAAATTAGTCATTTCAGTCACAAATCTTCAACTCTAAACTTCTCATTTTTCAACCATGTGGGTTCAATTTGTACAACTACATAATGCCTACACTTAAAAAGTAAATCTTAGATTGTTTTATTTTGTTTTAGGTGTAATCAATACTTGCTGGTATTGTTTAAAGGAATTGTAAATTTGCATTTTAAATTAATACTCGCATGCAATTTTGGAGTTATTACTCCCATACTTTTCTATACTCTCTTCACCAAATTAAGAGTAGACTTCCTGAATAAAATTTTCTATATTTTTTTCTATTAGAATGAAATACATAAATGCTTAAAAAGACAGTATAAAAGATGAGAGTTTAAGAAAAGCTTCACTGCCCTTACCTTGCCCTGGAGTACTGCTCTTGCTGATTTAACAGAACTTCAGTTTTCAAAGACAAACTTTAAATCTCCATCAAATATTTCAAAGACAGAAAATAAGACTTAAAATGTCATTCTTTTATAATGAGTCATTGGAATTTTATGCCTATAGCAGAATATGAACTTAAATATCATTATATATGTGAAACTCATGGTTACAGAAAATAAATTTAGAAATGTGAATTGAACAAGAAAGATATGAGTGTCAATGTTTCTTAAATTTAATATCTATTAGCAGATACATAAGTGTTCACTTGATGTCAATTTTCTCTGTTTTCTTTGTTATGTGGTAGAATTTAAAAACCTTATTAAAATATTTATAAAGTGATCAATTTTCTTAGTATAGTAGTAAAGCTATTCCTAGTAAGCATAATAAAAAATCACACAACTTTGAACATAATCAGTATGAAATCTATGGTTTTACATATCACAAATTTGGGAACTATTTACGTCAAGATGCCTTGTGCTTATATAATCCCTTGAAAATCTTATGAAAACATAATATAATTGTCTATGTTTGGTTCAAATTCAGTGTCAGAACAATGTGATATATTGTGACACACAGAGGCTGTGTCTTAACTCTGTGAAACTTAACTCTGTATACAGTACCTCTTGAACATTCCCAAGAGCAAAGTGGTCATGGCATCCCTGAAATAACTGGGGAAGAGCCATCAAGCCTCAAGTATACAGCTGAATTCAGCACTGAAGTGCTAGAAAACCTAACTGAAGCTTGATTAAAGGGATTGTGTCAAGTGGTGAGCTTGCTGAGTGTTTGGATATCCAGAGGCCCGAACTTGGTTCTCCAAAGTCTGTAAACTCAGCAATACAGCTACTCGGACATTTGTTATTTTCTGAGAAAAGAAACAGTGTATTTGAAAACACATGTAGGTTTCTCCAATTCCATACATGTGCAGAATGAGCAGATGATATGTCAAACAGAGGTGGCTGATTATAGCCCTTTTAGATATGGATTACAAAGCTCTAAGCTGAAGGCCTAAAGTGACCAAGGGTCTGCATGCAATCAGATTCAGTGTTAACTAACTAAGGAGCCAGCTTTGTGATAAGCAGGACTTTTTGAATTTGAGGTTATTAAAAACAGTACAAACAAAACATACAACATCCAGTGAAAGCCAGGAGATCTAAAATTAATGTGATTAAACCATAAGTTTAAAAATGATAAAATTTAACAAAACATTGTGATATTGTGGAAGATTTACACAGATTTGAGCAGGCAAATAAAAGTAGAAAATAAATAAGACAGGATATGCCCAACATTTCTTTGAAGATGACAAAAATTATGTGCAGGATTCTCTATTTAACAAATAGTGATGGGAAAACTGGCTAGCCATTTGCAGAAAACAGAAACTGGCCTCCCTCTTTACACTTTATACAAAAATTAAATCAAAATGGATTAAAGATTTAAACATAAAATCTAAAACCATGAAAAACCTAGAAGAAAACCTAGGCAATACGATTCAGAACATAGGCATGGGAAAAGACTTCATGACTAAAACACCAAAAGCAATTGCAACAAAAGCCAAAATTGACAAATGGGATCTAATTAAACTAAAGAGCTTCTGCAAAGCAAAAGAAACTCTCATCAGCATGAACAGGCAACCTACAGAATGGGAGAAAATTTTTGCAATCTATCCATCTGACAAAGGGCCAATATCCAGAATCTACAAGGAACTTAAACAAATTTACAAGAAAAAATACACAACCCCATCAAAAAGTGGACAAAGAATATGAACTTCTCAAAAGAAGACATTTATGGGGCCAAAAAACATATGAAAAAAAGCTCATCACCACTGGTCGTTAGAGAAATGCAAATCAAAACCACAGTGAGATACCATCTCATGCCAGTTAGAATGGCAGTCATTAAAAAGCCAGGAAACAACAGATGCGGGAATGGATGTGGAGAAATAGGAATGCTTTTACACTGTTGGTGAGAGTGTAAATTAGTTCAACCATTGTGGAAGACAGTGTGGTGATTCCTCAAGGATCTAGAACCGGAAACACCATTTGACCCAGCAATCCCATTACTGGGTATATACCCAAAGGATTATAAATCATTTTACTATAAAGACACATGCACGTGTATGTTTATTGTAGCACTATTTACAGTAGCTAAGACTTGGAACCAACCCAAATCCCATCAATGATAGACTGGATAAAGAAAATGTAGCACATATACGCCATGGAATACCATGCAGCCATAAAAAAGAATGAGTTCATGTCCTTTGCAGGGGCATGGATGAAGCTGGAAACCATCATGCTCAGCAAACTAACCCAGGAAGAAAAAACCAAACACTGCATGTTCTCACTTATAAGTGGGAGTTGAACAATGAGAATACATGGAAACATGGAGGGGAACATCACACACTGGGGACTGTTGTGGGGTGGGGTGTAAGGGGACGGATAGTATTAGGAAAAATATCTAATGCATGCAGGGCTTAAAACCTAAATTACGGGTTGATAGGTGCAGCAAACCACCATGGCAGATGTATACCTATGTAACAAACCTGCATGTTCGTTCAGCACATGTATCCCAGAACTTAAAGTAAAATGAAATAAACTAAAAAATTAAAAAATAAACTTTTAAAAGTACCATATTAAAAAAATTATGGCAAAACCTTGGAGAATTTTGACTGTCAAGCTTATTTGGGGCTTTAATTCTGTTTAAATAAACCCTATTTGAATTCATATTTTGTTTTCTATTCAAATTTGTCTTTCACTATGCTACCAACATTCTTTGAATATTCCCACCTCTGGATCTTAGCACCCACCATTCATCTCTTGGTAAAAATCAAACACTTTCTGTCAGTTTACTGTCTTTTCTTAAGGTTTACTTCAAAATTGTTAATCATATGAAGCTGACTCCAACCACACCAAGTCAGCAGAAATTCATCGCTTTGAAAATTTTAGATGTTACTCCATACTCTCTGTCTGGAACTTTTTTCTTTTTTCTTTTATTATTATTTTTTCTTTTTTCACTTTTTTTTATTATTATACTTTAAGTTCTAGGGTACAGGTGCACAATGTGCAGGTTTGTTACATATGTATACACGTGCCATGTTGGTGTGCTGCACCCATTAACTTGTCATTTAACATTAGGTATATCTCCTAATGCTATTCCCTCCCCCCTCCCCCTATGCCACAACAGGCCCTGGTGTGTGATGCTCCCCTTCCTGTGTCCAAGTGTTCTCATTGTTCAATTCCCACCTATGAGTGAGAACATGCAGTATTTGGTTTTCTGTCCTTGCGATAGTTTGCTGAGAATGATGGCTTCCAGTTTCATCCATGTCCCTACAAAGGACATGAACTCATCCTTTTTTATGGCTGCATAGTATTCCATGGTGTATATGTACCACATTTTTTTAATCCAGTCTATCATTGATGGACATTTGGGTTGGTTTCAAGTCTTTGCTATTGTGAAGAGTGACACAATAAACATATGTGTGCATGTGTCTTTATAGCAGCATGATTTATAATCCTTTGGGTATATACCCAGTAATGGGATGGCTGAGTCAAATGGTATTTCTAGTTCCAGATCCTTGAGGAATTGCCAAACTGTCTTCCACAATGGTTGAACTAGTTTACAGTCCCACCAACAGTGTAAAAGTGTTCCTATTTCTCCAGATCCTCTCCAGCACCTGTTGTTTCCTGACTTTTTAATGATCACCATTCTAACTGATATGAGATGATATCTTATTGTGGTTTTGATTTGCATTTCTCTGATGGTCAGTGGTGATTAGCATTTTTCATGTGTCTGTTGGCTGCATAAATGTCTTCTTTTGAGAACTTTTTGCTTATCCCTTCTGAATTGCTACTTATCTGTGTACGTTTGAGTTTAGTATGGGACATGTTTAAGGTGTTTGGATGACACTCAGCTGAAGAAGATGTCATCAGACAAAGGGTATGAAACTCCAGAGGATGTTTGGAGTCAGAAGTACCTCTCTGTGGCTCATATTCATAGTCCAAATGGAAACTGTGTGCATGAGCTAGACTGCACGGAAATAAATTCAGAAAAAGGCAGCAGAAGATTCATACTGTCTTTAAAAAAGATTTCTCTGGTATGGTAATACACGGCATAAGATTG
This sequence comes from Homo sapiens, assembly GCF_000001405.40. NCBI lineage: Eukaryota > Metazoa > Chordata > Mammalia > Primates > Hominidae > Homo > Homo sapiens. The sequence goes on from NC_000004.12 coordinate 34,477,437, forward strand.
CAAGAAGTTCGGGTCATGAGGGCTATTGGAAATCTTGCCTCAATGACTGGAGCATTTAGCCATTGGCCATGTGGAAGTCCTGCCATCATATGGGGGGGAAATGAACTGATAAACTCATCTTGGAAAGCAGAACACTGCAGCCATTTCATCCCCAAAAGTTAATTTGTTTAAGTGTCAACCAGGGCATGAAATATGATTTAATCTTACTTTATAATAGAGGATTGAGGAAGCCAGCTTCTCAGTTCCCAAATGAGAAAATAAACAGTGACAAGATTTTGCCCATGAAATCTGCTTGTGGAAGTTTCTTTTCCTCCTCTTCCTCCTTGTCTTTCTCTTCCTCCTCCTCCCCACCCCCTCCTCCTCCTCCTCCCCTTCTTCTTCTTTGTCACCCCCTCTTCAAACCGGGATCAATATAGGAATGAAGGATATTTCTCCAGTTTCACTTAGAGTTTTGAAAGAATTTGAAGAACAGGACTTAACTAACAGAGGCTATGAAAACCAATGCAAGTAATATGTGTTGATCACTTAATATTACATAGAAAATAATAAGGGGGTTTAAACAATGTTTCTGGCAACTGCCTCTCTCATAAAGCGTGACCTTTTAATTTGCTCCCTATAAAAAAAACATGTTGAGGAATTGAGAGTCTGGCCAGTGGCAAGGAAACTCTCTCAGCCAAATATTCTCCTCAAATACCCACTCACGTAACCAAATTGACAAGGATATCAGGCCCCGTGATTTGCCCAAGTGAAGACGGAAAAAGGCTGGGCAAAATGTGAAGAGTAACAATATCAATAAATCTTGTCATTTTCTAAGTGTTATTTTATTGGCATTTTACTTACATGATCTATAATGCTTATAATGAAGTGTTGAGAGAGATAGTACCTTGAATTTATGGATAAGAAAACCACAACTCTGGAGGTTAATTAAATTGTTGGAGGTCATATATTGGGTAATTAGCAGGACTTGAATTTGAATCCAGGTGAAGAAATATATTTCACCCAGGTCCAAACCAGAGGATAATAAAACATCAAAAATGCTCACCTGTAAAATCCTTTGATCCAGCCTTAAAGGAATCTTTTCTAATGTTGTTCCTGGATTTTTATCTTCACCTATAAATAGGGGAATAAGCACACACTTACCCAGGAGATCCGGAAAACAAGGGCAGGATGAGAAGTACACCAAAAGCAGAAGTGAGGATTTTGAGGTAAATGGATGGAGTCAGAGCAGCCATGTTAACACGCAGCATATTGAGATATGAAGGGAAGGCAAAGCTGCCCCTCCAATGGGGATGTTCCTGACCCTTACTGTCAATTGCAATCTCCAGGCACATATTCCTCACTTCCGGTGGTTCTGTCTGCTTGCATATTTCCTGCATTATACTCAGTGTATTCATTTCCTATGACTGCTGTAACAAATTACAACAAACTTGGTGAAGAAATATATTCTCTTGTAGTTCCAGAGGCCAGAAGTCCTAATCAATATCACCACAATGGTTAAAATCAAGGTGTTGGCAAGGCCATGTTCTCTCCAGGGACTCTAGGGGAGAATCTATTCCTTATCGCTTCCAGCTTCTGGTGGCTGTCTCCGCAGTCCTGGGCTTGCAGTTGCATTACTCTAATTTCTCTCTTTGTCTCCACATCGCCTTCTCGTCTGTATATTTGTTTTTCTTTGTTGCTCTCGTAAGGAGAAACGTTGTATGGCATTAAGGCTCACCACAATATTCAAGGAAAAACTCTTTTTCTCAAGATGCTTATTTTATTCATAAAGTACAGGGTAATTTTAGAAAACATCCTGCCAGAAAGCAACAGGCTGTGATTTTTTTGGAAATGAAAGCCATCTTGATAAAGCAACTTTTCTTTCTTGTTGTCTTGGTATTGTCTCACACAATAAAGCTTAAGTGTTTAACTTTGTTGCAGGCTTTCTTTTGTAAAGAAATAAGAAATTTTTGTAAAGAAATTCATAAAATAAGAATCTTGAGAAGAGTTTTTCCTTGAATATCGTGGTGATCCTTAATGCCATACAAAGTTTCGCCTTATTAGAGCAACAAAGAAAAAACAAATATACAGATGAGAAGGTGATTAAAAAAAAAGATGAATTAATGTCCTTTGCGGGGACATGGATGAAGCTGGAAACCAGCATTCTCAGCAAACTAACACGAGAACAGAAAACCAACCACTGTATGTTCTTACTCATAAGTGGGAGTTCAACAATGAGAACACATGGACACAGGGAAGGGAACATCACACACTGGGGCCCGTTGGAGGGTAGGGGGCAAAGGGAGGGATAGCATTAGGAGAAATACCTAATGTAGATGATGGGTTGATGGGTGCAGCAAACCACCATGGCACGTGTATACCAATGTAACAAATCTGCACGTTCAGCACCTGTATCCCAGAACTTAAAGTATAATAAAAAAAATTAAAAATATTCTTAGTTTGATCACATTATTTCCCTTATAAGGTAATTTTCACAAGTTCCTAGGATTAGAGCATAAATATGTATTTTGGGGGTACATCATTCATTCCACTGTAGTTACCATATGACAGATGAGTACCTGATCAGTATAATTTGAGTAATATGAATAATATATGATTTAACTATATCTTTTAGGCACCTATGACATTCTTTTTATTTAAAAATATGATAGTAGTCCAGGACTGGGCACAGATATTTGAAATAAAATGTTTTAATTTAGGTATGTTCATTAGGAAATAGGAGTCAGAGGTGGAAGGAGCCTAAGGCTTTTTCAAATTACAGTTCTCTTCCTCTGAGACCCAATCCTTTCTATGAATAAAGGAAATAGTGATTTGAGTATGTGTACATTATCCAATAATAAAGGAGAAGATATTTACAAGTAATATCCTGTTAAGTGAGTCTCAAATAAAACAAGATACTTTGCATGTTTTGGGTGGAAAAAGAAAACCTTACAAAATAATAGGTACAGATAAATAAATAATTATTACATGCATCATGGAATAAAAATATTCTCAGCAACCATTAAGTAATATGAAGTTTAAAAGTTTCCCAATTTACTCCCCTCCCCAGATCTAAAATTCATAAACAGTTCATAAAAATATTCTTTTCTACATTTGTCAAGAATTTTAAAGAATCATTTTTCTAACACTTATGTTTTTCTAAAATACTTTTCAACTTTCAAAGTAATTGCCATCCCTTTGTTTTTGCCTGAATTCAGCAGGTAGTTTGACACAGACGTATCAATGATGAGGAAGGATGGTGACAAGAGGATGTGAGCAAAAGCATTGTGGAATTCTCAGAGCTTTGCTGCTGGGAGACTATAGCTTTGTGGAAGGGAAAAACACAAGAAATTAACATCTGCAACTCCAAGCTAGAATAAAGATTACAAAAGTTTACATGGGGAAATTATGTAGACTACATCGACAATGCCAACTTGGGAGAATATTTCATAAAAATTAATTCAGATCCAACACAGAACAAAGGTAGAAGGAACTGATTGGAGGAGAAGCAGTACAAGTCTGACATTTTCTCCACGTGTATATAAAGGGGTTCACAGAAATTTAGCTGATCCTATTATTTTGATTAATAAGTGCTCATTTTTTGAAGTGTTATGAGACACTTTAAAATTAAAGTTGCTTTATTTTAGAATATTAGAAGAAATACTCTAAAAACTTGTGCCTTTTCCCATTTTTCATGGTAAAGGAAGTAAAAATGTGATTCGTTTAAGCTGTAACGATGACAAACCACAAGGACAAATGTAGGCTCTCTTCCTTTAATATATTTTTACTCTCTCTCAAAATATTAATTACTGCACATATTTTTGTCACATGTACATACCTATGAAGTGGGATCTTGAGTTCAGTATATCTGGAGGCATAAGAAGTCAAGTTGTTCAGTCACTATTTTTTTCTCTGTTGACAATCTGATGTGAATATCTGTGAAGGTACATTTTGTGTGTTGTGTTCCAGCATGGAAATAACAATCATCTAGCACATATAGTGCCTATTGTGCACTAATGTATGTTCTGAGCCCTTTATATGTATTAGCTGATTTAAGATTCAAATATCCCTGTGAATTATGTTCATGCTATTTCATGGATGAGAAAACTGAGGCATGTAGGTTTATTAGAGGAAAATATATCGCTGTGTAAAAATTGGTAACCGATGTTCACTATAAGACCCAGTTGACCTTTGCTCATGCTGTAACTCCAAGATTCAAGTTGGTTTCAGATATTTTTAAAACTAATTAATGTAATATCAGAACTGACTCATCTGCACTATATAATTTGAATACATCATTGCTAGTGCCAGCTTGACTCTTCAACTTAATTTTGCATTAATAGAAACCTTGCAGTTTATACCTTAACTATAAGAAGAATGAATAGTCATTTATGTGATTTCTCGTAAGCAAATTAGTCAAGCTCCAATAGCACGGATGGAGTGAGTACCTTTTCACATGCATGGAATACATTTTGTATATAGGTATAAATATTATATCTACATCTGTATCTAGATATCTAGATAGGAAGAGATAAAAATAGAGACAGAGGCATAATGAGACCAAGAAAGCTATGATTCTTCAGCATTTATAGCAAAATTTATTTTCACCCAAAGCAAGCAGTGAAATTATTTGGTTGTTGATTAAGAAATCAGGTAAGGCCGGGCGCGGTGGCTCATGCCTGTAATCTCAGTACTTTGGGAGGCTGAGGTGGGTGAATCATGAGGTCAAGAGATCAAGACCATCCTAGCCAAGATAATGAAACCCCATCCCTACTAAAAATACAAAAATTAGCTGGGTGTGGTGGCGCATGCCTGTAGTCACAGCTACTCGGGAGGCTGAGGCAGGAGAATCACTTGAACCTGGGAGGCAGAGGTTGCTATGAACTGAGATCTTGCAACTGCACTCCAGCCTGGCAACAGAGCAAGACTCTGTCTCAAAAAAAAAAAAAAAGAAGAAGAAGAAGAAGTCAAGTAAGACTAAAACTTTAAAAACAAGTGATTCATATATGCTTCATTTTCTTTCAATTAACATATAAGTTAGCATTTATTTGATAATCTTTTGAAATGGAGTCAAGTGTTTGATGTTGAGGCGCAGAGTAAAGTCCTTTATAAATCAAACCCATAATTTGAATTTGATTCTCATAAAGTAGAATAAGAATGTAAAATATAAAAAAAAAATTTAATTTTAAAAATTTGACATTTTTATATTTTCCAATTATGTATAGCATTATATGGTTTTGCAATTTTGCAAGCATTTTTAAGCTCAAATTTTAATTTTCTTTTTAGCAATTGGCTTTTACTAAATATTTCTAAAACATTCAATCTAGTTTTTAATTAAAATTATAGTTGTTTTCATTTACCTTTTCATGTTTTATGTATTTACATAAGAGTTATCTAGATAATGTATTTATTTATAATAAAAAATGAATTAACTGGAGTTGGCATTTATAGATTTAGGATAAACACCATAGCTCTTGGTCAGCATGTTACTCAGATGATAGTAGTAGAAATGATCACATATACTGAATTATAAACTATGGCTACAAATATTTAGCTTGAAGGCATTTCTTCTTCACAGGAAATGAAGAAACTGAGTGAATTTGGTGAGTCTGCTCTGTATCATCCTATTTTAGTTGCATCTATCCTCCATAATTGTTGTCTTTACAGTGTAAATAGTCATAAAGAGAAATGGGAAACTGTGGGTTCCAAACACAAAGGTGTATAAAAGAGATAATTATTTCATAAGTTAACATTCCTAGAAATAATAAGAAAAGGATACAGAAAAATACTCATTACAAATTCCAGGTCCTTGCAACTTATTGGTGCTCAAAATTTTAAATGACTTGTTTAGCTATTTCCTTATATAATTAAAATAAAAATTTTCCATAATTAATAATATGATAAAAAAATAAGACAGACTACAAATAGGATACAGAATTAGGAAGTATATATTTGAAAATTTCCAATAAACTAAATAACCTAGAGAAATAGGAAAAAATAGAATCATACAGAAAGCACAGTTTAGTACCAAAAAATATGTGCTCTGGAGTCAGACTGCCTGAGTTCAAGGTTAAAAGCATCAGCTATAAGCATATGAGAAGATGCTCAATATCACTAATCAAAGAAATGCCAATAAAAATCACACACACACACACACACACACACACACACACACACACTAGGATGGCTACTACCAAACCCAGAAAATAACAAGTATTGGTGAGAAGGTGGGCAAATTAGAACCCTCGTGCACTGGTAGTAAAATTGTAAAGTGATGCAACCACTGTGGAAAGTAGTAAGGAGGTTCCCCAAAATTAAAAATAGGACTACCATATTATGCAGTAAATCCACTTCTGGGTATATATCCAAAAGAATTGAAAACAGGCTCTCAAAGAGATATTTGCCAAGAGGTAGAACCAACTCAAATATTCATGCTTGGATAGGTGGATAAACACAGTGGGATACACAAATGTCACGGAATATTACACTGTCTCAAAAAAAAAGAGATCCTGTCATATGCTACAGCATGGTCAAATCTTGAGGACATTATGTTAAGCAAAATAAGCCAGGCACAAAAAGATGTATACTGGAGGGTTCCACTTATATAAGGTATCTAAAGTAGTCAAATTCATAGAAACAGAAAGGAAAATGTTGGTAACTAGGTACTGGGGGAAGGAAAAAAAGGAGGAGTTGTTTAATGGATATAGAATTTTAGTTTCGCAAGATGAAAAAGTTTTGTTTCACAACAATGTGAATATATTTAAGACTAGTGAACTGTACATTAATAAATGGTTAAAATAATAGATTTTATGTTACATGCCTTTTACCATATGCACCCACACCTACACACAAACACAACAATAACAACTTACTAGCCAGATAACTATGGTTAAGACACATAACTTCTCTCAGTCTCAATTTTTGTATCTGTTAATGGTGACTATAGTAATAGATATGGCATACGTTTATTGAGTTGAAAAAATAAGATAAACATAAAAGACTTCACACAATCAAAGAGAAGTATAGGCAAAAAGCAAATAAGTAAATAATAATTCATTGGTTTAAAATAGAATTTAAACGAATTTAGTTAGAAAATAATGTGTACAATAATTAACCTCTGTGCCTGCATATATTGGTTTAGCTTCAGTATGAGAAGGCAATGAATCTCAAAAAATTTCTGAGTAATATTTTTAAATATTGATTTCAATTATTAAATTAAGATCTTGATTTCTACCATAATTTATTCTGCCTCTGGACACCCTGACCAGCCTCTGATTTTTTTTTCTTTATAATAAAATGATGTTTGGACTGAAGGCTTTACCAGTCTTTGGTGAAATAATTAGAAGCAAATGGGCAATGGTTTTCAGGGTAGCCCTGGATTTAATCAGCCTTGGTAATGGCCTCATTCAAATAAGAACAAAATTCATAGAAAAAAAGGTTATGGGAGGTGGGTGAGTGTTTAAATATAGAAAAAAAAAGAAACAGGTTAAAAAGCCAAAATTTTACTTATACAATTTGCCTGTCTTCTCACCTGCTGTTTTTACCTTTTAATTTTTTATCTCTCTCATTATAGCCCCGTCAGGGAGCGTTGCATGCTTCATTGCTTGATGCTATTAAAACTTAAGTTAAAAAAATTTAAATCTCTTCTACCTGTATTGTTCTCCTTTCCTGTCCAGAGTACAAGGTTGTTCAGTATATGAAGACAGTGTTTTCTCTCTCTCTCTCTCTCTCTCTGTGTGTGTGTGTGTGTGTGGTGTGTGTGTGTGTTGTGTGTGTGTGTGTGTTTGTGCATGCATGTGCCTTCATGCGTAGAGTTTTTAAGGATCAAATTGTTTGCTACATCTGGCCTCCATTCTATAAATGACACAACTGGGAATAAGTTATTAATGAATTTATATTTCTTTAAATATTTGGAAATTGATTGGGAAGGCAATTCACTGGAGAAGAGGAAGGTCCCTTAGGAATCACTCCCATTTACCTGGTGCCTTCATTTCTCAGATCATTTGAAATGCTAATTACAAATTGTTTTTGACTGTGCTGATGACCCAGGTAGTTACACTGTGGAAAGAAATCACCATTTGAATATATGTCTGCTCTAATGAAGGTTACATACTCAGGGACCCAGATCAAGAAATAAATAGAGCAATAAACAGGCTGCTTTTCTTTGTTTTCCTTAGTATTTATAGCAAAACTATACATACAATTTATAGTATTTATTGTTTATATATAATACTATTTATTGTTTATATATAATGTGTGAATATATATTTAAATATATAAATATATGTACAACTATTTACTATTATGACTCTTCAAGTAGATTTTCATAGATTGCAAATACCTTGCTTGCTGAGATAAAGACATTTAAAGATGCTGCTCATAATGACTATTTTATTTTCAGATCAAAAGGGTGACACCGCCATATCTAATGAGGTTTTGATTTTTTTTTTTTCTTTGAGACAAGGTTGTGCTCTGCTGCCAAGGCTGGAGTACAGTGGCGCAATCATGGCTCACTGCAGCCTTGAACTCCTGGGCTCTAGGTATTCTCCCTCCTCAACCTGCTGAGTAGCTGGGACTACTGGTAAAGTGGCTAATTAAAAAATTTTTTTTTTTGTAGAGACTGGGTCTATGTTGTCTAGGATGGTCTTGAACTCTTAGGCTCAATTGTCCCTCCTGCCTCTGCTTCCCAAGGTGCTGGGATTACAGGTGTGAGCCATCACGCCCAGCCATGTTTTGATGTTTCTATGGTTAATTTATATATTACTCTTTCAGTTTAATCAGTCTCAGTTTACTCACTAAAAATCAGTTTACTGCTAAAATTCCTAAAACAGAGCTGAGTATCCCACTGAAGTCCCAAAATATGACTGCCTGATGTGGACTTAAAGGGAAACTTGAGTTGTGAGAAATCTTATTTATGAACAAAAACCTCCGGTTGTGAAAGAAGTATTTAATGGTTTTTTTTTTTCCTGATTTCTCAGTCAATTTCAGTTATCATTTACTCACAGAAGCAACTGGCTAGTTATCTAATATTCTTGATACCTGATGTGATAGTCGAACGTGTTTCTGCTTTCAAACATGAGAAGAAACATTTCAAAACCAACAATAGGTAAGCAGATGTCCAATAAATCCTTTAGACCATTGGGCTTAGGAAGAAAGAAGCTTCATCCCCACTTCCCTTCCATCATTTTAATATGGGTGAACAAAGGAACAAAAGCTCAGCAGCTGACAGTACTCTCATGTCTCTCCAACTCAGTGAAATCACACATTTTCCAGGTTTCCTGGCTGTGCATTAATGAGGGAATTGTCAGAGGGAAAGAAAGAGTGAGTTCATGGTTCTCAGTTCCATATGTCAGTTCTTCAGCTACCAACCCACTGTATTATGGCTTCTAGAAAATATGCTCCATTCATTAATAAATGGTAATTTAGGGAATATTTATATTTTTACTATATTATATGGATCCTCCCAAGCAATATTCATTTAGATTTTGGGCCTGGAATTGCTTCTCTAATATTGTCCAACAGCTTCTTCTCTCCTCAAATGCAGACATATGTTGGCAACAAGCCACTTCAAATTATTTCTCATTACTTTATCTCTTCTTTTAACATGTTCTTACTGTGTGGAGCTTTGCCAATTGCTGACAAAAGCCAAATGGAAAAAAAGGGAAGATACTTTGATGGGTAATCTGTTTCAGCTACGCAGTAGCACCACTCTATACTCTACTGGAATCGGCTTCTTGCCAAAGATCATACCTGCTGCCTGCAATGTTAAACACAGGAAACCTGCTGCTGCTGCTTCTTCTGCTGTTGCTGACTCTGGTGGCCATGGATGTGCCTCAAGAGGAGAAAGGCAAGGAAAAGATACGCCTATTTATTTAAGTGGCCATGTAAAGAGAAAATTTCTCCATCAGTTTCTGAGCTCTGCAAGTCTTAAACTGTTATTAGTTAAACAAAAAATTAGTTGACTTTCGTTCATTCAATGAGATATATTGAATAATTTCTGCATGCATAACACCAGGTTAGTCACTTGAAGATGAACCACCCACTAAATGTTGTCTAAATGTAGCTTCTGCTGAGAAAAAATTTATAATATGATAGAGAGGATAAAAGGTAAACATTGACGGTAAAAAATGGTGGTGACAATGACAATAATGGATAAAAGATATGTATATGTAGGAGTTAAAAAAATAAATCAGTTCCTTCACAGTGTTTGAGGAAACTATGAAATAGATTGAACTTGATCTAGATCTTGAAGGATAACGAGATTGAGAGAGAGAGAGAGAATATGCAAAAGTTCAAAGAAAAAAGAAATCAGTTACAAGACAGTATTTGACAAAACCGTGAAACAGATTGAATTTGATCTAGATCTTGAAGGATAACTAGATTAAAAAGAGAGAGAGAGAGAGAAGGAGAGAATACTTGGCCAATGAAAGAGAATGAAGGTGGATACATAGAGGTTATTTTAAACCTAATCACAATCTAGTTTGATATAAAGGATACTTTTGGAAAATAGCACTGGAAAAGTTAGTAGGGACCAGATTATAAAATATAGCCAAAAAAATACCAAGCAGCAAGAATTTTATGTAGAACGCATAGAACCTTTTATAAGCAAAAAATAGTGAGTATTTTTCACTGGGAACCTGATGGGGAAAACTTGGATATGTGACACACTCTTAGCCGATTTAGGGCCACAAGAGGAAAGAGTAGGTAATCTCATGGGTCATGATGATGACATTGGGAAAAATAAGGGTAAGCCAGATTTGAGACTAGAGAATTATCTAGGGTCTGCCGACTGCTTGGATGGGAGAATCAGAAAAGAATAAAAAATAAAAATTTTGTATCCGACTAAAAGACAAAATCATATTCTACAAACTCAAATAGAGAAGAGCGCCTCTGCGTACACACCCCACACAAATATTCCTTTTGTTGTAATGCAATGTTCAGGGAATTCTAAAGATTTTATGCATTATTGGTAACTTTAAAAAGCTATGTAATCTTCCTTCTGTTTTCTGATCCAAAAAAAATTGTGTGGGAATTCTATGATCCTACCCATGAGTCTGTGTGGGATCAGGGTCAGGACCCCTTCTCAAAAACTCACCAGCACAAAAATTCTTTTACTTGCATTTACTCATTACCTTCTAATTTGTGTAAACAAAACACATTAAAAATAACTTTAGGTTAAGTGTACAAAAAAAAGGAGGCAGGGAAAAAATAGCTCTGAATAAACATTTCCTAGATTTTTTTTCTTTATTCTTAGACATCTATGTCGAAGGAAAAGGCCAGTAGTTTGAATACATCATGGTCTAGTAACCAAATTGTGTGGTAGGTAGTTAGAATTTGGAAGGCAGGTAGGCTTGGGGAGCAGTAGGTGAGCAAGTTTAACTGAGCACAAAGAGCCTACTTTTAAAATGTGAGGAGCCTACTTTTAAAATCTAAATAGCTCTTGTAGAAGCAAACATGTTGGCTAGGTCATTCTTTGTACATTTTTTCCTTCCCGATTTTTACCTTCAACCTGCTATCACAGTTCTTTCACTGGTAACAGGAATCATGAAAATGATATACTGCAGCATTAGCAAGAAGGCTCAAAATGTGGCCAGTTAAATTATTTGTGGCGCACCAGGTGTCCTTGCATGGTTTGGAGACAATCTGCCCCAGGGTCTAATCTCACAGTCTTTCATGTAAAGTCGGCACAGAAGAACTACTCATAATGGGATATCAGTCGGAATTTTGTTATTAGTGATGAAATAAACCAGAACTAGGACTCAAATCATTTCATGTGCAGTACGTTCTTTCTCCTTTCATATTGTCTACAGTCTGAGGATATGTCCTTGGCTATTTGTTTTTTTCAAGAAAAAGAGGTTTAGTGACTTGAAATTCCTTTTCACTGATTCCCCAAAAGCAGAAAATGATACAAATTTATTACAATGAATATTTTTAAGTAATATCAGATCCAAATTGCATGAGTTAATAAAAGCAAAATTATTTTATGTCAATTTAATTTATTGGAAGGAAATTGAAAATAAATATGAAACATGTTGAAAAGAAATGAGATAAATATATCTATTATAAAACTACAGAAAATACATTATATTTTAACACCTTTCTGATATCATAAAAATGTAATTATGTTTCTTAAGAGTTGCAAAGGTATTTCAAATCATCTTTTGCAGCTTATGTATTGTTCTCATTTACTTGCATTTCTATGTATTCATCTTTTTTAACAGATGTTTTAAGTGTTTTCAATATGTAACAAAGGCAGTGTCCTAGGTTCTGGGGGAGAAGATGGATAGGGACTGGGTCTGGAGGTTCCCTAACAAAATAGAAAGACTGGTCAGGGAGAGAGATAGTTACATAAATAATTGCTGGGCCAGGCACGTTGGCTCATGCCTGTAGTCCCAGCACTTTGGGAGGTTGAGGCAGGTGGACCACTTGAGGTCAGAAGTTTGAGATCAACCTGGCCAACATGGTGAAACCACGTCTCTACTAAAAATATAAAAATTAACCAGACATGGTTCCAGGTGCCTGTAGTCCCAGCTACTCTGTAGCTTGAGGCAGGAGAATCGCTTGAACTCGGGAGGCAGAGGTTGCAGTGAGCTGAGATCCTGCCATTGCACTCCAGCCTGGGCAACAAAGTGAGGCTCTGTCTCAAAAAGTAAAAAATAAAAAATTGCTGTGAAGTATTGTTATCACAGTATGCAGAAAGCATGCTGGTAGTCAAAAGAGGTAGTATTTTAGTCTTAGCCCAGAAAAACAACAACAACAAAAAAATGGTTTCCAGAGAATATGCTTAGGTTGTATTTTGAAAGGTAATTAAGACATCGTTAATTAAACAAAAGGAATTCTAGGCAATGGGAAGAGGCTTCCCAATGTGGAGGTAGGGAGAGGTGTCATGAGGAGCTTATGATGTGTGTGAGTGCTTGTTTCTGGGTAAAGTACAGTTAGCAGTGTTAGTTGATTATCATTTTACTGCTTATTTTTGCTTGCATATAGCATTTCATTGCCCATTAAACATAGTGTTTGGTTAGACACTTATAAAACAGTAAATTCAACAAAAACAAAAAAGAAAACAAAACACACCTGAAAATGGATAATGATAATGTCACCATCATTAAAAAAAATTATAAGTACCTGGTAGGTGTATATATTTAGAGGGTACATGAAATATTTTGATATAGACATATAATACATAACAACCACATCAGGGTAGAAAGGAAATCCATCACCTTAACCATTTATCATTTCTTTGTATTACAAACCTTCCAATTATGCTCTTCTAGTTATTTTTAAATGTACAATTAATTATTATTGACTGTAATCACTTTATTGTGCTATCAAATACTAGATTTTACTCATTCTATCTAACCATGTTTCTGTGCCCATTAACCATCCTCACTCATCTCCTTTCTCAGCCTTTGATAATCATCATTCTACTCTCTATCTTGATGAATGAGTTAAATTGTTTTAATTTTCTTTAGCTCCCATAAATAAGTGAAGATGTATGAAGTTTATTTCACTTAATGTAATGTTATTTCTGTGCCTGGTTTATTTCACTTGATATAATATTTTCCTGTTCTATCACTGTTGTGGCAAAGGACAGGTTCTCGTATTTTCATGGCTGAATAGAACTCTATTGTATATATGTACCATATTTTCTTTATCAATTTGTCTGCTGATGGACACTTAGAGTTCTTCAAAATCTTGGTTTTGTAAATAGTGCTGCAATAAACATGGGCATGCAGCTATCCCTTTGATATACTTATTTTCTTTCTATTGAGAATATACCCAGAAGTGGCATTGCTGTATCATATGGTAGTTCTACTTTTAGTTTTTCAAGGAACCTCCATACTGTTCTCCATAGAGGCTGTACTAATTTACATTCCCACCAACAGTGTATGAGGGTTCCCTTTTCTCCACATCCTTGGTAGCATTTCTTATCGCCTGTCTTTTGTATAAAAGCCTGATGTCACTGTCTTTGATGAGAAATACATGGCCATCAACCACCTCCTTATAGTTGAGAGAAACTGATTTTGAAATCATTTTACTACTTTTCTTTACTTATGTTATCATTGTAAATAAAAACTATTGAATCATACAACACTTTTGAAAATCCAAGTTCAAGACACTACACAATTCATGAAGTGCCCATGTTCTTATATTTTCAAATTATGAGGAAAGGAACATATTTATTCTTCTCTTTAGGGTAATAAATGTAGTAATAACAGAAGTACCCTTAAGTTTACTTGGACAATTCTATTGTCTGTGTTCTCTCCTAAGATGTGTCTACTTCAAATTAGGAAAGAAACTTGAAGAATTGCTAATGTCTTTTGTATAGTACCACTTATGTGTGTATTTGGTATACGTGAGAGTGTGTGTTTGCATGTGTGTAAGTAGAAGTGTGTTTCCTTTGTCTTGGCTAGAAAAATTTGGCAGCCTAGTTAATTGCTTTGAGTGTACTCAAATATGAACAAAAGGGATTTCAGTTCACTTTTAGGGTGATTACCCACAACATCAAAAATATTCTGGTTGGTGAGGCATGGTGCATGCCTATAATCCCAGCACTTTAGGAGGCTGAGGCAGGCAGACAGCTTGAGGACAGGAGTTTGAGACCAGCCTGGGCAACATGGTGAAAACCTGTCTCTACAAAAGAAAAAAAAAAATACAACAACAACAAAAAATAGCCAGGTGTGGGGGCATGCACCTCTAGTCCCAGACATTTGCAAAGCTGAGGTGGGAGGATCACCTGAGCCTGTGAGGTCATGGCTGCCATGAGCTATGATCACACCACTGCACTGCAGCCTGGGCAACAGAGAGAGATCCTGTAAAAAAATGGGCAAGGAAAAATAATATAATTATTATTTTTGTGAAAAAGATCATGTTTGCACATAGTAACAGGAAAATCAATGTACTGACATGTAATATCAAGAGATTGTTTCTCTGAGGGAAGTTATGGCATTTAATTTGGCAAAATTGACTTTGCATTTTTAGCTAATGTATTGAGTGTAAACTTAACTCCATGACTGTTAATTTTTCTGCTGTATAATTCAGAGTTCATGATATGATTTGGCTGTGTCCCCACCCAAATCTCATCTTGAATTGTAATTCTTATAATCCCCACAAGTCTTTGGAAAGACCTAATGGCAGGTTGATCATGGGGGCAGTTCCTCTATGCTATTCTTGTGATAGTGAGTGAGTTCTCACAAGATCTGATGGTTTTGCTAGGGGCACTTCCCCTTTTGCTCCTTACTCTTCTCCCTCCTGCAACCATGTGTAAAAGGTCCTTGTTTCTCCTTTGTCTTCTGCCATGACTAGTTTCCTGAGGCTTCCCCAGCCATGTGTAACTGTGAGTCAATTAAGCCTCTTTCCTTTATAAATTGCACAGTCTCGGGTATTTCTTTACAGCAGTGTGAAAATGGAATAATATACTAATTTGGTACCACAGAGAGTGGGGCACTGCTATTAAAATAACCTGAAAATGTGGAATTGACTTTGGAACTGAGTAACAGGTGAGGTTTGAAGAGTTTGGAGGGCTCAGAAGAAGATGGGAAGATGTGGGAATGTTTGGAGCTTCCTAGGGACTTGTTGAATGATTTTGACCAAAATGTTCATAGTGATGTGAACAATGAAGTCCAGGCTGAGGTGGTCTCACATGAAGATAAGAAGCTTATTGGGAACTGAATCAAAGTTCACTCTTGCTATGCTTTAACAAAGAGACTGGTGGCATTTGACCCCTGCCCTAGAGATTTGCAAAACTTGAACTTGAGAGAGATTGTTTAGAGTCTCTGGCAGAAGAAATCTCTAAGCAGCAAAGTGTTCAAGAGTTGATCTGGGTGCTCTTAAAAATGTTCAGTTATGGCCAGGCAAGGTGGCTCACACCTGTAATCCCAGCACTTGGGGAGGCTGAGGCAGGTACATCATGAGGTCAGGAGATCGAGACCATCCTGTCTAACATAGTGAAACCCCGTCTCTACTAAAAATACAAAAAAATTAGCCAGGCGTGGTGGCAGGTGCCTGTAGTCCCAGCTACTTTGAGGCTGAGGCAGGAGAATGACATCAACCCAGGAGGCAGAGCTTGCAGTGAGCCAAGATCACATCTCTGCCCTGGAGGCAGAGGAAGAAAAAATGGTTTTGTGGGCCCAACCCAGGGCCCGGCTGCTTTGTGCAGTCTTGGCACTTGGTGCTCTGCATCCCAACCATGGCTAAAATGGGCCAAGATACAGCTCAGGTCATTGCTTCAGAGGGTGCAAGCCCCAAGCCCTGGTGGCTTCCATGTGGTTTTGGGCCTGTGGATGCACAGAAGTCAAGAATTGAGATTTGGGGACCTCCACCTAGATTTCAGAGGATGTATGTAAATGCCCGGATATCTAGGCAGAAGTCAGCTACTGGGGTGGGGGCCTCATGGAGAACCTCTGCTACGGCAGTGTGGAAGGGAAATGTGGGACTGGAGCCCATACACGGAATCCCCACTGGGTCATTGCCTAGTGGAGCTGTGAGAAGGACTCCATTCTCCAGTTCCCAGAATGGTAGATCCACCCACAGCTTAGACTGTGCAATTAGGAAAGCTGCAGACACTCAACACCAGCCTATGAAAGCAGCTGGAAGGGAGACTGTACCCTGCAAAGCCACAGGGGCACAGATGCCCAAGTCCATGGGAGCTCACTTCTTGTATCATGTAATATGGATGTGAGACATGGAGTCAAAAGAGATTATTTATTTAATGACTGCCCCCTGGTTTTCGGACTTGCATGGAGCCTGTAGCCCCTTTGTTTTGTCCAATTCTCCATTTTGAATGAGAGCATTTATTCAATGCTTGTAGTACCATCATATCTTGGAAGTAATTCACTTGCTTTTGATTTTACAGGCTCATAGGTGGAATGGACTTGCCCTGTTTCAGATGAGACTTTGACTCAGACTTTTGGGTTAATGCTGGAATAAGCTAAGAATTTTTGAGACTTGGAAAGGCATGACTGTGTTTTGAAATGTGAGGACATGGGATTTGGGAGGGAACAGGGGCATAGTGATATGATTTTGCTGTGTCCCCACTCAAATCTCATTTTGAATTGTAATCTCTGTAATCCCCACTTGTCTAGAGACAGACCTGGTGGGAGGTAATTGGATCATGAGGGCAGTTTTCCTCATGCTGTTCTCATGATAGTGAGTGAGTTCTCATGAGATCTGATGGTTTTATGAGGGGCTCTTCCTCCTTTGCTCCTTGTTCTTCTTTCTTCTGCTGCTATGTGAAGAAGGTCCTTGCTTCCCCTTTGCCTTCTGCCATGACTGTAAGTTTCCTGAGGCCTCCCCAGTCATGTATAACTGTGAGTCAATTAAACCATTTTCCTTTATAAGTTACCCAGTCTAGGGTATGTCTTTACAGCAGTGTGAAAATAGACTAATAGAGTTCCCAATGTAATAACCTGCATTTATAGGTACTTAATATTTAATTGATATAGTATTTTTATCAATACAAAGTCAAATCTATTCCAAGCAAAATTATAAAGCCTATCTTTGGCACCCTCAACTATATTGATTTTTTACAGTATTTGTCATCTACAGAATGATATAAGCACTAAGTTTAACATTTCTCACATAAGTAAAGGAATGGTAATAAGATTTATTTCATATTTTGTGGTCTGCTACAGTTCTTGGACCTAAAAGATGAATGGATGACCCCAGTTTAGTTGTTTGGTTAGATTACACAGAAGACTGTAGCTCTTCTTCTTGGCTAACCTCTCTGAATATGGTAACATAATCAAAAGTAGGATTCCTAGAATAGCTACAGAAAAGAAGCCTTAGGAAATGAGAAAGAGGATTTGCATTTAGGCAAGAGAGGAACACTGAAAACAAGTCCACATTAAGATTATCAGGACGAATAGGAGACCACTCAGTCAGAGAAGCTGCTTATTTACTGTAATGAGTTGAGTTATTGATAATAGATTTTACAATAATCACAAAATGTTTTTGATTTATCCTTAGCCATATAATTAAAAAATAAGTTTTAAAATAATTTTGAAAAACAAACTTTGCAGTCTTTAAAAATAAATAAATAAATAAATAAATAAATAAAACAAAACAAACAAAAAACGTTCAGTTCCAATAGTCAATTACTATGAGGTCTTCTGTAAGTTATTTCATATATCTAAAACTCCTTTGAAAATAGTGATAATAAATTTCTTATTAAGTTTCTCAGACTATATTTAATAAGGTATGCAAAGCACTTAATAGAGTGCCTACAAAAAAATGCTCAATATATGATAGCTACTGATTTTTTAAAATTTTTGCTAGTATTGAATTTCAAGTTACATTAAAAGTTAAGCAAATACTATTATCCAGATTATAAACTCTTGAGATTAGAAGAAATTTAAATTTTACAATGTATTATCTATAATCTGTGAGTAATCGGTTAATGCTTTTTATCTCTGAAATATATATTAAAGAAACATTGGTAAGGCGCGGTGGCTCATGCCTGTAATCCCAGCACTTTGGGAGGCCAAGGCGGGCGGATCACGAGGTCAGGAGATTGAGACCATTCTGGCTAACACGGTGAAACTCAGTCTCTACTAAAAATAAAAAAAATAAAAAAATAAAAAAATTAGCCGGGCGAGGTGGCGGGCGCCTGTAGACCCAGCTACTCGGGATGCTGAGGCAGGAGAATGTTGTGAACCCGGGAGGCGGAGCTTGCAGAGAGCTGAGATCGCGCCACTGCACTCCAGCCTGGGCGACAGAGCGAGACTCCGTCTCAAAAAAAAAAAAAGAAACATCTAGAAATAGGGTCTAGATACATGATCAGCTCATTGTGTCTTAATTCTTACCTTCTCGTTTACTTTAGTACTTTCTCAACAATCTCAAGATCTCCACATTGTAAGCATATCTATGATTAAAGATAGAACCTAAGTATTATAATCCTTATGTAGTTGTGTTTATAATAAGGGCTCTTTGTTTCTGTACCTTCTCTTCAGAAATCGGTTTTACTTACATCCTATATTTGATTCCTATCATCACACTTTTACTGTAAGCTTTCTTTCAGCCTAGTCTAATCTGGAAAAAAAAAAAGCCAATTGTTCCAAAGCTTTTCTTTTCCCTCATGAAGGCTGCATGCCAATGTACCTGTTTTGTGTTTTTATTTGTGACCAAATATTAGTAAACTATAAAAATGAATTTTTCTTCCATTAAGGTTCACTCATGATTACATTATGTTCTCACTCCCAGTTATACCATTCATATTCCATTTCTTGATTCATAGGGATAATAGTCAGGATCCAGTCAGGAGACACAATCCACTCCAGTTATACTAATAGAAAAGTGAAGGAATTGTTAACTAGGTATTGGAGAACTGGAAAGGTAAAAAGGTGTATACTATAATGTTACAGAGGTAGTAATTACAGAAAATAGGACAGAAGAAAGACTGGGAAGAGGTTTTCATTATTTTTATTATTATTATTATTATTATTATTATTATTATTATTATTATTATTGAGATGGAGTTTCACTCTTGTTGCCCAGGCTGGAGTGGAATGGCGTGATCTCGTCTCACCACAATCTCTGCATCCCGGGTTCAAGCAATTCTCCTGCCTCAGCCTCCCGAGTAGCTGGGATTACAGGCATGCACCACCACGCCGGGCTAATTTTGTGTTTTTAGTAGAGACGGGGTTTCTCCATGTTGGTCAGGCTGGACTCGCACTCCCGACTTCAGGTGATCCGCCAGCCTGGGCCTCCCAAAGTGCTGGGATTACAGGCGTGAGACACTGCGCCCGGCCAAGGTTTTCATTATTAAGGATTGGAGCAGGGGCCCTGCAGAACAGGGATTCCGAACTCTCTGGGGCGGAGAGCACTGCGAATTAAGGTAGGTGCTGGAATTTCACATGTTCAAAAAAGGCATCTGTGGAGCTATGACCTGGCCAGACCTCTGAAGAAGGGGAGCTGGCTAGCTATCTGGTAGCTTCCAAGACAGAGTGAAATAAGGCTGATTCTGGAAGCATGTGGAAAACCTCAAACTGAAATTAGATGCTTTTGCTGTAACAAAAGAACTTTCGAAGGAGCATGGTTGGGAAATGAAGCAAACAGAATCAAGTCCCTTCTTATAGATTTCCAGTCCCTTGCCACTACCCCTGCTTCATGGAAACTAACAGCTGGAACTGAAGAAATGTAGTTTGCAGAACCCCAATTCTACATCACAAAATAGAAGAGTTGGTTTGAAAATAAGAGACAGTAAAACAGGAGGTTCTGAAATATGTAGGAGCACATGAGAATGTCGTTTTATTAAAGTCTATGGTATGGATATTTTCTTATAATAGCATTTCTGAACTTTATTACCTTCTAAATAAAAGCAATAATAGAATGGAAAATTACTTTATCTGATGATTTCAGTTGTTTTTAATAAACAAAGCATGATTACTCCAAAGGCTGATTGAAAGTTTATTCAGAAGGTGTTTAAGAGGGATAGAAATACATACTCAACCAGCAAAAGGCCAATTTCTTTTTTTCTTTTCTTTTTTCTTATTTTTATTTTTTGAGATGGAGTTTCACTTTTGTTGCCCAGGCTGGAATGCAATGACACAATCTCAGCTCACCACCTCTGCCTCCTGGCTTCAAGAGATTCTCCTGACTCAGCCTCCCAAGTAGCTGTGATTACAGGCATGTGCTACCACGCCCGGATAATTTTGTATTTTTAGTAGAGACGGTGTTTCTCCATTTTGGCCAGGCTGGTCTTGAACTCCCGACTTCAGGTGATCCGCCCGCCTTGGCCTCTCAAAGTGCTGGGATTACAGGCATGAGACACTGTGCCCGGCCCAAAAGGTCAATTTCAATTTGAAAAAATACACATTTGTATAACTAAAATTACCTAACTCATTGATAAAATAGATTTTACTTTAAACAAAAAAAAAAAAAAAATCAATTTTTCATGAACTCATGCATTTCTATAAATTTTATTTTGTTTAGATGTTACTTTTGGCTACAGAAAATTAGAATATTTCAAAATAAAAATGCATAAAGAAACAGCATTTTAGGAAGATATCATTATGTTACATTTCCAAACTTGTATTAAGGAATATATCATATTTTCAAAATATGCAAGAAATTTGCATATAATTCTGTATTTCTTTTAGCATTATAATTGTATATCTATTTTTACATAATGAAATGCTCTTGGAAGGGAGACTAAATACACAGAAATTCATATATGCGGTTCATAACTGACAATAAGTAAAAATGAATTGAAAATTTGAGACTATCTTTGTGATAGTACTAGAATCTAAATCAGTTTGATTCTAGCATACTTACAAGGAAATATTATTAAAATTTAATCTTACTTGGAAAACTATGAGCATGTTATGCTTCAGGCACTGCACCTAAAATTATTTAGAATTTATAGCTCCCCATCTGCTGTATATTAAAATTGACTTAATGCATCTTATTGCATTTTGCTGCATTTGATACTCACCCTTCTCCTCATCTGACATAAATACCAGTTTCTTAACATTTTAAAGCGAATTTGTTTTTTTCTCAAGAGTGAACATTTCTCATTACCCATTTCAGTCGTTCAGAGCACTGAGAAAAGAAATGGACTTGCTAAAATTCTGGAGCAGTTATCCAAACAAACCTGAAAGCTCATTTTAAAAAGTTGTGATAAAGGATTTTAAATAGAAATGGTAGTACAGAATGACTTACGCTATCATCCAAATTTAGCTAGACCCCACTCAAGTGCCAGAAGAGCATGAGAGATTAATAACTTGTACACCAGCATATTTTATTCATGGTTATAGCCACTACATTTTTAAAATCTGAAATTCAGAGACTATTAATCTCTAAAGATGTGATAAATGTAAAAGGCGGAGAAAATAGGCCACAGTTCTAGAATGATGTCTTGACATTCACATGTGCTACTGTGGCATCACATATGGGAAGCCATATATCATCTTCTCTTTAGACAGTGAAGACTTCTTTTCACCTTGTAATTATTTATATACATTAAATAAATAATGTCCTCTTCTGCTTTTCAGGATGACATTCTTCTTCCTCTTTGAATGAGTAGCTTAGAAATGACATAATAAAATTTATCCAAAGCTTATAAAGGAAAGAGGATAAGAATTGTTTCCGCTTCCACAAGAAGCGTGGGGGCCAAGCCTAACCCTGCAAATCCCCATGTAGATCTCATTATCATCACCAAACTGGTGATACAATCCTGAATATAGTTGTGAGGTACACTCACTGGCAGCTATTAAAAGTCAGAATCTTATACCAACAATTGCAAGGACTTGGAAACAGTAAGTATAACTAAAAGAGTGTGCCATATTATCTGTTGTGTGAGCAGCCGCAACCAGGACTAAGCCTGAGGAGAATGATGTCTCACCTCTTGGAAGGATAGAACCGCATTCTTCTCTCTTTGCTGCTTGGCATAATTCTATGTGGTTCTCTCGGGAAAGCCCTACCCAGCCAATTTTACTTACCATTTAGGATTCTAAC
The DNA here is from genome assembly GCF_000001405.40 of Homo sapiens. Classification (NCBI taxonomy): domain Eukaryota; kingdom Metazoa; phylum Chordata; class Mammalia; order Primates; family Hominidae; genus Homo; species Homo sapiens. The sequence goes on from NC_000004.12 coordinate 34,499,868, forward strand.
GTGAATTGTGAACATGAGCTTTGTCTTTTAGAATATAAAACAGACTTAGAAGAACAGATGAAAATAGTGAGCAAGAAATGGAATTGCCCTTTATTATAACTGGTGTGAAGGTTCTGTCTAAAAGATAGTGACTACCTTTCAACCTTGGTTGGTCCCCAAAACACAACATATTTTATTACACATATTTATCTACCATGTAAGAAATTTATGAGACCACTTTAGGACATTGTATTAGTCAGGGTTCTCTAGAGAAACAGGACTAATAGGATAGATGTATATATGAAAGAGAGTTTGTTAAGGAGTATTGACTCATACAGTCACTAGGTGAAGTCCCAAAATAGGCCGTCTGCAAGCCGAGGAGCAAGGAAACCAGTCTGAGTCCCAAAGCTGAAGAACTTGGAGTTCTATGTTCAAGGGCAGGAAGCATCCAGCCTGGGAGAAAAACATAGGCCAGAAGATTAAACTGCTCTCGTCTTTTCATGTTCTTCCACCTGCTTTTATTCTGGCTGTGCTGGCAGCTGATTAGATGGTGCCCATCCAGATTGAGGGTGGTTTTGCCTTTCCCAGTCCACTGACTCAAATGTTAATCTCCTTTGGCAACACCCTCACAGACAAATCCAGGAGCAATACTTTGCATCCTTCAATCCATTCAAGTCGACACTCAATATTAACCATTACAGGCATAAATGGGAAAATTGGGCATATCAACAAAAGTTTTATTAGGTATACTGTCCGCTGTTCTCTTAGTGCACTTTCCTAGATTTGGCAGTAAACTAGCTGTCAGGTTGTCTAGGATAGCCTTGGCTGTGACAACTGAAGAAACTCCGTGCACAGGCATGTGCCTCAACCTACAATACACTAGGCCAGCCATGTCCTAGCAGCTGTGGTGAGGAGCAAAAGTGAAAGTCCAGACTTTGCAACAGGAAAAGCCTAAACACACACATCTATTTTAAGCTTCTATATGTTTGCTAAGACTCCATTAGACAAAATGCATTATATGGCTATGACCAGTGTCAGAGTTGGAGAAGACTACAACATTTCAGGGCAAAGGGTGGAGATACAGAGAAGTCATTAATAGAGGTTGTTCATGTGATCATTCTACCATTACCAGTGATTCTGATTATTATACACATATAATGTACTCACCAGTTAAAAATTCTCCTAGAATAGCACTTTACTATTTCTACCACTGTCTTTTTCACCCTAAAATAGTACCTGCAGACACCACACGAAGAGTATTCTGAATATTATAAGATTAATAAACCATTAATTTGCTTTCCTACAGATTAACATTAAGCTTCTAACATTCAGTCTTCTGCTCAAGAAGAAGACATGTGCTTACTACAACAGAAGTCAACTTTAGTGATTTTCTTTCCTGACAATTCTAGTTCCTTTCTTAAAAAAAAAAAAGATATGCAGCTACTTTTGGATTGAAAAAGGTGCTATGTTTCAGCATTAACAATAGCCATTAAGTTCACTGATGGTTCTATCTACTACCCACAATATGTGCTATATAATAGATATTTCGTAAACTATTTCGAGTGAATAGTGTTTAATCTCTCAGATCTGCAATTCTAAGTAGACATACTTCATATATGTGAAATAATTGGGAAATTCAAGAGCCAGTATACTTGAGAAGAGTAGAATATTATGAACATACCAGTGGCTCAGTGATCAAACTAGGAAAAAGAAATGATGTAGATGTTGGAAGAGAATTTGTCTGTATGTTGTCACTGTATGTTCCTGAGTTTTAAAAAGAATTAAAATGGTTTAGGAAAAATAAGTAAAGCAAAGGCACATCTATACTGCGCTAGGTAAAATATATGTTTAGTCTTAATTTATTTGAGTCAATTTATGTTTTTAATGCTGCTTTTATAAAATGTAAGTTTACATATGTGGCTTACATTATATTGATTGAGCATCACTGATCTACATATTTAGAGGCAACTTCTTTTTAGTTCTTATGACATTTATGATAAAATTATCTGCCTTTAAAACAGACGTGTCCACTTATGTTTTTAATGCTGCTATTATAAAATGTAAGTTTACGTATGTGGCTTACATCATATTGAGGGAGTTCTTTTTCAAGATAATCAGGATAATTTTTCTATCTCAAGATCAGCTGAAGAGCAATCTCAATTCTATCTGCAACCCCAATTCTCTTTTGCCATGTAATCTAACATATTTACACTTTCCAGAACTTACGACATAGACATTTTTGGGTAGTTATTACTGTGCCAGTCACATCATGATATTACTGGCATAAATCCATATGAATACAAATCTATAGACAAGTAAAGTAAACATATTTATTTTCTATCCTTCCAAAACCATTCTCTTCAAAACAAGTTTATTGGAATAAACATATGAAAAACATCCTGCCATAGCCCTGAAAACTGAGTACATGTGGAGTATAACAACATGAAAGAAAAGAGATTATGTGTGTTGTGGATAAAAACTGTCTGTATCACGAAAGATATTTTGAGAGCCTTGGTGTGTAATAATATATTCGTTCAAGCAGTGACAGCTATATACTTCCTATATATGTGAGGCCCCTTTAAAAATTATTTTCCTGTTTTCTATATTAAATAATTTTCAGAAATGTATTCTTAATCTGAATCTTCAACATGGTCCTCTCTCACATTCTCCCCCTACAACCTTTTTTTCAAATTAATCAAATCAGTTTTTAAGACCTACTATCTTGTTTTATTGATTAGAGTAATGGACACTGGCAGCACAGTGGTGAATCAGTGTTCTATGTTCCCTGCTATCATTTTTTCCTCTTTAATTTAATCTGTGTCATGGAGATTTCTATACAAGTGTTACATTTTCTAAAAGTGGAAGAAGTGACTTGCCCTTGCTCTTCTTCCCGTTCACTTTTCAGTGACATAATCTTATCATTAGATGAATTCACACTGAAACTAAAATACTTGTTAATTGTCTGGAGTTGAAGCAAAGATTAAAAATAGAGCTAATAATAACATGACACCTGATAATTTTAGAATGCCAGAATCCATTTTGTGGCATGTAATCATTTCAGTTTTCATAAAAGCTATTTTTACTAAATAATAACAGTAGAGTAGTCCCCTTTTATCCGTGCAGGATATGTTCTAAGAACCCCAGTGGTTGCCTGAAAGCATGAATAGAACTGAATCTTATATATACTTTGTTTTTTTCTAGACATACATACCTATGGTGAAGTTTAATTTACAAATTAGGCACAGTAAGAGAGCAAAAATAACAAATAATAAAATAGAACGACTAAGTCAAACAAGCACCGAGGTGCCACAGCAGTCAATCTGATAACAGAAACAGCGACTCAGCGGCTAATGTAGACAGTGTTAATGCACTGGACAAAGGGTTGGTTCACAACCCTGGTGGGATGGCAGGAGATTTCCTCATGATACTGAGAATAGGAGGCAATTTAAAAGTTTTTAATTGTTTATTTCTAAAATTCTCCACTTCACATTTTTGGGCCACATTTGACTGTGGGTAACTGAAACCACGGAAAATGTAACCACAGATAAGAGGGGACCGTTGAGTCATAATAATGACAACAGGTAAAATTTATTTGGCTCTCACATATGCTGTTAATTTTACATAGATTGTTTCAGCTATTATATAATTTTAAAAACAAGTGCTTAAGATTTAAGTATTAAGTCACTATCCCACAATCACATAAGGAGTAAATGACAGAACCAAGATTTGAAAAAAAACAATATGACTTGAGTATTCTTAGCAGATACACCATACTGCAAGTAGTATAGTGTATTAATTTACTAGGGCTGGCATAACATAGTACCAAAGACAGTGTGGCTTAAATAACACAATTTTATTTTCTCATAATTCTGGAGGCCAGAAGTCCAAGATAAAGATGTCAGCAGGATTGATTTTATTCTGCGACCCTGTCATTGGTGCATACATGGTCTTCCCTTTCTGCATATCTTATTTCTAATCTGCTCTTCTTATGAGGACACCAGTTATATGATTTAGGGTCTACCCATATGATCTCATTTTACCTAAATAACCTCCTTAGAAACCAAATCTCCAAATACAGTCATATTCTAAGGTACTGTGGGTTAAGACTTCAACATATAAATTGGGGGAGGGGTGAGCACCATTAATCTCATAATATATAGTTCCTTAGACCAAAGGGGAAAACAAAGATTCATTATTGCCCAGTGTTAAATGTTGATGAAAAGAGTCAAACTCTGTTCATATATATATATAGAGAGAGAGAGAGAGCATAAAATACAAAAATGTGTGTGTGTGTTTGTGTGTGTATATATATAAATATATATATATATATATATATATAATTTTTTTTATGAGATGGGGTCTGGCTCTGTTGTCCAGGCTGGAGTGCAGTGGCTAGATCTTGGTTCACTGAAACCTCTGCCTCCTGGGTTCAAGTGATTCTTCTGCCTCAGCCTCCCAAGTAGCTGGGATTATAGGCATGCACCACCACACTCGACTAATTTTTGTATATATAATAGAGATGGGGTTTCACCATTTTAGCCAGGCTGGTCTTGAACTCTTGACCTCCAGTGATCCACCCACCTTGGCCTCCAAAAGTGCTGTGATTACAGGTGTGAGCCACCATGATCAGCCTCTGTGAAATGTTTGAAGCTATTTATTCTGAGCCAAATATAAGTTACCATGGCCAGTGACACAGCACTGAAGTCAAGGTCCTAAGAACATGTGCCCAAGGTGGTCAGGGTGAAGCTTGGTTTTGTACATTTTAGGAGGAGTGAGACATCAATAAATCACATTTAAGGAATACATTGATTTGGTCCAGAAAGGCAGGACAACTCAAAGAGGGGGCTTCCAGGCTATAGGTAAATTTAAGCATTTTCTGGTTGACAATTGGTTGAGTTTGTCTAAAGACCTGGGATCAATAGAAAGGAAATGTTCAGGTTAAGATAAAAGATTGTGGAGACCAAGGTTCTTTTGAAATCTTATAATGGCTGCCCTTAGAGACAATAGATGACAAATGTTTCCTATTCAGACCTCTAAAAGTTTCTAGACTCTTAATTCATCTCTTCAGGATTGGGAGGGCCTGGAAGAAAAGATCTAGCTATGTTAATAGAGATCCTTTACAGATGTAAATTTTCACCCACAAAGGACAGCTTTGCAGGGCCATTTCAAAATATGGCCAAAAAACACGTTGGGGTAAAATATTTTGACTTTCTTCTTTGTCATTTAATGTTACGCCAGAGTCAGATTGGAAAGTAAGTCACAATATACTGGTTAATTAAAACCCATATGATGAGAATTTATGGTTTGTAGGTCATGACTCTCCAGACCCCTTAGATAGAAATTTGGACAAGATTTAAAAATCAGAGATTAGTCTTCACAAAGAAGGTACAATTTCTCAAACTGAGTCCAGCAGACATAATTCTTCCAACATAACTCACGTGGCTAAATTGAGTTTGGAAAGAAGTAGTGAGTAGTAGGATAGAGAGAAGAAAGATGATAAAAATTCATGGACACTAATACACTGAGTGTAAAAATCTCTGAAGTTTGGTAACATCCTGATGATGAGATTTTCGATTGGATTACTGATGGTAATTCTGTCAGTTAGAAAAAATTTCACTAAGAGGGAGAGAATCAGCTGACTCTAAGAAGCTCAGCCTAAAGTTTTGTTTGTTCAGAAACACTCAACAGAGCATGCATAGGAACAGAGGAAGTGGGCAGCAGGGGTAGTAGGGGTGAGCACTCTCAGTGGAGCTTTCAAAGTTAAAACAAAGAAGATCATGGAGATGGAGGTTGAGGGCATTCTCCTGCTGACACACAGAGCTTTCTCTTGACCCTCTCCCAGGGTCAGCAAAGTGCCATTTTCTGTGTGGTCCACATCCATGAAATCTTTGAATTAAGACTGTGTTCTGCTGATAATTCCTCCCATCAAACTTCAAATGACACTTAAAAGCTTTTTAGATTTTTATAAGTGCCCCATGTGTCTTATCTATGCTTTCCCTGCTTACTGCTTCTGTGTCCGGAATTGGTGGGTTCTTGGTCTCACTGACTTCAAGAATGAAGCCGTGGACCCTCGCAGTGAGTGTTACATTTCTTAAAGGCGGTGTGTCCGGAGTTTGCTCCTTCTGATGTTCGGATGTGTTTGGAGTTTCTTCCTTCTGGTGGGTTCGCCTTCTTAAGGCGGCGCTTCTGGAGTTGTTCATTCCTCCCAGTGGATTCGTGGTCTCGCTGGCTTCAGGAGTGAAGCTGCAGACCTTCGTGGTGGGTGTTACAGCTCACAAAGGCAGTGTGAACCCAAAGAGTGAGCAGCAGCAAGATTATTGCAAAGAGAGAAAGAACAAAGCTCCCACAGTGTGGAAGGGGACCCGAGCGGGTTGCCTCTGCTTGCTCGGGCAGCCTGCTTTTATTCTCTTATTTGGCCCCACCCACATCCTGCTGATTGGTAAAGCCCAGTGGTCTGTTTTGACAGGGCGCTGATTGGTGTGTTTACAATCCCTGAGCTAGACACAAAGGTTCTCCACGTCCCCACCAGATTAGCTAGATAGAGTGTGGACTGGTGCATTCACAAACCCTGAGCTAGACACAGGGTGCTGATTGGTGTGTTTACAAACCTTGAGCTAGATACAGAGTGCTGACTGGTGTATTTACAACCCCTTAGCTAGACATAAAGGTTCTCCATGTCCCCACCAGACTCAAGAGCCCAGCTGACTTCACCCAGTGGATCCGGCACGGGGGCTTCAGGTGGAGCTGCCTGCCAGTCCCGCGCCAGTGCACCCGCACTCCTCAGCCCCTGGGTGGTGGATAGGACTGGGCGCTGTGGAGCAGGGGGCGGCATTCATCGGGGAGGCTTGGGCGGCACAGGAGCCCACAGAGGGCGGGGGAGGCTCAGGCATGGCGGGCTGCAGGTCCCCAGCCCTGCCCCATGGTAAGGCAGCTAAGGCCCCGTGAGAAATTGAGCACAGCAGCTGCTGGCCCAGGTGCTAAGCCCCTCACTGCCCAGGCCGCTGGGGTTGGCCGGCCGCTCTGAGTGCGGGGGTCTGCCAAGCCCACGCCCACCCAGAACTCACGCTGGCCCGCAAGCACCACTTGCAGCCCGGGTTCCCACCCGTGCCTCTCCCTCCACACCTCCCCGCAAGCTGAGGGAGCCGGTTCTGGCCTTGGCCAGCCCAGAAAGGGGCTCCCGCAGTGCAGCGGTGGGCTGAAGGGCTCCTCAAGTGCCGCCAAAGTGGGAGCCCAGGCAGAGGAGGTGCGGAGAGTGAGCGAGGGCTGTGAGGACTGCCAGCACGCTGTCACCTCCCACTACTTTAATATGTTGTAGCAGCACTATTACCCCTAAGGCCTGTTTGTGCTGAAGAGCCTCTTCTATTACAGATTCCCTCTTCCTCAACCTCCCACCTTTCAAATCAAACTTCTACAGGGACAAAGCTGTATGGATACCCTTCCCCTCAAAGATTTCTTGAAAAAACAAGGGGCTGATGTAACAGTTTTGAATTTAAACATCTGGAAAAAAATATAATTAATTAACATCAACTAATCATTAACATGAATGAATTAAAATTCTTAATTAAATGTCAAGTATTGGACATTTTAATGTAAAAATAAACTAGATTTAAAAAATTTAAGAATCACTCCATCTCTAATATAAATTTAAAAACATTAGGACAAATTTAAGAGGCATAATATCCTCACCTCTTGTTGAGTTCCTGTGAGCAAAGTATATTGCCAGATATTGAATGAAGACAGCTTGAATGAATACGTAGAGCAAGGGCAAGATTCCATGTTCTAAAACTATTAGAATACCTCTCTGGACTTCCCATCTAATTGAGGAAAATTTTGCTGATAATATTAAAGATAGAACTTCTATTTAGGAATCTTTGGTTGTAAGGAATACCCCAGGTATTCTGTCTTGTGTTGCTTTTTCTTTTATCTAAACATTCTTCCTGGATAGGCTACTAATACTCTTGTATTCTGATAACTCAAAAATTATATCTCCACCTCTGGCTACTCCTCCTGATTCAAGATTTACATATCCAATTGTCAATCTGATATAAACAGTTGGAAGGCTAGTAAACATCTCAAAATTAAAATAAGCAATGGAGAACTGCTGATTATCTTGTCTAAATCTACTTGCTAAGTTTTATTCATTACAGCAAATGACAGCCATTCATCCAGTTGTCTAATTCAAAAATCTAGGTTATAGCTTTTATTCCTCTATTTCATTTTATCCCCATGTGTAATTTTAAATTAGCATGTCTATCCCCCAAACAACATTCCAAATTCCATTATATCTCTTTGTCTACAGTGTAAAAGAAAAATTGCACCTGGTCAGTTAAACAGACCACACATTATTTAAGACTATGAGAATAAAGGTGTATTATGTTTGCTTTCCATTATTCTTAAGAAGGTTAATGGTACTCAGCCATCTGTATTTACTAATTGTCTCTTATCAAAGCTTGGGTCTTCCCCTCCCATAGAGAGACAAGGATCTTATCTTTCTTGATGATTACATTTCAAAAGATGACTCTCAACTCCTTGAAAAAGATATTTCAGAGTTGTAGATGATTTACATCTCAAAGAGGCATAAAAAGAATTTGCAATTCCAAGTTTTCTAAAGTAAGTGTTTTAAGAAAAGGGAGTAGAGACCTATAGTCAGAAAGAAGCGTGACTAAAGTTTAGTCAAACTCAGGGGAAGTTAAGACCATCTTGGTAAATACTATGAGTACTCTTATTGAAGGTACAGTCACCCTTTGCTATGACTACTGAAATGTCTTTGTAAATCGTTTTCCTTTTTTTCTGTTTTGCCTTTCTTTTTTACTACAGATAAATAAAATTAGATTTTTTCTGTTTCTCAAACATACCAAAGGATTCCCATGTTTCGGCCTTTCAATTAGCTCTCAGCTTGGTTTGTGGTGTTCTCCTTGTACCAGTTATTAAATTATTCTTTCTCCTTTCCAAACCCATCCTTCTGTGTTCTGCTATGCTTTTCCATGTAATGACTGACCTGGGCCAATGCAGGCTACATTTCTCTTTTGCTAGGTAGACCCCTATTTTGTTTTTGACAATAGCAAGTACTATATGGATACTAGAAAGCTGGAGAAAAAGATATACCTTATTAGTGTTGGCCTCCTATTCATATCAGCTGTTGCTGATATGAATGGTGGTCCTAAAACCTGGTGTTTTGGTAACAATTTAAGTTTGTTGTTTTTAACCTCCAATTTCTAGCTTCTTTTCACATTTACAAATCCAGCTTTTTTCCTTCCTGTAATAGCCAGAATTTTTAGGAATGATCTTGAATTATGGAATTGAATTATGTCTTCAATATGGAAGACATATTGAATTATGTCTTCCAAAAAGTTATAGAGAAGTCCTAATCCCTGGTGCCTGTATAGTCTTATATGGAAATAGAGTCCCTGTAGATGCAATTAAGATGCCAGTTAAAATAAAGTCACTCTGACATAGGGTTTGTGAACCTGTTACTGGACCAAACTGAGGATCGAGCTGCTATTTCTCGTGGCCCAATAACGAGATGCAGATGAACTGGGGAGGAAGAGAGTTTTTATTTCTGTAACCAGTTACAGGGAGAAGGCCCAGAAATTACGGCCAGACCAACTCAAAATTACAAAGTTTTCCAGAGCTTATATACCTTCTAAACTATATGTCTGCATGTATTAAGTGTACATTCATCAAATACATAAGTGATTAACTTATTTTAATCTATAACTAAGGTCTGAGTCCTGAAGACCTTCTTTTGGAGCCTAGGTATGTTTACTTAATCTAAATGGGTCTAAGTGGTGGGGTGATTATCTTGTCTCCTGCTAAATCATGCAGGTTTGGGGAGTTCCTTCAGACCTCCAATATACTTGTTTGTGGAGGCCTAGGGAGTCTCTTTAGACCACCATTAAAACTTGTTTAATCCTAAATGGATCCTGTTAAGAATTCATTTATTATTTTGTCATGCTTTAAGGCCCAGAAAAGGCCTAGGCAAAACTCTTGATAGACTTTTGTTACATTCCAGCCTTGGTATAAGAGCACTAGCTTTTTCAGCTTTTGATGTTTAACTTAACCGCTCGGTCAGTTCTGAAACAGTTGTGATGGAGGCCTGCATTAGTGAAACCTGGCCTGCCACAAACCCAGAAAATCTGAGACAGGTCTCAGTTAATTTAGAAAATTTGTTTTGCCAAAGTTGAGGATGCACCCATGACACAGCCTCAGGAAGTCCTGTGTTATGTGCCCAAGGTGGTCTGGGCATGGCTTGGTTTCATACATTTTAGGGAGACATGAGACAACTATTAATATATGTTAGCAGTACATTGGTTTGGTCTGGAAAGGTGGAACAGCTTGAAGCAAAGAAAGGAAGACTCAAAGCCATGAGGGAGCTTCCAGGTCACAGATAGTTAAGACATACTCTTTTGAGTTACTTATTAGCCTTTCCAAAGGAGGCAATCAGATAAGCATCTATCTCAGTGAGCAGAGGAATAACTTTGAATAGATTGGGAGGTAGGTTTGCCCTAAGCAGTTTCCAGCTTGAGTTTTCCTTAGTGATTTTGGGGGCCCAAGATATTTTCCTTTCACAGGTGGGACCTTAATACATACAATTTGACTACTGTCCCCATAAAAAGAGGAAAAAAGACACAGCAGATGATACACACAGAGAAGAGAACATCAAGTGAAGACACAGACAGAGGGAAGATAGCCATGTGATGACGCAGAAATTGCAGTTGTGCAGCTACAAACCACCTAACACCAAGGATTTCCACCAACTCCAGAAACAGACTCTAAGAATAGCTATGAAACAGACTCTCTCTTAAAATTGAAATGCAGGTTCAGTTGATTGCTGCTGGTGGAGTTGATTTAACAAGAGTGAGGTCTGGTGTAAAGCGAGTGACTTTTTAAAAAAGCTATTTTATTTTATTTTTTTCTAATTTTATATTTTTTAACTTTTATTTGATGTTCGGGGAACATGTGAAGGTTTGTTATATAGGTAAACTCATATCATGGGAGTTTGTTGTACAGATTATTTCATCACTCAGGTATTAAGCCCAGTACCAGATAGTTATCTTTTCTGCTCCTCTCCCTCCTCCCACCCTCCACTGTCCACACCCAGACTCCAATGTCTGTCGTTTTCTTCTTTGTGTTCATAACTTCTCATCATTTAGTTCCCATATATAAGTGAGAATATGTGAGTATTTGTTTTTCTATTCCTGCATTAGTTGTTGAGGATAATAACCTCCAGTTTCATTCATATTCTTGCAGAAGACATGATCTTGTTCTTTTTCATGGCTGCATAGTACTTTTTATGGTGTACATGTACCACATTTTCTTTATCCAATGTGTCATTGATGGGCATTTAGGTTGATTCCATGTCTTTACTATTGTAAATAGTGCTGCAATGAACATTTGTGTGAATGTGTCTTTATGGTAGGATTATTTATATTCCTCTGAGTATAGTACATATAGTATATATACTGTATATATACACAACAGAGTATATATACTGTATATATATACAACAGAGTATATATACTGTATATATACACAACGGAGTATATATACTGTATATATATACAACAGAGTATATATACTGTATATATATACAACAGAGTATATATGCTGTATATATACAACAGAGTATATATGCTGTATATATACTACAGAGTATATATGCTGTATATATATGCTACAGAGTATATATGCTGTATATATATGCTACAGAGTATATATGCTGTATATATATGCTACAGAGTATATATGCTGTATATATATGCTACAGAGTATATATGCTGTATATATATGCTACAGAGTATATATGCTGTATATATATGCTACAGAGTATATATGCTGTATATACATGCTACAGAGTATATATGCTGTATATATATGCTACATATATATTATATATTATATATATATATTTTGAATCTGGAAATTGCTTTGGGCAGTATGGTCATTTTAATGATATTGATTCTTCCTCTCCATTAGTAAGGGATGTTTTTTCCATTTGTTTGTGTCTTCTTGGATTTCTTTGAGCAGTACTTTTTAATACTCATTATAGAGATCATTTGCCTCCTTGGTTAGCTGTTTAGAGGAAGAAGTAAAGGCTTTCTGTCTTAAGGGTACTGCTTCACTTTTGGAGCAGAGAGCAGGCAATTTTATAAGGACACATGGCATGAGTGGAATGAAGAGGAGGACGTGAGCAGGTACAGGTTGCGTACTCACTTTGGTGCCTTACCTACCAGGGAATCAAGTTGGTATCTTTGAGTCAAGGGCAGAACTAGGTTGTAAAAGTTGCTGAAATTCTCCAGGAGAGAGTTTCGTAGCAGGCATATTTTGGGGCGTAAATTGATTGTTGTGTCTTAAGGCAAACTCCTGGTGGGTGAGGGTTTTGCTCTGGAGCTTCTAAGCACATAGTCAGATGAACTTGTTCTGTAAGGAGTGTCTGATGAAAGGGAGATAAAAGGCTATAATTACATTTCTAAAGGGCTAAGTAGGAAGGAGTGGGCGGGGAAATGGAGGAAAGAGAAAAAATAATTTAAAAGATCTCATTCTCTTTTTCTTGGAAAAATGGGTGTACTTGTTTACATTCTCAGAGACTTTCAGTAAGAACTGTAGGTTCCTGAATGTTCCTGAAAATGCTCTGATGGCTTGCTGAAAAAACAACTCACAAAGGGCAGATTAGGAAGAAAGGTACACAAATTTACTTAACTGGTTTACAAGATAACCTTCAGAAAGTAGACCCAACGCCTCAATTAAGTACAGAAATGTCTATGCCATCTTGAGGTTATAGAAAATACACAGGCTCAGAGCATGGCAAAAACAGCTTATGATGGTAAACCAGATTATAGTGGGAAGAGAAGTTATGAGAGGAGGAGAAGAGGAGGCTTGGCTAGCAAATTGGTCTTGTCATGTAGATGAAACCACACAGAACTTATAGTAAATGTTTCTTTCAGATTTTTAAAGGTGTCAGACTCAGTTAATCTCTCATAGATCCAGACAAGAGAAGGCCTGCTGTGTTAATGTAGATTCTCTACAGTTGCAAATTTCCCCCACAAAAGGCAGCTTTGCAGGGCTACTTTAGTCTGCTGGACTTGTGGCAGCCATCTCAAAATACATTAAAAATACATTTGAGGTCAAATATTTTGATTTCCTTCAGAAATATTGTCCAACAACTAAATTTTGAAGTTCTTGTGTGCACAACTGTGAAAGAACAAATTTTTGTTAGCTTAAACTATTCAGGTTTTGGTACTTCGGTATTTTTCGTACAGCCTTTTAAAACAAATACAGCCCCTATGAGTCTGCCCTATAGTTCATAAACTCATAAATGTGGTATTACTCCTATGATTGTGTTATGTTATATGGCATAGTTAATCTTAAAAAGGAAAGATGCTCTGGGCATTCCTAATCAAATAATAGAAATATTTAGAAGCAGGGAAATTCCTCTGTCTGGTGGCTGAGGGAGGAATGCAGAAGGAGAAATCAAAAGGATTCAAAGAATAAGGACGGTTTGGTACGCCTTTGCCAGCTTAAAGATAGAGGGGGGCCAGTGATAAGGAATGAAGGGGATATTTAGAAGCTAAAAGCAGTTCCTAGCTTATAGCCTTCAAGAAAACAGGGGGCTCGGATCCACAGCCAGAGGAACTGGGTTCTATTAACAACATTAATGAACTCGAAGAGACTCTTCCCGAGATCCTCCAGATAAGAATCTAGCTGGAGTATATTTTAATTTTAGCCTTGTGAGAACCCAAGGAGAAAATGTAGATGAGCTTGCCCAGATTTCTGATTTACAGGACTGTGGGAAAAGAAATGAGTGTTGTTTTAAGCTGCAAGTTCATGGTCATGAGAAGTGAAGTGAGCTGGACTTCCTGGGCCAAGTGAGGACTTGGAGAACTTTTCTGTCTAGCTAGAGAAATGTAAACACACCAATCAGTGCTCTGTGTCTAGCTAAAGGATTGTAAGCGCACCAATCAGCACTCTGTAAAAATGCACCAATCAGTGCTCTGTGTCTAGCTAAAGGATAGTGAATGCACCAATCAGCACTCTGTAAAAATGCACCAATCAGTGCTCTGTGTCCAACTAAAGGATTGTAAACACACCAATTAGCACTCTATAAAATGGACCAATCAGCACTCTTTAAAATGGACTCAACCAGTGCTCTGTAAAATGGACCAATCAGCAGAATGTGGGTGGGGTCAAATAAGGGACTAAAAGCTGGCCACCCCAGCCAGCAGCAGCAACCTGCTCCGGTCAACTTCCATGGTGTGGAAGCTTTGTTCTTTTGCTCTTCACAATAAATCCTCCTGCTGCTCACTCTTTGGGTCCACCCCACCTTTAAGAGCTGTAACACTTGTTGCAGAGGTCCGCAACTTCATTCTTGAAGTCCGCGAGATCATGAACCCTCAAGAAGGAAGAAACCCCGGACACATCTGAAGGAACAAATTCGGGACACACCATCTTTAAGAGTTGTAACACTCACCACGAAGGTCTGCGGCTTGATTCTTGAAGTCAGCGAGACCAAGAACCCACCGGAAGAAACAAACTCCGGACATGGTAGTTTGTTACGCAGAAATACAAAACTGATCCCTTCTGAGGTACTAGAGACATTCATCTTGTCCTTAGAGGTCTGAGTACCCGCTCTGACAGTTCCTTCCTCTAAGTTCCCATGGTACCAATGCCAGCTATGCAGTGCTCTGTCAGCTCTGTGGGTGCTTCCTCCAAGCTTCCAGTTTCTGAGTGTCCCCATTTTTCCCTTGTTTCCTCTATCCTTAAGGGTGGTAGCTGTGTTTTTGAAATTATATTTTCTGTGTTAGCTCAATATTTTCTTTATGATTTTACTGAAAGTATCTTTGCAAAAATTACAACGGTGAAAAAAATCTGACCTAATCCACTCCATTTGCTCCTAACCTCCAAACTGCCCTGTTCATTCCTGCTGTTAGGCTGAGCCAACTATAGGAGGAATTTATAGTTTATAGTCTTCTGTTGTTTGTTTGTTTTTTTTTTTGTTTGTTTGTTGAGACACAGTCTGACTCTATTGCCCAGGCTGGTGTGCAGTGGCCTGCTCATGGCTCGCTCTAGCCTCTACATCTTGGGCTCAAGAGATCCCCCCACCTCAGCCTTCTGAGTAGTTGGGACTACAGGCACACACCATCATGCCTGTCTCAAACTCCTGGGCTCAAGCAGTTGGACCGCCCCTGCCTCCCAGGGTGCTGGGATTACTGGAGTAAGCCTTCATGCTCGGCCCAGTTTATAATTTAACTTTAAAACAAAGATGATAACAGCCTTTGTCTAAAACAAGCCCCTTCATGCTTAGGGACCAGGCTGCCTTTGTAAAACCAACAAATTAGCTACAAGATTAGATATTATGGCTCAGGAGTCATGCAGGCAGAGGTTATGAGATTCCTAATCTCCCTAATTCCTCCTATGGATAACATAACTATTGTAAAACCTAAGATTGGTGTGGCGGATATTTTTTTAGACCCCGCATTCTGACGGACCAGCCGGTGCCACCCTGGTAAACTTGCTCATCCTGTCTTGTGGCCCCCACCCAGAAACTAAGCACAAGAAGACAAGCTCTGCCTCCCTGTGATTTCTTCCCTGACCTGTCCAGTCAGCACTCCCAATTTCCTAGCACCCTGACAGCTGAATTATCTTTAAAACCTCTGGCCTCTGAATTTTCAGGGAGACTAATTTGAGAAATAATAAAACTCGGTCTTTCATTTAGCTGTTCTATGTGTATTATACTCTTTCTCTACTGCAATTCTCCTGTCTTAATAAATTGGCTGTACTGGGCAACAGGCAAGATGAACCTATCAGGTGGTTACATTACTATCCACCCATGTCTATTTAACCAATTCCTTTTATTAAATTATTTCTGTTAAAATAAAGATTGCTGTTTCTGTGTGCCTGCTTGGATCCTGACACACCCTAAGCCTCACATAGTTAGCTTCTTTTTATCATCCCCTCAGACAAAAATATTACCTAATCTACAGTAACAACCCAGTCACTGTCTACCATAGCACCTATGGTGAATTACATTAGTAGGTTATTCTCTATTGAATATTTTGCTGGTCTGTTCTCTTGGTTGATTGGTTTTATCATCTCTATCTTTTCACAAGAATGAAGGCTATGTACTAGCAGAAATGCGGTTGCTTGTGTGTATGCACACTGTAATTAATGGTAGTGAGGGCAAAGTGATAATCATATGTTTCAAAATCCTAACAAAAATTTAGGATAGGTCATATTCAGCTTCTCTAACAGGGTTAGATCTTCTGAAAAATCAACTTAAATCTCAAGGCAGGCAAAAATATGGGGCCAAATAGTAAATCCTGAATTTCTCTAGCTTAGCATTTACCAAAGTATGTCTTAAATAGTAGTTTAGGAAATTACAGGTATAATACATTCATTTAGCAATTCAGAATGCACATTGTTTAGCATGTATTAAATAATATAAGAAGTCTCATATTAAAAATTTTGTAATTAAAAAGGTTTTCTTCCTTACTTTGGTTCAGTTTCTTCAAAAACAGAACCCCTTATAAAGTAAAACATTGGAATTGGAGGAAAATAATATTATACATTATTATGACTGTTAATAGTCTCTCAAAAATTTGTGTAAGTGCAAAATAAATTCATACTTATACAAACAGTGCTTGTTCTTAGAATACAGTGTATAACAGAGCATGGATCAGATAGACTACATAATCGCTTAAAAGATAATTCTATCCGAAGCAATTCAATTTTTTTTCTTACTTCAATCTAATAAGCTTGATAAGTATAAAATCTTCATTTCTCTATGGGTTGCAAAGACACAGCCTTAACTGACTCTTTATATAATCATCACCAAGTAATTATATTCCAGGTGGATGCTTTGTGACTCTCCTTTGACCACAAATTAGTTTGCACAAAATGACACAAGTCATATTGTGTGGCAGCTTTTATTACTGCGAGTCACTGACATGTAGCTGAGAACAATGAATATATTTTGAACAAGAATTGTGCTGTTATCTGGAAGGCCAAATGAAAACCTGCCCAGCCACAAATGTTTAAATGATTATTTTAGACATATTTTTCTTGACTTCCCCTCTCTTCTCCATGGCAATGTAGTTAATTACCTGCAGCACTTTTACATATATTACGTGCTCATAAAATATTTTTCTTCCCGTTTTTTTCCCCCTTGATTAAGTAGAATTTACCTATGAAGTATCAATAATTAAATAAATAGCTCCAGGCTGGGGATCATCATACTGAGCCCTTTCCTTACTTCAGATGTTATAAGACCGATTTGAGTACTTTACAAGACATTGGAGAATAAAGGAAGGAACTAATATTCTTCAAGATTATCACAGGCAAAAAAGCCCTGAAACCTCAACTCTCGTTTTCAAAATAAGCAACTAATATTCTTCAAGATTATCATAGGCAAAAAAGGCCCTGAAACCTCCAGTCTGCTTTTCAAAATTAGATATTTTATGAGCTCTATTTTTCTTGTATAGAAAAAAAAATCAACTAGTAATCCTTTTATAAATGCAAATTCTCAATAATATATTCTGACATAGTAAAAACAAATTAATCATCACCCAAATAACTATTTAAATATCATATCATGGAAAAGAAAACATAAGATCAAATTGTATTTCTAAAAAATTTGCTAAAATTAAAAAAATAAATAAAAGCAACAAATGACCAGGATGTGGGTATGAGCACATAATAAGTGTCAACAACAAAGCAAATAAGTAAACACAAAACTTTTTAGAATTATTACATTGAATTTAGATAGAAAGTTTTAATATCAATTATCTTACTGTTTGATGATATAAAAAAGTAATTTTTTTTTACTTAAGTGCATATTCAATTAAACACAGCTCACTGAAAATATTGGTGGAAATGAAGGATATTTATAATTTGAAAGTCGAACAAATTAAATAATGTTAAATAATACAGTACACACATTAGAAAATGCAAAGTCAACTTTAAAATCACAGTCATAACATCAGTTTAATATTTATGTGAAGAATAACATTGAACACATGACAAAGATGTGCATTAGCATCATATTTAGTGTAGACATGTAGAAATTAAAAATTAGAAAAAGTAAATGCCATATGGAATCAAAAGATGAATAAAGAATTCCACTGCTGTAATTGTAAGTAAAAGTTCACTATTGTTGTCTATGTCCTCAAAATAAAAAAGAAAAATAAAAAGCGTGCTCTGAATATTTAATATATTTTTGTAACTCTGCACAGTCTTTGCTAAACTGGGGTTCACAAATATTGATGGATCTTTTATAAATGTATGTTAAATCCTTTACCTCTGCATTTGAAAAATAATAATTTATAAGAAAGATACTTTATCATACTATCCTTTTTGTTTCTTTTATAAAATTATTATTTTTCAAATCTCAAGGTCTGGTATAATAGAACATACTGATGAAGACTATATTCCACTTTTATCTTTCCAAGTTAAAGTTTCCTTTTCAGTTCTTATCTAAAACTCTGAACATGACTGCATGTTTCTTATATGTATTGATTTCTTTCCTTGTTTTTCTTATATTTTAAAATTATTTGTTCTTTTCATTCCTTGATGCTATGACTCTTCTATACTCTTTTAAAACTTTTCTGCAAATGCATTATGTCTCTAAGTCATATAATGAGACAAATTTAACTTCCAGCTCTGTCACTGAATTAATAAGAGGATACAAGCAAAAGAATGCCGAGATTTCTTGCCGTAGAATTAGAAAGAGAACTATTCTTTTCTGCAACATTTTGGACCCCCTGATGTTCAGAGAGTAAGAATTTAAGAAGACAATAAAGGAGTTAATTGCAATAGTCAAGATGGGAAGTGATTAAAACATTTAATGGAACCATTTCATGATTGTATTCATTGTCACAGCACTGTTAAGTCTTATAAGCATCGTTTGTAAGACATGCATGAAAAATAAAAATGCCTGGTTCAATATTTTATTTTAATTGCTTCCAACTTTAGTTTTCTAAAATATAACCACATGATGATTTGTAATGTATAGCATACATACTTTGTCTTGTCTTCAAAATTGTCTCTCCTGTGACTACTCATTCTGTTTGTACCTCACACCAACCAAGTTATAAGTTCATGGTAAACCAGAAAATAAATAAATGAATTATATCAAAACATTTCATGTGTAAGGGAAAGGAAAGAAAGGAACATTTAATCAAAGAGTTGAATAAAATGAAGGGAAAAGTTATGCAAGTAAACTAGGGAAAGAACTATAAGACCCTATGTTACTTCTGCTCAGAAAAACTTCAGGTAAAACATATTTTTAAAGTCCTATTAAGATGGTATTGAGTTTTTAATATTGACCTCTCTTAATATTATTCTGATGTGCACATGATGTTTTCTGTGTCAGAGACAGAATTCTTATTACTTTGAGTATATAAGTGTGCCAGCTCCCCCTTGTTCAAGTACTTATCTTTATTGTGACACAGTGAAAGCTAATGGGAATTTTTCCTATATGAGTATCCAGACACTGCAGAGGTAAGGGATAAGGAAAAACGATTTTTCCCTGCTTTTAAAGAAAAATGCATCTTTCTCCCTCTGCTCCTCAAATGGTCTCCAGGAGCCAGACAGCCCGATGTGTCTTTCCTTTTCTGACCTGAAGATGCTTTTGAGTTCTGGAGTTTCATTTCCTTTCACAATTAAATTCCTAGAGAAATAATGCCCCAGTCTCCCAGGCACCTTGGTGCTTAACTGAGGGACTAAGCCCAGAATGTAACCATTTGACTTTCTGGGGAAGATAAGTTTGATAACCTGTTTGGAGCAGAGCAATTAATTAGAAAAATGGCCAGCATATAATTCCAATGATAGAGGAAATGTTAATAAGAGAATTGAAAGCAAGCACTCTCTAACTTTAGAGCATATATGTTTCTGTGGATTAGAAAGGTGGAGCTTTTTACAGGAAGACTGAGAAAAAAAAAAGTTTTTTTCTCCAGATGGTCAATTCAATTCAATGCAAAAACTATGGTCAAATTTCTGCAACAGCCACTATGACCAGTTTTCGGGGGCATAAAACAAAGTGTTTGCCTTCAAGGTGTCTATAATTTCATAGCATCCTTGAAGAAAAAAAAACTCTCCAATATAAGACTGAACATACATACTTTAACAAAAATAAGTTTATAGAACTGCATTTTGAAATTTAATAGGAGGAAGATATAGCATCAATCTGTAATAAACAGAAAATATTTGAAAAAAGTGATATTTGACATGGATCTTAAATATTTCATAAAATTCAGGAAGGCAAATTTTCTAAAAGGGGTACATTCTAGATACAGCACTCTACATAGATAAATAAATTTTGTAAGAAATCATAGTATAATACAATTTATATTATCTTGTTTTGACCCTTACTGGTCCAATTAACCTCCTATTTTTTATTCAATTTACTTAATCACAGTATATATTGTATGGACACACAGTATGATATAAAATAAAATAGAATAAGTAAATAGAGTGATGTATTACATAGGATGATTCAAGATCTTCTTTGTTAGGGTAACATTGACTATTTGATGAAAACCCTAAATAAAATCAGTGAGAAAGCTATCTGAGTAACAAAGCAGAGGGTAACCGTGTACATAGACACACTAGAGACTTCACATATATTAGTGCAGGGTCAAAGAGGGATCGCTTCTGCTCTGCCCACTGAAAATGAACTGACAATGAGCAGATTAATAGGAGGAAAAGATAAATTTATTAATGTGCACTTGGACATGGGAGTCCTGCAAATATGAGACTCAAAGAAGTGTCAGATGACTGAAATTTTTATACCCTACAGAAAGGAACACAGGCTTGAAGCATGGCAACAGGTTGTGGGAGGGAGAGAGAACGAAAGACAAGGTGAGCAGAGAATGTCTTATTATGCATATGAAAATCTCCCAGGTAATCTCTGAGCTTCCCTAAGAGAGAAGAAATGGTAGCCTGTCATCAAAGTTTCTGTCAGACCTTTAAAAGTGTCTGACTTGTAGTGATTTTTTTGTTTGCTTTTGGTTTTTTTTTTGCCTGTGAGTTAATCCTTCCTAGATAGAGAAAAGGAAGATAAGGGTGTCCTCAGAGAAAGCCTATTTGTATCCACTGTTTATTTCCCTAATGTAGATTTCCTCTGCAGATGCCAATCCCTGCAAAAGACAGCTTTACAGGGCTATTCCTGTGTTTGCAGCAACTCTGAATAGCCATCTTGAAATATACCAAAGAAGTATATTTTGGGTTGGCATATTTTGGTTTCCTTCACAAGCGAAAAAAGCCAGCTTTTGAACAAACATGATATGCACTCTGATGAATCTATACTGAAATAGATAGAGATAGTCTGTTTTTTCAACAGCTTTATTAAGATATAATTCACATATACTACAATTTACCCATTTAAAATGTATAATTCAATTTTTTTTGTATTTCACAAAGTTGTACATTATCATCACAATCAAATATAGGACATTTTATTATCCCCAAAACAAATCCTGTGCCACTTAGTCATCAGTCGCCATCCTTCTCTGCCCTAGGCAACGACTAATCTATGATCTGTCTTCATAGAACTGCCTATTCTGAATACATTGTGTAAGTGGAATTATACAAGAAGTTGCCCTTCTCAACTGACTTCCTTCACTTAGGACAACGCTTTTAAGGTTAATTCATGTTGTAGTATATATTGGTACTTCAATTATCTTTCTTGATGAATAATATTTTGTTGTATGGATGTACTACATTTTATTTATTCATTAATCAGTAGAGGGGCATTTGGACTATTTTAACCTATTGGTTATTACATATAATGCTGCTTTAAACATTGATTTATAAGTTTCTGTGTGAAAATATGTTTTCACTATGCAGCTATATATCTTGGAGTGGAATGACGGATCACATGGTAACTCTAGGTTTAATTTTTTGAGAAACTGCTGGACTATTTTTTAATATAAAGCCTGCACCACTCTACATTCCCACAAGCAGTCCATGAGGGTTCCAATTCCTCCATATCCTCAATCACATGTGGAATAAATTGTCGTTTTAATTATAGCCATCCTATTGGGTATGGAGTGGTTTCTTGTTGCTTTGAATTGTATCTGCCTCTTGGACAGTGATATTAACCATCTTTCATGTGCTTATTGACAATTTACATATTATCTTTGGAGAAATCTCTATTTTGATCCTTTGACTATTTTTTAAAATTAAATTAAATTTAATTCTGTTTTATTGTGGTGAAAACATTTAAAATGAGATCTACTGTCTTACAATTTTTGGTGTATAATACATTATTGTGGACTCCAGGTACAATGTTATACAGCAGATCTCCAGACCTTATTCATCTTACTTGATTAAAAATGGATGCTCATTGATTAGTAACTCTAGAGTTCTTCCTCCCTAACCCCTGAAAACCACGCTGTGATTCTATGAATTTGAATATTTTAGATACTCATATAAATTGAATCATTCAGTATTTGTCTTTCTGTCACTTGGTTATTTCACTTAGCTTAATATCCTCAAAGTTCATCCACGTTGTTGCATATTAAAAAATTCCTTTTCATGTCTGAATAGTATTTCATTGTATGTACATACTACTTTTTTATATAGTATCTATCAATGAATATTTAGGCGGTTGAAGATCTTAGCTATTTTGAATATTGCTGCAGCGAACATAGGAGTGCTAATATCTCTTCAAAATCCTAACATTAATTCTTTAGAAGAATACCTAGAAGTGACAATCATATGGCAGATCTATATTTAATTTAAAAATATAAACAGAAAACATCATATTCTTTTTCATAGCAGTGAAAAATTTTGCATTTCCACAAGCAGTGTGCAAGGATTCTAATATTTCCACAATCTCACCAACACTTATATTTTGTTTCTTTTCTATTAGTAGCCAGCCTCATAAGTGTGAGATGATATATCGTTGTGGTTTTGATGTGTATTATTTTGTGGTTAGTAATGTTGGCCATCTTTTTACATTCTTGCTGTATATACTTCTCTGGAGAAATGTCTATTCAAGTTCTGTGCCCACTTTTAAATCAGATTATTTAGGGGTATTTGTTAGTTTGCTTGTTTTGCTATTGAGATGTGTTTGTTATACATTTTGGAAATCAATCCCTTATTAGATACATGGTTTGCAAATATTTCTCCATAAGAATCCTTTTCACTCTTTTTTTTTTAAGTTTTTTTTTTAGTTTAATGACATTTTATTTGTTTATTTTTGTTTTCATTGCCTGTGCTTTTAGTGTCATGTTTATAAAATTATTGCCAAGAGCAATGTCACGAAACTATTCCACTATGTTTATTATACAAGTTTTATAATATGGGCTATTATGTTTAACTTTTTAATTTATTTTGAACTGATTTTTGTGTATGGTGTAATATAAGGGTCTGATTTCATTCTTTTAAATGTGGATATTCAGCTTTTCAAACATCCTTTTTTGAAGGCACTATCCTTTTTTCATTGTATATTCTTGCTTACTTCTTGAAGATCAATTGACTATATATGCATAGATTTATTTCAGTGCTCTCTATTTTATTACATTGGTCTATGGGTCTGATTTTATGCTAATACGTTACTGTTTTGATTACTTTAGTTTTTTTTTTTTCTTTTTTTTAGACGGAGTCTCGCTCTGTCGCCCAGGCTGGAGTGCAGTGGCGCGATCTTGGCTCACTGCAAGCTCCGCCTCCTGGGTTCACGCCATTCTCCTGCATCAGCCTCCCGAGTAGCTGGGAATACAGGCGCCCGCCACCACGCCTGGCTAATTTTGTTTTTGTATTTTTAGTAGAGACAGGGTTTTGCCATGTTAGCCAAGAAGGTCTCAATCTCCTGATCTCGTGATCTGCCCGCTTCGGCTTCCCAAAGTGCTGGGATTACAGGTGTGAGCCACCGTACTTCAGCTTTTGAATATACTGTGAAATCAGGAAGTGTGATAATTTCAGCTTTGTTCTTTCTCCAGATTGATTGGCTATTTGTATTTTTTACAGTTCTTGTGGATTTTAAATTCTTTTCTACTTTCTTTTTTTTTTTTTTTTTTTTTGAGATGGAGTTTCGCTCTTATTGCCTAGGCTGGAGTGCAATGGTGGGATCTCGGCTCACCCAAACCTCTGCCTCCCGGGTTCAAGGGATTCTCCTGCCTCAGCCTCCCAAGTAGCTGGGATTACAGGCATGTGCCACCACGCCCGGCTAATTTTGTATTTTTGGTAGAGATAGGGTTTCTCCATTTTGGTCAGGCTGGTCTCGAACTCCTGACCCCAGGTGATCCACCTGCCTCTGCTTCCCAAAGTGCTGGGATTAAAGGAGTAAGCCTCTGTGACTGGCCTCTACTTTCTTTAAAATGCCATTGGAATTTTGATAGGGACTGTATTAAATCTATGGATCACTTTGGGTAGAATGAATATTAATAATATTAAGTCTTCTAATCCTTGAACATTGGAGTTTTTCATTTGTTTGTGCCTTATTTAATGTCGTTCATCAATGTTTTGCAGTTTTTAATATACAGTCTTTCATCTTCTTACTTAAGTTTATTTTGAGGTATTTTAGCTCATTTGATTGTAAATTAAATTGTTATCCTAATTTCCTTTTCAGGTCATTGTTAGTGTGTAGAAATACAACTCATTATTTTATGTTATTTTTCTATCTTGCAACCTTATTGAATCATTTATTAGTCCTAAATTCAAGCCACATACTAATTCCATTCTGTGAAACTCTCATACTGCTCCAATTATTTCCTTATTGGTGAAAAATGCTACAACAAATATTATACATATAATTTCACACATGTGTATAAAAAACATTCACACATATCTATGAGAAACATTCCTAAAAGTTGAATTAGTAGGTTCAAAGGCATGCACATTTTACATTTAAATATGCTATTTTAAAATGAAAAACACGTCATATTAACAAAAGTTATCATTTAACTATGTAAAACAAAATAAATACAAATTATTATTTTTGCTTGTTCATATTTATTTTTATTTTATTTTCCTAATAAATATATTTCTGGTATAAAGTTCTCTAGCAATATTAAATCCTATTAAATTTACTTATACAATACTTGTTTAAAATTTCAAATCCCAAACTCTTATTAATTTTACAAGCTGTTCTGGAAAGAAAAGTTTATGATCATCTACGTTTTTCTGGAAAATGCATATTTTCATCTCCTTTAAAAGATACGAATCCTGAGCTCTGATAAATTCTTTAAGAAACCTGTTCAAATGTATTTAATCTGGCACTTGTCAAATGTGTTTGACAATGATTAACATCCTTTTAAAAAGCGTTCCTTGGGACACGTGTGCTAATACTAGAAAATGAAATATGCTAGACCATTTTCTAATCTTAATTTGAAACTTATTGCACCTCAGTCACTGGGCATACAAATGTGCAAATATGTCTTGTCCTCAAGGCTTAACGGTTCTTTCCAAATTCAAAGGAAAGGGAGGGCACAGTGGCTCACGCCTGTGATCCTAGCACTTTGGGAGGCTGAGGTGGGGGGATCACCTGAGTCAGGAGTGGGAGACCAGCCTGGCTAACAGCGAAACCCCGTCTCTACTAAAAATACAAAAATTAGCCGGGTGTGGTCGCGCATTTCTGTAATCCCAGCTACTCAGAAGGCTGAGGCAGGGGAATGGCTTGAATCCAGGAGGTGGAGGTTGCAGTGAGCTGAGATCACACCACTGCATTCTAGCCTGGGTGATAAGCAAGACTCTGTCTCACAAAAAAAAAAAAATTCAAAGGAAAATATTTTCTCATACGTTCATAAAGATAAGAACTCAATTAAAAGCCAAATAAACCAAAATAACCTCCTATTTATTAAATCATATTTGTTGATTCTAAGTATCCGTGTATTTCCCGACTTTACCTTTCTGATTTTTTCCATCATTTTTTCCTAATAATAATAATAATTACTATTATTCAGTGGAACATGAAAACAAAATTACTGTTTTTATACACATAAAATCCATGGTCATTTAATTATCATCATGCAAGAGGGAGCTCAGTAATAAGATTGAGTATATATTGTCTTCTGTTTAATTATAGAGGAAGAATATCATGGATGTCAGACATATTGTACAAGGAGAAGAAAAGTAGTAGCATTTGGGACAATCCATTATCAAAAATTCAACATTTTAATAAATAGTATGCTCCTAATAAAAACATTTAAAATGTGTTTTATAATATTTTTCTGAATATTTATTGGCTAATGTAACAGCTCATCATCAAGATATAAATTAAAATTTTCTTGGGAAAAAATAATTATGAGTTTTTATAAGAATTAATATTAATGAAAGAAGTGATAATGTTACTTCCCTGTAAGGACACATCATCCACAGGCAATTCAGTTAAGGTCCTGCTTCTGGATAGGAATGTGAAACAGACCGTATCTCTTCAATGAACACAACAATACTAGATGACTTACTGTAATACTGGGAAAGAAGGTGAGAAAGTGGTCCCAGAGAACCAGAGAACAGAAGTGAAGGCATTTTAAAGAAAGAGGGGACTGGTATTTGAACAATGCAGTAAAAAGATTTTGGGTGAAACAATGACCAGGAAACACTTTATGGTTTTGTAGTTAGTTTACAGAGAAGAAAATCACAAGGTAACTGACATAAAGGTTTGAGTATAGGATTATATGAACGATTATGCCCAGCTGTTCATCATTTTCACAAATTTCAGTATAAGAAGAAATGGACTTTCATTGAAGC
The DNA here is from genome assembly GCF_000001405.40 of Homo sapiens. NCBI lineage: Eukaryota > Metazoa > Chordata > Mammalia > Primates > Hominidae > Homo > Homo sapiens. The sequence goes on from NC_000004.12 coordinate 34,526,532, forward strand.
AAGAGGGACTAAGATTTTATGGAAGACAGAATGAATAGACAGCAGGTTTTAAAACTTGATATATGTTGCAAGGGACATTGTGCAACTAAGTGCAGCAGTCTATATGTGATAGAGAAGTTTAGAAAAAGAGAAATTACTTTGCATTGGAGCAAACAAGAAAGACTTTACATGGGCCTTCAAACGTGAACTGAATTGTGTACTAAAGGATTATCTGAGAGTATTACTGAAATCAGAATTATTAGGAAGGAAATAAAACATAAGAAAATATTTAGAATTTGTACTAATATTAATCTATCAGTTTTATATCTGAATAACTTCCAGAAATTTTTATGCAGCAAGCACTGTTTTAAATAATTTGCATATATTAAGTCATTTAATTGTCATTTAATTCTCACAAAAGTGTTCTGAAGCTAGTCAGGTCTTATATTATCATCACTTTGAAAACGAGAAAACTTAAACACAGAGACAATAGCAGATTGACTGACTATGTCATAGGACTGCTAAGTCACTGAACTCAGTTTTAAATACTGGTAGTTTGGTTTCAGAGACCAAGACCTTAACCACATTGTGTTCCCTTTCCCAAAATCACACATGCCTACATCCACATACCAAATTTGATATGCCAACTCCAGAATATCGAGTTTCCTTCATGATAATTTCCAATTTAAGAATGTCTTTGTCGTTCAATGAATATAATTATTTTAAATAATGAAAGACACATGCATTTGTTTTCTGTTTTTTTTTTCAAAAGAATCTCTCGTAAAAGTTCTTCAGAGATTAAAAAGCAGCTGAAACTGAATTCAAACTTTTATTCTTACAGCAAAAGCAGTAAGATTATTAAGAGAAGGGTAAAAGTGACATAAACATGTTTCTTTCTTTACCACTTTCTTTTATCCCATACATACAAGTATGCTTTTGGCTCTAAGTATGTTTGCAAGTGTGCATTTATATGCATGTGTGTGTGTGTGTAGTTAGTTTAGACAGTTTACCTTTTCTTTACTTATTTTTAAGCTATAGACCCATAACTTCCACGATCACTTAGTTTTCAGTTTGTCATACAAACTCAGTTTAACCCCTTGGTGTCTAGTTAATATATGATGCTCGAAAAAATGATATTAGAGTAGACATTGTACCTGATCATGTAAATTAATGGTGCAGAGTGAGACAGCATTTATTGACTATTTGATACTGGCACAGATTATATTCGGACTCAATAGAAACTTCCTTGACTGTGCATCTTGACATGGTTATTTGATTTTGCCTTTTAGCTTTAGTTCTTTTGTGCTGCTATAACAGAATTCCTGAAACTGGGTAATTTATAAAGAATGTAAATTTATTGGTTCATGGTTCTGGAGACTGGGAAGTCCAACAGCATAGAGCTGGCATCTGGTGAGGACCTTCTTATGTGTCATTCCATGGTGGAAGATGGAAGGTCAAAAGAGGGTAAGAGTGAGAGAGAGCAAGAGGAAGTCATACTCACTTTTAAAATAAATCCACTCCTGGGATAATGTATTCATTTCCATGATAATGAGATTATTTCATACATGAGGATGGAGCCCTCGTGACCTACACACCTCCCATTAGGATCCACTTCTCAACACTGTTGTCATGGGGATTAAGTTTACAACACATTAAATTTGGGGGACACATTCAAAACAAAGCAACCTCCAAGTGCTACAGTTTGATTTTTGCTTCAAGATTAATAGAAAAACATAGTGCTTCTAAGACACCATTTGGATTATTATTTCTCTGTTTGCCTTAAATGTACATTCGAAAATTTCATTTAAAAAAAGAAAGTTATGTCAAATATAAACAGGCCTGAAAACTAAAAGCTTAGTGGTGAATATGAAGAACAGTTTACACAAATGCACTTTATCATAGATATACTTGAAGCCCTCTGACTAATCTCCTCCAATATAATCACTAAAACAATACTCTTTTTTTATTAAGACCTTCTATTTGAAGTCACATCTTCATCATTTGGGGCAGAGTCTTTAAAAAGAAAATACTTACTTAACTGTTTATTCCAGTTGATTGCAGTATTCCCTAGTGGAAGGAAAATAGGTAGCTTGAAGAGTGCATTGACTTGTGCAGATGAAATGGCATCTTAATAGTCTGAAGAGTTAATATGCTCTTCTAACACTCTCCTGCTCCACATTGGCTCTGGGATGCCCTAGTGACCTAAATAAGTCCATATTCAAGTGCATCCTTTAAGACCTAGTGAGAAAAGGAGTACTTTTAGCCACTGAAGAAAATTTAAAGCACAGATTGCCTCATTGTCTAAATTATCCTCAGGGGAAAACTTGACAATTTTGAAAGCTGCACTAACTCAGTAGAAAATGTTACAGAAGAATCCCCTAGTGGTCTGAAGTAGTTCATGCTCAAGTTTCTGCTAAGGTCCAGTCCTTTTCTTTATGTTCAGAAACTCATAGGACTTCTGCTTCTAGGTCAAAATACACAAGGGAGGTCAGTAACAGTGGGCAAGGAGGTATTAGGTAAAGGAAGAGGGATGAGGCCAAAAAGGGCTGAGTCCCTTTCAGTATCATCATCAAGTCTGAAGTTCTTTAAAGTATTAAAATTTGGTGGCTTACTCATGTTGGTGCTCCAGAGACTTTAAACTTCTGACCTAGAATATTTTGACATTGTGGGGAAACAAACAAGCAAACAAACAAGTTTTTTTTTGTGTTGAAACATCTGCAAATGAAGCCAGCAGCTCTGTTGATGCTACAGCTTATTAAAGATGCAAATTAAAAATATCAAAAAGCATGGAAATTTGCTTAACCTTTTACAGAATGTAAATCTTTAATCTGATCTTAATATGAACTTCATTGATTTGCTTTAAGTTTAATAACACGCTGAACCTCAGAGGTGTTAATAGTACCTTTAGTGGTCAAGTATTGCATTTTAGAATTGATAGAAAAAGGTTAATTTGAAATCCAGTCAGGAAAGTATATCATACTGCGCAACATATATCTGCTTTAGTGAAGAACTGACAAACTGCAAATGCCTCAGAGGAAAAATTCTACTGAATTAAAAGCAAGATTAAAGTACTTGGGAATGAATTTACATTCAACTATAAAATAACGCCATTATGCCAATTTTTTGGTGTAACCAGTCGTTTCTGAGGCTTCTGTTACTAAATTAAAAGGTTATGTAATGCAAAATAAAATTGAGGACATTTAAGTTAAAAACACAAATCCAGCAGAAAGTTTTATTTATAAATACTAAATCTCACTTAGTATTTTATTGTTGGCTTATTTTGAAGTTTTTTTTGTTTGTTTTCATTTTATAATACACTTAAATTAGCTATGGTATATTAAATATTAAAAATATGCCATGTAGGAAAGTAGCTACTCCTATAGCCATTAGACCATGATTTAATTTAGTCATTTCAGAAGTAATGTTGATAAAAACAATACAGTATCTAAATGTCAAGAAAAAAAGGCAGTCATTCATGCTTGAACAGGCCATTCCTTTCTTTTTCTTTTTTCTTTTTTTTTTTTTTTTTTTTTTTTTGAGACGGAGTCTCGCTCTGTCGCCCAGGCTGGAGTGCAGTGGCGGGATCTCGGCTCACTGCAAGCTCCGCCTCCCGGGTTCACGCCATTCTCCTGCCTCAGCCTCCCAAGTAGCTGGGACTACAGGCGCCCACCACTACGCCCGGCTAATTTTTTGTATTTTTAGTAGAGACGGGGTTTCACCGTTTTAGCCGGGATGGTCTCGATCTCCTGACCTCGTGATCCGCCCGCCTCGGCCTCCCAAAGTGCTGGGATTACAGGCGTGAGCCACCGCGCCCGGCCCAGGCCATTCCTTTCATCTTCCTTTTATTGGACTCACAAAATATGGCACAATTACTTGACGTCATCTACATACCAAAAAGAGTAGTTTAAGATCACTTTGTCACATGCCAAACCACAGTCTATCTTTGACAATGTAAATTCACCACTGAATATAAGGAATATGGTTAACTACCTTAAAAAATATTTGTCAGAATTACTAGTCACTGGAACCAGATTTCTCAGTGAAATAAACCCTGAAATAGTTTTGGCACATTCTTCATTTCTTTACCTAGTCTAAGGCATAGTCCTTATTGATCTAAAAATAAATAGAGCATCCCTAAGATTAAGTCTTGACTGTGATAACAGGGTAAACAGGTTAGTGAACAATTGTGCCAGTGAACATTTACAGATATCAAATGTTAATTTTCTTAACATCTGACACTATATCAAAGATGGCTGGTTTTGATTCATATTATTGGCACATATGACTTCCATTTTTAAAACTGTAATTTGATTCCCCTACCCAATTTTCAAAACTACTTTTAACCATTTTTTACCTCAATTCTTCCAGTGATAAGAGCATAATATAATCATTACGTTACTGTATCCACAGCCCCCGGATAATATCTAGTGGCTTAGATGATTAATTTCATAAACATTACTCTTGAAATTTAAATAGATTTTGTATTCTTACAATCAAGCATTTGTTTACTCATATTATCATATAAAATATTTTATATTTTGGTGAATGTAGGCTTAATTCAATTCTGGTTTTCAATTGCAAATGCATTCAATTTGTGAACATTTTATTTCTGCAGATTTACACAGTTTTTTGCTGTTTGCAGTAATAAAGAATTCTGTTAATAACAAAATGTTATTTTCTGAAATCCCTCTGAAGAGCATTGAATAAATTTCTGCAGGAAACTTGGTTCCAGCTGGAAATTATTTTGCTCCCATATATGGAAATAGATTCCAATGCTATGGTAATTTGACTCCTCTCCATCACCATCCATTTTTCACACGGCACCTGGAGCAGTCTTTTTTTAAAAATAAGTAAGTTGGATTTGTTCATTCCCCATTTCAAAACTCTTCAAAATGGCCTCTGATTCTGCTTATAATCCAATGCAAAATCTTTGGCATACACTCTGTGGGCCAAAATCATATTTTTCATGCCTATATTTTGAGGGTTATTTTCAGCACTATTTTCTTTAACTTATCGAATAAAAGCCATACTGGTCTTTAATATTTATAACATGTCAGGTTTTATGGAACATTTATATGTACTATTTATTTTTTCCACTTAAATTATTAACTTCTTTCCCAATATCCTTCTGTTCTTGATCTGTTAAACTAATACTTATCCACAGGTCTCCTTTCTTTTTTCACACCCCTGCCATCATAATCACCACAGTTACCATCATCAATAAAATTTTTTGGTTAAATCCTTTCACAGCACTGTTAAGTTTCTCTGTAGTTAGACAAAAATAAATGGATGGTGTATTTTTCCTTTATTAAGAATAGAGATGTACGTAATTCTATTTTAGTTTAGGTTTTTGCTGTGTGTATTATACTTTTAATAGATTTAACACCATATAAATGTAATAAAGAATATAGATAAGAAAGAAAAAAAGCCCACACAAAAACTTGAGAATATGACTTAAGGACTATAGTGAATAATTTCCCTCTCCCAACATGTTACCATTATAATTTTAAAGACCTGTTTACTGTACTTACTTTAACACAGTAAATCACGTTCATCTTTCAACAAAAGATTACAAGGCATATTAAAAGATAGAAAACACAGTTTCAAGACACCAAACAAATATCATAACCAGAGTCAGACATGGCAGAAATGTTGGAATTATCAAACCGAGAATTTTCTGAAACTATCATTAATATGCAAGGGCTTTAGTAGGAAAAATAAAGAGAACATGCAATAATGACAGCTATTGTAAATGGAGAAATGGAAATTCTAAGAAAGAATTTAAAAGAAATGCTAGAGATAAAAACATTGTAACAGAAATGAAGAAGGCCTTTGGTGGACTCATTAGCAGACTAGACACAGCTGAGGAAAGTATCTCTGAGCCTGAGGATATGACAATAGAAACTTTTAAAACTGAAAAGCAAAGAGGAGAAAGATAGAAAGAAAAACACTCAAGGACTATGGAACAACTACACAATGGCAAATACCCCTATTGGGAAAACTAGAAAAAGAAAGAGAAAAAAGAAAAGAAGCAATATTTGAAGCAACAGGAAGAATTTTCTCAATTTAATACCAGGCACAGAACCACAGATGTAAGAACCTATTCTGTTTAATAAATATTTCATACTGCCTTTTGCAAATACATGCCTTCATGCATATGTTAAAAACCATGCATGTGCAATACCAAGAATGAACCTCAATGTGAACTACGGACTTTGGGTGATAACCCTGTGACAATGTAGTTTCATTCACTGTAACAGATATGCCACTCTGGTGGAGGATCCGTAGTGAGAGAGGTTGTACATGTGTATGGGGATATGGATATATGGAAATTCTCTGTATTCCCCACTCAATTTTGCTGTGAAATAAAAAATAAAGATTACTAATTAAAAAAAAAACTCACTTTTTACCACAATGTCCTTTTTAAGATCAACAAAAAAGTAATTTGTAAGTACTTTGTTTAGTAAAGAATAGCATTGAGTAATATCAGTAAGATGATCCCTAATCTGCAAAATGTCAATACAAAAAAAAATAAAAAATAAAGGCAGACAATAGTAAATACTAAGCAGATCCTGAAAGCAAGGTATTTCAAGTGGCCCAAACATGGTAAAGAAATCGGTGCAATAATATATAGTAGTGGAACTATAGAAATATAAATGAATTATGTGATAAATCTCCTGGAAAACTGTTTATACTTAAAAAAAATTACTCAACATTTGTGGCTTCATAGGTAAAATAAAAAAAAATAAACTAAATGATCTGCAACTACCTCTCAGGCCCTAAAGCTATAAAATCTTAAGCAAGTCTTCCTAAAAACCTACTAAGTTCCCAAGGATATGAGATATAATAGAAATATAAAAGTGTAAGATAAATACGGGAAGATAGTTCACAGAATATAATTTTTAAAGGAAATAAGATATGTGAAGCTTAGGTTGAAAGAAAAAGGATGAAAGAGAGAAAGGCTTAGAAAAAAGATGAAATAATGCCCTTAGACAATGATAAATGGAAAGGTAGATAGAGACAAGGCATATAGAGAAAAGGGAAATAAGAAAAATTAGAGAACAGTTCTGCTAAAGGTCAATTTAACCTTCACATCAAAGTTTAACTCAATTTCCTGGATACATTTTGAGGTCAGTAATGTCTTATTAACTTAGTTTTCTCTGCTGCAGCTAGAATCTAAATGTGATTCTTATGAGTACAGAGCATGGAAGGTGTGTAACTGGCTCACAGGTCTTTGAAGGTTTAAGGTCACACTCAGCCAGTGATTGCCACAGCAATCTCATCAGACTCGGGGGACAAGCGTATACCTAAATAAAGTCTAGTGTGTTTGGTACATTAAAATCCTTGATAGGCCATGAGGAAGCCTCTCATTCATAACAATTCCCCCTGCATTCCCAGCTCATCAGGACAGGATACTTCAGGGACAGCAACTGTGGCTTATGAGAAGGCATTCTAGCCTAAAAATTTCAAGTTCAAGTCACAACTTAACTGCTTATTAGCATGTGACTTTATCTGAGTTGCATGGCTTCCAAGAGCCTAAGTTTCCACACCTATGAAAAGCAGTTATATCTCATACGATTTTGTAAGTATTTAGAAAAGATGATAACTATGCAAGTACTTTACTGTTCAATTTAAGTATACTTCATTGATCATCTCAGTTGAGCTAGCAGCTATGACCATTCCACTCAATATTAAATGTATCCTGCCCAGGAAAGATAAGGATTGACATTAACTCAATGTTTTGTTTGTATCACCCACATGTAACACATTCCACATGGATTAACACATTTCATTCTCACAACAATTCAATGATCCGAATTCTATTGCTACCTCCAGTTTACTAAAGAGGATAAATAAGGAGTTCACAAATGAGGAGCTGAGGCACAGATGGTTTATACAATAGCATGTCCAAGGCCACACTACCGGTAGGAATTTATGCCATCAGAATTTCACTGAAGCAGTCCAACTTCATAGGTTTTTTTCCATGTCTGCAATTCTATTCATTATCTCTATATACTGCAAGAAAACTATTGCATTTTTTCTTTCAAAATATTGTTCAGTCATTCAAGTTCCATACTTTTAAAACATGGAGATTTATGCTAAAAACATGTTCAAAAGATAAAAATCTGTCCCCTTTTGTTTTAAATCAGCTTAATGTATCAAATGATTTATGTAAATGAAATGGAGCTCCTAAAAATGAGGTTAATATCTGGGTCATCTGTCCCAGAATGTATGCATAGTATGAAGATTATACAATTGGAGTCATTTCTTAGAAGTCTTATTTTCATGGAAAATCACTCTTTAATAATGAATTGATTTAGGCAGCCACATTCATGATTTTGTCAGAAATTTGTAAATTCACTGATGTCTGAAATCATACATTCTAACCTTATTTCTTCAGCTGCAATCTACATTCCTTAAGTGCAAATAAGTTCTAAGAAGTACAGCATGTGTAAGTTGAATAGTCATGCATGCCTACAGAATTTCTTCAGCAACTCTGCTCATAGCAGGTTTTGAAGGTGTGATAAGCTGAGTAATTTGGGGCGTTAGGCTGTGCGGGAGATGAACACATATCATTAATGTGATATACAGCCTGTGAGCGTAGAGACTGGTGACAGCAACAATGCACATTTCCTGCTTTCCAGTTTTGCTGGCTGCCTGCCTTGCCCTCATTGCTTTGTTATCCACGCCAGGAGATGATAAGTCCAATGGAAATTGAAGTGTTTTAGAAACATTCTAAAATAAACCTCAAACACTTGTTTAGAGAATCTAAGTGATTTAAGTGAGATGTGACAATGGATGAAAAACTGACTGTTAAAAGTGGTATCATTCCCCTATCAGAGCCATTGAAAGAGATTACTTTCATCTTAGGAAGCTGCATTCTCAAATTTGAGTCCCTGGATCAGGGTGGTTAAATCCTAGTTTACCAGTTCAGTTCCAAATGCAAGAAGATGACATGATACAGATATAACTCAATTAAGTTTCAAGATGAACCCCTTCAGTTGTATTTATTATTATACATTGATTCAATATTATATATTATATATATTCAGTATATATATATAAAGCTCCTGTATTATATAGTCATATATATAAAATATATATTCGGTAGCCATATATATTACTTGTATATGAATATAATCATATATAATAATACAGTCATATATATTACATATAACTATAATATGTTCAGATTTGACAAGTTATCAAAAGTTCCAAATCTATTTACACTGTGACCAAAAGAAGCCTCAAATTGTGGGACAAAAGATGAAATAAAGGAAATGGAAAAAACAATTATTTCAATCCACCTAAGAAAATTTAATCCTTTTCATATGTACACACATATAGATACATATTAGCAAAGAATTAAATTTTTGTTCTATTTTCTTAGGTTGGCTGAAAAAATTATTCTTTTCATTTCCTCTGTATTTCCTCACTTAACCCACAATTTTGGGCTACTTTTTGATCACAGGGCAAATCTATTCGGTACTTTTGATAATTTGTCAAATCTGAACATATTATTTATACTGTATTTCTTCTGTGCTAACTCAACCAGGCACTCAGGAAAACTATCTCAAAATTGTCTATCCTGAAAAGCTGTACAAACTGCAGCAAATGCTGTCAATTTTATAACTAGTGAAAAGTGAAATGAGCGCTGATAAGAGGGTGGCAAGATATAAAATGATGGAAAAACCTCACTGCTGTGTCATTTCTTCCATAATAGCATCAACTCTAGTTATGTGCAATGTAATTATATTCACTATAAATTGTTGACGTTCATATCTTCTTTCTCTCTCCAGGGCAAGCCTTGTCTGAGAGCCAGTTGTTGAATTTGTTTTCCATGGCTTTGTAACCCTACTGAGTAATGGTCAAATACAGAGTCGCAGCTCTGTGAGAGGGGCCGGTGCCTGTGGACTTCTATGGTGACCCATAAATGGTCTTAGCAGCAGCCAATGCCTACACATAATGAAGGTAAATTTGGACAATGTAACTGACACGATTTTATAAAATTGGTCTAAAAAGAGCCTCTGCCTGTAACACCAAGAAATAGTTTTTGGTCTAAAAGAAATAAAATTAGATACTGACATAGCCATTCAGGTGACAGATGACGATTTGATTTCCTACTGTAAGTCAAGCAGTGTGCCAAGCACTAGCAACAAATAAGAAAAAAGTTACCTGACCTTAGACAGTTTTAGTTTCATAGAAGGAAACAGATATTAAATACAAAACATGAAAATGTATACCTTGGTATTCTCACTATTTTATTTATTTTTGTTTCTTATATGCACTGTACTTTTCAAGAGATTCTTTGTATAACACAATTCTGCTCTTTTTGCCTAAATAACAACAGCCCTTTGATTCTTCTAAGTGTTTTGATTAAGTATTTAGAGTGAAAAGCAAAGTATATTTTAAAAATTATTGAAAAAAATTATGCACTCTTTCTAAATCGCCATTTTTTTCTTGGACCATTCATTTTATTGACATAAACTCATTCAATTTTAAAAATAAAAGCTTCGAAGATAATCTACATACATTCAAACACACATGATCTAAACATAAAAGTTCAATTGATATTGACAAATATATGCCACCACAATCAAGATATAGAACATTTGTGTCATCCTGAAATGTTCTTTCATGTTTCTCTGTAGTAAGTCCCTCACATTGCCAGTTTCAGGTAACCACTGGTCTATATTTTGCCACTACAGATTAATTTTGCCTTTCTTAGAATTACATATAAATGGAATCATCCAGGGAGTACTCTGTTGCAATTGGCATTTTTCACTCAGCATAATATTTTTCAGATTCATCTGTGTTAGTGAATCAGTAGTTCATTCCTGATTATTTTTGGGCAGTAAATCAAGTTTTGATATAACACAATCTGTTTATCTTTTTATCTATTGATGCACATTTGGGAGGTTTCCAATTTCTGGATATTTTTCAAGAAAGCTGTCTTAAACATTTTGTACAAGTATTTGTATTGACATATTTTTGAATTTTTTTGGGCAAATAACTAGGAATAGAATTAGTGGGTTACATGTTACGTGTATGTTTATAAGAAATTTCCAGGCTATTTTCTAAAGTGATTGTGGTCTTTTATATTCCCACAGACAACTAATTAAAATGTCAATACTAGGTATTTTCAGTCTTTTAATCTTAAACATTATAGTGAGTGTTTAGAAGTATCTCGTTGTTTCAATAGTAGTATTTCATTGTGGTTTTAATTTGCATTTTACTAATGATGAATTATTGAATACATTTTCAGTTGCTTATTGGACATCCATTTATCTTGTATTGGGAAGTATGTCTTCAAATATTTTACCTATTTTTAATTGAATTTGTTGTCATTTTATTACTGACAACATCAAATATATGTATGTATTTAAAAAATGTATATTTGATTACCCAATGGTCACAAAACTCGTTAACTGGCAATTAAGTGAAGGACCCTTTATACTCAGTTGACTACACAATTTTGTTAGCTTTTTCTATAATGATCCTCATGGGTTCCTCTCAAGTTCCATTATTCAGCATGTGATGACCTTACCTTTCCTCTTGCTAAAGCCATGTCTCTATCAGCATCATGATCCTGTGTTTACCAGGAAAGCTGTACCTGGTCTGAGATCTTACACTACTTTCCAGCTATCTATTTATGTCACAGTTTCGTGAATGCTGGCAGTAAAAATGAGACTCTAGAGTCAGAGTCAAAGAAATTTATTACTCACAGCAATAGCAGTAACCAGAGCATCAGATTTTTCTTGTGCTGGTTCCCTAAACTCCAATACTCACAGAAAAACATGAAGAGGACTAGATGATAGCTATACAGGCAGTAGGCTGTATTACAGGCAAGGGAAACTGATACTATGTAATTGAATATTTTATAATGTAAGTTAGCATGCCTACCTTTGCTCCAGAGGAAGATATTACCTTTATTAAAACTGGAAAATAAGTAAACTAGCTTTCTGCTTCAGAGGGAGACACTATTTTTTAAGGCTGATTGCTGCACAAACATTTCTGTGAAGATAGTCACAAAAAAGGCAGTCAGTGCTTCTGTGTGTAAAACATTCAAATATGTGAGAGATCCAGAGAGAATTATCTCTCATCATAAAATTGCATGAATACTAATTAGCAAAATTTCAGATCAGAATGAGAAATAATTAGTATATCTATTAAGCATTATACCTAAAATCACAGGATGATAATAATAACATTCATTCAAAAAGATCTATTAGTCAGCTAGCATGTGCTGAGCATTGTTATAAATGTTTCAGGTTGCAACTGATATTTGAAAAAAATTGTTTTTCAGTATTGTCTTTAGATTTAGACAAGAGGATTGGGTTTCTTAGAAGTCTCCACTTATTACAAAGAAATAAAAATAAATATATTAAAAAACAAATGTTTAACTTTTTTTTTTAACTCGGAATCTGGAGCTTATATCTGGTACAGAAAACACTTAAGACTCTAAACAGCTGCTCTCATCAGTAACAATGAGTAGGCCTCAGTGAAATAATTCTTCCTAGCTCTATCCCTGTATTGTCAAATAAAAGGGTGTGATATGGTTTGGCTGTGTCCACACGAATATCATCTTCAGTTGTAGCTCCCATAATTCCCACATGTCATGGGAGGGATCTGGTGGGGGGTAATTGAATCATGGGGGCATGTCTTTACCATGCTGTTTTCATGATAGTGAATAAGTCTCACAAGATCTGATGGTTTTATAAAGGGGAGTTCCCCTGCACATGCTCTCTTACCTGCTGCTATGTAAGACATGACTTTGTGCCTCCTTCACCTTCCACCACGATTGTGAGGCCTCCCCAGCCATGTGGAACTGTGAGTCAATTAAACCTTTTTGCTTTATAAATTACCAAGTCTCAGGTATGTCTTTATTAGCAGTGTGAGAACAGACTAATACAGGGTGACTCTCCCAAAACCTATGAAGTTATTTGAATTATGTTACTCTTAATTCAGATGATGCACACTGTTTCAGAGTGTAGGAAGGATTGAGTGAAAGAACTTATATCATAAAAAGACAAATTAATGCACTTATATAACTTTAAAATCATCTTCCAGTAGTGGTAAATATCTTTTATTCTTCCTTTCCCTCTCCCCACCTCCTCCTTCTCTTTGTGTTTTATTCATGATTCCAGAGGGTAATAACAAGTGAACTTGACATTTACAATTTCACATGATGCCGAGAAACAGTCATAACAATAAGTCATGATCTTAAATGTGTATTCATAGTTTTTTCTAGACAAAATATTGGTGAAACATTATGCCAAATCTCTTTACACTGTCAGCCAGAGAGATATTGATCCAGTATTGTTAATAATTTTATTTTTTAAATATTCAATAAGATTTCTTTAAACTTTCAAAAATAGGTAAAAATTTAGTTTATGTAGTTTCCTTGAAAGTTGGAACTACTATAATTATATTTTGATTTTAATTCTAACATAATCTTTTAAATTTTTGGAGTAAAATCACTTTGAGAACATCTAAACATTTGTAATATTTTGATCTCAACATTCTAATTTGCTTCTTTTTAAATAATTAAATATTTGTCTTCTTTGAATAGATTTATATTTTTATATTTTTGCATCATCACTTTCCATTGATTATAAAGTATTTGATCTTTAATGTACCCAATTTCTGACATAAAATAAAAGCAAGAAAAAATAATATGCACAGAATAAAAGCATACGATTTTATGAATTTATTATGTTTTTATTTTATTATCCATTCAAACATCACCAGCAAAACAGCAAAACACTCATATGTGCACAAAATTTTTAAAATTCAGCCTTATTTTACATTTTTAACTTTAAAGCTATTTAAAATAGCATTTAGCTATTAAAGCTACTTAAAAAAGCTTTACACATTTATATGTAAATGTTCAAGGAAAGAGGATAGAAGATATGTCATTTAACAGCCTTTGTTAGCTTTGTTTATAAATGTTAAATCTTTAGATATGTCTCCGTGCCTCCATTTTTACTCCTGCCATTAACTCTGCAAAACGTAGGGCTGGGCCTGCAGATTGTAGTGCTTCCTCTCTTCTAAGAAGGACAGCATATTACTTGCAGATAGGAATATAACTGAGAAGTTTCTATTTCAAAGCCTTTGCTAGTTTTGTAATGCTCATGGAAGAACCCTAGTTTGATAGCGTTCTATTAAGAAGAGAGCATCACAAACATTGGCTATGCAAAGTAAATCAAGGGTTCCAATATATGCCACTGAGCTACACCATTTTGAATAACAGAGAAAAAATTTCAGGAGGGAAGTTTATGGGATGCAGGGATGGTAGTAACTCCAGTAAACCCTTCTCTATGTAGAGATGCAACATTTAAGTAATGTTACAAGGAAAAAGAGAAAAATAAATCATGATCTTAAAGCCCAAATTGCAAGCCCAGTCAATGTCATGTCAGGCATCCCTTTTGTGGGGGAAGAGTTGATGAAAATATATGTGGAATGTCTAGCTGCCTTCAGGAATTATTGCTATCACTCTCACTCTAATCTCTAAGGGTTGGTAGATTGGAAATGAAACTGCTGCTTCTAAATGCCGAAGGTGAAATCTAACCTGAAGGGTTACTTGGTAGAGTGGCAACCAAATGTCTGTCTTGTGGGAGTGATGCCTATGCCTCTCTGCTTTCTATGTCTTTAAATTCACTAAGGCAGACACAGATCAGAATTTAGGCTTCAAAATATGTCCTATATCACTATCTACAAAATAGTCGATTTCCCCAAGGGCAATATGAGCTCACACCAAAATACTAGACACCACAAAATATAATGCCTGAAGAAAAAACTGTACAATGAAGTCCATCTGAAGTTGAAATACTGTAACTAACAGATGATAACTTAAAACAACAAAAAAATCAATGCATTTAAGTTAAAAAAGAAGATTTTATCACAATAAAATAAGATTGGGAAATAGAAAAAAATCTAAGTAGAACTGTCGTGTTTAAATTATACAGCATTGGAAATTATCTTTCTGTATTAATGGATAAAGATATAGATAAATAAAAATTTTCAGGATTAATACACTGAAAAAAAGTGAGTAACTGAAAAATCAGATTGAAGCACGTTTCCACCAAAAAGTAGCAGAAAATGATGAAATGATATTAAATATAGGATAAAAATACTGAGGAGGGTTATACATATTCCCAAATAGGGAAAATGGTTTTTAAAAAGGAGACACAACATTTGACATATTAATGAATACACACTTTCAAGAATTAAAGAAAGATAACAGTTTTCAAATTAAAAGTAGTCAGAATATAGAAAACATGATAAAATTTATGTCAAAGAAAAACAAAGAAATAGGAAATCACTTTTAAAAGAACAAAAATCAGATTTACGGCAAACTTCCTAACAGCATCTCCAGATATAGTAAAATGATGAATTAATATTTATAAATAATTGAAGGAAAGAACTTTGAGTAGTGAATGTAGGATCAAGGAAATGTTTCATCTATGTATAATAGCCCAACAAAAATATTATGACTCATTAGCCTTAAAAGATTTTCCAGGCAAAACTTGATTCAAAACATTGTAACAATAAATAAAACAAATCTTCTACAGACATGAAAAGCAAGAATGATCAAATAGCTTATTAAAGCTTACTGCCAACTAAAAATAACAACTAAATTAGCTAGAACAAAAATACAGAAAGAGAAATTATAACCACAATAACCAAAATGATATAGACTATGTATACATAAAAGAAGACAGACTAAAGCAACATGAAAGAAGGCTAACATATTTTCTACTTTTTTTCTATTTTTGTTTTAGTATTCAAATATTTTGTCTTGTTTTATATTTCCCTTCCTGAAAAGTATTAAAGACAGCATTGGCTTATTATGTATTCAATACACAACGATTTTTATTTTTTTCTACTGGGGGTATTCCACTGGAGAGAAAAAAAAAGAAACTTCTACTCTTCCATAGAAAAGCCAACAGGCAAAATTTTAGGAGTATTTTCTCTGAGCTATTCTCCCTTTTCCTACAACTATTCTTAAACTGCCTGTCATTTTCACCAGCACTTGGACAAATGGCCATGTGCCCATGAATCTGTTTAGTACTATGGAGGCAGAGCCTGAATCTGGCTTGAGAAAAACTTCTACCAAATGTTCCTCTAGCCACTTAACATTTGCTTGATTTAGGTACAAATTTTTAATTCCTTGGCACTAAATACATTCATCTGTAAAACAGCAGTAAAGATAACTTTCTTGTGTGCTTTCCAGAGTTTTATAATAATATTTGTGATTGTCATTTACTTTGCAAACTAAAAAAAAGTCCAAAATAGGATGCTTTAATAATATTGTCAGTTTCAATTGCACAACATGCATTAAAGACAATCACTTCATATATTAAATATATCTTTCTAGGTGATTAAGCACTATTTATATGTTTATTTATTTATTTTACCCCAAAAATGTCATTCCTGGAGATACCCAGTCTGCTAAAGAACCTGATGGCAGTTCTAGATTCCTTAAGAAATATTTACTATTTAAATTTAGATCTAGCCTTTAAGCGACCAAGGAGAAACTGTGAACTCTCACGGTAAGTTTGAAAATAAAAAAATAGAGGGGTATATGCAAATAGGAAATAAAGAAAATGGAAGGGAAAGAAAAGGAAAAAAAGGGAAAGAAAAATAAATAATTATTACTATTATTACCAAAATCCAGAAAAAGTCTCAATTGCCCCACAAAATACTCTAGTCTCAGAAGAGCAATAGTTTTTGAGTGCTTCATCTGGCAACTATTTGCCCAGGTGATTATTTTTATGTTCTTAAAAACCTGTAATTCCTTCTGAGTGGTATCTCATAAACACACCCACATAAATAATTAATTGGGTGTTTTACCATTGTTATTTCACATTTTCTATTAGCATTTATTGATTGTATAAAATGTCCATTTTGTTTTCCTTTGTTACATGGACATTTCTACTCTCTATTTAGTCCATTTACATCCTAATATTTATTCATTCTCAGCAGACCCAGCTTTGAATAAATGCTGCCACAACTGCCAAACATTTTTACCTGCAAAATCATACAGCAGAAACTATCTGAGATATAGATACAAAAAATTAGACGTTTATCTTATTTTCACAAGCTAACTAGTAATTCAGTGGAATAGACAATTTATAAGAAGAAGAACTGAATACATATAAAGGGGTAAAGTTATGAAAGTTAAAATGAAAGAGTTGCATTAGAAATGCGGATTGAGAGAAAACTTTAGGAAGCCATAATACTTAAGAAACAATCTACTTAATGAAAAGCTCTTTCTAACTTTTACAACATGGGTAGAAAGATGTATGTAGTGGGTCTGTAGATGACAAAACTTCAGGAATATGGGGGAGAAAGAGCTTGATTATTTGGCTTAGTTGGTGATAAAGGCAGTAAAATCCCCTTCAGTATTAAAAGGTATAGTCATTCCATGGCATGTAGTCACAAAATAGAAAAATAAATTATTGCTAATGGGTACCTAGCAGTGGGACACTTTACTGAAGTGTCTATTAAAGATGAGACTCTGGGAAACACATGTCTGTTGCCATAGAGAATAAAGTGTGCTAGTAATTCAAAGACCATGGGTCAGAGTGGCCATTTATAAAAGATAACACAGCCTTGAAAATATTGTGTGATAAATCCTTGAGATAATCTCTATCTGTGCTAAATAGACCTCTATCTGTCACAGCCATAGGGCTGATTAACCAAAACCCAAATGCACAGTTTGTTCCCACTGATTGGGTGGATAGCATTGATTGCACTCACAGTCTTGCCAGATGCTTACTTTAACAGTTAGGACATGCTCAGGGAAAAAGTGAGAAGGAATGAGATCCTTAGAATCATGTATTTGAGAATTTCAGAAGATGTGATACAACCATACACTTCAACTCATCCTCTTATCCCTTACAAGTAACCGTTTATTACCTAGTTGATTAGGCGGTATCTCCCTTTCCAGAAAATTTTTCAAAATCTATGCTTGGGTATCCACCCAAGAGACCTTAATTTAATTGATTTGGAGTGTGACTTGGGCATTAATAATTTTTACAAGCCTCACAAGTAACTATAGTGTGCCTCAATGGTTGAGATTCATGGACTCAGAGGGTTTTTGTTTGTTTGTTTGTTTTTGTTTTTCCTAATGAGCGAACTGGAATAGCTGGGAGCAGTTTTAATTGCTTTCTTCCCTGCTTGGTTGGTTGACTGAAACCCAATTCACCTATGGTGCTGAGCAAATTAAGTTGAGACGCCAAACATTCTTTAATATTAGCAAAGGAAAGAATACAAAGAGTATGGAGGATGGGAATGCTGGAGTGATTTTAACATATGTGACATGTACATTCTTTTCTGAAATTTATAAGTTTTTGCAAGTCATTGCATTTCTTCTTTATAAAATGAGTTAATAAAGTTACTTTTCTCCTGGGTCTATTGTGAGAATTAAATAGTATATATTGTATATGTCTATATAAATAATATATGTGGATTACATATGTATAAATATATTGTAAATTATAATATTTCTAACTATTAGCAATAGTCATGCTAATGCACATAATAAAAATGATGAAAAGCCCCAAGAGAAAAAGTGGACAACTTTTTATCAGGACCTTAAGAAATATATTGGGGAAGGTTACGTCAACATCATATTGAGAAATATTTTAGGCCAAGGATTTCAATAAGCATGAAAGAGAATCCTAAGGTGTTAGAAGGAAAGTAATAACACTTAACTGCCAGAGGTACGATTGAAATAATTACCATAATAAGCAATAGAGACAGAATGGTAAATTCAAATTACGATTCACATTGACTTTTGTTTTGAGCTAATTGGTCTTGTAGTCAATTAGAATAAAATAGATGTCTTACAAGGTCATACTTATTTATAATAAACAACAAGAAAAGAATCAGGTAAGAGGGTTAGATCTGGCTTTGAGCCACTGTGGCAGACAATCATGGTTTCTTACTCAATTCTCAGATCCAGCATAATGACTTATGGCTATTTATCAATTTCACATTGCACTATGAAAAGAAAATACCTTAATGTTTCCCAGATATTGACATTAATTTCTGGAGAACCAAAGACCACTACTTGCTACTTTCCACTGGTTAAAATAATGGAGTATGGCAATTGGATCCAACAGAATACCAAGCATCTTGCTTTGAAATTTCCTGAGTATTCAGCCTAGGTATCTTCATCAAATGAAGGGTTTGACCTACTGGCTTTCTGATTCCTTCAAGAAATTCTACATGTAAGTAAAGAGGTAAGAGGATGATTGGTTGACACAAACAGTTTTGGGAAAGACATACTTAAAAATTACCATTTGGCATAAATACAGAGTAGGATAGTATTTACCTATTTGAATGATTACTAAAAATTCCCCAATAAAGAGGGAAAAATGGCCTTCCTGTGGATTCAAGTTAGCCATTTTTTCCACAGCTAGCTCAATTTTACCCAATGAAATCATTAACTACATGTATATATTGACAGAGGTGGAGATCGTGTGAGGTGGACGGCATCCCCTGCCTTATCCAAGGTGAAACTGGTTATTGTTTTAAAGTTACTTAATAGTCCAGCAGCAGTGACCAAAGCAAAGCAGCTGATAGAATATCATATTCCTCTACAAAGAAGAGATAGTTGATCGCTTTGGACCCATGCCATCATAAAGAGGCTTTTTAATTCTATCATGTTGTTAAGTGTAGGATATTTTACATATATTATGATATCCCACACAGCAGCACTACTTAAAAATAGTAACTCTGCAGTGAACAAAGTAAGGCAATAGCTTATGCCCATGGAATGCACTGCTTAATTCATGTTCTAATTCACTCAGATGATGCCAAATCATGAAAAAAGAGAAATGTTACATTTAAGATTCCTTCAAAGTTTGGGATGACATCTTGAAGAATGAATTGCATGCTCTGGACAAACTGGTGCTGTTTTTTTCATATCCCAAATACTATAGGTACATAATGGAGCAGAAATGTAGCTGATACATTTTATGATTTTCTCCAGTGATTTCTTTCCAAAATTATTACCTCCTCTTCCAGCATCTAGGGGTGCTATAGAGTTAAATGTTTTAGCAATTAGAAGGGTAATGTTTCAAATAGGAGACAATAGGATTCCTTTTAATTTAGAAGAGAAGATTCTACCTAGTTCTTTTGGTACTTTCATCTCTTAAATACGCATGAAAAAGAAAAACTAGAAGAGGGTGTTACCATTGTCTCAGGAGCAAGTCTGGCTAAAATCAGGGACAGCGTAGGACTGTAACACTGGCCGTAAGAAGTATGAAGAGGAGAAAAGGGAACGTCTTGAGGTCTTCCTTTATTCTACCAATGACTAGTGCAAAATGTCATGGAAATAATTCGCCTTTATACAGAGACCCTAACAAAAAGATATCAGTTATCTCAGCAATGAAAGTTTCAGTCACTGTATTACGTGAAAAACTTAGGCCACCTGGGTGTTGCTTGAAAACAAAGAGAATGTAGAAAGGGGTGAGAGGTTCAGCACCATAAAGCAAGGCTATAGGTTTGTAATCAACTGCAGAAATGAGGACTTTTTGACACTCATAGATCATCTTCTCTTTAGTTTCGTGTATATATTACATACTTGAGGTAATTTCTTTTCTTTAAACAGAAATAGATAAGTATGTCACCAAGAAATATGGGGCATGTACCTGGACATGCTATTGGGTCCTTTGATGATACTTTGGGTATTTTTCCTTTGGGTAAGGGGAGTAAGCATATGTTGGGTTGAGTGTGGCAATATGTTATGGACAATAAATTTTATTTTTATTTCAGAAGTATTACAGGAAAAGGAATATATTAGATTTGGGGGTGGAAACAGATTAAAATGAATTGAATCTTGTAATAGATTTTACTATGGGTTCCAAAATTTGTAAACTTTCTGAATTTTGCAGTGATTCTACACAAAATGAGGACTGATGAAACATAAAAGCTATCATCTAATACAACAGCTAGGAAGTCTACTTGTTTGTTCTAACCACACACCCACATTCACGCACCAGCGCAAATTCCAGAGAGCTACAGACAAATGACAGACTCAATCTGCTGATCCTACTCAGGATTTTTAACCTGGAACAAGCAATTTAAAGAAGCAGATTTGAGAACTAGTCCTTCTAGTGGAAATACAATAGCAGCATAAGCTGTATTCAGCAATGGGAGTCAGTGATGTTCAAAATGACATTAGCATCTGCAGAGGCAGGGGCTTCCACAGAATGTTTTCTTTAGGTGACTTTGTCTGTGTTCCCTGCCATCTAAAACTTCTAAATTTGGGCCAATTTTTTGAACATGAGTTTTATCTTCCCAATTATTCTGAGATCTACCAAATATCATCTAACAAAGTATTTATATGTCTAAATTAACGGGAGTAAAATTAAGAAGTTTGCCATGTGATATAAATATAAATGTACATAGGGTGAAATGAATCCTGATGTTGGTAAAAGGCATTTAGCACTTTGGGAGGCCAAGGGGTGGATCGCCTGAGGCCAGGAGTTTGAGAACAGCCTGGCCAACATGGTGAAACCTCATCTCTACTAAAAATACAAAAATTAGCCAGGGGTGGTGACACGCACCTGTAGTCCCAGCTATTTGGAGGCTGAGGTGTGGGAATTGCTTGAACCCAGGAGGTGGAGGTTGCAGTGAGCTAACCTCAAACCTCAAACCAGAGCAAGACTCTGTCCACCCCCCTCCCTCAAAAAAAAAAAAGCAACATAGCAACAACAGTAAAATACTTCAATTGTGATTGACCTTGGAGATATACACTGGGACTGCTTCCTTTTCTTAGAAGAGTGAGCTGAAGGTTAGAAGTGATAGAATTTACTTAAAATGAGTAACTAAAAATAACAAATTGAGCATTTACAATGTAGTAAGAAGGGACCCGGCTGAGTACTTCAAATGCATCATTTTGTTTAATCCTAAAAAATATTTTGAGAAAGTTATTATTTTTATATAAATTTATTATTTATTTTAGACTGGGTATTTTATTTTTCTTAGCTTATCTGCTGTAACTCTTAAAGGTGTTGTTTTAGTAGCTGCATTAGGATTTATGCTCCACATTTCAAACTTTTTAAAGTCTCCCATCAAGTGATATTATAGTAATTCATGTAAAATATGAGAATTGTATGTCATATAAGGTTTGGTCTTTTGACTTTGTGTTTTTAAGCTTTGTTGGGGGAACAATAGTATACTTTATTTCTCTTCTCTTAGCCTTTGTGCTATGGTTGTTGTGCACTTTTATACATATGTTATAAACCCCATAATACATTTTTATTATTTTAATTTAAAAAATCAATGATCTTTCATAGGGATTTAAATAATAAGAAAAAAAATTATCACTCCTATAGCTACCAGCTCTGGTGCTCTTCACTACTTTTGTAGATACAGACTTTCATCTTGCATAATTTTCTCTCTGCCTGTAGAATTGCACTGAACATTTCTTATTCTTGGGACTAGAATTATTAAATTTCTTTCTTTTTTGTGTCTGAAAAAGTTCCTGCTTTTGTGTTTGAAAGATATTTTCATTGATATAGAATTCTGGATTGATGTATTTTAGAAATCTCGATCATTGTTGTATACCAAAGAACTTTTTCTTGCCCAAGAAGAAATCTAGTTTTTGATCTCCACTCATGAAAAGTAGCATCTAAACCTTTGGAACATCCTGCTGAAAACTGTCTTTGTTTAGCTGGGAGCATTGGGCAATGCCCATTATTCTGACAATGTAATTTATGGTGGGAGCTGTAGTTTATGCAGTATCAGTTTGATCTCTGGAGGGGCTGTGACTTGAAGTAATCCATGTGAGCAGTTAACCATGTCCCCATGATCAAGTTTCAGTAAAGTCTTTAGACACCAATGAGCTGGGGAGCTTTCTTGGTTGGCAATACTCTTCATGTTCATTGTAACACAACATTGACAGGAAAGGTAGCATTGTATGCAAATTCTCTGGGAGAGGACAATTCCATGTGTGGAACTTTCCTGGACTCTTCCCCATGCATCTCTTCTTTTATTTTCATCTTTTTGTTGTTGTTGTTGTTGCTGTTGCTGTAATAAACCATGACTATGTTAAGTACAAGAGCTCTCTGTGAGTTTTGAGTCCACTATGTAAATTATCAAAATTGAGGGTCATCTTGGGGACTCCCACACTTGAAATTGGTGTCAAAAGTGAGGACAGCCAGTGATTTGAAATATTTTCAAATTTTACAACTGTCTTCTGGTTGCATTGTTACATGAAGATTTGTTGCTATTTTTATCTTTTTTTCTCTGTATGTCATGTTTTTTACCTTTGTTTGCTTTTACGCTTTCCTCTCTTTTTACTGGTTGTAAGCAATGTGGTCATGTATATTTCTTCTATGTTCCTTGTGTTTGTGCTTAATAACTTTTTGATATGTGTGTTTATAGTTTCAACAAATTTGGGTTATTTTTAGACTTTTTTTTTTTTTAAAAAAGGTTTTTTGTTCCCCCCTTGTTTAGGGACTCTAATTAAATATATCAGGCCACTTGGCATTGTCCAAATAACTTATGTTTTGTTCTTTTTTTAAAGTAGTTTTCTTTCCGTGTTTAATTTTGGGTTGTTTTTATTGTTACTTCTTTAAATTCACTACTCTTTTCTTATGTAATATCTAATCTACTGTTAATCTCATCCTGTGTATTTTTCATCTCATACTTTGCACTTCTAGAGATTACTTTGGTTTATTTCACATGTTCCATGTCACTACTTAACATCATCAATTCTTTTCTTCTAGCTTCTTGAACATATATAACATAGTTTTATAATTTTTTTAATGCCCTTATTAACTAATTCATCATTTATTTTATTTCTGGACCCATTTTGAGTTGTCACTTTGTATCTTTATTGCATGGCTAGTAACTTTTTTACTTTATGCCAGACTTTGCAATCTATCTTGTTGGGTGCTAAGTATTTTGCATTGTTATACATATACTTGAGTGTTTTTTTTTGTTTTATATATTATTTATTTATTTATTTGTTTTTTGAGACAGGGTCTCACTCTGTCACCCAGGCAGAAGTGCAATGGCATGATCTTGACTCACTGCAGCCTTAACCTCCTGGGCTCAAGCGATCATCTCACCTCAGCCTGCTGAGTACCTGGGATTACAGGCACACGCCACCATACCCAGCTAATTTTTGTTTTTTGTTTTTTGTAGAGAAGTGGTTTTGCTATGTTACCCAGGATGGTTTTGAACTCCTGAGCTTAAGCAATCCTCCCACCTCAGCCTCCCAAAGTGCTGGAATTACAGGCGTGAGCCACTACACCCAGCCATACTTGAGTTTTTTTGGTCTGGAATACAGCTATGTGATTTAAACTCAATTTGATTATTTCACTTCTTGGTTATTTTTTTGAGATGGAGTTTCACTCTTATTGCCCAGGCTGGAGTGCAATGGTGCAATCTCAGCTCACCGCAACGTCCACCTCCCGGGTTCAAGCGATTCTGCTGCCTCGGCCTCCAGAGCAGCTGGGACTACAGGCATGCGCCACCACGCCTGGCTAATTTCTATTTTTAGTAAAGATGGGGTTTCTCCATGTTTGTCAGGCTGGTCTTGACCTCCCGACCTCAGCTGATCCATCCGCCTGGGCCTCCCAAAGTGCTGGGATTACAGGCTTGAGCCACTGAGCCCAGTCTCACTTCTCGGTTTTAAGCTTTGTTGGGTGGGGCAAGAGTAGCGTTTAGTGGAGGATAATTTTATCTCACTATTGAGGAAAAAAATTTTGGATGCCCCATAAATTGTGAGAATTTCCACTGTGGTGGGTGGTAACAAGAACTAGTCTATGTCCTTTACAGGAAGGGAGCGTACTCCTGTTCAGGAAGAGCACTGCTGATCAGTATTTTTCTGAAGACTCATACAAAACTCTGTGCAGAATTCCAGCACTGTCTCTCTGTGCAGCTCTCTTTTCTTCGTGTTCTACTCTGTGAATCCTAGCAGCCTTAACCTCTCAAACACTAAGCTTTATCTTCTCAATTCAATGGGGCTACTCAAAGACTCCTCTCCCTGTGCCAAAGACAAGAAATTCTCTCAAGGGTGAAAGCTTGAATAATCATAGTGCTCATTTTATTTTATTTCTATCTCTCAGGGACTACTGCCTTTTGCTGTTTAAGACTTTTGTTGCCTAAGAGTACTGCCTTTTCATATCCATTGCATGGAATAATTGATTTAATACATTTTGTATATTTTTAGTTATTTCAAGTGTGAAATATAGCCAGTCCCATTTTTTAATGTTTAACAAAAGTGATAGTCTATAATTTTAAATATATTTTAAAAACAATTTTGTACATACTTTAGTAATGATGCACCAACAGGTTAAAGAGTTTACACAAGATTATAGGGCTAAAAAGAAGTTATAAGGGGTTCAAACCCAGGGTATCTGACTTACATTTAAAACTTGACGTTTTATTTTCAAAGAGTGCAGTAAGTTTTAGAGAGTATTAAAATGAAGATTACTGACATATATCATGGTGCTCATTTCACTAGATTATATCATGTTTATCCTCTGAAATAGCATTATTAGTGTTTTTAATGACACTTTAACAGAAAGATGCCATTTGATAAAATTCACCTAATATCCATAGAAGGCACAATGCTCATTCAGCACTCAAAAATCATTATTCCAGCTACTATAATTACCATACTGTAACAGAGTTTTCTCTGGAAATTGGTATAAGTTAAATAACTGGACCATTCTCTCCAGTGCTTACCTGTTTTCAATCTGATAAAGAAAATCAATAGCCAGGTTAGTAAGCAAATATTTGGCAAGCAATGCATTTCTAATAATGAAACTGATAATTATACTTCTTTCATAGAGCTGTAATTGAATGAATTTAATTGCCTCTTCCGTTTAACTTTAATGCTAGGTTTCAAATTGTTGTATGGACAGGAAAGTAACATTAGAAAAATTACTCTACTGTTGCTTTCTTTTCTATACAGTGGTTTGAACTCAAGCAATAAAGTTAAATGAAAAAGGCTCTATACTCAATTTTCAATTATAGTAAAGGCAGGGAGCCACAATTATCCCTTTCATTACCATGATGCTTTTCATTGCTGCCTAGGAAACTTCCTCCCTGTTGTTTTTTGATGCTGCTGTGCTTCTCAAAATGAAGAGCACTTGAAAATGGAAGGTTAAAAGTAAGGAACCAAATCAAAGGGAAAATGTGAAAATGTAAAAATTGACATTATCAAGATGAAATGGTGAAGAAAAATATGTGAATTGATAAATTGACTTTCAGAAACTCTATGGGGGATGGAGAAACTTTGAAAGATTTAACCAATCTTTATTTCAAATTTTGTGATTATAATTTAGCTATCTAAAATTTTAAAATCGTCAAGCAATATTTGTTAATTTCAATTAGAATATTTTCATCAGTTTTCAAATGAACATCTAGTAGTTTTCTACATTATGGTAATTTCTCAAGAAATTAATCCCAAGAGCCTTTAATTAGGCTTTTTCTTCAGTCACTTGTTTCACTGTCTAGTTCCATATATTTATTCTGAATTGTTGTCCATGCTAGTAATATGTCATATTAACTTCTTTATTTTGAGAGTTTTTTATTCTAAACACTAAATTGCTAAGTACTTGTCTTAGTCAGTTCAGATTGCTAAAAAATAATAATTCAGAAGGGCTCCATCCAGTGTCCTCATGGACCTCTCAAAGCTCCACCTCCAAACATCATTATGTTGGAGATTTAGGCTTCAAAATATGACTTTAATGAGGATACATTCAGGTAGCAGTAATTAATAACATTACTCTGCTATTTAAAAATTAACATGGCTAACTGTTAATCAAACTTTTGTCTTAAAAAGTAGCCACAGAGATACAAATTTTAATGATAAAAATAATGAGTAAGAATAATGATGAGTCTTGACTCTTGATTGTCCTTTTCCTGAGAAATCTGAAATTAAGTACCTAGCCCATTAGTTTATTAAACTGGCCTGAATACAGTGAAATGGGAAGTATGGGATTAAAACCCACACAGAACACAAACACACACATGTGCATGCAGCCATCTCATACATACATGTATGCACATTCATGCACTTTGCTAATTATTATAAGTAAAAATTATTCACTCAGATCTACCAGAGATGTGTTAGTACATGATGCTTCTACAAAACAACCAGGGTTTAAGAGGTTATAGTGTATCCCTACAGAAGGGTTTATGCTCAACTCTCTGAGAATTAGCCGAGAATTATCGGGGGAAACTGCCCCCGATAATTCAACGTGGGTCCTTTTCTATTTTTCCTAAGTGTCGGCCAGTCTGAGAAATAAAGGGAAAGAGTACAAAAGAGAGAAATTTTAAAGCTGGGTGTCCGGGGGAGACATCACACATCAGCAGGTTCCGTGATGCCCCCAAGCTGCAAAACCAGCAAGTTTTTATTAGTGATTTTCAAAAGGGGAGGGAGTGTACAAATAGGGTGTGGGTCACAGAGATCACATGCTTCACAAGGTAATAAAATATTACAAGGCAAATGGAGGCAGGGCGAGATCACAGGACCACAGGACTGGGGCGAAATTAAAATTGCTAATGAAGTTTCGGGCACACATTGTCATTGATAACATCTTATCAGGAGACAGGGTTTGAGAGCAGACAACCAGTCTGACCAAAATTTATTAGGTGGGAATTTCCTCATCCTAATAGGCCTGGGAGCGCTACGGGAGACTGGGGCTTATTTCATCCATTATCTGGGAGCGTAAAAGACAGACGCCACCAGAGCGGCCATTTTAGAGACCTCCCCCTAGGAATGCATTCTCTTTCTCAGGGATGTTCCTTGCTGAGAAAAAGAATTCAGCGATATTTCTCCTATTTGCTTTTGTAAGAAGAGAAATGTAGCTCTGTTCTGCCAGGCTCTCAGGTAGCCAGACCTAACGGTTATCTCCCTTGTTCCCTGAACATTGCTGTTATCCTGTTCTTTTTTCAAGGTGCCCAGATTTCATATTGTTTAAACGATTTGTGCAGTTAACACAATCATCACAGGGTCCTGAGGCGACATACATCCTCAGTTTATGAAGATGATGAGATTAAGAGATTAAAGTAAAGAGAGGCATAGGAAATCACAAGAATATTGATTGGGGAAGTGATAAGTGTCCATGAAATATTCACAATTTATGTTCAGAGATTGCAGTAAAGACAGGTGTAAGAAATTATAAAAGTATTAATTTGGGGAACTAATAAATGTCTATGAAACCTTCACAATTTATGTTCTTCTGCCATGGCTTCAGCTGGTCCCTTCATTCAGGGTCCCTGACTTCCCACAACAATAAGTAAAAATTATTCACTCAGATCTACCAGAGATGTGTTAGTACATGATGCTTCTACAAAACAACCAGGGTTTACGAGGTTATAGTGTAACCCTACAGAAGGGTTTATGCTCAACTCTCTGAGAAAATACTGAGTACAGATTTAAAAAAATAAAACTCATAGTATGGAAATCTTTCTTCTAAAGATAATCATACTATTTTATTGTTGTCTGTGAAAATACGTGCATGCACATAAAGCTTTACATGTACTTGCTAAGAATTATTTTTACCATTTAAAGTATGATGGAAGTAGCCTCAAATTATTTAAGAGGGTTAATTAGCACAGATTGAAAGTGAAGCTGGAACACAGAAACTATGCCTTTTAAACTATTAAGCTAATAATTAACCCAGAGAAATTATCTATTTGGTGACACAGTTTTAATAATGTTATGAGACACATAATTTACATATTTTTTTTTGTTTCTGGTCTGTTATTAATTATTTTCTGTTTTAATAAGAAGGTCAGAGAGGGTTTGTCTGTTACATTTTAGCTGAAAATTAAAATTTTGCTTTCTTTTTTCATATAACTTAAGCATAACATTGTTTCATATGAGAATAATTTGCAATATCAGATCCCTGGCTATCCTCAATCATTTCTACGAAAAATTCCAAATTATTAAGATTAATTATAAATGTTTAAGTATTCAATTTAATATGTATAGTATTTATTTCAAAATTAAATGTTAATATTTACCTAGTATCATTTTATTTCTTATACATTTTAAATTACTTATATAATAAAATATGCAAATAACTCCTTACTATCAAAGCTCATATAACAACTTAAATATTTCAGGGAAAAAGTTGGCATGAAACACATTTCTGTTTCATTTAAAAATAGATAATATTGGGATGGCATCTCTTATTCTTCTTAATTTACACATTATGGTTCTTACATCATTCAAAGTTTTATGAGTATAATTTGGCAAATTGTTTTAATAAAGACAGATATAATAGTTCCCAAGCCACATGCTTTTTTGCAGTGTTACCTTCCAATTTACCCAGAGCTGGATGGAATCTATATCTTCTCTAATTTTAGCAGGCCACTTACTGCTTTGACCAAAGAATATAATGGAAATTTGTGTCAGCGCTGGTTATAGCCATTCACCAGCCTGGGAACCAAATAGATTTATGTGAAACTCAAGTATTCTAGTTTTCTAAAGAATAATCTTAAAAGTCCATAGCATTATGGAAAACAAAATATAAAATAAATGAGGATGATTTTTAGGTATATTTTATTTGTATTTTAAAGCAGTAATTATTTACCATCTTTTAATTAAACTCGTTTACTTAATGATATCAATTTTTTCCTGATTTATTAAGAAATGATGGACAAAAGAACATTGTATATATTGAAGGTGTACAGTGTGATTTAATATACCTACACATTGTGAAATAAATACCACAATCAAGCTAAGCGGTGGTGCATGGTGGCTCACACCTCTAATCTCAGCACTTTGGGAGGCCGAGATGTGCAGATCACCTGAGGTGAGAAGTTAGAGACCAACTTGGCCAACATAACAAAAGATAACAAAACCCCACCTCTCCAAAAAAAAAAAATTAGCTAAGACTGGTGGCGCACACCTGTAATTTCAGCTACTCGGGAGGCTGAGGCACAAGAATCACTTGAACCCAGGAGGCAGAGATTGCAGTGAGCCGAGATCATGCCACTGCTCTCCAGCTTGGGTGACAGAGGGAGACTCTGTCTCACAAAAAAAAAAAAAAAAAGAATGAAAAAGAAAAATCAAGCTAATTAATATTCCCATAATATTCCCATTGCCTACATAGTTACCTTTTAAAATTTTGTATGCTTTAGATATCTCTCTATTTCTCCCACCACAAGCATTTTCTATCTATACTTTGTACTTTCTGTATGAGCTTCATATGAGATCATGCAGTATTTGTCTTTCTGGGCCTGGCTTATTACACGCAACATAATGTTCTCCAGGTTCATCCATGTTGCACCAAATGACAGAATTTTCTTCTTTTCTAAGGCTAAATAATGTTCCACTGTGTGTGTTTGTCTATGTCTTACATTTCTTTAGACATTCATCTGTTTATAGTTATTTAGATTGTTTCCATATCTTGACTAGAGTGAATAATCCTGCAATGGATATGGGGTGAAGACATCTCTCTGACATATTTGTTTCATTTCCTTTGGGCAAACATATCCAACAGAGGATTGATGGCTCATATGACAGTCCTATTTTTAACTTTTTTTTTTTTTTTTGATGGAGTCGTGCCTCTGTTGTCCAGGCTGGGGGACAGTGGCTTGATCTAGGCTCACTACAAGCTCCGCCTCCCAGGTTCACGCCATTCTCCTGCCTCAGCTTCCCGAGTAGCTGGGACCACAGCCACCTGCCACCATGCCTGGCTAATTTTTTTTTTTTTTTGTATTTTTAGTAGAGACCGGTTTCACCCTGTTAGCCAGGATGGTCTCAATCTCCTGACCTCGTGATCTGCCCTCCTCGGCCTCCCAAAGTACTGGGATTACAGACATCACACCCGGCCTATTTTTAACTTTTTAAGGATCCTCCATTGTGTTTTTTTTTTTTTTTTCTTAATGGCTATACTAATTTACATTTCCACCAACAGCATACAAGGGCTCCCTCTTCTCCACATTTTTTACATTTGTAATATTTGACTTTTTATA
Organism: Homo sapiens; assembly: GCF_000001405.40. Lineage (NCBI taxonomy): Eukaryota > Metazoa > Chordata > Mammalia > Primates > Hominidae > Homo > Homo sapiens. The sequence continues at coordinate 34,557,480 of NC_000004.12, forward strand.
TTAGCCATAATAAAATATATTTCATTGTGATTTTGATTTTCATTTCCTGGTGATTAGTGACGTTGAGCACCTTTTCATATAACTTAGGCCATTTGTATTTTTTTCCTGTGGAAAAACTTCTGTTCAGGTCCTTTGCTCAATTTTTAGTTGGGTTATTTGGGTTTTTTGCTATTAAGTTGTATGAGTTCCTTGTATGTTTTGGATATTAACACCTTATTAGATACATGGCTTGCAAATATTTTCTTCCATCCCTATGATGAAAGGATGTTACAATGTATGCAAATCAATAAATGTGACATACCACATTAGCAAAATAAAGGATAAGAATCATATAATCATCCCAAAAGACGCAGAAAATGTACTTGACAAAATTTAACATCTTTTCAAGATAAAAATTCTCAACAAATTAGGTATGGAATGAATGTACCTCAGTATGAGAAAGGTCATGTTTGGCAAGCCCACAGCCAATATTATTGTCAATAGTGAGAAGCTAAAAGCTTTTCCTCTGAGATCAGGAACAAGACAGGGGTGTACATTCTCACCACTTCTCTTCAACGTAGTGCTGAAAGTCCTAATCAAAGCAATTAGGTAAGAAAAATAAATATTGAAATTAGAGACGATAAAGTAAACTGACTCCATTTGCAGACAACATAACATTATATATAGGAAACCCTATATAGTCCCTAAAAATTGTTAAAACTAATAAATGAATTCAGTAAAGTTGCAGGATACAAAAGCAACATACAAAAAATCAGTTGTGTTTCTATACAATAAGAAGCTATCCAAAAAATTAAGAGAATAATCATTTACAATAACATCAAATATAATAAAATATATAGGAATAAATTTAACCAATGAGGTGAAAAATATGTTCACTGAAAAATATGAAACTTTGATGAAAGAAATTGAAGAAGTTACAAATAAATGGAAAGATCTGTTGTGTTCATGAATTCGGAGAGTTAATATTGTCAGAATGTCCATATTACCCAAAGTAATATACAGATTCAATGCAATCCCTGTTAAAATTCCAATTGCATTTTTCACAGAAATAAAGAAAACAGAATCTTAAAATGTATATGGAATCCCAAAAGATCCCAAATAGATAAAACAATCTTGAGAAAGGAAAACAAAGTTGGAGGCATTACACTTCTTAATTTCAAATTATATTACAAAGCTATAGTAATAACAGCAGTATGGTTTTGACATAAAACATCCACACAGGCCAATGAAACAGAATAAAATGAAATTAAACTCTTATCTTACACAACACAGAAAATTAAATTGAACTTCTATCTTACATACTGAAATTAAACTCTTATCTTACACAACAGTGAAATAAAACTCCTATGCAACACACAAAAATGAACTCAAAACAGTAAGACCTGAAACTATAAAATTCCTATAACACAGGAGAAAATATCTTTGACATTGGTCTTGGCTATGATATGACACCAAAAGCACAAACAACAGAAGGAAAAATAAACAATTGGGGCAGCATCAAACTTAAAATTTCTGCATAGCAAAGGAATACTTTTAAATGAAACATAAATAATGAATAAAACCATGACATGTTGCAAATATGGGAATTATAAAACCTATACGCTAAGCACTTGAACAATGCAAAATTATACAACCAGTAGTCATCAACTATACAATACTTAAAATCAGTTGGCATAAATAATAATTTAGAAATACCACTTAATCCAGCAATTCCATTACTGCGTATATATTCAAAGGAATATAAGTCATTCTATTATAAAGACACATGCACACAAACGTTCACTGCAGCACTGTTCACAATAGCAAAGACATGAAATCAACCTAAATGCCCATCAGTGATAGACTGGATAAAGAAAGTGTGGTATATACACACGGTGGAATACTATGCAGCCATAAAAAATAACAAGATCATGTCCTTTGCAGGGACATGGATGGAGCGGGAGGTCATTCTTCTTAGCAAGCTAACACAGGAACAGAAAGCCAAATACTACATGTTCTCACTTGTAAGTGGGAGTTAAATGATGACAATTTATGAACACAAAGAAGGGAACAACAGACACTGGGATCTACTTGAGTGGAGAGGATCAAGAGTGGGGGGCAGAAGAGGATCAGGAAAAATAACTAATGGGTACTAGGCTTAATATCTGTGTGATGAAATAATCTGTGTAACAAACCTCCATGACACAGGTAACCTATGTAATAAACCTGCACTTTTACCCTGAACTTAAAAGTTAAAAAAATTAAAATAATATGTATCAGAATACCTGCTGATAAAATTTTAGAAAACTATTATATAGCTGAGAGCAGAAATGTACCAATTATTAATAGCTGAATAAAAGAAATATTCATAAACATAGAGGCTGAAACCACAGTAAGTACATAGTAGCTCATAGTTACTGTAGCTTAGAGAATCAGGAGCAGCTTAACTGGGAAGTTCTGTCTCAGTGTCTCTCTTAAAGTTGCAGTTAAATTGAATTGTTAGCTGAGATAACAAACATGATGAAGGCTGAAGATCTGCTTCCAAGGTGGCTCACTGACATGGCTGGCAGGTTTTTGCTGGCTATTGGTAAGACCCTCAACCTACCAACAGTTTAGTCCCATATGGGTCTTCCTCAGGGTTGAGTGTCTTCATTACTTGGTAACAGGCCCCCACTGTGAGCAATCATGAATGAGAAGAAGGAACAGCAGCATCAATGCCATTTATATTCTACTCTTGACAATCATACAATATCATTTTTGCCATATTATATTTACTTAGAGACACAAAGTCCAGCCTACATTCAAGCTGGACTTTGTGTCCACATTTTAAAAGGAAGGATACCAAAGAATTTTTGGATATACTTTAAAACTACCACAAGAGGTAACCCAATTTGATTTCATCATCACTTAAAAAATTAATTGAAGCAAAGTCCTTGGCTTACAGTTTATGCATGTTAAATTGAAAGAGGAACAGATTTAAAAACAATTGTAGAGTTTCTATGTGATGTTTGCCTCTCTAGATAGTTTTAAGTAGATGTACTCTCATAATTCAAGCAATTCTCATTGTAATATTAATATGTTAACTAACATATAAGAATAATACTAAGAAAGCACACCACATTTTTTTCTACTGTGTTTATATATAAACAGGGGCTGGCACTACTGATTGTGAGTTTAGGTAGTTGATTTCTCTATATTTTAACTAAACACAGCTTATTATTATCCAAATGAAAAGGAAGTAATTTTTAATGTGACACTAATCTTAATCTTAAAAGTTTTGATATGTTATTTAACACAACAAACTGAAGCAGTCTATTTCCATATTAAAACATTATTTTATTATTAATATTTAATAATCTTTCAGTAGAGTAGAGAACAAGTAAAGTCATTAAAGAATTTAAATTCAGTATTTGCCACTCATAAACTTGTTTGGAAGATAATTTATTTGTATCCTAGTTTACTTACCTGTATAAGAGGATAAAAACATCACCTATTCTATGAGGCTGTTGTGAGGCTTAAAAGTCTCAGAAGAGTATAAACATGTAGCAAGTAATCAATAAATTTAAGCTATTATAGTTATTAAAAACAATAAGTATTCTTATAATAAGGGTTTCTTAATTATTTTGATTTTGAAATAGCGAAATAACCTCCAGTTCAGGATTTTTTCTTACGATGCAAGTATCTATTTAAAAGAGAAAAACAGAAAAGGAAAAAACAATCAAATTTCCTCTGGGTTTTCAGGCCTCTATATTGAAGTTTTCAGTGTTTTATCTGATCATCAGAAATCCACGTAACTAAACTGCATTGCAGAGATGATTTTGTAATTATGAAGAAAATGACAGGTAATGAATTGAGGAAACAATCTCCTATGAATTCCTAGTGATTACCTCCATTGTTTTCTTAAATCCTAAGCAGATGAACATCCCCATAAGAACTATTAATGAGTATTCATTACACTTTATGAAGGCGTTCCCATGGTGAACTCAACACCAATAGCTTTAGGTTCTCAGGTAAGAAAGAGGGGCCTCTGGAGGAAACTTATACTTAGCGTTTCTGAGCTACAATTGTTTTCCTATTTTATTTATATCCACTTCTTTTCTCCCTCCTGTGAGAGAATTAAACAGCAATTCCACTCACTGGGGCAATTAGCTCATTATTCACTGCATTTCAAATGAAATATTGACATTAAACAGGCCCCTTTAATCATTACATTGCCCATAACTAGCATCTATATTGTTCTTGAAGAAAACACCTTGCTCTCTCTGGAATGCCTCCATTATTACACTTATACTTTTCTCAGAAAGAAGTAGCACCACAATTTTTATTACACATCCACTGCAAGTCTCACTTTTTATAATTGTTTCTTCCCCCTTCAATTCAGTTTCCTGTAGATAGGACTGACAGACTAGAGTAACCCAACATGGTAGCTTATTTTTAACCTTGATATTTTTATTTGATAGAGCATAAATCTATACTGCTTTTGCCTCCAAGGTATGCATTATACTGTATCCTAGCATTTAAAAAAAAAAACAAACTTCCATGCTGCAAGAACTAACACAAGAAGAGAATATATATATATACCCACATACATATATATACATATATATACACACACATATATATACATATATACACATGCATATATACATATATATTACTTTAAGTTCTAGGGAACATGTGCACGTGAGGAATGTATCACAAAATATCATAATTTTCTATACTACACACTCTCTAAAGAAGTGATTTTGATAGTTATAATGCTTGGGGCATGATAATGAGTGTGGAAGTAGTTAGAGAGAGGCAAAGAAATTAACACCAATTGAGTATATTTCCATCATTGCTCAGTAACATTTTCTATTTTGTGTCTTGTTCCAAGTTTATTATAATATATTTTTCTTATTACAATTTTGTGCACTAGGAAATCAACTAAGGGATTTAAGGCTGCTAAATGTGATGCCATTAATTCTAAAAACTTTGGTAGAATGCTGGCATTTTGCATACTTTTTAGCAATTAAATAATTCAAATGTTCTGGGTGGCAATGAAGAAAACTGAAAACCTAGTCTTACTATCTTATTCCTAACCACTTTTTCTCATTTTTATTTGAGCAGATTTTTACTCTAGCTTTTTCAGAACATTTTAAATACCCCCAAATGAAAATTGCCATCTTTCTATATCTCCTAATATAAATAATTTAGCAAAGTTTAAATCACAATCTTTCCCCCTCTGATGAATCAATTTTGATTATTCCTAATTAGATCATCTTTCTTGATGTATTTCTTTAAAATAGCACAGAAAATAATTTCTACTGTTTTTTACCCATGGTTAATGAAAGTTTAACCTGCCCATAATTAACTGCTGTATTCTATGCCCTGCTTTCTAAATAATCATGCTGTGTTTGCTTGAAATTATTCACTGGAGTATTTCTTAAAATAATCAAAGAAAATGTTTCAATTTTCTTTTCATTTTTTTTCAAAGCTTTATTTATATCTATGAATTGGACATAAAATCATTAACTTGTAATAAGTTTAAACTTTTGCTGACTTTGTAGAGCTGTCCCTCAAGTAATACGCTTTCATATAAAGAATGCATCCTATGATCAAGGTTACATAGATTATTTGTAGTAAATCTCAAACAACAACACAAATACCCTGATTCAAGATCAAGGTACTTACTATTAAAAAAAATGCTTTCTATTCAGTTGTCCAACAAAACATACATTTGAAAACAATAGCTCTAAGGATCTCCTCTAAATTATGAGAACCACATATTATGAAAAGTGATGATCAGCTCCATTTTTTCTTCCTTTTTAAAGCTTTCATTGTACTACTCCACGTTAGACAAACCTAGACTCTAATTTTTAAGTTGTTAACAGATTGGAATTAGTTTCAATTGTAACTATGATAAAGAGTCTGTCTCCATTTACATATTTAACTGCTGATAGCTTTCAAGCTACACTTCTCTCTCTGCCCCTCTTTGTTTCACATATGGGCAAGATGATAAGATAGTCTGGTATCTCACTCCTTTGGTGCTGGAGGGAAGTTCAAATCATGTGAGGCCTCACCTGGAGGAGGAAACCTCACCACAGACCTATTCCTTAACAATTTGCACCACTTTCAGGTCTCAAGCTGTATTTCAGATCAGTTTGGGAGTCTGCCTACTCTTCACAGAAAGCCCCATGATTTGAATAATAAAACTTTTAATATTCTTGATGCATAAGTGGCATTTTCATTTTTAACATCTAAATCAAATTTTAGATGGGACTTGATCCCACTCTTTGTGAGGCAACAACAAGACATGTAACAAGAAAAATGGTCAATTTATCACATTTCTATATATGTCCTAGTGTTAGAGAAAATCAGTAGACTCTATCACAGGAATCACAAACACAAATTTCTACTGAGGACACTGAGGTTCAGTAAATATGTGAGGTAGAATATGGCATACCTGATTATCTATGAAACAACATCTAGGCATCTGTCATCGTCCAGGTGGGAGTTTAATGTTAGGTTTTCTAATTTTCTCTAAGTTATGAAAAAAACTTAACATACGTTCTTAAGTTCAAGATTTACTATGTAAAGTTACATTAATCAAGAGAGTGGCTTAAGGGTAGATATACCAATCAATGAAACAGAAAAAGAGTCTACTAAATAAATACAAACAATGGTCAATTAAATTTTGACAAAAATGATAAAGTCATTTAATAAGAAAAAGATGTTTCAACCTATGGTGCTGAAATAACTTGATATCTTTGTAAAAAAAAAAACTATGAATTTAGACCTTTACTTACAATGTATGCAAATTAAGTTACAATGGATCACAGAACTAAATATAAGAGGTAAAACTATAGACTATTGATGAAATCAAAATTGAGTTAAAGATTTCTTAAATAAGATACAAAGTGGAAACAATAAAATAAAAATTAATAAAATAGTCATAGTCAACATTTTTAAAAACAAATTTTTGTTTCTCAAAAATTATTTTTAAGAAAACATAAAGGTAAAAGATAAAATTTTTGAAAATGTGAAACATAAATCTGACAACTGACTTGTATTGACAAATAAATGAACACTTCTTATATCTCAATAAAATAAGATAAAACAATAAATACATTTGCAAATGTAAAGGAAAAAGTTTTTTCTAGATACTCCAAATGACAAGCCGTATTAATGGCCAATGCAAAAAAGATGTTGAGTGCCATTAGACATAATTAATCAACATTATTAAAATCATAATGAAATACTACAATATACCCGTTAGGTTGACTAAAATTACAAAGACTGACAATAACAAGTGTTGACAATTTGTGAAGAACTGAAACTCTCAACCATTGCTGGTAGAAATGTAAAGTAATATATCCACTTAAAAATAAAAAAAGAATGAAGTTATATCCTTCTGCAGCAACAAAGATGCAGCTGGAGGCTATTATTCTAAATGAATTAACAGAGTAACAGAAAGCCAAATACTGCATGTTCTCACTTATAAGTGGGAGCTAAACATTGAGTACACATGGAAATAAACATGGGAACAATAGATACTGGGAACTACTAGTTCCCAGTAGGAGGCTATTCCAATCCTTCTAGTGATTCATCCTTTATGACACCGAAGCACGTTTATTTTAGTGTTTATTATGTATGTCTAAATTTTATTTGATATTTCACTGTAATATGATAATTTAGTTAAACTAATTACTCTAATGCGCAAAGTGGTTTGATTGGATTGAAATGATTTGTGACTGTATGTTGTCAATACACATGCCTATAAAATACATAAATTTACTCAACACATGTGAACACATGTGTGCATGCCTGCATGCACACACACACACATCAATGAATGCAAATTGAGATTAAGTGATTGGAATATAAGAAATATTCAGCCTAGAAAGTATTCATATATAACTTGTGTAATATTCTGAAAAATAAAAGAAGCTCAATTTCATTTAGATTTAACAGGGAAGTGGGAAATACTGAATAATAGATTGCTAAAAAAGTTTAATAATGGACAATATCTAGAAATAAAATTATTTGAATTTATTCCTTTTTCCTTTTGTATTATTTATTAACCAAGTACACTAATACCCTACTTTAATCAATCTATGATACTTAGTGACACATAGCACATGGCTGCAGTACGCTAAGTTCTTTTATGTAATAACACAATTATAAAATATTTTGTTTTTGTAATGTTTTTGGCATAATTTAGATATGTTTTCTTTACAAAGAAAAAATACACGTTACAAAATTATATTGAGTAAATAAAAGATTTACTTTACTTTTAAGAGTTGCTTAGTATTTAATCATATTTTGTCATGACTAAAAAAATTACAGAAAACTGCTTACCTAAATCAAAACGAGAATGGCAATGTAAGCCATGGTCAGTAACAACTTTGGTGTTGATACTGAACAGATATCTGTGTGTTTCAATTAAAAGAAAAATTATTATTCAATTAGTGATAAGAACAGGGCATATGAGCTCTCTGTATACTGAGGAATCTATTCCTGTTATTCTGCAAAGAAACTTAACTGAAGAAAGCAGTGACAAACCATTCACAGGTGGACCCCTGAATATGAAAACTTCTCCTTTCAGCTCAATTCTACAGTCAATGTCCATCATCAGTTGTTAATACCGGAATCCCTTTTTATCTCCATAACAACAATAAAAAGAGAACCTTTCTGTGGGATTCCCTGTTGCATGCACAGGTGCTCATGTGGCCAGGTGTGCACAACAGGAAGGAGTTAAGATGAAGCCATCAGAACGATAACAATCATGCCTTGATGAGTTTTTGTTATTTTAAGACACACCTGCTCCAAGTCAGCAGGATTTCTGAGGAAAATAAGAAATGCGTTGGATGTATCCCAAGGCACATAAAAGATTGAATTCAATTCTGTCTAGCTGATGTTTAGAAATTTACAGCAGTGCTGACTGGGCTAAATGCCTTTCTTGCAAAATTCCAGAAGACACAGTGTTTTATTTGTAAGAGAAAATTACATAGAAGATCCTTTGTTAAAAGTGCACAACCTCCTCCCTGCCATCACCCATCTTTCCTCCCACTTGATTTGAGGTGTTGGACATTTCCAAAGTAGAAATATGATGGGAAGATAAACCGTTATTTGTAATGAAAAACTAGTGTCAGTTCACAATTTTAGGATTGATGATTCGTGAAGTGCTAGTGTTTTAAAACACTAGAGATTTAGAAAGAAAACAGTGCACATATATGCACACACTCAGAAAAAAATCAAGTTAAGTAGTGGTACAATAAATTATTTTTCCATTGTTCTTTATACTTTCCATTATTTACCTAATTTTTGCTGAAGAATATTCACTAGTTTTATAATCAGAAAAAAAGGCAATAAAGGTTTATTGGTATTTGTTGAGGTAGTATTGAAAAATATGGAAATCAGAGCCAGAATCCAATATTTAGAAAATTTAAAATGACTTACAGCCTATTGTAATATATTTTAAAAATTTAATATTTGCTATAATAGCTAGTATTTTAGATTACAATTTTCATGGGAAAACTGTGAAAACATAGCGATCATATGTCAATAAGGCAGATGTCAAATAGGATTTTATTCTAAAATCTTCAGAGAGCTATGTGATTATATATATATAAAAGTATTATATATATAACTGTAAAAACAATCGTGACAAAATATCTACTCTTCAGATTCTCACACATGTAAAAGAACATCTAAAATAAAAACATTAAAGAGGTGTATGTAATGGTAGGAAGCAATGAGGTATGGGATGCAAAAGCAAGGTCCTCATCTTCTAGAGGGTACAAAAAACCTATATATATATATATATATATATATATATATTGCTTCCTACCATTGCTTCCTACTATTGCACACACCTCTTTAATGTTTTTAGTTTAGATGTTCTTTTACATGTGTGAGAATCTGAAGAGTAGATATTTTGTCATGATTGTTTTTACAGTTATATGTATCACTCATGTGATATCACTCGTGATATTATATATGACATATATATGTCATATCACTTGTGATATTATATATCACTCATGTGATATTCCAAACCATGTTTAATGCTATTTGAGAAATATATTTAATGCAAGATAAAATAAGAAATTAGGACATCAATTAGAAGCAAAAAAAAAGGTTAAGGAAAATGAAGTGAACCATAGAGAGGATGTTTGAATAATAAAATGCATGTCTTAATTCCTATCTTTTTTTTTTGGTATGAGATGAAAACTCACATTGACATTTCTAGCAAAGATCACAAAGAGAAGGAAATGCAACCAATTACATGTTATAAGATGACTGTAAAATTAAAACAGCAGCAATTATGATAGCAACACAAACAAGTTGGGTTGTGGCCTAAGAGAACTTCAACTGGTCTCTCCTGCCAGGACTTAAGGATAAAGCAGTTTTCCCTCAGGTTGATGCACATTGGATCAACTAGTTAGTGTTATCAACATTATTTAAATATGCAATCATGGCAAGTAAAAAATGAGGGTCTGAAGTGGTATTTCTTGTGTTAAACTTGGGAAAATCCTAACATATACTTTAGTTTCAGCAGCTCCCTTGGCAAAGATCAGGGAATAGAGGTTAGAAACCACAGGTTTTTGAGGTGTTCGTGGTGATGGTGGTGATTTTAATCATTAAAATAGAAATAATAATGGGACTTACATATTGGGATTGTTCTGAGAATTAATTGAGATAAAGTTAACTCATAATCTGGCATACTAAACAGCAAATAAATATTGGTTATTGTTATTACACAGTGTATGAAATGACAGATTATTTTTCTTGTAGGAAATTAACCAAAAATACTATTTCTTTGGAAGATTCTTTCAATAAGTCTTGTCTGGTACAATGTTTAAGAATATTGTCATGAAATGAATGCATTAAGTACACCAACTCTTTATGATCACTACATGAAAATAAATAGGCTTCATCCAGTAAGCAGCTAAGTTTTGTTAGGGCTTAAATCTGCTTGTGAAAATTCAGAAACCTACTAGCCCATGAGCCTGAATAGAAAGCCACTAATGTCTTCAACCCAATAGAGACTTGAGCCAATGCAACACCTCTTGACAGGAACTAGTGTGAAAATGATTTGGGTCAGCTAATCACATGTATGAATGAACACTTAGTCTATCATATTGTATTCCAGAAAACATGGTCATACTGCCAAAGCCTGGAAAAAATTGAAACGAGGACACCAAATACTTATGCTATAAAAATTACATAATTTACCTGATGTGTATATTGATCTATTATTCTTTCTGATGCATTCACCAAATACCTACGAACTATAAAAGCGATCATGACAAAATAACTACTCTTCAGATTTTCACACATGTAAAAGAACGTATAAAATAAAACATTAAAGAGATGTGTAATGGTAGAAAGCAATGAAGTATAGGATGCAAAAGCAAGGTCCTCACCTTCTCCAGGGTACCAAAAACCAAAGTGTCGTGACAAAGTGCTAAAATGTTAATGTATTTGTTAAAAAAAAGAAATTATGCTTCAAAAATGCACTGAATGTAGTTCAAAAACATGACAAGTACATAAGGGGAGAGCAGACAAAGATGCTCTTACTTTTCTATTTACTTTTAATATATTGAGATTCATGGCTATTTCTAATTTTAACTAAAAAAATCCTTGTACTATGGACAAGAGAAAAAATTTCAAAAATATTCTGGATCAAAGAGTTCTAGGTACATATGCACAAGTGAACAAACAGGAAAAAGCAGGACTGACATTTTTTATATGTGCTATATTAGCCTATCATCTGCTAATTCACAAAGTAAATCATAATCTGGTCAGTTCCAACAGGAAATATGACCCATAATTTTCAAGTTATTAAAAGTATCTTAGAAATATAGATTCACTTAAAATATTAAAATATAACTTGCTCTAAGTATATATTTTTTCCTAAAAATTCACTAATTTTAGAACGGAGTTCTTTAAAGTATTATTTTATCAATAGTTCAATTCTTTAAAAGTTCTGCTATGTATGTTTTGTAACATAGTTCATATATAAGGTAAACATTTTTACATAAATTAATATGTATTTTAAGCAAGGAAAATAGTATTATACTAATTTGGATATGTAATCTCATAATTTTGCCAGCTTCGGAGGACACTCCAAAGTGAGTGATGAGCTTGCGTAGACATCAGTGTCATGGAGAAGGATGGTTCACAAATTGGGAGTGAAGGATTGGGAGCAATGCACTGGTTCCAGGTGACCTACATAAGAACATGATGTACAGAGGCAAACAACCACATTTTGTAGACAGGGATACGAGAGGTTTCAGCTAGCACAGCATAATAGATTGCATGAGTATTTTTTTTAATTCCTAAAATAACATATAAATTAAGACAGAATAATTAAGATGGAATCACGGCCCAATGCTGTGGCTCATGCCTGTAATCCCAGCACTTTGGGAGGCCGAGGCAGGCAGATCACCTGATGTCAGGAGTTCGAGACCAGATTGGCCAACATGGCGAAACTCCATCTCTACTCAAAATACAAAAATTAGCTTGGTGTGGTGGCACGTGCCTGTAGTCTCAGCTACTCAGGAGGCTGAAACAGGAGAATTGCTTGAACCCGGGAGGTGAAGGCTGCAGTGAGCCGTGATTGTGCCATTGCTCTCCAGCCTGAGCAACAGAGCAAGATTCTGTCTCAAAAAAAAAGAAAGAAAGGAAAAAAGACAGAATCAAACATTTGAGAGGCAGAAGAGTCCAACATAGTCATTGAGGGGAATGGTTTTCAAACAATTGTTTTCAATAGAAGTATTTCTTTGGAAGAAGTGACGCCTAACATGGAAAGTGGGATAAGAGGTCGTATTTTAATCTGAGACACTGTAGAGGGGTGAAATGAGCTCAACCTCCTTCATTAACATTCCCTTCCAATGGTAGCTCCCACTGAGTTGTGAGAAATCTCTGAAGTAGCTCCAGAGCTCAGCCTAAACAGTAACACATATATTATCAATTCTTCCTTCTACAGTTGAGCAAACTGGAAACTATTTCTCTTAAATCATGTGCCTAAATTCTCCAAATTAAATGGAGAACTGGGACTAGACATATCAATCTTTCCTTAGATGAACTTACATCACTGTGTGAAGAAGATGCCATGTCTTCACTAATGATTAAATAGATTTGGTAATAGTAATATGATTATTACTATATCCATAATCTATAAATGACTAAATTATCTTTATTTACTTTATAATTTTTTTTTAGAAATTACCAATTTTAATTTGTGAAGTTAAATACTTATCATCATAAAATTTCATACAGAATAACACTCTGGTAAATTATTATAAAGAAAGGCCAATAATCAATCATTCATTCAAGTAAAAAGTTGGAAATAATGATATCTTAAAAATCAACTGGCCTGGTGCGGTGGCTCACACCGGTAATCTCAACACTTTGGGAGGCAGAGCAGGGTGGATCATCTGAGGTCAGGAGTTCAAGACCAGCCTGGCCAAGATGATGAAACCCCATTTCTTCAAAAATTTAAAAATTAGCCTGGCATGGTGGTATGTGCCTGTAATCCCAGCTCCTCTGGAGGCTAAGGCGGAAGAATCACTTGAAGCTGGGAGGCAGAGGTTGCAGTGAGCCGAGATCGTGCCATTGCACTCCAGTCTGGGTGACAGAGGAGACTCCCTCTCCAAAAAAAAAAAATCATATTTACTTTCATATTTTTAACACAATACTATATACATATACAGTATAAACATATTTAATATATAGTTAACATAATACTAGTTAAAATGATACCAACAAAAATAGTTAAGAAAATAAGCAGACATTCTATCTATATTACTGAATACATTGTACAAAAATAAAAGGTAATTAAATAAAAATAAAAATCTATTTTACATTTTTGGGCAAAACAAACACATTCGCTAATGGAAACAACTCACAACTGAAGACATAATCAGGTCAAATGAGATGATTTAACAGGAAGTGAAGGTTCTTGTCGCATTGTATAGTCAATAAGGAGAGTTTTCTGGTGTTGATGCCGTGAATAAACATTAATGCACAAAAATAAGAATGAATTCAGATAGTTCATATGATATGTACAACCCATTCATTGTCATATCTAATTCTAACTGCTTTAGATGAATATTAGTTGTTAAAAATAGCATTTGATTATTCTGAGGAGATTAACAAATGAACTTACAGCACACCTGAAACACATTTGCATCATAAATATAAATGTGCTGCCAAAAATAATCAGCTCTAAAATATTAATTCCATCCTTTATTTCCTTTTCTTAAGGAAATGAAAAGCCCAAACACTGTGAAACACATTAAAATATCTAATATTTCCAGAAATTCTATGATGTGCTTAACACCATTCTGTAGATTATGTATGTTCAATCTCATTTTAACTACCATTTTGTAGGTCAGGGATTGACAAAATGCTGCCCCAGTCTAAATTCAGCTTGCTATCTTCTTGTAAATACAGTTTTATTGGACTGCCATCTTGCCCATTACTTTGTATTGTCTATGACTGCTGTCATGCTATGATGGTGAAATTGAATACGTACAACTAAACATATGACCAGCAAACCTTAAAATATTTATTATCTGGCCCTTTACCAAAACAGTTTGACAGCCACTGGTGTAGATAATACGATTTCAATTTTCAAGTAAGCTTAATATCAGGATGGAAGATACAAACTGTAAATTCTGGAGTAAGAGTGGAAATCCAATTTTGACTGACGACAGGTGATTATGTTTCTTATATTACACAACATAGACATTCAGAAAATAAACTATACAAGGATATGATTTTTATGAGCTGTTCATGCATAAATATCTTGGAGTTTTACTTGACTGAAGGTTAAGGGAAAAGCTTATATAATCTTATGCAAAGTTTACAGTGTAATAGAATCTAGCCTGCAGGCTCTACAGTATATACTGTTCTGCTTTTCAGATGCTCCAGACCATTGTCTCTATTACTCTGTACTCGTGTGCTTTTATTCTCCTTTCCTATTAGAATAGAAAGAATGTTCCTTTTAAAATTCACTTTACTTTGGATCCCATTTCTTCTACCATTCCAAGGTTCTTCTTCTCTCAATTAGTCTCTTTCTTCACAGACAACTTTTTGAAAAAAATTGCCTATAATTACTGTGTCTATTTTTTTACCTCCAATATACTCCAGAACTTGTTGCAGGCTGGCATCTGTCTCATCCAATCCACTGAAAAGGTTGTGTTTAAGGTTATGGTCAAGAATATCATTGCTGCAGAGATCATTAAACACCTTTGCATCTTTATCTTATTTGACTCTATATTTTACACTATCAGATACTCCACTGACATTGAAATTGTCCATTCTCTTGGGTGTTGTGAAATCACACTTTCAGTGTCTCTGCCTATTTTTCAGGCCACTCCTGTTATTCGTCCTTGGTGGTATCTATTCCTCTATTCATATTATAAATATTACTGTTCCAAAACTTCAGTAACAGAATTTATCTTTTTATTCTATGTATTCTCTTGGGTAATTTTATTGATTACCATGTCTTTAACATGTGTGCAATTAACAACTATGTAGTTTAGTCCATATTTCTCATTAACTCTAGAATTATATAGCTAACTACATTTTCTATGTATTCACTAACTACCCAGCTGGCATCTCAAAATTAACATGTCCCAGGCTAATACCACCATGGCGTCTGTCAAATGTATCTTCTTCTCCCTCGTGTTTGTCCTCTATCACAGTAAATAAAATTTTCCTCTCCACCCAGGCCCAAGACAGACAGAAATCTGAATAATATACTCAAGGCTGCATGAAATTATAATGCCAAACTATTAATTAAAATGAGAAATATAGCCATCAACCAGATTGGCATGACCATGGTTGTTGATTGATGCTTTTGCCCTAAGTCAAATCAAAATGGAAAAAAAAATCAAAATTCAAAAGTTGTTTGGGAGCATAAATTTATAGCCAAGTTTATTTATTTCAGAACTTCATGTCACTGGGTGAAACAAAACCATAGATAAATATTTGTGGAAGACAAACAACTCAAATTTCAAAGAAAAAGGTCTATTAAATTACATTTCACAGAAGTGATTACTCTATAGTTGTTTTATTTTACATATTCACTAATAATGATACAGGAAATTCGGATAAGTAAAAAGAAGTTTCAAGAGAGTATCTATATGAAGACCTCATATATATTATATAATTGCTTATCTATATAGAGATTGATACCAATGTAGTAGAGATTTTAATATTTCTATATGATAAAGACATATAATAGAGATAGGTAGAGATAGGTGTCTAGCTATATATCTGAGTATATTTTTTAGAGGTATAAATAACGTTAACGGAGAAGACCACTACCTAACAGAACTAAGTAATAGCCTGCTTTTTACATGCTAGCCATTTTGCTTGGGAGCATTAACTTAAGCATTCATTTTCTTGATTGTGTCGAGTTATACAACCACAGATTGATAAAGGTGTGGTAAGAATTTGTTTAAAAAATAAGATACATCTCCTGCTCAATTGTGCAACACAAGATAGACACTCACATATTGAAGCTCACTATTCCATACATTACTATTTCTATGTGATGGGAATATTGATATGACTAAGATGGTAGAATCCATTTACACTAGAACTTAATTGTTTGAGTAGGAGAAAATAAACAAAATGCACAATAAAATTTCAGGTAGAGATAACATATAGTAGGGTTGGAAAGTGTGTCTCTGAGGAAGCTTTGCTGCATAGGGTGAGCAGTGATGATTTCTCTGTGGAGTTGCCTTTGAGCTGAGATCTGAATGAAATCAGGGAGAAAGCCACAAGATCTGAGGGAGACGACATTTCAGCAATGGGCAACAATGGCAAAGGCTCTCACATAGGAGGGACTGCACAGCAGTTGTTGCTGCAGCATAGTGAATGATGGGGAAATACAGGAAAGACAATTAAAGATTTGGGCAGGAAACAAACCTCAATGAATATTTTCACATTTCTGCATGGTTGGGGCTTTCTGAACAAAGAGTACTGATATCTGAGTTAAAGGACATTTGAACAGCAGTCCCAGAGGACTCCAAAGAGATATTATCTCTTGTCTCTCCTCTGTCACATACTTACCTTTCAGAGCGGTAAGGTGCAGACTTTCCCTGCTCTTCACAGATAAGTGCATTTACACTGCAAAGTATCCCTTCCTTTCTCTGGAGCTGAGGAGAAACAAATGTGTCAGCCATTCTATGTACAGGTTTCAGTATCACAATTTTGGGACTCCTCTCCTGTGGTGCAAACCCCATTTGCATGTACAAGTGACATTAGACCCTTGTATAATTGATGTAGAGGCAACCAGAGCTAAGGTGCTCTGTGAGTAGATATCAACCTGTTCTTTGATTCAGGAATCTCCTTGTTTCCTGTCAAATACACTAACAAATATAAAGACATAAGAGTTTTAACCAAGGAACCATATCCTTTTGTACCTCCCTAAGGTATTTGATTTTTATTTCAGGTGAGAGATTAATGGTGACTTTGACCAAAGTAGTAGCTGTGGAAATTCTGATAAAAAGTAAGAGTAAAAGATATACGTTGAGTGTAAAGCTGATGGAAAGCCACACAAATTATTAACACTGTTATGCCTAAACTGGACTCCCTATCTCTACACTTGCCCATCTAGAGTTAATTTGTCATACAGTAGCTGGAGAAGGTTCTTCAAAGCAATATTTTAAATCATATCACTTTTCTGCTGAAAAACATTCAACATCTTCTCTTTTTGCAATAAAATCCAAAGTCTTTATCTCTAATCATGCCCCACAAAATTTTACATGAATCTGCTTTTCCACTTCACTCATCAATGTTTTTCTGATTCCATTTCCCACCATGTTCACTTCCAGCCACAATGGCCTCCTCGCTGTTTTTCTGGCTGACAAGGTACATTCCTGCCTCAGTGCCTTTGTAGGTTTAACTTCTGTCTGGAAAGTTCTTAATTCAGATATCCATATAACTTACTCCCTCACTGCACACAGGTCCCTGCTCAAGTATAACTTCAGCAAGAGGCCTGTTCTTGCCACTATAAAATCTCATCCCAATCAAAAATATTTTTATATTAGTCTTTCAAATCTATTTATCATAGTGCTTATTAGCACCAGCCATATTTTATGTGTTTGTGTCTGTGTGTTTACTGTTTTCTTTTTAACTAGAATATAAACCCAGGACTTTAGACATTTATTTTTTGGTTGCTGAATTCCCAAGATCTTGAATAGTGCCTAGTGCAAACTAGACTTTCATTAAATAATGAATAAATAAATGTATGAGTGGAGTTACTGGATTTGAGCTTTGGAAAAAATAAAATGAAGACATTGAAAATATTTTAATCTATTGGGGGTATGTAATACTACTTACAGATTTGTGGAAGATGATGGCAGGAACAGGTTTGAGGGATACTTTACACAGTTTAATTCAGACAAGGACAAAAAAGTGTTATTTTAAAATGTTAAAATATAATAATACAAAATGTGTTAAGATGTAAATTTAGATAATAAATAAAAAGTATTGAAAAGGACACTGATCTTAGAACACAAATATTTGAGTTTAAAATTTCACTAATCCTCATGGAAATTCTCTAGCCTCTCTTATCTGGTTTTTCTGGTTTCCATCCTTCTGGCTTTTACACATATTTTTCTTACCAGCTTAAATTCATTAGATAATGATTACTTGAATTATTTCCCCAGCCTTTATCCTATTCACTTTTGAGAAATTGAGAAATAGTCTTTTAAGTTGATTCCTTTGCTTTCTCCAGAATCAAACTCCCAGGACATGACAACCATATTCAATACTTGCTTCTGTTATAATTTTTATAAGCATATCATTGTTCTCTAGTTGTTTATTAAATGAGAACAGTTATTGATTATGTTACATTATGGATCCATAATGCTATTTAAAATAAAAAGCACAATATTATAATTTAAGATGATCTGGTCTACAGAATCACAGTCTAATTGGAATTAATTTAGACAGTCAATCACAACTGTTGATGCTGCCAACAAGGGCTCAAATTAGTGCCAACATTGATTGTGGTTCTTTTCTCACAATTGTTTTATGGGCATTAAGTGGAATGCATAATAGCATTGAGCTCAAAGGAACCCTGCTGCTTCCTCTTTCAAACACAATTTACTAACATTTGCTGGAAATCTCCACATCCACTCATCTTTTTTCCTAGCTTGTTACAGCATTGATTCAAAATCCTTGTTTTTCTCTTTGTTGCATCTTATATAACAATTTATCAAATGTCTTGCTGAGATCTAGGTAAAAGACTCCCACTGCCTTTGCTTCATTAACTTCCTCATTCTCTGCAAACACTTGATCAGGTCTCCTGGGCCATATCCTTTTATTCTCATACAATGTTGGCAAATGGTACACTTGATGCTCTTCTGACAACTTAGATGCTTGTTTATTATAATTGGAACACTTACTAGTTAAAAAATAATGAGTTTCCCAAGAGTTTTTGTTGTTGTCATTGTTGTATTTTGATTGTGTTTTGTTTTACAGTCAAATTAAGCATTTAAATCATTTTTCTATTCAGGTCCTCATAGGGATGACAGAAGAAGTATGCTTTAGAATTGTGTACCTCTTTTGTCTCTCCTCCTCATATCTCTTCAAGGAGTGCTGATCACTTTCTCTCTCCTTCTGAAACTCTTTCCTACTTGGGCTGTTTAAAACACCGTTTCTTGCTGATCCTCTTCCAGTTTCTCTGACCATTTGCTGCTTGCCTTTTTCTACTTCTTCCTCCAACAGTTATTTGAACACTGGTGTTCATGAAAGTTTCCATACCCGGCCCATTATTCTTCTCCTGCCATATATATTCTGGCAGGGGGGATCTCTTTTATTCCTGTCACAAACCCTGTTGTCTCCCTTGAAACAGATGTCTACATGTTTGCAGGACATTGCTAACTTGTCTTTAACATTCCTGAATCCAAAGGAATGTTAAACTGAACATTTGTATAGTTGTCCTCATTTTTCACTCCATAATAACCTTGACTTCCTCCTTCATTTCCTCTCCATTTAATGTTAATATCTTCTACCTTGTTGCCCAAACCAGAAAATTCAGAGCCACATTAAATCTCTTTTCTCCTTCTCTCCAAATGCAATTAATCACATCCTGCTGGTTTTTATGTTGTGAAAATTTCTAGATTCTGTTTCTTTCTTTTAAAATCTCTCATATTATTGTGTTAGGATTATACCAAGAGCCTCCTACATCCACTTACTACAATGGACTTTCTCAAAGCCATCCACACTTTATACCTGCACTAATTCATTTCACAGCAACTTTTACAATCTGTCAGTTGTTCTCCATCATGTAAGATTAAGTTTTAAGCTCTGTGGCTTTCAGAATGAAGTCCTATATACTGTGACCTACCTCTGTCAATCTGAAAATGTAACTCCTGACAATTTAAATTCAGTCACAGTTTCTTCATATGTATTTACCTATGATGGTCCTTTGGTCTTGAAATAATTTTCTTCATCTGACCTAAATTGTATAATATTTCAAAAACCATGGTGGGTTTCCTCTTTAGCCTTTGCTACATGTCTTCTCTTTTGCACTCTCACAGCATCCTATGAGTACAACTTCATCTCAGTTGTCACCTTATGTTCAAAATAAACATTTAGGTGGATTTGCTTTCACTAGCATGTGAGTTTATTAAGTCAGGTTTTAATGCTCTTTTCATCTTTTTGTAACTAATATTTAGCATTGCATTTGGCTCACAGGAAGAGTAAGTAGAATTTACCCAAAAAAATCCTTTTCAGCAAATTTTTCTTTCTTCATCTACCTTGAGCTTTGAAACATTTTATACTCTTAGCAGTCTTCCCTCTTTTAAATATTCATTTTCTGGCTTTCTCCTATACATATGCAACTTATTACTGTCTTTTTTCAAAGTTCATACTCTTCTCCCCATGATTTAAGTGTTGTTAGATATTTAGAGCATCTACGTGTTCTCGGCTTTCAACTCTCTACCTTCTTTGCAGGTGAACAGATTTATTTTTGAGATTTAGTTTATTATCATTATGTTGACAACTTTCATATTAATATCCTTGGTTTCTGTGATGTTTAATACTGAGGTTTCAACTTGATTGGATTGAAGCGTGCAAAATAGTGTTCTGAGGTGTGTCTGTGAGGTTTTTGTCAAAAGAGATGAATATTTGAGTCAGTGGACTGGGAGAGGCAGACCCACCCTCAGTCTGGGTGGGCACCAGCTAATCAGCTGCCAGCATGGTCAGAATAAAAAGCAGACAGAAGAACGTGGAGAGATTAGACAGGCTTAGCCTCCCAGCCTACATCTTTCTCCTTTGCTGGATGCTTCTCCTTTGCTGGATGTCCTCAAACATCGGACTCCAAGTTCTCCAGCTTTGGGACTCGAACTGGCTTCCTTGCTCCTCAGCTTGCAGAGGGCCTATTGTGTGACCTTGTGATCGTGTGAGTTAATGCTCCTTAATAAACTCCCCTTTATCTATCCATCTGTCCTATTAGTTCTGTCCCTCTAGAGAAACCTGACTAATAAAGTTCCACATCTGCATATTTCATTGTCAAATAACATTTTTATTGTATCTATTTGGTTCATCCAATTTAACACATGCAAATTTGGATTTACTATATTCTCTCCAAAAAGAAGATGCATTTCAGTGGTCAGTATCTCAAAAATGAAAATTTCTCCCATCCAACTGCTAGTTTCAGAAACCTGGGATTCATACTTAACACTCTCTTTTCTGTCAGTAGCCACCACCTGTAACTCAATTATCAAAACTGACTCTTCCCAAACCTCTTATTGTATTTTTTTTACTTCACTTCCTCCCATAGAGCAAGCCACCATCACCTTTTTTGTACCACTGCAACAGCCTGATAATTAGTTACTCCATGTCCAGGGTGCTTTTCCTGCAATCTATTTAGACTACAGTTACAGGGATTTTTAAAATTTTAAGAATAGTTCCTCCTCCCCTCAACCCCTGCCAAAGATGTCTGCATCTAAATCAGTAGAACTCATGTTTATCGTGTTCATGTTACCTTTCATGGCAAAGAGAAATTAAGGTTGCAAATAAAATTAAAGTTGCTAATTAGTTGACCTTAAAATAAATGAGATTATTCTAGATTGCTCTGGTGGGCCCAATATAATCACAAGGCTTGTTAACAGTGGAAAAAGTAATCCGAAGGGAGAATCAAAGAAAGGGCAGAATCAGAAAGAGTAGACCTGACATTGCTGACTTTGCAGGTGAGAGGGAAATGAATGCTAAGAAAAGTCAAGGAAAGCCAAGGACAGCCTCCAGGAGCTAGAAAAACAAAAAATGAATTCTCTTTCTGAATGCCTCCAGAAAGGAATGCACTCCTGCCAACACTTGACATTCGAACACAGCAAGAGATGCATCAGACTTCTGAACTACAAAATGGTAAGATAATAAATCTGTGTTGTTTTAAGCCACTAAATATGTGGTAATTTATCACAGCAGCAATAGAAAATTACTGTGCTACCTAAGAGACAAAAATGTTCTGCATCATTTCTTTTCATATATACATTTTATCTGCTATAACCCCACATTTCTTGTATTTTAGTCACAAATTACGTATCATTTCCTAAAAAACCTTCCTTAATCCATATTTCTCTCCTGTAGACTCCTTATCTCCTAATCTATCTAACATCTTAAATAATCACTAGCATAGAGGACGATCTGAATAACATGATTTATGAGGCAGTTATATGATGAGTCTCTGTTTCCTTAACTTGACTGTGAGTCTGAGAGAGCAGATGCCACATCTTTACACCCTACTTGCTTATGTTCAGAGCCAGCACAGTGCCTTGCACTTCGTAGGCACTTAGGAGATAGTTGTTAAATAGGTGAGTGAGGGATTGAGTGAAGGCATTTGTCCACTGCCTTCTGTGTAATATTAAAGTAAAAAGTTTGATATATATGATTTATCTGACTATTCACAAAATGGCATAATAATTATGTCTATTTCAGAGGCAAGAAAATTGGAGCCTGGCATAGCTAGAAATTTTTCTTAAGGCCATGTGGTAAGTTACCACATAGACACAAGAAAAAAAGAAAAAACAGATCTTTTTGAACTCACTAACTGTATTTTTTCACTGCGTACTATGTCTTTTGAGGGATGCTGTTATGGGCATCAGCAAATATCAAGCCAACCATCCTGCTTGAGTCCTACTGATAATTAAAGGCATCTAGAAATATGAAAAGAGCCTAAAGTGAATGTATTTTTGCCTATCATTTTTCTGCCTAGCACCTAGTATAGTGCAAAGCATATATCACCACTCAATAAATACATTTTGACTAAAATGAGTGAATGAATCAATGAATGAGCAAACAAATATTCTAGATGCCTACCTCTTTTTACTGGGGGTAGAAATAATGCCTGTGAGAGAGACCTGGAAATAAAAGAATATCTTTGCAGATAAACTTTACAGTTAAAGCTTTCTTTCCTTCTTTCTTTCTTTCTTTCTTTCTTTCTTTCTTTCTTTCTTTCTTTCTTTCTTTCTTTCCCTTTCCTTCCTTCCTTCCCTCCTTCCTTCCTTCCTTCTTTCCTTCCTTCCTTCCTTCCTTCCTTCCTTCCTTCCTTCCTTCCTTCTTTCTTTCTTTCTTTCTTTCTTTCTTTCTTTCTTTCTTTCTTTCTTTCCTTCTTTCTTTCTTTCTTAAGCTGGCTCTGATATCTTACCTCCTGTTTCCTAGTTCCTTTTAGTATTTGGGATGGGTAGAGGAAAGAACGCCCTTCTATGTGAGGATACTACAGTTCTATCATTGTACTGGACAATAAGAGAAAGGATCTTAAAGTAATACCATCCGTCTACATTAATGTGACTTTAATTGTATTTAACTTTGTGGAAAATAAAAAAAGACAAATAAATGGAAAATAGAGACAGCATATGTAATAATTAGTGTCAAAAATAATAGCAAATAAAAATAAAAAATTGAATGGAAAACAGAAGTTCATACTCTCAGTTCGAAACAAAGTTGACATTATATTTTGAGGTTTTTTTCCCCCTAAGACTCCCAGGAAATGTAATGTACCAGCTCATTATTATTGTTCTAGTAGTTTTACCTTTGTAGGAACACAAGTTTCATCATGATTTCTCCATTCATCTGAATCCCTCTGATGTGCATTATAGTTTGAAGTCGCTTAAAAGCTATAACTATTTGAAGGCAATATTATCCTTCATTAGAATCTTTTAAGAGTCCATCAAAATGTGTAGCTTACACCAGTCCACATATAGCTGGTATGATCTTTGTGCTAATTTCCTCTAACTTTTTAACAGGAAATGTCAATGTAGTATAGCATAGAGGGTAAAAACATAGGCTCATAGTTAGGAGTTGAAAATAAATCTCCTTTCCAAACCTTACTTGCTCAGTTTGTGTTTAGGTGTTGCATGTGAATAATAAAAGGAATAGTTGCACAGAGTTTTTTGAGGAGTAATGAGGGAAGGCACATGAAATACTCTGTAAAATACCTAGTATGCTAAGATACAAAAGCATTTAACATGAATTATCTTTATTACATCATAATTTCAATTGTAACACTCTCATTACAAAATATATAACATTCTAAAATCTCATCACAAAAAAGAGGAGTCTTTAATGATTTACTTACTGGTTAAATACTGAAACTCCTTTATAGAATTTCAATATTTACTATCCTGGACAAAGACTCAAATTTTTTTATATTTCCTCAGTGATATATAAAGTGGCGCATAGCTGTGACTTTTTTCAGACATATATTATTAGTAGTCCTCCAAATAACCATTTTTTTTGTACTTAAAATGTGAAGGTTTATTTTTCCATACCCTTCTGAGTGACACATGTCTCATAGTCTCTGTCTGAGAATTTGGAGGCCTTTACTCCACTGCTTATCCAAAAATAACTCTTGAAAGGTTTATTCATTTTTTAAAAAAAATGTGGTTATTTTGTTGTATAAGGAGCTGTTGTGAGTTGGTCCCTGGCCAGTGAGCACTCTCCTTCCTTCTTGTGAAGGGGTGCTTAAAAATAGAATAGTATTTTTTTTTTGTTTGTGCTTTTTTGTCTTCCACAACTGAATCATCCTAATATAAATGATTATGTAATATTAATATGAAATAGGTAGAGAGAGAGCAAATGGTAAAGCCAATTAATCTCTAATGCCAGGGATTGATATTTCAATGATTCATTCCAATTGTAGTGCTATTTCATCCTGTTTGTTTGATCACTTATTTATTTATTCAGAGATTTATTGAGGAATTACTTTCTGGTATGGTACTGTTATGTTTGTTGCAGTAAAACCATTAAACCAGACAGACAGAATCCCTGTGACTTGGCTCTCGATTTCTTATTATTGTTAAAATCAGATGACTTTCTTTTGTCTCAAACAACAAAGGGAATTGTATTCATGGTATTGAAATTATAGTAAAATAAGTAATGAAAGTTCTTGCGATGATGTTAAATATGAGGTTTTGAGTGACCAATTCTTAGTACTTGTTTAATATTTTCTGTGTATGTATCAATATATTCTTAAGATATTTTACCTAAAATCTGCTACCATTTTAAAAACCTAAATCCCAAATGTGATTACACACACTATTTGCCATCAGCTAAATGTTATATAAACTTTCACTTTATTTCATTTATTGTAAAATATATGCTTAAACACATATCAAACAAAAATCTACTTTACTTTTTTTAGAAAGTTGTACATTTTTTTCTGACCTATGAAGAGGCAGAATTTTAAAAATTGGTTTGGACACAAAAACCTATTTTTAGTATCATTGTTTCCTTTCCATAAATCATTGTTCGGAATAGTGAGCCAATTTACTATTAGTTTCATTGATCCTTTCCACTGATCTTACATGACTGTAAAGAATTTTGTCAAAGGCTTTCCAAACATCTAAGTTTAAAATCCTCTTTAACTCCTTTCCCACATTTGTCTACCTGGAGTGAAGTCCCTGAAGAATTTCACAAAAGTAGTGAGTGATTCCTTTTATTCTCTAAATGTGTGTTGTCTGTTCTTAATCAAGCTGAGCTTTTCAAAGTGGTCCTCATTTGATCTATAAAAATAGTTTCTAAAAGTTTTCAACATAACAGAAGTTAAAGGAAACTGTCTGAAATATCTAAGTGTGGGTCCAAGACTGCTCTTCAGTTAATGTTTTGTTTTGGTCACAAATCAAAAGGAATATTTTCTTCATAGAAAAAATATAAAATATTGTAATGCCAACAACAACATGCCTTTTTAACTAAAATCTTACATTTGTTCATAAGGATATTTTCAATTTCCTATTAAATTTTGTTATATTTCATTGCCATTAGGCAACATCCTTTTATTTTCTTCTGACACAATGATGAGTCTATTGGAGTAGTTCTGAATGGAGATAGCCATTACTGAGGGATGAGGGAAAGAGGGAAGATCAATGTTTGTCAAAGATATTTCTCAAATCTGTTAAAAAGCTACTATTGTTTTATAGCAATTTACTCTAAATCCATATTCAGTAATGGATATACATCCACAGAATTCCTGTATTTTTTTGAAATATCTGATAAAACTCTAAGGACCCCCTCTTTGCTCAGAATAAATGTGTGACTTTGGATGAATATCTCATATTTTCTAAGCCTCAATTTCCTCCCTGAAGGCAGGTAGACAATTTAAGAAATTTTAGAAAATAGTGCAGGATAGAGATGATGAGATCATAATGAATGTCTGCCTTGAAATTACTGTTTTTTTTTCCTGTCCTATGTGTTACAATGGACTTAGAAGTTTTATACAGATTTTCAGTCACACGCGTTTCTCAGTTTTTATCTATACAGGGATTAACCTGATCCTATAGACATGTTCCCCCTTCTCACTACTACCCCAACTGCCCAAAAATATTCTTCATTTTTTGGTAAAATTATTATTCATTTTTTGTTAAAAATAACTGCATTGGTGGATGACTTTGCATGTATATGGTGACCCTCCATTTATCCTCCATTTGAAGGTGACTTTTTGTATACCATACTCTGTATGTTGAGAATGAGAGAGAGTCTTTTGCCCTTGAATAGCTTGTGACTCATTCAGTTATTATTTTAGTGAAAAGTTAGGGCATTGAATCATAGGTACATACCTTGAAAGAAAAGCCAGTGCTTAAACAGCCCTACTTGACATGATAATGTTGGGTATTTTCAGCCAGCAAAATGCTAAAATATACTTACTAACCAAAAAAAAAAAAAAAAAAAAAAAAAAAAGTTCTACTCTGCCTACACAGCACAGTTGTTCAAAGAGCGGATAATAGATAAGGAGGTGAGGTTCTTAGCCACACGCTACAGTTTTTGTGAGATTTCTTAACTTAGGCTTTTTGGGACCAATGAGGCTTCAGAAATAGGCTTCAAATGATCCACAGTCTTGCTAAAATTGTACATAAAATCATGTGTACATGGAATTCTGTCCCATGAAAATAGTTCATAGCTCACATGACATTTACCGTTTATTACATCTCACACACATACATAATAATATACTAATAACCAAATTCTTTTACTTATTATCGAAATTCTTAATTGTCTTTAATAACCTGAGAGAGAAGTAAAATAAATATAATTCTACATGTTTCATAGATTAAAAAAGTAATATATATAATATATAAATTTTATATGTTATACATATTACTTATATGCTGTTCCCTAATGCATTACCTCAAATTTCGTTTTTTTCTAGTATTGACCTGCCAATTTTAAGCCAGTGCTTATCCATTGAGATTTTCCATTTTCAACTTTAAATTGTCTCCACATATTCATTTAATTGTGTCCTAATTTCCTGTCTATTGCCTGAGAAGCCTAGGTAGCCCACAAATGGAAGAACTATGCTAGCTATCAAATTTTTCTAGCACATCAGCTTGGGAGGCTGTCTACTGAGCTGGAAGGTCATTTAAATTTTTTCTCATTTTCAAATACCAACATTTCACTAAAGAGAGTTACAGGCAGAACACATTTGCCATATTAATGAATTGAAAAAAAATGAACTCTTCACTGATTAGAATGCTACCTATTATATACAGAATAAGAAAGTCTGTTGGGAATGATATGGGTGTAGTAGACTAAAAGTTGCAAAAATATCCCACACTATTAAAACTAGAAAGGAGAAATTCATATGCACGAGAGTGAAAACAGGAAATATAATTCTAACACTGAGGGCAGAAAGTCATTTGCCTATTAACTACCTGTTCCGTTTAGTACAGGAGCAACAAGAAACTATTGCTCCACATTTGAGGAAATTTAGCTTTACTTTTTATTATCAATTTTTTAAATAAACAAATGGAATCAGATAACCAACAGTCTTCTCTCCTTTGACTGAAAACTGAGTAGCTGCTCACTGTAGGCCAGCATAATCAACACTGGTATCTCAAATTGTGAAAGTTTTGCTTCACTTTGAGTCTAAATTTAATTATTGTATTTTTTCTTTATTAGTTCCAGAATGTACGCCATTTATGAAAATATGTATGAGTCTAAATAAGCTTAATTCTTTCAGACAATAAATGGTTGACATGATTTTTCTGACAGTTGTGATCATAGATTGCGGTAGGCATTCTACTTTTCATATTGATTTAAAATATATTATGATACTCACAGATGAATATATACATGGTATATACCATATGTATCTATATAGACAAATACATAATTGTAATCTCAAAGTCAGTATTATTTTAAAACATTTTAATGTTCTTTACCTATGTAAAAACCATGGGTACACTTGATTTATTTTTAGCAATCAAGTAGAACATTAGATTTTTCCACATATCTAAGCCAAAAACAATCATTTTATTACTTTTAATTATTATCTTGCTCATTTCTATCTACAGTCTGTCTGTCTCTTTTAATCATTTTGATTATTACAGTTTAATCTATGGCATCAGCTAATTAACTAACATGTAGCAAATGAGCACCTATTATGAAAGAAGCACTTTAATAAGCCATAAAAGTAACAGGTAATATTTGCTATGGTTCAAGCTTTTTTATAGAAATTTTTAAATTTTTAAAACAACCTTATAAAATATATATTGCCATTATTCCTATTTAAAAGATGGAAAAACATAAAAAGTCACAAAGGACTATTATGAACAATTATATGACAATAAATTGGATAACCTAGGGGAAATGGATGAATTACTGGAAATATACAATCTACAAAGAATAAATCAAGAAGAAATAGAAAGCTTAAACAAACCAATAGCAAATAGAGATTGAAGTAGTAATCAAAAACCTTCCATCAAAGAAAATTCCAGTACCAGATGGCTTCATAGCTGAAGTCTATCAAACATTAATAGAAAAATTAATATCAAACCGTCTTAAACACTTCCAAAAAGTAGAAATAGACTGAATGCTTCCAAACTCAGCCAGCACTATTTGGATAACAAAGCCTGACAAAGGTATCGCAAGTAAAGAAAACTATGGGTCAGTATCTCTGATTAACGTATATGCAAAAATTCTCAATAAAATACTAGCAAATAAAGTTCAACAACATATCAAAAAAGTATACACTAAAACCAAATAGGATTTATTCCTGAGATACAAGGGTGGTTTAAAATACACAATCAATGTGATGTGCCATTTTAACAGAATGAAAGATTTTTTTAAGCCACATGATGATCATAACTGATGCAGAGAAAGCATTTGACAAAGTTTAGCATCCTTTAATGATAAACATTCTCAAAAAAACAAGTATAGGAGGAATTTGTCTTCAACCTAATAAAGATTGTTTATGAAAAACCCACAGCTATCATAGTAATCAATAGAAAAAAACTGAAAGCTTTTTCTCTAAAGTCTGGGCCGTGGCAAAGATGCCCATGCTATTCTATTTAACATAGTTAGGGAAGTAACAGCAAGAGCAATCAGACAAGAAGAAGAAATAAAGGGGATACAAATCAGAAAGGAAAAAGTAAAATTAACCCTGTTTACAAATGTGTAGAAAACCCTAAAGACTCCACACAAAAAAGTTGTTACACAAATAAATGAATTCATCAGAATAGCAGGATACCAAACCAACATACAAAATTAGTTGCTTTTATTTACACCTACAAAAATCTATTTGAAAAATAAATCAAGAAAACAATCCCATTTAAAATAGCATTAGAAAGAATAAAACACTAAGAGATAAATTAAAACAAAGAAGTGAAGTGAAAGCTATGTACAATACAAAGCATGGAAACTATAAGCATTGATAAAAGAAATTTAAAGACACAAATTAATAAAAAGATATCTCATATTTGTGAATTAAAATAATTAATATTGTTAAAATGTTCCTATTGCTCAAAACAACATACAGATTTAATGCAATCCCTATCAACAGTTTAATTTTTCAAATAAATTGAAAAAAAATTAAATGGAACCACAGAAGATACTGACTAGCCCAAACAATCTTGGGAATGAAAAACAAAGTTGGAGGCATGACACTTCCTGATTCCAAATTATATTACACAGCTATAGTAATCAAAACAACACATTATTGGCTTAAAAATAGATATATAGGACAGTGGGACAGAATAGAGGAACCAGAAGTAAACCCAGTAATATAAGGTCATCTAATTTTTGACAAGCTGCTAAGAAGACACAATGTACAAAAGATACTGTCTTCAATAAATGGTTGATTTTATTTTTCAAGCCAGATATAATAATATCTTCCTCATATATAGGAAATTTCTTGAACGTAACTAGCATGTAGTTAACATGACTTTACTACCCCAGCAACAATTCATGAAACTACAGGTACCCTACGTGCAGTCAATCTATAAGCTGAGTAATCAATAGCATGTGAGTTCTCTGACATGAATGTTCTTCCTGTGAGTATCATGAAGACTAATTAATGTGCGTAGATATTTTTAATTTAAAATTAAGATACAGAGTCAGGAAAGTATAACAAGGCTAAAATTGAAATACAAACAGAGTTATATAAAATTCAATCAAAATTGGAGACGACAAATTCAAGGAGTAAAAACAGGCATACAAATGTGGGTACACAAGTTTTATCTCTCTCCAATAGATCATTCAATCAAAAAATTATAAGCATTCTATATTTAAAGTACTTGAGTGTCATGAGCTTCAGAAGAAACTTTCCAAATGTTTTAAAACTGGTAGTGATGAAGATTTCCAAGTTTATCCCTGACATGTAAAGAACCTGGAAGTTATTACTCCTGTCCTTACAATAAGGAAATGCTAGACAAACACAATAATTTTATTAGTTTTATTAGAGAACTGAGGGAAAAGGAAAAAACCACTACCACAAAATATTGAGTGTCAAATGCATCTAGAGAGAGATAGTGTACTCAAGATTTGATTACCTAGGACAGAAGCCACTAGACGCTTAAAGCTGGTAGAATATCATATATGATAATCTTGATGAATTGCTGGAGGATGAGTGTATGGAAGTGAACATGAGAATACCCTAGCGCTGAAGTATTGGTGGTTGGACACCCTGCAGACTTTCCCTCTAGGAGCTCCACCAGGTTATGGCAGAGAGAATTCTAGAAACCCTAGAAATCTCAATACATCACCCTCATGGGGGGAGGAAAAGCATTCCTATCATGACTCTTCTCCCTAAAGAAGGCCTTGTTTCCATAGGTAATGACATTAGCAGTTAGGCAATTTTTACACCTGAGAAAAGAGAACTGCATTCCAATCCAGATTTTCTGCATCAGCTAATGAGAAATAAATGAATAAAAGCATTGTTAGCGGAGGAGAGAGCTTCAAATAAATAGACTGCAGTGGTTAAGAGACTAGAGAACAGAAGGTGAGAAGGTTCTCTTGGGGACAAGAAACAGAAACACTTCTGAAGACCAAACCTCTAAGACACAGTTCCAATAAAACACCAAGAACCAATCAGAATATTAGGTGACCCTCTCCTCTGTGACACTGCCACTGCTGTGTCTGCTGAAAATAAAGGAGAAAGAGAGAGTCTCAAAGGTTTTGGGAGGTTGGGGTAGATTGAGGGAGCAGAGGACACCTTACCTATAGAGAAATAAAAATAAGGATTACAGGAAACTTCTCAGTAGAAAGCATGCAAACAAGAAGAGAACAGAGTGATATATTTACAATATTGAAAGAAAAGGAAAAATCTGTGAACCAAAATTCTATATTCAGTAGAAATTTCACTGAAGAGTGAAGGAGAAGTTAATGGGTATGGGTTTCTAATCAAGGTGATAATTTTTTTCTAGAATTAGATACTGGTGACGGTTGCAGATACTGGGGATAGTTGCACAATTCTGTTTAAAAAACACTAGTAAATTGGACAGTTTAAAAGGCTGAAATGCATGTAGATTATATCTTAATAAGGCTGTTACAAAAGTGAAAGAGAAATTTAAAAACTCCCTTTTCTGATAACAAAGTTGTGAAAGATAAATTTAGAAGTTCTCTTTTCTGAAAACTTAGAAAAATCAATTTCTTGTTGATCTTCCTTGAAAGACCTTTTAAAAGAAGATCTTCAGGCAGAAATAAAATGGTTTAGGTCCAAAATTTGGATCTACACAAAGAAAACAAGAGTGTCAGAACATGAACAAATACAAATATTATTATTTTATTTTTTCATAATTTATCTAAAAAACTGAGCAAAGGAATGATAACAATGCAATGGATGCTTATAGCATAAACATACACAAAATGAATGACCATAGTATCAACTGGAATGAGAGAAAGTAATTGAGAGTGCTGTATTATTAGGCAACTGCATTACATGTGAAACAGGATAGTGCCTCTTGATGGTGGATTTAGATTCTTTTAAAATGTATGTGGCATGCCATAAAAACAATAAAATACTTAGGAATGCAGTTCACCAGGGAAAGATCTCTGCAAGGAGAACTACAAAATACTCCTCAAAGAAATCAGAGATTACACAATCAAATGGAAAAATATTTCATGCTCATAAATAGGAATAACTAATATCATTAAAATGGCCATACTGTTCAAAGCAATTTATAGATTTAATGCTATTCCTATTAAAGTATTATCAACATTCATCAAAGAACTACAGAAAACTATTTTAAAATTTGTATGGAATCAAAAAAGAGCCCAATTAGCCAAGGCTATCCTAGGCAAAAAAACAAAGCTGGAAGCATCACACTACTGGACTTCAAATTATACTGAAGGGTTAACAGTAACCAAAACAGCATGGTGCTGGTAGAAAAACAGACACATAAACCAATGGAACAGAATAGAGAGCCCAGAAATAAGACTACACACCTACAACTATCTGGATTTTGAAAAACCTGACAAAAGCAATGGGGAAAGGATTCCCTATTCAATAAATGGTGCTGGGATAACTGGCTACCATATGCAGATGATTGAAATGCCATCCTTACACCATATAAAATATTAAATCAAGATGGATTAAAGACTTAAATGTAAAACCCAAAAGTAAAACAACTCTGGAAGACAACCTGGGAAATACCATCAAGATATAGTCACGGGCACAGATTTCATGACAAATATGCCAAAAGAAATCGCAACAAAAGAAAAAATTGACAAACAGGATCTAATTAAACTAAAGAGCTTCTGCACATCAAAAGAAACTGTCAACAGAGTAAACAGACAACCTATAGAATGGTCAAAACATTTTCCAAATTATGCAGCCAACACAGGTCTAATATCAAGTTTCTATTAGTATATTGAGCAAATTTACAATAAAAAACCAAAAGACCCCATTAAAAAGTGGGCAAAGGACATGAACAGACACTTTCCAAAAGAAGAGCATGTGGCAAAAAAATGTACGAAAAGAAGCTCAACATCACTGATCATTAGAGAAATGAAAATCAAAACCACAATGAGATACCATCTTACACTAGTCAGAATGGCTATTTTTAAAAAGTCAAAAAATAACAGATCCTGGCAAGGTTGTGAAGAAAAAGGAATGCTTATACACTGTTGGTAGGAGTGTAAATTAGTTCAACCATTGTGGAAGACAGTATGGTGAATATTCGAAGACCTAAAAGCAGAAATACCATTTGACCCAAAGGGATACAAATTGTTATATTATGAAGATACATGCACATGTATGTTCATTGCAGTACTATTCACAACAGCAGAGACAAGAAATAAACCTAAAAGTCCATCAATGATAGACTAGATGAAGAAAATTTGGCACATATGCATCATGGAATACTATGCAGCCATGGAAAATAATGAGATCATGTCCTTTGCAGGGATATGGATGGAGCTTGAGGCCATTTATCCTTAGCAAACTAACACAGGAACAGAAAACCAAATACCGTATGTTTCACTTGTAAGTGGAAGCTAAATTATGAGAACAAATAAACACATAGAGGGGAACAACACACAATAGGGACTTTTGGAGGGTGGAGGGTGGCAGGAAAAATAACTAATGGGGACTAGGCTTAATACCTAGGTTATAAAATAATCTGTACAACGAACTCCATGACACAAGTTTACCTGTGTAAGAAACCTGCACTTGTACCCCTGAATTTTAAGTATAAAATAAAATAAAATAAAATGTATATTGCAAATCTCAGGGAAACCAAATTTCAAAGGAATAATAATAATATATCAAGAGATGATAATATTGAATTATATAAAATGCTCAATTAAAACCAGAGAAAGCAGAAAAATATAAAACAAGCAAAAGAACATGCACAACAAATAGAAACATTACAAAGATAGTACATTTTATCCAAACAATATCAGTAATTGCTTTAAATATAAGTGATCTAAATAGTGGTTAAAAGGCAGAGATTGTCAAAAAAGATAAATATTAGTACATATCTCAAATTATATATAAGAATTTTATAAAATTATCTTTAATACTCTAAATAAGTTACAGTATTCTTAATACTGAATTGCAGAGAATGTAATATTAATAGTAGCAACAACTTTTAAGTAAATGTCTAATAATATTCCAAATAGTTTGAAAATTTTTAGAAATATTAACATTATCTTTTCTTTTTTTTGCCTTTTTTGGGTTTTGTTTGTACTGTTTCTCTCTTACAATCCCTAGCTAAACTATACTCTTGTCTCAGTCATGATTGAATACAGACAACTACAGCAAATTCTTCTAACGACTTCATTGATCAGCCACTATGTGACTTCCAAACCTAACAGGTACTTTTAGTTATGCATAATATTCTCCATGATTTCACTCTCCCTTCTTGCTGAATTAGCATTACTGACATTAAAATTTTTCTGAATTAGATATAATATTGAGATTTTTCAATAGAGTATTCAGTTAATCTATAACAGTCAAAAAATTTATTTCAGAAGATCATCTTTAGATAATTTTATTGTTGCTTACTGCTAATACACAGAGATTTCTAAACACTGTCTAGAAAACTATCAAGGTTTCATAAATTTAGTAAATTAAAATTATATTGTATTATTTTGTCATCAAACAATAAATAATTCATGTAATTTATCAGATTTATAAGAAAATTCAATAGCTTTCCATTTGAAATAGGCATTAGTTTTGTTTCAAAGACTATACTATACAACTCTGTTTTGTTTTACCAATCATATGTATGTTTCTTTTCAATTATTCCTTTTTGTTAGTTTTTAATATGTGCAACCATTTTTGTTATAATCAATCTATTTTCATCACAAAATACATTTCTTTGAAGGAAAATGTTCATATCTCTGCTATATATTATTACATAATTTTAATTATCTTCAGTTCCAGAATTTCCAAATTTTATTTTTAGCTCTAGCAAAAAAAGTTGCCTATCAATATCCAAATAATCTACCAAGTTTCATTTCAATTCTCACCTACACAAATTCTTAATTATCTGTAATGATTGTGATTTATCTAAATACATTAAAATTTTTATTGACAAATAATTTAAATCTATTTATTTAATTGATTTAATTGATTATGTTATTCAGAAATAATTGGATTTCTTGCCATAGAATAGATAAGAGGAAATTACCTAGAAATTTGTGTTTATTTTTTCCTGATACTTCAGACCATTTTCCCAGCAAGTCACTGGCACCATATGTACACAGTTCAATAAGGTTTTCATATAAATACGTCTTGAAGAAAACTTTCCAAAATGAAAAAGTATATAATTTTAGATGCTAATCTGCTCAGTTCCAGAAAATCAAGAAAAAATACACTATTTTTAAAGTCTTGAAATTACCATTGTTGTCATTATCAATGATTCATAAGGAAGAGCAGAGTGTTGTCAATGTATGGAATTTTATGTCTTGATTTAGAAGTTTTCGGAAAATATTTTTTAATTTCAATTGACCAAAGTTTTGCAACAAGTAGAGGCATAAAAGTAGAGTACAATGGTGTGGCTATATCAATATTATTATTTTATTACAATTATTTAAAAATTTCAAATTTGAAAATGCTCAATTATTTCTAACTACAGAGCAGATTTTTTTAAAGTTCTGAATTTTTTTGCTGTTTTATTAAATTTAATTAATAAAATATTTTCTAACTTTATTTCCGAATTTCATTGCTTCATTGTATGAAACTTATTTATATATTTTCCCTAATTTATGATTCTAATTATTATTAGTTTTTAATTCAAACACGGGCTTTAACAGAATATAAAATGTATTTTGGTAAGAAATGTAAAAGTTTAACACTTTCAACTTTTAACAGTACAGGTTTTGAGCATAATTATCAGACATTTACATGATATAGATAAGCAACTGTTTTTGGTTGCAGTAAGTAAACTGTTTTTCAATCCGGAAATATAAATTGTTATATTCTGTAGTAACCTTTTTCACAGTATTTCACAGGCTTTTTAGGTTCCTCTGATTTGTGCAAAATGTCAGTAGGTGCTCCAGGCTCTTCATTATTTAAACCATTAAAACCCTCTACTCTGTTTTAACACAGACTCAAAAGACTTATATTTAAATGGAACTTTAAAAATGTATCCAAATTTCATTGTCTTTTTATTCTAGACATTTGTGAAAGCTAAAGTATTTAGTTGAAGTAATAGTTGCATAGTTTGGGATTAATGATATACTGGCAAGTTTTGTAATTTAGAGAATTATTTTACTTTATTTTATTTTTACTATTTATTATTTTTTATTTATTTTTTCAATTTCAATAGCTTTTGGGGCATAAGTGGTTTTTGGTTATGTAGATGAATTGCACAGTGGTGAAGTATGAAATTTTAGTGCATCTGTCACCTTAGTAGTATGCATTCCATTCAACATGCGGCTTTTTTCCCTAGCCCCCTTTTACTCTCCCCTTTCTGAATCTCCAGATTCCATTATATCACTGCGTATGCCTTTGGATACTTATAGCTTAGTTCCCACTTGTAAGTGAATACATGCAGTAATTTTTTTTTTTTATTTCTGAGTTGCTTCACTTACAATAATGGCCTCCGCCTCCATCCAAGTTGCTCTAAGAGACATTATTTCGTTCTATTTTATGGCTGAATAGTGTTGCATAGTGTATATATACCACATTTTTTTATACACTCATTGGTCAACAGGCACTTAGTTTGGTTCCACATCTTTGCAATTGTGAATTGTGCTGCAATAATCATACACATGCTGGTGTGTTTTTGATATATTTAACAGTGATACCCAGCAGTAAGATTGCTGGATTGAAAGGTAAATCTACTTTTAGTTCTTTAAGAAATCTCTGTACTGTTTTTCATAGAGGTTGTACTAATTTACATTCCGACCTCTTGTGTGTAAGTGTAGCATTTTCAGCACATCCATGCCAACATCTACTGTTTTCTGACTTTTTAATAACGGCCACTCTTGCAGGAGTAGGTGGATCTCACTGTAGTTTTAATTTGCATTTCCCTGATGATTAGTGATGTTAAGCATTTTTTTATATGTTTGTTGGCCATTTGTATATCTTCTTTTGAAAATTGTCTATTTATGTCATTTGTCCACTATTTTGTGGAATTATTTGTTTTTTCCTTTCTGATTTGTTGGAGTTCCCTGTAGATTCTGGATATTAATCCTTTGCCAGTTGCATAGTTTGCAATTTTTTTTTCCTATTCTGTGGGTTTTCTGTTTAGTCTGATGATTATTTCTTTTGCTATGCCAAAGCTTTTTAATTTAATGAAGTCTCATACATTTATTTTTGTTTTAGTTGGATTTGCTTTTGGGGTCTTACAAACTCTTTCCCTATGCCAATGTCCAGAAGAGGTTTTCCTAGGTTATCTTCTAGAATTTTTGTGGTTTCAGGTAATACATTTAAGTCTTTGATGCATCTTGAGTTGATTTTTGTATAAGGTGAGATATTGGAATCTAGCTTCATTCCTCTATATGTGGCTTGCCAGTTTTCCCAGCATCATTTGTTAAATACGATGTCCTTTCCCTAATTTATGTTTTGGATGCTTTGTCAAAGATCAGTTGTCTCTAAGTATTTGATTTTATTTCTGAGTTCTTTATTCTGTTCCATTGGTCTATGTGTCTTCTTTTATAATAGTACCATGCTGTTTGGGTAACTATAGCCTTGTAGTATAATTTGAAGTTCAGTAATATGAAACCTCCACATTATTGTGGAGGTCTTTTTGCTTAGGATTCTTCTTTTTGCTTAGGATTGCTTTGGCTATTTGGGCCCTGTTTGGTTCTAAATAAATTTTAGCTTTTTTTTTTTTTTCAAATTATGTGAAAAATCATGTGGTATTTTGATAGGAATTGCATTGAATCTATAGATTGCTTTGGGCAGTATGGTCATTGATTCTTCCAATCCATGAGTATGGGAAGTATTTCCATTTGTTTGTGTCATCTATGACTTTTTTTCAGCAGTGCTTTGTAGTTTTCCTTGAAGAAATTTTTCACCTCCTTGGTAAAGTATATTCCTAGGATTTTGTTTGTTTGTTTGAGTTTGCTTTATTTTTAGCTGTTATAAAAGGTTGTAAATGTACAAGAGATTGAGTTGTTTTTTTGCGGGGAGTGGGGCGGGGGACAGGGTCTTACTTTGTCACCCAGCCTGGAGTGCAGTAGTGCAATCTTGTGAACTTGACTCACTGCAACCTCCGCTTTCCGGGTTCAAGGCATTTTCATTTCTCAACGTCCTGAGTAGCTGGGACTACAGGCACACATCACCACACCTGGCTAATTTTTGTATTTTTTGATAGAGAGGGAGTTTCACCTTGTTGGCCAGGCTGGTCTCAAACCGCTGACCTCAAGTGATCTACCTGTCTCAGCCTGCAAAAGTGCTGAGATTACAGGCTTGAGCCATGGTGCCTGGCCCTAGGGATTGAGTTCTTGATTTGATTCTCATTGATCATTGTTGATGCAGAGCAATGCTATAGATTTGGGTACATTAATTTTGTAACCTGAAACTGAAACTTTACTGAATTTATTTATCAAATCTAGAAGTCTTTTAGAGGAGTCTTTAAAATTTTCTAGGTATATGATTGTATCATTGGCGAACAGCGATAGTTTGACTTGCTCTTTTCTAATTTGGATGCTCTTTGTTTTATTCTCTTACCTGATTGCTCTGGCTTGGACTTCCTGTAGAATTATTTTAAATAATAAAATAATAAATAAATAATATATAAACATTCTACAGCCTAATATTGAATGTGCTGATGTAGCAGAAGGGATTGCAACCCTTACCAATAATAGAAGTCCAATTGTTACTATCCTTCAATACCTTCTAGAATATTTTATTATAGTAATTATTTAATATTTTTATTTAACGATCAATAATGAACCTTTTTATTCTTCTCTACTTACCTAATATCAGGAAACTTATATTTAAATAAATGATCTACAGTTGTGGAATGATTGCATATCATTTATCTTAGATACAGCAGTTAAGTACAATTTGCTTTGGAAATTTCATCAACTCTAAGAATTAGTATGGGTTTCATAAGACTTTTGTGAATATTTTTCTAATCCTGAGGTAGAAAAAACATGTAATCCATAGTCTTCATTATTTCTGACATAATGTGACTACTGGCCTATTTACTTGTGCAATAAATTTTATTTGTGTCTCAAAATAAAATTTTCTTTTGAATATAAATGCCTCTGAATCTGATTTATGGCATCTGCACATAGAGTCAGCAAAATTAAAATTATTAATATTATATGAATATTAAAATTAAAAAGAACCATTTTATTTGAGAGAAAATAGAAAATTATTATATACGGTAAAATATTTATATTCAAGGCATTTGAATAAATACATTTAATTCTTAGACTCACAGTTTTCCTCAATGGGATATCTTTTTATCTACAGAGAAAAATATTCTACAATTTGACATGTATTTTACCTCTGTTATTTTATGATTTCAATTTTTTAAAAAAAAAATTGTGCCTCTGAGTCTATCTGTGCAAAGGATAATTGACATTAGTAAAAATATTTTAAATTTTTGATATATGACCAATATGACTACTTTGTAATTATTTGAATTTGAAGGGTTTCTAAAAGAAAATGATACATTAAAATATATTGCCTCAACTGTGTTCAAAGAAAACTTCTCATTAATGAAATTTCAGAATAAAACTAATCAATATAATATGGACTTATATAGTATATATTATTTTATCAGATAATTGAAAGAAATCAAGGAGAGATTAAAAAAAAACACAGGTCAAGATAACCTGTTCTATAAATACTTATGCTTCACAGGCTGTTGTGAGATTTTGCATAATTTTATTATCTTGAAGTTTACCTTTCTACTTTGTAAATTTTACTTTCCACTTAAAGTTTGTAGCAACTGAAGAAGCATTACAATCTAAATTATAGATTAGACATTACTGACACCATTCTTTGAAGAAACTATACAGAAAAGAAACAAAGTTAAAGTAGACTAATTGTAAACTCATTAATACAAAAGTGATTCAATGGCAATTTACATTTTGGAAAATCCTTGTTTTTTTTGCTGTTTTTTTTTTTTTTAAATCCAGGGACATTATCATAGATCCATGTCAATTAACACGGGTGCACACCAAGGAGGACATACATCATTTATGCATATAAGCAAGATGAATCAATTTCACAATTTTACAAGTAACTGGTGGATAGAGGCCCATTTTTAGGCATTTTCATATGATCTCTAGGTCTTTTTTTAGTTCTCAATTCTCAAAGGAAAATTAATTATTACCTGATTATTTAAGAAATGAGTTCCTTTTAGGATGTAGCATAAGTAATTTGTATATATCAAAAATCAGTTCTGTCACATTAAATCACCTTTTAAAAATGATTGTCACTGGAAAATCACCAGAAATATTCTTCCCCTTCAAAATCACTTGATATAACAAAGCCATACATACAGACTTCTGCTGATAAAGTTTACAAAGAACTCAGCGTGAAGCAAAAGATACCAATAAACCA
This sequence comes from Homo sapiens, assembly GCF_000001405.40. Lineage (NCBI taxonomy): Eukaryota > Metazoa > Chordata > Mammalia > Primates > Hominidae > Homo > Homo sapiens. The sequence goes on from NC_000004.12 coordinate 34,598,662, forward strand.
AAAATTTAGTCATTCTAAATGCTTTTATCTTCTCTAGGTGTGAATTTTCATGTGTTTGTGGCTCATTTTTTGTAAGCGTCAACATTATTTCAAATTAGCTAACAACTCATGTAAATTTTTGTCACATGACAAGTCTAATATTTGCTTTAGGAATTTCCATTTTTATGCATACAAACTTAAATTTTATATATAATTTTTATATAATAAATTCATGTATAATGAATTATACATGTATTACTAACATGTCCTTATTCTGCCTCCTTACAATTATATCTGTTCTTCACATTTACAACTTGAGTTTTCCCACACAAAAGAAAGGTATAATGTTTCTATATTTTGTTGCACGCTTGTAAGCCTAATCAGATTTTTTGAACTTATGGAATTAATCTATTCCTTGTGGAAGAATATTTGCCCAGCTAAAATCTAGTTGAACACTATCTTAGTTTAACTTAGAAGAAGAGAAATTGAATTGAAATGCTTAATTGCTTATTTCATCCTTTAAAAATGAAGAAACACATAGATGATCTAAAGTAGATGTTAAATTATATTTAATTTAGTAAGATTTCAAAAGAAAAGGTTTTAGTGGTTGTTTCAAGGATTTTTTTTAAAAAATGGCTGAAGATCAAATTTTAAATTTGTGAATGTCACCTGAGAAAGGTTTGCTGACTTAACAAGATTTATTCTCACTGAGTACTTGTGAGACATATGGTTGGCATCTATTATGTCATGCTTTTTCTTTCACTCATACATGTCTGTTGCACTGCAACAGGAGAAAAGGTGAAATAGTAAAATTTTTAGAAAGACAGTCATCTTATTGTTTACAACTAAAGAAAAATATGTGTATATGCTATAGTGACACATATATATTAATGTCTTCAAGAACACTCTTCACATTATCATATGCAAATTAGTGAAGGGCACTTTTGTTAGATGTATTTATGTTGGTTCTAGTTTTCTTCTAGTAATTAGCATAGAATCACCAAATAACACCCCATTTAGAGAAAGTGGATTTTAAAGAAGAGATGTTTTAGAGATTCTAGAGATTCTAGGAGAGATATTTCTAGAGAGTCAGCTTTAGCAAATCATACTGGAGGATATACCTTTAAAGTGTGTTAAAAGAGTAATGCCACAAAGATTACTTTTTATTGTGAGAGTCTTTTATTCTTTTTTCTGTGATCATAATGTTAAGTTGTAGGCACCAAACTGGTTCACTCATAATAATTCAAAGGCTGAATTTCATGGTAAAGTAGACTCATAGTAAGTCAGGATAGAAGAGCATCTATAATACTTTATAATCTTTTTCCTAGAAAATAGTTTTTAATTAAGAACAAAAGCAATTCACATTTATTCTTGAAAATCAGCAATGGGCTTAAATTTGGATAAATGTAAATGATCAGTCATTTGGAGAAATATAAAGAATCATTTTGAAAGAAGCATTGTGATCATTTTTAGAAATTACCTAAATATCTATTGTATTTACTGTCAGTGCTCTGCTCTAGCAGTGCCTCTCAGCTACTTTCATCATTTTAGTCACACTTGACTCCGTGTTTTCACTCCCAACAACTAGCATCTGTTTCTCTTTGTTGGAGGTTGGCCTGAGTCTGATAGAACACCCTTTGGACTTTTGTAGAGAGATAACATTTCCTGGGAATTTGTGATCACCCTTCTCTCTCCCACCACAGGCCTTAAAAAATGACTAACCAATTGAAGTGGTACAAACACTCCCCTTGATTCTGGCTGTGAGCTACTAAGTTTCCTCTCTGGGATTGGGGCAACTTTACCTACTGAAAGACACTGCTTGATATTGTCCTTTATTTGTACTACTTCTATTCCTGTCCTAGTTTCCCAGAGTTTTGTTGTTTTCCAGGAACACTTCCTAAGAAGTTACCTTCAGATTAAACTTCTTGTCAAAATCTGCTCCTAGGCAAACTGATTTATGTGTCCAGATGTAGAGATAATGATGATTATAAATAGATATATGAAAAGGTGCATATACAGATGGAGGTAATTAGTTTCCTAGAGCTGCTATAGAAAGAACTCCAGACTAGGTAGCTTTAAAACAACAAAAATTTATTCTGTTTCAGTTCTAGAAGTTAGAAGTCTGAAATCAAGATGTCAGTAGGGTCATGCTTCCTCCAAGACTCCAGGTAGAATTTGTTCTTGCTTCTTCCTAGCTTCTGTTGGTGGCCATCAATCTTCGGTATTCCTTGGCTTTCAGATGTGTTACTTCAATCTCTGCTTCTGTTGTCACACAGTGCTCTCTCTATGTATCTCTCTTTTTGTAAGAATAACGACTGATGTCCTTATTGGAGTAAGGTCCCACCTGACACCAATAGGACCTCATCTTAACTATTTACATTTGCAATAATCCTATTTCCAATTACTATCACATTTTAAGTGTTGAGAGTTGGGACTTCAACATAATTTTTTGGGGCACACAATTCAACCCATAACAGATGATAGATAATAGATAGATAGATAGATAGATCACAGACAGAAATATAAAGATGTCATTCTAGACAGTTTTATGGCTCATTATTTTTTATTATCATATTATAAAATGTTTCATGCATTCAAAGAAGAAGCTATGTGCTGGGTAACAAGTGTATGTGAACAGTGCTGTGGTGGGGAGCTTATATGCAACCCTGTGCTCCTTTCCTTACTTTGTCCCACTCCTTACAACTAAAATTTTACTTAGTAACTCACTAGAACTAGCCTATTACCCTAAGAAATATTTGCATTCCAGCCTGGGCGACAGAGTAAGACTCCGTCTCAAAAAAAAAAAAAAAAAAAAGAAAAAAAAAGAAATATTTGCATTTATGGAAGTATTTAAGGTACTTACCTATTTTAAATAAAAATAAAATAAAATAGTACACATGAAAAGAAAAACTCTATACCAGAGTAAAGCCTAGTCCTAATTGATTTGTTATAAAAACTTTAAAAAGAAAAAACTTAAAAGCCAACATTATAATTTAAAAGAGAACCTATTATTAATCTGTTCAGTGAATTATTTTTTTCCTGGTTCAGTTTTGGAACAGTGTATGCATCCAGGAATTGATTCATCTCTTTTAAGTTTTCTAGTTTGTGTGCATAGAGGTGTATTTGTAGACGCGTTTGCAGTAGCTTCTGATGGTTATTTTAATTTTTGTGGGATCAATGGTATTATCTCCTTCATTTCTAATTGTATTTATTTGGCTATTCTCTCTTTTCCTTATTATTATTCTAGCTAGTGGCCTGTTTCGCTTATTACTTTTTTCAAAAAAACAACTCCTTGATTCATTGATCTTTTGAATGGATTTTTGTGTCTCAATTCTTTCAGCTCAGCTCTGATTTTGGTTATTTTTTGTCTTCTGCTAGTTTTGGGGTTGATTTGTTCTTGCTTCTCTAATTCTTTCTGTTGTGATGTTAGGTTGTTAATTTGACATCTTTCTAGCTTTTTAATGTGGGTATTTAGTGTTATGAGTTTCCCCCTTAACACTGCCTTAGCTGCCTCTGAGAGTTTCTGGTGTGTTATATCTTTGTTCTCATTAGATTAAAAAAATTCTTGATTTCTGCCTTAATTTCATTATTTACCAAAAAGTCAATCATGAGTGTGTTTAATTTCCTCGTAATTGCATGGTTTTAAGCAATTTTCTTAGTCTTGACTTCTATTTTATTGAGCTGTGGTCCAAGAGTGTGTCTGATATGATTTTGTGGGGTTTTTTTTTGTATTTTCTAAGGATTGTTTTATATCCAATTATGTAGTCAATTTTAGAGTGTGTGCCATGAGGTAATGAGGAGAATGTATGTTGTGTTGTTTTTTTCTTTATTTTTTTAAGAGACAGGTTCTTACACTGTGTCGCAGGCTGGAGTGCAATGGCGTGATATGGGTCACTGCAGGCTCAAGCTCCTGGGTTCAAGCAATCTTCCTGCCTTGGCCTTCCAGGTAGCTGCTACAACCAGTGCATGCCACTATACCCAGCTAATTTTATTTTTTATTTTTGTAGAGACAGGGTCTCACTCACTATGTTGCCCAGCTGGTCTTGAACTCCTGACCTCAAGCAATCCTCTCACCTTGGCCTCCCAAAGAGCCTGAATTACAGGCAGAGTACTTTTGGGTCTTGCTATTTTATCCAGCTTGCTATTCTGTGTAGTTTTACTGGGGACTTCATTTCATTTACATTCAAAGTCCATATTGATGTGTGTGGATTTGATACTGTCATTGTGTTGTTAGCTGGTTATTATGCTGGCTTGTTTGTGTGGTTGCTTTATAGTGTGACTGGTCTGTGTATTTAAATGTGCTTTCGTATTAGCTGATAATGGTTTTTCTTTCTATATTTAGTACTCCTTTAAAGATCTCTTGTAAGGCAGATCTGGTGGTAACGAACTCCCCCAACATTTGCTTATTTGAAAATAATCTTATTTATCCTTTGCTTAGGAAGCTTAGTTTGGCTTGATATAAAAAATCTTGGAAAATCTTTTTCTTTAAAAACATTGAATATAGATCCTCCAGTCTCTTCTGGCTTATAGGGTTTCAGCTGAGAGGTCCAACATCTCTTAAAGAAAATGAAGAAATAGAATAATAAAGATTAATAAATTAATCAGCTAGAACATAGAAAATGTAACAATGCATAAACGAACTTTGCAGGTGACTTTGGAAAAAACTGCTAGTTGTTCCCAAAAAACTAGCTAGTTGTTGTTTACTCTCTATGAAGCGGCTACACTGTCTGGGGTATATACCCTGGTTCTTTCTCATGGTTGAGAAAGAATTCAGGACAGAGACACATGTGGGTGGGTTAAGGAGTGGAAAGTTTAATAGAAGAAATGAGAGAAGAGAGAAGCTCCTTGCATGAGAGAGAAACCTCTGAAAAAGTGGGAGGCTGTGAATCTCTGCAGATTTTAAAGGCAAGCTGGATAAGGCAGTATCTGATTACACAGGGCTCACAGATTTGTTCCATCAGGCATGAAGTCTACATAGTGCTTGGGGAAGGCTGGTTGTCCTGCCCTAATCTTATTATGCAAGTGGACTTTCCAGTTGATTGGTGCCATCTTGTCTGCTTCTTACTGTACACTTGGCTAACAAAGAGAAGGGAAGATGGAGCCGCCATCTTGAAAACGTCTAGTCCTTGGTTCCTGCCAGCATTCACTCATGCAAGCTCCCAGCTTGCAGGCTGCTCTTTGCTAAAAAATGATTTGGAGCTATTTTTCATTAAAAAGAAAGGCCTTACCAAGTATTCCCATGCCCTTGCTGTCTGCCTAAGTAATTCCTTCTTAACTCCTATATCATCTAGTTGTTTACACTCTCCATTCTTCTTTAATAATAGAGCAATTATTTTTAGCTGAGTGCATTACCTTCCCACTTCAACAGGGATTGTCTGTCCTGACCTCTCTAACAGCTGTGGTTGGATGGTAAGATAAGGCAGGGTATGTATAACTTTCAGGAAATGGCTTTAACGAGAAGGTTCAAAACTTTATCTTGCTGTTGGAAAAGTGGATATTATGTTTAGGGCTTAAGGATTCCTTTTGCCTCAAATGTAGAGAATGATGGTGTCATTACATATAGGGAGTTAGCCGTTTGTGGTGATATAGTCTCCATTGCCAGTAGTGGAGTGCTCACCACCAAAAGTCTATGTTGAAAAGAAAGTAACTGCTCTCTCCCTCAGCCACTGTAACTTTAAGTGTTTTATGTTGGAAACTAAAAAAAAAAGTTTACAGAATTTTAAAAAGATGAGTAGGCCAAATTATAAGTTAGAGATGAAAATGATATATTATTAACATACATAAAAATAAAAATATTTTCAGAAAAAAAGTCGTTTACGAATGCACTGAAATATTTTTGCAAAATTTAAAATTTCCTACAAAAAGTCAAAATTAATTAAAAAATTTAAACCCAAATTAACCAGTAATGATGATGATGATAGTGGTTACACCAACTACTAATTCTAATAATAAGATAGTCACATGTTGCTTAACAACAAGGATACGTTCTGAGAAATGCATCATTAGGAAATTTTGTTGTACAAACACCATAGAGCATACTTAAATAATCTAGATGGTATAGCCTACTACGTACATAGGCTATATGGTTGAACCTATTACTTCTAGGCTAAAAAGCTGTTTGACATGTTACTGTACTGAATATTGTAAGCAACTGTAACGCAATGCTATTTGTGTACCTAAACATATATAAACATAGAAAGGATACAGTATAAATATGGTATTTTAATCTTACGTGACCACTGTCATATATGGGGACTGTCATTGGCAGAAATGTCATTATGCGGCAAATGACTGTATATATATATATATTTTTCATAATAAGATAGTTTTTAGCCTTAAAAATTTACAAAATCCTGGCATTTGTGACAATAAGTGAAATAAGCCAAACACAGAAAGACAAACACTATATGATTTCATTTATATGTGGAATCCAAAATAGTTAAATTCACATAAGCAAAGAGTAGAATAGTGGTTGCCAGAGTCTTTATGGGAGGGAGAAATGGGAAGATGTTGGCCAAGGGCTACAAAGTTTCAGTTATGCAAGATGCATAATTTCTGGGGATCTAATGCACAGCAATGTGACTATAGTTAACAACACCATTATATACTTGAAATTTGCTAAGAGTATACATCTCAAATGTTCTCACTAAAAAACAAACAAAAATGAAAATAAAGGAAAAAATAATAAAGATGTGAGATGATAGATATTTTAAAGAGCTCAATTGTGGTAATTATTTCACAATGTATATCAAAATATCAAGTTGTACACCTTAAGTATATACTTTTTGGGGGTTAATTCTACTTCAATAAAGCCAGATAGAAAAAGAAATACCCATCATAAATATTTAAAAAATGATGTTACAAATATAGTTGAAGATACTAAAAGACAAGTGTATAGAAACTGATAAAACAGTATTTTATTACAGAAAGTTATGAGAGAAAAAAATCCAGGTGAAACAATAGACTGCTGCGAAATTATAGAAGTAGAGACTGTGCATAAAGATTTGCTTCAGGACATTTAGGAAATACCCTTTTTAAAATGCCTATGCCACCTTTGCAGATCAACTGCTTTCAAAAGATATTTTTTGTTTACTGTATTAGTCTGTTCTCACAGTGCTATATACATTTTTTACCTGAGACTGGGTCATTTATGAAGAAAAGAGTTTTAACTGACTCACAGGTCTGCAGGCTTAACAGGAAGCATGACTATGAGACCTCAGGAAACTTATGATCATGGAGGAATGTGAAAGGGAAGCAAGCACATCTTACCATGGTGGAGATGAGATTTGGGTGGGGACACATAGTCAAACTATATTATTTACTTTTACCATCAACATTATTTTAAACAATTATTTGCTAAGCTTTTTGGTAAGCACTTGCCATAGGCTGTCACAGTTAATTTTTCTAAGAACCTTACGTAGCCAATTGCTAACATTTTGGCTATTTCACAAATAGAGAAACAGGTTTACAGGGCTTAAAATGCCTTACAGAAGGATAAACACCTAGAAATTTAGTAGAACAAGTATTCTACATAAGAGCTCTTATTATGGTCCCTTAACTAGTAATTCAAAAGATATATTATGAAAGTTATAGTCAAATTGTTCACACATTTCAGCATGGGTAAAATAACTTCATCTATGTAATTGCTGGCAAGATACTTACAACTCTACACTTGTTCATTAATCAATATATATTATGGTGTTGTAATGCTGTCTATGGAATTGCTGATTAAAACTAGTGACAAATTTTCTTTTTGGATTCTTCAGGAAATACTTTAGAAAATATTCTTAATTATTCACAAATGTTATTACTATTAAAGGTACATGGATATATTTGGCTACAAATAGTATCCATTTGAAAAATATATCTGGACTTTGAGTGATAGTGATGATGATCTCTCAGTTGCACACTTATCCATATACTCATCCAGGTATATACATTGAATATGTACAGCTTTCTGTTTGTCACTCATACCTCAACAAAGTAGTTTTTTAAATGTCTGGAAAATGAAAACAGTTGTATACAAATATGTATATGTATATATACATATATATCATTCCAGCAGAAATTTTAGTTTATTCTAACTAGTGAAGTGGAGATAGTTACTCAATCAATATAAGGGACAAATTTGTAATTATCAAATTAGAATTGACTAACATTGTGATGGTTAATTTTATGTGTCGACTTGACAGGGTTAAGGGATGCCCAGATAGCTGCTAAATCATTATTTCTGGGTGTGTCTTTAAAGATGTTTCTGAAAAAGATCAGCATTTAAATCAGGAGATTATGAAAGAAGATCCTCTCCCACTAATGAGATTGTCCATCCTCGAATTCACTGAGGGCCCACACGGAACAAAAAGGCAGAGGAAGGGCACATTTGCCCTTTTCTTGAGCTGTCACATTCATCTTCGCCTGCCCTTGAACTTTGGAGTTCCTGGTTCTTAGACCTTCAGCCTGGGACTAAGAGTTACACTATTGACTCCCCTGGTTCTCAGGCCTTAAGACTCAGACAGAATTATAACACCAGCTTTCTTGATTCTCAGTTTGCAAAAAGCACATCGTAGGACTTTACAGCATCCATAATTGCATGAGCCAATTCCAATAATAAATTCCCTTTTATATATCTGTATACATTCTATTGATTCTGGTTCTCTGGAAAACTTTTATATAAACCTGTATATTCCTCTATTATTCAACAATCAGCCAGCACTTTCCTCTAAAGATTCAGAGGAGTGTTTGAGCAATATCTGCTTTTACTACTCACTAGAAAGGCTTTGCCTCCCAATGAGGTACAAAATCAGTTTCAAAGCAGATGAAGGAGCCCTAATTCCAGTGAGGGTGTCTTCCTGGCTTGGACATACGGTGCCTTCTTTCTATCTCCTCATGTTTCTATCCATTTCCTCTCAGTGCTCTGTTTCTCCATATTTATTTTGGAGTGGTTTCTGGACAGTCTAATACACCACAGTTTAATATTTTTCTCTTTATGGCTTATCTATAAGCACCTTCTTCCAAGAAACAGAAATTGGAATCTAGGTGTTCATTTCAACACCTAGGAATTTTAGTTGATCTGTCATTTTCCAACATACTTCTGAATTGTCTTTTTACCTTACATTGTATGTGAACAGCCTGTATGCAATTCGGTATCCTCTAGCTGCATGTTATTGTTTTCTTGGAATTTACAGATTTTTAAATTCAAAGTCATTTAGATACAACCTATTATTTTTCAGCAAATATTTATACTGCCATTGTTTTGCTTTGTGGAAGGATGTAATTCCTATCCCTGTCAATGTTCGATATTTTTCAGCAAATATTTATACTGCCATTGTTTTGCTTTGTGGAAGGATGTAATTCCTATCCCTGTCAATGTTCGACACACAGCTTGCTTTGGCTAAATGAATGTCATGGAAGTGACATATCTCATGTTCAAACAGAGAATTTACATATGCTTGGGGGTTGCCTTGAAGTCTTTTTTTTTCTTTTTTTTCTTTTTTTTTTTTTTTTGAGATGGAGTCTCGCTCTGTCTGTTGCCCAGGCTGGAGTGCAGTGGCGCAATCTCAGCTCACTGCAAGCTCCGCCTCCCGGGTTCACGCCATGCCATTCTCCTGCCTCAGCCTCCTGAGTAGCTGGGACTACAGGCGCCCGCCACCACGCCCAGCTAATTTTTTTTTTTTGTATTTTTAGTGGAGACGGGGTTTCACCGTGTTAGCCAGGATGGTCTCGATCTCCTGACCTTGTGATCCTCCCCCCTCGGCCTTAAAATTGCTGAGATTACAGGCGTGAGCCACTGCACCCGGCCGCCTTGAACTCTTAAAGGCCTGTGATTCACCATGAGAACAGCCCATGTCCCACATGGTCTGGCAAAAACACTGCCACTGACCTACAGATCATGAGCAAGAAATAAAGGTTTGTTGTTGAAAGACACTGAGGTTTTAAAGTTGCTTTCAATATAGCATCATTATTGTAAAATAGAAACAGCAAGTCTCAGAGTATAAGAGATCCAGATATTTGTGATTTTATTCATAACAACTTCTGTTACAACTAAGTGAACATCAGGTGAGTTACTGAAAAGCTCTCTGAACAGGAAAATTTTCGGTAAGGAGCAACTCATAAATGTAATGCCATAATTTACATTTTTGCAAGATGCTACTTAGACAAAGGTTTTGGGGGTCAAGAAATGCATGCAGGTGTGCAATATGAGGGTTAGTGTTTCCCCTCTCAAATGTTACTTTCTGGTACTGTGACATTTGGCTTGGTCTTCCATATATGTACATAATTCTTTATTTAAATTTATCTCTTCAGACACTGTCCTTTCTAAAAATGCTAATTTTGGTTTAATTATTCGGAAGCACTTTATTTACCACTTTTTTTCCCCAAGGATTCCTTACCTTGGAAATATTATTTTTACTTCTTAAGACACTGTTTCTATTCATCCTCATGAAGCTAACTTCTATTATTATTCACAGTGCAGCAGAGGCAGCAACTCCTCAGGGAGGCCTTTCCTCTCTATTCTTATATAGATACCTTGTCTCAATAATATTCTCTCTTAAACCATTCTTCTTTCTCTCTTATTTGGCTAATAGCCCGTAGAGATAAGAGATTATGCCATATTTATCTGTACCTGCAATATTGTAAGTCCTTACTAAATATGAATGTATGAGTTTTTTTTTCTGTGCTTTCTGAGAATCTCTAATTTGTTGGTGCTTTTGATTCTAGCCAGATTTTTCCATTGTATAACACTGAAGTAAAGTAAGGTAGCTGTGTGTATCTAACTGAACTATCACATGCTATATATTTATTTATTTGCTTCCCAAAAGGATTTCTGGCAGAAGCTCAAATTAAGACACTGGAACAAGAAAATTAAAGAAATAAAATGATATACTGATTTAGAAAAACAAGCTAATTCATTTACGAATTGAATCTCAGGATTACTTTTAAAATCCCTTGAAGCCACAGAACACATGGAAACAAAACATAGGTCTAAGCATAAAACAGGGGGTAACAAACAATATAATTAGAAGATTGCAATTTTCTAGATGATAAAGTCTAACAAGATTTTGTACTATAAATAATATAAACTAAAAAAATGAGTAACAATTCTTAAGACAAATTTCTAGAAAAAAATGTAAATAGTCTTATCTGAACATTTCTTAATTAGGCCTTTGATAATAGCCAAAAACATAATATAAAGTTCAGCTATGCACTTACTACTACAGCCTGTGAAAACCTTGAGACCAGCATTCATGCTTCATTCATTTTTATTTACCTGAGACCAAGTACTACCCCACACAGTATAAGTAATGAATTTAACTATAACCTTTTGGCCTGTCAGCTAACAGTTAAGTGAATGTGATTTAGATAGAAAATGCCATATTATAAGTGTGTTATGTAACATATATGTTTAAAGTCTCCTCAAATATATAATTATATAAAATCATTTTTACTTATTTCTTTCCAGTGTATTTTCAATGTATCAATACTCTGGAAAACAGATATTTAAAGTTTTAACATTTTGAATGAAAAGTACTTATGCTCTAAAAAAAGCATGCAGATAATTAATTTGAGGTTATAGAATCAAAATAATATTTTTTACATCTCACAAAGTCATTTTCTAAATTAAAACTTTCTATAGAATTTTACAGAAGTAATTTCTAGCCCAAAATTTCATTTTAAAATTTTTTAAAAATAATTTTTCAATAATTAAGCCAGTAATTAAGGTAATTGATGTAAAATAAGCAGAATATTTTAAATGCCATCATTAGAAAACAGTTTTTATCAAAATCAACAAAATGAACACTCACAATATTAAATTGATATAAATAGTATTCCATATCAGGAGGCAAACAATTTAAATTTTGAGTTATATGCCTGAAAGCATAGAATACATTTTCTAGCATCAATCATAATAAATAATAAATTCTCAATTCATACTTAGGTTTCTCAATGTCTTGTTGTTACATTACTTAATCAGTAAAGTATTATACCTTTAAACTTGATGTAGTTGTTTTATCTGGGTCTTTCAGAAAATCAGTCAAGTTATAATTTAAAAGGACAGTGAATAGTTTAAGCATTTTTGCAATTATTCCTGTCATGTCACATTAAAGAGAAAATATTTATGATTTTAGCATGTGTTATGATGCTCTAAGATTAGGGAAAGTATAAATGGATGTCTTTGGAAGTTCAGATTTTCATAAGTAATATAAAATTATTATTCAATTAATATAGATATCTACTTACCTTCCAATGTTGAACAGGCTCAGTTCACAGAGAATGAGTAAAAGCATATTTTCCACAATCAGACTCCTTTCTATTGTTCCAGCAACACGTCTGAGGAGAGCACCTAATTGATGAAAAAGCCAGATGGTGATACTTACTGTGAGAATTGAAGAAACCAAGAATCTTGGATTATGTTAACATGAACAGTAATGTTGATTAACCTTCATAAATTCCTCCAATTGTCTACGTGTATAAATGACAATAAAACAAAAGGACTGCCCTATTTGAAATATTGGCAAGTGAAATGATCACTCTGGAGAATACAGATCTTTGAAATCAATTATAATCTAAATTCCCAATTACTCTAATAAAAGGGAAATGAATTAGCAAGATCTGTATGTTATATAATTCTGAAGCTTCATCTTTATAATAGATGAATTGTAAATGTATTAGATCAAATTTTAAATTTGTACTAGATAAATTGATTGTGCTAGATCAAATTGTAAAGTTGATCATTTATCTGATCCATCATTTATTCATGAAGTGCTGAAGTTGTTGTGCCTGGTAAAAATGAGTGTCAAATAAAAGTCTACCATGACTTCTGCATAAAACCTACAGTAAGTACAGGAAGATTCTCAGTCAACAAAAACAACTATAATTGAGCCTTGAGGTATAAGCTATGTCCACTTAATACTCCAATTTTCTTCTACCTCTTTCACCCCTGAAACAATAAGACCAACTACTCTTCCTCATTCACCTCAGCCTAGTGAACAGTAAGTCTATTATGATGGAAACCTTAATGATGATTCACTTCCACTTAATAAACAGTAAATATATTTTTTCTTCCTTTGATATTCTCAGTAGCATTTTCTATTCTTTAGCTTACTTTATTGTAAGAATACAGTGTATAATACATGAAACATATGAAACATGTTAATTGGCTGTCCATGTTACTGGTAAAGCTTCCAGTGAACAGTAGATTATTAGTAGTTAAGTTTTTGAGAAGTCAAAAGTCATATATAGATTTTTTTATTGTGCAGGGTGTCAGTTCCCCTAACCCCCGCATTATTCAGGAGTCAACTGTATATTGTAAAATTAAAATGGATAAGTCAGAGAATACACTTATTAACATGCAATGGAAGTTTAGGGTAGACAGCCATATTTATTTCTAGGAAAGTCAGCTATAAAAGGAATTTTAGTAATACACCTATACATTCTGTCTTCCTTCAGAGATTAAGATGGTAGGATTTATGACTTAAGTATGTGATTCTGGAGACAGACTGAAAGCTCTATAGAGCATGCATAGATCTCTTTTGAAGTGATTAATATAAAGAGGTATCCTTTTTTGAAACATGGGAAAAGTCATAATTAATAACTATCCTAATGCTTCCTTGCCTTTTAAAAAAACATAAGAAGAAATTATAGGAAAAGGAAGGCAAGATAAAAGGATGTGATGATAATTTATTCTTTTCACAGAAAAGAATAAAGCAAACAAATTTAACCGAGATTCTAAAACAAATTCTTAACAAACGCATATTGTAGCTTTTGCAGCTATTATAAGAGAATCAAGGTTGATTCAAGTAAGAACTGATGCAGTGGATCTGCAGAGATCCACAATTTAAGGTCTTCATTCTGCGAAGTGAGAGTTAAGAGTCAATATACAAAAGCATTCAGCTTGTACCTCTGGACTTTTTTTTTTTTTTTTTAACTTATAAGGACATGAACACCAATCTGCTTCTAGGCATGCACAGCTGTTCACCTCTGTGAAGTCCAAAGCATTTCTATTAACAAAGCTCCACTTGAACTTCATTTTATTTTCAAAGCAGAAGCATATTGAATGCTTGTATTAGTCCATTCATGCATCGCTATAAAGAAACTCCTGGGCCTGGGTAATTTATAAAGAAAACAGGTTTAATTGGCTCATGATTCTGCAGGCTGTACAGGAAGCATGGCAGCATCTGCTTGGCTTCTGGGGAGACCTCAGGAAACTTACAATGACAAGAGAAGCAAAGGGTGAGTGAGCACTTCACATAGCCCAAGCAGGAGGAAGAGAGGGCAGAGGTACCACACACTTTCAAACAACTACCTCTCATGAGAACTCACTATCCTTATAACAGCACTAAGGCGGGGGTGGCGTTAAACCATGAGAAATCGCCCCCATTATCCAATCACCTCCCACCAGGCCCTACCTCCAGCAATGGGGATTACAATTCAATATGAAACCAAACCTTATCAAGGCTCTAGAATTGTTAGGATTTTGTGAACTGAATTAATCAAAATCAGTATTACTAGGCTAATAAATTACTTCACATTGTTTACAATGATGATATTTCTGGTAATTAATTAAACAATATTCTTATTTCATAGAACGAGGTAAAGAAGGAGCATGTCATACAAAGAGGAGTCTTTGCTCTTATCCAGAAGCATATATGAACCTTAATATTTAGGTTAGACAATGTGATTCATGCAGATATACTGACATACAGATATAGCAAGTTTTGTGGGGATGATTGAAGACGCAACCCTTTCTGTAACCATATGGCCGAATCGTCATGGAAGAAAGGTTTGTTTCACTTAGACAAAAACAAATCATTAAAATTAGGACTGAACTTTTGGGTCAGGTGGAGTGGCTCATGCCTATAATCTCAGCACATTGGGAGGCTGAGACAGGTGGAACACTTGCGGCCAGGAGTTCGGGACCAGCCTGGCCAATGTGGAGCAACCTTGTCTCTACTAAAAATGCAAAAAGAAAAAAAAATTAGTCAGGTGTGATGGCACATGCCTATAATCCCAGCTGCTCAGGAGGCTGAGGCATGAGAATTGTTTGAACCTGGAGGTGGAAGTTGCAGTGAGCTGAGATCATTCCATTGCACTGCAGCCTGGGTGACAGAGTCAGACTGTCTCAAAAAAACAAAACAAAACAAAAAAAACAGGCAACTTCAACTGTATAAAAATCTCAATTTCAGTCTTAATATCTGTATGCAAATGATAGACAGATATAGTTACAAAGATTATCTATCATCATATATATCTATCTATTTGCATATATAGAGAGAAATGGCTAGATATAGATGTATTTATCTTACAGGTATTAGGCAAGAGCCCAAGTCAGTAAAATTCTTTTAACTTGAAAATTAAAACTCAACATCACAACTACTAACAGTGGCAATATTAATTTTAAAAGAATATGCTTGACATATCATCAAGTATTTAAAATTCCTTTTCTCTCTTTCTCTGAAGGAAGGAAAGCTGGTGCTGTGATTGCTACAGGTTAATACTTGCTTTTTATATTGATTTGATCTTAAATATTCATGCTTTACAATAAACCCACCAGCAGGCTTTGAATTTCTTATCTTATTTAAAGACCATTTGGAAGATTCTTCTACTTTCAATTTATTAAGGCTCAAAAATTGTTTTACTTCCCTCCACAACAAAAATTTATTATCACCTGAAACTTCAGAAAGTTGCTTATTGGCAGCCAGCTGATTTCATGGGAACATAATCTAACAACCTCACCATACCTTTTAAGAAGCCAATGAGACAAGAGACTAATTATTCCAGTAGTCTTATTATTCTATCAAATGATCATGAAACTATGTGCCATCACATTCTAAAATTTAATTATAAATATAGTATTTAGTATTTTACTATCCTGCACACATTGCAAAATATTATGTATGCTTGCTTCACTTGTGAAAAGGAATATTTATACACTACTTCAGCTGTCTAACTCCAAGTCAGATTTGAGTCTTCTCTCTAAAAAATTTAAAAATAATCCAGTACTTCTCATATTCCATATGACACAGATTCGTTTCTTAGCAGAGCAAAAGATTTCATGATAGGAGTAGAAAGCACTGGGAGAATGCAGAAGGCTCAAGGAATTAGAACAGAGTAGATAATAATGGCTAACACTAATTTTGTGATTACTAAGTACTAAGTAAGCAAATTAGGCACTTCATGGGTATTATTGCATGTATCTTCATAATAAATGAATGAGGTCATCACCAATATATGCCCAATTACACATAAGTAATGGAGAATAAGCAACCACAAAGATTGCATATCTAGGTATTATTAAAGTTGATATTTTAATTTAATAATGTCTCAAAAGCCCACACTAATGCATTAATATATCATATTTACTCCTAAACATTTTGCAGCATCTGCTCAGGTATGTTTCTGTCTGAAATAATGGAAATAAAATTAGTTAACACATTGATTTTCTTAATATGCATTGGAACTTCTGCTAGGAACTTTATGTACACTACATCAGGTCCAATACACTATAAGCTATTTTAAAGAAGTAAATATATATAATTTCGCCGTTCATTGGGTGACCAGGCAGTACGGCCAAGGTTAAAATACAGGTAAGTGTCACCAGGGAAAAGCCCAGCATGATTCAAGGTCACTGAAACCAGACAACATGCACACCAGCCTCCAGTGGTAGAGAATTCACTTACAGCAAGATGAGAGAGAAAGTTTGCACAGGATCTAGTCCCTGGTGATCTGTGGGCACCCTCACGGCCAGCAGGTTCATTCAGCTACCTTCATGACCCTTGTAGCTGCTCTCTCCACTTTGTACTGCAGTGGACGGACCCATACTTCGTGGGGCCTGAAATACAGAAACCTGGAGGCATGCCTGAGAGCCACTGATGCAGGTGCCTAAACAGAACAAAGGCATGTACTTCAAGCCCAGACCATGGAAAGATGTTCCCTCACAAACAGATGTGCCCATCCAGGCCCCAGGCCACTCTCAAGCAGCAGATCAGAGCACCAGAAGCTCCACATGCTGCCTTTTTCAAGATAAATAACAAAATATTATTATATTACTTTACCTTACCTAACCTTTCCTTACCTTACATTGTGTAATATCACATCATATTAGCTACTTACTTTTTTGGGAAATAAACCATGTATTCAGAGTTTTTTCTGACAAATTATTTACTTTATGGGAAAAAGTGTGTATATGCTGAGTATAATCTTTTAGAACTTCTACATTTCCATTTCATTTTTGTCATGATCTGTGGAACTTCAAAGAAAGATGGAATCAGAATACAGGACAACATTGTTTTTTAATGTCAATGTCATGTATGTCATTAGTGTTTTTGAAATATACAAGAATGAACTGGATTTTCTACATCCAGCATAGCAGAAAGAACTCTGAAAATGTGATCCTCCAGAAAAGAAAAAGAAAGAAAGAAAAAAAAAAGGCACTGGCAAAAACTGTTCAATTAAACCTTTTCAAAACTTTGGAAATTAACCCTGCTTGTACCAATCCAAGACATGTTGTTTCAAGAATAACTGGCTGCATCTCAGTGTTCTCCACTAAATTTAGCTACTTGAGGACAACCCCTAAGGGTTATTTGCTTTTGTGTCTCCATCATCTCACACAGCTACTGCTATATAGCTTATGTTCAGTCAGTATTTCTGGAATGATGAAGGCTCATCCAAGCCTCTTACAGAGAGACTTCCCAAGCCCTGCAAGTCAGTGATGACTGTCTTCAGCATGCACAGCACTCAGCAAACCCTTATAGAACATCTACAGAAAGAAGACTTCTCTGTGGGGCCATGCTTGCAACCCCCTCCTGTGGTTTTTTCACTTCGTCCCATAACTGATCCACCTCTCTACTCCCCATTGCCATAAGCAATCTACCTAAAAACTAAATATGACCAGGCAATTGCCTTTTTTTTTTTTCAAATAAATATCTTGGCTAGTAAGTGTCTTAGCCAGTTTTGGCTGCTATAACAAAATATCATGACTTGGTGGTTGCAACAACAGAAATGTATTTCTCACAGTTCTGGAGGCTGAGAAGTCCAAGATCAATGCTGGTAGATCTGATGTCTGGTGAGGGTCAGCTCCCTGGTTTGCAAATAGTCATCTTTTCATCATTTCCTTACATGGCAGAGAGCAGAGAGCATCTTTCTTTTGTGTCTTCTTTTAAAGACATAATCCCATTCACAATGGCTCCAGCCTTATTACCTAATCACTTCCCAAAGGTCCCACCTCTCAAAACCATCACATGAGATGTTAGGATTTCAACATATGAATTTGGAGGAAACACAAGCATTCAGTCCACAATGGTAACTTTTTATTTTTGTAATTTTTTTAGCTTTAACATCCAAAGATGGCATAACTATTCTTTACAATGCTTTTGGAAAGCAATTTAACAATATCATAATTGACTCAGTCATTTCAGCCGCTCATGAAAATCTATTTTAAAGAATAAACATCAATGGAAAATAACAATATAAACAACAACAAAAATAATCAGAAGGCAAAATATGTAACAATCAAATTTGGTTTTGATGTTTTAGCAGCCTCCTATGGAAATTTTGGAGATGGTATATTATATATTACCAGATAAATAAAAAGATGTACATTCCCTAAAGTCTCTCTTATTCTTCTGGTAGCTTATCTTAAAGTCTTTATGGAAAGTTTCATAATAACCACTCAGGATATTTAAAGAAAAATATAACAGCTAGGACAAATAGAATTATCAGGTTTATAGTGGATCTAAAAGCAAATGGTATTTGGTATACAGAATTACTGAAGATGTAATAGAAATTTCCTCTGGGAATATGGCTTGATTTGTTTCTTATTTGTTGAGGGAGAAAATCTCCTTGCCTCATTTTGCCTGGCTTGTTTGTAATATTTACTGCTGCAAATTGAATTTTGCATCATGCTTACATGCAAACCATCTCTAAGCTTTTCAGTTTTTCCTTCTAATTACTTTTAGATTTAGATTCTCTATATAAAAATCTGCATCTCAAACTATGTTTTCCTCTCTCAAGAATGATTATATCTTTCATGTCTTATCTGCCTCTTTCTCTCTGATTTTCCTTTTAAAGTCATATCTATCATTATATTTAGTAACATTTTAAGAATAGTTTACTTTCAAAAATCATTTTAGTATGATATGTTAATATCATTTTCTGTACATTCTGTTTGAAGGAAAGATCATGTCTCATATAAAATAATACACTCATATTTGCATGTGATAGGTCTAAAACTGGTTTACTGGGTTAAGTAAAACGCTAGAACTTGTATGACATTATATTGTGAAGCATATTGAAATATTAAGCTAAGTAACATTACCGTAAGTGATGTCCCACTGATGTTCATTGTTTCAAGTAAATCTTTTCCACTCCTATACAAATTGTATCGCTAAAAAAAATAAAAACAACACTCTCAATGTGTTGTAAATCATAAGAAATATTTAAAAAATATATATATATGCCATGATTTTTCACCTCCAGGCCTTTGCAGAGGGTACCCTATCTCAGAACACTCCCCATTTTCTGTTTATTTGACAAGACTCCCGTTTATATTTTAGACTAGGTCAAAAATGTCTTTCTGCGCAGTGTCTTTCCCTAAGCAATTTATTCTCTGTGCTAACTTTGTCATGATTACTACATGGCACTGTGATTTACTTTCTCTAAAAACCTGTCACTCACTTTGTTATACTATTTATTATACAGTGACCTAGGCTGGCCTGATGATAGTACTTTATTCCAGTGGCTACCATGATTGATTCAGAGTTGCCACATAATCCAGCAAAGGTTAATTATCATCTCTCTCTCTCACTTTGAGTGGAAGAAGTTAACTGCATTGCCTGTTTTATCAAGAGTTTTACCCATCTTCTCTTTTCTGCATGTTGACCAGTAGAACATCCTATTCAGCAAGAGAAAGGAAGGAAATTTCGCATGCAGAGAAAAAAGAATGTGAGGAAAAGAAGAAAAGTAAAATGCCTGGAGACATCAAGGTCTTTGATTTAAATATTTCCAGAATGTATCCTTATTCTTCATGATTATGCAAACCCACTAATACTCATTTAGGCTGAAGCTAATTTGAGATAAGTTAATGTCCCGTGGAAATGAAAGATTCCTGACTAATATGCATACCTATGTTAAGATTAGGATTTAGTTTTAGTGCTGGCAAAACTTAGTTCAGTCAATTAGCAGTTGATTAAAAGCATTTTAACTACATTTTCTGTAGGATTACATTCTATGGCACTAAAGCGGAGGGTGTTCTGTTTTACATTTCTTTGAATACTGAGTAGGAGATAAAATTATCCAACTATTCAGGACAGAAGGAAGCTAAAGGGAGAAATATATAGTTCAGTACTTAACAATTAGGAGTTCAAATTCCTGGAGGCTAAAATTCTAAAAGAAAAACATCACGAGGAGGAAAAGGAGAGACATCTTCATGCTTCTTTGGTTTACTCCCTCTCCTTTTGTAATAATGTACATAATAGAGAAGTCCCATTAAAAACCAAATGCCAACAAAGAACACATTAAAGTTGCTGGTATTTTTAATTAAAATTTCCTAGTTATTGTTGTAGTGAGAAGGCATTTTCAATTTCTTACATAACACTAGCGGATAGGGAGTTACGAATGGTGAAAATCAATTACATTTGGTTTACCATATGGAGAGCTAAGTATTTCAGAATTAGTTTTTGCTGGCATATGCACCTTTGTATTTTACAAGGGATCAGGAGAAGATGCATTACATGGAAGTAAAAAAAAAAAAAAAACAGGGAGCTTTATTGTATCATCCCCTAGTGTCTAGCCAGTTTGAATTCTTCTCAAGTGAGTTGGCATTTTCTTATAGATCAGTTAACCAAAAACATGTTGTCACAAAAGAGGGACATATCACTAAAGAGTTAATTTGGTTACAGTTGTTCGATTTAATGTTTTGCTCTCTCTTAAAACTTTGCTTGCCATCCCACAGTAATCGTCCTGCAAGCATGAGCACTGACACCCCAAGGAGACAGCAATCCAGAAACAAATTGAGTATTTATATTAGAAAGGAGGAAACCAGAGAGACATAGACCTATAGAAGCACATCCACATGGTTGCACACACAAGCTGACTCAGGCATTTTGTTTGTACTTTGTAATAGGTTTTGCACACTGTGGTTGTCTGGGCAACAGTCAGAGGACAACAGAACTTCACAAATAGTGGAAGTGAAGGTTAGTAGCAAATGTACTGTAAATTAAAATTTACTGAGTAAAACTGTAATGGCATAAATTTGGCATCTATATAAAACTGTCTTTTTAAGCTGACTCATCTTTTTGTCAGTCAGTCTAGTTCTAAGCATATTGCTGATGTGATCGGCCTTTTAATCAACCTGAAAGTGTCTCATTTGTAAAGCGGTAGGGAGGGGAGAGGTTCATCTGAGAAGTCATCTTAGACTATTGACCTGATGCTTTCTGTATGCTACAAATAGAAGCGAAGTTTCGGATCATCCACTACTATGGCCTTCTATGCTCTATTATCTGTTGTAATCATTTAAATATAGGCTTTATTAAGTAACAGAGAAAACGTGTAAGTAATTTCTCCAGTTTACATTTCTCTAGGAGTTGTATTTAGAGCAGATAATACATTGGATCTATCCATATGTAAGAAACATTTTGATGAACTATATCAAAGCCTTGGGATTGGGTTAATTGTGACATTTGCTGACATTGTGACTTTGAAATCAGCTGAAATTTTACAAAGAAATTTAAAAACTGAAGAGTTTTAAACCTAATATATTTGGGCATTTTTTGAACACTTTTCTTTTTCTTTCTCTTGTTATTCTGGAAGAGAAAAGATGACTGTTTTCAAAAGACACCTTCTAACTGCCAAATATATTAAGACATACTTGTTGAAGAGCCAGAGTTTGTAAAAGTTAAAAGACATGATAGTTCAGGTTCTGTTACTGAGATGAAACTATTATATCTTGAGTCAACGGTAAGATTTTCAAGGGGTTTAGGCCTGAGGCTCTGGTGCCTTTCACTGTTGAGAGTTCTCTAAAATAACCTGAACCTTCATATGTCACGATGAAATATATATGCGGGATTCTTTAGTTGACTTTGTGTATATTTGGCCAAGGTTGTTCAAAGGTAAGATCTTGAATAACAAATTTTGTCTTACATTGTGTTTTTGACCAAAATTAACACAAATACTCCACTTCCAACGTTTCCTGAAGCTCTGTATCAAAAATATCCCACAAATACTAGTTTCCATGATTCTTTTTCTATAAAACAAGAATAAAAACATCTTGCCTCTGAGAATTTTTATAATAAGTACCATGTTGAGCAAATTTTCACAGGAAAGTTTTGAATAAAAACCTCATCCAGGGAAATAAAAATTCTAGTTTAAAGAAACTTTAGAAGGATGTTAACAGAAAACATGGTAGTTGTGTTACTTGTGATGCAATTGAATCCACATCAGTAGCTTATTAATGGGATACTGGATTAATTGACATGACAAGCATATTGAAAGTGCTTATCTTTTCCTGACATGGTATGGTGGTTCTAATTTGGGTATAAACCAACTGGATTGTGTGCTATTGGGGTGTAGAAGCAGGGAAGTTGCATTTTGTTGACTCTACTGGCAACCATAAAAAAGTATTGGAATTTCAGCTTGGTCCTTCTCATATTATATGAGCTGAAATGAGTCTAAAAATGAAAATATCCCACGGCAATCTAATATACATGTCTTTCTCATTTTATATAGTTCATTAAAGCCTCTATATTTCTTATATAATTATATTATTAAAGTATATTTCTAAAATTCAGTAAAATTAAAAAATACAGCCATTAGGTGGTAAAATAGTTTATAGGCATTATCCTGGATTAAATAAACAATAATGTGTTACAATATTCGATAAAATATATTTAAATAGTTATGAAACATGTCCTGAAAGAGGTAATAGTAAGGTGATTAACCATCATTTGAGAGACATTGGAGACAACAGAGTCACAAAAGAGAGGAAGAAAAAAGAGGGGAAAGTGCTAAAACACAAAAATGTAAATTAACATTGCAATACCAAGGACAGTGACAGCACATGAGTTTGGGTTGGAATGGCATATTCATTTATTCATTTACTAAACAAAAATGCAGAATGCCTGTTATATTTCAGGCACTTCAATAGTTAGGATTGTCACATATGATATGAAATGCCCAGTTAAATTTGAATTTTACATAAACAACAAATATGTTTTCAGAGGATATGTGACCCTTACAATATTTAGGACACGCTTATACTAAGAACTTACTTTTCTTGTTTATCTAAAAATCACATTTAAGGGGATGTTCTGTATTTTAAATTTGCTAAATCTGGTGACCCCAAATAGATGTGGAGAGAGAACAATAAAAAATACATAATATTTGATGTCAAACAACTTAGAAGCATAGAAATGTATGAAAACAGACAGATGTTTTAAATTGCCAAAATTTGTACACCTAAAATATTAATAGAGTGAAATAAAACTTTTTTTAGGGAAATTAAGTGGTTTGACTCACCACCTCAACATTATTTAATCCTTTCAAGTCAAATCTATTTCTGACCATCCATGCAAACGCTGGTTGCCTTCATCACCCGGTGGAGGTAGTATTTCTTTTATTTTTTTTTTCTTTTTACTTTAAGCTTTAGGGTACATGTGCACAACGTGCAGGTTTGTTACATAGGTATACATGTGCCATGCTGGTGTGCTGCACCCATTAACTCGTCATTTAACATTAGGTATATCTCCTAATGCCATCCCTCCCCCCTCCCCCCACCCCACAACAGTCCCTGGTGTGTGATGTTCCCCTTCCTGTGTCCATGTGTTCTCATTGTTTAATTCCCACCTATGAGTGAGAACATGCGGTGTTTGGTTTTTAGTCCTTGCGATAGTTTGCTGAGAATGATGGTTTCCAGCTTCATCCATGTTCCCACAAAGGACATGAACTCATCCTTTTTTATGGCTGTATAGTATTCCATGGTGTATATGTGCCACATTTTCTTAATCCAGTCTATCCTTGTTGGACATTTGGATTGGTTCCAAGCCTTTGCTATTGTGAATAGTGCTGCAATAAACACATGTGTGCATGAGTCTTTATAGCAGCATGTTTTATAATCCTTTGGGTATATACCCAGTAATGGGATAGCTGGGTCAAATGGTATTTCTACTTCTAGATCCCTGAGAAATCGCCACACTGACTTCCACAATGGTTGAACTAGTTTATAGTCCCACCAACAGTGTAAAAGTGTTCCTATTTCTCCACATCCTCTCCAGCACCTGTTGTTTCCTGACTTTTTAATGATCACCATTCTAACTGGTGTGAGATGGTATCTCATTGTGGTTTTGATTTGCATTTCTCTGATGGCCAGTGATGATGAGCATTTTTTCATGTGTCTTTTGGCTGCATAAATGTCTTCTTTTGAGAAGTGTCTGTTCATATCCTTTGCCCACTTGTTGATGGGGTTGTTTGCTTTTTTCTTATAAATTTGTTTGAGTTCATTGTAGATTCTGGATATTAGCCCTTTATCAGATGAGTGTATTGCAAAAATTTTCTCCTATTCTGTAGGTTGCCTGTTCACTCTGATGGTAGTTTCTTTTGCTGTGCAGAGGCTCTTTAGTTTAATTAGATCCCGTTTGTCAATTTTGGCTTTTGTTGCCATTGCTTTTGGTGTTTTAAGACATGAAGTCCTTGCCCATGCCTATGTCCTGAATGGTATTGCCTAGGTTTTCTTCTAGCGTTTTAATGGTTTTAGGTCTAACATGTAAGTCTTTAATCCATCTTGAATTAATTTTTGTATAAGGTTTAAGGAAGGGATCCAGTTTCAGCTTTCTACATATGGCTAGCCAGTTTACCCAGCACCATTTATTAAATAGGGAATCTTTTCCCCATTTCTTGTTTTTGTCAGGTTTCTCAAAGATCAGATAGTTGTAGACATGTGGCATTATTTCTGTGGGCTGTGTTCTGTTCCATTGGTCTATATCTCTGTTTTGGTACCAGTACCATGCTGTTTTGGTTACTGTAGCCTTGTAGTATAGTTTGAAGTCAGGTAGCGTGATGCCTCCAGCTTTGTTCTTTTGGCTTAGGATTGACTTGGCAATGTGGGCTCTTTTTTGGTTCCATATGAATTTTAAAGTTTTTTCCAATTCTGTGAGGAAAGTCATTGTTAGCTTGATGGGGATGGTATGGAATCTATAAATTACCTTGGGCAGTATGGCCATTTTCACGATATTGATTCTTCCTACCCATGAGCATGGAATGTTCTTCCATTTGTTTGTATCCTCTTTTATTTCATTGAGCAGTGGTTTGTAGTTCTCCTTGAAGAGGTCCTTCACATCCATTGTAAGTTGGATTCTTAGGTATTTTATTCTCTTTGAAGCAATTGTGAATGGGAGTTCACTCATGATTTGGCTCTCTGTTTTTCTTTTATTGGTGTATAAGAATGCTTGTGATTTTTGCACATTGATTTTTGTATGCTGAGACTTTCCTGAAGTTGCTTATCAGTTTAAGGAGATTTTGGGCTGAGACGATGGGGTTTTCTAGATATACAGTCATGTCATCTGCAAACAGGGACAATTTGACTTTCTCTTTTCCTAATTGAATACCCTTTATTTCATTCTCCTGCCTGATTGCCCTGGCCAGAACTTCCAACACTATTTTGAATAGGAGTGGTGAGAGAGGGCATTCCTATCTTGGGCCAGTTTTCAAAGGGAATGCTCCCAGTTTTTGCCCATTCAGTATGATATTGGCTGTGGGTTCCTCATAGGTAGCTCTTATTATTTTGAGATACGTCCCATTAATACCTAATTTATTGAGTTTTTAGCATGAAGGGCTGTTGAATTTTGTCAAAGGCCTTTTCTGCATCTATTGAGATGATCATGTGGTTTTTGTCATTGGTTCTGTTTATATGCTGGATTACGTTTATTGATTTGTATATGTTGAACCAGCCTTGCATCCCAGGGATGAAGCCCACTTGATCATGGTGGATAAGGTTTTTGATGTGCTGCTGGATTTGATTTGCCAGTATTTTATTGAGGATTTTTGCATCAATGTTCATCAAGGATATTGGTCTAAAATTCTCTTTTTTTGTTGTGTCTCTGCCAGGCTTTGGTATCAGGATGATGCTGGCCTCATAAAATGAGTTAGGGAGGATTCCCTCTTTTTCTATTGATTGGAATAGTTTCAGAAGGAATGGTACCGGCTCCTCCTTGTACCTCTGGTAGAATTCGGCTGTGAATCCATCTGGTCCTGGATTTTTTTTGGTTAGTAGGCTATTAATTATTGCCTCAATTTCAGAGCCTGTTATTGGTCTATTCAGAGATTCAACTTCTTCCTGGTTTAGTCTTGGGAGAGTGTATGTGTCAAGGAATTTATCCATTTCTTCTAGATTTTCTAGTTTATTTGCGTAGAGGTGTTTATAGTATTCTCTGATGGTAGTTTGTATTTCTGTCGGATCAGTGGTGATATCCCCTTTTTCATTTTTTATTGTGTCTATTTGATTCTTCTCTCTTTTCTTCTTTATTAGTATTGCTAGCGATCTATCAATTTTGTTGATCTTTTAAAAAAAAACCAGCTCCTGGATTCATTGATGTTTTGAAGGGTTTTTTTGTGACTCTATTTCCTTCAGTCCTGCTCTGATCTTAGTTATTTATTGGCTTCTGCTAGCTTTTGAATGTGTTTGCTCTTGCTTCTCTGGTTCTTTTAATTGTGATACTAGGGTGTCAATTTTAGATCTTTCCTGCTTTCTCTTGTGGGCATTTAGTGCTATAAATTTCCCTCTACACACTGCTTTGAATGTGTCCCAGAGATTATGGTATGTTGTGTGTTTTTTCTTGTTGGTTTCAAAGAACATCTTTATTTCTGCCTTCATTTCGTTATGTACCCAGTAGTCATTCAGGAGCAGGTTGTTCAGTTTCCATGTAGTTGAGCGGTTTTGAGTGAGTTTCTTAATCCTGAGTTCTAGTTTGATTGCACTGTGGTCTGAGAGACAGTTTGTTATAATTTCTGTTCTTTTACATTTGCTAAGGAGTGCTTTACTTCCAACTATGTGGTCAATTTTGGAATAGGTATGGTGTGGCGCTGAAAAGAATGTGTATTCTGTTGATTTGTGGTGGAGAGTTCTGTAGATGTCTATTGGGTCCGCTTGGTGCAGAGCTGAGTTCAATTCCTGGATATCCCTGTTAACTTTCTGTCTCGTTGATCTGTCTAATGTTGACAGTGGGGTGTTAAAGTCTCCCATTATTATTGTGTGGGAGTCTAAGTCTCTTTGTAGGTCTCTAAGGACCTACAAAAAAGTTAACTCATTTTCATGTTAAAATAAACATAGGCACTCAGTTTTGAATGCTGATTTCAACAGGCGTGAGCCCGTGCGCCCAGCGACTTTCAAGGTCTCAAAATGACTACTGCAGCTCCAGGCATTGCATACGCATTACTGGAAAAAAATAAAAAGAAACTCAAAGCATGTCTCTTTAAGGCATATTAATCATATTTGTGTATGTGCCTCTTATTACTTTTTAGATCAAGGTAAAACTCTTGTTACATAAAATTCACTATTTTTAAATGTACAGTTCAGTAACTTATAGTGCATTCACAATGTTGTGCGATCATCATCTCTATCTAGTTCTAAAACATTTTCACCATCACAAAAGAAAGCCCTGTACCAATTAAGCGGTTACTTCCCAACCCATGGAAAATACTAATCTGTTTTCTATCTCTATGCATTCATCTGTTCTGGATATTTCATACATATAGAATTACATACTTTGTCTTTTGTGTCTAACTTATTTCACTTAGCATAATGTCTTTAAGGTTGAGTCACATTGTGGTATGTATTAGTACTTCACTCCTTTTTCTTTTTTTTTTTTTTTTTTTTTTGACGGAGTCTCACTCTGTGGCCCAGGCTGGATGGAGTGCAGTGGCATGATCTCGGCTCACTGCAAGCTCCGCCTCCCGGGTTCACGCCATTCTCCTGCCTCAGCCTCCGAGTAGCTGGGACTACGGGCGCCCGCCACCACTCCCAGCTAATTTTTTGTATTTTTAGTAGAGAGGGCGTTTCACCGTGTTAACCAGGATGGTCTCAATCTCCTGACCTCGTGATCCGCCCGCCTCGGCCTCCTAAAGTGCCGCGATTACAGGCGTGAG
The DNA here is from genome assembly GCF_000001405.40 of Homo sapiens. NCBI lineage: Eukaryota > Metazoa > Chordata > Mammalia > Primates > Hominidae > Homo > Homo sapiens. Next base: position 34,626,766 of record NC_000004.12, read on the forward strand.
CTACCGCGTCTGGCCTACTTCACTCCTTTTTTATGACTACCTAAAATTCAATTGTATGGCTATAACCCATTTTTTTTCCATTCATCTGCTGATGGACATTTAATGTGTTTCTACCTTTGGGCTATTGAGAATAGTGCTGTTATAATCACTCATACAAGTATTTGTTTAAATACCTGTTTTCAATTTTGGGGGGCTATATACACAGGAATAGAATTTCTGGCTCATAGATAATTCTATGTTTAACTTTTTGAGCCAGTAACAAACTATTTTCCAAAGAGACTACGACATTTTACATGCCAATCAGCAATAATGATGGGTATTATTTTTTCACATCTTTGCCGGTTACTGCTATTTTTCATTAAATAATTTATAGCCATGAATGTGAAGTGGTATCTCATTGTGGTTTTGATTTCCATTATTCTACTAAATAATGATGTTGAGCATCTTTTTATATGTTTGTTAGTCATTTGCATAATTTCTTTGGAGAAATGTTTATTCAAGTCTTTCACCCATTTTTAAATTGAATTGTCTGCTCTTTTGTTTTTAAGTTGTAAGAGTTCTTTTGTTGTTGAGTTGTAAGAGTTCTTTATGTATTCTGGATATTAGACACTTATCAGGTATATAATTTTCAAATATTTCTTCCATTTCAAAGGTTGACTTCTTACATCCTCGATATTATCTTTGATACACAAATTTTTTTAATTTTTATGAAGTCCAATTTAATTTCTATGAAATTGTATAGTTTTAGCAGTTACAATTAGTTGTTTGATGTATTTTGAGTTGATTTGTCTGTTTACTGTAGGACAGGCAGCATCCACCTTCAATATTTTACATGTGGATATACAGTTGATCAAACAGCATTTGTTGAAGAGATTCTCCTTTCCCCATTGGCTGGTCTTCGCATCCATGATAAAAATCAATTGAACATAGGGCATGGGATTATGTATGGCCTCTCAATTCTATTCCATTATTCTATATGTCTATTATTACACCAACACCCTACTGTTTATATTACAGTAGCTTTGCAGTAAGCTTTGAAATTGGAAAGTGTTAGTCCTCCAATTTTGATTTTTCTTCAACATTGCAGTGTGTATTCTGGATCTCTTACAGATCAGCTTTTTTAAATCTGCAACAACAACAACAAAATAACATTTCAAGGTTTTTATTGAGACTGCATTTTGTCTTCTGATCACTTTGGGTAGTATTTTCATTTTGTCAATATTAAGTCTCCCAATACATGAACACAGCATGTTTTTCTATGAGACATTATTTTTATTAACTCTTTGTCAGCCATTAACATCTACATATCACAGGCCACAGCCATATCATATCCCTGTAACTAACAGGAAACCTTGGAAATTAAGTTCAGCTCTTGCTGCCCTGAAAGTGTCAGGGTTAAGTTATAAAGAAGGAATATAAAATTAATATTGAGGAATTGAGTAATTAGCAGTGTCTGCTACACCTCATTATGACCAAACTGATGTAGAACTCACAGTTTCCAGTTTCATAATCATGTTTTTGAATGCATTAAAATTAGACTTTTTAAAAATGAAATTATCTAAAATTGTAGAAAGCTAAGAACCACTCTGTGAAGAGCTGTGGCTGTTACTGGAGCCCCTACACATTGTTCTCATGTCATGAAAGCTGGCTTCTCAGAGTCAACAATTTCAAGAGACAAGAAGTAGGTTTAGCCCTGGAAATTGATATAGCATCAATTCTGACACATTCTACTGGGCAAAGGACTCATAAAGCCTGTACATATTGCAGATCGAGAGAAAGAGGGCCCACTGCTAGATAAGAGGAATATGAAAAAATTTGTAGCTGTATGCAGACCAATAAAATCTGCACCTGAGCCACAAATTATTTACATTCCTGACACATACAGAATGCCCCATTTCCAAGACTCTAAAATGTTTAACCCATTAGTCGAACAGGATTAGGCTTAAGTTCCAAGATCTCATCATATAAATCAGGTTCAGGAATGAATTATATTTCTCAGGGGCAGTTATTCTTAGCTCTAAAGATCTGTGAACTAAAGAGACAAGTTATCTGCCTGGAATTATTCTGAGGAATTTATGTAGGATAAAAGAGTCTAGTCACAGATGTAATCTTACTTAAAGTTATTTCATACTTTAAGAATCTTTTACGGAAAGAGCCTAGAAATGAGAAAGTTTCATTTTCAAATTTAGAATTTTCTGCTTTTTAATATTTCTCCTAAATGCTACTCAAAATTGCAACGGTTCTTTTTAAAATTTATCTATCTTTCCCTGGGTTATATCATAGGCAGCTAGTAAAAGTCAGATGCCACTTTCTATGTTGTTCCTAAAAAATCTCTCCTGCTAAATTGGCTGCTTAATTAGACAGTCTTTATATTTTCCATATTCCCACAGGTGACATTGTTGCCAAATTTGCCCCTACTACATGAAAGTTATACCTTTCCTCTAGCATTCAACATCTTCTTACTGTCTTTCAAGTCATTAAGCATTCTTGAGGATCTCCTAGCTTTCACACACAATCTTGCCAAAACCCTTCCAGCCTCTGCTCACTGCCTAGCTTGAAAGCCAATGTCATACATCTTAAGTTACTGGTGTGTAGTACTTCACTTTTATGTACCAAATTTCTGTTTCGGTTTTATATTACTAAGTAATAAACTACCTTATCATTTAGTGGCTTAAACCAACGAAATTATTTTGTGGGTCATAAATTTGGGGAAACTTTGACTAGAGTATTTTCCTCTAAACTCCATAGTGTTAAGTGGGCTGGCTAGGGCTGGAGGATCTACTTTCTGGATCACTTTCTTACTCACATGTCTAGCACTAGGATTGGGATGCTAGTAGCCAGTTAGCAGTTGATGCTGGGAGCTGTTAACAACAGTGCCTACATGTGGTTTCTCCATATGCCTTGGGTTTCTCCAAGTACTGTGGCTGAGTCCCAAAGGGAATACAATTATAAGCAAATATTTTCAGAGTAGATGTAGAAGCACCCAGTGCCTTAGGGCCTCAGCCCAGAAATAGGTACAAATTGATTCTACCATATTCTATTCTTAGAAAGTCACAGATCCTGCCCAGATTCACGGGAACGGGAAATAATATACCCCTCCTAAAAATAGAAGGTGTGTCAAAGAATTTATAGCCATCTTTTATGTTGAATATATCACTGGCAAAATTTATTGAAGTTGAATATGTGTATATCTTTTAACGCAACATTCTTTTACTTCCAGTATATTTCAGTAAACATATATGCAACATACATGTGTACATGATCCCCAAAGACAAGTGTTCTCACAATAGTACTATTTTTAACTTTTCAAAAACAAAAACACTTAGATGAATATTAACAATAAAATTGATACATTTCTGTATCATAACACAGAGCTACAAAATACAGAACTGAACACTGAATAATCTACAACTATACAGATACATATGGAAAAAAATTACAGGCATTACGTGGGATGTAACGTTAGGACAAAATATTACATACTCTCATTTCATTTATATAAAGTTAAAAAAGGCAAACTGAATCTATTGGGTCAAATGTTGATATGAGTCATGGATTAATCTTCTATGGTGTTGGGAATGTTCAGTGTCCTGGTCTTTTTTTCTGTTTTGTTTGTGATAACATGTACATTTTTCTTTTTGTGTATTCTACCACAATAATCATTTCCCCAAAAAAAGACAAAAATATTATTTCATATTTGTTTCCTATGATTCTATGACAAATTATCACAAATTTAACAGACTAAAACAGCCCAAATTTATTATCTTACAGTTCTGAAGGTCAGAAGTACAAAATTGGTCTTACTGAGCTCATATCATTGTGGCCAGGGCTGCATTCCTTCTAGAGACTCTAAGGAAAAATTAGCTTCTTTGCTTTATTCACCTTCTAGAGTCCATCAGCATTCCTTGGTTCATGGCCTTCTTCCAACTTCAAATACAGCATTATAACATTTTAAAATTTCTCTTCGATTGTGAGTCTACTGCATTGTGATAAAATTGAGTCCACAAAAATAGGGTAGTCTACCTATCTCAAGTCTCTTAACTTAATCACATTTGCAAAGTCCCTTCTGCTATGTAAGGAAACATATTCACAGGTTCTAGGGATTAGAACATAGACATCTTAACCTCAACATAATAAAAGCCATATATGACACATCCATGGTTAGTATCATACTGAATGGGGAAAACTGAATGACAAGAATGCCCACTGTCATTACTGTTATTCAACATAGTACTAGTAGTCCTAGCTAGAGCATCAAATAAGAGAAAGATATAAAATGTAACCATGTTGAAAAGGAAGAAGTCAAATGATCCCTGTTTTCAGATAATATGATCTTATATTTGAAAAAAAATCTAATGACTGCACAAGAAAACTATAAAAATTCAGTAAAGTGGCAGGATACAAAATAAACATACCCAAATCAGGACATTTCTATATGTCAACAGTGAACAGTACAAAAAAGAAATTTTAAAAGCAATCCTATTTACAACAGCCACACAGAAAATTAAATAAACAAAGAAGTGAAAGATCTCTATAATAAATCAAATAATTAAAAAATATTTATAATACATTACAACAAAGAAGTGAAAGATGTCTATAATAGAAACCATAAAACACTTTTGAAGAGAACACCAAAAAACTAGAAAAAAATTCAATGTTCATGGATTAGAAGAATCAATATTATTAAAATGCCCATACTGCCCAAAGCAATCTACAGATTCAGTGTAATCCCTATCAAAATACCAATGACATTCTTTACAGAAATAGAGAAAACTATGCTAACATTTATGTGGAACCACAAAGCACCAAGAATAGCTAAAGCTATCCCAAGCAAAAAGAACAAAACTGGAGAAATTACATTACATTACCTGACTTCAAATTATACTACAAAGCTTTAGTAACCAAAACAACATGGCACTGGCAAAAAATAGACACATAGACCAAAGTAACAGAATAGAGAAACCAGAAACAAATCCATACACCTACAGTATACTCATTTTCAACAAATGTACCACTAGGGAAATGATAGTCTCTTCAATAAATGGCTCTCGGAAAACCGGACATCCATATGCAGAAGAATGTGCCCCTGTCTCTTGCCATATACATAAATCAAAATGAATTAAAGACTTAAATCTAAGACCTCAAGCTATAAAACTTCTACAAAAATTTTAAAGAAAGTGTCCAGGACATTAGTCTGGGCAAAAGTTTCTTCAGCAATACCACACAAGCACAGGAAACCAAAGCAAAAACGGACAAATGGGATCATATCAAGTTAAAAAGCTTCTGAATAGCAAAGAATACAATCAACAAAGTGGAGAGACACCCCACAGGATGAGAGAAAATATTTTCAAACTACCCATCTGACAAGGGATTAATAACTAGAATATATAAGGAGCTCAAACAACTGTATAGGAAAAAATCTAATAATCCAATCAAAAGATGGGTAAAAGATTTTTCAAAAGAAGACATACAAATGGCAAACAGGCATTTAAAAAGGGGTTCAACATCACTGACCATTACAGAAGTGCAAATCAAAACTACATTGAGGTATCATCTCACCCCTGTTAACGTGACTTATATCCAAAAAACAGGAGATAACAAATGCTGGTGAGAATATAGAGAAAAGGAAACCCACATACACTGTTGGTGTGAATGCAAATTAGTACAACTATGGAGAACAATTTGGAGGTTTCTTCAAAAACTAAAACTGGAGATACCATATGATCTAGCAATCCAAGTGCTGGATATATACCCACAAGAAAAAAAAATCAGTGTATCAAACTGATATCTGCACCCCTATGTTTGCTGCAGCACTGTTTCCAATTGCTAAGATTTGGAAACAACTAAGTGTCCACCAACAGATGAATGGATAAAGAAAATGTGGTACATATACTCAATAGAGTACTATTTAGCCATAAAAAAGAATGAGATCCAGTCATTTGCAACAACATGGATAGAACTGGAGATGATTATGTTAAGCGAAGTAACTCAGGCACAGAAAGACAAACATTACATTTTCTCATTTATTTTTGGAATCCAAAAATTAAAACATTTGAACTCATGGATATAGTAGAAGGATGGTTATCAGAGGCTGAGAGGGGTAGTGGGGAAAAAGCAGTGAGGTGGGGATGGCTAATAAGTACAAAAAATAGTTAGAAAAAATGAATAATATCTATTATTTGATAGCACAATAGGGGGATTATAGTCAATAATTACTTAACTATACATTTTAAAATAATGTAGCTCAGTGGATAAATGCATGAGAGATGTATATCCTATTCTTCATGATGGGCTTATTTCACATTGCATGCCTGTATCAAAAAACCTCATGTACCCCATAAATATATTCACCCACTATGTACCCACAAAAATTGAAAATAAAATAAATTTATAAAAATAATGGATTTTGTCTTCAGAGAATCCTGTCAGAGTATCCATAATGTTATAAAAGAATTTCAAGAAAGATGTTTCCTAAGTTTCCTATGTTCCAATATCACCTCTGAATTTCTGCCCTAACCCGGAACACAATTCCAGTATTTTCCAATTCAAAAAAACTTTGCAGGATTGTGATATCATTATAAACAGCTTATGATCTCAGTGGCTTAACCACAACAATGTTCTTTTTGCTCACAATGTATGTCAGCAGCAGTTCTCTGGAACTGCTCCAGCCATTGAAGTCAACTATGATTTTGTTTCATTCTGCTTGGCTCTACCCCATGAATTTTCTTTATTCAAATATTCAGACTAAAGCAGAAACCACTTTAAAACATGCTGTTCTTTTTAGAAGAGTACTATCCAAAACATAAAATGACTCGAAGTTTCCACTTAGAATATGCATACATCACTTCTGCTCAAATCCCATTGGGTAAGTAAGCCATATGGACCAACCATAGCTCAAAGAGGTAAAGGAATAAAGCTCTCCTGCAGGAGAACTCTGGCTTCTATGTACAACAAACTCTGGCCTCAGGGAAGGCCTATTCTGCATTTCCTTTTATTTTGAATTTTAAAAATTCCCCTTATTTCTTCTTGTAATCAATTATAATGTTATAATTTATAATAATATGATAATTCCCTCCACATAAATGAGTCTTTGTTTCTTACAAAGAAATGTAACCAAATTAAATAATTATACTTGAGTTTATCAGATATATACTTCATTATCTATACCTATAACCACTAAGTAGTGTTTGATACCTACTAAATGTTCAATAATAGCTACACAACTTACACTAATTGCCAGAGAGAAATCATTCATTTTCATTTAATCAAATTAAAATGAGAGGAATCTTATTATTATATCAGTTCAAAATAAACAGGAATTGAAGTTTTAGAAGTTTAATTGGGTCCAAGATTATACAGCTAGAGAATTACAGAGACAGGATTTGAACGCAGGCAATCTGACTCAAAAACCATGCATGGAACTGAAATTTATGAATTTAATTGAAATAAGGAATATTATGTTTAATTAGGATGTAGTAATCTTCAATGATACATATTACTTCAATTTCTAGGTTGTATATTTAATCAACAAAACGTATTTAAGTTATGTAAAATTAAATCTTCAAGGAATTTTTAGATAATAGTTACATATACCAAATTATAAATTGCATATTCTCTTGCAGCTGCTTTTAATGTGACAGTTTTTAGAACTACAGGAATGTAGGTCGTTTTTTTGCAAATATGACCACAATAAATTCTTCTATACCAGCATTCATACTGCTTTCTAATTAACTCTATTTTCCCATCAAGAAGTATTTCTACTCCTGAATTCAGGTTTGAGAAAGAAAATTAATCAATAGGAATGTTATACCAACATTTCTAAAAGCAGTGTTATTAATTCAGCATATAAGCAAAAGATTTTAATTAAATGAAAGAAACTCAGGCTTGCGCATTGCTATTTTTGTGGTTTAGAACCATTGTGGATAGATACTACACAGCAAAATGAGCATATTTTCAAAGAAAGACAGTAGGCATTAAATTAAAATATATCAATGTATACTATTCTAAACTATGAATAAATGTCTCAAAAATTTGAATCTATCCACAGTGCTAATGTTTATATCTTCTTTTATATGCAGAAATATCTTTTTATAGTTTAAGTTCCGTTATAAATTACAGTGTTGTCTTTGTTTAAGTTTTTCCTCAGCTTAATAACAATAATAATAATAATAATAGAATCAGGGTGAAGAACTACTTTTCGCAATCAAGTGATGTCTTCGTTTGAAAAGTACAAACAATATTCTGCTTTTCAATAAATATGTTAAAATGGCATTGTTATCAGAGTCATTTATTTGATGATCAAAAAAACAAAAAAAATTCAAAACATAAACATCAAATATATCCTAAGGGAATTCATTAAATTTCATATAATTGATATTGTTAATATAATACCTCTTTACTAAAGCTTATAAAATTTATTTCAATTATGTGTTTGAAGGATAAATAGTGCTGTTATAAATATTTGGTCTATGTATTTCAAATAAACATGTCAAATAAATGATGATTTCTCAAATATTAAAGTATACATAAATGTATCTCTCATTTAACAAGTCTACTTATAGGATCTATTCCAAATGTACACTGACAAAAGCATGAAAAGATGTATACACGAGGGTATTTGTTGTAGACCTACTTGTCATAGCAGAAAGCTGGTAAAAACTCAATATTCAAAAATAGGGAACTAGTTCAATGACCAGAGAAAATGCATACAATAAAGTACTGAAAAAAGAAATCAGTACTGAGAAATTTTTCTTTATTTTGTTAAGAAAATATAACCAGTTTATTTTTAAGTTAAACATAATAATAGTTTGAAATACATTTATTTACTTACGCTCCTTTGAGGCTCAGAACAATTAACAAGTGCCAGCCAAAGAAGCTCACATATATACAAATATCTGCTTTCTTGTTCAAAATAATCATAGAAGGATAACCATAATATTTTTTAAATATTTCCTATAGGGTAAGGAAGGGAATCGATTGGAGGGGATATGATTAGAACCTAGCCTTCTATGAATGCACATTATATTGTAAATATAATTTTGGAAACACATAAACACTTTATATGATTATAAAATTAAATTCAAAAGAAGCAAGTCCTAATCATTTAAACTGAAACAAATGAAACTATGTATACAGTTATATAGTGGAAGTATTCCAAGTGACAATAAGGCACAATAATTTGATTGTGCATCCTAGCGAAATATACCCTTGGGATAAAAACATATTCAAAACAATATTTACATTAATATAATTGCTCTTTTTTGATGAATTCGATTATTTATGGTGTCATCATTTTGAGAAGGTTAAGCATGTAGTACAAATAAGTAAGTAGGTTTGTGTAATAAGAAATTAAATTTTTTGATGTGCTGCTGGACTCAGTTTGTCAGTATTTTATTGAGGATTTTTGCATCAATGTTCATCAGGGATATTGGCCTGAAATTTTCTTTTTTTGTTGTGTTTCTGCCAGGTTTTGGTATCAGGATAATGCTGGCCTCATAAAATGAGTTAGGAAGGAGTCCCCCTTTTTCTGTTGTTTGGAATAATTTCAGAAGGAATGGTACCAGCTCTTCTTTGTACTTCTGGTAGAATTCAGCTGTGAATCCGTCTGGTCCTGGGCTTTTTTTGGTTGGTAGGCTGTTAATTACTGCCTCAATTTCAGAGCCTGTTATTGGTCTATTCAGGGATTCTACTTCTTCCTGGTTTAGTCTTGGGAGGGTGTGTGTGTCCAGGAATTTATCCATTCCTACAAACCTGCATGTTTTGTACATGTATCCCAGAACTTAAAGTAAAATTTAAAGAAATTTAAATTTAAAAACAAGTGAAAAAAGGAAAAAAGAAATTAAATTCTTTTTGTGTGGAAATATAGAAATAGAAATATAAGAATGATGAGATAAATTAGGAGTCACATAATTCTGAAGGCCAATTGGAAATAGAAGTTTAAACTTTGTTTTGTCTGTCTGAACCCATGGCTGGAGTTATCCCAGAAGTGTTGGCATGGAATTCTCACAGGAGTCTGCCCCAAACTGTCACAAAATGGGATTGGAATTGTTGGAATTCCAAAGAAAGAAGCACTGAGTACCAGGGAGATCAGTCCAAAGGATTCTTAAGGGAAACTTACACAGGGAGTGCTACAGTGACCCTTGCGATGGGCAGACAGAAAACAGATGTACCTACGTATGTCCCCTATAAAGTTTATATAAAAGTTTGAGGAATTTAGGTTAGGGCCAGAGATAGTTTTTACTGTTTACCAACATATTTGATCTTTGGGTATTTTAGGCAACAGCCCAAAGAAGTTCATCAGTACATGGAAACGTTCAAGGCCCCTGCATAGGTTCAAGCCTGAAGGTAAAAACATGCAGCTAGTTGCTTCACAGAGAGGTCAAGGCACTCCCACAAACACATATGATTTTTTTTTTTTTTTTGGTAAATACATATTTTGAAGCTCTATTAGTTAAAACCAGCTGGAAACAAGGACCACATATGTAACTATGAACACCCTGCTTTTACAGATTTTCCCAAAAAAGCATTTCCTCTGAAAGGGACAAGGTTTCTAAGAGAAAGGGCTGCTTCATGTCTGAGACAGAAAATGTGTAAGATGATCCTTGAGCATTAAGGGCACCAACAAAGACTGCCAGGATCACATCAAAAGAACTCAAATGCCAAATTGAACACTCTCAAAGACACATCTAGAATAAAGTTTGACCAAATGTCTGGGCACCCTGGGGCCCACTTATGTTTACACAAAAAATTAGCCACCACATTGCCCATCAATACAAATGTGAAACTCTGAAGATCCCAATGAAACAAAGAGAAAAATGGAGACAATTGTGCACAAATTTAGATTTTAAGTTTCTCTATATATTTCACAGCTGGTAGGCAACTGAATAAGAAGAGGGAATTATTTTCCCTTAATTTTCTAGATTTCAGAACTGAGTCTTGACAGTAATTTGTAGTTTAGGGGCATGTGTATTTAGTTATAATCTAAATAATGCTTCAAAATGTATTAAGTTATTATGTACAAATTAGCTTATTTGATTCCTCAGAACAGTGTTATAAAGGGAGGAGCCTATTTTTTTTCCAATATCTTTTAAATTAGGAAACAGGCTCAAAGATCTTAGTCTAGGGATATATTTTACAGCATATCAAAAGTTAAAATGGGTATCAAATGTAGACCCTAGTTCACCATTTTATTCACAAATTAAAATTAAGATAATGAAATATCGCTTCACACCTATCAACTCAGCAAAATCTTCAAGAGGATATGAGGCAGAAAATGTTATCATCTATTACTGATAGGAACATATAAATGTCACTGCATGTTAGAAAGGTAAAGTTTTGCAGTACTTTTGGAAACCACAACAATGCCTTTTAATTAAAAAAAAATACGTAAGGCCGGGCACGGTGGCTCACGCCTGTAATCCCAGCACTTCGGGACGCCAAGGCAGGTAGATCACTTAGTCAGGAAATCGAGACCATCCTGGCTAACATGGTGAAACCCGTCTCTACTAAAAATACAAAACAAAATTAGCCAGCCCGGTGGCGGGCGCCCGTAGTCCCAGGTACTGGGGAGGCTGAGGCAGGAGAATGGCATGAACCCAGGAGGCGGAGCTTGCAGTGAGCCGAGATTGCGCCACTGCACTCCAGCCTGGGCGACAGAGCGAGACTCCGTCTCAACAACGACAACAACAAAAAATACATAAATACTTAAATCCAGCCATGCTACACCTAGAAATTTATTTAGTGAAAGCTAAACATCAACATATAAGATTTGATGTTCATACAAAATACAAAAAGATATTGATTACAATATTGTCCATAATGGTTAAAACTGTACAGTAAGAGAAATCAGATCAACATTGGAATGGATATGTATGGTATATTCCCAAATAACAGATCATAAACCTTTTAAAGGGTTAATTATTTAAAGAATGAAATAATGTCATATATACTGGTGAATTTGAACTATGGAATAGATACATCTTTTAAAAGAATATAAAAATGATATTGAATTAGATTTTCAGAAACTACTATTGAATAAGACAGTTACAGAAAAGTGAGTATAATAGGATTCCATTTTCTGTAAAAAACAATTTAAAACAGTTTAGTTTCCCCGCCCCCAACATATAATGGATTAGAGGCTTTTAGCATGCTTCAGCCACTTGGAAATAACAAAACAGTGCATAAAAATCAATTCTGTGAGCTTTAATTCAACAAGGAAAATGAGAATCCACCAGAATCACGAAGGACACCCCAGATCCTGGGGAGAACACCGGCAAAGAGTACCCATGATGGCATCTGACTGTTAAAAGTGAGTGAAGCCCTCGGAAGTGAGAGAGGAAGACAGCCTCCCTCTCTGCTGAACCTTTCCAGTAGTAATCCGAGCAACCCTGGACGAACGAGAGGATTGTGTTTCTCCCAAGACCTGGAACTAATGGGGAGAGGCTTGGACATGCTGTGAGGAAAAGATACTGGGAAAAGCTGCAGACATCTACCGTAGACACAGGACGAAAAGCAGGACGCCATTTTTAATCCAGGTGCGTACAAAATCTGCCATTCTTTGGCAACTCTACAGCGTGACTGCATAGGCATTTTAGTGTCGGGCCAGAGATTAGAGCACCCACCCTGGAGTGGGGCAAGGACCTTCACAGCCAGAATTGTGCAGTGCCTCAGCAGCAGGTGCTGGAATTGGGTTCTCCCCGCGCACAGTATGGAGCCGGAGGATAGCTGCTACAGTTGCAATTTCTCCGGGGCAGCAAGACTTGCAGCCAAGTCCAGCTTGGCAACCTAAAACTGGTCTGTGTGTGCCATTGCTGGGAGCCCCAGCCTGCTTCCCTAAAATTGCGGTCCAGTGGTGCCCTCTCTGCTTCATATCCAGGCAGATCTCCAGGCATTTGGAATACCCATTAAGTTGGATTGGCAGCCTAATGCTCCCCACTTTTCATGTGCAGAGACCCTGGGGCAGAGAGGCTGTCTCTGCTTCATGTCCATGCAAATCTCCAGGCATTCAGAGCACCCACTCATCTGTTACAGCAGCTTAAGCCATCCCACCCTTCCTGGGCTTAGAGGAGGATGGTGCATTGGGGCTGTCTCCGTTCTGCGTTCAGGCAGATGTCTGGGCATGTGGAGCACCTGCTTGCTTGGTTCAGCAGCCTCAGTTAACCCACCCTTTCTGTGCAGAGATATTGGTGCAGGGGCCCTTCTCTACTCCATTCCCAGGCAAATCTCCAGGCATCTGGAGCACCCATTCTCCTGGTTTAGTAGCTCAGGTCATCCCCCCTAAGGGTACAGAACTTGAGGCTGAGAGTATTTCCCAGGTCCATTCCTAGGCACACCTCAGGGCACTTGGTGGCCACCCACTGGATTCTTCCTTGATGCTGGTCTTTGTGCCTGTCATGGGGGGACCTATAGGCGGACCTGCCTGGTCCAGCTTCAGTCATCATGGCCCTCATCCCCCAAAGGCAGAGCAGGGAGCTCAGATCACTATTCATGCCACTAAACAGTCCATTGCCTGCGGCAACAGAGCTTCTCCCGGTAAATAAGGATCAGGTATATATCTAGCTGCATTGGCCACAGCCAACTTTCATCCAGAAGTGCCCCCTTTTTGCTTGTAGGTCACACTGCACAGCCCAATATAAAACCTGCTGAAATAAGTGCATAGGGCTATAGAAGCAAAGCCAAAAGACCATACTCAGCATTCTTTGCAGTCACAGTCACACCCAATAGTGATGGGGTAAGAGGGAAAAGGAAAGAAAAAAATCCCAATAGTATTACAGAGAAAGAAAAATATTTTATCCACACAAAAGTAATTACAATAATTAGAAGTGCTGACATCTCTAGATGAGAAGAAACCGGTATAAGAATTCTGACACTGTGAAAAATCTGAATGTAGAGACACCACTAAAGAATTGCATTAGCTGTCGAACAATAGAGTCTAACCAAAATGAAAACTGAGAAATGACAGATAAAGAATTCAAAGCACAGATTACAAGGAAGCTCAATTATATCCAAGACAAGGTTGAAAATCAACACAAAGAAACTTCTAAAGCAGTTCCTGGAATGAAGGAAGAGATAAATGTATTAAAAAGAAATCAATTGGAGCTAATGGGATTAAAAACTCACTTAAGGAATTTCAAAGTACAATTGAAACTTTTATCAATAGACTAGATCAAGCAGAAGAAAGGATTTCAGAGCCTGAAAACTGAAAGTCTTTTGAACTAACCCAGTCAAATATAAAGAAAAAAGAATTTAAAAAATAAAATGAATGTTTGAGAAGTATGGTTTTATGTAGTGATCAAATCTATGAATTATTGGTGTTTCTGAGAGAGAAGGAGAAAAAGTAAACAACCTGGAAAATATGCTTGAGGGAATGATTCAATAAAATGTTTCTAATTTTCCTAGAAATCCAGAGAACACCTGCGAGATACTACACAAAATGAACCCCACAAAGGCTTGTAGTCATCAGACTGTCTATGATCGATGCTAAAGAAAAAAATCTTAAAAATACCTAGAAAAAATGGACAGATCATGTACAGATAGATTCCTATCAGGCTAACAGCAGAGTTCTCAACAGAGTCTTATAAGCCAGGAGAGATTAGGGGCCTATTTTCAGCATACTTAAACAAAAGAACCAACCAAATTCCAACCGAGAATTTTATATTCTGCCAAACTAAGCTTCATAAGCAAAGGAGAAATAAAATCTTTTCCAGAAAAGCAAGCACTAAAGGAATTTGTTACCACTAGACTAGCCTTACAAGAGATCCTTAAGGGAGTCCTAAGCAAGGAAGTGAACAAATTTTGCTACCACAAAAATTATGTGAGTATATAGCCCACAGACCCTATAAAGAAATCACGCAATGAAAACTACAGAACAACCAGCTAAAATTGTTTTGATAGGATCAAAACCTCACATATCAATATTAACCTCAAATGTAAATAGCTGAAATGCCCTCACTTAAGAGGCACAGAGTGGCAAGCTGGATTAAAACAAGAACCATCTATCTGCTGTCTTCAATAGACTTATCTCACAGGTAATGACACCAATAGGCTAAAAGTACAGAGTTGGAGAAAGTCCTATCATGCAAACAGAAAACAAAAAAGAACATCAGTTTTTACTTTCATATCAGATAAAACAGACCTTAAACCAACAATAGTGAAAAAGAACAAAGAAGGGCATTATATAATGATAAAGGTTTCAATTCAACAAGAAGATTTAACTACCTTAAATATATACACATCCAACATTGGAGCACCCAGATTCATGAAACAAGTACGTCTACACCTACAAAGAGACTTAGCCACACAATAATAGTGGGGGACTTCAACACTCCCCTAATAGCATTAGAAAGTTAGACAGATTATCAAGGCAGAAAACTAACAAATTATGGACTTAAACTTGATACTTGACCAATTTGACCTAATACCTACAGAATACTCCACCCATCAACCACTGAATATACATCTTTTCTTCCACATATGGAACATACTCCAAGATTGACCATACACTCAGCCATAAAGCAAGTCTCAGTAAATGAGAAAAAAAATTAAAATCACACCAACCATCCTCTTGGACCATAGTGGACTAAAAATAGAAATCAAAATCAAGAAGGTCTGTAAACGAAATAATTACATGGAAATTAAACAACTTGTTCCTGAATGACTTTTGGGTAAACAATGAAATTAAGGTAGAAATAAAAAAAACTTCTTTGAAGTAAATGGAAACAGAGAGACTCAACAGACCAAAATCTCTACCATGCAGCTAAAGCAACCTTAAAAGGAAAGTTTGTAGCACTAGATACCTACATCAGAAAGTTAGAAAGATTTCAAATTAATGATCTAACATCACTCCTACAGGAAACAGAAAATCGAGAACAAACTAAACCCCAAATCTAGAAGCAGAAAAGAAATAACTATGATCAGAGTGAAACTGGGCCCTCATGGAAATAAAGAAGGCAGCAATAGAAATTGAGAACTACTTGAGTGGAGAAGTATGGAGAGAGGCAAGGATCAAAAAATTAACTATTGGGTATTATGTTCAGTACCTCAGTGATGGGATCCTTCATATCCCAGGTCACAGCATTATGAAACATACCCAGGAAACAAACCTGCACATGTGCTCTCTGAATCTAAAATAAAAGTTTGGAAAAAAAATAAAGCAAAGAAATACTAACAAATGAATCTCCTTATTCATGTGTATGTATGTATGGGTGCATATAGACCCGTGCATTCATATATACATTTGTGTATTGTATGAATACCAGGAAAAGATGAAAAGATTCATCAGTAGGTAATGAATAATACTGGAAACAGGTGGAGCTGATTGGTGGTGATAAGGAAGAAGACAGGAGAGCAGAACAAATTTAAAAAAGAAAAGATGGATGGAAATTAAAATATTGTATGTGTTTACACTTATATGTAAAATTAAAAATATGTCCATATATTGGAATTAAAGTTCAAATAATATAATGTAAGTTATAAATAAATATTGCCTTTAATGTCATTTTTCCGATTCCAAAAATAATCAACACTAATATAAAAAAGAAATAAATGTTTTTCTTTAAAAACATGTACTTTAAAATAAGATAGTCTTATCAACAGATTAAACTATTCTAGTTAATCTTTCATTATTTCTCTTTTTGGGATCTCACAAAATAACATTTCCTTTTTGGTAAAAGAAAGTTTATTAATATTAATAACCTATCAGTTATGTAAAATTATACACTTTGCTTCTTTGAAAATTCTACTTCATAGTTTTCTATTTTTTAATGGTTTTCAGATTAATTTGAAGCAAGATTGAGGAAGGTTATTTTATGCACAACTCCACAGCTTTAATTGCAACATTTATCATATGAGAACTCTAGCTGCCAAGAATGTGTTGGCACTAGGCAAATGTATAGCTTGTCCACAGGGATTTTATTATCCAACATCAAGGAATGTCTGCAACACAGTGGTCATTGTCACTGAGAGCTTCCTCTAGGCAGTAGAATAACAAGCTTGAGAAGAGAATACATAGAAATTTAATTTAATTAAAATATTCTTTTAGTATGGTACGTGTTTTGTACAATCCTTTTATAATGGATTACCATACATAAATATTAATACACTAAGTCACCACAGTCTTCAAATCATTGTTATTATAGAATGCAAAAATCCTTAAGAATATCAACATTATTATGAGTAATAATATTACTCATATCATTAGTATTAAAAACAATTATCTAAGACTTTACTGCTCATTCTAAATTTTAAGGACATAAATGGATCATGCTACACCTATGATTACTCCTAAAATGTTTTTCCTGCATTATAAACTAATGAACAAATTTTAAAAATTAATATATAACTTATTTCAATCAAGTTTCTAAAAGAAGAGTAAAAGTCTTCCATAAAATTTGTCTATAATACAGAATAAAAAAGAGATTTTCATAGCTGTATTATAATAATTGTGAGATGTGTTGTTCACTACCAGTAATAATGCAAAGTTTGGGTTTTTTTTTTAAAGTTCCAGATCACAGAAATTAATTGATTTAGTTTGTAAAGTAAAATATCTTCCTTTAAAATATGTACAGATATGTAATAAACTACAAAGAAACATTTCTACTTGCTTCAATAAGAATATGCTTTTTCAAATGGGAAAAAAACCTTTATACTGGTAAGTATATGCCAGTTCATTTCACCTATACTCTGCCTATTTTTTTTCTGAGAAAAGAGGCTAACAACTCTTGTGAATATGTAATATGAAGATTGTTAGTTATGTGAATCTCTACAGAAGATACAAGAAAAGAAATTTATTGTGAACAATCAGCTTACCAGTCATGATTGGACATTGTCTGTAGTTACCTAACTTTTTCTATATAAAGAGCTAGTATAGTGTTTGTGTGTGCACGTGTGTGTGTGTGCGTGTGTGTGTGTGTAGCTGTTAGGGAGGAGCTGATAGATAAAAAGAAGCTAAGCATGTCAGCATATGTACCAAGAAAATGTCTTAAGAATATGTAGTATATGCAAAAGATGTGCTAAAAGATACATCAAAATACATTTTTATGTGCAATTTCCTTGTTTTCATAATGGACCATGACTAAGCTGGGGGTTTAGGAAGCCACAAAAAAAACATGGTTCATCTTTCAAGAACATTAATTTTTCTTGAGACATTCGTGGTGAAAATACCCAATTCCACTTCCACTCCCCTATGCTGATGTATATTAGGGGCAGCCATGTGAAAAGCCTCAAGTCGAAAAAATGTGAGATTATGTCTTGAGGGACTTCATGGGAAAACAATGTGGTCAGTGTCAATACTTTACTTTTTTTTCTTACCTAGGACAAATATACATACTAGAGTTTAATAAGCTGTCTGCAACCATAAGTTAAGAAACCTACAGAATAAGGATTACACAGCAGAAATGTGGAGTCTTTTCCTTTATGAAATCATTGAGAACCCTCACTATTCCTAAATTTCTTCCAATTTCTCTTGTAAGGGAAAAAAATCTAGTAAATTGTATTCAGTTATATCACTATTACTGTTATTTACTTGTAATTGAAATACTCCTGAGTAGTGCACAAAGGAAGCTAATTGACATAACTTGTAATTTAAAACATTTTGCATTACATTAAATATTGATATCATAGAGTGGAAAGAAACATTTATTTATTTTTTTGTTACACCAGAGAATTTCAAAGAATTTTCACACTCACTAAAGGCCACTTCATAATACCATTATACACTCTAAATTTCTGGAGAAATTGTCTATTTTCCTTATACTCGTATATATATTTATATATATATATATACCTTATATATATATATACACACCATATATATATATACACCATATATATATGTGTATATATGTATATATGTGTATATATTTGTGTATATATATACACGTATGTGTATACATATGTATATATATATACACACCATATATAATATGGTGTATATTTATGGTGTATATATGGTGTATATATATATATGGTGTGTGTATATATATACATATGTATACACATATGTATATATATACACAAATATATACACATATATATATACATATATACACATATATATATACACACCATATATATATATATATGCAAACGAAGGTCTTGACAAGTATACACTTTCCACAGTTTCATAAAATTGTTGTCTATCAGTATTATTATTTTCAGCATTTTATTGGATTAATATTAGTATTACTTAAAAGTGATGCATATTTGGAAGCTAATAATGATAAAGTGTCTGGGTGAGATCAAAGTGAAGTAAGAGTCAGAGATGGAGAGGGAGAGAGACAGAAAGAGAGAACTGTAATAAAACGTAAAAAGTATTAGAGAGAAACCATAGTCAGTAACAAATCTGCATAGCCAGAAGTCAAGGAGCAGGAGTCTGAGCTGGTGAGCTTACACGTGATGGGACAAGAAACATCAAAGAAATATCAAAGGCTTTCTTCCTTTTGAATCTGTGTCTTAGGACTGTAGTTGAGCTTGTCTGTGTTTCAAAAAGCCCATTCCTATAGGGCTGAGGAGCAGCATGTGACCTGGTAGCAGAGTTCTACCTCAGATCATGCAGGTTTAGAATAGTACATGGATTAATGATTACTGACACTTTCCTAAGTTATTTTTAACTTATACCAAAGCCTGAAATTGTACCATTGCCAATAACTACAAGTAAAATTTTTCTTGTCTATTTCTTTCATTTTAGCCATGGCAGAGTAACTGGTACTAGATATACTCTTCTGCCTAAATCGGTAAAACTGGGCACAGTAAGACAACTGTTTTCAGATACTAGACACAGACCACGCAGGACTTCAAAAAAAGCACCAGCTTCTTCCCATATTGACACCAACTTTCTTCTGGAGTCATTTTTAGCCATGGTGAAGGGAAGTAGAGACCAAGTAGGGCATGCCAGATGTTTTGTGTTCCCCAAAGGCAAATACATTTTCTATCTCCTGAGTTGGCTAGAATTTGTGAGAAATTTAGCGGAAGGATAGAGTAACAAAGAAGGCAGTCCCAAAAGTCTACATGTGGCTTTCCTGCAAGTACTTGGTTGAGGATGGGGCTACACACACAGGAAAAGCAAGATTCCAGTAGGTTAAGTATATCAGGGACATGTTGGAGTGCCAGCCTAATCAGCGTAGAGAGACCTGAGACCTCATTGGATATTTCCAAATATTTGGTTAAGACTCTGTAAAAGCCACTTCTTAGAAGTTTAAGGACCATGACCCAAAGGCAACGTTATGGAACTAGGGATGAAAGGGACATAGAACAGAGAATAAAAATCAATCTTGACTGGTTGATAACTTAATTGCCTGCCAGAACAATTCTCAACACACTTTAAGGCAGGATTGGCCAATTTTTTTCTGTAGAGTGACAAATGGTAAATATTTTAGACCTGGGGACGCAAGAATATGTCACAACTAGTCAGTTCTGCCACTGCAGACTCGAAGTAGCCATAGACAACAGCTGAATAAAAGTGTAGCTATGTTCCAACAATAAAATATTATTTACAAAAAAGCAGGTGTTAGAACAGCTTTGATCCCATATTTCGCTGAGAAGACAAATATAATTCAGCAAGGGGGATAACATATCCAGGCTCCCTAAAACATTTTCACTATTTCTAGTGTAAACAAATATTATTCTTTAACCCAAGAAATTTCACTTTTAATCTTTGGTGTGGATCAAGAAGCAGAGTTCATTTAGGAAAGGGTACCTACTTCTGACTATTCAGTGGAATGTCAGATATTTGGTGGTCATTAGTCTATCATTAATGAGCATGCTCATATAAATATAAATATGTAAATGCCAAATTATTTTCAATAAAAGCTTCAATATTAGTAATGTGATACATGTTTACAGTTGAAACATCAACTGTCAATGATGAAGTGACTGTGAAAATTGAATTTCCTAAAACCCCTTCCCATCTTACTACTGTTTCTAGAAGGAATCATTTATATTATTTACATTACATTATTCCATAATTTTTTTCTGATAGTTATTTTCATGTATCTGGCTTATTTGCCTATGTATTCTTCCTTGCTTTAATCAAATTCAATCATTATCCATTTACACTTCCCTCTTATATGTGAGATTTTGGCCCTCCTCCATAAATCCCATTTGTCCACTTTCTATTCTTTCTATACAATAATATTACTATTTTAATTTTTCAATAAATATAGAATTCTTATTTTTATAATTAAGCAAATGTTACAGAGTCAAGATAAACTCTATATTTTATTCTTGTTTATTATTATTATTTCTTTCTTTTTCACTTGTAGAACTTTCAACTTTTTTATAAGAATTTTTATGTTTATTCAAAATATGCATAAAATCAAATATTTTGTGAATTCTTAGTTGTGTGTGTGTGTGTTTGCAAGCATGTGTGTGGGAGATTTGTTTATTTATTGTATTTTATTGTCTATATCTACCACAAGCTTTACTATCCAGTATGGGCTATTCTTTAAACATATTCCACATCATTTTCTGGGTTTCCCTTAAATTATATACTTGATGAGCCAATTTGTTGAGTTCATTTTATTTTCTTTTGACTTTCAACTTTTTAGTTTTATTAGAGAATAGTATCCAATAACTTCTTAAGAGAGTGTCACTCTACAAAAAAACAAATTTTACAAGACACATTGTATCTCCTCAGTTTAAAGATAAACTGTTTTCAACATATCTGAAATTAAGATGTATTGTTTTCAATTGATAGTGCTTTAAAATCACTCTCATCTAGGCAGCAGGATTTGTATAGCGATCATTGTTAGTGTATGGACTGAACTTACTCAAAAATCAGCTGTTGATAATTTTCTGTAAGATAGCAAGCAATCACCTGTAAAATTTATGAAAAAGGTGATAGTCGCTTTGCAGCATCATTATCATCTTGATGTCACACAACAATATTGTATACTAAACCAAAGATATTGATTATTCTGAGACAAAAATGATTCACAAAATCACACCCTATATTTAAAAAAATCCAATAGTTTAATATTTTTAGGATTGTCCAGATTACACTAGAGAAACAGTCTCCAAATTGTTATAGCTTATGAAAATAAATGTTTGTTCATCATAATGATTCATAAATATTCTTCTGGAACTCAGAAATTTGGAATTTTCTTATCTTGTGATTTTATTTTATCTGAGTTTATCTCCTCAGTCACTGGAGAAGTGAAGAAGAAAGAAAATGGAGGATCCCACAGTCATGAATTTACAGTGCATTAGTGGCTAGAGATAATCATGGGCCCATTCAAGTACAGGCAGTCTAGGATGCGATGCCTTTAATGTGAGGAGGTGGAAGTGGACCCAGTATTGGTTAACACTAATAATGTTTATCCCAGGCTACTCACTGATCATCAAATATTTGATTCATGCTAAATTAATTAATACAACTTTCCCTAAAGAAGGCAAGCCCCAAATCCCACTCACTATCAAGATTTATCTCAAACACCAAGTAACTTTTTTTTTTAAACATAGTCACTCTATAGTCATTCTTTTTTTTTTTTTTTTTTTTTTTTGAGACAGAGTCTTGCTCTGTCACTCAGGCTGGAGTGGTGCAGTGGCTGGATCTCGGCTCACTGCAACCTCCGCCTCCCAGGTTCAAGCAATTCTCCTGCCTCAGCCTCCCAAGTAGCTGGGACTACAGATGCATGATGCCATGCCTGGGTAGTTTTTGTATTTTAGTAGAGACAGGGTTTTACCATGTTGTCCAGGCTGGTCTCGAACTCCTGAGCTCAGACAATCTGCCCACCTCAGCCTCCCAAAGTGCTAGGATTACAGGCATGAGCCACTGTGCCTGACCAACATAGTCATTCTTAACCTGAGAACAAATATTAAATTAAAAATAATAAAATTAAAAAATCAAATTAAAAAGAAAAACTATCTATCCCCAATGCTCCATATTCCATAATTCAGTTACCTATTCAGGAAGAGACCATATAAAGAAAAGACAGCTACTGGTTCTTAGCATTCTGAAGTCCTATGTGCACCAAAAGTTCTATTCTAGGGAGAGACTGTCCCATGGTTAGGCCTTGATTTTGTTCTCTGTTGAGTAGCTTCCTTGTTTTCCTCTGGGGCTGCTGGCTTCATTGTCTGGGGAGATTTCTTTATTTTCTGTTTTCTTCACTGAACAATGTGAAGTAGACATTGAGAAATATACTCTCCTTGGCAGACTGGCCAACTTTCTTAATCTATGACCTGCTTAAATATGACTTAGTGTACTATTGCTATTTTAGGTATCTCATGATTATCCACTGAGTCCAGCTTTTTTATTTCTTTGGCAACTAGTACAAGGACTCTCAGATCACTTGTACTTATTTGCTTTATTTCCTCAATGTCTTTTGCTCATTGATATGATACAGGCAACATTGGAGTTATTGTAGTTTTACTGAAGTCTATCTCCTTAGTTCATTCATTGCCCGGAATTATTGTATTATATTTTAAACACTTACTGGGCACAACTCCTTTCACCTTTTCTGTGTCATAGGGAGATTTGTTCACTTGAAAGTTTTCATTACCTGTTTCCTTCTTATGTGTTTTCTCAAATTTATTGCTTTCTGTCTAGAATGTAAGAGCAGTTGCCTTTTCTAATTCTGCAAGCCCATGAACTTATGGACACTTTCTTTTCTTCTTCTTCTCAAGTTTGTAGGCAAAACAGCCAGTTCTTTACAAAGCTCATTTCATTCTGCTAACACCTTGCAAAAACATCATGGAAAACAACCAAAGTACATTACTATTTTATTCAAAATGATGTGCAGTTCTCATGTATACATAGTAATTTTATGAATGTTTTTGCCACTGTGTAACATGATTGTCATCTTTGCAACTCTCATGTTGGTCCCTTCACCACTCACTGCCTAGCCACAGATTTTAGGTTTTCCATGTCTTTGCCCCATTTTTATACTAATTTCTGCATTGGCCAGGATAGATTTTATCTGGCTGCAGAAATAGAATGTCAGTATTCTAGTGCAATAAAAATTTATTTCTCACTTGTGAATTTTTTTAAAGTCTAACTCACTTTTCAGGACAAGTGTCTACTCTGTGGTGAATCAATAGCCCAAGTTGTTTTAAATCTGTGCTTCCAACATTGCTGTATAAAGCTGCTTTCCCCATTGCCATGGCAGAGAAAGGGAGAAAGTAGAGAATCATGTATGAGCTTGTTATTGCTTCAATGTAGAAATTACACACTCTAGTTCTGTTTCCATGTTATTTTTAGGTCTATGAACATGGCTATGACCCACTGCCTGGGGATGAGGATCCTCATCTTCCATATACCCAGAAGTGGTGGAGAAACCTGTGTTGGTAGATGGTTGTAAGATCTATCATTAAAACTAATTTATTTCAGTCATCTCTTTATTTTTCAAAACATAAGAATCTATATCTAAAGAAAATTAAACAGTTTGTCCACAGTTACAAAATAAACATTCTAAATGATAATAAAGCTTGCACAATAGTTTTCTTAGCAGTGGTTTTTCTTTCTTAGTGATTCATACATATGATATGTCTTATAACCAATTTGATGAAATATAGTACAGATGGACGTATAGAAAAAAAAGCAATGATATAGTTTATCTAAAACTATATGTGTATTAGAGTTGCGCTATTATGAAACCAGGCCAAAAACAAGGCACATATATTTTAGTAAACACATTTTGTCTTTTTCTCATACTTTAAAAAAACTTTATTGGTTACTTACTTTTTGTCAGTAATGATTTTAAGTAATTGCACATGTATTTTTATAAATAGCAAGAAAATACTGTTTAAAAAACAATTAAAATCAAAAATAACATTTCCCACTTAATTGAGAATTTTCCCAGAAATTTTTCACCCTCTGAGGAGATGTTGAGCACTTTAACAGTTTCATTATATAAAGTTGCAATACGAGTTTTGCAACTGCACACAATGTTAAATTCAAGATAGAATACTTGTCTTATTTTCTTAGCAGTGCTCTAACTATAGTGTGTGATTAACAAATGTAAGAAATCCTTAATAATATTTACATATGTTTCATGAAGTAGCTTTAGGATATGGAAAGTAAAATAATATTAATTTTAACAATAATAATTCATAGAATTATGTACAGTTCACTTGTAGGAAAAAGAGTGAATGTGGATTTTTTTTTTTTTTTTTGAGACAGAGTCTCACTCTGTCACCCAGCCTACAGTGCAGTGGCACGATCTCGGCTCACTGCAACCTCCGCCTCTCGGGTTCAAGCAATTCTCTGGCCCAGCCTCCTGAGCAGCTGGGATTACAGGCGCCTGCCACCATGCTCGGCTAATTTTTGTATTTTTAGTAGAGACGGGGTTTCACCATCTTTGCCGGGCTAGTCTTGAACTCCTGACCTCGTGATCCACCTGCCTTGGCCTCCCAAAGTGCTGGGATTGCAGGCGTGAGCCACCGTGCCTGGCCAAATTTGGATTTTTAAAAATGTTACAGGCCTATAAAGAGAAAACTTATTCCCACGAGTATTCCATAATCCACAATTTAAAAATCATGAGTGAATACGAGTCTGATTTATTTCAGTGTTTCTCATGTCTGCTTGTACATTCAAATACCCTGGAAGGTTTTCATAGGAATCAAATTACATGAATGCCAACCAAGAGCAATAAAATTAGAATCTCTGGAGCTGCCATATAGGCACTTGCACTTTTTTCAGTTTATCCTGAATTTGAATACTGTCTTACATTTTGGACCTACATTTTTAGACAAGTTACCTAAACTCCATAAGCTTTAATGTGCTCCTCTGTTAAATGGATGATAACAATTTCTACCCCACAGAAGTTGTTCTGAATTGTTGTTAAGTTGGCATTATTCCCAATGGTGTCCTTTACAATGCAGAGAAGAAATGTTAAACCATGTTTATGAGAATCCATCCCCCTGTATGATAACTAATTCGAATGTCATATAAAGAAAGTGTGGTACAAATATCAAATAGACGCAATAAAAAATGATAAAGGGGATATCACCACCAATCCCACAGAAATACAAACTACCATCAGAGAATACTATAAACACCTCTACGCAAATAAACTAGAAAATCTAGAAGAAATGGATAAATTCCTCGACACATACACTCTCCCAAGACTAAACCAGGAAGAAGTTGAATCTCTGAATAGACCAATAACAGGATCTGAAATTGTGGCAATAATCAATAGCTTACCAACCAAAAAGAGTCCAGGACCGGATGGATTCACAGCCGAATTCTACCAGAGGTACAAGGAGGAACTGGTACCATTCCTTCTGAAACTATTCCAATCAATAGAAAAAGAGGGAATCCTCCCTAACTCATTTTATGAGGCCAGCATCATTCTGATACCAAAGCCGGGCAGAGACACAACCAAAAAAGAGAATTTTAGACCAATATCTTTGATGAACATTGATGCAAAAATCCTCAATAAAATACTGGCAAAACGAATCCAGCAGCACATCAAAAAGCTTATCCACCATAATCAAGTGGGCTTCATCCCTGGGATGCAAGGCTGGTTCAATATACGCAAATCAATAAATGTAATCCAGCATATAAACAGAGCCAAAGACAAAAACCATATGATTATCTCAATAGATGCAGAAAAGGCCTTTGACAAAATTCAACAACCTTTCATGCTAAAAACTCTCAATGAATTAGGTACTGATGGGACATATTTCAAAATAATAAGAGCTATCTATGACAAACCCACAGCCAATATCATACTGAATGGGCAAAAACTGGAAGCATTCCCTTTGAAAACTGGCACAAGACAGGGAAGCCCTCTCTCACCACTCCTATTCAACATAGTGTTGGAAGTTCTGGCCAGGGCAATTAGGCAGGAGAAGGAAATAAAGGGTATTCAATTAGGAAAAGAGGAAGTCAAATTGTCCCTGTTTGCAGATGACATGATTGTATATCTAGAAAACCCCATTGTCTCAGCCCAAAATCCCCTTAAGCTGATAAGCAACTTCAGCAAAGTCTCAGGATACAAAATCAATGTGCAAAAATCACAAGCATTCCTATACACCAACAACAGACAAACAGAGAGCGAAATCATGAGTGAACTCCCATTCACAATTGCTTCAAAGAGAATAAAATACCTAGGAATCCAACTTACAATGGATGTGAAGGACCTCTTCAAGGAGAACTATAAACCACTGCTCAAGGAAATAAAAGAGGATACAAACAAATGGAAGAACATTCCATGCTCATGGGTAGGAAGAATCAATATCATGAAAATGGCCATACTGCCCAAGGTAATTTACAGATTCAATGTCATCCCCATCAAGCTACCAATGCCTTTCTTCACAGAATTGGAAAAAACTACTTTAAAGTTCATATGGAACCAAAAAAGAGCCCGCATCGCCAAGTCAATCCTAAGCCAACAGAACAAAGCTGGAGGCATCACACTACCTGACGTCAAACTATACTACAAGGCTACAGTAACCAAAACAGCATGGTACTGGTACCAAAACAGAGATATAGATCAATGGAACAGAACAGAGCCCTCAGAAATAACGCCGCATATCTACAACTATCTGATCTTTGACAAACCTGAGAAAAACAAGCAATGGGGAAAGGATTCCCTATTTAATAAATGGTGCTGGGAAAACTGGCTAGCCATATGTAGAAAGCTGAAACTGGATGCCTTCCTTACACCTTATACAAAAATCAATTCAAGATGGATCAAAGACTTAAACGTTAGACCTAAAACCATAAAAACCCTAGAAGAAAACCTAGGCATTACCATTCAGGACATAGGCATGGGCAAGGACTTCATGTCTAAAACACCAAAAGCAATGGCAACAAAAGACAAAATTGACAAATGGGATCTAATTAAACCAAAGAGCTTCTGTACAGCAAAAGAAACTACCATCAGAGTGAACAGGCAACCTACAGAATAGGAGAAAATTTTTGCAATACACTCATCTGATAAAGGGCTAATATCCAGAATCTACAATGAACTCAAACAAATTTATAAGAAAAAAGCAAACAACCCCATCAACAAGTGGGCAAAGGATATGAACAGACACTTCTCAAAAGAAGACATTTATGCAGCCAAAAGACACATGAAAAAATGCTCATCATCACTGGCCATCAGAGAAATGCAAATCAAAACCACAATGAGATAGCATCTCACACCAGTTAGAATGGCAATCATTAAAAAGTCAGGAAACAACAGGTGCTGGAGAGGATGTGGAGAAATAGGAACACTTTTACACTGTTGGTGGGACTGTAAACTAGTTCAACCATTGTGGAAGTCAGTGTGGCGATTCCTCAGGGATCTAGAACTAGAAATACCATTTGACCCAGCCATCCCATTACTGGGTATATACCCAAAGGACTATAAATCATGCTGCTATAAAGACACATGCACATGTATGTTTATTGCGGCATTATTCACAATAGCAAAGACTTGGAACCAACCCAAATGTCCAACAATGATAGACTGGATTAAGAAAATGTGGCACATATACACCATGGAATACTATGCAGCCATAAAAAATGATGAGTTTATGTCCTTTGTAGGTGCATGGATGAAATTGGAAACCATCATTCTCAGTAAACTATCGCAAGAACAAAAAACCAAACATCGCATATTTTCACTCATAGGTGGGAATTGAACAATGAGATCACATGGACACAGGAAGGGGAACATCACACTCTAGGGACTGTTGTGGGGTGGGGGGAGGTGGGAGGGATAGCACTGGGAGATATACTTAATGCTAGATGACGAGTTAGTGGGTGCAGCACACCAGCATGGCACACATATACGTATGTAACTAACCTGCACAATGTGCACATGTACACTAAAACTTAAAGTATAATAATAAAAAAATGGGTGAATAAATTAAAAAAAAAATACACTATGGAATACCATTCAGCCATAAAAAGAATGAAATTATGTCCTTTGCAGGGACATGGATGCAGCTGGAGGCCATTATCCTTAGCAAACTAACACAGGAACGGAAAACCAAATAACACATGTTGTCACTTATAAGTGGAGCTAAATGATGAGAACACATGAACACACAGAGGGGAACAACATACCATGGGGCCTATCGGAGGGTGGAGGGTGGAAATGGAGAAAGGATCAGGAAAAATGACTAATGAGTACTAGGCTTAATACCTGGGTGATGAAATACTCTGTAAAATAAGCCCTCATGACACAAGTTTACCTATGTTACAAACCTGCACATGTACTCTTGAACTGAAAATGAAAGTTAGAAAATTGTTTTTTAAAAATTAGAATATTATAAGGCAAACTAATGTTATAATTTGGCAAGAGGAATAGGAATAAATTATGCAATTCCTGAAGGGGGTTATGGTCGGATGTGTTGACAAATATAAGATACACAAAGCTTGAAATTGCTTATCTCTCACCTGCTTTGATGCTGTTAACAGAAACAGGCAGGCTATTTCTGAAGATCTCAGCAGGTTCCTTTGACAATCACGTGCTCCAGTAGTTTTGGCTAAGGTCTTAAACCACCTTGATTTTCTGGCTGCATTTCTTGGCCTTTGTTGATTACCTGGCTGACCTTTGTTTCCCTACATCTTCTTTTCTTTTCTGTAAACTCTAATCCCTATGTTAAAGCCTTTCATTCTATTAACCTGACTGAACCTAAATAATATAGCCTTATGGGAAAGTTTAAGAAGATAACATGTGGACTATGGACCGCTAGTGTTCACATTCAAGTAATCTGTCTCAGATTCCAGTGTATTTATCCTCAAGTTTTGCTATGATATATTATCAGAGAGAAATGAACTTAATAACATCTAGTTCCTTTAACATTCAACCTGGTGTCAGCTCCCTAGAAAAATCCTAATAATGGTTTGCCTCACTGATTAATTTTAAATTAAAACTCACTTAGATACATGTGTAATGCTTTAAAAGAAAATTAATCTAAAATCAAACTAAGCATATACCCTGAGGCTTGGAAGAAACGTAACTATAATCTTAATAAGAGCTAATAAAGTTCTCTGTATTTTTGTATTGTTCTGTTGATTATTGATTTCCAATAGCATTCAAATTTGATCAAAGCTTCATCTAGTTTTCTTTCTGAATTAGCTCCTGTGGCCAATGCTAAAGCTTTACAAACACTACAGGATATATTTTTTTAAATTACTCTGTAGCCAGAAGCAGTGATATCGAAGCTAACCCAATAGCCCCATCGACTGTTCTTTCAGATAAACATAGAAATTGACCTTTCTAGTCTTAAATCTTGAAACTTGTATTTGTTTTATCTGAGTTCCTTCCTCAGGAAAGGACCTTTGGGCAGCAAGGAAGGAAGGAAGGAAGGAAGGAAAGAAGGAAGAAAGGAAGGAGAAAAATAAATTATCCAAGAACTGAAACTCACCAGATCACCACATCCGTGAGATCCCGGACCCCTCATTCATCCTTATTGCTTCCTTGCCCCCTCCCTAGTTTCTACTTTCTTACACATTGTTACATTTCTTCCCTGCTATTTAAACCCCTAGTTTTGGCCCATCAGGGAGATGGATGTAAGACTGAGCTCGATCTCCTTGGCTGTAGCACCTAATTAAAGCCCTCTTCCTTGGCAATACTTGTCATCGCAGTGATTGGCTTACTGTGCAGTGAGCAGCAGGACCTAGGCCAAATCCCTGGTGTTTTGGTAACAATATCATCAGAATACAGACTCTCAAATATTCAAATGTGTTGTTGTTTTCTATTTTTCACTTATTGCCCTCTTTTTGATCATTTATCTCACTTTTACTTTGTATTTATAAAAGGCTGGGAGCAAAGTAGAGAGGGAAAAATTACTTAATTTCTTAAAATAATAGCCCTTGTGATTATAATACAGAACATTGTGTTAATGTATTATTAGCTAAAACAAATGTTATGAATTTAATAATTAGAACTATTTTCAACTTAGTTTCAACTTATGGCCCAAGAAAATAGAAGTCAGAATCAAAATCCAGCATGCAGAACTTGTTGTAAAACATGGCAGTACAGGTGAGTTACAATGTCTCATTTTTTTTGCAAACTCTCTAACTTATATTTCAGAATATAAATTTTCAGGAGTCAGAATTTGAGACAAGTATTTTTCTGTAAATAAAATCAAATGAGTTTTGTGTACTTTACATTACCTTCACTCAATATGGGAGGAAAAGATGTATTATCCTATTAATTTCAAGTCAGGAGATCAGGATTTTCCAGAGGAAACAAAGAATAAAGGTCTCATGAAGGTTTAGAAGCACAGTGTCCTGGGTTTTGTGCCACTGCCACTCTTGATAAACCAAGACGGCACAAACCTGTCTATATAGTTTCTCTGAGGTGGAATATAAGTTGTCACATCTAAGCCTGTATGTGTTTTCAAGCTTTTGCTGGGCAAGTAGTGTTTGTAGCATATTATGTCCATGAATGAAACAGAGAATTGATGTTTAACTCAACAGGATCAGCTGGATGGGCAAGCTGATTCCAAGTTCCTATGGCCTGAAGAAGTAGCTATTGGCTAGCCAGACCTACGCTTTATCATGTCAAGGAAATTGCAAATCAGAAATTTCATTGTTTGGGGGATAAAAACTCTGAAGACCTCATAAATGCACAGTGTCAGTATAGGGATCAATTTCAAACACCTGACAACACTAGACAATATAATTTCAATAGCCATTAACTAAGAAATTTATTTTACTTTCTTCTTCTACCCACATATCTCTATATCTCTGGCCCTTGGTGGTCAGAAATCAGGATTTGCAAGAAGGGGGTACATGAGAATAGCAAAAGGCAGAGAAAGTGAACCAAGTCTATTGTTAGATACAAGCCGATAAGAAACTAATGAAAGCTCTGAGATTCATGAATGCTGTCAGAAGACACAAGACCCTGGGCTCAGAAAAAGGTAACTTGATTACCTATGGCTAGAAGGCACCACGGATTTTATGTTTGTACCAGTCCCCTCAGTCCCATGGACCTATATGGATGCTGAGAACATAGGGAGTTTGTAACACGTGTGGTGAGAAATTTTGAACTAGAAAATCACTTTTTTTTCAATAGAGGGCTGCAAACAAGCCTCTCCAAGCAAATATTTGCAAACAAATTTCTTCTTTTTTCAGAGGAAAACATTGCTTGTACTATACTGAAAATAAAAACGAGTATTTTCCAAGTTGGTTTGTTGAACACGTCTTTTGATAGTACTTATAAAAGGCAGTCTTTCTGTACATCTTGACTGTACATCTTGAAACTTTCAGGATGTACAGAAAACAACTGACCTATGGAGAATTATCTCTCAACAATTGTCAATCTTCCACAGGCTCAAGCAGCGAGATGGGCAAAAGCCTATACTTAAAGATTGCACTTCTCATGATTATAAGTCGTTGGTCATTTTATTCCTAGACTGAGATTGTGTTTTAAGATTTGAAGGAACTGAAAAGCATTTTAATTCTCTAATCAACATTGCATCCTAGCATGTGCAAGCCCCTAAATATTAATATTTTGAAAGAGAGGAAAAGAAAGGAGGGAAGAGAAGAAATAAGAGAAGGAAGGATGATAAGCAAGGAAAGGAAACTCTATTACTATATGCAATGAATCACGCTTTTTCACCATTAAATTGATTTTTGACAAAGTAGCCACATTGTGGGAGAAATCTGAAATAACTAGAATTACAATTTAAAAGTAAATGCAAATATCTACAGTGTCTGCTTTCTTCTGTCATTTTTGTGTGCTAGTCAATATTCTATGTGAATTGGGTTTACCCTGAGTTTACCTAGTGTTTGTTACATTTTGTATTTATCCTATACAAAATATAGGTATGTCCGATATTTTCTATATATCTTCTAAGAAAAAACTGCCCCAAATATATTTAATCTTGATCTGCTGTGAGAAAAAACCTAGGTGGTTTGAGGAGAAATAAATGGAATTTTTGGTTAAACAAACACTTCAAAATTTGTACTTCAAAAGAGGATTTTTTTTTCTTCAAAAAGTACACATTTCAATTTGTTAATGGAAACTGTGAAAAAAAAAACTAAACTAGGAGAAACAATTTTCTTTTCTTTAGTATGACACTAATAACTAAAAAGATTTTGGAAGTCACTAAACCCTAGTTTTTATCATATTAAGATAAAGAAACATGCAAATAATTTTTAAAATTGTAATTATAATTTATTGACTAACCTTCTTGCTGGAGACAGAATGACTTTTTTTTTTTTTTTTTTTTTTTTGAGACAGAGTTTCGCTTTTGTTGCCCAGGCTGGAGTGCAATGGTGCGCTCTCGCGCAGCTTACTGCAACTTCTGCCTCCCGGGTTCTAGCGATTCTCCTGCCTCAGCCTCCGGAGTAGCTGGAATTACAGGCATGCGCCAACACTCCTGACTAAATTTTTGTATTTTTAGTAGAGACGGGGTTTCTTCATGTTGGTCAGGCTAGTCTCGAACCCCCGACCTCAGGTGATCTGCCCACCTCAGCCTCCTAAACTGCTTGGATTACAGGCATGAGCTACTGAGACTGGCTGAGAATGACATTCTAAAATTAAAATTATCTCAAAGAGGAATCACAGCTTTGTCCTGATAACAGACAAAATTTTTATGTTTAAAATTATGAGAAGACAAATGCATTATTTAAATAATTCATTTAGATTCATATGAAAAACACTAAAATCTAATTCCATAAGTTGCCTGCACAAACATGTTTTTAATGAATTTATATATTTTTAATTGGCATGAAAATTGTATCTATCATATATGACATGATGTTTTGAAATGTTTATACACATTGTAGGATGGCTAAATTGAGCTAATTAATATATGCATTATCTCACAAGCTTATTATTTTTATGATAAAACACTTAAAATATCTTAGCAATTTCAAGAATATTGTTATGAACTGTAGTCACCATGTTGTGCAATAGATTTTTTGAATGTTTTCCTTTTATTTAATGGAAATTTTCTATCCTTTGATCCACAGCTTTGTAAACCTTCTCTCCCCACAGTGCCTACCAGCCCTGGGTGGGCTACTATTTTCTGCTTCTATGAGTTCAACTTTTTCAGATTTAATATAGAAGCGAGATCATGCAATATTTTTTTTGCGTCTGTTTTATTTCAATTAACATAAACTTCCCCAGGTTTATCCATGTTATTGCAAATAACAGGACTTCCTTCGTTTTAAAGGCTGACTAGAATTCCATTGTGGACATATGTTACATTTTCCTTATTCATTCATCCTTAATGGACTTAGATAGCTTTATATCTTGGCCATTGTGAAAAGTGCTACAAGAAACATGGGAACATCGATATCTTTTCCACATACTGATTTCATTTATTTTAGGTATACACACAGTAGTAGGATTGCTGGATCACATGGCAGTTCTATTGTTATTATTATTTTTTTAACACAGTCTCGCTCTGTTGCCCAGTCTGTAGTGCCGTGGCGCGATCTTTGCTCACTGCAACCTCTGCCTTCCGGCTTCAAGCAGTTCTCCTGCCTCAGCCTCCCAGGTATCTGGGATTACAGGCACCTGCCACCATGCCCAGCTAATTTTTTGTATTTTTAGTAGAGTCGAGGTTTCACCACGTTGGCCAGGCTGGTCTCACCACGCCCAGCTAATTTTTTTGTTTTTTATTTTTAGTAGAGTCGAGGTTTCACCATGTTGGCCATGGTGGCTGCCACCACACCCAGCCTTATTATTAATTTTTGAGGAACATGCATGTTGTTCTCTATAATGCCTGTACTAATTTACATTGCCACTAATGTTGCTCGAGATTCCCTTTTCTCCACACCCTTGCTTGTTATTTTTCATATTTTTGATAATAATTATTTTAACAGAAGTAAAGTGATATCTCATTGTGATTTTAACTTACATTTTCCTGATAATTAGTGATGCTGAGCATTTTTTAAATATAACTTGTAACCATTTATATGTTTCCTTTTTAAAAAACATCTGTTCAATCTCTTGCTCATTTTAAAATCTGATTATTTGTTTTCTTGCTGTTTAGCTCGTTGAGTTCCTTACATATTTTGAATATTAGCACCTTATTGATGTATTATTTGGTAATATTTTCTCTCATTTATTAAGATGTCTTTTCTATCTGTTGACTATTTCGTTTGCCATGAAATGGCTTTCAGTTTGGGTAATACCACTTGCTGAACAACAATGTCTTCAAGATTTTTCCCTGTTTTCTCGTATTAATTTTACAATTCAAGCTTTACATTTACTTTAATTCACTTTGAGTAGGTTTTTGCACATGCTGTGAGTTAAGAGTCTAATTTCATTCTTCTGCATGTGAATATTCAGTTTTCCCAATATCATTTATGGAAGACACTGTATTTTCCCTACTTTGTGTTCTTGGCACCTATATTAGCCTGTTCTTGTGTTGCTATAAACAAAAAGCTGAGACTACTAACTCTGGGCTTAGCTTGCTCTTTTTCTAGTTCCTTGATGCATGCATGAAGCTGTTTGTTTGATTTTTCTTCTGTTTTGATGTAAGCATGTATAGCTATAAGCATCCCATAAGTTTTGCTATATATTTAATTTTGTTTTCCCAAAAATATTTTTAAATTTTTCTTTTAATTTATTTCACTCATTAATTATTCAGGAGCATAGTGTTTAATTTTCATATATGAGTGAATTTTCCAATCTTTCTCCTGTTATTGATTTCTAGTTTCATACCATTTTCTTGATGTGATTTAATTCCTTTTAATATGTTAAAACTTGTTTTGTGGACTAACATATGATATATCCTGGAAAGTGTTCTGTGTGTATTTGCAAAGAATAAGTGAGTATTCTACTGAAGTTGCATGGAATGTTTGGTATATGCCTGTTAGATTTATTTGGTCTAAACTATAGTTTAAATCCAATGTTTTCTTGTTGATATTCTGTCGGGATAATTTACCTATTGCCAATGGTGGAGTATGTAAGTCCCATTATTATTTTATTATAATCTATGTCTTCCTTTTATGTATTAATATTTGCTTTATATATTTAGGTTCTCTAATTTTGGATTCATGTACTTTTATAATTGTTATATCCTTTTAATGAATTGGCGTTTGTCTCTTTTTACAGTTTTTGACTTGAAATCTATTTTATCTGATATAAGTACAGCTACCTCTTCTCTCTTGTGGTTTCCATTTACATAAAATATCTTTATCCAGCCTCTTACTATCAGTCCATGTGTGTGCTTAAAAGGAAAGTGAGGGTGGGCCTGGAGCATGTATTGGTGGGAACTGCATCTGCATCTGTGTCTGTAATCTGTATCTTTATCTATGTTTATGTCTGTATCTCTAGGCTCTGTGTCTATATCTGTATCAGTAGATGCTGTATTGGTAGGGGTGGGCCTGAAGGCTGGGTTCACAAGGACTGATGGGACTCTGGGGTGGATCTTGACCCTGATTGTGCAGCAGTTGGCCAGGCATCAGGATGGACCTGACATCTGGGTTCATTGGGACATGCCCGAAAGCTGAGTTCACTGGGGCTGGCTTAGTGCTAGTATCAGCCTGAAGCCTGAGTCTGCAGGGTATACCTGGGTCATGGGCCCATGGGAATTGGCATAGAGCCTGTGCCTTCTAGGGGGGTACTGGAGCCTTGGTCCAAAGAGGCCAGATTGGCTTTGGGGTTTATTGGGCTAGACCCTATCCAGGACATACGGACTATAGCAGGACACAGCCCTGTCCTATAGACTCAGGTTTCAAGCCCACTCTAGCACCAGCCCAGCCCCAGTGGACTCAGCCTCCAGGCATGTCCCAGTGGACCCAGATGTTAAGTCCATTCTGGGTTTACTGGTCTTATGCTGGGACAGGCATAGAGCCTATATCTTCCCATCTGGACCCTGGGATTGTGTGCACTGATCTGGGTCTTGGGTTCATGGGGGCTGGTATGCTGCTGTGGAAGCTGGATCCACAGGGACAGGCCTGAAGCTTATGTCTTGGCTGCCAGCATGGTGCTTGAGGCCAGGGTGCTGACCTGGTGCTGGCATAGGCCTAAAGCCTGGGGTTGTGTGGATTATCCTGGTCTGGAGCCTGAGGTGGGCATAGAGCCAGGGGCCCCAGGGGCTGACCTGGTACTGGGCATCCTATAACCTATATTTGCAGGGGCTGGCAAGTCTGTGTCTGTGGGTGTCAGTCTTTTTTCTTTTTTATTTCATTTTTTTTTTTGAGACGGAGTCTCGCTCTGTTGCCCAGGCTGGAGTGCAGTGGCGCGATCTTGACTCACTGCAACCTCTTCCTAGTGGGTTCAAGCCATTCTCCTGCCTCAGCCTCCCGAGTAGCTGGGACTGCAGGCGCCCGCCACCACGCCCGGCTAACTTTTTGTATTTTTAGTAGAGACAGGGTTTCACTGTGTTAGCTAAGATGGTCTCGATCTCCTGAACTTGTGATCTGCCCACCTTGGCCTCCCAAAGTGCTGGGATTGCAGGTGTGAGCCACCACGCCTGGCCGGGTGTCAGTCTTATAATTAGGGAGGCAGAGGCAAGCCTAGTGTTAGGTATGGTGTTGAATTTTAGGCTGGCAGGGTGGGCCTGATTCTATCTAGCGTGCACCTAGAGATAGAGTATACACGGCAGACCTGGAGCCAGAATCTGTGGGGCTGGTCAGACCCTGGGGTGGGCCTGTAGCCAAAAGCTACAGGGGCCAAGCAGGTGCCCTGCCAGTTGGGAGCCTGAAGATGCTGGGGTTGGCCTGAGGTGGGTGGTCCTGGAGACTGAGTTTGCCAGGCAGGCCTGGAGCCTGGGATTGCAGAATCCAGCCCGGCACCAGGGCAGGTATGATGGCTCAGGCTGAGGGTAGGAGTTTGGGGTTTGGGGCCTTAGGGACCTGCCTGGTCCTGGGCTTTACTGGGGCAGGCCTAGTATTGGAGTCCAAGCCAAAGTCTGGTGCTTACTTTCCTCTCCTTTCCCCAATCAGACAGTATATCTCTCCACATTGTGTCTGAATTTGGAGGAGGGAACATGAGTAAGGTAAAACTGCCCTTCCTATCCTCTTCAATGACTCTTCTCTTATTTCTGTGGTACAGCCAGGTCTTGTCATCTATCATCTGGTTTTCTTAGCGATTATGACTGTGTTTTTGTGCACGAATAGTTGTTCAAACTGATGTTCCTGTTGCAGGAATGAGCACTGGAAATTTCTGTTCCACCTTCATGCTGACATCTGGTGAGCAGATTTTTTTTTTTTTTTTTTTTTTTGAGAGGGAGTCTCTCTCTGTGGCCCAGGCTGGAGTGCAATGGTGCAATCTCGGCTCACTACAAGCTCTGCCTCCTGGATTCATGCCATTCTCCTGCCTCAGCCTCCCGAGTAGCTGGGACTACAGGCGCCCGCCACCATGCCCAGCTAATTTTTTGTATTTTTAGTAGAGACCGGGGTTTCACCGTGTTATCCAGGATGGTCTCAATCTCCTGACCTCATGATCTGCCTGCCTTGGCCTCCCAAAGTGCTGGGATTACAGGCATGAGCCACCGCGCCCGGCCGATATTTTTTAAATGAGTAAATAAAATGGATACTTATTCAAATTTAATACATAGTACAGATGTTCAAAACACTACTCCAAGGAACTATTTTTCATTTTTAAATGATGAGAGGTTACTTTTTACTAAGAAAATTTGAGTTGGCAGTTCGTGCTCTTGAGGCTGCTTTCAAGCATCTGTGATGCAGGCCCTTATGTGTGATTATTTTGCTTTTCTCAGCTCATGGCTTCCACCTCAAGAGAGCTATTATTTCCAGTCATTATTTCAATGAAATTAATTTCTAAAAACCCTTTTACAGTAATATCAAAATATACAAATAGCAATAAAAAATACAAACAAATTGAATGGAGATGTTCAAGACCTCTACAATAGCCATTTCAAAACATTGCTGAGAGAAAGGTACACATGTGAAATGGTAAACCTACTTTATTAATCAGAGCAACACAATT
Organism: Homo sapiens; assembly: GCF_000001405.40. Classification (NCBI taxonomy): domain Eukaryota; kingdom Metazoa; phylum Chordata; class Mammalia; order Primates; family Hominidae; genus Homo; species Homo sapiens. The sequence continues at coordinate 34,665,564 of NC_000004.12, forward strand.
AAGTATGTCCCCAGGAGAAATATAAAAAGTTGTCTAGTGATCGTTCATAGCAACTCTACTTATAATAGTCAAAGACTGGAAATAAACCCAGTGTCTATGACCAGAATGTAAATAAACAACCTGTGGTATATCCTTACAATGGAATATTATTCAACATAAAAGAAAACAGATTGCTTACACACACAATAACTTGAATCTCAAAAGTATTATGCTAAGTTAAATAAATTAGACTAGAAACTACATAATGTGTGATTCTGTTGATATAAATTCTAGAAAATGCAAATCAATACATGGTAGCAAAAAGCAGATAGTGGTTTCTTGGGACAGAGGTTAAGAAACAGATGAATTTCAAAGGGACAAGAGGCAACTTTTGAAGTTGATGACATTTTTTGTTATTTTACTTGTGATGGTAATTTCTCAGAAAAAAAATAACGTTTCTCAAATTGTGTATTTGAGTAAGTATAATTTATTGAACTTCAAATATACTCCCCAAAATTGTTGTGTATGTATGTGTGTGTTTGTATACACATTGTAAAAAATGAATCTATAATGAATCTACATATAGAATGAATAATATTTATGTGTTAGAATGAATAGTATTTATGTGTTTGGGTTCTCCAGAGAAACAGAATAAATAGGATATCTGTGTGTGTATATATATATACACACACATATATATGTATATCTGTGTGTATATATATGTATATGTATATATACATATATATACACACACACAAGCACACACACTCTCACTCATATAGATTGATATGGTTTGGCTGTGTCCCCACCCAAGTCTCATCTTGAATTATAGCTCCCATGTGTTGTGGGAGGGTCCTGGTGGGAGATAATTGAATCATGGGAACTGTTACCCCCATACTGTTCTCTAATGATTCACTGCTGGTTGTAAATAAGTCTCAGGAGATCTGATGGTCTTATAAGGGGAAGCCCCATTCACTTGGTTCTCATTGTCTCTCTTGACTAATGCCAATGTAAGACGTGCCTTTCACCTTCTTCCACGATTATGAGGACTGCCAGCCACTTGGAACTGTGAGTCTATTTACCCTCTTTTTCTTTAAAAATTATCTAGTCTTCGGTATCTTTTTCAGTGCATGAAAAATGGACTAGTACATACATATATGTCAGAAAAAGCTTATTACAGAAATGTGCCCACTTGATTATGGAGGCCATGGAGGGACTCATCCAAGTCTGAAGGACTGAGAACCAGGGTTATTCCTGTTGTAACCCCTAGTCCAAAGCTGAAATCCTAAGAAGTGATGGGAGGGTATTGGTGGGAAAGGCACTGGACCAAATCCCAGAGTCTGAAGTCCTGAGAACCACGAGCACCCATGTCCAAGCACAGAAAAAGATGGATGTTCCAACTCAAGGGGAGAGAGAATTCATCTTTCTTCTGTCATTTTGTTCTATTTAGGCTCACAAGGGATTGGATGATGCCTGCCCACACTGGTGATGGTAGATCTTCTTTACTTAGTCCACTGATTTAAATGCTATATTCTTTCAGAAACCCCCTCACAGACACACTCAGAAATAATATTTTACCAGCTATTTGAGCATCCCTGAACCCAGTCAAGCTGACATATAAAATTAACCATTACAATTTGTTTCACAGATTTGTATCAATTATCTGTTATTCATTTAGTTTTATACTGCTAGACTTTGAGGGAAAATGTTGAGAAATTTTAAAAAATTATCTGCTTTCACAAGGCTTTCAATATTCTTAAAAAACTATATATAACTAAATAATCATTATGATTTATTATAATAAATATATGAATAATATGCCAGTTTTTATGGGAAGACTTAGAAAATACATCTACTGTTTTTAGTACATTATAAATCACTTCCTTAAAAAAGCATATTTACTCTATAAGCTGGAGTATGAGTAGTAGTTAGTAATATGCTAAGCCTCTAGGCATAAGAGAAGCAGGGTGCTTTCCAGAAATTTATCAATCTCCTCCTGCTTGCATCTCAGCATGCAAGAGAGCTTTAGGGGATTTTATGCCTAGAGAGGTTGTCTGGGATCAGATAGGCCATGAAAAAAGAAAAGATTAGATATTATCTAAACTAGAATCTTTAGAAAGAACTCATATAGGGCAAGATATTGATGCTTTAGGCTTATTTTTTTGGCTGCACTCTAGAGAATGGATGGGAAAGTATAAAAGAATGGGGATAATATCTAGTTTGGTAGACCTTTTGCAGTAATATAGGTAAGACCTGATGTCTTGAACTAATCACCGTTGTGTATATCAAAGAAGAACAAAGAAAATGAATTATGGAGACATGTAAGCAGTGGTAGAATTGGTAAAACTGGTGATTGATGGAATGTTAGAATTGAGGGGGAAGGAAGAGACATAGACTCTGAATTTCTGGGTTTTAGATTAAATAGATGGTGCTGCTACTCCCTAATATAGGAGAAACCATCAAAAGAATGGGTGGGCAGGAGAAGAGAAGGAAAGCAGATGCTTTTGAAGTGATAGACAATCCAGATCTGGGGATTTTGAGTCTAAGATGCATTGAAACTTCTCAACATTTTTTTTTAGATAGTTTGAGTATTGGGAATTAGAGGTGAGACGGAGAAGAAAAAAAATGGAGATACAGTATGAAAATTCAGTTTACATGTCAGGAAAGTAAAGGGATTAAACTGTTTTGTAAAAGGTAGAGTTGCTAACAGTGACAAAGGCTTTCATGAGAGTTAAGATCCTAGAAGAGGGAGATGGAGATATTTAAAGTTAAGTGTAGATAAAAATGCATTGGAAATACATAAATTTCAACATTTAAAGGTTGATTACTATGAATCTATTGTGGTATTGCAAGCTTCTCTGTATGCTTTCCTCCATCTGGTCTCAGAAGTCTTCATGATAAAAGAGAAAACCAAAACCTAAATGAGAGTTGTGTGTGAGTATGTATGTGGGTGTGGGCTGGTGTGCTTGTCTAGAATTTTATGACAGAAACGGTAAGTTAAAAAATTGAGATTGTCAAGAGTCATGGAAAAGTTGAACCATTATATGATAATTCGTGCCATTACACAGAGTTCCTGGTTTCAAACATCAGAATGGAATTAGGCATTATATTTATTAAATGATATGTCATACCTCACAGACTCTCAAAAAGTACCAGAAGTAACTCATGAGTAAGTTACTCAACCAGGAAAAGCACATAGAACAGCATAGAGATTGCCTTAAGGAAGAAGCTACTGCTGCTGCCATTCTGCATTGGGAAGCTCATCAAACACATCATGGGTATTATAGGTGAGTCAGGGGGCTGGATAGTAGAAACCCTGACACTACTATTCCCCCTAAAGCTTGATATCTCCAATGCCTAAAGAAAGAATGAATTTTGTGTACCTCTGCTTTTTCATTTCTGAATCATAGACTTGCATATATCTGCTAATTAGAAAGGTAAGTTTTGGTTTCTACATTGATAGGTGTGAATCATAATAGGATAAAATTCTCAAGCCAAAAAAGGAATTCAAAAGATGCTTAATGATTACTATATAATAATTTCTTTTCTACATCAATTTCTATGTAATTCTGTGAATTTACTTTTATTTCTTTCCACATATTGATAGGAAGCATTGCCTTCAGAATAATGAATGAATACTTTTCACCCTTCGCAGGACTTGCTACATTGGTCTTTGCTAGCTTCAATGCCTGGAATGCAAACTTCGGGTCCCTTGTTAGTAGAAAGATGCACAGATGCGGCTCTGTTGACTCAGTTGTTTAAATACATATTGTCAAACAAAATATTTGCAGCACTGATGCCAAGTTCCTCCTGACATTCACAATAATATTGAATTTGACTCAACCAAACAAGTGTGACAATATGTGGAATAAAATTTCATCTAGGTTTTATCTGGTTTCAAACTCTCTTAGATTTAACACTCTTTTGTGGTTTTCAATTTGAAACAGAATTTGGCTAAGTTTTGGTGATTGAAGCTGTAGAGCCATTAAATTAAAAAGGTATGCTACTACTATTTAAAGCGTCGTTTAGCTTAATGCTAAATTGTCCTCAAAATTGTTCCAGTTTAAGCCTGCAAAAAGCTTTACAATATGATCATTTTCTGGAGATCATTTTTCTTGAAGGTTGAAACTAAATTACTATGAAAATATTTTCAGTATTATTTAAATAAAAACTTTAGAACCTCATGGAATGTGTGCAAGTAATTCCTGTATCTTTTCATTACAATAACAACACTTTAACAGAAGTAGAATTTTTTTTAACGAAGTGACTTTTCTTTTTTCTTTTTCTTTTTTATTTTTCTTTCTTTCTTTTTTTTTTTTTTTTTGAGATAGGGTCTTACTCTGTTGCCCAGGCTGGAGTGCAGTGACGCCATCTTGGTTCACTGGAACTTCTGCCTGTTAGACTCAAGCAATCCTCACACCTCAGTCTCCTGAGTAGCTGGGACTACAGGCATCTGCCACTATGCCCGGCTAATTTTTTGTATTTCTGTTAGAGATGGGGTTTCACCGTGTTGCCCGGGCTGGTCTCAAACTCCTGGGCTCAAGCAATCCACCTGCCTCAGCCTCCCAATGTGCTGGGATTACAGGAGTGAGTCACGACGCACAGCCAACAAAGTGATTTTTATCTGAAAGTAATTGCTTTAGGTAAGCACACACAAAAACATACTTAGAAAAAATAATGAGATGCTAATAAAACCTATTTTCCCCTACTTGTATATATTTTCGTTACAGCATTTAAAGAAGAATGTATCACAATCTGTTGTACACAGATATCACTCCAATTTGGACTCTGAATGCTTTGATTATGCCTGTCTTTATATTTGTGCTTTCTAGTACCTAGTAATATATCTCATAATTAGTGGGGGTTTTACAAATATGAAAAGAAGAAAGTCATGGAAGAAAATGGAATGGAAGAGGAGCATAAAGGAGAAATGCAAGGAAGCAACCCAGGAACAAATACATGTTTTAATATTTTCTCCCATTCACCATATAGAGAGTTAAGTACACTAACTGTGTCATGGCAAACACTAATACCACTATGTTATTATGGTATTGTAAATTAACAACTGTTTTTTTCAAAAGGTGTAAACCTGTGACACGTATTTCCATATTTATACATTCGAAGTGAACCTAAGACTTGATATATAAATGCACTTTGATTTTGGGGGCCCAGGGGGTACTGGGCAGCCTGTAATCATTGGCTTAATTATAGCCTAAAGAAAGTGATTAGAGTGATAAGAAAGTAGAAAACATATGGAGAAGCAGGGCATTTAAATAGAGATAAGAAATAAAAGTGGAACATGATCATGGTTCTCTGTGTGACATGGAGGGAATAAAATTAAAAATACATCAGCTCAAAAAGTAACTATGTCACCATCTTGTTCTATGAACTTGGGTATATTACTTAATTTTCTAAATGGCTTTTTCTTCTTATATAAAATGTTGTTACTAACACAATCTTCAAAGTGTTCTGAGAGCTAAGTTAAAAAGCAAGTAAACAACTGCTGATTAACATTTTATGTAAGAACTGACAATTTTAAGATATTTTTCTTTATACACCTGACCTTATCTCAATCAATTTAGACTTAATGATCTCTATGATTTTGGGGTAGAATGCCGGAGAACAAAAAGAAAAAAAATGTTTAAACTTTAAACAGATACATCCTTAGGAACACTAAAGAAAAATAATAGGCTTCACCCCTAGATTATTTAATTAATATTCATTTATTACCACCTACTACGCTCCAGATTTTATTCCCATTATTTAGAATATATCAACTGAACAAAGTAGCACAGATATCTGTCCTATCTGTTTCTATCTTTTAATATAGAAGTAAGGGATGAAAGTCACAAGTTACCATAGTAGAGAAGTAAATTATATATTTTTAAAAATGGAGATAGGAGCAGGCTAAAGGAGATTTAACATGGTGTGTGGGGGAAGGAAATGTGTAGTATTAAGTAGGGCAGGCGGGATTAGACCTAATTGGGAAGATGCAATTTAAACCAAGAGTTAAAGAAAGTGATGGAGTTAGCCAAGTGAATACCTAGGGGAAGAGTGGGTCAGTCAGAGAAAATAGCTAGAGAAAATGCATTAAGATGAAAGTATTCTTAGTATACTGTGGTTACAGGAAGGAAGCTAGTATAGTTGGAGATGAGTAAGCAATGGATGAGAAGTAGATGATGAATTCAGAGGTAATGGGCAAACTGTAGAAGAATCTTATAGGCCATTTCAATGACTTCAGCATTTGCGGAATGAGGAGCCATTGTAAGATATTCTACAGGGGAGTGAATTATCCACTTACTCTGGTTGAATAATTAAGAGCAGACTATAAGGGGCCAAGCATGGGGGCACGGGAAACTATTAAAAGGCAATTTGCACTGATCCAAGGGAGAACCAGCATGGCAGTGATTGAGAAATGAGAACTGATTGTATTTGGTACGTATTTTGAATGTTGAGCAAATATTTTCTGATATATTTGACACAGAATATAAAATAAACAGAAATGACTTCAAAATGTTTACTGTTTATTCCAAACAAGTAGAAAGATGAAATTGATACCAACCGATTGGAGAAAGGTTATTGATAGAGCAGGTTTCAGGATAAAGAGCAAAAATTACCTCTTGGCTATGTTGAGTTTGAGGTGTACATTAGATATCCAAGTGGAAACGTCAAGAATGGTGAAATACAGGATATAGGATTGTTGCTGGAGAAAAAACTGGGGACTTCACAATATGTAGGTCGTATTTAAAGCCATGAAGCTTGATTACATCACCAAAGATACAATCCCATGTCTGACATTAACTTGTTGGAGAGGAATATGACAGATTATATATGATTTCAAGGTATAGGATCTAATGCCCAAATAAAGGGATGGGATTTAGATAGAATTATAGGTAACTAGACACAAAGAAAGTGCTTGTAGTTATTTGGGCAGATAGGTACATAGAAATTATAATAGGAGTCTCTGGCATTTCTTTTAATTCTCCTAGTAAAATGCAAAGCTGAGGATAAAAAAAGTGAAAGAACATAGGGACTGACTGGCTAGAGAAGAAAAGGAGTGAAATAGTGATTCTTCATAGTGGGAGAGAGAATTAGCAAAGTATTGCTTAAGAGCCAGGAAGCATTAAGAACCAATACACACACACACATGTGGTTTTGTATTTTCCCTCTGGCCTTGTGGAACTGACCAAAAAAAAAAAAAACAGAGTAGACAGAATTTAGGATTTAGCCAAGTTGTAAAACCCATGGGGCAAAAGACTCTTGGTGTGGGCTTAAGCAAGAGAGGATCTGTAATGATTGACAATGGAATTTACAGTGGGTAAAAAGCAGAAGAGGACATCAAGGGCCAACAGTCAGTGAGTGGAAGAAATTCCACCTACACATCACCTATATCTATATCTATTTTTCTTTTTTTAATATGTTTCATTTTATATCTTTTTTTCTTTTTATATCTCTATTTCTATTTCTATATCATCTATGTCTACTCCATGGGATTAGAGAATATGAAGGGACAAAAAGAAAGTAGGGCACCCTATATTAGGTCAATTGCACACCCTGCTTTTTTTCCAGTAGTTGAGCCAAATGATTGCGAGAGGCAGGGCACAGCAGGGGCAGAGAATGAGAATTCTCCCTTATAGATTTGAGGCATTCAAGAAAGAACAAATGTTCCCTCTCCTACAGATAGGTGAAAAACTATCATGTTTTACAGTAAGAAAAACTCAACACATCTAGGCGTACAGGTCTTAGGCAGCTCACCATGTTTTCTCTTAGTCATGGTGGAAGAAGAGTAGCAAAGTGAATTTCAGGGCACCTGAGAGAAGCTTTATAATTGCCATGAAAGTCACTGGCATTGAAGCAGCCTTAAAAAAATGAATTGACAATTGACACAGAAGAGTAGGGTCTGATGAGCAATCTCTGTATTGACAAAACACCAGGTTTTGTTACCCATTGCTCTAAATATCCAGTTTTGTGAAATTATGTAAACTTTCATGAACTAAGATGTAGTGCAAGGGAAGATGAACTGCCAATTAAAAAATCAGCATTTGGAATAGAATTAACGTTTATAGAAAACACCTAAAAATTCTCAAATAACTTGTAGAATGAAACTCATATTCATCACTAATAATGTAAATCACCAGTGTTACTACATCATAGATGTTCAATAATAATCAGTTTTTATAAACTTTATAATAGTTCAGAAGAGAATATGGTAATGATAACTAAACCTAATATTGTAAAGTTTTGTAAAAATGCTAAGTAATTCAAACATGTTTCTTCCTATTTGACCCTCTCATTAATGTTATATGTAATAAGAGATGCTGTCAATTTTCTCATTTTACATACCAAAAAGTAACCACACAATACACAATCTTTCTTCCCATTCCACCAAAAACAACTAATTTGTAAAAGGCAGTTAAAGGAAATAGAATTTTTACCCTTTCACTTAAATTAAAAAAAAAAAAAAGAAAAAGAATTTTCAAACAACCAAAATGTCTCCCCGTCCAAAGGAAAAAATATTTCTGATGAAACTAAATCTACTTCACAGTAATATTTCAAGTAGAAATAGCTAGGCTTTCTAACAGAAATGTTGTAGCAAAGATTTTCATATTAGTTGATGTATTAGTCAGAATTCTCCAGAGAAACAGAACCAACAGAAGAGATTTGAGACAGAGAGAAATATTTATTTTTAAAAATTGTCTCATGCAGTTGTGAAGTTAGCAGTTTGAAGATTCAGGTAATAATTGATGTTGCAGTCTTTATTCAAAGGGCTTGAAACTCAGGTATAAACTCTATGTTGCAGCTTGGAAGCAGTTTTGTTTTCGTTTGATTTGGTTTCTGGAAACCACAGTCTTTTCTCAAGCATTTCCTCTAATTTAATTGAGGCCCACCCACATCATGAAGGGCAATGTGCTTTATTCGATGTCTACTAATTTTAATTTTAATCACTTCTGAAGCAAAATACCTTCACCTCAACATCTAGATTGGTATTGTCCAAACCCTTATCTAGCTAAGTTGACACATAAAATTAGCCATCTCATTTGGAACACTGAAATAAATGACATTTAAGGTCACTTCTAATTTTATGATTCTACATCCTACTTATTGGAGAAAAAAAAATACCTGGCGGTTATGTTTGGAAAGACTGTTTAATTGACCCCCGAAAATGTAGGCTTACAAAATGCCATTAACCTTATTGAACATACTGAGGCACAAAACTAAGTAAAAATAAGTCTGGAAGTCAGAAATTATTATCATCTTTAACCCTTTTTTCTAATTCAAATGTTCCATCTAACCAATGGCTTTTCACTGCTTTCTTCCTTGTGGCTTTTAAATCAGCCCAGTTCTCTCTAATCCCTCTACCTATAAGTAGCTCAAGAACTACTATCATCTTTCAAGGATAATTGCAGCAGCATTTGAATTGCTCTCTCTGCCTTCAATCTATTGCAATATTCCTATCAATGTTTTCTCAACACTAAAGCAGGAAGATATTTTAAAATTAAAATTTGATCATGTCTCTTCATTACAAAAATTCAATGAAATTCCATCACTCTAAGAGTACCAAATTTCAGCACTTTCATGATCTAAGTCGTCCTTATGAACACTCTGGCTTTATATTTTATTTTGTTAGCATTCAAACTTAATATTTTATATGCATAGATTTATGGGCTTCTCTATAAGATGTGCTTTCTCTTCCTTCTAGGCTACTGTTTAGGGTATTTCTTCTATTTGAACTAGGCCCCTGTCACTCCCTGCAGGCCCATTGTGACTTTGCCTAAAAAATTCTGATTAAGTAACCCAAGAAGGGGCTGAAAGCTTAGGTCCATCTTGATTTAGTAGTTTATATGATTTCTGTGACTGTTCTTTACTAACCTGACTTATTTTTTATTCAGAGACAGAAAAATAATGTTTGATTTGCCAAAAAAACTGCTAGGTTTAGAGGAAAAAGATCCACTAATATCAACAATATTAATCAAATGTAAGTTATCTGTGATGGGTTTTCATTAAAGATACTTCCCTCTTCTGTTTTGAAAGATATGTATCCTCTTATGAAAGAAAAATGGACTCAAACCCAATTCCCAATTAGGAAATTATTGGTAAAATATACTGAAGTTATCTTGGCCTATTCTATGGCATTTAAAGTGAAAATTATTAGAAAGAAAACACTCAAAATAAAATATTCTTTTTGTGTGGGGAAAAGTGATTTCAATGACAATATTTTCAGTACGTGTGAATTTAATGAAAGCATGTTCATTAATTTTGATTGCTATTACTTAAATTGTCTAACATCATTTTCCTGTAGCAGAATCAAATGGGTAATTTCAAACTAAAAATGGCATACAACACTGATCTGAGACTAGAAATATTGTTCAATCGATTTCTTCCTAGGCTTTCAAAATCAGTGAACTCTACCATCTTAACACTATTATTTCTAAATCAGATAAGAAGAATGGATTTTTCTTATAATGTATGAACCAAATGAAGAACTAAAAATTTAGTCATAGATTTTTGTCAATACAAATAAATACATGAGTAAATGGGCAACGCTTCCAAATGAGTCCATTGCCTATAGCAGTTTCAGCCAAATTGTTCCATTGTAAGAACACAATTGTAAATGTTTTGTGATCACTTTATATTATTTAGTAAAATATATTTGAGAGATTTATCTTTGCATACCCCTGATCTTAGAACATATATCTGCAATTTGCAGATATTTTATCTTAAATACATTTTTATATTTTCCCTTCTTTCTTTGCTTAATATTTTAGGAACAACCTTATCCAAGCCCCTTTGCCCTCTAGCAGTGGGAGGAACTGTAAGAACAGAGGTCAAGTGTAGAGAAGAAGCAAGATTATTTCTGTGCTCCCAGAATTTGTTTCCAGTGGCCTCACTGGTATCAGCTGTTTCTTCCTTGTGATTCTAGCTCCTGCAAAATAGCCCTTTTCTCTGTGGTCTTAGATCCTGCTGAGGTTTGCCTCTGCTATAGAGAAGCTTCAGGGCTCACATAATATCACTTCTTTCATGTGTCCCTCCAGTCCTAGGAGTGGTAGTGCTTCCTGCTGTTTCTAATCTCTTACTTACTTCCTCATACATTGAGTTCCTCTGGTCTTCAGTCACCCATGTAACCAATTCCCTGTGTTAAATTTTCTCTGATTGAGACACCTAGTGGGTTTCAAGTTTCTCTGCATACAAATAGGTTGTTGTTTCTTTTTTAGGCATAAAAAAAGATTGGAGAAATTCTAACGTGATTCTGCCATGAGAACAAATCCCTTTGATAAAGCAGTACTTCCAGCTCAACCCTCCAATAGGGTCCCAAGTTCATGGGAATTAAAAATGTTTATGCTTCGTATTACATATTAAGAAACCTACAAAGAAAATCTCATTACAATGCTCCTGAATTACATGACTATTTTCTTCTCTGTGTGTTTAAAACTTAATATTTCAACATCAACTAATGTCCTTAACTAATATACTTCTAGGGCCTTTTGTGTCTTCCGTAAGCACCAATATATGCATGTAGAAGCTAAAGATATATGAGACACAGTTTCTGCCCTAAAAAAATGTAGTGGGAGAAAAACACACATGAACAGAAAATGAAAAAAACAGCAACAACAACAACAAAAGACAGGATAATGAACAGAATGGAGATTTTCAGATGTGATATAGGAACATGTAATACATAAAACACAGCTAGAAAAGGCTTATAAAGGCCTCATAAAAGAGTTAAGTATCACTTAAGAATATATAATGCTATAATCAATATATATAACCTAAATATCTGTACTTGTGAATTACCTAGAATATACTTTTAATATATTTGTATATTTCCATGGAACCCTACAATAATTCATTTATCTGTTTACCTTAGTCACATCCAGAGACTCACACTGGACTCACACTGGTTAACTATCCTGTACATTCAATTCAATAATTTCATACAAATTCCCTATAACAAATTTGTCCATATACTCAATATTTTTTGTCTTCCCTCCATCTTTACCTCTTATTATAACTTGACTGTGGCTTTTTCTCACAACCCATTTCCCTGAAGACATTGTATATGAAGGTTATACTTTTGTCCCTGACACTCTTGTAGTTCAGTGGCTTGGGTTTGGATACGTTCTTTTCTTTTGCCTTCTTGTGGTTTCTGAATTTCTTTTCTTGTTATTTTTCTACTATCTCTTTTATCTTCATTTCTCTTCTAGATAATTTATGTTATTGTAGACATATACTTTAGTATTTTTAACTTTAGAAATTCCTTCCTCAACTCTGTATTTTCCTAAGTTTACCATTCTATATCTCTGATTTGCTTCATAGCAAAATGGGTTGAAAAAGTTATCCACATTTGGTTGTACCTGCTTCTTACTTCACAAATCCTTAAACAAATTTTCCCTCAGTTTTGTTCCTACAACTGCATTGAGGCTCTTCTTTTACATCCTCCTTGATTTCTACCTTTCAAAATTCAATAATGAGTTCCTTTTCAAATTTTTGAACCCTCAGATATATTTGGAAAAATTGATAATTTTATTTTATTTTGTCTTCAATTACCTTACACTACCTTGATTTTTATACCTCACCAATTGTTCTTTCTCTATGTTAGCTCTTTCTTCGTTCCTGATCTATAAAATGAGGTCCATTTGAGGCTTGATTTTATTATTGTATCTATATGATTTCCAGGGAGCATTCATTCAGGCTCTTGGATTTAAAAACAACTCTGATCTATAATAAATTTCAACCTATAAGTCTATGCTTATAATCTATAATTTTATTCTGGATCTTCCATATAGACTTTTCTATAAATTTTCAGCTTGCACATTGAACTGCCCACTTGATATCTGATCTTAGAAGTTTAACAGACACCTCCAACTTAACGTGAGCCCAAAAGCCTTGTTGTGACATTTTCAAAACATGCTCCTCTTTTAGTCTGAGAATATTGCCCCTTTAGAAAACTCTGTCATAATTCATATAGTTTATCCAGTCACAAATGCATGTATTGTTTTGGAGAACCCTTTCTCTTACCCTTATAAATCCATGAGCACTTCATTTTGTCTTTAACTCCACAAAATATCTGGAGTTTATCCAACAAATTCTATCACCTAATTCTATCATGGGAACCTCGCTCCTCGTGACTTCTTCTAATCCTAATTACCTCCCTAACATCCTATATCCAAATACCCTCACATTGAGAATTAGGGCTTCAATATTTCAATTTCTGGAGGACAAAAATATATTCAGTCCATATCAACATATTAAACATAAAAATAAATGTACCCATATTTTTCGTCTTTTCCTTTACATTGTAAGTTACATGAGAGCAAACAACATACTTGTCCAATATACATATTTATTTGGTGCCAAATAAATGTCTGCTGAAAAAATGAATAATTTAATGAGAAATTAAAGGAATGTTTGAGTAGAGAATTATAGATTAAAGCTACAGATGAAGGTCGATGTTATTATAATAGACATATGATGTTGCCAAGACAATATATTTAAGAGGAGAAAAATATAGTGAAAAACTTTGCAGTGGTACAAATTGAGAACAAACAATTTGAAGATTTAATTATAAGAATGATGAGTGTGTTCTGGTTACAAAAAGTCACAGGGTTTCTTATCGTTGTTATTTTATTTTACTTTTGTCCTGTTGAGGCAATAATTAAGAACAAATAATCACTTATTGAATAGCGCAGGAAAACAGCCTGCCTGCTGCATGGCACGAGTGACTACGCCACCATCTTGAGGAAAACCATCACAATGCCCAATGTTTGACTCCTGCGTATCACGGTGTTCTGAAGCAAGGTCTTTTTCCCCGGAAGTAACAAGTCACAGCATGGAAGTCTGAGATGTAACTAGCTGCACTTGTCTTTACCCTAAATGCTTGCTATCTAAAGGACATTCTCTAGAGGAGATTGCGAAATCCACCGTATCACAACCACCCAAGATATCATTTCTGTTCATAAGTCCCTATTAAATATGTATTTCTGAGAAACTGGCTTTTTTTCAGCATCTTTCTTCAGCATCTCAGCTCCCTCAGCCTTTGGGGGTAGATTTGAATATACCCATCATTTTTATGGTCTTAGCATGGTCTCAATGTACTTCAACTGGCCTGTTATAAATTAGGGAATGATGCTTAGTACCAATCTTCTCTATGTGAGATGCAAAGAGAGAGTAGAATAGAAGATAAAAGAAGTTCAAATGGGGTCAGTTAACCTCTGAAGCCAGGCTCAGATTTCAGGCTTTCTAAAATGTTTTTCAAGATAAAAAATAAATACGCTCTGTTTTCAACTCAGGTTGGGAATGCAACTTTTGCATTTATCCCCTGATATTGTCTATTAGTTGCTTTTGCAACCTAAGACCTAGAATAAAAATATGCCCTAAGGGCCTCTAAGCTTTTCTAAGTATCTACTCATCTCTGCAATGATACCTGCTGCAGCTGCTAACTGCTTCAGCAAGAAAAAAAACACATACACACCATATGAAATTACATCTCTTCTTCAAAAGTAAGTCTTATATTTTAGCTATTCACATTTCACAAACATCTTCTGATAAGATACTGAGTGAGCAGTTAGAAGAAATGACATTCACAAACATACTGCTAAAAATAGTTATTGCTTCTAATAATCAATGAGATTTTATTGCATTTGCAGAAGGCCTGGGGTAGGAGGGCATATTGGTCAGGGTGATGTTTTACCATTTATGACAGAAAAGTAACATTATTTAACCTTTCTAATATTCTACTACTAATGTATTCTACTTATAAAGATAAAACAGGCTGCATTTTTACTTCTGAATGAAAAAAATGAGTTTGACTCTAAAATGATTTCTACACCAATAATGAAATGTTTTTGTTAATTAACATTGGGTGATGTATTACTACTGATACACGAATTAGTCATCAAAATAAATGCTTCTAAATAAGTAGTTACGTAACCAAAAATGGAGAAACAAGAATAATAAGATACACAACGAGTTCACAATAGAGATGAGTCTTCCTTCCATGTGAACCACTTGTCACTGATGTCAGCATAGTTTGGGATGTAGATTAAGAATGAGATTCTTTATCTTGAAATTATGAATTTCTGATAAATCTATGGGTAGCCAAAATATGTATTTTTTAATAAGCATTCCAGATTATTTGTGTATTTGAGTATTACCATTGTCCCAGAGCATAAGACTCCAGAAAGGTACAAAAAATAAAACACAGTGTGGCAGATACTGTGTTGCTCTGCTCACATATCCTCTGGAAGGTAGACACATGTACCTCCTAGTCAAAGTAGATATCAACTGCTGTTCAATTATAACTTCATCCATTTAGAATTGCCCTCATCCTCAGGATGAGGATCTGCTTAAAACAATGTTATTACTCCTCCCAGGGTCGGCCTTCATTAATGATTAATGTCTAGATGGGGAATGCAAAGAATCATCCCCCAGTGCGCCTCCATTGCAACTGCATTGTTAAGTAGCTTCTGGCCAATGTTTTCTTCCCTAAGTGCTTTCTTTTTTTCTTCTTCTTCTTCCTTTTTTTTTTTTTTAGAGGGAGTCTCACCCTGTTGCCCAGGCTGGAGTGCAGTGGCTTGATCTCAGCTCACCACAACCTCTGCCTCCCAGGTTCAAGCGATTCTCCTGCCTCAGCCTCTCGAGCAGCTGGGACTACAGGCGTGCACCACCATGCCCGGCTAATTTTGTATTTGTGGTAGAGACGGAGTTTCACTATGTTGGCCATGATGGTCTCGAACTCCAGAACTCATGATCTGCCCACCGTGGCCTCCTAAAGTGCTGGGATTACAGGCGTGAACCACTGCGCTGCGCCTCTTCCCTAATTTCTTACAGCTATGTCTCCTACATTCCTCTTCTGTACTTTGTGAAAGTCTTCATTTCAGATTCTGTTTCCAGAAAATTGATCAATCAAATAAATACAACATCAACAACAGTACTCACTTAACTCCATACTCTCTTCTATATAAAATGATAAAAAGATAAAATATGAACCTGAGAAAGTTTTAAATATATTTACAAGTAGCATCCCATATGTTGAAAAATTTAGGTCCAAGGATATTAAGCTTTATAGCTTATTTATTTTTTCTCTCTCTGTAATTGTGATCCCAGTGTTTTTCCGTTTTTTCCTTCCTTCCTTATTCCTTTCTTCTTTTATTGCCTCTTTCCACCCTTGTTCTGTTTTTCTTTTCTTCAGTTCTTTACTGCATTGTTTTCTTCCTTCCTTTTGTTAAGTTATTGATTTGGAAAGTAGAAAGAACACTTATCAAAAGAAAAAAGAACCTTACTTTAGGATAATAGCTTGAAACCAGGGGCCAGAGGTTGCAGTGAGCCGAGATCGCTCCACTGCACTCCAGCCTGGGTGACAGAGCGAGACTCCATCTCAAAATAAATAAATAAATTAATTATATTTTTTAAAAGAATCCTACCTTAAATGAACTTACATTCTATTATGGAGAAACAGATAATAACCACACAAACAAGTAACGTAGGTAATCTTTTAAATTCTGATAAGTTCTCTGGGGAAAAAATAAAGCAAATAAAAGGGATAAAATTACAAGGTTGGGTCATTACTATTTTAAGTAGAATGGACAAAGCAAGATACCTTGTTGAAAAAAAAATTTTTTGAACGGAAACGTGAAGGAGGCAAAAGTGAGAGACATGCAGTTATCTGAGGGAAGAACATTCCAGGTAGAGAAAACTGAAACGCAAGTGCCATTTGCAGTGGCAGTGTGTGTGTTGGGCGGGGAGGTTGGGGAGGGCGTGTTTTGGGTGTATTTGAGGAATATCAAGAATATTGGTTTTATCAGTGCAAACCTATAGAAGAGTGATTTTAAATGAATTTAAAGAAATGGGCAAGAAATAGAGTTCACATTTTAAAAAGTTTTAAGCCATTGTAAGGCCTTTAAATTTTCCTCCGAGTGAAACAAGATACTACTGGAATATTTTGTACAGAGGTGTAATATGATCTAACTCATGTTTTAAAAG
The DNA here is from genome assembly GCF_000001405.40 of Homo sapiens. Classification (NCBI taxonomy): domain Eukaryota; kingdom Metazoa; phylum Chordata; class Mammalia; order Primates; family Hominidae; genus Homo; species Homo sapiens. The sequence goes on from NC_000004.12 coordinate 34,682,523, forward strand.
TATCATTTTGACTCATATAGTAAGCATAGAATGTTCTGGGTTATTTTTTAAAGATACAACTATGAATTCAAAGTTATAGTTGTCTATATCTTCCTGAATATCAAGTATATGGTCAAAATTCACTTCTGAAAAGTAGATTTTGAATCTTAGATTTCAGAACCCTAAATGAATTTAAATGTATCTTGGAATTTGGGGTTGCTGTTTCACACAGGACGAAGAAAGTCAAAAGAGATAATAACATTCATCCTTACAACCAAAGCAAGACAAGTAAGCTAATGAGTCATAGTTTTCCTGAACCCATGTGCAAACTGAGTTTACAGTTTCCTCACTAAATTCTAGAATAGAATGGACTCTCCATAAAAAATAAGAGATTCATGGCTGTTTTCATGCCCAGCAGGACAGCAAGAGAAGAAATAATCTAACGTAGACCCAAAAGTGGAGTTAAATAACTAAACAACCAATATTTCAACAATTTCTTTCTTTCTTCCTTTCTTCTTCTCTTTCTTTTTTCTTTTCTTCTTTTCCTTCATTTTCTTTCCTTTCCCCTCCTTTTCTTTTTTCTTTTTACACAGTATCTCACTCTGTTGCCCAGGCTGGAGTGTAGTGGTGTGCACTCATGACTCACTGTAGCCTCAACCTTCCAGGCTCAAGCCATCCTTCCACCTCAGCCCCCTCCACCTCCCGGCCTCTCCAGTAGCTGGTACTACAGGCATGTGCCATCAGGCCTGGTTAACTAATTTTTTTTTTTTTTTTTTTAAAGAGAGATAGGGTCCCACTATGTTGCCGAGGCTGGTTTCCAACTCGTGGTCTCAAGTGATCCTCCCGCCTCAGCTGCCCAAAGTGCTGGGATTACCATTTCAAAAATTTTTAAGTGTGTTTGTGATTGTGACATACTAGATGTTAGAAGAGCCCTGATCAAGTAGTTCACTTTTACCCATCCACCGTCTTCTATTGACATTCCTTTAGTCCGGCATTCCAGAGATTGAGGTAGGAAAAGTGATGTCTGGGACATAAGAGGTCTCAATTTACTGGCTTACCTGGTACTGAAAATGAGGTGAAAAAACAAGAAAGCTGAGAGAAATCAACATGTTCCCAAGTGCTGTATGTGAACAATAAATCTGAGACATACCTCTAAGGCTTTTCCAGAGACAAGAAAGCTCTCAACCTGTAAAGAATTCCTGGGACATGACTGAGAGCAACGAGAACTTCCAGTGGTCCAGAAGGTTAGCAGATATAGTGTAGAGCATACACAGATATACTATAGTTCATAACACTGGTGGCTTAGCTGTAAATCACAAAATAGCACTGGAATTATACTAGTGATCATAGCACATAGTCCAAGAAGAAAAAATTTTGATCTTGTTCTTAAACTTTGTGGAGCCAGTGGTGAAATGAGTCACACAAAGATGCAACAATGATTGAACCCAGCCCTCTTTAGACTAACATATTCTTGTCCATCACCACCAATATTACAATAAAAATCAAGACACATGAAGGAGCATACCTTTTTCTGAAAGTAAATATTGCTTACCTCAGTCTCTATTGTTATTTGATGCAAAACACCCAGCATGCAATTTGAATCAATAAGACATGTAAAGGAGCAAAAAAATGTAACTCATGCTAAAGAGAAAAAAAAAGAGTGAGAGAGAGACAACAAAAGCAGATCCAGAAATGGTTAAACTTGTGGCATTATAAGGGAGGAGCTTTAAAATAACAATTATATAAATATAGAAACATCTAGTGGAAATGGTGATCAGTATTTATCAAGTTATGGGAATTTGCAGCAGAGATGTAAAAATGCTATTATTTTACAGTTCCATATTTTAATATAAAAAGAGTATGCTAAAAATAAAATTGGTAAAAACAAAATGTATCAAAAATTAAGATTTATGTAGATAGTCTTAACAGTAGAATAAATTTTGCAGTAGAAAAAATCAATAGACTTAGAAAAATCAATAGAAGTAATCAAACTAAAATATAAAACAAATAGAAAAAAAGATGAGTGAAATAAAAGAATACACAGAGAATCCAATATTAATGAGAAAATGTTAAGCAGTATAAAATGCCTGTGACCAGAGATAAAAAAAGAAAGAGCTATAGAAAAAATTAACTAAATCACTGAAATTTTTCTAAAAATTAAAAAAATACATCAATCTGAATCCAAGAAGCTCAGGAGCCCTCAAAAAGGATAGGTATGTAAAACAACATATAGAGTTACATCATTTCAAACTGTGAAAACTAAAGATAAATTCATAACATTATTCATAAGGAAAAGATATCTTACATATGGTAAATGAAAATACTGAGGCACAGTTGACCTCACCAGAAAAATTAATGATGAATGACATTAAGATGATTTTTTGACTATTAAAAAATAAGAAATATCAATTTTGAATTATATATATGTAATGGTGTAATCCTTTAAAATGGAGGCAAAATATAGATATTTCAAAAGAAAATAAATAGCAAGATGACATACCTAAAGCTACTTTTATCAGTAATCACATTAAATACAAATGGTCTAAAGGAATCAATTGAAAGACATAGATTGCCATATTTGATGGAGCCCTATGTTTCTTACAAGGAACATAATTTAAATATAAAGACATAAATTAGCTAAAAGGAAACATGATACTAACACTTGTCTATCTGACAAAGTAGCTTTTTTTCTTTCTTTTTTTTGCTGACTCACATGTCAGGTGATGACAGTAGATTTCTAGCAAAGTGTATTACCAGAAAATAAGAATCTTATTTTACGATGACAAAGGAGTTAGTTTATCAAAAGGACATGTAATTCTGAAATTTAGTGTATCTAATATCAGAGATGCAAAATAGATGAAGCAACAATAGAATTGCAAGGAAAACTGACAAATCCCCAAGTATTGTTAAAATTTTTAATATCCTTCTTTCATTTATTTGTAGAACAAGTAAACAAAATCAACAAGAATCAGGATTTTAACATCATCAATCAACTAGACCCATTGACATTTATGTAACACTTTACTCAGTAACAGCAGAATTCATATTTTCAAGTGCACAAAAAGCATTTATCAAGATAGACAACACTTTGAGTAGTAAAACAAGTCTCAATAAATTGAAAAGTATTCAAGTCATACAAAGCATGTTATCTGACACCCATGTAATTAAACTAGAAATGAATAACTCAACAATATTTATAAAATACACAGATCTTTGGAAACTAACACAATTCTAAATAATCCTTACCAAAGGGTATACCAAAAAGGAATTTACAAGGTAAATATGAGATAAAAGAAAACAAAAACACCTATCAATATTTGTGGGATAACACTAAAGCTGCAAATAAGAGAGACTTTTTAAGACTTGTCTTTATCCATTTGTGCTGCAATAACAAAATATCATAAAATGTGTTATTTATAAACAACAGAATTTTTTCACAGTTCTGGAAGCTGAGAATTCCAGAACTATGAAAAATCTCAAAGAGCCAGTTGATCTAATATCTGGAGAGGACCGCTTTCTGTTTCCAAGATAGCTCCTTGTTGTTATGTCTTTGAAAGGAGGTGAATACTGTGTCCTCATGTGGTAGACAGTATGGAAGGGCAACAAAGGAGGTCTGGATAGCTCTCCCAGGCATTTTTTTAATAATGCACTGATTCCACATATGAGACCAGAACTCTCATGGCCTAATTACGTCTTAAAGTTCCCATTACTTACTACTGTTGCACTAGGGATTAAATTTCAACATAAATTTTGAAGGGGACACAACAATTGAAACCATAGCAGCATTGAATATCTATATTAGAAGATGAGAAAGGTATCATATTAATAATCTCAGCTTCCATCTTAAGAAAGCAGACAATCAGATTATTCTGAAAATAAGTCAAAGGAAAGAAATAATAAATTTCAGAGTAAAAATCAATAAACTTACAGATCAGACATGATAGCATAGATATAATGCTCAATTCTCCTCTCCACTAAGTAACATTATAAATACTGCAAATAAAGAAAGAGGCAAACAAAGTTGAATCCGAAAAGTACTAGGAATAAAGTAAACTGGGTTGACACTCCATGAACGGAAGAAGAATGTAGCACCACACAATCTTATATCTTCCCACTAAGTAGAAGTAGGGGATCTTGACCGGATCTTTCCCAACCACCAACCTATCAACAGAAAGCAGTTCAAGTAAGCTTATTTCTCTCCTACCCATAAACAGTGCTGTAGCAAGGAGTGCCTGAGAGAGTTCTTCCACATAGTAAGTGCCTGACCCAGGAAGTGTTCTTCATCACCCAAAGGCAGGGAAAGGATCCTACAACAAACAGCCTGGTTCTGGAAATCTCTTTGCCTCTACAAGCCAAATAAACCCCTCCTACAGCAAAGACTAGAATGTAGAAGTACCAGTAGTAGGTGATTCTGCAACAATAAGCACCCATGAGGAAATGTTCTTGGTTCTCTATAGGCAAAGGTGATTCTACCACAACAAACACTAAGCTAGAGAATCCTCTTTATCCCCATAGGCCTGCAACTCCCCTCTCCTACTGAAAGACACTCAGTAACCTGGCCTAGAAAAACACTTCTGCTTCTTCAGGCAGCACTGGTAGAGACCAGTGGCAATATTAGTGTCAAGAGGTAAGTCAAAGAGACAAAAAGAATACCATAAAAATATCTAAAAATTAAACTATTTAGAACCACATCCCACCAAGTAGGCTAGGACTTTAATTCTAAACAAACAGGATGGATGTCTGTTAAAATAAGAGATTTAATTAGGACCCAGAGTCTTTTAACATAATATGCAAATTGTCTGTAATGTAATTGAAAATCATCCATCATACCAAGAACCATGAAAATCACAACTTGAATAAGAAAAAACAGTAGACAAGAGGACAAAGAAGAAACAGATATTGAAATTACGTGACAGGTATTTTAAACTAACCATTACAGAAATGCATCAATTAATCACACACCCACTTAAAACAAATGAAAAAAACTGAAAATGTCAGCAATGTGATGGAAATAGTAGGACTGAAAAATGCAATAAAAGAAATAAGTTTAATAAGAAACAACTCTCTGGATAGTAACAATAAAATGGAGATTGAATAGGATAGAATCAGTGAACTTGAGAACAAATCAATAGAATTCACCCAATCTGAATTATAGAGAAAACAGTAACTAAAAAAGATAAAGAAAAAAAAGAATATAGCCTCAGTGGCCTGTGGGATAATAACAAAATTCCAACATTTATATTACATAGGTTTCATAATAAGAAAGAGAATTGATTTGAAAAAATATTCAAAGAATCACTGAAAATTTCTCAAATTTTTAACAAAAACAAACCTACAGAACCAAGAGTCTGAGCAAAATTCAAACCCGATAAAGATTCATCCCAACAAACAAATTAATCTTAAAAAATTTAAAAACAAAGAAAAAAATTTTGTAGACAGCCAGAGAGAAATAATACTTCATCTGTGGGGGAAAACCAATCCTGGTGATAGCACATTTCTCATTTTAAACCATGAAAGCCAGAAGAAAGTGGCAAAATGTCTTTTAGGAGCTCAAACAAAGATCCTGTCAACTATAAATCCTATATCTGGCTAAACTATCATTTTCGAAAGAACAGGAAAGAAAGACATTTTCAGGCAAAGACAAGTGTTCAATATTTGAAGCAAAACTGATAGAGCTAAAAAGGAAATAGACGAATCCATAATTAGAGTTGGAGACTACATTAGTCACCCTAAGCAACTGACAGAACTACTAGACAGAAAATCATTCACTGCATAGATGTTCCGAAGAACATAATCAATCACCAGGATCTAACTGATATGAATAAAACACTTCACACAACAAAAGAAAAATACACATTTTTAGGTGCCTATGGAATATTCACCAAAATAGGGTATATCCTGAGTCATACAAGTGTCAGCAAAAGTAAAATTACTAATGTTATACAGAATCTATTCTCTGACCATATGGAATGCAACTAAACATCAGTAACAGAAAAATAACAGAAAAATTTATTTAAATGTGTAAATTAAAAAAGCGATTTCTAAAAACAGATGTGTCTAAGAGTAATTCTTAAAATATATTAAAAATGCACATAGAACTTAATAAAAATGAACATATAGCAAATTAAAATATATGGGATACAGCTAAAGCAGTGCCAAGAGAGAAATTTATAGCATTAAGTGTTTACATTATAAACACATAAAGTCTTAGACTCTAAAAATCTAAGTTCCTACATCAGGAAATTAGTAAAAGAACAGTAAAATAAACTCAAAGCAACCATAAGGAAGTAGATAATAAGATACAAGCAGAAATCAATGAAATTGAAAATAGAAAAATAGTAGAGAAATTCAATGAAACAAAAAGTTATTTTTTTTTTTAAATCAATGACATTCTAGCAAGACTGACCAAAAATTTAAGGAAAAAAGAGAGAGAAGATACAATCACCAGTACCAGGAATAAAATGCACTTGGACATTCATCTCAGATAAATTAACCCTTATTTTCACATTAAAAATCTATTCAGAGCAGCTTTCCTCATACTAGCTCCAAACTCAGAACAGTTCAGCTATTCTTCAATGGTGAATGGCTAAACAAAATTTGGTAAATACTGTATATACCATAGAATAGTATTCAGCAATGAAATATTGAAATACAGCAACTTTCATGAATAAAAAAATTATACTGAGTAAAAAGAGCCAATTTCAATGATTCCAGTCATATAACATTTTGAAAATGATAGTTTTAGAAGGGAACTGATTAGTGGTGCTAAGGAGTTAGGAAGGGGGTAAGTTTGGAAAGAGAGAGAGAGAGTATTATAAAAGGACAACAGGAGGAATCCTTAATCCTTATGGTGCTGGAACTCTTCAGTATCATGATTGTGGTGCCGCATGCATGAACCTACACATATAATAAGGTTGTATAGATTTGAATATCTACACACACACACACACATACACACGCACACCACAACTCTCTCTCTCTCTCTCACACACACACGTGTAAAAGTAAAAAAAAGGAAACCTGGATAAGATAAATGGATGATATGAAAGTCAATATCCCAGATTTGATATTGTACTATAGTTTTGTAAACTTTTATCATTGGGGAAAGATGAGCAGATTATACACAGGACCTCTTTGTATTATTTATTAAAATTTCATGTGCATCTACACAATACAAATGTCAATTAAACCTCAATCATATTGAAAACAGAAAACCAATAGAAAAAAATCAATAAAACCAAAAGCAGTTTTTGTGAAGACCTATAAGTTTAATAAATCTATAGCCACATTTATCTTGAAAAAGAGTAAGAAGTACATCACCAATATCAAGGATAAATGACTTTACTACATATTCTGAAAATATCAAAAGAATATTAAGGTAATAATAGTACACACAGAAAGATGTCAGCGGTCAAAGAGGAAATCACTAAAAAAAGTTGTTTTTTTTTTAATATTGGTGTAGCTGACAGAAGAAATGCCTGACAATAGATACATAGTATCAGTTATGTTTTATCCTTGTGTTAACAAAAATAGTTGTCATGTTTGAACTCATAGTTAGAAAGACCAATATGTAAACAAACAATACACACATCTATTAATGATATTGAGGTTTGAAACAAAATTATTTCTTGAGTCATCAGAAAAAAAGTGAAAATGATTCTTAACAGCAATGTGACATGAATCTCAACAATGCATTTTATTTAGCTTTTTCTTTTCATATTCCACAACGTGTAGCAGTTCAGATATGATTGATACCAAATGATATCTCAGAATATTTTAAGTTGCGGGAAAATCAACTTGAATTTGGGAGAAGAAAAAAGATTTGGGGTTCAGCATAAAGTGAATAGATTAGAGGAGGAGACTGAAAGTGGCCTATTAGGATAATTTTGCAAAACAGGTTGGGTAATTAAGTGTCGAAGTAGAGCTTTAATGGGTGGGCTTAACTCAAATGTATTTTGGAGGTAATTTCTAAAAGATTTAGTGATGGACAAGATATGGGGATTTTAACTGGAAGAAAGTAGGAAGGATGATGCCTGCTGCTTATTGTCTATATAACTGGATGCATGGGCAGTACCATTCATTGAAAAAGAGATGAAGAATGTTTTTAGTTAAATAAAAGTGATATCACATTATTAATACAAACTTTAAAGAAGAAGTACCAGAAACATAACTTTGCTTTACTTTAGTGGATAATTTTTACCTGATCCCAAATAAAATGAACCTTTATAAAACATCAATAGGCATTGGTATTTGTCAATTATAAAAACTGATATTATTGAAAAAGTAATAAAACATTTTTGACATTGTTGGGCTTGGAAAAATGGCACAAAATAATGGTCCTAAAAGGAAACTTAAAAATGGCTGAGAGCATAATTGATAAATAACTAAATAGAAATATTAGTGCTCAAAATTTTTTAAAATCTGAAAATAAAACCATTGTTCTCAGAAAAACTAAAAAAGCAAAGTAAAATGATCTATATTTCAAGGAAAATAAATTAAGAGTTTAAAAATGTTCAATAGAGTTTACTGCAAAAATATTTCTGAAAGAAAACTCATCAATGTTAATATTATTTGCATTAAAATATTTGGTTTTATAGGCATGTAGTGAAAACACTTATTAGATAGAAAATGTGAGGGTCAAAATGATAGTACTCTTCATTTACCGTCATATTTTGAATGCCTTCTGTGTACTAAGGATTAAACAAATAATGGGGGGTACAAAGTAAATTTCATAGTGTGATGGTTAATTTTGTGTCAATTTGACTGGGCTAAGTGATGCCCAGATAGCTGGTAAAACCTTATTTCTAGGTGTGTCTGTGAGGTGTTTCAAGATGGATTAGTACTTGAATTGGTAGACTGTACATCAAAAAGATCACACTTACTAGTGCAAATGAGCATTATCTAAAGCCAAAAGAGAACAAAAAAATGTGAATGTATTAGTTACAATTCTCTAGAGAAAGAGAACTGTTAACAAAAGCATTATTCATTGATACTTGGTAAAGCATCGTCAGGAAGACTCTATTCAAGATCATTGCAATAGGTGTACAGACCACTGCAATATGATTTTGCACTCAGGAAGAGAGATTGAGCTCAGCTTTAAATACAGCATGGATATGCCGGAATTTATAACCAAAAAGTAGTGTATGGTTAGTGAATGGGAAATTACTAAAATGAGACATCGGGGGTAATGGGAATTCTGGCTAAGCCAACCTAACCAGATTTTTGCTGAAGATAGTTCAGAATAATCAGACATAATGTGGGGGATAGTAGAGGATGAAAAAACTGATTAGATGTAAAAGATGATCAAGTATTAAAGGTTGGGGGTTCTTGCTAAATTAACATAGTAGGATTGTTTGCTAAAACTATATCTTACAAGGAAGAACACAGTTGGGCTTAGGAAGAAGTTCAGGAGCCTCACTAAAGTTTGGCTAAATAGTGTCTTTGTCAGAATGAATAAAATGTATGTGTGATCAGATAAAAATATCCATTAAAGTAAAATAAACTTATAACTTATGTTTCTTGTTCTTTTTATTTTAAAAAAGTTTCTATTAATGATGCAATACCACTTTTACATAACTAAAAACATATGTTCATGCACACACACACACACACACACACACACACAGAAATTTACTGTAGGAATTAGCTTACATGATTATAGAGGTTGAGAAGTCTCACAATCTGTAATCTGCAAGCTGCAGAACCAGGAATCGGGAGTTATCGTGGTTTAATTCAGTCCAGTCTGATGACCTGAGAACTAGATGGCCAATAGTGCAAGTCTTAGTGTGAGTTTGAAGGCCCATGAACCAGGAGAACTGAATTCCAAAGGCAGGAGAGGATGCTTGTCCCAGCTCAAACACAAAGAGCACATTTTCCCTCCTCTGCCTTTCTGTTCTATTTGGGCCCTTAATAGATTGTATGATGCTCACCTACATTGGTAAGGGCAATCTTCTTTACTCCGCCTACCAAGTCAAAAGCTAACCTCTTTCTAAAACATCCTCACAGACACATCTAGAAATAATGTTTTATCAGCTACCTGGGCATTGCTTATCCCACTTAAGTTGACACATTAACCCTCACTGGTATACACCTTGTCAGTTCGGCACCCATACACATCTTTTTAAATTATACTTAATTTCTAAATAAAAGACAATAACAAGGTGATATTTTTACCTAACAAAAGCTGTCTCTCAAAAGAACAGTAGTTATCTGCAGGTGATACCAGGACCTCGCTCCAAATGCTGAAGACCTGTACTACCATTCACCTATGAGAGCCTGTCACAGGCTTCAAATCCCTATCTGCCACTGCCACCTTAAGCACTATTGGAATGGCTGGTTCAAATGGCACAAGTGGCAGAGAGGCTTGATAGCAACCTGGACTGGTTGGAGAGCTGACTTTTTTTTGGGGCTTCACTCAAAGACAGTAGCTTTTCAGGTCATTTAGTCAATGAGTCGTAATAACTCAAGTTAGGAATATATTGCATTCAAAATCCACATAGACCTATTAGGCTTTGTGATTCTTTCTTGGTTGTAAGAGGAACAGATTCCACAACTTATCCTTCACTTCAGAAAAACTATCACAATATGCTCCATACCTCTGAACCCCTAGACATTTCACTGAGGTAGAAGGCTCTTAATTTTAAGTTGGGTTAATTTCCTACCCTCTGACAAGCAAATGCCCTCACAATATGTCTGGAATAGTTGCTACTTCTCAGTCACTAGACCTAATCAGGATAATCTCATCAATGTAACTGACCAGTGTAATATCTTGCAGAAGGAAAAAGCAGCGAAGATCCCTGTGAACTAAATTATGACACAGGGCTGGAGAGTTCATATGCCCCTGAGGTAGGACAGTGAAAGTATGTTGCTGGCCTTGTCAGCTGAAAGCAAACTCTGGTTGGTCTTAAGGACAGAGATGGAGAAAAACATTTTCCAGATCAATAGCTGCATCTCAGATCCCAAGGACTGTGTTAATTTGTTCAAGCAATGAAATCACATGTGGTATAGCAGCTACAATGGAAATCATCACTTAGATAAACTAATGGTAATCCACTGTTATTCTCCAAGGTCTATTTCTTCCACAGAGGCCAAATAGGAGATTTGAATAAGGATGTGGTGGGAATCACCACTCTTGCATCTTTCAAGTCCTTGATGGTGGCACTAACCTCTGCAATCCCTTCAGTAATGATATATTGCATTTGATTTATGATTTTGCTAGGTAGAGGCAGTTTTAATGGCTTCCATTTGGTCTGTCTCACCTTAATAGCCCTCCCTCCACAGGTCAGGGAACCTATGTGGGAATTCTTACAGCTGCAAAGTATGTCTATTCCAATTTTTCATTCTGGAACTGGGGAAGTAATCACAAGATGGGTTAACAGATTCACAAGACCCATTCTGAAATGCACCAGAGCTAAAACTCCATGGATCACTTGACCTCCATAAGCCCCTCCTCTGACTGGAAGCCACAGTGATGTTTTGGGTCTCCTGCGATCAATGTCAGTTCAGAGTCAGTGTCCAGTAGTGTCCAAAGGTCTGAATATTTTATTTCCTAATGCACAGCTCCTCTGGTAAAAGGCCATAATTCCTTTTGGGGAAGGTTGGAAGAAAAATTCAGGGTACAAATTTTTGATAGTGTACTGGGGACCCATCTCAATGGAACCCAGCCTCCCTTTTATTTAGTGAGTTCCGGTTCCGGTTCTGGAAACTAACTCAAGTCTGAGAATTAATTGAGGGCCTTTGTTTTTATGTCTTTGTTTTTATGGTTTGAGTTAGAATTTTGTTCACATAATCTAGAAGTTTTCTGTTTATACAGATCAAGTGAGAATTCAGTAGCCTTTCTTCCTAATTCTCTTTTAGGAACACCATGATTAATTAGCTAAAGCCATGGATCTGCACAGACTGTTCTGATTGCTTCTTTGACTCTGCTGTCCATTATGGTAACTACACCCACCTTTTAGTTGGCAGTTGTCATCATGTTGCCCTTGCCATCCCAGGATCCAATTATTCTCATCTCATTTAGGTTTTTCTATTGAGTGGCTGTGGTTCCCACTACAAATTGTGGCCTACAGAGAAAAGGAATCACAGAGCTTTTAAGCTCCCCTCACATATTTATTTCTCAAGGTAGTGGTGAAAGTTATTCTTTCTGTACCTTTTCAATGTGGGAGAGTAGGTGTTAAATGATAAATCCGGCCAGGCACGGTGGCTCACGCCTGTAATCCCAGCACTTTGGGAGGCCTAAGCGGGCGGATCACAAGGTCAGGAGATAGAGACCATCCTGGCTAATACGGTGAAACCCCATCTCCACTAAAAACACAAAAAAATTAGCCGGGCGTGGTGGCGGGCGCCTGTAGTCTCAGCTCCTCGGGAGGCTGAGGCAGGAGAATGGCGTGAACCCTGGCGGCGGAGCTTGCAGTGAGCCGAGATCGCACCACTACACTCCAGACTAGGAGAGAGAGCAAGACTCCGTCTCAAGATAAACCCACTTTAAAATTCCAAATTCCCTAAGCCTTAGGATCCTTTATTTTATGTTAAAGCAGAGGATATTAAGCATTTCCAATTCACTCATGGTAGGCCATATTTTGATCTATGTTTTAGCCAAACACCCAAACTGTTACTGTCCTAATTTCGAGAGCGGTAACATTGAATGCAGAATCTCTGCCTAGTGAGCATATATGAATAAATATAACCTGATCCAAATTTATAATCTTTCCCACCATTATCCTGTGCCCTTAAGATCCAGTTTCATATATGTTCCTTGGATTTCTGCTTGTCTAATTTAGGAAATATAAGTACTTCTTTTGGAGTGTAGCACACCTCATAGGACACACTTTGTACTTCACCATTAGTATCCTACTAGGAATGAAGTGTAGTTGTAGGTATATAAGCAAAGAGGGATAGTTCGGGTAAGTCCTGAGGAGAATTAACATTGTCTTGCATGACAATTGCTTTAGAAGAGGTCAATATCATTTCTCAGGCAATTCAGGGTTATTTCCTCCAAAGGAGATGGAAGGGCAGATACCAATGTTGTGGGGAGGCTGCTACAACTAGTGATGGCTTCTGCTGAAGATAAGAGTCTGCTTCTACTGGAGGTCGAGATACCTCTCCCACTGGCAAAAAATAAATAAATAAATAAATAAATAAATAAATAACAAACAAAAAACACTCTAATAAAATCTTATCACAATTTAGGAAATCAATGTCACCAGCCTCATCAGGGTCTTCCCATATGTACCTTTCCCAACCATAAGGTTTAGATATCTGTCTGTTCTAAATCTCATGTAGAAAAGTAATTACCAATGTTAGAGGTGAGGCCTGATGGGAAGTGGTTGGATCAAGGTGGTGAATACCTCAAGAATGGTTTGACACCATTCCCTTGGAGATAAGTGAGTTCTCACACAGCTAGTTCACACAAAATCTGGTTGTTTAAAAGTCTGGGACCTCCCGACCATCACCCCGTTGCTCCTGCCCTCGCCATGTGATGTGCCTTCTCTTGCTTCACTTCTGCTATGATTGTTAATCTCCCTGAGGTCCTCACCAGGAGCAGATGTCAATATCATGCTTCCTGTACAGCCTACAGAACCATGAGCCCATTAAACCTCTTTTCTTTATAAATTACCCAGTCCCAGATACTCTTTAATAGTGATGCAAAAACAAACTAATACACCAGCTTACAGGAATACATTGTTTTCCAATAAATGTCCTCACTCTAACATTAGGCAACCTGCAAGTCTGGGTGTTCAGCTTGCACTGTAATTCAGCCAATCATGAGATGATGTCCTGTGGTTGATTTTCAGCAATTTTAACCCTGTGACAGACTACAAGAGGGAAGGATATCTTTCAAGGCATACTTGGAAGCTCTTAGGTCAAGCCTGTCTAACCCACATACTGCTGCAGCCTGCATGTGGCCCAGGATGGCTTTGAATGCAGCCCAACACAAATTTATAAACTTTCTTAAAACTTTATGAGATTTGTTTTGTGATTTAAGAAATCTCATCAGCAATCATTAGAGTTAGTGTATTTTATGTGTGGCCCAAGACAATTCTGTTTGCAAAATGGCCCAGGGAAGCCAAGAGATTGGACACCCTTGTGACTTAGGTCATTTATGCCATGCTTGAACTGAGAATTTGAATTCCTGAGCTCATTGATCTTTTACCACTTTGTCCAGCAACATTAAGAGTAACCAAACAATGCCATTGTATTTCTTAGCTTTTAAAAAATACTCAAAAGTAGTATATAAATGTCACTTAGCTTTTTGCTTCTTACAAGTGGTTGATTAGGAGTATTCAATGCAGATGTGGCATAACTCGATAAAAAGGTTCATGCCACGAACTAACTGTACCTTTTTTTCTACTAAAAATAGACTTTTGATTGTCTTTAGACCAAATGAGATTAGAGAGCCAATTCCAGAAACCCTAGACACAATTCAGAAAACTTATTCTTAATTTTTTTTGCCCTAGAACTACTCTGAGTATCAAAATCTGTATTAGGGTTCTTTGTAAAAAGCAAAACCAATAGAATATAGATAGATTATAAATAGGTGGATGGATAGATAGATAGATAGATAAAAAAGGAATTACTCTTAGATTGACTCACACAATTATGAAGGCTGAGAAATTTGTCACTTGCCATCTGCAAGCTGGTGATCTAGTTCAGTTAAACCAAGAGCACAGTTTTCTCTGCTTTCTGTTATATTTGAACCATCAAGGGATTATATGATGCCCACCCACATTGGTGAGGAAGGTCTTGTTTACTTAGTCTACTCATTCTAATGCTCATCTCTTCTGGAAACACCCTCAAAGACACACTAATACGTAAGTTTTCACTAGCTATCTGGTCACTTCTTAGCCCAGTCAAGTTGACATATAAAATTAAACATCACAGTAAAGGAAAGGTGAATATGCTCTTTGCTTGGGCTGAGGAACCCATCTTCTCATAGCATCAGATATCAGCCATCTTGTTTCTTGGGCATTTGTACTTGGACTGGTGCTTACACCATTGGCTTCCCTGGTTCTCAGGTCTTCAGGTTTGGACTTGAACTACACCACTGGCTTTCCTCAACTTACAGTTTGGAGAAGGAAGATGGTGGAACTTCTCAACCTCCATAATGATGTAAGTCAATCCCTCAATGAATCTCTTTCTGTATTCCTATTAACTCTTTCTGTATTCATATTAACAATATTAATAGGACATATATATAACAATAATAATAATATTAATAAGATATACATGTATATACTGCAATATTAATATTAATATCCTATTAATATTGTTTCTCTGGAGTACCTTGAATAATACACAGAGTGTATTATTGTGCCCTAACTCAGTTAGCTGTCTATTAAAAGAAAAATATTTAATTAATTAATTAATAATCATTTGATTATATAATTCATTGTATAATGAATTATATAATTAATAAAAAATATTTAATCAATAAATAATTAAAAAGTATATTATAAACACAATAATAATAGTCTGGAAATCTCCCATGTAGATATATTGGAGGATAGAAGTGGTAGAGATAAATTTCATAATGATATGGTAATTTTTATCAGAATGTTATTGTCCTTTGTCTAGAGTACTCCCAAGGAATTTGGGGATACTCTTAAGGCAGTCTTCCATGTTGCTATGTATGCCAATATTTCCCAATATAGGACAAATGTGAGGTTACCCAAATAGTACCTTGTAGCAAAACAGCAAATAAAACCAAACCAAGTATCAATAGCTAAACTGTAATAATTGCTGTTTTGCTTTATTATCTCTAAATCCAACTCTACGTCAACCTTCTTTTATCTCTGTGTTCTCATCTCTACCCTTATGCACATAGTGTAAATAAGCTTGAGTAACCAAGGTTTTAGTGTGCTCCTGCCAATTTTAATATAAACTCAAGTTCTCAATAACTTGAAAAAATAGACAAATATTTTTATTCATCTTATTGAATTGATTGAATCTTAGAAACTGTGGTTGCTTTATTTTCTGTCAGCTAGTGAGGACAGTTTTCTTTGCAACCTCAAGCCTTTTGTCCATGCAAGTAATAATAATAATAACCGGTCCACATTCTACCAGCTTGGTACTGGTAGAGATGAGATGAGGATGAAAGAAAGATTTCCTTATGGATTCTTTCTTGTGGCCTTTATGGTTAGAAATCCCAGTTTGCAGCTGAGCCAAAAGAACAATAGGTAAATCCATAGTCATTGAACCTTCGATAGTTGGTATAAGAGTGAATAGACAATAGAAAAATATGAATATTATTATTACCATCATAATTACCTAGCTATGTAATCATGAACTTTATCTATAAAACAAAATCTGAGATAATTTCAGGCCTTAGGAGATTCTGTTTCTAGAATGTCAAAAGAAGTTTTATATAAATTTACCTGATGATTTCTCTAATATTTAGGGGACAAAATAAAAATAGATTACATTTTTTCCTCCCATCTTTTTGTCTTGCCATAACAATTGCTCTGCCTCAAGATTGCTGCTAAATATAGTAGAGACATGGCACAGCCAAAAGTGTGTAGTATGAAGTTGGGTCAACTTATCTTTTGGTTTTATTGTCCCTAGATTACGTGGTTAAAAAAACAAAAGAGATCAACAGGTTGATTTTTGTCTCACCTCTAGTTTTCAAAGCATGTAATGCCAGGGATCTAAATCTAAATGGAAGAATACGTTTCTGCTATTTGTGTTATTATTCTAACATTTCTACTTCCACATAAAATAGCACATATGCTGCTGTGCTATACTGAAACAATAACAAGAAAAAATGTCCAAAGTCATATCACCCTACCCTACTTCCTTTTATGTTGTCAGCAATTAATTTTAAATTCTCCAGACATATTTAAATCAAACCTCCAAAATAGTCACCATCAATATTCTATCATCATCTGATCTAAGAGCTTTAGAAAGAATGATTCCACCAGCTTCATTACACAAATCCATTTTCTAAAGTATGGAGAGAGAAGTATTTTGCCTGATCAAAAAAAAAATCTAAAAAGAGAGATAGGATAAAACCTCATGGGCCTTGCATTGCTAGTTTATTTCTCAGCTACAATCAATGCTCATAATTCTTCCAATACCATAGCAGCTAAAGATTAGGAGTGGTGGTGTGGCCTTAGGAATCAAGATGAAGTCATTTAAAATGAATCTAAAACCATTCTAGATATATTGAGGTTATCGCATATTACAGAATAGTGTCTTTCCCCAAAATATATTAGACTAAAGGCTTATTTCATATAGTTCAAATTTTATGCATTTCCTTATATGCATTGAGCACATGCAATTAAAAGAATAGCTACAGAAAAAAATAAAGTTGGAACGTTGGTGCTAGAAACATAACTTCAAAAGTCTGAGAAATATAATTACAGAATGACAGGAAAGACATCTCTCACGCAACAAGATTAAGACCAAAATGGAATAAAATTAGAAATCAATACAGATAAAAAAATTTGAAATTATACAAGTACAGGGAAGTTAAACAACATGCCCTTGAATGACCAATGGATTAATAAAGAAGTTAAGAAAGTAATAAAAAAATTTTTGAAACAAATGAAAATAAAAACACAGCATACTACAACCGATAGGATACAGCAAAAGCAGTACTAAGGGGTAAGTTTACAGCAATAAATACCTCCATCAGAAAAGCAGAAATATTTCAAATAAATAACCTAACCCTGCAACTCCAGGAACTCAAAAAGCAAGAGCAAATGAAATGAGGAAGATGGAGCAAGCTGGCTAGATATAACCATCGAGTGACAGTTCCAACCACCAGAAGAACACAAATTGAACAACTATCTATGCAAGAAAGCACCTCCATGAGGGCCAAAATATCAGTTCTCTCAAGAAAGATGGATACAAACAAGGCCAGACGGCGAAGACTGGTATAAAATGCCCAGACATTGATGAATGTCCATAAACTTTAAGAATATCCAGTAAAACATGACCTCACCAAACAGACTAAATAAGGCATCAGTGACCAATTCTGGAGTGATAGAGATTTATGACTTCTCAGCTAGGGAATTCAAAATAACTGTCTTGAGGAAGCTCAATGAGCTTCAAGAAAACACAGAGAAAAATTCAGAATTCTATCAGAGAACTTTAATAGAAAGATTGAAATAATTTTTCGGAATCAGGTAAAAAATCTAGAGCTAATAAATTCAATTGACAAACTAAAAAATGGGTTTCAACAGAAAAATTGATCAAGGAGAAGAAAATAAAAGTGAGTGTAAATGCAGGCTTTTTGAAAATACACAGTCAGAAAGGAAAAAATAGAAAAAGAACAATGAAAAACGCCCATGAGATGTAGAATATAACCACAAAAGGGCAAATTTAAGGGATATTATCCTTGAAGAAGATGTAGAGGAAGAAATTGGGGTAGAAGGTTTATTCAAAGAAATAACAGAGAACTTTCCAAACATAAAGTTATGAATATCCAGGTACAAGAAGGTCAAAGAACACTAAGAAGATCCCACCCAAATAAAAACTACCTCAAGACATATTATAAGCTAACTACCAAAAGTCAAGGACAAAGGAAATATTCTAAAAGCATCAATAAAAAAAGAAGCAACTAACATATAAAGGAGCTATGATACATTTTGCAGCAGACTTCTCAGCAGAAACTTTATAGGCTAGAAGAGAATGGAATGGCATAATCAAAATGTGAAGGGAAAAAAAAAACTTTTTAGTAAAATACTGTATCCAGCAAAGCAAGGTTATCTTTCAAGCATGAAGGAGAAATAAAGACTACCTCTAGACAAACAAAAGCTGTGAAAATTCATAAACACTAGACCTGTTTTAAAATTAACGCTAAAGAGAATTCTTCAATCAGAATAAAAAGACGTTAATATACAATAAGAAATCATTTGGTTGTATAAAATGCACTGATAAAAGCCAGTAGAGAGACAATACAGAATACTCTAACACTGTAATTGCAATGGATAAACCAAAGATATCTTTCGTTCAAAGACTAAAAGGCTAACCTATCAAAAACAATAATAACTACAACAATTTGTTGAGAGATAGACAATAAACCAAAATGTAGAGACTACAAAAGGTCCAAAAGTGGGAAGGAATTAAAGTATAGAGTTTTTAGTTTTCTCTCGGCTCTTTTTTTCTAGTTCCTCCTTTTTTTTTTTTTTTATCTCAGCTAAGTTTTATTAGTTTAAAATGACTAGTTAAAATATGTTTTTGTAAGCTTCATTGTAGCCATAAGGCAATGATAATATATACATAAAAATAATAAAAAAGCAAGAAATTAAAACATTCTACCAGAAGAGAGCCTGGAGATCATGGTTGACGAGAGGCAGGACTAACTTGCAGCTCCCACTTGGACGGGCAGAATAACATGTAGAGATTCGCATTGTGAACTTTTGCTCCAGAGTGACTGCAGGAACACATTAGGAAAACCAAGATAACCTGCAGATCCTCTAAAGGAAGCGGATTACTCCTACAGGACCCGGGAGATGCCTGAAATATTGTAAATACCCAAACTTTGAAAGTGAGAAAGGGAGATCTCCACCCCTGAACATACAACCCTAATGGGGAACCTGAAGGTCTAATTACATAAGGAGAAGATTCTGACCTTACCTAGAATTGAGTCAATTTAGAGAGCTGAGCAAAATACGGAGGTAGTGGACGCAACAGGAAAATCCCTGTGGGCTCACTGGGTCCCCTAGCAAACCATTCCTGCCTCACCTCACAGGGTCCTTCAAGAGGGTTGCCGGAGGCACTGGGAAAAGGCCACAGGGAGAAGGAAACCTCCAGCTAAACTTTGTAACAATTTGAACCACTCAAGAAGTCTCCTGGCCAGAACTTGGGAGAGAAAATGAATCCAGTGTGCAGACTCCACAGGTGGGGACAGAAGGAAAGCCCCAGGTGGGTAGCCTGGGAAAAGTTCTCAGCCCTGCTCACCCACTGCCTGGAAACAGTCTGGGTGCTTCTGATGGAGGCATGGTTGGGAATGAGACTGGCCCTTTGGGTTGCATGGGATCTGGGTGAGGCCTGTGACTGCCAGCTTTCCCCCATTTCCCTGACAACCTGCATTACACAGCAGAGACAGCCATAATCCTCCTAGGAACATAACTCCTTTGACCTGGGAACCTCACCCCCATTTCCCACAGCAGCCGCAGGAAGACCCACCCAAGTGGAGTCTGAGCTCAGGCTGCCTAGCCCTGCCCTCACGTAATGGTCGTTCCCTAACCACCCTGGTAACTGAAGACAAAGAGCATATATTCTTGGGAGTTATAGGGCCCTGCCCACCACCTCTTCCTCCCCATACTACCACAGCTGATACTCTTTTGAAAGTGCCACCTCCTAGCAGGAGGCCAACTAGCACAAAAATAGTACACTAATTAACCAAAGCTAAGGACCCTCACATAGTCCCTTTCACCCCCCTGCCACCATCTCCAGAGCAGGTGCTGGTATCCACATTTGAGAGACCTACAGATGGTTCATATCAAAGGACTCTGTGCAGACAGTCCCCAGTACCAACCCGGTGTCTGGTAGACTTGCTGGGTGGCTAGACCCAGAAGAGAGATAACAATCACTACAGCTCAGCTCTCAGGAAGCCACATCCCCAGGAAAAGGGGGAGAGTACTACATCAAGGAAACACCCCATGGGACAAAAGGAACTGAACTACAGCCTTGAGCCCTAGACTGTACCTCTGATAGAACCTATCCAAATGAGAAGGAACCAGAAAACCAACTCTTGTAATATGACAAAACAAGGTTCTTTAAAACCTCCAAAATATCACACTAGCTCACCAGCAATTGATCCAAACCAAGAAGAAATCCCTGATCTACCTGAAAAAGAATTCAGAAGGTTAGTTATTAAGCTAATCAGGGAGGCGCCAGAGAAAGGCAAAGCTCAATGTAAGGAAATAAAAAAAAACAATATGATACAAGAAATGAAGGGAGAAATATTCAATGAAATAATAGCATAAATAAAAAACAATAAAAACTTCAGGAAACAGTAGGCACAGTTACAGAAATGGAAAATGCTCTGGAAAGTCTCAGCAATAGAATCAAACAAGCAGAAGAAAGAACTTCAGAGCATGAAGATAAGGTTTTTGAGTTAACCAAATGCAACAAGGAGAAAGAAAAATGAATAAGAAAATGTGAACAAAGCCTCCAAGAAGTCTGGGATTATGTTAAATGACCAAACCTAAGAATAATCTGCATTCTAAGGAAGAAGAGAAATCTAAAAGTGTGGAAAATATATTTGAGGGAATAATTGAGGAAACCTTTTCCAGCCTTGCTAGAGAAGTAGTCATCCAAATACAAGAAGCTCAAAGAACACCTGGAAAATTCGTCACAAAAGGATTGTCACCTAGGCACATTGTTGTCAGGTTTTCTAAAGTTAAGATGAAGGAATCTTAACAGCTGTGAGGCAAAAGCACCAAGTAACTTGTAAAGGAAATCCTACCTGATTAATAACAGATTTCTCAGCAGAAACCCCACAAGCTAGAAGAGGCTGGGGCTCAATCTTCAGCCTCCTCAAACAAAACAATTATCAGCCAAGAATTTTGTTTCCCGTAAAATAAGTATCATATATGAGGACACATACACCTTTTTCAGACAAACAAATGCTGGGAGAATTTGCCACTACCAAGCCAGCACTACAAGGACTCCTAAAAGCTCTAAATCTTGAAACAAATCCTGGAAACACACCAAAAGACAACCTCTTTCAAGCATAAATCTCACAGAACATATAAAAGAAAAATACAATTTAAAAAACAAACAAAAAAACAAGGTATACAGGCAAAAACAGCATGATGAATAAATTGCTACCTCACATCTCAATACTAATGTTGAATGTAAATGGCCTAAATGGTCCACTTAAAAGATACAGAATTGCAGAATGGATAAGAATTTACCAACCAATTATCTGCTGCTTTCAAGAGACACACCTAATACATAATGACTCAAATACACTTAAAAGGCAAAGTGATGGAAAAAGAAATTCCATGCAAATGGACAACAAAAGTGAGCAGGAGTAGCTATTCTTATATCAGACAAAACAAACTTTAAAGCAACAGCAGTTAAAAAAGACAAAGAGGGCCATTATATAATGGTAAAAGGCCCTGTCCAACAGGAAAATATCACAATTCTAAATAGATATGCATCTAACTCTGGAGCTCCAAAATTTATAAAACAATTACTAATGGACCTAAGAAATGAGATAGACAGCAACATAAAAATAGTGGGGAATATCAATACTTCACCGACAGCACTAAACATGTCATCAAGACAGAAAGTCAAAACAGAAAGAATGGATTTAAATTATGCCCTGGAACAAATGGACTTGACAGATATTTTCAGAATATTCTACCCAAAAACCACAGAATATGCATTCCATTCAACAGCACATGTAACTGTCTTCAAGATAGTCCATATGATAGTTCACAAATCAAGTCTCAATAAATTCAAGAAAATTGAAATTCTATCAGGCACTCTCTCAAACCACAGTGGGATAAAACTGGAAATCAACTCCAAAAAGAACCTTCAGAACCATGCAAATACATAGAAATTAAATAACCTGCTCTTGAATAATCATTGCATCAAAAATGAAATCAAAATGGAAATTTAAAAATTATTCAAACTGAAAGACAATAGTGACACAACCTATCAAAATTTCTGGCATACAGCAAAGGCAGTGCTAAGAGGAAATTTCATAGACCTAAACACCTATATCAAAAAGATGGAAAGAGCACAAACAGATAATCTAAGGTCAAACCTCAAGGAACTAAAGAAACAAGAACAAACAAAACCCAAAGTCAACAGGAGGAAGGAAATAAGCATGATCAGAGCAAAACTAAATGGAATTGGGAAAAAAAATATAAAAGATATGGAAAAAACCTGGTTCTTTGAAAAGATGAATAAAATTGATAGACCATTAGCAAGATTAACCAAGAAAAAAAAAAAGAGAAAATACAAATAAGCTCAATTAGAAACTTAATGGTAGATATTACAACTGACACCACAGAAATACAAAAGATCATTCAAGGCTACTATGAACAGGTTTATGCACATAAACTAGAAAACCTAGAAGAGATGGATAAATTCCTGGAAGGATACAACCTTCCTTAACTTAAATCAGGAAGAATTAGATACTCTGAACAGACCAATAACAAGCAGTGACATTGAAATGGTAATAAAAAAATTACCAACAAATAAAAGTCAAGGACCAGTTGGATTCACAGCGGAATTCTACCAGAAATTCAAAGAAGTATTGGTACCAACTCTATTGACACTATTCCACAAGATAGAGAAAGAGGGAACCCTCCTTAAATCATTCTATGAAGCCAGTATTATCCAATACAAAAACCAGGAAAGGACATAACCAAAAAAGAAAACTATAGACCAATATCTCTGATGAATATAGATGCTAAAATTGTTAACAAAATTCTAGCTAACCAAATCCAACAACATATCCAAAGGTAAGCCACCATGATCAAGTGGGTTTCATACCAGGGATGCAGGGATAGTTTAACATACACAAGTCAATTAATGTGATACATCACATACACAGAATCAAAAACAAAAATCACATGATCATCTCAATAGATGCAGAAAAAGCACCTTACAAAATCCAGCATCCCCTTATGATTAAAACTCTCAGCAAAATTAGCATACAAGGGACATAAATCAATGTAATGTAAGTCATCTTAGACAAGCCCACAGCCAACATAATACTGCATGGGGAAAAGTTAAAAGCATTCTCTCTAAAAACTGGAACAAGACAAAGATGCCCACTCTTACCTCTCCTCCAAATTGGTAAGGAGAAAGTCAAACTGTCACTGTTTGCTGAAGATATGATTGTTTACCTAGAAAACCCTAAAGACTCCTCCAGAAAGCTCTAGAACTGATAAAAGAATTCAGCAAATTTTCCGGGCACAAAATTAATGTACACAAATCAGTAGCTCTTCTACACAACAACAGCGACCAGGTTGAGAATCAAGTGGAGAACTCAACTCCTTTTACAACAGCTGAAAAAAAATAAAACTATTTAGGAATGTAACTAACCAAGGAGGTGGAAGACCTCTATAAGGAAAACTACAAAACACTGCAGAAAGAAATCACAGATGACACGAATGAATGGAAACACATCCCATACTCATGGACAGGTAGAAACAATATTGTGAAAATGACCATACTGCCAAAAACAACTTACGAATTCAATGCAATTCCCATCAAAATACCACCATCATTTTACACAGAATTAGTAAAAAGCATTCTAAAGTTTATATAGAACAACAACAACAACATCAAAAAGCCCACATAGCTAAAGCAAGACTAACTAAAAGGAACAAATCTGTAGGCATCACATTACCTGATTTCAAACTATACTATAAGGCCATAGTCACCAAAACAGCATGGCACTGGCATAAAAACAGGCACATAGACCAATGGAACAGAATAAAGAAGCCAGAAATAAACCCAAATACTTACAACCAACTGATCTTTGACAAAGAAAACAAAAACATAAAGTGGGGAAAGGAAAACTCATTCAACAAATGGTGGTGGGATAATTGGCAAGCCACATGTAGGAGAATGAAACTGGATCCTCATCTCTCACTTTATACAAAATCAACTCAAAATGGGTCAAGTACTTAAATCTAAGACCCAAAACTATAAAAATTGTAGAAGATAACATTGGAAATCCTCTTCTAGATATTGGCTTAGGCAAGGATTTCATGACCAAGAACCCAAAAGCAAATGCGATAAAAGCAAAGATAAATAGCTGAGACTTAATTAAACTAACGTGCTTTTGTACAGCAAAAGGAGCAGTCAGCAGAGTAAATAGGCAACCCACAGAGTGGGAGAAAATCTTCACAATCTGTACATCTGAAAAAGGACTAATCCAGAATCTGCAACAAACTCAAACAAATCAGCAAGAAAAATAAACAAACAATCCCGTCAAAAAGTGGGCTAAGAACACGAATGGACAATTCTCAAAAGAAGAAACACAAATGACCAACAAACATGAAAAAATACTTAACATCACTAATCATCAGGGAAATGCAAATCAAAACCACAATGCGATACTAAGTACTAATGAAATTATTCATAGAAATAGGAAAATTTCTACAATTTGTAGAAAACCACAAAAGAATCCAAATATCCAAAGCAATACTAAGAAAAAAGAATATAACTGGAGACATCAAACTATCTCACTTCAAAATATACTATTAGATTAGTGCAAAAGTAATTGCATTTTTTGCCATTAAAAGTAATAATAAAAACCACAGTTACCTTTGCACCAACCTAATAAAAAGCTACAGTAAACAAAACAGCATATTGTTATAAAAACATACCCATAGACCAATGGAGTAGAATTGATAACATAGAAATAAATCCACTTATTTATAGCCAACTGATTTTTGATAAAGACATCAAAAACATACTTTGTGGAAAGGACAGCCTCTTAAATAAATGGTTTTGTGAAAACTGGATATCTATATGCAGAAGAATAAAACTAGACTTCTCTCTCTCACCATATAAAAATAAAAACCCAAATGGACTTACAGGCTTAAAGATAAAACCCAAAACTATAAAACTACTAGAATAAAACATAGGGGAAATATTTCAGGACATTGGTCTAGGCAAAGATTTTATGTTAGACTAAAAGTATATACAACAAAAGCAAAAATAGACAAATTGGACTATATAAAAATAAAAAGCCTCTGCACAGCAAGGGACCTATCAACAGAATAAAGAGCAACCCATAGAATGGAAAAATATTTGCAAATTATTTGTCCAACATGGGACTAACATTCAGAATGGACGAGAAACCCAAACAATTTAATAGTGAAAAAGCAACAACAAAACAAATCTGTTTAAAAAACAGGCCAAGAATTGGAGTAGACATTTCTCAAAAGAAGACATACAAATAACAGACAAATGTATGAAAACATGCTCAACATCACTAATTATCAGAGAAATGTAAATCAAAACCACAATGAGATATGATATCACTCTAGTTAGAATAGTTGTTAACAAAAATAACAAATGCTGGCAAGGATGCAGAGAAAAGGGAAATCTTACACACTGTTGCTGTGAATGTAAATTAGTAGAGCTATAATGGAAATAATGTAAAGATTCCTCAAAACCTAAAACTAGAGCTATCATGTGATCCAGCAATTTTACTTCCCGGTATATATCCAAAGGAAAAGAAATCAGTATATTGAAGAGATATCTGCACCTCTATATTTATTGTAGCATTATTCCCAGTGGTCAAGGTGTGGAATCAGTATAAGTGCCCATCAATGGATAAATGGATAAAGAAAATGTGGAATATTATTCAGGCATGAAAAATAATGAAATCCTATCATTTATGGAAACATGGATGACCCTGGAGGACATTATGTTAAGTGAAATAAGCCAAACAGAGAAAGATAAAATGAATATGGTATTTTTGATAGCTTTGTTTAGAAAAGCAATTTTTGGGGAATATGTTATCACATTTTTAAATTAAACTGGAGTAAAAATGTTTGTAGTTATTCAATATTTCCAATTTTATTAATTTTATTTTTAAAAACAAAAAATAAATAGTACTTTCCTATTACAGTTGAATACTGGAGATGTTGGAAAGAACTAAATCACAAGCTTTAAAAATCATAACATTTTTAGCTTTTTCACAATGTCAAATATACTTTTGAAACTGTGTTTATTTTCATGTAAGTTCATTTTGATATTTTTTGGTAAAGGTCTATCTTGTGATGAACAATGGCAAATAACATTCTTAAAACTTACGAGATTAGAGCAAAGGATGGTTAACAAAAATAAATCAGGAAAATAATATTACCAATAGAGATCTGCGGTAACCTCTGAGAATATGAAGCTTATCCAAATTTTGTACCCAAAAAAGAGATACATGTATTTCAAATAGATAAGAAGTGATGGTGTGGCTGCCACAACAGGAATAAAGACTCATGTAAGCTGTAAACATTCCTGGTTCTGGGTCTTTCTACACTCTAACCCCGTACCTGCCAACAAACAAACAAACCAAAAATCCACACTGAAAGAAGAGTACAAAGAAACATCAAACAGAACAGAATTTCTTCCAGCTCCCTGTGGTAACTACTCTCTCACCATGACCTCCAACAATTTCCTCCCACTGTGTCCATATATACATTTCTCACAGCAACAGGTGGACATTATTTCATCTGCTCTTGAATCTGTGCAGGCCTTATGATTGGTCTTGATAATGAAATGTGTCACAGTATGGGACTTTCCATTGTAGCCTTAAAAGGACTGCCAGTTTTCACTTCATGCCTCTTAGAACTCAGTCATCAATCTGGGAGAAGCTCAAACCACATATAGAGGCCAAGCAGTTAAGGACAGAGGTGTTTCATTTGACAGCCCCAGTTGAGACTCCATCTAACTGTCTGCACCAACAACTAGCTGCGTAAATGAGCCATTTATGGACATTCCAGGAAGCCAAGTTGCTTAGTTTACTATGGCACACAAAATCCTCACAGAATCATGAAAAATAATAAAATTGCTACTCTTTAATCCACTAACTTCTGTATTTGTAAAATATATACAGTAATAGTTAACTGAGAAAATCTTCTAGACCCACCTCCTATCAGAATTCATGAGTTTCAACTCTGAGAATCGTCAATCTTAAAATTTGATTGACCTTCTTTAGTATTCCCACAATCTAACTGAAGACATTTGTGTAGTTAAATAAAAGAAATAGGATGCTATTTGAAAGCCACTGCGCAGGGAACTTGGCAAACAGTGATACATGACAATATTTCTCTCAATATCTTTGTAGTGTTATGGAAAGTCCATTATTGTAAATACAGGATGTTTTATGCATATAATAAATTTGTATCTTGTAGAGAGTGCAGATGTTGAGAGAAGAAAATCTGAAGGGAGTTTTGAAAAACGATAAATGTTACAAAATTAAATAAAATTAAAATTAGCTTTACAAAGAGAAAAAGCCACAGATGTACTTGGTGACCTCCAAGGGGTTCCATATAGGGTCAATTTAAGAGGGAAGCGGTAAGAACGAAAACAGGAGAAGTAAGAATGAACCAGATTTTGAGGGGCATTGTAAACTCAACTAATACATTTAGATCTTTTTATACAGGAATTAGCCATTTTCATGTTTCAAGTAGAGAGTTGTCATATTTGAGCCTGAGGAAAAAATTATTTTGTAAGAGCAATATTATTAAATTGATATATAGCCCTTCCACTTATGTTCATAAGAAAGTATCAGGGTCTGGAACTAGTTTTCTGACATAAATGCCTGGAAAACTTGATAAAGTATGTGGGGAAAAAAAAAAAACATATATACTGGCCATGTGCAGTGGCTCATACCTGTAACCCCAGCATTTTGGGAGGCGAGGTGGGTGGATCACTTGAGGTCAGGAGCTCGAGACCAGCCTGGCCAGCACGGTGAAACCTCATCTCTATTAAAAATACAAAAATTAGCTGAGCATGGTAGAGGGTGCCTGTATTCTCAGCTACTTGGGAGGCTGAGGCAATAGTATTGCTTGAACCAGGGAGGCAGAGGTTGCCGTGAGCTGAGATTGCGCCATTGCACTCCAGCCTGGGCGATATAGAGCAAGAATTAGTCTTTAAAAAAATAAATAAATAAAAATAAAAAATATATATACACACACACACTAAGGGTAAATTTTAAGTTTTCTCACACACCAAAATATTACCAGTATTTGAGGTAATACGTATGATATTTGTTTCATTTAGCCATTCTATAATATACACATGAACTACATCTTCATATTGTACACCATAAATATATAAAATTTGTGTGTGTCAATTTGAAAAAATAGTTAAAAAAGAACAATTTGCAGATATCAGGTAATAAGCAGCACTGGAATAGTATTTTCTAAAATAAGGAGTATACTGAATTGAGCTCTACCATTGCCAAGACTTTCTGCCTGGAGCCAATTTTCAGTACATGATATAGGGAAATAGAACCTGGCATGCTCACTGAATTAAAGAGACAGAAATTTGAGTTCAGGGAAGCTGAATTGACTAGAATTTACAGGGTACAATTCCAGAGAGGAGAGATCCAGGTAGAGAAGGAATTTCATAATTTGCATAGGGTTCTATGTGAGTCTTTGGCTGTACGCCAACCTGCACATGCCTAGGCTAGAAATCCATTTGACTGGACAAATACTTGCAAGAAAAAAGAAAGAAAAGGAAAGAAGTAACCAAAACAACAAAAATGAAAGAAAGGAAGGCAGAAAGGAAGGGAGGGTGGAAAAAAAGAAAGAAGAAAGAAAGGAAAGGAAAGAAGAAAGGTAAAGGGAAAGGAAAAAGGAAAGGGAAAGAAGAAAACCGTAAGACAATTCTCAGAGCATAGGCTTGGCTTAGAAACAGACATACAGACCAATGGAACAGAATAGAGAACCCAGAAACAAATCCACACACCTACAGTGAAGTCATTTTTATATAAAAATGCCAAAAATATACACTGGGGAAAAGATAATCTCTTCGATAAATGGTGCTGGGAAAACTATATCCATATAAGGAAGAATGAAAGTAGACCCCTATCTCTGGTCATATACAAAAATAAAATCAAAATGGATTAAAGATTTAAATCGAAGTCCCCAAACCATGAAACTCCTATAAGAAAACTTTGAAGAAAATTTCCAGGACATTGGTCTGGGAAAAAATACCCCACAAGCACAGCAACCAAAGCCAAAATAGACAAATGGTATCACATAAAGTTAAAAAGCTTCTGCACAGAAAAGGAAGCAATCAACAAATTGAAGGGACAACACACAGAATAGAATGAAAGAAAATATCTGCAAATTACCCATCTGACAAAGGATTAATAACCAGAGTGTATAATATATATATTCAGGAAGAACCTGATATTTATTAAAGCTTTACTACTGAAGGTCATTTTACATAGTTTGTATCAACTTCATTCATTCATTCACACATATGGAACTAAAGAGGGAAAGATAGAAGAAACACATGTTTTCACTTATATGAAGGAGTTAAAAAAAGTTGAGTTCTTAGAAGTAGAAAATAGAATTTTCATTATTAGAGGCTAGAAAATGTAGGGGGAAGGGAAGCATAGGAGAGAAGGATTAACGAATACAAAATGACAACTAGATAGGAGTATTCTATTCTATAGCACTGTAGGGTGAATATAGTTTAAAAATTTTATTACCTAATTTCCAATAGCTAGAAAAGAAAATTTTTATTGTTTCCAACACAAAGAAATGACTATTTGGGGTACTGAGTATGATAATTACCCTGATTTGATCATAACACATTGTATATATGTATCGATATATCACTCTGTATTCCACAAATACATGCAATTACCAAAAATCAACTTGGAACTTTGTGGTAGAAACACAACTCTAAGAGACTGAGAAATATAATTATAGCAGTGGTCCCCAACCTTGGGGAGTGTTCCACCTCAGATCATCAGGCATTAGATTCTCATAAGGAGCACACAACCTAGATCTCTTGCATGTGCAGCTCACAATAGGGTTCGCACTCCTATGAGAATCTAAAGACACTGCTGATTTGACAGGAGGTGGAGCTCAGGAGGTAATGCTCCCTTGCTGGTCACTCACCTCCTGCTGTGCTGCCCAGTTCCTAGCAGTTCGTGGACTGGTACTGGCCTGTGATCTGGAGGTTGGAGAGCCCTAAATTACAGGATCATAGAAAAAATATTTGTTAATCAACAAGATTAACTTTTTTCTTTTGCTATATATTGAAATATTCATTTATATAATTCTGATTTTATGTAAAAAGACTTCTAAATGGAGTTAGTAGCTAAATCTCTTCAGTTAGTTTACTACTTGGTAACTAATTTATATTATTAATAAAGAATATCATTTCAAATGCTAGTGGAATGTTAATAACAGTTACTAATTTTAAAACTTAATGATACCCTTTGACATACTACAGTAGCCCCATTCTACAGCCCTACAAAAATTAAGCAATTTTCCCCAAGCTCACAATGCTTGTAAGGGACGATCTTGAAATTTGAACCCAGATTTACTTTGATTCTAGAACCTAGGCGATCTCAATTATAATATTGTTCTATCTTAAATAATCTCAAAATAAATAAAATTGAAGTATAAACAAGTAAAGGGATCATAAGTATACCATGTAGATGTAACACAAAATAACTGTTAAAAAGGTAAAACCATGAAATAGATGTTGAAGGAACAAAGTTAGTCCAGACAAAGAGATTGGATGCATCTGGGAAGAAAAATAGAGCTTAATAATGAGCACATTATCTTATGAAGCAGAAGTTCTGATTCCTGAGGTTCACCAGTTAGATAAAATTTAGGACAAATCAAAACATGACAAAAGGGTAAATTTCAAGAAAGCTTAGAGTTGAACCCAGGCACATCATTCTACAGATGAAAAAACAAAAAAGATCTCTGGAAGTTGAATGACTTCTCTATCTCCCAAA
This sequence comes from Homo sapiens, assembly GCF_000001405.40. Taxonomy (NCBI): domain Eukaryota; kingdom Metazoa; phylum Chordata; class Mammalia; order Primates; family Hominidae; genus Homo; species Homo sapiens. Next base: position 34,713,919 of record NC_000004.12, read on the forward strand.
ATATCTTCAGTAATTATGTACAGAGCCACTCGGCTCAGTTTATACATCTGCAAAACAGTGGGGAAATGCTAACCCTGTTTAGGTTTCAAGCCAACCCTTAACATATGTTTTAAAAACAATTTATGTGTCCTCTAGAGTACACTTACCACACTGTAAAATTATAGTTTCTTTTACTGAGGAGAAGTTATTTCTCTCGTAGCACAGGAGAGAAAATGTTTCTTCTAAATAGAGACCATAGAAATAGAAAAATTTCCCCTTTTTAGTTAAATGTGTGAATGAAAGAATGAGGTTGATGTAAAGTATGTAAAATGACCTTCAGTAGCAAAGCTTTAATAAATATCAGGTTCTTCCTATGAATCTAAGAAATATGGTAAAGACTTCAGTTGTTCCATTTCCCTTCAAAAGCATGAAAGTTCTTATATCTGGTAGAAGACCCTGTGAATGTAAGAAATGTGGTAAAGCCTTCAGTTTTTCTGTTTCCCTGGAAAACATGGAAAGAGCCAGTGGAGAAAAGTCTTATGAATGCAAACATGTGGTAAGGCCTTTAGTTGTTTCAGTTCCATTTGAAGACGTGAAATAACTAATTTCTGAGAAAAGCCCTATTAATATTGGAGTGTGGGAATACCTTCATCTCTCTGATATTCATTCAAAGATACATGATAAGCCACACTGGAGATGGACTTTATAAATATAAACACACTCAGTTAAAACCCCAGTAGAGTGAAAAATACAGGAAAATTTTCGATTATAGCAATGAATTCAAAAGTCGTTGTGCCAATCCACTGGTAAGGAATTCTATAAATATATGTAAATTGGAAAGCTTGATGCCAATTAATTATTGTATAATACTAAAAAAATGCACATAAATGAAATGTTATACTAGTTATAAATAAATTCTATTTATGAGTGGTTCATTGTTAAAGAGAGACTCTATATTTTGATTTTCATTTGTTTTGCACAAAATCATGAGGTGAGAATTTGGTAGATTTTCTATAAGCCACGGTATACAGAGTTTAGTAGGTAGAGTTTTTTTCCTTAAGTCAGTTAACAAAAGTCTTCTCTATTCATTTAAAAGTGTATTGGATCTCTAGGTGAATTGAAATGTATTTCTAATATGTAGGTAATTTTCATTTTTGTGTAGTTGTTTGATTGTTCTGTGATTGATGGGCAATTGAAAAATGAGATTTTGTTCATTGTTGGTGAGAGGAGGTTCCAGTTGGGCTTCCTGGGTCGAGTAGGGGCTCAGAAAGCTGTGAAGCTCACTCATTTCCTGCATCAGGACTTACTTTGATCCTGGATGAATAATATTGAAGATATATGCTTAAAATATTCCTAATAGCAGGATTTGTGCATGTATTTTCTTCCCCAAGAAAGCTATAAACAGCGAAAACTTTGCTGTAAGCATCCCTGTATCCTTCTCTCCCTCTCTCCCTTCCCTCTCCCTTTCTCCCTTCCCTCTCCCTCAAAACTAAAGTTTAAAGTAATGTTAACTGCCCATTTTCCTGTGACCAGCAGACCTTATGTGTCCTCCCAATTCCAATTCCTTGTAAACATACTTTGTAAAGTCCTGTAAGATCCTGTCTCTTCTGCCATGCCACTGCAAGGTCATAAAGTGGATAAAACCTAAGATGCAATTCCGGCTTTCCTCAAGATCTAAGACATGTCACAAATGGTTAATTGCCTTTGTTTCTCTCTCTGGTAACATCTTCTCGCCACACATATTTCCCGCCTTAAAGAGTTTAAAAGGCAATCACATAATCCAACTCTGGCTACCATTCGGGACCCATTCCACGCTGTGGAAGCTTTGGACTTTCATTCTGCTCAATAAAGCCTACAGCTTTTTCTCTCTGTCGGTCCATGTCTCTATCACTTGCCACGGTCAGCCACCACACCAATTCTTTGGCGTGGCTACGCAAGAACCTTAGGCGTTACATCGGAATGTTCTTACTGGCTTTATTTACGTGTCAAATTTTGAATATCTCACTCATTATATATATTATATATATATCAACTCATTATATACATTACATCTATATAATGATTGTCTGTCACCCATTATATATAATATATGATATATATATCAAATTTTGATTGTCACACATTATATAATATATATTATATATCAAATTTTGATTATGTGTTACCCATTATATATGTATCATTAGGTATATTATATATTTTGTAAAATAATGTAATATATAATATAACAATATAATATATGATATATGATTATGTATATTATATATCATATATTATATATAATGGGTGACAGATAATCAAAATTTGATATATAATTTACATATATAATATATAAAATATATATAAGCCAGTAAGAATATATATATAAAGCCAGTAAGAATAAATACATAAAGACAGTAAGAATATATATACACATATATATATAGATTTCTCAAAAATTAATTATTTCATGTCTTTATATGAAACTGAAACAACTACAAGCCTTACCGCTTGTTTACATTCATAAGGCTTTTCTCCACTGGGTCTTTCCATATTTCAAGGGAAATAGAAAAACTAAAGGCTTTACCACATTTCTTACATTCACAGGGTTTTTTTACCAGATATAAGATGTTTTATGCTTTTGAAGGGAAATGCATCAACAGAAGTTTTATATATATATATATATATAAAACAGAAGTATATATATATATATATATATAAAACAGAAGTTTATATATATATATATATAAAACAGAAGTTTATATATATAACAGAAGTTTATATATATATAACAGAAGTGTATATATACATATAAACGAAGATATACATATAATAAATATATATACATATAATAAATATATATGTATATAATATATATTATACTTTTTTAATGGGATCAACTATTTTTGTTGAAAAGATGTTTATTCTGTTTTATTTGCTAATAAATAATTTAAATAATAGTTATCAAAAAAGTTTTAAAAATTTAAATTATAAAACCAAATATTAGGTTTTTGTAAATTATGTCTTTCAACATAATGAGATGCTACTTATCATCCTGCACTTTACTGAGAAAATTTGATTCTCAAGACTTCCATTAAGTAACAATAAATTTGTTTATTTTCATGAAAGCTTTTGGACAATTAAGACTAGGATTCCTATGAAATCTATTTTGATTTTAAAGCTATAACATATTTGAATTTTTTTCATATACATAGGTGCAAACACATATGGTGTAAAATTGGTAATTTATAAACTTTAAGCTTATTGCATTATATTGGAAGAAATTGTATGGACTTGACACAAAAGAACTTGAATGCCTAGAGAGACATACACATTCAGACATAAACACAGGCATAAACAAAAATCTACTCCATCGTTACAAAATATTTAATTCACCAAGTTTGATATATTGTATTAATATATTCAATTGACTAATTATTTGTCAACTTCTGGTTCTATCACTTTGTCTAATGTTTTAATCACATCTATAGGCATAACGATGTAGATAAATTGCTTTATGACATATTTTATTGACTCAGGCTTGCTCTTTCCTATTAACAAGAAGTTATAGTTTTTTGCTTTTTTTTTTTTTTGATCCTAGAATTTAGAAACAATGCCTTGAACCCTACTCTCCTAAAAGGAAAAATGAGTGAAGAGCACTTAACAGTGATTGAACCAGACAGTCCTGTACAAAATCATGGCGAATGTGCATTCTAAATAGGTAGGTAATTGTACAAGCATATTGCATAGAATACATAAGTGGAGCCTTGGAGGTCAAAGAGTAGAAGCATACCAATTAGGCTAAGTATCCAACTAAATTGGTTTTCATTGTGTAATTGAAAAGTGATTAGAAAGAAACAGAAAGGTTTAAACTGAAAGATCTTTTAGTTTAAATCTGACAATAAAACTATGTTATTTAGATATGGTAAATAACATATTCCAGAAGGAAGTTTTCTAGAAATTCAAAATCCTCCTTGTGTATACATTTGGATTCTTTTTGGGTTTTTCTCTTGTTGTTAAGCACATTTCCAAGCTTTTAGTTAATAAAAGAAGCATATTTATTTAAATACTATGTGAACATTACAAAGTTATTTGGAAATCTTTTCTTAATCACTATGTTTCCAGTGAAATAAACTCATCCATTCACTCACTGTTTTTGGTGAACAATTTAGATAATTAAAAAAAAACATGAAACATTGGCCTAAATAATTTCATCCATTCACTCATTTCTGTTGGTGAATAATTGAGAACACTTAAGGAGAACTGTGTATCCACCTAAATCATGCATATTCATTATCCCCTCAGCTAAAATATATTACTTGCAATCAATGCTACTTACACTTCATATTTGTAGTAAGACTTGATTCCTGTGTTGATTCTGTTCAATAATATAAGAGTTTAGACACTGCTAAAAGAAACTATAGCAAGAAAGGGGGAAGGAAATTGCTCTTTCAAGAACCTATTCAGGGGACCAAACCCATACTTTGCCCTTCTGCCAACCATTCTTTCAGGCATCAAAACAGCCCTTAAAATACAGACATAGAAGATCAAGAGGCATCATGCATGGCTTCATCAAAAGCAGCATGCGTTCAAACTCAGCTTCTCCCTAGGCTAAATGCATTCCCTTTATGAGACTACAACTTTCACATTGGCTTTAAAAGAACTATTCAGTCTTTGGATAAATGGAATAGGGCAGAAAAGAGTAGTTTCTGTTGCTCCGATTCTTTTAGCCCGTAATTCTTTGCAAGGTTGAGAACAGACCAGAGAATGCTAGATCATGAGATGTCTGGCTGCAGACAAAAGATGAGCCTCCTAGGCCCTAAGCGATGAACCTCCCATCGCATGCACACACCCTACACAGACTGTGTTCTCTCAGTGTTTCTGGAATAATTCCATGAGGCCCTATTAAGAGTTTGCTTAATCAGAGAAAATATCAAAGCGTTTAATTGTTTGCAATTCTTCTGAAGTTGCAGAAACCAACAGCCAATTAGTACTCAAAGTTCTCTTTTCAGATGGGAAACTAATCTCTTTTTAATAGAAACTTTTCCTACTGTTTTTTTTTTCTTGGAAACACACTTTGCAACCCAAATCACATTTAGAATACAATGAAACAGAATATGAAATGATATTTTTCTGCAAACTATCATCTTTTCTGGTTCATTTTCAAGATCTTTGATATTTACATATGACCTTTCCATTTTTATTAACAGTTTGTTGAATTTTTGCATTCCAGCCAGCAGAAGAGAAAGGTAATTTACAGAAAGATTTGACAGTTATACACACAGCTATAAACTTCAGTCCATTAACTTATTTCTTGTGTAACCTTTAGTCAATTCTACCAAAACATCCATATAAGCATATGCCTTTTTTCCTTTATGTTAAAGAGGTCTCATTATGGGACCCTATTTGTAGAATGTCAAAAGAAAAGGAAACAATTTTATAGTGTCTCCTTATGGTTCACAGATGTTTATGGCTTTTACTTTTTAAGTCACACAAGTAAAAATCAAATATATTTATGTGTTGCTCAGATTTCTATTACATGTGAATGGATACATATTTGACATCTTTTATTTGGTTAATTTATAATTATACATTTGATAATGGTAATATTGTTTTAACTATTTAACTTTAAATAGTGGCTTAGAATGGTCCTATAAAATTCATGGCATTTTCTGAAGCAATACATAATGTTATTTCTTTGTAAAACATACGAAAGTAATTCTAAAAGTTTATGTTAAAGATTATATTTGAGCCTTAAACTTTGCTAAACTATGTCTTAAAAATATAGTCATTTTTAACTTCTTGAAGCCCTGAAGTTGATAAACTTTTGCATAAATATAATGACAAAATTGCATTCCAGCAAAATGAAAATGTTGTATATTATTTGGCTTTGCACAGAATGGATGTTTCTAATTAAATATTAATATTTAAATGCATGGCATAGCACTCTAAATGGATTTTTGTACCACTATGCCCTGAGTCATTTCTGTTTGAAAAAAGGCACCAAAGAGAAGCTGTAAAACAAAAAAAAGGGAATGAGGACAGAAGAAAACTGTACTTTAAAAAATATGAATCATGTTTTATTATTTGTAAAATATCATAAATTGGAGTGCTTTCTCCAAAACAATTGAAAGCCAAATACTGTATATTCATATCACCTTCACTATAGAAAAACAATTAAAAACACAAAATATAAACATTTATTTAAAAAAGTAAGATGAACCAGATGTGGTGGCAGGTGTCTGTGGTCTTGGCTACTCGAGAGGCTGAGGTGGGAGGACTGCATGAGTTTAGGAGTTCAAGGCCAGTCTGGGCAACATAGCCTGACCCTTAAGTCTTAAAAAAAATATGGTATGTATATATTTGAGAAAGAAATGGAATTAGTAGTAAGAATAAACTGTAAGAGGTCTCAGTTTGTCTTTATATCCTTTGTATGTAGGAAGGAAGTGATAACTGAAATATACTGATGAAACCTGAAAATTAGTAAGTAGCTAAGTTAGGGCCAGTTGAGCTACATAACCATGGTACTAGGAAAGTGTGCACTAATAAATTGTTGTGATTGTAGTAAGCTGAAGACTCTCTACAAGGTCCATAAAGTGGGCATAAAATGCATAAGATAGTAAATTATTTTCCAGAAAATGCGTTAAACTTGAGGTTTTCTGGAATTCTCAGGGAAACTGATTCTTGTTTATATATTTACCTATACTTTATAGAGTTGTAAAGAAGTTAGACCGGCATATTTCTGTGCTGTGTATTAAACAATAATGCCAGTTGACCTCACAAAACAGAAATGAGAGACACATTTTACTCAAGAATAGTTTTTCACTGTACTTCATCTTTTTTATTTCTGCTTGCCCTCTTAAAGAAATGGAAAAGTTCCATAGTGCCATCTGGTGTCAATTAAGGAAACAGCTTCTTTCAAGGATTGTCTACTGGACTATTCTTCTAAGCCTCAAGCTGAGACTGTTGTTCATAAAAGCTGAAAAGGACTTACAACTGATTATGTAATATATGTTTATGTTCATTTTTACCATATTATCTTTATCCAGAAAAATTAAATGATTTTCTTTCTCCAGAGAAGGGTATGTATACTTATTAGTTTATATTTAAGCTTAAGAAAAAACCACTTGTACGTGTGGAGATTTTATATATAAGATTAGGACATATATGTATGTTTGTATGTCCTAAATCTTTACCAAGTTCCTTACTGGTGTGCTATCAAGTTTTCTTAAAAGTTATCATCATATATTATGTCATTGTTTACATATATATATAAGATTTAGGACGTATATATATGTGTGTGTGTGTATATATACATATATATATATGTCCTAAATCTTTTCCATACAAAGTTATGATTTCAAAATACATCCATTCAAATCTCCCACTTTAATTTTAAATTGTCATTACTGCTATGCCAATTTGCAAATACAAAATTAATAACAGCAGTCTCTGATTTTTCCTACAAAGTTTGTTATAGTGTGTGTGTGTGTGTGTGCATGATCATACAAATATTTGAATTGTGAAATCAAATGGAAACTTTCATGAAATGCAATAGAGTTGCAGGTATTTTGTGTACTGTCACATACCTCTTGTTGATTTTTATTTCAGCGTATTCTATTTTTGACAATATTTATTATTATTTGTGTGTATGGTTTCATAAAAAAACTTGTTTTTTTTTTCTTTTCCTACATTATGGTATGCTGATGTTTTCCTTAATTGCTAACCCTTTATTCTGTCTTCATTTGGGGTATCATGCGAGACTTTTTGTCTTCACTTTTTCTCTCATTGCCTCCCTAGTCATTTGAAGGATGTTGAGGCTCAGAAAACAATACCCACAAATGAAGGCCTCAGAAGCAAAATTTTCTCTGCCCTCTGTGCCCTCCTCTCTTCCAGTTCCATTCTCCCTAGAGGCCAGCCATAGAATCTAGAGTCCCTCTTCCCCAGTGTGGGTCATAGGAACTGGAGCCCTTTTACCCCAAAGCCAGCCATAAAGCCTAAAAATTTCATTCCAACTTTCCATCCAATTCTGCTTAAAAACTGACCATAAACAAATTATCTGACCAACCTTGTTTGACCACAGTTCATAAGATTCCTATTCCAGAGAGGACCTTGCCTCACATCCAGAAGGAAGTGCTTAGAGAGGTCAAGAAGAATGTAGACACACAGGCTTTGCTGGGTTTCCCAACTCAGTCTATTAACATTATACCATACTCAGTTTGTCCAGTCATATTTCTACATGGCTTTCCATACTTTGTTGAAACTAATAAAAAAAATGGTCAATTTCCCCTGTATTTTTGGGTCTTGATTTCGAAGGCTCCTATGGATACATTTTAAATAAATTTAATGCCTTTTCTCCAATTAATCTGCCTTTTGCCAGCTGAATTTCAGAGATCCTTCAGAGGGCAAAGGGGAACATTCCCTTTTGCCCCTACAAGGCTAATACTCTGTTATGTCTTCTGTCACTTTCTCATATTACCTGCATTAACGTCACAAATTAAACTTTGGATATGATGTAAGTGACTTCTAGAGGTTCCTTTTAAGGCTAAAATTTTAATTTCTGACTTTACTTTGTCAGATATTACTAAAAAGAGTCTTCCATTTAGTCTAGTGTTCCATTATTGGAACGCTAAGCATGTGGGAGTTATTTATATCCTACTGCTCAAGGTCATCACCAAGGTCTAATTGCAAAAATTCAAAAAACTGCAACCTCAGGCATAAATGGGTTAAATCGTGTAAGACAGAAAATGCCAAATTCATAGTTCCTTATGTTTTACAACATTTAAACAAAACCACTGTTTTTCTCCAAATATAGTACTGATTTTTTTGTGTGTAAACTATCTGAATGTTATTACGGTTAGAGAAGCTATGCAATAATTAATCATTACATATAGTACATGCCCCTGTGTGTGTTTTATGCACTTCTAAAAAAAAATTACATAAGTCCACAATAGGAAAATAACACTTTTTACAGGCTCAACTTGTTTTCAAAATTAATATTTATCTCTGGAAAGGCTTCTGACCAGTTACTTTTTAAATATGGACTGAACCATATAAATAGCATTAATCACTACTTGCACCTTTCTCTACATATAAAAAGAAACCACAATGGCTTATTCCAACATTGCTTAGATAAATTACATCTGAGGCTGAAAATGTAAATGAATGCTTTTCAAAAAACTAACCCTCACAAGCCATGTGGTTCCTCTGTTAGTATTGTTTAGAAACCTTAAAACATCATGACCTGATTAAATACTGAACAGGTCATGAGTGAAGTTTAACTGACTGAAATATTAAAGTACTGAACAGTTATAAACTTGGCTTGTTTTCTTTTTCAAAACACCCATGGACTAATCATGCAAACCAATTAGCAAACTTCAAACAAGTGAGTAAATACTCCAAAATTAATAGCATGTAATTATTCGTGATATATACTCAAATGACTTGTAAATGTCAGTAAAGCAAAATTGTGTGAGAGAACTTTTTAAAAGTCTGTAAAATACTGATTTCTAAATTAGGTCTTAAAGAGTTGAGCTGGGAGACATTACAAAGAGTTCACTCAAACTTGTTAAGAATGGAGCACTCAGTCAAAACTAGATTCTGTAGGTGGGAGTACATATAGAGTATTCAGGAAAACTGAGGAGAACTACCTAATTATAGCCAAAAGTTAATATTAGCAGAACAACAAATGTGCTCATGTGGCATTTCTCATGGGACCACTGAAGTGATCTGGAAGGAGAAGTGACCTATTTTTCATATTTAAAAGATCTTTTCTTTGTGTCCTTTCAGCAAAGTAGTAACCCTGGTTGAAAGCATTTTGTCACTAAAGCACTTTTATTAGGTATGTGCTGCAAAGGCACATGCATTCCATTAAGCAGCATCAGGAGAAAAATCTGAGAGGCATGGATCACAGATGTGTGGGAAGAGAAGGTTGAGTGTTGACTTTAATGGCTAGAGCTATATTTACTGGTATCTGGAAGTGAGCTGTGGGGGCTAATAGATGAAGGATAATGATCACAAGTGTTATTATAGCCCACGTATTAGTGATGACTAATCTCTGTTACTAAGTAGAGTTCTAGAGAGATATTGTATCACAGAGTGAAGTTAGTCTGTTCCCTGGCTTGCTCTTAAAAAAAAAAAAAAGCCATGGAACAGTTATTTGAGGAATCAATCAGTATAGATATTAACACTCAATTAAGATGATTAGGATATGCAAGTTGCAAATGATTAGGATATGCAAGTTGCAAATCCTTGCCAAAGTTGCCACTTTGAAAAATAATAACATGTATTTTAGTATATAAGTAATTGTAAATGGTGTTTTTCTGCTGAAGATAGGTATAAAATAGTTATTTCTTAGCTTGTGCCAATGCTATTTCGGCACAAGGATTTATTTGTGGGTACAAGGGAATAACAATGGAAGATAGAAGGTACTGGTTCAAGAAAAGTCTCTGAGGCATTTATATTTTGATACTAAGACTCAAAAATGAAGACTATATGCTAATGCTGAAAGATGTACCATAATTCACTTTAATGCAGACCATAATGCAAAACTTAGTCTTCATCCACAGAAAGTACTGAAAAATGAAGAAATAAGACTGGTGATATTGTTGGCTATATATTTATCATTGTATTTATTAAATGAAAGTATGCAACCTTGTTAGCAATAAGGATCAGAGTCGATTTGAAAGATACTCATAAGGCAATAGAAATTACATGCATATGTACATTAAAAACCAGAATCTCATTATTTGTCATATTCAATTGGTGAAACATTTGTCCTTTAGGGAAATGAAATTCAAATATTTCTATGATGTAGGACTATGCTACTCTGCAATTCATTTCTGACTGGAAATATAAAGGTGACAGCTCTTGAATTCTAGAGAGGGTTGCACTATATGTTTAGAATAATGGAGAAGTTCTGGAAATATTCCAAATCAGCTTGGAATGTTAAAGCAACATAATTCACTTAAAATGTCCATTATCCAAAGAATATAAACTGAACTGACAGCTGCCTATAGAAGTTGATAAATTTTAAACTTTTCATCACTTGCCTTTGGTCCATCTTTGCTGAAATAATTCAAGCTAGAGTTAACCATCTAAGCAATCATTTACATTCTTGGACTCACTCAGAAAATGCTCATGTATAATCAACCTAATTCTTAAGAATGTTTTAAAGGCATAATGATCCTGAATATTTTAAACTAGATCATAATACTGTACTGTGTTGCGATGCTATAGCACCTTTCAAATTAGATTCACGGGTCACTAAAACTCATTATTTAAAGATTAGAAGTCTCTGTCGTAGATCAGCGTTTTATAGATGAGGATACGCTATCAATCTAGACAAAGAAGCTTATTTAAAATTACAGAGCACTGGAAACCAAGAAGAAAAGGGTATAGATATTTTTAGAAATTGTACCTGTCCTTCAAAGTGTATTTATAGTGGTTTATCTATTAACCTTTTTCCCACTAAACCAAGAGTGATTTCAAACACATTTGCAACTTTCACCAGCAACTACACCCCTCATCTTCTACATGGTTAGCCAGCATTTGCTTTATAACCTCTCAAGCCTCACATTGTGCCATGCTTCTTGTATTTCTCGGGACTTTGGCTATTGTAGACTTCTCTATGCTCCTTGATCATACCATCTCTTGACTCCACCTCATCATTTCTTCCTGGAAAAACAACTCTTATATTTCTTCTTTATAAATCAGGCCTTCATTTATGTATTATTATCATTAAATAATCTTCCCTTGACACTCCCAGACTAAGTTATATACCCCTCTGAAATAAATTTTTATCCCAAACTGCCCCTTTAAAAACAAACATCCTCAGGCTGGGTCTATTATAATCCCTTGGGCCACTGCAATTGAAGCAGAAATTAAGGTTTATTAATACTAGGTGAAGAAAGATATCATAGATGACTGAGATAACCAGAAGGCCAGACAAGTAACAATGCTCTTTTAGATATCCTTTCTCTACAGCTTCTGTTTTGTTTCATGCTGGTGAGCTGAGGGAGAAAGCAATGTACAATTGAGCCTACTGAGTGGGATTAAAAGATGGTTAAACACAGGGTTAAGTATGCATTTTCTTCTTTGAAGCAAAACCTGCAGAGACCTTCATGGGGAATTGAGACCCATTGGGCCCACTGAAGTTATTAGTCCAGAAGAGCTCACTCCACACTAGATCGTGAATCAAGAAAGGGGAAGGCACAGTTTGAAGTTTTAGCACGGCTGCTGATAAGTAACATACCTTTTCTCTGCCTGGTATTAGAACAAAGGACAGATAATTATGAAAGTTAGACAAATGGAGGTAAAAGTATTGCTTTCTTTATTAATAATTTTTTATAATTAAGCCTTAGTTTTCATAAATATTGCAAACTTTAGTTACTCAAAGGCAAATGTTCAATTTTAAGTCTAGCCACAAAGACAGTACCTGTACTGTTAAGTCTGAAAATGGCTAAGAAGTGATGGGAATGCAGGCTTTTGCTGGGAAGACTTACTCCGAGTTACACATGCCTAGTTTTTCTCCTAGACTTTTCAGTTAGAATTCCTTCTCAGGTAAAAACTAAGTGAGGAAATAAAGTGTCACTCCAGAAGCTTCTCTCTTAATTGAAATATGATGGAAAGGAGTTTTAAATCCCTCCCAAATATCCTTGCCAGGTAGCTCTATAAGCAGAATACATGATAAATCACACCCTTTCTCTCACCTTGGTTTCTTTTTTGGTATATTAATTAAGGGTAAATTAGGCAGGTTTGAAGAACATTCAGCATGTTTACTTGTAATGAACACTTTACATTATAAATAAAATGGAACATGATGAGTTGGAACTACTTATTTTCATTTGAAATCCTCATTCTTCCTCAATATTACAATTTTTTGTGGAAGTAGCTGCCTGCTGCCGATACATTTCTTTGTCCCCTTTATTCTCTATAAAACAATTAGACCAAATGTAGTTTCTAGGTTTAGCTCTTTTGACAATTGTTTATTTTTCAGTTTCAGACCCCACAGTGCTCTCTGGAATAACTAGTGTCTGTCTGTCTGCCTGTCTGCCTCTCTTTACTTATATCTGCTCTCATTTTACAAACCTTTAAATTTCAAAAATTTCTCTGTAACACTTCCTTTGTCCTACCAATTTATTGGATTATATACCAAATCTAGTCATCTTCTATTATTCAAAATATATCTTGCATTACACAAATCCATCATCTTGAGAGTAATCTTGTGAATTATAATATATGAGGTAAAAAGCATTTTAGAAATTATCAATTATTTTTCAAATATGGAAACTGAGGCACAGAGAAAATAACTGGTTTGTTCCTTATAGTTTGGTTATTTATCATTACTGCCTAGATTAGTTTGTGTTGCTAGGATACACAAGTAACTTGAATATGCTAGTATGACTTAATTCTTGTCTATTTGTTGTTAATATAAATGTATTCTAACATTCAACATTAGTAAAATGGAACCATTCAAACGTCATCTTCAATGTAGCTTGAGGAAACTTCACAAACTGATTAAAATGAACTATTAATTTTCCACGGTTTGCATATCAGCTCAGACCTTTTTCTGGTCTGTTAAATTATAGGTTTCGATGTCAATGGCAAAATATTGTTTCTCACTCAGTCTCCAAAACCACACTGAAACAATATGAAAAGCATTGGTTCTTGCAGTCATTGTGGTCCAATTGTACTGCTCTAAAACACGTCCTCTATGCTCACCATATCAGATATCCTGCCATTTTGGCACAGATTAACTGAGCACCTAGGTGGAATTTTCTTTGCAGTATTCTTTGTGTCCTAAAACTAGAGACTTTGAACCACAGGACTACTGCTGGAAATCCTTGATTTCTACAAATTTCTGGCCATTTTTTTTTTGTCTTAATTGTTGATGTTTTCCTGGAGGAGGAGGGTGGCTGGCTTGTAAAAGCATCACTTACCCCTTGTTAATTTACACACCTGAATGATGTTACCCACATAATTTTATGTATTATCTCTATAATATACCACATTACAAAAGGCTAATAAAAGCACAGCTAGTATCATTGGTGTTTACGCATTGCTATATACAAATATAATTTCTGTGACACATGAAATTATACTCGTAAACCCAACTCCATTTGGAAAACAGTTTTAATAAGTGAATAAAATACAATAAAAATTATCACAGTAAAATTAAACAGTTGGGCACCTGAAACTTCACTTGCCAATCTTCATCTCTATAGGCCCAATACTGTACATCTCACTTAAGTTGCTATTTGTAATCAGTGCCAAGTGATATGTAAGAAGTGTAAGGCATGTCCTCTGCCCATAGGTGTTATGAGTCAACATTAAGATTTGCTAAATGGGAACATGTGATATGACCAGCATTCTCTGCTAGCTACTCCCCAATTCTGTTTCTGCTCACAACAAAACTTCTCTATATAAAGTAGTCTAAACTCAACTCTCTCCCATTTTTCTTTTTCTTTTTTTCCTGGGCCTCTCGTTAGTGCTTTCCCCTAACTGTCCCACAGAAAATGCTCTTGCTAAGTTTATTAATATCATCAATGTTGCTATGTCTGATGGTCAAGTGTAAGTCCTTGAAGTATTTATCAGTAGTATTTGACACAGCTGACTACTCTTTTATTCTAGAAATACTTTCTTCAGCTGGCTTCCATATTGTGTTTTATTCCGCTTATCTCACTTGCCCTTTTAGTATCCTTCCTTGTGCCTTCTCAGGTTCCTATATATTATTGTGGTATCCCAGGGTTCAATCCCTGTATCTCTCCTCTAAATTCACTTATTTGCCTGATAAAGTCATTCAAGCATAGCTTTAAATATCATCTATGCACAATGTTGATGGCTCCCAACTTCATATTTCCAATGCAGACATTTCTCTTCATCTCCAGACTCAAGTTCAATAGTTGATGAATTATCAGTTCAGCAAATATTTATCTCTACTTCCATTACTAAAAAGTTTCAAATGTTTACCTGTCTAAAACCAAATACCTGATTCACATTCCCTATGACCTGTCTACTATGATCTTCTTAAACTCTGTGAATGTTAACTTTAATATCCCTGAAGACAAAAACCTTGGAATTATCCGTGGCTCCCCTCTTTCTTTTATATGCCACATGCAATTTGTTAGGAAAACCTGTGATATCTACTTTCAAAATATATCTAGAAGCAAATCATTTCTCACCACTACAACTCTGGTTCAAAATGTCATCACTTCTCACTGTCTGTTTCACTGAAAATAAAATTCGAAAACTTTCCAATAAAGCCTTAAACAATCTGAATCTGTCTTAGACTTCTAACTTGTTTCTTCTTATTACTCTATTTTGCTCACTCTGTTGTGTGTGGGTCTAAAAACTCTAGCACAGTCCCAGTTCCTGGCTTTTGTACTTGATATTTTCTCTTTCTGTAACCAAGGATAGATTAATGGGTTGGTATCCAGGGCAATCCCACACAAACCCACATTTAAAAGAGGACTACCGACTTTTAGTTTAATGCTTTATAGTCCCTCTATTGAAATTGTCAGTAATTTTGTCTTTGAATTTGTGTTTTATAAAAAGTCCAGTAGGAAAATGGAGCAATGTTATGGGCTGGGGGTCTTGGTTTACATGAGATCCTACCTTCTCCCTTTTTCGTGCAAGTAAATTCTCAACGATACACTTTTCTGCCCACACTCAGTGTCACTGTAATTCTTTGCTTCCAGTGGGGACTTGGATGCAGAAACGGGGAGAGTGAGTGCACAAAGTCATGAAGCTGGGCCCCAGTGACCCCTGAAGGTCTATACTTGCCCAATAAGCATCCCATGCCCATAGAATTCTGTAATTAAATAGTAAATTTTAAAAATTCATGACAAGTTGTGACAGATATGGGAGAAAGGAAGAAGTTACTTTCCTACTTTTGAACAAGAGCCCCCCCACTTTCATTTTTCACTCACTCAACAAATTATGTAGCCAGCCCTGCTTATAACATTATATTTCCAGAAGTATACATGAGTAATTCATTCACTTTCTTTAATTTTTTGCTCAGAAAGGACCCTTACATCGAAATTTTCAACGACCACCCTTTTAAGAATCAACTTTTCCTCCAAACATACACTTTCAAACTCAGGAACTCAAACTATTCCTTAAATTTCTCTCCAGAGTATTTCTCATTATCCAGCATACCATATAGTTTATTTATTTATTTATTTATTTATTTTTCTTCATCTGTGTCTCTCTACCCAATATCAGTCCTGTGAATTAACATTTTGATCATTTCTATTGGTTTTAAAATAATCACATGTTTCGTGGAATCTGGTTACCCTATTTTTATAACAAATCTTTGTAGTTGAGGTCTCTTGTGTTTAACCTGTGAAAGCATTATCAATCGTTAAGGGCAATTTACCCAACAAACACCTTTATGGCTATCCATTAATTGGTTCCAACTATAGAGCACAGAGGATTAAGTCCTGGCCAGACTGACACATAGCAGTTCAAATAGAGAGTGTATCTGGTTCTGCCATTTCAACTTAAAAAAATCAAAGGTGAAAAGAACAATGTTTCTCCTGGTTTATAGCAACAAATATTAATAAAAGAGGCAACTCTTTCTTTTTTAGGATACGCATATAAATACATCATATTTATCTAAACTATAGAATATATTTAAAAGGTATATTTTGTTTATATCCATATATGAATTCATACATTTACACGTTTTAGCCAACTTTTAAAGGAAAATTTATTTTGTTTGGTTGATCCTTTGTAAATGAATGGGTGTTTTTGCTATTTCAGTGGTATTTTGTGTGAGATTTTCAATTCTATTGAAATAATCAGGCTTTAGAGAAGGAACAAAATTATGGAGCAATGAACCATGTTAGAAATTATTCTGTATATTTCATGATATTATGTAAAAAGCTATTTGATTCTACTACGTTTTTAATTTCAACTCGTTAATTCAAAATTAAAATCATAATTGAAATTTCTTCCATATGATTTAAAAACAAAAGCACAAAAAGCTTTAGTGCATTTAGAAAACTACAATGGGCAGTAGCACAAATGGAAACATTTAAAAGTTTGGACTAAAGTAATTGTAAGAATCTTGACAAGCCACCCCTAACAAGACAACATTGAAAATTGGAAGACGAGTCCTACTTTAATTCATTACCTCAAAATGTATTTAATGAACACATAGTATGTGTTAAGGACTCTCCTATACACTTGGAACATAACAATAATAAAACACAGCAAAAATCTCAGCCTCCTACATCATGCAATGAACTGAAAAAGGTGAAAGTGATTACTAGAAGAAAGCAACATTTGGAAGGAGAGTTGAAGGAAGCTAAATGCACAGTACATGCATGGCAAGAAATCTGCTGAACAAAACAAATTACCTAACACTCCCAGAATGACTCACTGCCTTGGGGAAATACATAACAGAACACAAAGAAGAGGAAAAAAATCAGTGAAAACTGCAATCATAACAACTACAAGACAAATGATAACTGAAAAAGAGAAACTCAGTAAAAATATTGTAATAGAACCAATCCCATGCAGCACACAAATTAGATTTTCCAAGAAGCCAGAGAGGAAAAGCCAAATGTTGACAAGGAAAATGATGAGCCAGGATCAATCATCCATTTTAAACAACAGGCTTTCCTGTGATTCTCTAATTTTCAGAATAAATGTCTTTAACAGAGTTAAGTCATACAAGTAAAATAAAATTTCACTGAATAAACAACCAACTACCTGAAAATGAATAAAGCTCAATCTAGAATGCACAGTAAACTTGGTGCCCAAAGAAATTTTACAAGAAAATAATTCATAAATACTTTTCCTTAAGTGTCAATTTTAATGTACATATAGGATCTTAATTTTCATGTAGAATAACATATATTGCCCCCAAATGCAGCTGTCTTCCAAAACAAAACAGTTGCTTTAAAAATTCAGTATAGATTGTATATTGGACTGTCTTCCTTCTCATTTATGATTCCATGTACTATGGAGTTACAAATTCATATTTAACTTAATCTGATTATAAAACATAAACTATGGTAAAAAGTATAGGTAAGTTATTTGCGAGCAACTCAGCTGAACTAGAGAAAGGGCCGAGTTGCCAGATATCAGAGTAGTCTACTAAAGCTATAAGGAACCAAAATAAAAGTAACAGTGAAGCCTTTGATACGTTACTATGAAGGTGTAAGCAAAAGGATAAAACTGGAGAAAGTGCTGATCCCTCCCTGTTTTATTTCCCCCCAGGGAACTCGACTCTAGTTGAGGGTCACATGGATCAGTATAGATACATGGGTCATCTTAATATTCAGGGAAACCCAAACAAAAGGCTCCATCAGTTTTATGGACCCTGGAGTGGGATGAAAGACTGGGGTTAGGGCTGGGATAGCAGAGGTACTGGGTACTGAGTCACAGTGGGGAAAAGTGTCCTCATGTTTTCCCCCTCCTATCTCCATAAGCAGGCCTTGGCAGAGGTGCCTGAAGACTTCTGCCAGCAGAATGAAGGACTCTGGGCCAGGAATGCAAATATGAATGCAAACATGCACAAGCTCATGACTAGCCAGAAGGGCCCCAGTCCTTGACTGCAGCTCCCTTCAAAGCCTGGGGTACACTCAGTGCTGTGCACCAAGTCTGATGTGAAGAGGGCAGCTTTTCCCCATGAGGACTGCCAGGTAAAGCCTTTGTAATTCCCTATGGTCAAGCTTGAAAAACAACATGTAGGTTTTTTAATCAGATTCCTTACTACTTTTAAAATCAACATGAATTATGAAAACCAAGAGTAAATGCCAACCACCACGTTATGTGCTCAAAAATAAATAAACATCTCAGGAAGTTGCTGTCTCTTAACAAATCAAAATGGCTGATTCCTCACTCTGTGATTAGAAGAACCTGCCTCACACTATTGGAATGTAGCTTATAGATTTTTGAGGGGACCAGCAAGTCAATACTTCTCTTTACAGTTCACAAAAGAGAAATAAGCAAGAGTCAACACTTTATTACCTCACAGTCTACATATTTAGTTGACTATTTGAATTTGTATTGGATGACTACAGGCATCTCTTTTTTAATACGAAAATGAAAGACAGATTTATTATTTTTCCTTGCCTGACTGTGTCTTCCTTCATGTCTTCTCTTTAGGTGACCCAGTTTATTTGCTTGTGGTAGAAATCAAGTCCTTCTTGATATATCTTGCTAAACAATGTTTTATATTTAACTTACAAAAAATTATTTTAAGATTTAGTTCTTTAAGTCTTTAATTTCTCTACATTCCATCTACTGTTCAGCACTATTTTTTCAGTTAACAACATCTTCCAAACTAATATCATCTCTCATCTAGAAAACTAATAATAACTATGAACTAATGTCCCTGCACCCACATCTAAACTGTTATTTGCAAAGTGTAAATCTGACCATGTCATCTTCGACCTCCCAGTGTGCTTAATTCCTGTCATTAGCATTCCATGGTTTTTAAAACAAAGGCCAAAGTCCCACAAAACCTTACATGACACACCCACTGCCTAACTCTGCAGACTCCTCTTTATCTATATTTATTTTTTCTAGACAAACAAGTGTTTCCAGTGCTTCAGTCATTCTATGCTACTTGATATCTCAGGATTTTGAACGTGCTGTTCCCTCTGACCTCTTTCCAACTCCTATTCAAACTCAAGTCAAAGACTCGACTGCGGGACAGTGGATTGTGGCTTTTTTTTTTTTTTTTCCAGGCTGGAGTACAGTGGCAAAATCTTGGCTCACTGCAACCTCCGCCTCCTGGGTTCAAGCGATTCTCCTGCGTCAGCATCCATCTGGCATAGCTGGGACTCCAAGCATGCACCACCACGCTTGGCTATTTTTTTTTTTTTTTTTTTGTATTTTTAGTAGAGATGGGGTTTCATCATGTTAGTCAGGCTGTTCTTGAATTCCTGACCTCAGATGATCCACCCACCTCGGCCTCCCAATGTGCTGGGATTACAGGCGTGAGCAACTGTGGCTTTTAAAAATATATCTTTACCACACTTAGCATCATATGCCAATTTTCCTCATATGATTAATGACTGTCACTCCTGAGACTGTGTTCTAAGCTGCAACTATGGCCTTTGTGCTATTCATCTGGCTGTTTTTCTCCAAGGAAAATTATAAATAAATATCTTTGGAATGAATGAATGAAAGTCATATTTGTGGTATTGTTTTATTGACCTTTCATTTGTTTTCCTACTGCTTACTCTTTTATGTACAGATTTAAATCTACCCAAATGACTTCTAATAATATATTACAGATGACTAGAGAAGACAAATGAGGCTCTGAGTAGACATCATTTAGGGAAGATACATGTTTGACCAAAGTGGACTATCCTGCAGGAAAACTAGGAACATTTTCCTCCATTCCATGGTGTTCTATGTTGTGTTTGATAGAAATTTAGGGAAAAGGTACATAATAGGTTGTATATAAATGAGCTACTATCTGTTTTGCTATTTGTAAGCCTATGGCAATATCAGGAACCACTAGAAATATAATTTTAGCATAAAAGCAATATTTTAAATACTTTTTTCAATGACTATTGACTATGGTACAAAATAAAATCTTAAATATGTATGCATTTTGTTTATGTTACTTTATGTAATATCTTTGGATAAGTTTATTTTGTTGCTATAAATATATCTTTTCCCATTGGACCTGTAAGTCTCAGGTCTTAGTGTAGGTGAATCTCCATTAATGTATAAGATAAACTCTTGAAATTGCTGTGTAATTCACTTGGGAGTTAGGGAAGATTTATTTATTGGGCTAACTATTTAAAGCTAGTTCATGATTAATGCAATTAATCATCCTGATGATTTACTAATTTTAATTATTGCATATTGAGTCTTCTGGTATTAATCATTGTATATTGAGTCTTCTTTATGTGGGGAACATAAAGCAGACGAGTTTGTGTTTTCCTTGCCTTATTCAATTTATTTTCATCTCGAAAATTATAATAAATTTGTGCTATCTGTTACAAAAATACTTTTAGTACTTTTATTTATCTTAAATTATATTTTTCCAAATGAGGGCATATATTGTTATTTTATAGAAAGAAAGTACAACACTATAGCTGTTCTTTCTAACTCAAGAAACACTGAAGAATTATTATTTTTTTGGTGGAGGGACAGAGTTTCACTCTGTTGCACAGGCTGGAGTTCAGTGGCATGATCTCGGCTCACTGCAACCTCCACCTCCCAGGTTCAAGCGATTCTCCTGTCTCAGCCTCCCAGGTAGCTGGGATTACAGGCATGTGCCACCACACCCAACTAATTTTTGTATTTTGAGTAGAAAGGGGGTTTTGCCATGTTGGCCAGGCTGGTCTCGAATGCCTGACCTCAGGTGATCCACCTGCCTCAGCCTCCCACGGTGTTGGGATTACAGGTGTTAGCCACCATACCGGGCTTGAAAAATTCTGGGTCTCTTCTTCCTCGAGTTGTCCACTTAAGATTAAAAATACTAACATTTTGTTCAGCTATTTATCCAGCAAGTAATAATTACCAGTTAACATCACTGAAAACATTTGAATATAATGCTTTGTGAGTACTTTATTCTGAAAACAAATCCAGAAAGTAATTCAAGAATCAAGAAACTTTAGCTTGTTTGAATTTTCTCTTTTTGAATTAGACCTAAGAGATCTATTGAGTCATGGTATGAGGATGGAAAACTCTAGAAAGAATTGACATGACCATTTTGCTTAATAGACTGTGGTTGTATTCGTTGTTTTTAAATAGCTGTAGTGGTCTTAACTTGTTTTTGTGTCTTTAAGATTACATAGGTCTACTGGACAAAATCATGAAAATCTGAATTTGAAATTAAATTTCTCTGTAATTTCATGAACAACATTTTAGTGGTTACAACAATATAATTTCTTTTTTTAATGTTTTTAATTATTATTATTATACTTTAAGTTTTAGGGTACATGTGCACAATGTGCAGGTTAGTTACATGTGTATAAACGTGCCATGCTGGTGCGCTGCACCCACTAACTCATCTAAATAAATCTATTATGAGGCAGACACTGCTTTCTATGTTTAAGAGAATATCAGGTTCCAAGGTGCCATTTAAATAAATCATATTGTCACTAAGCCTTTATTTTATAATGTATTTTGTATTATTTTCATTGGTTTATATTTTGCTTTAGAATATATGATTAACTCTTAGTCATACATATTACCCAAACATGCACTTCTTATGGAACATTTCAATAGACAAAATCACATAGTAGAAACGTTTTCTGTGGATTGTAAATAAATTCATTTCTAATACATACCCTCTTCTGCTCTTTGGGACTAACACATATTCCTGCCAAATAATACATTTAAAAAAAATTGTCTCTTAGTGGCAGAAATAAACCATTAGTTTTTCCACAGCTTGTCTATTAGTAGGCAAAATTACAGAAATTTACACAAATATTCGGAAATAGTCTCCCTTTACAAACATTACCTTTCCTCAGTGAATTTAAGTATAAATATTACTGATACTGTACTAAGATAATTAACAGAACTATGAAGTTTTTAATAGAGAAAGACCTGATGTCTATCCTGTGGCAGCATATAACTTCACAAAAAGAAGCTTTAAAAAAATTTCTGAATTTTAATTATTGTATACTTAATAATGAGCTTTTTTTTCTTATTCTGATTCAAAGGAATACACATGACCACATATGCATGCACGTCTATTTTTATTTGGATGACCAATGATTTCTAAGAATATTTTAGTAAACAAAACTAAAAATATATATATATTTTTTAGCTTTTTGCAGCTACCATCAGAATAAAATTTAAAATTTAGTCTCAATATCTTAAGAAATGATAGCTAAAAGGTCGTCTTATGGTACAGAAAACGAATATTTTTACAAGGACACGAGGGTATTTCTGCGTAAAGACAGACTATTCTGTTCAGAGAAATTAGCGGTGAAGTTTGAACTCAAAAAAATTGCAACATAAAAATATTAAATATGATGAACAGGCAATGCTCAAAAATCTCAGAACCTTGAAATACAAAAGTATCCCTTAATGTTTGAAAAGTATATATTTAGTATTATTAGCAGTTGTAATGAGTCTCGATATTCCATTTTCATTTGTTATTTTCACTACTGTTTTACATAATCCTCTTAAATTCACCAGCTTTTTCTTTCCATCAAACCCTAGAGGAAGTGGGGCAGGCATTACTATACCTACCTTCAAGGTAAGGAAACAAACATTTAGAGAAGTCAGTCCTGTGATATATATTAGTAACATACTAAGTGGTACAATCAACATTTTATGCCAAAGGTAGTAAATCAGATATGTTTCAAAATTTTCGTCACAAGCGTACACATGGCCAACAGATATACGAACTAATGCTCATTATCATTAATCATCAGAGAAATGCAAATCAAAACCACAATGAGATAGAGATATTATCTCACTTCAGTTAAAATGGCTTTTATCCAAAAGACAGGCAATAACAAAGGCTGCAAGGATATGGAGAAAGTGGAATCCTCATACATTGTTGGTGGAAGTGTAAATTAGTAAAGCACTATGGAGAACAGAATAAAAATTAAAAAATAGAACTACCATATGATTCAGCAGTCCCACTGCCATGTATATATCCAATAGAAAGGAAAGGAGTATATTAGAGAGGTATCTGCACTCCTGTGTATATTGCATCACTGTTCACAATAGCCAATGTTTGGAATCAACCTAAGTGTCTATCAACAAGTGAGTGGATAAATAAAATGTAATATATATACAAAATGGAACATGATTCCATTAGACTGAGCCATAAAGAATGAGATCCTGTTATCTGCAACAACAGTGATGGAACTAGAAATGATTATGTTAAGTGAAATAAGAGCATGCAAAGAGAAAGTTCACATGTTCTCATATGTGGGAGCTAAAAATTAAAAACAATTGAATGCATGGAGAAAGACAGTAGAACAGTGGTGATCAGAGGTTGGAAGGAGTAGTAGAGAGTAGGGAAAAAAACTGGGAATGGTTAATGGGTGCAAAAATAGAATAAATAAGGCCTAGTATTTGTGCAACAGGGTGAATGCAGTCAAAAATAACATATTGCATATTTTTAAATGATTAAAAGAGTGGAATTGGTGTGTTCTCAACACAAACAAATGATAAAGGCTTAAGGTGATGGATTCCTCAATTACCCTGATGTGATTATTGCACACCTTAAGCCTCTATCAAACCTCTTATATCAAATATATACACCTACTATGTACCCATATAAATTAAACATGAAAAAATTAAGTTTTTGTCACAGGAATCTTTTTTCAAATAAAATATTATACAGAAGCCCAAATCCAAAGCAGATTCAATGACAAATTTATCTTTGAAAACTACTGTAAGAAAAAATGGAGTGTACATAATGGGTTTTCCTTCCTGTTCGTATTCCACATAATTACTTTTAGCAAAAAAAATTACACAAACAAATCATATTATACAAACAAAAGCCACATGTACACACCCCATTTTTGAGCCAATAATAAGGCATGTGTAGGTAGCACAAGTGTAGAAATATACTGCATTTTAACATATATGAAGCCTTCCTAAAAAAGTACTTGAGAGCTCAGCTGTGGATTCTTCATTTTAATTAATGCCCTGTTAATACCCTATCAAATTAATTAATTGTTGCCATTCTCTTTTCTAAACCAATGTTTAAAGGATAATAATAAAAGAAAAAATAATAATATGCTAGAAACTTAAAACAGATATGAAGTATAAGAATTTATGGAAAAACAAGCAAACAAAAAAAGAATTTATGGAAAAACAACTCTAGGAAAAATAAAAAGCTAAGGCTACTAAACTTAATTGATCCTAAATGGTTGAAAATAAATAACTTCTTTTTTTTTAGAATTTTTTTTTTGTTTTTATTCTGTTTTTTTTTTTTTTTTTTTTTTTTTTCTTTTTGAAATGGAATCTTGCTCTGTTACCCAGGCTGGAGTGCAGTGGCATGATCTCGACTCACTACAACCTCCACCTCTATGGTTTAAGCATTTTTCATGCCTCAGCCTCCTGAATAGCTGGGATTACAGGTGCACAGCACCATGCCTGTCTCATGTTTTTGTATTTTTAGTAGAGACAGGGTTTCACCATGTTGGCCAGGCTGGTCTCAAACTCCTGACCTCAAGTGATCCGATCGCCTTGGCCTCCCAAAGTCCTGGGGTTATAGGCGTGAGCCACCTTGCTCAGCCTAGAAATAGTTTTTTAAACCACGACTCATGGATTACACTTTAGTGAGACATCAAATGACGTGAAGGGAAGTGACTGTTTTTCCCACCTTTTTAAAAAACCAAAAATATTTCTTATATGATTATTTTATATTTTTTATAGAGACAAATTCCCACAAATTTAGATTGTTAAATTTTATTTTTATAATATTGTTACTTTGGAAAGACAGTGAAATTTGGTTGAGCTCAGTGCTGTAGAGATATATAGTGATCTGATTTCACACTACTTTGGCTCACTCATTGGCTCAAAAACCTCACAATAATTACTCATAAAAGAATAATTTGAAAAAATTCACCTAAACTAACATATTGCACATAAATTCCTAAGGTACACTCCCACCTTCATTTCCAATTAAGAACTCCTGGCTAAGAAGTTTAAAAATGTGTAACGACTTTTAATCCATTCCTTTCAAAATTCTTTGCTTTAATATTCTCCATATATATCTCTATCTATCTATCTATCTGTTCAAAAACCAACATATATATATATATACATATATATATATCCCCTTACATATTTTTAACCTTGCATCTAAAATTTTTGTCATGAGTATAAGTGGTTAAAACCACTTATACTCTATAAAACCACTTATACTCTATAAAAAATATAAATGATGTAATTTCTGTTGCATTTAATAAATTTTGATTAAATTTAAAAACAAAATTGCTACCTCACCCATTTAAATTTTTTTAAAAAAACTAAAATGCCATAGCAAATTGATATATTTAAAAGATTAAAGCTGAAAATCAAATTTCTTAGAATCCCAAAGCAAAAATTAGATAGGCAATCTAGGCTAAATGTTGAAATGTGTGACAAGCACTAGCTGAAACACAAAGACAAGGAGATTGTTGCAACTTTCTCACACTGGTAAGTCCCGCTATCAGTTAATTAGTAAGGACAAGTTGAAAATTTTATATATAGCTGCAACATAATATACTCACCTTATATAGTAGTATGCTTAGGATTTTTATTATAGGATATGAGGCAACTTATTCTCAAGTATTTTTTAATTCATATAATACATTTTCTAATAATCATATTTGCTTCATTTTAATTAAAGTCAGAAAATCTTACACTAAATCAGACTTTAGTTGTTGTTCGTATCTTCTTCTTATTTTAATCTTTCATTCCCATCCTTCAGTAAACAATAATTATTTTCAGTCACTAGCATAGAGTTTAAGTTTGGCTTTCTGGCCTTATATAACTGGGAGATAGTTATTAATCAGTATGGTAAGGCATTCCTGAAATGAAATGGCTTATAAATCTATTTATCAATCCTGACATCTATATTTGACATATAGTGTAGGAAATAAGTGCTTCTTAATTTCTTATGGTGATATTTTCTGATGGTAACTAAAGATCCTACTTAGATGAATATAGGCAAGATGGAAGGATGAAATGAGAGATTAAACTGGATAATGCTGTGGTCTTTGGTTGACTTACTCTGCATTTGTGTAGGAAGGGTGGGTATGCTAGTAATTTTTAAAGAATTAATGTTCTTTCATGAATACCTTTCTTAGATCAATAAATTACATAATGACTAACAGGACAAGAGTTCAAAAATTATGAGTGAAAAGACCAATCTATGATGCAGTTACTATTTATTAGAAGCAGAACATACTTTAAAATTGATATCTACAACATTGCCCTCAAGGCTTACACTACCATTTCAACTCATTCCCTCATGAACAACATAAGGCTGTTTTATGAGTGATCTCAGCCATTCTTCATTCTACTATAGATGTCCACTGTAGAGTAATATATTGCCACTCTAAAAAGAGGCTTCTGGTGCTATTGACTAAAACTAAAACAATATCAACTAGATGACAAAAATTCTCAAATGATAACTCCTTAATAATGTCAAATTGCAGAATAATGGTATTAAAATCACATTGGTTGACAAAATGTGATATGAAACATGAATATTAGTAAGGCATGTGTTCAAAGTTGATATTTTTATTATTAAAAAATGTGTTTCATATCTTTGACAAATCAGAATTAAAACCCTGGCTATACTATACTAATCTAACTTCACTTGGAAAATGAGGTATTCTTTATAGTTGTATAAGCATAAAATACAATTACAAATTTTTGGTAACATACCAGTTAAAGAAGTTAACAACAATATTTTAAAATGTGAATGAACTTCTTGTCTTCTGCTTGAAGCTCTGTTTAAAAGTCACTTTTCTCCACTATAATAATAAGCCATGTTTATTTGGCATTTTCAAATTAAAATATGGTGTATGAATAAGTATGCCTAAGAAAGGTAGAAAAGTTTAAAAAGAACCAATGTCTTAAAACCACGAAAATGTTGACCAAGTTATTCTATATTTAATATTATTATTCTAAACACAATGTTACAAATGATGCTTTAATGTAAAGTATAAAATTCATTTCGTAAATTGTTTAGGAATATGTGATCACTATCCATATTTCAACTCCAGGTGAAATAAGTATGTAATAATACAGAATGTTCCTACAGTAAGTAGGAAGGAGAATTATTTCAACAGAAAGGTTATCAACCTAAAAAATGATAATAAATATATGTTAAAAATTGAATGGAAATACAAAATATGTGAATAGCATCTATATTTCTCTGCTTTAGTTATAATCATGTATTGACATAATTTTTCTTCAAATATGTATTAAAGAGAATAAACTGCCTTTAGACTAACAAAAAACAGTGTGAGATTATAGTGTTGCATAACTTACTATACTTTGATACTATTTTAAAAATATTACTAAAATATTTTCAGGAGACACTTTGA
This sequence comes from Homo sapiens, assembly GCF_000001405.40. Classification (NCBI taxonomy): domain Eukaryota; kingdom Metazoa; phylum Chordata; class Mammalia; order Primates; family Hominidae; genus Homo; species Homo sapiens. The sequence goes on from NC_000004.12 coordinate 34,741,869, forward strand.
CATTTAGCTAACAAAGCATTCTCTTCAAACTTGATGGTAAACGCTAAGTAGATAGTTACTTCCTATGGAAGTTGTAAATATAAAATAACCATCATTTTATTCACCTTGCCATTTATATTAGTCCATTCTCACACTGCTATAAAGAACTGCCTGAGACTGGGTAACTTATAAAGGAAAGAGGTTTAATTGACTCATAGTTCTGCATTGCTAGGGAGGCCTAAGGAAACTTACGATTGTGGCAGAAGGGGAAGCAGGCACCTTCACAACGTGGCAGGAGAGAGTGTGAGCAAGAGCAGGAAAAACTGCCTTATAAAACCACCAGAACTTGTGGTTTTATATTCACTTACTATCAGAAGAACAGCATAGGAGAACCGTCCCATGATCCAATCACCTTCCACCAGGTCTCTTCCTAGACATGTGGGAATTATGCAGATTACAATTCAAGATGAGATTTGGGTGGGGACACAGCCAACCCATATCATTCTGCACCTGGTCCCTCCCAAATCTCATATTCTCACATTTCAAAATACAATCATGCTTTTCCAACAGTCCCCCAAAGTCTTAATGCATTCCAATATTAACCCAAAAGTCCAAGTCCAAAGTACCATCTGAAACAAGGTAAGTCCCTTCTGCCTAGGAGCCTATAAAATCAAAAGCAAGTTAGTTACTTCCAAGATACAATGGAGGTACAGGAATTGGATAAATGCTACCATTCCAAATGGGAGAAATTGATCAAAACAAAGGAATAACAGCTCTGTGCAAGTCTGAAATCCATCAGGGCAGTCAATAAATCTTAAAGCTCCAAAATTATCTTCTTTGACTCCATGTCTCATATCCAGGTCACGTTGATGCAAAGGGTGGGCTCCGTGTTCTTGAGCAGCTCTGTGCCTGTGGCTTTGCAGGGTACAGCCCCCGTCCTCGCTACCTTCACTGGCTGGTGTTGAGTGTATGTGGCTTTTCCAGGTGCACAGTTCAAGCTGTCAGTGCATCTACCATTCTGGGGTTTGGAGGACAGTAGCCCTCTCCTCACAGCTCCACTAGGCAGTGCCCCAGTGGGGACTCTGTGTGGGGCCTCCAAACCCACGTTTCCTAGAGGAGGTTCTCCATGAGGTCTCCACTCCTGCAACAAACTTCTTCCTGGACATGCAGGCATTTTTGTACATCCTCTGAAATCTATGCAGAGGTTCCCAAACTTCAGTTGTTTCTTGTGTACTAACAGGCCTAATGCCATGTGAAAGCTGCCAAGGCTTGGGGTTTGCACCCTCTGAAGGAATAGCTTGAGCTGTACCTTGACTCCTTTTAGCCATGGCTGGAGCTGAAGCAGCTGGGACACAAGGCACCAAGTCCTGAGGCTGCACAGAGCAGGGGGGCCCTGGGACTGCCCCATAAAACCATTTTCCCTCCTAAGCCTCTGGGCCTGTGATGAGAGGGTCTAACCCCAATATCTGTGGCATGCCATGGAGATATTTTCCCCATTGTCTTCATGATTAACATTTGGCTTCTTGTCACTTACACAAATTTCTGCATCTTGCTTGAATTTCTTCCCAGAAAATGTTTTTTTTTCTTTTCTATCACCTCATCAAGTCTGCAAATTTTTCAAACTTTTATGCTCTACTTCCCTTTTAAACATAAGTTCCAATTTCATATCATCTTTCTCAAGGTCAAACTTCCACAGATCTCTAGGCCAGGGGCAAAATGCTGCTAGTCCCTTTACTAAAGCATAGCAAGAATGGCCTTTGCTCCAGTTTCCCAGAAGTTCCTCATCACCATCTGATACCACCTCAGCTTGGGCTTCATTATCTATAATATGATCAGCATTTTGGTCAAAATCATTCAAGAAGTCTCTAAAAAGTTCCAAACCTTCCCAAATCTTGTCTTCTTTTGAGCTCCCCCAAACAGTTCCAACTGCTGCCTGTTACCGACTTCTAATACCGCTTCTACGTTTTTGGGTATCTCTATAGTAGTACCCCACTCTCCATGGTGCCAATTTCCTGTATTAGTTCATTCTCACACTGCTATAAAGAAGTGTCCAAGACTGGGTAATTTATAAAGGAAAGTAGTTTAATTGACTTACAGTTCCACATGGCTAGAGAGGCCTCAGGAAACAATAATCATAGCAGAAGAGGAAACAGGCACCTTCTTCACAAGGCGGCAGGAGGGAGTGTGAGTAAGAGCAGGGAAAACTGCCTTATAAAACCACTAGATCTCTCTCACTATCACAAGAACAGCATGGAGGAAACTGCCCCCATGATTTAATCACCTCCCACCAGGTCTCTTCCTTGACACTTTGGGATTCTGAGGATTACAATGAGTTTTGGGTGAGGACACAGCCAAACCGTATCAGCATTGCTGCTACATGCCCAGTTATGACATGAACCACTGGAATTTATTTCCATTATTCAGAGCTTAAGAACTCTCCCTGTAGTAAGATACCTTTTCAAGAAGTGTAAGTTTTAGACATGTTACTGTTATATTTTTTAATATAAAAGCAACCATTAAATATTCCTAAAAGTACTAACAATGAGTATAAATTATATGCATATACATAATTAATTTGAGCTCCAAAATTATCTTATTATTGCCCTGATTTTAGAAGTGGTAACTATGGTGAATTGTCTATATAACTTTAGCTCAAATTGTCTTATCCAAATACTCTAGTAGTGGTTGTTGTTTCCTTTTTCTTTTTTTTTTTTGTTTGCATAATTGTTCAGCTGCTGATGACATTCTCTATTATAGTTGTCACTTCTTTTGGTAATGTCCTTCCATGATAGCTCATTTGTTTTATTTCAGTAAATTTTCTTATTCTTCTAAATGCTACATTTGATTTTTGAGTTACTCATTAAGATAATTTACGCTTGGAAATTTTTGTTATTAAGTTAGTGCTGCTCTGAATGTAGACACTACAAACAAGATACTGGATGTTCATAGCAGAACTATTCATAAAAGCCAATAAGTGTAGACAACCCAAATGTCTATCTAGTGATGAAAGGGTGTAAAAAATATGGGATATCCACAGAGTAAATTTTTTTGCTGAAATAAATAGGAATAAAGCAATAATACATGCTACAACATGGATAAACCGTGCAAACATTATGCCAAGTGAAATAAGTCATGTATTATATGAGTGTATCATATAAAATGTCCAAAATAGGAAAATATGTAGAAACAAAAAGTAGATTTGTTGTTGTCTCGGGATGGGCAGATTTGAGGGGTCAGCTTGAGAGTGACTGTTAATGGTTACAGAATTTCTTTGTGATAAGATGAAAATGTTCTGAAATAGACTTTGGTGGTGGTTTCACTACTCTATGAACATACTAAAACCCATTAAATTGTACACTTTAAATGAATGAATTATATGGTATGAATTGTATATCCATAAACCTGCTTAAAATGTTAAAGGACATTGCCATAAAATTACACTGAAAAGGTCAATGAAATCTCATAACTCCAAATAAGAGACATTTTCTTTACAAAGACTGGCTCAACATCAACAGCAGCACTCTTGCCCACCAAAACTCTATGCCATCCTACACCCTGCTACTCCTAGATTTGTGCATCTAATAAGAAACTAACACTAAAAATAATCCAAAATGCTTGGGGAAGTATTGGTTCCACATATTAAAATAGAAAATAAAGGTGTTACTAGAATACTCTTTTATGTCTAATAATAAAATAATATAATAATAGCAACAACAAAACTATAGTGGTGATAGCTAATAATTATTAAAAGTTTAATACTAATTATTAAAAGTTTAATTATAGTGTTTAGTAAGAACTGTTTCAGTTGCTTCACAGGGATTAAATTCTTCAATTCTCATCATAACATTGTGAGGTTGGAACCATTATTTCCTTCATTTTACAGATGAGCACGGAGAGAGTAAATAACTTGTCTAAGATTACAGAGCTAGCAGGGATAGGATAGAAATTCTGTCTGTCTGCCTTTAGAGTTTGTGCTATGCTTTAATTGCAACATAGTCATAAAACAACAAAGAAGCTAGCTAAAGGTTTACCCATAGTTGAAGCTATGACCATTTTATCTGAAGCAAACAGCAACTACATCAACAATATAATAAGGATTTATCACAATAAGCTCAACCTTGATAATGACATAAGTATATAGTGATGATTAATGGAAACATAAAGATTAATATTAATTGTGATGAATAAAGTTAGCTACAAACAGTAATATAATATTTATATTTTTATGGTTCTAATTATTAGTAGTATGGTAGTTTATGGGTTTAGTATTTTATTATATTTTTCAGGTGTGTCTTCTTAGGATTACTGGTATAAATCAGTTACTTTGTACAGATCATAAAAGAGTGAACAGAAACTTGTGTTATTTAAAGCAGTACTCCAAACATCAAGAGCAACACAAATAATAGAAAGTAATTATTAGTATTAGTTGCTCATATAAAATAAGAAGATGGGAGGAGAGTCCACCATCTGGTTCATGTTGATGGACATTACACAATAATAAATTAGAAAGAAGGTGTAACAGCATATTTAAATGACAAATTAGACAAATAACCTAAAAGATGAGAGTTAAATATGCATATGTAATTTCTCATCTCATAGGAAATTAAACCTTTTCTAATTATAATAGCCCTGACTAATTATTATAAAATACTAATGAGAAACCTGTACATTTTTAACAATGCTAATAGATCATCTATATATAATCATGATAGGATTATATGCTAGGTATCACATGCTATATAAATGTTACAATGCACCTAAATTCTGGAAAATTCTACTTTGTGTAAAATTAAAATCTTTATTTAAGTCAACTACCAAAGGTTTGTATTTCATATCAAGTAAATTTTTTAAATGTTAGAGGCCTCTGCCTAAGATTTGAGTCAATGTGGACCATGTCACAATGTCCAGGCTTCAAAGAAGAATCCAAGTTAGTGATAAAAATGATAACATATAGCAAATTTACCTAAGCCTTAGAGACTATGAATGTTACAAGGCATGATATAATGAATAACAAAAAAGTTAATATTTTAAAAACATTAGTATTGATACAATAGCATTAATAATATTTAAATATACAAATAATCTGTTTTATGATGTCTGAAAAGTCCATGTGCATTGCCATTCCTACTATTCCTAATATACTATTCAAGTATATCAAATTTATTTATCAATTTATAATTAATGGCTAAGAGTTCAAGAAAGGCAGTTGTCAATTGTTTAATTAGACAGTTTTGAGGCATTGAACAAATACAAATAAAAATTGTTCTTTAGTAACTAAAGTATCTCTGACATCAATGTCACAATAGTGTAAGTAGCTGTGACACTATGAGGATGTCAAAACATAATAGATTATGAAGATGTAGAATAATATATATGAAGTTGGAAGCATTCGGAGTAAATAATTAGATGAGTTATAGTCCATCTACTTTTTATATTATTTATTTTTATATTTCATCCAAAATTATTCTAGAAGTATTTTTTTTACTGATTTAAATTCTACTTTCACATAATTATGTGTATGTGCTTATTGCAAGGAGGTAGGATGAAGTTAGATACACAATTTTAGCTGTAATGTGGTTGTCTCTCAGTACGTTTGGTTGCTATTTACAAGTATAAGCACAAACTTTATAACATAAATATAGAGTTTAGGAAGACTACAGTATTATTGGCATTTGAGTCACACATAAATATTGTGCAAGTAAAGATTACAATGGTCATGTGCCTGTTATGTAGTCTGAGATGCATATTCAGTTGCCTATTGATATTGAAAGACTCAAACAATAGAGAATGTATAACATCATTATAGAAAATTATAGTTGTTGAAAAAGAGCAAAAGTTGTGAGCCTCATTGTTGGCAATATGTAGTGCATAATGATAAGTTATCTGCCTTTTAAAATGGGAATGACAAGAATTCTTTATGTAAAGAGAAAATAATAAGGAATTTTTCAATGAATTAAATTCATAATTTTTTGAATGGCAGGTTCTAACAATACAGAACAAAGTGTTAAACTATCATTTCAGGCTAGGAATTAAAGTGTTTAATAAATTAATACATTGCCTTTGGGATTTTTAGAGGTGTTTCAAGAAAAAATATTTTATATAGAGTCATTAGCATGTAAATGAAAGCAATTATTGTCAGATGACTTAAAATCCAGTCCTGATTTTGCCACTTATATGTATATCTACCTAGGCCAAGTCATTTAATTTTTATAGGTTATGCTTCTTACATTAAACAAAACATGAGATACTTGGACTAGATTACTTTTAACCTTGACTTATTCAACTCCAATATCTTATTGTTGTAAATATGATATTCAGATGACAGTTGGGCAACGTGTCCAAAGTAAAGCTCTCATTTTAGCTCTAAAACTTGCTTTTCTTACCAAATTCTTTTGTGTGTGTGTGTGTGTGTGTGTGAGTATAGCACTAACATCCTACATCTCCTGTTGGCTGAAGGCTAGAAGGAACAGATTTTCACTTACTTGCATTGATTCTATATTATCTGTTTAATGAGGTTACTTTTCTTCATTTTCATTAATGGAAATGTCTACAATACTTGTGTATGACTTGCCTATGAAAATTGAGTGTGAAGACAGGGTTACCTGCAGCAAGTTGAAGGGTTTTTCTGGTTAATTTTTTATTTTTTATTTTTTTACGAAGTAGGATGTAAATTTTGTGCTAAGGGTAAGAAAGGAGGTAAACGTTTGAAGAAAAAGCAGGTGGTTTAAATATCTCCTTTGAGGAATAGAGAAGTTTGCCTAGTCTCAGTTTCCCATTGATGCTATACCCAGTTACCTTGAACTTAGTGGCCCAAAGACTATACACTTATTATGCTATGGTTCTGGAAGTCAGAAGTTCAAAATGTATCTCACTAGGCTAAAATCAAGATATTGACAGAGCTACCTTCCTTCTGGAGTCGCTAAGGGAGAATAAATAGATTTGCCTTCCAAGAACCAAGAAGCTTGCCTCTTTCACGGATTTGTGGTTTCCTTTCTGTGGTCACATTAATCTGATGGATGCTTCCATCACCACATTTCATTCCGACTCTCCTACTCTCCTCATTCCTTTATGAGGACCCTTGTGTTAATATATAGATCGTGCCTGCCCAGAGGCTATAGGATAATCTCCCCATCTCAAAATCTCCAATTTAATCACATCTACAAAGTGAGCTGAGATCTTGCCACTGCACTCCAGCCTGGGCGACAGAGCGAGACTGCATCTCAAAAATAAATAAATAAATAAATTTTATTTTTCTCATGCTTTTATAAACGTTATTTTTTTCTTTATTTTCTCTGTGGATAGTTCATTGTTACTGTACAGAAATAAAACTAAATTTTTATGTTGATTTTGTATCCTGAAACTTTACTGAATTTTCTTTTAGATCTAATAGTTTTTTATTGGAGTATTCAGAGTTCCTTACATATAATATCAATCCTCCTGGAAAGAGAGATAATTAATTTCTTCTTTTCCAATTTGAATGTCTTTTATTTATTTTTCTTGATTAATTGCTCTGGCTATTAGACTCCTAATTCTATGACGAATAGAAATGATGAGAGTGGACTCCCTTACCTTCTTTTCAATCTTAATGATTTCAGATATTCACCATTAATGTGATACCAACTGTGTGTTTTTCATATATGGCTTTTATTATATAGAGATAAATTTATTTTATAACTACTTTGTTGAGAATTTTTATTGTGAGACAGTGTTGAATTTTGTCAAATGCTTTTTCTGCATCTATTGTGATAATCATATAATTTTTATCCTTCATTCTGTTCATGTGGTATATTACATTAACTAATTTGTGTATGTTGAAACTTCCTTACAATTCCGGGATAAATCATAGATGATCTTACTCTATGATCCTTTTAATATGCTTTTGAATTAGGTTTGCTAGTATTTGTTCAGGATTTTTGGATGTATATGCATAAGGGATATTGTCTTGTAATTTTATTTTCTCATAGTGTCCTAGTCTGGTTTGGAATCAGAGTAATTCTGGCTTCAGAAAATGAATTTGAAAGTGTTCCCTCATCTTCAATTATTAAAGAGTTTGAGAAATATTGGTATTAATTATTTAATTTTTTTGGTAGAATTCACCAGAAAAGCCATTTGATTTTGGGGTTTTCTTTGATGGGAGAGTTTTTATTACTGATTCATTTTCTTATTCTATATTGTACTTTAAAAATTTTCTGTTTCTTCAAGATGCAGTATTGTTAGGTTGTGTATTTCTAAAAATTTATCATTTTATTCTAGGTTATCCAGTTTGTTGGCATATAAATATTAATTTTATTTCATAATTTTTATATTTCTGTGGTATTAGTCACCAAGTCTCCTCTTTTATTTCTGATATTATTTATTTGAGTCTACTCTGTTATTCTTACTCTGGGTAAGTATTTGTCAATTTTGTATATATTTTCAAAACCATCTCTTACTGTTTTATTTTTTCCATTGTTTCTACATTCTGTCTTTTAAAAAAATTTCTGCTGCAATTTTTATTATTTCTCTCCTGCTAACCTTGGTCTAACTGGTTCTTCTTTTTCTTGTTCCTTGGAGCTAACCTTAAGTTGTTTATTTAAGATCTTTCCTTTTTAATGTATGCTTTTAAAATAATTTAGGGGTTAATTATCACTATAAACTTCTCTCTTAGTATTGCTTTTGCTGCATTTCATATGTTTTGGTAAAATTCCAGTGGCTTTTTTTTCAGAAAGAGAAAAAAATCCTAAAATTCATACGGAACCACAAAAGACCCTGAATAGCCAAATCAATTTTGAGAAAGAAAAAAAAAAAGGTAGAGGCATCAGGCTTTATGATTTCAAAATATATATTACATTGCTACAATAAATAAAACTTTATAGTATTAGCATTGAAAAAGGTATATAAAGCAATGGAACAGAATAGAGAGCCCATGTCATATATTTTCACCCATATATGATGAACTGATCTTTAACATACGTGCCAAGAATACACAATGGAGAAATAATTGTTTCTAAAACAAATAGTTTTGGGAAAACTAGATACCCACATGTTTAAGAATGACATCAGAGGCCGGGCGCGGTGGCTCATGCCTGTAATCCCAGCACTTTGGGGGCCGAGGCAGGCGGGTCGAGAGCTCAGGAGATCAAGACCACGGTGAAACTCCGTCTCTACTAAAGATACAAAAAAAAAAAAAACAAAAAACTTCGCCGGGCGCGGTGGCGGGCGCCTGCAGTCCCAGCTACTCTGGAGGCTGAGGCAGGAGAATGGCGTGAACCAGGGAGGCGGAGCTTCCAGTGAGCCCATATCGCGCCACTGCACTCCAGCCTGGGAGACAACGCGAGACTCCGTCAAAAAAAAAAAAAAAAAAAAAAAAAAGAATGACATTAGAACATTATCTTACACATGAACAAAAATCAACTCAAAATTAATCGTAGGTTTGTACCTAAGACCTACAACTGAAATTCCTACAGGAAAATATAGGAGAAAAACTTTTATTACATTGGTCCAGGTAAAGCTTTCTTGGATCTGACTCTGAAATCATCACCAAAAAAGCAAAAATAGACGAGCAGAACTACATCATACTAAAAATAATATGCATGCAAATGAAACAACAGAATTAAATGGCAGTCGATGTACTGGGAGAAAATGTTTGCAAATCATGTATCTGAGAACAGGTTAATATCCAAATATATATGGAAGTTTTACAATTCAAAAAAAAATCATAATTAAAACATTGATAAAGGACTTGAATAGACATTTCTCAAAAAAAGAGAGACAGATTTACAACAAGTATATGAAGTTATTCAATATATCTTGGTGAAGATGTGAATAAAAAGGAATGCTTATACAATGTTGGTGGGAATGTAAATTAGTTCAACTCCTATAGAGAACAGTATGGAGATTTCCTAAAGAACTAAAAATAGAACTACCATTCAACCCAGCAATCCCACTACTGGGTATCTACCCAAAGGAAAATAAATTATTTACGAAAAATACACTTGCACCCATATGTTTATTGCAGCATTAGTTACAAAGTCCTTTTTGCACTATTGCAAAGTTATAGACTCAACTTAAGTGTCCATCAGTGGTTGATTAGATAAAGAAAATGAGGCATATATACATAATGGAATATTATGCAGCTATAAAAAATAAAATCATGCCCTTCTCAGCAGCATGGAGGTCATTATCCTAAGAGAAATAACTCAGAAACAAAATCAAATGTTGCATGTTGTCACTTACAAGCAAAAGCTAAACAATGAGTACACATGTAACAAACCTGCATATATACCCCCGAATCTAAAATAAAATAAAATTTAAAAATCTCTACATCTATTTTTTTAAAAATGTTCAATCTCTCTAATTTTAAGGAAAATTAAAATCAAAATCACAATGAGATACCATCATGCATCTGTTAAGATGGCTATTATATATATGGATATATACACACACATATGTAATATATGTGTGTGTCTGTGTGTTGACAAGAATGGAGAAAAATGGAAAAACTTCTACACTGTTGCTGGGAATGTAAAGTAGTACAACTACTATTGAAAATAGTATGGAAGTTTCTAAAAAAATTAAAAATAGAGCTACCATATGATCAAGTAATCCCACTTCTGGGTGTATAGCCAAAATAATCAAAATCAGGATCTTGAAAAGACATCTGCACTGCCATATTCTTTGCAGCATTATTCATAAATAGCCTTGTTATGAAAAAAACAACCCAACTGTCTATCAATGGACGAATGGATAAAGAAAATATGGTGCAGATATATAAAATGAATTTTTTATGCTCTTAGAATTATCATATTATATATAAGATTTTGTATATATGCATTTTCACATTTTTAATAATTATTTCATTATCAATAATAGCTCTGGTATGAAAAAAAAAACCCAACTGTCAATCAATGCTTGAATAGATAAAGAAAATGTGGTGCATATATATATAATGGATTTTTTTGCACTCTTAGAAATATATATATTTAAGCACTTTAAGCACTTTACTATAAGCATTAGAGATTTGTCACCACATAAATTCACTAAAATTACATTATTATCAACATGCAGCTCAGTAGCACTCCAAGAAACACCTTTTATATATGTGTCTTTAAAAACCTTCACTTCATGCATTACAGAGGAATCACCACATTCGTTTTATATAATAAAATGTTATTCAGCTTTTAAAATAAGGTCATCTTGCCATATGAGACAATATGGATGAATACGAAACACATTATGCTAAGTAAAATATGTCAGACATAGTAGGAGAAATACTACATATTCCTACTTATATGAGGAATCTAAATTAGTCAAACTCATAGAAACAGAGACTAGAATGGTGTTGCCAGGGGATGGGGGTAGGAGAAAATGGGAGTTGAGTTGCTGTTGAACAGGCATAAAGTTTCTGTTATACAAGATGAATAAGTTCTAGAGATCTGCTATACAACATTGTGCCTGTAGTTAACAATACTGTGTACTTAAAAGATTGTTAAGAAGTTAGATTTATTTTATGCATTCTTACCATGATAAAAAAAAAGTAAATTACTCTCTTCATTTCTCCCCTCAAATGAATCAAGCTTTTCAGCAGAGCATGAGGGTAGTAAAAGTTGAATTAGAGATTCGTGGAGAGAGAAGATTCAAAACCTCTTTCTGGGAGAGTGGGAAAGCTATACACACACATGCACACCTATACTCATATATGTAAAACATATGCAAGTTATTTTATTACAAATATGTAAAACTTATTTTATTATAGATAAATATCTTTCACTATATATAAATTCATATAATTTTTATATACACAAGATGATACAGAGGTTTATTATATAAAATAATGATGTGATATGCAAATATCTGTCAAGCCTAATAAATTAAAAATAGAGATATGTCTTTAAGTGAACTTAAAGTAATTGGGCATATTTTATATCTATAAGCAAATTTTATAACTAGCTGATATAAACCATGTTTTGGGGAAACTGACGTGAGTAATATATATGCAAAATTTAACTTGACTGGATTGCCAATAATCACCAAAGAAATTGAACACTTATGTATACTATCTAGAGTCATGTTCATTGAAATCATGATTTTTGGGTTTTTGTACTCACTATGTGTCCTTGGCCAATTGTTATGCCATAGTTCCAGCATCTTTAAAATTGGCATGATAACACTACCTTATAATGATTTTTGTTGCATGAATTAAAAAATAATTTGTGTAAAGTTTTTAGTGTGTTGCCTTGCATATAAATTAATATTTTCATTGTATGTACGCTATGCTCTATTGCAAAGATCTATATCCATATGGCTTTATTGTAAGTCTTTTCAAAACTTTAAGGTATTAGAATTACAGAAGATTTAATACAGAAAGTATCCAAATGTTTCTATATAACTCTGATAGCAAAATTGGTTAAAATTAAAACATAAATATATACTTTTTTAGTTCAGCTCAAACCAAACACAACAGGATATTGAAAAATAATATACATTTATCACTCAGTTACTATCGCTGTAAAACTTATTACAACAAAACTTAGTGGCTTAAAGCATAAGCTTAATTTTTTTCTCGTTTTGTGGATCAGAATTTCAGGAAGGGCTTAACTGGGCAATACCCATTTGTCTCCCCTGTGGTTAGAGCTGAAGTGCAACCTAGGGTTGCGGTCACCTGAAATCCCAACTGTATTGGCCATACAAGATGACTTACATATATGGTTGGCCATTGATGCTGACCGTCACCAGGAACATTGCTGAAACTGTCAATTGGAAGACCTCCACATGGCCTCTCTTACAAAGTAAGCTCAGTGTGCTTGACCTTCTCATATCATAGTTCAGGAATTCAAATACTAGTGTCCCTGCTGCAAAGGCAGAAGCTACATGCCATTTTATGACCTACGCTTGGAAGTTTTAAAATGCCAGTTCTGCTGTTACTTACTTGTCAAAGTAATTCCAAGCCTTCCATATTCAAGCATTGGGGCATAGACTTCGCATTTTGATGATAGTAGGGACAAAGTGGTTGTATTTTTTTAAGCCTCCACACATGCTTAAGAGGAATTAATCTGAGGAAGGTAAGAGTGGTTTACCTTAGAGCTTTATAAGATAAAATAAATTATTTTCTCAGGAGAGATAAAAGAGATATTTGATAACATTTAACACCTATTATTGAGTAAAATTTTTAAAAGTAAGATAGTTGGAATCTTCTGCAAATACTATTATCTGCCTGGTACAAAGACCAACCTGAATGGTAAAATAATTATTTAACAAATATTTATTGAGTATCTATTATGGGAAATACATTTTTCTTTTCATTGACAGTAGATCAGTAAATAAATAATAACTCTTCTTACATGGAAATTACTATAACAGGAGACAAAAAAAGAGTATTATATCTGAACTTAACACTTCATGCTTGGGAAACTCTTAGTCATTCTTCCAGATGCAGCCCAGTCATCAATTTCTGCATTAGGGGCTGGCGAACTAAGACTTGCTGGCAAAATCCATCTCATTGTCTTGTTTTTGTAAATAGTGTCTTATTGGAACACAATCATTCTTTTTTTTTAACTATTGTTTCTGGCTGCTTTGATGCTACACTGACAGTCAAGTAGTTGTGACAAACTATACGGTCTACAAATGAAAAATATTTACTACTTTGTTCTTTAAAAAAAAAGGTTGCCAACAAATTTCTATAGAAAGATTTCTTGAATTTGCAAAGCAGACTATTTCATTAGATAAAGAATACACTTGAAATATGACTATAATAGGTTATTTTATATTCTATTAAGTATGTTTATCATAATACATGTGAGGGTAAGGACTGGGATTAATAACCTTTGAATATCCAGCTACTTATTCAGTGTTAGATATTCAGTGTCAGTTATATTCCATTACAAAGTTTATAACTGCATGAATAAATGAACGAGATCTGTACCCACTCTTCCTCAATACTCTTTCTCTCCTCAATACTCTATTCCTGCAACTTCAATTAATTATCCCATGAAGATTGATCCTCAATTTAAAGGTGCCCTTTATTTCTTTTCAACACCTGGAGGGGAAACTCCAACCAGATATGTTGCTGGTTATTCAATTCAATATATTCCTACCAAGATATATTATTTTCTTCCACTGAAAATATACTTCTTTTTGTATTCATTTTATATCAGTAGCATCACCATTATTCAAGTTAGTATTGGATAAGGATTAAGAATATTATCAGGAGAAACAAAGAGAAAGGAGATAAAGCTATCTTAATTTTACCCAGACTAGAAAACTAAATGTCAGCCCTGAACATATAAAATAATGGGTAAAAAGTAACCAGTTGGTCACCCATTTCTGCTAATTTTACCTCTGAAATATTTATTCATTTTATTTCTCATATTCATTCTCAATGTTTTTAATTGTATTCACTCCCAAGGACCAGAGACCTAAGTTTTTCTGACATAAGTATAATTGTAATTGTCTTGTCTCTTAATTGTCTTCATCCATCCAATTATTTTATTCATTACCTCACCTGTTAAATTAAATAAGCAGGAGGCCATTGGCCTAAGACTGTCTCCATACTTCGAGTTCTTACATAATAAACTACAGTCTTACTTAGTACATAGACAAACTGAACCTAACTAGGGGCATATTTTTAAATTACAGACAGCCAGTTCTCACTCAATCATAAGCAGTCGAACTTCAGCCAATCACAGGCTTCCAAATGATTAGGCCATGTCCAAATAGGACAAACACTTAGCTGCAACCAATAAAGCTATTTCTGTACATTATTTCAGTGCTCTGTCTATAAATATTCACTGTCCACTAGGAGACCTCTCTGAACCTCTTCTGATTTGAGTGCTGCTTGACTCATGAATTGCTCAAATAAACTTTTAAGTTAAATTTGTCTAAAGTTTCTCTTTGAACACAACTAATGCATCTGCACTAAAGTTACAATGAAAAAGACATCATGCTGGGGACTGAGTATAGGACAGTGACTAAGAGAGTTCCGGATTTTTAAGGCATCTATTTGTAGCAAAAATAAAAACAAAGCTTAAAAAGTTAGAAAGTATATAGGTTTCTACCCTCCACAATGTAACCAGAGTTACACACACAGAGACACGCACATACACACACACATTGAGAACTCACTCTCCTCCGATCAAAATCCTCCAATAATTCCCCTTTCTGGCATGCAATATCAATTCTTTTTACATGTCTTTCAAGCTTGGCCCCTTTAAAAAATCAGTTTGTCATCTTTTTCAGCTAGTGCTTTTTTCTCTTTTGCATACCCTTTGCTTTAGGTATTTTCCAACATATGTGCTGTGCACTTTCACATCTCGGTAGCATTGCTCAAACCGTTTTTTCTACCAAAAGCCTTTCTTAAGCTTTTCCTTCCATTGCTACTGCTAATGGCAATCATCAATCTCTCTCCCACTCAGCCTTTTGTATGGAAAAATATTTGTATAAATCTATGTGACATTTATATTAACCTTGTATTACACGTTATCTACGTGTATGTTTTTTCATGTTTTTCCTTTAGTAGAATCCTATTTAAATTTTCCTAATTTAAAATTCTTAATTATGTTAACATTTCCTATGTAGCACTGTAGCACAATGTGAGTTTAGCATACAATGGTGGCTTTTTAAAAAATCCCATCACCAAGTTCTTTTTTATTTTGGAAGATTATGAAAAATAAACTCTCAGCAGAGTCTAATTTCTAAAGCAGTTTAGCAGACTTTGAACCAAATGAAATAAAATTGTTGGAAACAAAGCTATGTATTTGTTGTTCAGACTTCAGGATTTTTACAAAAATATATTTACATATTTTATTCATGTCAATATTTGCCCCGAAAACTCGGAAATAAAAACATTTACACATGAAAAATCTCAAGGAGTTTCTGCAAAGCAGTGTGTGAAAGCAGGCTAAAGGAAAAGGCAACTCACTGTAATTTGTTGATTAAGAAGTAAAAACACACTGAGAAGGAAAATAAATATGTACTCAGCAAAACCTAATTGATTCTCTTGAGCGCGAAACTCCAGGAGTCAGAAATGAAGGTAGCACTGAAAGAGTGGAGTGAAGGGGTGAGTACTCTCAATTATGTCTGCATAGTACAAAATAAACAAAATGATAAAATATTGATGGAGTGGATGGAGGTCTCTCCATTCAATCCCTTTTGAACAACACGATATTGATAATTAATGGGGGAAAACAAACATTTTTCTCCCTGCTGTCTTCCAGTGCTGGTGTTTCTGAAAATAATAGAAAGAAGGTCTTGCCCCAAGAACAATAAGAATGAAGCTTTTGTCTCAAGGTACAACTCTCTGTCAAGGTTTCTTCTATGAGATAGTTTATGTCAGCATATTCCCAACGTGTTTTGGCATTGTAGTTTTGGAATAAAATAAATGTATGCTTTTCCTTAACCTTAAGATAAGAAAGTTAAACAGACATGCTCATCGCTTCTTAGAGAACTCACATAATTTTAACGAATAAGTAACATATCACTTCCTCTACAAGAATGAAATAACCAAGAATCTAGATACCTGATATTGTTAAATTGAGGCTTAAAATAGTCAGGAAAAAAGAAATTCCAATGACAATATTCGCTAAAATTAAAAGAAAATTGTAACAAAAACAAAACATTAAAAATTTCCTATCTATCTTAATACAAGCTGAGAGTTATTAAAATTTGAAACTAGAAAAGACCATCATAAAAAGGGAAAAAGGAATCCTGAAAACTTTCTTTGATAAGAAAACAATCAATCAAAGAATTAAAACATACCCAGTAAATCCAAAGTTTATTTAAAAAGTATTAAAAATGGCCGGGCGCGGTCGCTCACACCTGTAATCCTAGCATTTTGAGGTCGGGGCGGGCGGATCACAAGGTCAAGAGATCGAGATCATCCTGGCCAACATGGTGAAACCCTGTCTCTACTAAAAATACAACAATTAGCCGGGTATGGTGGCGGGCGCCTGTCGTCCCAGCTACTCGGGAGGCTGAGGCAGGAGAATGGCGTGAACCCGGGAGGCAGAGGTTGCAGGGAGCCAAGATCACGCCACTGCACTCCAGCCTGGTGACAGAACAAGACTCCATCTAAAAAAAAAAAAGTATTAAAAACAAAACAGAAAGTTTACTTCTAATAATAGCAGATATATAATTGGATCAAATTTTCTAGGGAAAAATTAGATTATATAAAACATAAAGCATAACCTCAAAAATACTTATACTTCAAAAACGCTGACAATGTGAAGAGAATTACTGTGGAAAGATCAGCAAGAGGACATAATCGATTGGTGTTTCATTCTTGAGGGACTTTGTCATTTGAAACAGGTTCCTGGGAGGATAAACTGTGCTCTTGATGTTCTCCCATGGCATCCCTTCATAACCCCCCAAAATCAATTGCAAGTTAATTGTAAGGGTAGACATTAAAGATGAAACAATATGGTTTCCAGGCAGTAACATGAGAAACTATCTCACTCCCTTAAGTAGGCAAAAATTTCCCTCACAGAATTAAAAAGCACGTATCATTAAGGAAAAGGTGGATAAACTTGTATGACGGTAATATTAAGACTTTCTGTTCACCAAATGGGACTATTAAATAGAGAGGGAAAAGGCAAATCAAGGAAAAAAAATATTTTCAAGCAATCCACGAGCACAATGTTCAAAAGGCAAGAATATCTCACAAAAGAGAATTTACAAACAGTGAATTAATATTGGAAAAGTTACTCAGTATCTGCAATCATTAAGGAAATGTGATTTAAAATCACAAAAAAATTAATATTCATCTATCGGAATGACTAAAATTAAATAGCCCAGAATTATCAAGTGATGTTAAATTTATGGAAAAATCAATAATTTCCTAGTTATAATGGGATGCAAATTGGTACAAATATTTTGGATAAATGTTGGTAGTTACCTATTGACATTGAGCTTATGTAAATTCTAACATCTATTATTTCTCTCCTTAATATTTATTCAACAAATTTTGTGGCCCCAAAGACATGTACAAAAGAGGTCAAGCAGTAGTATTCAAAATAGTTCCAAATTGAAATCACCCAATTCAGTAAAATAAAGTTGGAAATCTATTTGGTAAAGTCCTACAGTGGAACACTATATAGTAATGAAAATGAATTAACTATGACTACTTGCAACAGGAAAAAAAAATCCCAAAATGTGTTATTAAGCAACAGAAGCAAGATATAAAAAATTATGCAGTGTGATTTTACTTATGTCAGGGTTAAAAATAAACAAAACTATAACATAAAGTTAAAAATTAAAAGTGTTTATCTTAGGCAGGAGGATGGGGAGTAATAAATTTATTGATCTAGAGAGTAGCTACCTCAGTATGTTCACTATGTGATAATTCATTCATCTAGACTCCATAATGTATGGATTTTTTTATTTTGACTATTCTAAGTTAATAAAACAGTTTAAAAAATCTGGAGATGCATGCTTGCATTTCACCGTCTTATAACACTGAAAAATTGGAAACAGTAAATGCTTATTAATAGACGCTTTGCAAGATTAATATGGCATATCAATACAACATGATAAGCAAATTATCACATGATATATTGAAGGCATAATATGAAAAAATAATAAATGAAAGTGAAATATTTAAAACAGTGTATACAATATATACCTATATATAAATACATTCATACGTTTCCTACATAATATTCTCCCTATCATTACCAATTTAGTCCAAATCTATTTCTACCTAAAATATATCTTCAATTTAATTACATACACACATATATATATATAAAATTTATAGTGCAATATTGTTTGTATCATGCTGTGAGTGCTGTCATGCACTATTAACTAAAGAGAATCAGCCTGGTACTTTCCACTGTATGTTCTCATTCATTGAATGATATTAACTCTGCATACTGGAATTGCTCTCGGCCAGTGAATAAATACTCTAGAGTGCTCTCTTGATTTCACTATGAAATGTATCTTATGTCTTTCATTTCTCTATTAACTCTCTTTCTGTCTTAGTTTTCATTTGGTGGAATATTTTGGACTCATAGTGCCTCACAAAATGTTGAGACGTGATAATTTTGTATCTCCTCCAAAAAAAGAAAGGAGTATTAGAAATATAAAAGACATTTTAATGTTGCACAATGCTTCTTTTAAAAAAATGGTTGCAGAAACAGGTAAAAGTCCAGCAGAAAATTTTGAATTGTTGGAAATACATCACAATTCTGAAAAACACATATAAAGATCAGTACTGCCTGGAATAACAGAATCTCAACTGTGTCATGCTGACTGAATAATGGGGAGGGAATTACGTTGCATCTTATTGGAAGCCATCTCTGTGGGAACTAGGCTAAAACAGTATTGTTCGGGAAATAATAGTATTTCTAACAACCAATCCAATGGCCCAACATAAACAGCATATAATTGAAATATACATATCAACAAATGCACATATTAATGGGGATTATCTCAAGAGAATGAAATTATAGTTGATTATATTTATTGCTATGCTTTGTATATTATCTTCACCCAAAAACATGGTGACATTATTGAAGCTAACAAACAAAACATTAGTTTTCTCCCCAGTTTGTCCCACCATTGCAATTATACTTTTCATATTTAGTTAAATGTTAAAAGTAGAATTGTGATTTTGAAACCTAACATTTTGAATTGGGTTTTCCTAATATAACTTCCACATTACTATTTGTTAAAAAGAACTATACATTTAAAATATTTACTTTAATTAAACTCAATTCTGAGTCACAACTAAAATCTACTATTTTATCATAAATATTATTTACATGCATATTTTATATTCTTCTCTATTGACATTATAATTTTTAAAATGTATTGCCATGCTTGAAAGTTTACTTGTTCAAATGCACTCTATCTTATTACTCTATAATGTCATTCAGAGTACTGTTTCAGGGTGCTAAATAAAATTTCATTATTGATTAGAATACATATTTAAAGGTCAGCTTTAGCTAAGCATTTAAAATCTTGATTACATTATACTTGTTAAAGTTTCTGCACACTTTTGAAATTCATAATAATTATATTTAAACAATATTTTAACAGGAAAAAGTATGGTTTTGTTGCAAACTGTGATATTATTCAGTCAAAATAGGCATTTCTAAACTCAGGCATTTAAAGGTTCCCATACGTTTTAAAAGAGAACAAAAGTTAATCTTATAATGGTTTTAAATGAATTAAGTGTTGTATATGTTTTATTTTCTTTAGTGATAAAGATATATATAACTTTAATATTTATATAATTATGAAACCTTTCAGATATTGACATTTTTTAAAACTAAAATATAGATTAGATGTTTGTTCTTTATTTAAGACTTCACAAACATTCATTTTATTATCTTAATTTTCCAAAAAGGAAAGTTCTCAATTATACAATTTTTGTAATTTATTGGTTTCTAAACTTACTAAAATTATTCTCATAAAGATGGCTTATTGCTGGTTACTTGGTTTTAGTCATTTTTAAAATACAATTTGTTATGTAATGTTTTCCAAAGTAATGTCTGATTAGATTTTATCTTATATGTAGACACCATTAATTTGTAAATGGAGATTTATATTTCTGACACCGTATTCCAATAACACATTTTTAAATATTTCTAGTACATAGTATAATATTAAATAGCATAAATATTCCTACAGACTGTTCAGTTCTTACATTAAATGACTCCATGAACAATTTTATATAGCCTGGTTCCTGATTCAAGAGACATAATCAGGTGTTTGTTGATAAGCAATTGCCCTGAGTATCCCATCAATCTGTGATAATAATACTGAAGAATTACATGGTTAATTGTTTTCATGTGTCTGGATGTTTATTTCATGGTGTCAAGGTTCTATATTGGACTGCAACTATTTACTTTTTCAGTTTGTTTTGAGATTAATCATTGTGCCAGTATTATTTTAATAACAATATACAATTAGTTCTACTAAATTATTTTACATACACTATACACTCATTGCAATCTGTGACATAAATTGTTTTTTGAATTACTAACTCAATCCATACCCAGTATTATCAAAGGACATGGCAATATTACATATTAACAAATAATTTCAGCATTTCTGTAAATTCAAACTCTTTTGAGAAAGAAAGAAATTCTGAGTGCACTGCATGAACTGGTTGAATTCAGTTTTACATGTTTTAAATCATCTCTAACATCAATCTGTGAAAAGAAATGAAATTAATAAAACCCCAGGCAATAGATGTCCATAATAAAATAATCAAATAAATTATATTCGGAAAGGTTGGTGGATCACCCTTATTAGAACATGCTCAGGAATATAGCAAAGGGAATACAGTTTCATTAATCAGTGATACTTTTGTCGTGTTCTAATAGCAGTCCCTCCTAGAAGTGAAAAATTGAACTAGAGTGTTTCTTGAATTGCTAAAACTTGTGTAATTATTGTTATTCTATCAACTATTTATGGCTTGGTTTGTGGAATAAAGGCTGAAGTTCTCTCTTTTCCAAATAAGTGATTTCTAGGCTCTGTGTACAATCTTCTAACTCAGATGATACATCCTCCAAAAAAGTTCACTGTAAATTTCTTTACAGTGGGCTTCATATTATTCTCTTTAGATATTCTCCATTTGTACATAATAGAATATCAAAATATTGTCAAAGTAGTGAACATGAATCATGAAAAAAGAGAATCAATAGACTTATTGGTAGAATATTGTAATGAATTTGGTTTAAATATAAACTTCACATGAAAATATTTTTGTCAAGAGTTATCAGGTCATGAATGTACGAGGTACTATTACCAGGAATAACAATCAGGTAATATATTCCTTTAGAATAGAGATAAATGTCCATGGAGATTTTTGGCCTAAATATCACCATTTACCTTACACATGTTTTTGCAAATATAAAATAAAATCACTATAATTTAATGAATTAAATTTTCAAAGAAGCAATGTTTAACTGGAAAATTAACATAAGAGATCATATTAGTTCTTAACTCATATGTTCTTTGTTAAGTTTAAATGTGTAGGTAGGTAATATCTACTAATATCTATGTGGATATTTTAAATGTGTAAAATACTATGAGGCCTGGAAAGTAACAAATGCTGCATCCCCTGCCTATGGATATTTCTCTTATTCATTAGAATGTAAACTTCAAAGAGTCAGGAATTTTTGTCTTTTTCTTAAAGGCTATATCTTTAGTACGCAGAGAAACGCCTCGTAAATAGTTATTGTTCAGTAAATACTTTGTGAAGGAACAACTGAAAAGCATAAGAAGTTGCAGTGGAGGCTGTGGTAGTCATCGGGATTCTTCCTTCCAAACTTTACAGCTCATTGACCCAGCTGCTAGGAGTGTTCGTGGTTAAATGCTTTCAGGAATTGCCTCGAAAAGAAAAAATTTACCTCCACCATTGATATGGACAGGAAGCAGGGAAATACTGGGTAGAAGAGGGTAGCCCCTGGTGAGGTCCCACCCTCAAGCCTCTACCCCGCGGCCCAAAGTGAGAACATGCATTCCTGTTTTCCCGCTCACATGTTGCCTTTTCCAAAAACCACCCTGGCCCTCCTTGCCCCCCACCCCGTACCCATAAAAACCCCAGGCTCCACTGGCAGTGGAGTGGCAGAGAAGAAGACAAGAGAAGAAGCAGCTTGACATGGGCGAAAAGCAGCTTGACTACTGAGGGATGGTTTGATTGTGGGAGACCATCTTCCTGCTCCATCCTTTCCAGCTCTCCATCCCACTGAGCGCCACTTTTCATTGGCAATAAAATCCCCTGCATTTACCATCCTCAATTTGTCTGTGCGACCTGATTCTTCCTGGGTGCCCAGTAAGAGCTCAGGATACAGACAGAGGGCTGTCACACTGCACTGTTGAACAAGTCGTCTGCGGATGGTAAAGATAAAAGAGCGCACTGTAACACACGCCTTCTGGGACTCTGGGAGTCGCGGGTACCCCCCTAGATGCTGCTCTGGGGCCTCACAGAGTTCTGCTCCTGCCAGAGCCCAGAAGCACTTATCCCGGCCCCTGCACCCACTCACCTGCGTGCTTCCCCTCCCTCGAAGGGTTGAGAGCTGCCGGCTGAGTAAACAAGTCACCCCCTCCACAATTCCTGTGAAGGGGTCAGGGAAAATTTCCTGTTTCACCATGGTCCCTAACCAGAAGCATTCCACAATGACTGGTCAATGCCAAGTTATGTATAGACCGGGCCCTCTTGCACTAAAGAAGGACAGTGATGAAGGACCATTGCAGCATCAAAATCTAGGCAGAATTGTAAGATTTGCTACTGCCTTTGTTAGAACCGCACTTTGTTTCAATTTCTCATTCTGCCTAATCTAATTTCTTTCACATCCTTTTGTTAGGAATAACGCTCAAAATTTTAAGGAAATTGAATATTTAAACAAAGGATTTTTAGTAAAGTAATTTTATTTTTGTGCAGGGGGTGCTTCTTTGTCCAGTTGCCATGAGAGCACACTTGAACAAAGGGGCACGAG
The DNA here is from genome assembly GCF_000001405.40 of Homo sapiens. Lineage (NCBI taxonomy): Eukaryota > Metazoa > Chordata > Mammalia > Primates > Hominidae > Homo > Homo sapiens. The sequence goes on from NC_000004.12 coordinate 34,765,268, forward strand.
AGCCTTTATTTTTGACTCAAGTCTTGTCTCTGTATTCTTTTTTTTTTTAATTGGTCAGGGTCAGGTTGTAGAATTGAAACTAATTTTGGTTGGCTAAACATTTGATATTTTTTAGACAGGATGGGCACGTAAAAGAAAGTGGAGGGAAAGGGGAAGTGGTGTCTGCAATGAGCCAAAAATTAGTTTTTTAAAAAAATAAGGAAAGGAATGTGAGCTGGTATTGATAACACTTGGTATTGTGGTGTGCCTGGGCATTTAACAAAGGCAAGAAGGAAAAAAGGAGAAAAAAAGGTGAAAAATGGGGGAGGGGGTACTATGAATTAAAGAATAAAAGATTTATCAGATTATTTGAAGAGAAACCTCATCATATCCCACACTTTTAATGGTGTTAATCTCTAAAACATTCCCAAGTAGTCTTCCTACACTCAAATCTCTGTTATGGAGTCTGTTTCCTGGGGAACCAATGGAAACTAGAAGTTTCAAAAAGTCTACACTCATAAATGTGCCCTTCCATTTCCTTTATAATTAATATTTTACACACGTAGCATCTATATATACTATATATGTTCATGTGTGTGATCATGTGTTAAAATCTAATGCAACCTTAATTATTTGGTATTACAAATATTGAAAAATATGGTATGAGAGGAAAAATAAAAATCTAGGAAGGCTTGAAACTATTTTCTATTATTAATTGATTCCAAATAGCAGTCAAATAGTTGAAATGAGGTAGGCTAAGATTAGCAAGTGTTCCTTCTTCCTTATTCCAAGGAAACCATTTTAAGGAATATATATCTAAATTCAAATCTAGCGATAGATTAAAAGAATTAAGTATAAAATCAAATGTAGTATATTAAAGGGATAACACATTCATGTAGCTTAGAAAGTCAGATTGTGTGGTCGTATCATATCGACAGGTCAAAATAAAAATATCACATTGTCAACTTGATAATAATTTGTTAAATTACAATATCTGTTAAGATAAAAAAATTGATTACTTTGTGCACAGAAAACTTTCTAAATACATTAAAGGATATCTATTTTAATTCAAATACTAACATCGAGTCTATCAAGAAAAAATTAGAATTTTCAAAAGTCATGGATGAGCTAACTTTACTATATATGTTATTATGTAACATTGTTTTGGAAATTATTTTATATATTTTTAATAAAGAAATAAGACATACATTTTGAAAAAAGATAAATGCACCATTTTCAGTTGATATAATCATTTAATTGAAATACTTAAGACTATAAGAAACTGAAATCTATTTATTGATTCTAGTATCGTGACTAGAAAAAGATAGTCTATTAGTTGCTATCACTCCTTTGGAAAATAATATCAGAAGACAAAAAATGAAATTTTTCTATCCTATATCATTTAACAAAATAAATTTGAGAAAGATTTATTGTTTTGATAAAGATACAAAAAGAAAAGAAAATATAATATAATTATATATTTGAGGGTGGTTGTTAAGAGTAGACATTTTGCAATTCAATTTCCTTGGCTTGTTTACTGGGATCCATGGAATAAGTCATTTAATTCTTTGAAACCTCATTACTCGTCAATACAATTGGTAATATTAAATTGTACCTCGTACATAGAGTTATCTGAGTAAATTCTGGCTAATACTAAATAATAGAAACAATTAGCTGAAACATTTAAAACCCATCTCATTATTGTTATATTTGTATAAGCCTTTTTTCATTTTTTTCTTTAGACAAGCCATCAGAATTATCCCAATCCTTTTACAATTAACATGGATTCACTGAACCTATACACACATTCACAAAAACCACTGATTTTCATGGCTATGAGATCTCTGCTAATGGATGCTATTTTTTTTTTATTCCACAGAAAACATAGAGGGCGCAGTAGGAGCACTACATATGCTTATCACATAAATTAAGAATGTAGAATAAAGAAATAGTATTATACTATTAAACATTGTTCTGATATCATCAAGAATTTAGAAGTTTTAGTTCTACAGTTTTCAAATATTTAGGTATAGGTAGTTGGAAAAAAAAATAGGTTTCTCTAAGCAGTTTTAGGCTCAAGGTAATGCAGCTTTTACAGTTAGCTTATTTACCTGACTTCAAGCGAAGATATAAGTTCAAACAAATGCTTTGCACCTGCACAGAAGAAAAGGCCAAAAACAAAACCTAAATATCATGGCAAAAGGGACAAGGGCTGTGTAGGGCAATCCTAACTCCTGGGCTCTCCATGTGCTACAGAATAGATTAAATGCTTCAAAAGAAAGAATATGTTTTGGCAGCAGTGCTAGATCTATATCCCCACGGCAAAATTGAAGACATAGTTGCATTCAATACAGACATAGATCTTCAGAAAGATATTTTCATAAGCAAGCTTTGCAGGCATTCAGCTGTGCGTGCCAAGAATATCTCATGAAACAGAGTGCAGGTCTGGAATGAACACACTGGAGTATAGAGGAGACTGTTGAAACAGTAACTGCTTCAGTGACACCCAAAGCAGCAGGAGATGACAACAATGGTAGTATCAGCAGCAAAAAGGGCTATTTTTTCCATTTATAAATGCAATTGAACATATGGCTAGCTTAATTAGGACTTTTCTCATTAACTCAGAATAGGCAGTCTCTATTGAAGCACCCTCGATAGAAAATCTGCATGAATAACGATCTATAGGTTTGCAAAAAGCCCATTTAATAAGTTGGAAACCAAGAAGTCAGCTATGAGCATCTGTGCAACATTTGCTTATTTTTACCATATTTAGTCGCTTTCTGCTGTGTACCAAAAGAACTTGAATCAAAACTCCCATTGATAAGAATGGTTCATTTAATGCCACCTTAGTAGAATCTGCCTGTAGTTAGAAGTTAAAGCACCATTAAAACACAAGAAAATATTAACAGAGCTCTATGCAAAGAAAGTATACATTTGTATCTTGTCATTATGTTAATGTTGCATGTGAAACGTGAAAAATAAATTTGGAATTTTTCAAGGAGAAAAATTAATGCTGCCAGAGAGTGTTCCCTTTCTCTCTTCACAGATAAATAAAATGAGTGAGTATGCGATTAGCATTTGAACTTCTTATGGTACAGATGCATGTTATAATGTCAGGATAATTCTTAGGAATAGGCCATTCCATTGTGTCTCTCTGTGCATCTAACATTTAGAATTTGGAATCAGGCAATGTTCATCATACATATGTTGATTGATGTTTCATGTCTCCCTAAAATGTATAAAACCAAGCTGTGCTCTGTCCGCTTTGGGCTCATGTCATCAGAGCCTCCTGAGGCTGTATCAAAGGCACGTGTCCTCAACCTTGGCAAAATAAACTTACTAAATTAACTGAGACCTGTCTCTCAGATCTTTAGGATTCACAGGAATCCTGATTTTAATCATGTTATAAAAGAAAATGAAAATGTAAGTCGGCTCAATTCTTTAGTTGCAAAATTTGTACTTTGATTTCCAAAATCAAACATTTTAAGAGAAGGAAAAAGTAAATTTGGCATGTCAAGAAGATCTATGAAAATATAAGGATACTCCTGCAAATGAATTTCCATCTGTTTGGCTGTGGTCTGCTTCCAATCCACCTGTATCTCCTTTTGATTCTAGTCAGATATAATTGTTCTCAGGGAGAAAGCCTTGTTTTCTTTCTACTGAGTCTTTTTCTTTTCTTTTCTTTTTTTGAGGGAATGAACTCCAGACAAAGGGAAATTCTAAGTCACACATGAGACTGCTAAACTGAGTCACACATAAGACTGCTAAACTGACGAGCAGTTAAGAACTCAGGTTAAAACAAATTTCAAGAACAGAGATTCTGAGTTTAGATAGCAGGGAAAAAAAGAGAGATTGAGTAGATGATGATATCCCAAGCTAGGCAGAGAGCTGTTCAGATTCAGGACAAAAAGCGGCAGCACACGGGCGCGGTGGCTCACGCCTGTAATCACAGCACTTTCGGAGGCCGAGGCGGGCGGATCACGAGCTCAGGAGATCAAGACCATCCTGGAGAACACGGTGAAACCCCGTCTCTACTAAAAACACACACACAAAAATTAGCCGGGCTTGGTGGGGGGCGCCTGTAGCCCCACGTACTCGGGAGGCTGAGGCAGGAGAATGGCATGAACCCGGGGGGCGGAGCTTGCCGGGAGCCTAGATCGCGCCACTGCACTTCAGCCTGGGAGACAGCGAGACTCCGTCTCAAAAAAAAAAAAAAAGGGGGGGGGGGGCTGCAACACAGAGTTTATGGCTCAAAGAAAAAAAAAAAAGTACTATGAGGATGAAGATCATTAACAAGGAGGAGAAGACCTCAAGTTTCAGATACCCAGATGTTACTAGAATGGTCTTCCCTTCATTGTTATTTATTTTTCATCAGCCTATAAAACTTGTGAATATTTTCTTTTTGAATGTTTAATATAATCTATGCTTTTTTTTTAACCTTCAGAAATTATCCTCTTCTACTACACCCTGATGTCCTGCTGTCTTTTCTCTACGAGCAATCCAATTGTTCTATGAACTATGGCAAAATTTTTACCTTACTTAACTATAGCTTCGATTAGTGAATAAGAAACATCCACAATTCATTTTTTCCACCTCCCAAAATAGTAATTTCACTTCCCATTTGTTTTGTTTTGTTTTGTTTTTTCTCTTTTTCTTTGTAGGTAGATTCTGGTTAATATATCATACCCTTGGGGTTTTGCTGAAAAGGTTTTTTTTACTTGTTTATTTTTATTTATTTTTCTGGGCAAATAGTAGGTGTATGTATTTATGGGGTACATGAGATATTTTGATACAGGCATAAAATGCATAATAATCACATTAGGATAAATGGGGTATTCATCAGCTTAACCATTTATCCTTTCTTTGTGATATTTTATATGTATATATATTCTTTCCTTTCTGATTTGTTACTAGACTTAGAGGGATAATGACAATGATTCCTAATTCCCTTGAGCCCTATCCCAGCATATTTGTTAAACATTGATAACATATTGACCAGTAAACTATTCCCCTGCAGCCTCACTTCTGATATTCTTAATCTCTGAATTCTGATACCTCTTAAAAATATGTAATGATATTGGTCATGTTTCTTTTTATTCAACTTGGTTCTTTTGATTATTTTTGTCATTATCACTAGAAACAATTTCCATCCAAGAATAACTGTGATATATTGGGTTGTGACATTTTAGCTTAACAGTACCAGACAGTATTTTCAAAGCTAAAATCTATAGACTTGATGCCAGAAAGAATTAACAATATAGCTCAATATTATCCTTTATAGGAAGAAAGCCAAAAAGTTGTGTGGCTTGCCAAAACTCTGCAACCTTGTTTTGTGTGCACTGACTTTCAGTGTTATTTGTTTTATTTTGCAAGGAAAAATAATCACAAACTCACTATTTATGTAAACATATTGTCCCTTGAAAATAAGATGGAGAATTAAGAGAAAAAAAGAGATCCTAGAATGGAGTCTTGTACTGTATATCATCTTTTATATTACTTAAATACAGTTTTCCAAATATTGTAATTTCTGCAAGAGGTTTAGAAAAAATTGGGCACACAAATGAATCCACTATGTCAAGATACATCATTAAAGATGAAACCATTATTTTCTCCAACCAGCTTATATGGCTTGTCAGAGCTCTTTGTCCACATTTCTTCTAAAGTCCATGTTCAGTAACAACATTTGATATATTGGAATTGGCTATTGTGGGAGAATTGCTACTCCAAAGAATTAGCAAATGCTATATTATGTCTTTTAAAATTTATTTGTTTTTTCCTGCAGAGCTACTTTACTCTGTCACAGATGTTTACAAAAAAATATATAAACGTAGAATCATGGGATATTATTAAATCTCATGTGTAAAACCTTGTATTCAAAATGTTCTTCTTACATATCTTAAGAAAGTGTATGAATTAATAGAAATATCAAATCATAAGTGTGGATATCAATTAGTGCTGGACACTTCTTATTCTAGCAATTTCTACCAAGATTATTGCTGAATAATAAATATAATAAAAAATTAGATGGACTAGTCCCCTGTAGCAGTTTTGTTCTCTACTTAAATAAATAATATAACCAAAACAAGATTTGAAAAAGTTTTATTCTTTCACATTTTTATTCTTTTAAAATATTTCAGTTTGATTTGGAAGATAATATCATTTCCAGTGATCATTTATTGCCTTGATACAGGAGTTAAGAAACTACTTAGGCAGATAGTAAGGGTACAGGATCCCTTGGTAAGGTTTCCTTTTAATGAAAAGCACCCCCCAAATAATTTCCTTTGCTAACAAACAGCAGATGGTAAAATCGAACTGCAGACATGACAATTAAGTTAGAAGCTTGCACAGGCAAATGCCAACAGTTGTGCCTATAGGCTACTTGTGACTAGGCATGATCAAAATGGCAGCTCCGTCTTCCATTCTCTTTGCCAGCCACATGTACAGTAAGGAGCAGACGAGATGGCACTAGCCAAGTAGAAAGCCCATTTGCATAATAAGATTAGGGTGGGGCGACCAGCCTTCCCTGCTCGCTATGTAAATGTCATACCTGGTGGAACCAAGCTGTGGGCTCTATGTAAATCACACACCACCTCCTCAAGCCTGCCTATAAAACCTGCTGTGGTCCTTTGCAGGCCGACTGTTTTCTTTTTGGATGCCTCTCTCTCACAAGAGAGAGAGCTGCTCTACTCTATCCTTTATTCTGCCTATTAAGCTTTCCACTCCTTAACGCACCCACATGTGTCCCTTTTGTTACTCTTCTCTATGCCAGACGACGAATCCCAGGTATTTACCCCAGACAACGATGTTGCTTCAGCAGTACATTTTTAAAAATCTTGAGCAGCATATTATATGCTTTTTTTTTTTAAGATGATTCTCGGGTACATAAGAACTCTTTAGTTACAACTTGTAAGTACCACTTAGCATCCTAACTCAATGTTTTAATAAATGCCTTGTTAAAAAGTCTAATAGTTTCATATTCTTTCATCTGTGGCCTGTATATGAATTTATAATTATATATTTACAAAATTATTAGTCCACATTTTTCTCTCAAAGGGTGGGGCTGATTCTGTTTTGCTTATTATTGTATTTCAGGAACTGACCTATGCCTAACAAAAAATATTTTTTATATGAGTAAATGAACAAAAGAAAAAGTAAAGTAACTTTGTAATAGCTTTTGAAAATTTTCTCGAGTAATTTTCCCCCAGTTGAATACCTTGATGATCCCCAAGTTGACCTCTGCTTTGTAGTCTTTATATCTTTAATCATGTTATTTCCTCTATTTGGAATGGGTACCCTATACCTAGATTACCTCGTGAATGGCATTCATTTTTTAATGTTAGTTATTTAACTCTTCCTTGATGAAGCAAATCAAAGCAAAATTCACCCCTCTATCATTTGTTTTGTTAGATCTCATTGCAAAAACTTAAGAATAATAAATAAATTCTAAATTTTGGTAAGAAAGTGTTCAATGACACAAAAAATGGAATTATTTATAGTGATTGAGGGATTTAGTTTTTTTACTTGTGTCTTTGCCTATTTTAATTAACAGCTTAAAAACCGGATTTAGTTACCATGTCTTTCTATTTTCTAGCCTGTTTTTCTAGTGTTTTAGCTGTTTTAATTATTGCTGATCATTGATCTGAAGCAAAGAAGCAATTTTCTTGGAAAAGTACTAATTACCAGCTAAGTGCTTGGTATTTAGGGCATAGAAAGCAAAGAAGAGCAAGACTTAAGATTCTAATAAAGAGTGCTTAAATTTGTATGCATTTCCACTTTCAATGTCCAAATACCAGGTTTTTTTTCATGAGACTCTGTATTTACTTTAAATATTCTATTAAAAAAAAGAGTATTACAGTATATTACTACCGAGACATATTTTTAGATGTTAGAACTACACAGAATACGTGGAACATTTAATTTTCACTCTATTATTGATTAATATAGGCATCACTATTTAGAAGTAAAAATGTAAAAGACCTTAAATTATTTTAGTCTAATATTATTGAATACTTGCAAACTTTATTACTTTATTGTAAGCAATATAAATAAAACCACACAATCTAGAAAAAGACTAGTTTTCGTTGAATTCTCATTCAGAATATATGAAAGGAGTGTCATGTGTGTCCGTATAGAAGACCACCTAAACAGGTTTAGTGTGAGCAACAAGGCTGTTTATTCACTTGGGTGCAAGTTGGCTGAGTCTGAAAAGAGAGTCAGCGAAGGGAGATAGCGAGGGGCAGTTTTATAGGGCTTGGGTAGGCAGTGGAAAGTTACAGTTAAAGGTGGTTATCTATTGTTAGCAGGGGAGGGGGTCACAAGGTGCATGGTGGAGCGATGATGGGAGTCATTGTCCAGGAGAAGAATGTCACAGGGTCGATTGATCAGTTGGGGCAGGGCAGGAACAAGTCATAATGGTAGAATGCCCTAAGGTGGGTTAATTAGTTAAAGCAGGAACTGGCTGTTTCATTTCTTTGTGGTTTTTCGATGGCTCCAGACTTCTTGGCTCCTGCAGTCCATCTTGGCTCCTGCAGGCCAACTGGACGTATATATGCAGGTCACAGGGGTTACAATGGCTGAGCTTCGGCTCAGAGGTCTGACAAGGAGATAATATGCATATGCTGGTTTTTAGATGTTTATAAAATAAAAATATGTATATATATATTTAAAAAGCATAGGTCACTTGAGTAGTCATTTAACTGTAAACAAAATAATTTTTAAATTTACTAGTTAGTGTGTTCTATTATTATTCTTGGTATTTGCTATTATTTTAAAACTGATATTTCGATATTATGTGCTCAATTTCACCTGATTCTTTAGATAGACATTGCTGTCAGAGGCAGTTGAACCAGAGCAACATCATCTTGAATAGGGACTGGGAAAACAAGGCTAGATCTGCTGGGCTGCATTCCTAGACAGCTCGGCATTCTAAGTCACAGGATGAGACACGAGGTTAGTATAAGACACAGATCATAAAGACCTTGCTGACAAAACAGGCTGCAATAAAGAAGCCGGCTAAAATCCACCAAAAGGGTGGCAACAAGAGTGACCTCTGGTCATCCTCACCACTACACTCCTGCCAGAGCCATGACAGTTTACAAATGGCATGGCAACGTCAGAAAGTTACCCTGTATGGTCTAAAAGGTGAGGTATGAAGAATCCACCCCATGTTTAGCATATCATCAAGAAATAACCATAGAAATGGGCAAGCAGCAGCCCTATGGAGTAGTCATTCTTTATTCCCTTACTTTTTAAATAAACTTGTTTTCACTTTACGGACCTGCCCTGAATTCTTTCTTGTGTGAGATTCAAGAACCCGTTCTTGGGGTCTGGATCGGGACCCCTTTCCAGCATCATTACTATTTTTATTTCAAACTTTATCTATAATGTCTAACTAGTAAGTGATCCATACGCGGATTGGTAAAAAGAGTTTACTGACAACATTATAGGCTTGAAAAAAGGAAAGTTTTTTAGAAAGGAAGAACACTGCACGAGGGTTCGGGGAACCTCAGCCGGAGGATTAAGGTATGGTGGTGGATTTTCCTTACGAACATTTATGAATTTTCAGGCAGGAGGTTAGGGTTGTAAAATGAGTTTTGGCATGGCATTCCAGAGATGTATATAAATTTTAGCTACTTATAAAAGTTGAAAGAGGCCTGGAGCCGGGCGCCGTTGCTCACGCCTGTAATCCCAGCATTTTGTGAGGCCAAGGCAGGCAGATCACCTGAAGTTGGGAGTTCGAGACCAGCCTGACCAACATGGAGAAACACCGTCACTATTAAAAATACAAAATTAGCTGGGTGTGGTGGTGCATGCCTGTAATCCCAGCTACTCAGGAGGCTGAGGCAGGGGAATCACTTAAACCCAGGAGGCAGAAGTTGCTGTGAGCCAAGATCATGCCATTGTACTCCAGCCTGGACAGCAAGAGTGAAACTCAGTCTTAAAAAAAAAAAAAAAAAAAAAAAAAAGGCCTGGAATCAGATGCCCACTTGAGATACTGGGGAAGTTTAATTACTTCTAAAATTTCCAGATGAGGAGTTTAGCATTTGGATGGCCTGTTTGCTGGTGTTCTTTGCTCCCTTCTAAATTTCTCAGATAAGGGGTTTTTGTGTCCGGAGTTCGTTCAATGGTCACCAGGTGATTTTCACTTTTCCTCAGTATTAAAGCAAATTTTTTTCTTACCTCTTTAAGAGGCATCATGTTTGTATTCTACCATATTTCTAAAGCCTAATCAGCCAAAGAACACTAGACATAAGACTTACTTTGACAGGGTCAGATTTATTTATTTGATGTAACTAAGGTAGGTACTTTGTGGAACTATAGATTGCTGCCTCACAAGAGTGGGAGAGAAGTGTCTTTCATAAGGTATATGGGCTTGTGCTGATAAAGTCCAAACAGAGTCTAAGAGAAACAGACTAGACTGAATTCTCTTTCCAAGGCAGAATTAGAAGAGGGTAATTATTAAAAATTGGGTGATGTTATGAGGTGTAGACAATTTACCTGCTGGGTTTTTCTAGCAATGTACAAAAATAGCAAAGTGGCTCTGGGACATCATTGGTATGAAAGAAGTTATCACTCAAAGAAGGAATTCCCATGGTATTTTACAACTAATGCACCATATTGGGAGAAATTTTTTTCTTTATTAATTGTGTTTTATCTGTGTCTGTTCTCTCAGGCTAATTAAAGGCAGGGCTCCTTTTTTTTCATTAGTACAGCTGATGTTCACTCTTTCAGTACTTCACAGGTTTTAAAATTATTTCATTGATAACACCCTAAGTTACTGATACTCCTACGTACATTCATGTAATCTCAAGTCATTAATTATTTTTCTTTAAACAGAACTTCTCCACATTCATGGATTTTCCCCTTACATTTGTTGTTATTGATGTAATGAAGTTCTCCATGTATGCCAAATACAAAGCTATCAGAGATTGTTTTGTGAGCATCTTCCATGCTGCGGCTTGTCTAAGATTTTTTCACTTTCTTAATAATATCTTTCAAAGATTTCTTACATTTAATGTTGTTCATTTTTACTTTTCAAGCATTTGTGACCTCTTTATGGAATATTTCCTACATCAGTCTTTTCCATGTTAGTCTTCTGAGTTATCTTCTAAAACACTTATGACTTTACCTTTTGTGTGTACATTAAAGAACATCAGCTTATTAAACAAATACATAAAGACATTAAATATTTAAATATAAAAATATGTAAGAGATCAAAATAAATATGGGAAGTTGGAAGTAACTTTATATTTTGCAAAGATAGAAATACGAAAAATAGGCAAAATGTGTTAAATATTAAGTTTAAAATATTTTAGTACAAAAATTTTAAACTCAGGTGGCATATAAATAATTTATCCCTCAACTATATGTGAGTGACAATGGGCTAATAAAGTATATAAAATGCCTTTTTTTGAAACAAGTTAAGATATGACACTAAAAGCAAATTGCAAAAATAAGTAAATAGTATTAATTCAATAAAGAAGAGACGTCTAATGAAGATTTTAAAATAAATTTTTATAATTATGAAACAGTCTAGTAAAACAACAATGAAGCAAAACTCAATATCTACATAATTTGAGAAGTAAAAAAAGTAAGCACCAAGTACATGGGGAAGTATAGAACATCCTCATACATTATTCTGGAAGTTAGAAATTGATGGATAATTTTAAGGGAACTTGCTTATATGCATCAAATTTGAAAATATGGTGTATATTAGATTTACCATTTATTTGCAGGAATAAATTCTGAGGAACTAAGTAAGGATAAGTGCAAACATTTTCTCCTTTTATTTAAAAATAACAAAATGATTCATGCATGTTTAGATTTCTAAGAATAGGAGTTTCCTTGTAATTTTTGTAAACCATTAGAGCAACTGATTTTAATTAATAAATAATATTAGACAGAATAATTGTTAACATTACACATTTAAAATATACCAGATATTTTTCTGTTTTATGAATATTTATTATATGCCTTTAATCCTGACAACAAACCTATGCTATTAATAGCATTATACTTGTTTTACAAATGCAGAAACAAACACTATACTTGTTTTACAAATGCTTAACAGAGGTTAAGAACCTTACCAAAGGTCATATAGCTAGTGAGAGGCATCAGCAGAGAGCTAAGCAGTTTGAATCTAGATTTCAGACGCCTACCCTGCGAGTGGAATGCCCTGCTAATAGTGATGTATAGACATATATGTATGACATTATTATGTTTGTGACTTATCATGGTTTTAATTACATGTTGGAAAACAATATCTGTAAGTAAGGGATTCCTTCACTGAGTATAAGATTATAGGTTTTAATTATAGTTACTCTGAACAATTCAACAGGCTATATTTTATAAGAATATTACTGATATAGTATACTTGGATTTTTTTTTATTTTTAACTTTTTAAATTGCTGATCACTAAGTAAACATTCTTTTTTTCTCTTTGATATCTTCTTTTTCTCTAAAATAAAAATGACATAAAACAGATTTCCTTTGAAAGTCTGAAAAATTAAGCTTATGTTTCCAATATTGTTTAAAAAGATAGATTGGGTTATTTCTTTTTTTTCTCATATAAATGAGGTCAACTGAATGCTTAAAATTACAAAAAAAAATCTTCATATTCTTGAAATAGATGTCAGTATAATCATAAATTATACATGGAAAGTAAAATTAAACATTTATTATATGCTATTGGAATTAAGGGTTACAAATACAGGATGTGTTAGAAATAGAACTGATAAGTAAGACTGTTATATTAGTTGTTTTCTTGTAACACATCATTTTTTAAATCTAATTTTTTGTGTTTTTGTTTTCTTTAGCTTTTACTATTAGATAAGATGGTTGTATTAGTTTTATATTGCTTCATAACAAATTACCAGCCAGGCGTGGTGGCTCATGCCTGTAATCCCAGCACTTTAGGAGGCCAAGACGGGCAGATCACGAGGTCAGGAGATCCAGACCATCCTGGCTAACACAGTGAAACCCTATCTCTACTAAAAATACAAAAAAATTAGCTGGGCATGGTGGTTGGTGCCTGTAGTCCCAGGTACTCAGGAGGTTGAGGCAGGAGAATGGCGTGAACCTGGGAGGTACAGCGTGCAGTGAGCTGAGATTGTGCCACTGCACTCCAGCCTGGGTGACAATGCAAGACTCCATCTCAAAAAAAAAAAAAAAAATTACCACAAACTAAGCTGCTTAAATGAACACATATGTATTATCTCACAGTTTCTGTGGGGTCAGAAGTCGACGCATGGCTTACTTGGGTTCTCTGCTCAGTCTTGCAAATCTGCATTCAAGGCATTGGCCAGGTGGTGGTCTCATCTGGAGTTATGACTGGGGAACTGGAAAGGAATCTGCTTCCACGTTCATTTAGGTTATTGTCTAAGTAAGGCAATGTTGTACAGCAGTTATCACCCAGGTTCTTGGCAGAATCTATTTTCTTATAACTGTAGGCTGGATTTTTTCTCTTTGTAGCTAGAGGTCACCCTCAGGTCCTAGAAGCCACCCAAAATTCCTAAAGGCCACCTGTAGTTCCTAATGGTCTCCTACAACAAAGCCACTTACACCATCAAGCCGGCAAGGAAATTCTCTAGCTTTAGTAGGTCAAGAAGCAGTCATGGCTGGGTACAGTGGTTCATGCCTGTAATCCCACCACTTTGGGAGGCTGAGGCAGGTGGATCACGAGGTCAGGAGATTGAGGCTATCCTGGCTAACATGGTGAAACCCCATCTCTACTAAAAATACAAAAAATTAGCCGGGCGTGGTGGTAGGCACCTGTAGTCCCAGCTACTCAGGAGGCTGGGGCAGGAGAATGGCATGAACCCAGGAGGCAGAGCTTGCAGTGAGCCGAGATTGTGCCACTGCATGCCACAGAGCAAGACTCCATCTCAAAAAAAAAAAAAAAAAAAAAAGAAGCAGTCATATAACATATTCATGATAGCAATATACCATATACCATATTCTTGTCATATAGTGCAATGTAATTATGGGAGTGACATAGAATGGCTTTTGCCATGTTCTATTAGATAGAAGTAAGAGAGAAACCTCATTCATATTCAAAGAGAAGGAGTTACATAAATGCATGAATACCACTGGATGAAAATAATTGGAGGCTAACCTAGAGTCTGTCCTACAAAATAACTAATGTAACATCTTATAGGCTGAAACAGACTCAATTCAAACGGCTTTATCACTGCTCAGTGATCACTGCCCAGTTTTCTACGTTATTTACTTTACATAATGTTTTCTATAGACATCAAACACTTTGAGTTTTAAAACATTTCCAAGTGATAGTTATTGTAATGCATTTAATTTTATTTGTAATCTTATAATACTAGCAAGTTTTTGTTCTATTTCCATATTTTGGTATACATATTCATGGTATAACAAGCAGATACCTAGCAGTGCTTTTAGAACATGATTATATCATTCATAACCTGTTAGACTGATACTTATTTTCTATTTCTGCTCTTTCAACTCAGAAAATGTAGATCATATTTGTCTTATAATTTAAAGATATAAATAATGTAATCAGACATACTGTATCAATCCAATTTTACACTGTTATAAAAAAACTGCCCAAGACTGGTAATTTATAAAGAAAAGAGGTTTAATTGACTCACAGTTCTGCATGGCTAGGGAGGCCTCAGGAAACTTACAACCATGGTGGAAGGCAGCTCTTCACAGAGTAGCAGGAGAGAGAAGAAGTGAATGAGAGGGGAACTATCAAATACTTGTAAAACCATCACATCTTGTGAGAACTCACTCACTATCATGAGAACAGCATAAAGGGAACCAGCTCCATGACTAGATCACAATGATCTAATCACCTGCCACCAGGTCTCTCCCTCAATGCCTGAAGATTACAACTCAAGATGATATTTGAGTGAGGACACAAATCCTAACCATATTATTACACCCCTGACCCCTCCCAATCTCATGTCTTTTCACAATTTAAACCATTCATGCCTTCCCAACAGTGCCCCAAAGTCTTAACTCATTTCATCATTAACTCAAAAGTCCAAGTGACATCGAATTCAAGACAAAGCAAGTCCCATCCACCTATAAGCCTGGAAAATCAAAAGCAAGCTAGTTACTTCCTAGGTACAATGGGAGTATAGGCATGGATAAATGCTCCCATCCCAAATGGGAGAAATTGGCCAAAACAAAGAGACTACAGGTCCCATGCAAGTTCAAAATCCAGCAGGGTGTTCATCAAATCTTAAAGCCCCAAAATGATTTCCTTTGACTCCATGTCTCACATCTAGGTCACAATGATCTAAGGGTTGGGCTCCCACCATCTTAGGCAGCTCCACCCCTGTGGCTTTGCATGGTATAGCCCTCATCCCAGCTGCTTTCATGGGCTGGCTTTGAGTGTCTGCACCTTTTCCAGGTGCACAATGCAAGCTGTTGGTGGATCTACAATTCTGGAGTCTGGAGGATGGTGGCCCTCTTCTCATAGCTCCACTAAGCAGTGCCCCAGTGGGGATTCTGTGTTGGGGGCTCTGACCCTACATTTCCCTTCTGCACTGCCCTAGCAGAGGTCCTCCATGAGGGCTTTGCCCCTGCAATAGACTTCTATCTGGACATCCAGGTGTTTCCATACATCCTCTGAAATATGGGTGAAGGTTCTCAAACCTCAGTTCTTGGCTTCTGTGCACCCACAGGCTCAACACAACATGGAAGCCTCCCAGGCTTAGGGTTTTCACCCTCTAAAGCAAAGGACCAAGTTGTACCTTGGCCCCTTTTAGCAATGGCTGCAATGCAGGGCAGCAAAGCCCCGAGCCTGACCCACAAAATCATTTTTTTCTCCTAGGCTTCTAGTCTTGTGATGGGAGGGGCTGCCAAGAAGACTTCTGACATGTGCAGGAGACATTTTCCCCATTGTCTTGGCAATTAACATTTGGGTCCTCATCACTTATGCAAACTTCTTCAGCCTGCTTAAATTTCTCCCCAGAAAATTGGTGTTTCTTTTTCTTTCTTTTCTTTTTTTTTTTTTTAAATCAACAAACATTTATTTCTCATGGTTTGTGAGGCTGGGAAGTCCAATATCAAGGCACTGGCAGAGTCCATGTCTGGTAAGGGCCTGCTTCCCGGTTCAAAGATAGCTATTTTCTCACTGCACCCTCTCATGGTGAAGGGCAAAGCTAGCTCTCTAGGGACTCCTATCAGGAAACTAATCCCAGTTACAAGTTCTATCACATCATCAGGCTGCAAATTTTCCAAACTCTTATGCTCTGCTTCCCTTTTCTTTCCTTTTTTTTTTTTTTTTTTGAGACAGAGTCTTGCTCTGTTGCCCAGGCTGGAGTGCAGTGGCGTGATGTTGGCTCACTGTAAGCTCTGCTTCCTGGGTTCACGCCATTCTCCTGCCTCAGCCTCCTGAGTAGCTGGGACTACAGGCGCCTGCCGCCACACCCGGCTAATTTTTTGTATTTTTAGTAGAGACGGGGTTTCACCGTGTTAGCCAGGATGGTCTCGATCTCCTGACCTCGTGATCTGCCCGCCTCGGCCTCCCAAAATGCTGGGATTACAGGCATGAGCCACCGCACCCAGCCTCTGCTTCCCTTTTAAACAGAAGTTCCAATTTCAGATCATCTCTCTCAAGTTTAATGTTCCACAGATCTCTAGGTCAGGGACAAAATGCTGCCAGTCTCTTTGCTAAAGAATGACCTTTGCTCCAGTTCTCAGTAAGTTACTCACCTCCAAATGAAACCACCTCATCCTGGGCTTCATTGTCCACATCACCATCAACATTTTGGCCAAAACTATTCAACAAGTCTCTAGGAGACTCCAAACATTCCCACATCTTCCTGTCTTCCTTTGAGCCCTCCAAACTGTTTAAACTTCTGCCTGTTACCCAGTTCCAAAGCCGCTTCCACATTTTCGGGCATTGTTATAGCAGTACCCCACTCTACCAGTACCAATTTACTGCATTAATTTGATTCCACAATGTTATAAAGAACTGCCTGAGATTAGGTAATTTTTTTTTTTTTTAAAGAGAGAAGTTTAATTCAGTCATAGTTCTGCATGCCTCGGGAGAACCTTTGGAGACTTCAAATCATGGTGAGAGGCACCTCTTCAAAGGATGGCAGGAGAGAGAAGAAGCAAACAAGAAAGGAGCTGTCAAACACTTATAAAACCATCATAGCTCATGAGAACTCACTCACTATCATGAGAACAGGACGGGGGGGAATTGCCTCCATGATCTAACCACCTCCCACCGGGTCTTCTTGCTCAACACCTGAGGATTACAATTGAAGATGAGATTTGAGCAGAAACACAAAGCCTAACCATATCACGTACACATACCTGTCACTTATCTCTCAACTGAAAGCCCCATATTGAAAATGTTTTTGTGTATTTCCGTGTTGCTGGTAGTATGTTTAAAAGTTATATTGGATTATAGCTCTTTTTTTGGTTGCTTATAAAAATCCCTAAGGGAAAAATAAAGATATTATATTTCCAAAATAGCTAAAACATGATGAGTTCTGAAGAAACTCTTTTAAAATGAGTAATGGTTGACTGATAATTACAACTTTTCAACACCTAATTCAAATTGTTTTCATATCTAGAGGTATACTTTTTTCTTTCTATAGTCACATGAAATGTATCTTGTGTATAGCCAACATTATAGAAATTATTCAACAGGGTCAAAAAGCAGCTGTTCAAAAAAGCCCCAGCATGAAAAAGTTTGTGTGGATTTATAGTGATATGCAGATATTCCTTGGCTAATCCAAAGACTTGGTTTTGACTAAAAATTGTATTTGAAATGAAATTACTGGCCGAGCACAGTGGCTCATGTCTGTAATCCCAGCATTTTGGGAGGCCGAGGCAGCCAGATCACTTGAGGTCAAGAGTTTGAGACCAGTTTGGTCAACATGGTGAAACCCCATCTCTACAAAAAATACAAAAATTAGCTGGGTGTGGTGGTGGTAACCTGTAGTTCCAGCTACTTGGGAGGCTGAGGCACAAGAATCACTTTAATCTGGGAAGCGGAGGTTGCAGTGAGCCAAAATCATGCCACTGTACTCCAGCCTGGGCGACAGAGTGAGATTCCACCTCAAAAAAATAAAATAAAAAATAAAAAAATAAAGAAAAAAGAAATTGCTTTTTTTCATAAAAACTATTATGCTATTAAGAAATGACCAAAAATTTTTTAAAAGTTGCATTTTTGTTTCTTATTTCAAAATGAGGCAAGCACTTTTAGTAAACTAAGCTCATCAGAACTTTAAGAGAATTATTAGCTTTATATGTTTATTCATAGCTGTTTAAAGGAGTATCTTAAGCAGTTAGATATTGAAGCTACTTTGTAGAAACTTGGACCCACTTCTAGCACTTTTTGAACTAGAGGATTTGCATTTCTAACTATCTATCAATTAATTCTCTCTCTCTCTCTTTCTCTCTCTCATCTGTGTATCACGGCTAGTTCTTCAAACAGAGAAAGAAGGATATCATCACATGTAAAAACTATAGAATGATTGAAAGAAGTAAAGAAAGAGATAAGTATCTTTGCTTTGTTAGCAGTTCTTTGAGGCAATAAACTATTTATTGTCTGTTAGCCTCAGTGACCAAAAAAAAATACCTTCTCCTGTGAACCACGTTTGTTTTAAAATAAATCTAAACTGAAATTCAGTTTAAAATTACCTAATTCTTAAGCCAATTTCACCACTATAGGGAAAAGTTATTTAGTACACAGTGTCCTTATCTTCTAATGCATGGCAGAGGAGGATCTATGTATAGTCTTGAAGCCTGTGAGAGTGACTTTAATTTGTAAACATAATTTTTTTCAAATAATTTGCTTTAAATTTTTAAAATATATGCTTCTATGCTATGTTATAACTATATTTTGTTGTTGTTGTTTTGTAAAACAGTTTCAAATTCTTAACCCTCAACGGTATCTTCTTATTCAATGAGAATATAATAATCTGCTGATTAATTCAATTTCAAAATACTAGAATGAATATGAGTATAACACTATATAGCAAGTTCAAGGTGTCAGAAATTTTTCTTCCTTATAATATCATGCCAGGTGGAATTCCAGGGTTCTCAAATCTGCGAATAAATATGCAGTCACATTAACAGTAATACTTACGTAATATTGAACTAATACCTGTATATGTAATGCAAAGTCACATCCAAATTAATTCTACTTGTATTTTATGATTTTAGGGGTGGTTGTTTGTCATATATGAGAAGAAAACAGTTTCCTTAAATTATTCAGACCAAGACATTATTAGGAAAGTTTTATTCTTATAAATTATTTGAAGAAGTTATTATTTTTATTTTCTTCTTCCATTGTTGTTATACTATATTTGACAAAATAAATGGAAGAGATCCATATCAAATTCTAACCTCTGAAAATATAGCACACATCTTCACTTCTGGAATTCATTGGATATAAAAACTACAGCATCTCATGTAACTGCATACATTCATACATACCTACATAAACACACACACAGAAAATTGACCTGAAAAAGTTGTAGATGGCTTTAGCTGCTTTTGTTCTTACAAGCATGTGATATATACTCTTGTTTAAACATGAAGACCAGTATTTTCTTCACATCATTGAGTAACAAAGTGCTTTTGGGTCTTTCTGTAATTAATTTTGTAGAAAATTGGAAGCCAAATGTTTACTTCCATCAATAGATGAGTGGCATTTTTTTTTTTTTAATTGAGTTGGAGCCTTGCTTTGTCACCCAGGCTAGAGTGCAGTGGCACCATCTTGGCTCACTACAACCGCCACTTCCCGGATTCAAGCGATTCTCCTGCCTCAGCATCCTGAGTAGCTGGAATTACAGACGCATGCCACCACGCCTGGCTAATTTTTGTATTTTTTAAGTAGAGATGAGGTTTCAGCATGTTGGCCATGCTAGTCTCAAACTCCTGACCTCAAGTGATCCTCCCGCCTCAACCTCCCAAAGTGCTGGGATTGCAGGTGTGAGCCACTGCAACTGGCCAATAAGTAGCATTTTTAGACCATCTCTTTTACTTAGAATAACTGGAAAATCTGGAAAACTAAATTTTAAATAAATTAATGTGTCTGTCTATGGGTATCAGGGATAGCATAAGCAGCAAATTCTTGATGGTCCAAAAACCCAGGAAATAAATAAAGCTCTGAGATGTAAGCCCAGAACTAGGCATTACTTTTTCTTTGAAGTATTTTCATTTTAAAAGCTGTGGTTTATGAGCTCAACTAATAAGCTGGGCATTTATCAAACTCATTAGGAATGAAAGTAAAATGGAAATTCAGGACCTCTCAAAAAATGGAGACTGTAGTAAATGTCGCAATGCTTTCATTTTGGACCCTTAAAATCACATGTTGGAGTAAGAGCAACCAGGATAAGACCACCTTCATAGGCAAAGAAACCCATGTTTGAATCATTAAATAATGGATTGACTTAGAGTGATCTTTATAGACAGACTTATACCTAATTTCCAACATACTATGGAAACTAACAAACGAAAACACACAAGACGTATAAGACTTGGCTGAAAAATAGGAGGTATGCTCTTTGAATGTGTTAAAAAGGCAATAGATATATTGACCTATAGAAAAGAAACATATGAGAAAAATTCTGAAATAGTAAGAAGAAAATATTTCAACAGAAACTCAAACATAAAAAGACAAAATAAAGAATTTTTTTGAAACATAGATTAGTAAGTCAAACATGCATAATTAAAATATTAGATAAAAGAAAAAATAGAGTGGAAACAATTTTTGAAAAGACAATCTTAGAGTTTCCAAAGCTGGCAAAAATTGAAGACACTGTTCCAAGAATATCAATTACTCAAATGTCTTATGAGAAAAAGAAAACCACACATAGCATAGTAAAATTGCTGAAAACCATAGACAACCAAGAGGAAATCTTAAACACTGCCATAGAATAAAGACAATAAAAATACTATAGACAACAGGTGTCTCACAGATATAGTGGAATCAAGAAGAATATGGAGTAACTATACTATGACAAAAGAAAACTGCAAATTAATAATTCTATTACCAAGAAAATAACCTGTCAAAAACTGGCAATAGTACTCACATACTAAATGAAATACTAATGGTTTTCCAGCAGAAAAAAGAAAAATAGTGTCAGATGGCAGTCTCGAGATTCAGGAAGGAAGAAATGAAAATGAAATATACTAGCAAATCGCCATTACTGTTGATTATTTAAAAATTGCAATAATAGATCATGTAATGTCCCAAACATGCCCAAATTTAAATAAACAACAGGCAAAATTTATAATATGATGAGAAATAAATGGATTTAAAGCATTGTAAGATCTTTGCACTCTCTGAGATGTAAAAGCACTTACATTAGACTATCAGTGACTCGTGGTATTTTCTGTATGAAAACTACTGAAAGTCCTACAATATTCAATTTATAAACTACTAGAGAAGAAAATTGAAATAAAAATAGAATAAAATAATAAAACGGAAAGCCGATATTGAATTGGCAAGTTAGGACCTCAATTTGTCAGTTTTATAATTAAACATCAATGCAATAAACATTCTATTAAAAGATAAAATTGAAAACCTTTGATAAAACATAATAAAAAATACACTGCTTAATACATGATATCTTAAATACAGTAAAACAGATATATTAAAAACAAAAGATGGAAAAGTTATACCCTGCAAATATTATTCAAAATAAGTATAGCTATGTAAATATTAGGCAAGATTGATTTTTAAGACAAGAATTATTAATCCAGAAAAAGGGACATTTCATAAAGATAAAAGAATAAATCTGCCAGGAAGATGTAATTATTCCAAATTTGGGAAAACTGATATAATGACCCTAAAATATGTAAATATAAAATTGACTGAACATATATAAGAATAGACAAATCTTTACTCACAATGGGATATTTTATTACAATACTTTTAGTAAGTGATTGACAAGCAAAAAAAAGTAATGATATAGAAAATTGAACATAATTATAAAATAGACTTTGTAGACACATACAAAATGCAGCACATAATCACTTCAGAATGCAAATCTGATTAAGGTATACAAAAATTCCACAAATTCATATTGATATGCTGTATCATTTCAAATAACTGAAATCATGTTGAATATGGTATCAGAGTATAATAAAATTTAACTAGATTTTTTTAAAAAAAGAATAAAACACTTGAAAATCTCTAGATGATTGAAAATTAGGAAATAAATTTATAAGTAGCCAATGGGACAAAGAATAAATAACAAAGGAATTTAAAATACGTTGTATGATAAATGATTTTAAAAACACTATAAATCAAGTTTATCAGATGCTGTTAAACAAGAAATAACGGGAAATTATATTTTAAAATAAGAAAGCCTAAATAGGAATGATCTGCTACAGAGTTGGGAAATCAAGGCCCGCAAGCAAATATGGTTCACTGCTCTTTATAAAAATACAGTTTTATGGAAACACAACCACTTGTTCATCTGTCTATGGCTATCTTCACACTACAATTGCAGAGTTTAAAAGTTTAGACAGAGACTGTATGGACCATAGAGACTAAAATATTTACTATGTTGTCCTTATAGAAAAAGTTTGCTAATCCTGGTCTATCTCAAGAAATTACTAAAGGATCAGTGAAATAAGATAATGTGAGATTAAAATAATGAAAAAAATAAATATGATACAAAATTAATAAAATATAAAACTACCATTTAATAGAAGATGTCAACAAAGACAAAAAGATGTTTTTGGAAAAAGATCAGCGTAATGAATAAATACATGACAAGACTAAATAAGAAAAAA
Organism: Homo sapiens; assembly: GCF_000001405.40. Taxonomy (NCBI): domain Eukaryota; kingdom Metazoa; phylum Chordata; class Mammalia; order Primates; family Hominidae; genus Homo; species Homo sapiens. The sequence continues at coordinate 34,787,996 of NC_000004.12, forward strand.
GGTCATGCAAAAAACCAACATTAGACATTAATTGAAAATAACCTACAGACACTAGTAATTTTAAAAGATAGTAGGAGGGTACTAAGGGACAACATTTAAAGTTTAGATAAATTTGGATAAATCAAACAAATCACCAAATTTACTAAATCTAACAAAAGAGAAATATATATTACATTGAATTTATATCTATTTAATTTAAACTCTGGAATTAAACATTTTTTCCACAAAGAAAAGTGCAAGCATAGATGATTTTCATTATTAATGAAATCTTTCCAACATTTAAGTAATGGATAAATAACTTTCTTGTAGAAAATAACTAAGAAGAGAGCATAGTCCAAAAAATTTATGATAGTAGCATAACTTTGATACCAAAATATGACAATATTATAATCATACTTACAATGATAACAAATTTCCTAAGCAAACATAGGTATTGTAAATAATCATATGCTCTGGCAAGGATAATACATTACAAGAAATGGTGCTAATTCCAAAATGTAAAATAGGTTTAACATCCAAATGTCAGTTCAAATCCTATATTAATAGAAGAGAAAAGATCATTTATATCATCATCTCAATTGATAGAACAAAAGCACTCAATATAATTTCACTAATCATTTATAACAAATTCTAGCATTAAACTAAAAATAAAAAGCTCCCTTAGTCTGATAAAAGTAATTAAAAAATACTATAAAAAACATCACACTTAATGATGAAATATGGCTTTCTCCCTGAGATAGGAATGAGGTCAAGATATTTATTATCATGGCTTTTATTCAACTTTCTCACACAAGATTTGTCATGTGCAATATGGAAAAAAATAAGCACATGCCAAGTTTTAAAAAAGAGGTATAATTGGAATTTTTTAAAATAAAATATCATACATGTAAATATATACGTACTTGTGTGCATATATATGTGCGTGCGTGTATATATAAAGGTCTTGATATTTGTATAAAAATAAGATGAAAATTCAACACTATATTAAAAGTGGGGTTAGGGAATGTAATATTTACTATAGTTAGATTTGTAAACTGAAGTAATTATTGCAAATATTAATTGTATCTCTGTGAACTAGTAGGAATAATAAAAGGAAATAACTGTCTTTTATTCATTTAAGTATGCTAGAATATATTGATGGAGCATGCTATGGGCTAAATTGTATATCCCTCAAAATTCGTGTCAAAAAAATGTGATCAAAAAATGTGATCAAAAAATGTGTTGATCCCAGTACCCAACAATATTTAAAGTAAGTTAAAATTAGGCCATTCGGATGGGCCCTAATTTTACGTGAGTAGTGTCCTTGTAAAAAAGAAGAAGATTGGACACACAGAAGACACCAGATTATATACACAAAGAGAAAAAAAATCATCTGGGTACACAGCTAGAAGGCAATGATCTGCAAGTCAAGGAGAAAGGTCTCAGAAGAAACCAGATCTGCTGACACCTTGATCTTGTCCTTCTAGCCTTCAGTCTTTGGTATTTTGTTATGGCAGTCTTAGCAAATTGAGAGAGAGAAGTACTTAGAAAATCGACTTTCAAAAATCTTGTGTTTGATGCTGTAATGAAGAGAGTGAGAAGGGACTGGAGAAAAGACAGTGGGAGGAAAAGAGTCTACCGATCTTCAAAAACAAAACAGATATTCCTGGAAAGCAGTTGGGTAACATAAAGTTCAAACATTAAAAGTCCAATTTATACAGCTTATGATGAGCAATTCTACTCTGAGAAAATGCAAAACATCTGAAATAAAGAAACTCCCTACTGACTCTTCTGGTCTCCTAAGAGTACCATTTTTGCCTTTGTTTAATTTTACTTTGAATTTTAATTTTTCTGCTTGTATTTTTGCATTCCAAAATATGAAACTGATGTACTGAGGAGCCTCATTGGGATTCCTGTAACAGTTTTTTTCTTATGAAAAAGGCTCTAGAGTCCTAAAATGGGTTTCGTGGTCCAACTCTTTCGAATCTCCAGCTTGTTTAAACGGAAGATTATATATCTCCTCTATGAGTGTTTGCTTGCAAATTGAATAAAGAACTACACTTGATTAAAACAGCATTGCCAAAAAAATCCAAGCAATTCATGACCTTCCATATGCAGTCTTCTCAGACAACCAAGGGCCTTAAATATTTCACTCACTGTATCTTATGAGAACAGCCTTTCTTGGTGCACAGCCACACATAAATTTAAAGGTCACAAATTCAAGAAAAATCACTTGTAACAAGCTCCTGCAGGAATTGCTTTATAGGATGGAGAGTGACGACAGTGGTTCTTTTGTGAAAAGAACAAAGCTCTTTGCCCTTGTCTGTTATTTTGAGAAGCCTATGGCCAACCTGCTTTGAAATCCCATTGTGCTCTTGACACAGTACGTCAAACTGTTATGAGCCAGATGTACATCCTTTCAGAAGGGGAAATCAACTGAATGATGGAAAACCTGGCTCAAGTTGGATTATTACCCAGTTCTTTCTGTCTGGAGGAAGAGATTTGGAAGCAAGAGTAGGATTTTCCCCTAGAGGTACAGAAGACAGCACAGGAATCATGCTTTCTTGCTTTGGATAAGTTCCAAGTTTTTTATGTTAAGTTCAATATTTCCATCTCTCATGCACACTTATCAGTTGGCTCCCAACTTCAAATTACTTATGTTAGGATAAATTTAATGAGGAAAAGGATATATAAAATAGGAAAGTAAGCCAGAGTATCTCATAAGTTATTTGTAAAGTTAATGGAAACATGCATCTCCTTAAATAAGAGGAAGAAATTGACAGTTATGGTATATAGTTTCTACAAACATGCTCCAAAGAGGATTCCTAAGAGTAAAGCCAGTAGAATAGTAAATATTATGTGTCATCTAATTTGTGTGTATTCACAGAAAAATCTAATGTTGGTTCTATAATTATTAAGTAAAATAAACACTGAACTGGAAGCCAAACATGTCTTTCTTAGACTCATAAGGTGTTAGTTGTAAAATTGGGAAGTTTATTTAATGTATTTTGTGTTACAGACACTGAAATGAGAGAGCACAGATCATAACCTCTGAAATTTCCCGCAGGTTTAACATTCTAAATTGTTTCCCTTTGTTTTTTCTTTAAATGTAAAGTCCATTATTTTGTGATTCAACATTATACTTCCTGGATTAAGGAAAATATGCAGGTTTGTATATTGGAATACTAGTGTCTATGTGGCGATGTGTGTGTTTGTGAGAATATAGCCCACTTTTTTAAAAGTAAATGATCACTCCTCACTCACAGGCTTGGTGCTGTGGGATTATGCTCTTATTCCTCCAATCAGGGCATCTCTTGAAGAAGTAGTTGTCTCTTTCATGTAAGTAGTTCATAAAAAGGGAAAGTGGAACAGCTGCTCCCAGAGAAGAGGGCACTGCACACATCATTCAAATTGATGCTCATTCCTCTAGAGTGATCAGTTGAAGTGCTAATGAGGCAGGCTCAGAGCCTCTGGCCTAAATATTCTGAACTTTGCTTTCCCTTTTAGTACTGTACTACCTCTACAGTGCAAAATGAAAGTTATAGCTGAGGTCCTTCTCCTAAGCGGTATGTATTTTTCTCAGAACAACTTACTATAGGAAATTATAGCAAAGGCAGCGGGAGAAAACTTCTATAATGCACAAGTACCCTTTTTCTTATTTTAACTACAAAGATAAGTGACTGCCCTCCTAGAAACCCTCCTGGACAAGTCACATCTATAAGTTCTTGGGTGAAATTATGTCTCAAGAACTAAAGTCTCCTAAGCTAATTGTGATGTAAGTTTTTGTTGTCATAAGGGTTGTTTTTGAATGTAGAGAGTCTATTCAGGAATTTTAAAGTTTCCGTTTCAAAACTTGACTTCTTTTGTAGGTTTTTACATTCAGCTTGCAAATCTTAGCAGAGTATGCATGAGTCAGGCATATTTTAATAAACTTTGAATAATTCTATTCTCACCTGTAAATTAAATTCAAAACTTCTTTTTAAATATGTAGAGAGAACCTGCATATTTATTTGAATTATTCTTCAGAATTTAATTTTCAGATAAAATAATTTTCTGAGTACTTAAATAACTTTTATAAATATAAATACATATAATTTACAACTACAGTGAACCTAAAATTCTCTTAAATGTTGCAGAACCATGAATATATTTTAAAAGACTTTAAGACAAATTAGAATGTTAAATCAGCTACTGCCTTACATATCTTAAATTTAGGTTACAAAGCAGTTATTCCAAAGGACCAAGTTCTCTTAAACATACAACAGTATATGACTGCATACTTATTGTAAGCCAAAAAGTATCTGAGACAGATCTCAATCAATTTAGAAAGTTTATTTTGCTAAGGTTAGGAACATACTTGTGACACAGCCTCAGGAAGTCCTGAAGACATGTACCCAAGGTGGTTGGGGCACAGCTGGTTTTATACGTTTTCGGGTGACATGACACATCAATCAATATATATATAAGATTTACATTGGTTAGGTCCAGGAAGGTGGGACAACTTGAAGCAGGGAGGGGGCTTCCAGGTCATAGGAAGATAAGAGACAAACATATTCCTTTGAGTTTCTGATTAGCCTTTTGCTGAATGCACAATCTACAAAAATAGTCACTTATGCCTTAGTCTGGCTTAGTGAAACAATAGGGCAAAAGAAATAATTTGATATGTATTTATCTCACATGAGCAGAGGGATTACTTTGAATTCTGCCTGTCCTTTGTCCACAAGGAACTTCTTTGTGGGCAAGTTGTGAGGGAGGTTTTGTAGCTTTATTATTATTTTTAAAAATCTCTGTATCTGTCTTATTTAAAAATAGAATGGGAGGCAGGTTTGCTTTACACAGTTCCCAACTTGACTTCTCCCTTTGGCTTAGTGATTTTAGGGTCCCAAGATTTTCCTTTCACATTGTTCTCTAGCTTTGGTTTTCCTATTTACAGCTTCTTATTATACATATGTTGGTTCCTCTTTTTTAATCCTCTATATTTACTACTTTCTCACAGTTATTTTAATCTCATTTTAAATGTGGGTTTTTCCTACATTTTTATCCTAGATTTTTGATATGCTATTTTGTGTTATGTTAGTTACTCTTGTTCTCCTCATATTTCAAACTGTATTTCTAAACTGATTTTTCTCTTTCACTTCCATTTTTTTGTTGGTCTCTGTATGCTCTGTTCTCATGTCTTTCTTTGTCAAATCATCTCATTTCTGAGTTTTAAAAATTCTAATACATACAGATTAAAGTTTTTTTTAAATTTAAATATTTTCAAAATGTTAGTTTACAGTTTTATGTTTTGTGAGTACATATTTTCCATGGGAATTCTTGTTTGTAAAACAATTATTCTGTTTTATATTTCCTTTTGTATTAATATAAAGTTTGATTTTAATCATTTTCTCTGTCTTATATTTAGGTGAGGTACATATTTCTATAGGAGGTAGTTGCTGTGTAGGAATAAGAGGTTTTGAGACTGAATCTCTAGGGCTTCTTTTTTTCTTGTTACAAGTGTTATAACATTTGAACTTACTTAATTTTATAAAACATGCCAATCCTGTGTTCTCCTTCAAATTTTTTTTTTTTTTTTTTTTTTTTTGAGACAGAGTCTCTCTGTCACCCAGGCTGGAATGCAGTGGCATGATTTCAGCTCACTGCAACCTCTGCCTCCTGGGTTCAAGCAATTCTCTTGCCTCAGCCACCACAGTAGCTGGAAGTACAGGAGCACACCACCATGCCCAGCTAATTTTTTTTGTATTTTTCAGTACAGATAGGGTTTCACCATGTTGGACAGGCTGGTCTTGAATTCCTGACCTCAAGTGATACACCTGCCTTAACCTCCTAAAGTGCTGAGATTACAGGCATGAGCCACCGCACCTGGCCTCCTTCAACTTTTATTCAGACCTTTTGTTGTTGTACCCAAATTTCCTGTTCTATTCAATTTGGATTTGACTTTCTCAAATTTTATACTGTTGAAATGTCAAGTTGTATATTAAAATAGAAGGAAATTTCAGTAGTAAATTGCCAGAGTTTATGAAATAAAAGCATCCTAAAACTCACTGAATTTCCAGTGGTCTCTTCATTTGTCAGTAAATTGGAGACTATAAAGGTTGTTCCTAGTTTTGGTTGCTATTCTCAAAGCATGCCATTAAACTTTATACATATATTGGGGACCCCTCCATTTAAAGATGAATATCTGTTGGCTATTTCTGAGTTCTCCAGCTCTAAAGAACATTAAAAAACTGTGTTAGTTTAGGTTCTCCAGAGAAAGATAATCAATATATATGGTTCTCGGCCCTTCAGACTCTAGGAATTACAATCTGCATGGTTAACTTCAGACTGAAAGCCAGTCTGAAGTTAAATGGCTTAGTGAAGGCTCCCAGTCTGAAGTTAAACATGAGATTCAATGTCCAAGGACAGGAGAAGATGGATATCCCAGCTTAAGAAAATGGACAGAATTCTCTTGTTTTCTTCCTGCTTGTTCTATTTGGGTAGAATTTCAATGGACTGGATGATGAGCAACCACATTGGTGAGGAAGAATCTTTTTTATTGTGCCTACTGATTCAAATGCTATTATCTTCTGGAAATATCCTCACAGACACACCCAGAAATAATGTCTTACCAGCTATCTTGGTAATCCTTCACTGAGTCACGTAGAGTCATGAAATTAACCATCACAGAAACACGTTGTCTTTTCTTTCTTTCTTTTTTTCTTTTTGGCATATATGCTTTGTAACTCAGGTTTTTACACTTACGATAGCTTAGCTTGTCCAACCCTTTGAATGCAAGGACATATTTGCTTATCTGTGGTGGCAGATATCACGAAAATTATGTGTAGATTTTTATTTTATTTTATTTTATTTTTAGCTCATCAGCTAGTGTTAGTGTTAGTGCATTTTATGTGTGGCCCAAGTCAATTCTTCTTCCAATGTGACCCAGGGAACCCAAAAACTTGTACATGCTGGGCCTATTCTCTTTCTAGCTGATAGTTCATAGCAAAGCATTTTTTTTACTAGGTTTTTGTTTTGTTTGAAATTTATGTTTTGTGTTTTGTTATTTTCAGTTAATTTTAATTGTTTAATATTTATTTTCTGTGGGTATATAGTAAATGTATATATTTGTGGGGTATATGATACAGGCATGCAATGTGAAGTAAGTGCATCATAAACAACGGAGTATCCATTCCCTTAAGCATTTATCCATTGAGTTGCAAACAATACAATTACACTCTTAAGTTATTAAAAAAAAGTACTGTTAAGTAATTATTGACTATAGTCAACCTGTTGTGCTATCAAATAGTGGGTCTTATTCATTCTTTCTATTTTTTCTATACCCATTAACCATCCCCACCTCTCCCACAGTGCCCTACTAGTCTTCCCAGTCCCTGGTAACCATCCTTCTACTCTCTATGTCCGTGAGTTTGTTTTAATTTTTAGATTCCATAAATAAGTGAGAACATACGTTTGTCTTTCTGTGCCTGTCTTATTTCACTTAACATAATGATCTCCAGTTCCATTCATTTTGTTATGTTGTTGCAATTGATTGGATCTCATTCTTTTTTATGGTTCATTAGTACTCCACTGTGAATATGTAGCATGTTTTTAAAAATTAATTCATCTGTCGATGGAAACTTAGGTTGCTTCTAAATCTTAGCTATGGTAAACAGTGCTGCAACAAACATAGGAGTGAAGATATCTCTTCAATATGCTGATTTCCTTCTTTCGATTATATCGGCAACACTAGGATTGCTGCATAACATGGTAACTTTATTTTTAGATTTTTTGAGGAACCTTCAAACTGTTCTCTGTAGTGGTTGTACTAATTTACATTCTCAGCAACAGTGAACAAGGGCTGCCTTAACTCCACATCCTTGAGAGCATTTGTTATTGCCTGTCTTTTGATATAAGCCATTTTAACAGGGGTAAGATAATATCTCATTATACTTTTGATTGGCATTTATCTGATGATCAATGACGTCGAGCACGTTTTCTTTTCTTTTTTTTTTTTTTTTTTTTTTGAGACAGAACGCCAGGCTGGAGTGCAGTGGCCCAATCTTAGCTCCTGGGTTCAAGTGATTCTCCTGCCTCAGCCCCCGAGTAACTGGGATTACAGGCACACACCTCCACGCCCAAATATATATATATATATATATATATTTTTTTTTTTTTTTGAGATGGAGTTTTGCTCTTGTTGCCCAGGCTGGAGTGCAATGGCGTGATCTCGGCTCACTGCAACCTCCGCCTCCCGAGTTCAAGCAATTCTCCTGCCTCAGCCCCCCGAGTAGCTGAGATTATAGACATGTGCCACCACACCCGGGTAATTTTGTATTTTTAATAGAGATATGGTTTCTCCATGTTGATCAGGCTGGTCTGGAACTCCCGACCTCAGGTTATCTGCCCGCCTCAGCCTCCCAAATTTCTGGGATTACAGGCATGAACCATCGTGCCCCGCAAGCACCTTTAATATGCCTGTTTGCCATTTGAATGTCTTCTTTTGAGAAATGTCTATTCAAATCTTTTGCCCATCTTTTGATTGAATTATTAGATTTTTTCCTATAGAGTTGTTAGAGTTCCTTATATATTCTGGTTATTAATCCTTTGTCAGATGGGTATTTCGCAGATGTTTTCTTCCATTCTGTGGGTTGTACCTTCAATCTGTTGATTGCTTTCTTTGCTGTGCAGAAGCTTTTTAACTTGATGTGATCCCATTTGTCCATTTTTGCTTTGATTGCTTGGGCTTTTGGGGTATTACTCAAGAAATTTTTCCCAGACCAATGTCCTGGAAATGTTCTTCAATGTTTTCTTATAGGAGTTTCATGGTTTGGGGTCTTCAATTTAAATATTTAATCCATTTTGATTTGATTTTTGTATATGGCCAGAGATATGGGTCTGCTTTCATTCTTCTTCATATGGATATACAGTTTTCCCAACACCATTTATTGAAGAGACTGTCTTTTCCCCGGTGTATATTCTTGGCACTTTTATATAAAAATGAGTTCACTGTAGGTGTGTGAATTTGTTTCTGAGTTCTCTATTCTGTTCCATTGGTCTGTGTGTCTGTTTTTATGCCAATCCAATGCTCTGGTAATTGTCTTATGGTTTCCTCGTTTGCCTTTACTTTTTCCTTTCCCTTTCCCTTACTCTTGTCCTTCCTTTCCTTTCTTTCTTCCTTTTTTTCCACCTTCCCTTCCTTCCTGCCTTCCTGTCTTCCTTCCTCCCTTCCTTCCTTCTTCCCTCCATCCCTCCCTCCTTCCTTTCTTTCTTTCCTTTTCTTTCTCTTTCTTTTTCTTTCTTTCTTTCTTTCTTTCTTTCTTTCTTTCTTCTTCTTTCTTTCTCTTTCTTTCCTTTCTCTTTCTTTCTCTCTCTCTCTTTCTTCTTTCTTTCTCCTCCTCCTTCTCCTTCCTTCTTTCCTTCCTTCCTTCCTTCCTTCCTTCCTTCCTTCCTTCCTTCCTTCCTTCCTTCCTCCTTCCCTCCCTCCCTCCCTCCCTTCTTTTTCTTTTCTTTTCTTTTCTTTTTTTCTTGCAATTTTTTGCCCAGTCTCATGGACTTCTGGCCAATGCATGTGCAGGTTGGCATATAGCCAAAGACTCACAGAAAACCCTATGCAAATTATGAAATTCCTTCTCCCCCTGGCTCTCTCCTCTCTGGAATTGTACCCTGTAAATTCTAGTCAGTTCAGCTTCCCTGAACTCAAATTGCTGTCTCTTTCATTCAGTGAGCATGCCAGGTTCTATTTCCCTATATCATGTACTGAAAACTGGCTCCAGGCAGAAAGTCTTGGCAATGGTAGAGCTCAATTCAGTATGTTCCTTATTTTAGAAAATACTATTCTAGTGCTGCTTGTTACCTGATATCTGCAAATTGCTGGTTTTTTTTTTTACATTTTTAAAAAATCGACACACAAAATTTTATATATTTAAGGTATACGATATGAAGATGTAGTATATATTGTGGAATGGCTAGATCAAACAAATAGCATATGTATTAACTAAAATACTTATAACTTTTTTGTGTAAGAAAACAATATTTACTCTCTTTTTCTCTCGATATATATACATATATATATATAGTCACATACTTGATCAATTTTTTCCAGGCATTTGTGTCAGAAAAGTAATTTCAGACCCTGTTACTTTCTTATGAACATAAGTGGAAGGGCTATATTTCACTTTAATACCATTAGTCTTACAAAACATTCTTTCCCCTCAGGCTCAAATATGACAACCGCCTACTTGAAACACTAAAATGGCTAATACCTGTATAAAAATATCTAAAGTTATTAGTTGAGTTTACAATGCCCTTCAAAATCTCGGTCTCTCGGAGCTTATCAAGTACATCTGTGGCTTTTTCTCTTTGTAAGCCAATTTTAATTTTATTTAATCTTATAGTATTTATTGTTTTTCAAAAATCCCTTCAGATTTTCTGTTCTCAACATCTGAAATCTCTACAAGATACAAATTTAATATATGCACAAAGCATCCTGTATTTACAAATAACACTGCCAAATAATGGAAAGTCCATTATTTGTAATGTTTCCATACACTACAAAGATATTGAGAGAGATATCATTGTCATGTATCGCAGTTTGCCAAGTTCCCTTCTCAGTGTCTTTCAAATATCATCTTATTTCTTTTATTTAACTACACAAGTGTCTTCAGTTAGATTGTAGGAATACAAAAGCAGGTCAATTCAAATTTTAAGACTGATGATTCTCAAAGTTGAAACTCATGAATGCTGATAGGAGGTGGGTCTGGAAGATTTTCTCAGTTAACTATGGCTGTATATATTTTACAAACACAGGATTTAGTGGATTAAAGAGTAGCAATTTTATTATTTTTCATGATTCTGTGAGGATTCTGTGTTCTGCAGTAAACTAAGTGGCTTGGCTGGAATGTCCATAATGGCTCATTCACACAGCTGGTTGTTGGTGCAGACAGTTAGTGCAGAGTCTCAACTGGGGCTGTCAAATGAAACACCTCTGTCCTTAACTGCTTGGCCTCTATATGTGGTTTGAGCTTCTCTCAGAGTGATGACTGAGTTCTAAGAGGCATAAAGTGAAAACTGGCAGTCCTTTTAAGGCTGGAATGGAAAGTCCCATACTGTGACACATTTCATTATTAAGGCCAATCATAAGGCCTGCACAGATTCAAGAGCAGATGAAATAACGTCCACCTGTTGCTGTGAGAAATGTATATATGGACACAGAGGAAGAAAATTGTTGGAGGTCATGGTGAGAGAGTAGTTACCACAGGGAACTGGAAGAAATTCTGTTCTCTTTGATATTTCTTTGTAGTCTTCCTTCAATGTGGATTTTTGGTTTGTTTGTTTGTTGGCGGGTATGGGGTTAGAGTGTGGAAAGACCCAGAAAACCAGGAATGTTCATAGCTTACATGACTCTTTATTCCTGTTGTGGCAGCCACAACATCACTTCTTATCTATTTGAAATGTATGTATCTCTTTTTTGGGTACAGAATTTGGATAAGCTTCATATTCTCAGAGGTTATTGCAGATCTCTATCGGTAATATTATTTTCCTGATTTATTTTTGTTAACCATGTTTTGCTCTAATCTCGTAAGTTTTAAGAGTACTATTTGCCATTGTTTATCACAAGGAAGAACTTTGCCAAAACATATCAAAATGAACTTACACAAAAAAAAGTTTCAAAAGTATGTTTGACATTGTGAAAAAACTAAAAAGATTATGATTTTTAAAGTTTGTGATTTAGTTCTTTCCAACATCTCCAGGATTCAACTGTAATAGGAACATACTATTTATGTTTTGTTTTTAAAAATAAAATTAATAAAATTGAATAACTATAAACATTTTTGCTCCAGTTTAATTAAAAAATGTAATAACATATTCCCCCAAGATTGCTTTTCAAACCAAAACTATCATAAATACCACATCCAGGCAGCTAATAAGTATTTGTCTTGAGTATACAATAATTTTTAAATATGGTGAAAAATATCAATATTCTAGCCACAGTGTAAGAAATATGCCAAAAGTATGGTTTGGGTTTACCAAATATGTTTTTTTGTTTTGTTTTTCTTTCTTAGTATTAATCTTATTTTTATGCATATATGTTTAGAGATATATGTTATTTTAAATTTTGATATATGATCATATATCATCAAAAGAATTCTTATGCAAACAATAGAGATCATTCTATTTCTTATATCTACTCATTCTGCAATGAGAATTATTTAGAATCTTCTAAATAATGGGTAGATTTTTGTTGATGCCTGAGAAAACATGCTAATCAATCAGGCTCTTCAGATACAGACACACATTTATATAGGGTAGGATGTCTTCTAGCCAGGTTACAGACAAGTAAATAAATATGATTTTAAAATTATGTAAATGTATTATCTTATATAAAAACATACATTAGGAAAGTTCTTAGTGTTTCTAATTCTGTGCTAATAACATAATTAAATGCACAGATTCTTTTCATATTTCTGCTGTACAGTCCACAGCACTTTGAGTTTTCCCATTAATTTAGCTGCCATGATAGGCACAATTTGGTTATTATAATTCCTGACATCCAGTTAGAAGTGTAACATACAACAGAAAATTGAATATCTGTCTTTCGTGGTTTTTTCAGCTCTCCTATGATAGACATTTCCTCATTGGCTCCAACTGGGACAAATTATGATTCACAACAATGATCACTATTGTCATTGACTTAGACTATTCAAATTTATTTTACATCTAGAGGCAGTCACTATTATTTAGTATGTCAATTATTGTCATACATGTGCTAGTGTGTTTTTGTCTATATTCAGGGAGTTGTCAGTTACTGTTATTTAAAATTATTATCCAAAGAGAAGTCCACATTTCATAATTTAGCTATATTTGTCACTGAGCAGCCCCAGACATGTTCTTAATTAATCAGTTTTCAAAATAGATTTTTATGGAGTAAATTAAAAGTTTGTTAATTAGAAAGTTTGATTTTAGAAATGGAATTTAATTAGTAAAATTAATGAATTGGTAAAAATGTGTGATTCTGATAAAATATTGTAGTGATACTTCCACAAATATATGAACAGGCCATACAAATTTAGTAAGCCCTTGGCTTTCTTACCATTTAGAATCCTGTCTGAGTTTACTTTGGAAACATTCCTTTGTCTAGCCACCAAATACAGAAGATGGTGTTTCCCTGGTGCCTTTTGTCAGATGAATTGAACTCAGTCTGTAGGATAGGGTCATGTTACATTGAGCAAACCTTTCATGCAAAGTGAGTTTAAAGAGTGATGTGTCAATTTGTACCAGCCAAACAGAATCAATGGTTAGCATCTCTTCCCAGGGCATCAGTCAGACACTAATATTGGTTGTTTAAAATTAGCCAGGGCTACATCGAGGAAATCAGAAACCTAGATAGTGATTTTTGGTTTTGGTGTATATATGTATGTGTGTGTTTTCATTGAGCTGGCTTATTAGCAACAGAGTGAGACTCTGTCTCAAATATATATATATATATATGATTAAGAAAAAATATGGATCTAAATGACAATTTTACAAGCACATGCCTAATAACCTTCTTTCTTGACTAACTTAGCCTAGTGCAGGGCTTGACTTTCAGAGCTGTGAGACTGCATAATCTAGCATGTGTTTATCACCTCAGAAAAAGAAAAATAAATTTCATAGTTAAATTAGTTTGGCCATTCTTCTTGGAGATCCTTGATATAAATTAACCTTAAAAAGTTGCTGTGAAATCATGTGGTATAGGAGTATGTTGAAATATCCAGAGCTTTTTAAAATTTTAAATAATACAAACTCTACATTTTCTAATAAAGCAATTTATTGTGTATTAATGTGCTCATAGGAGAAATTGTGGGATGTCTGGATGGAAGAGTAAATTTTTCATCATTGATGCCTATCATTTTCTTACTTCTTTATCTGTTTATTTCTGTCTGTTGGCTACATTCTACAGAGGGGATCTCTCTGTGTGTATCAAAAGGACCACTGACATATGTAGGTTTTCATTCTCTGTGATTGGTGAATCAGAAGGTGTGCTCGGAGAAGAGCTCTAATTGGACACACTTAGATGTTGTGCTTGTCAATGAAATGATTACTGATGCCAGCAGTACTATGGTTGGCCCAGTGGTTATATGGTTGGCCACAGATGCAAGAGAAATGGGCCTTAAAGGAAGCTGAGAGATCAAGACGTGACCTCTATATATCCCACTGCATATTCCCAAACTTGTTGGAACATAGAACACTTTTCTCAAAAACACTTAATATTTTTGCAGATTCCACTCAGATATTGAAATATTTGTAACTGCCTATTGTTCACCTTACAGGGATATTAATGTGTTCACCTGTCAGCCTCCATAATTAAATTTTCCCATTAATGTGAAGTAATGAAACATGCTTCAAATTTCATATACATGCATGATGACTTGTATGTACATTGTGGTCATATCTTTGAATAAAGAAAAATAGTTATGGTTTTCTAGGCATTAGTGAAAACATTGTCAAGCCACATGATATGTTACATAATCTACTGGTAGACTTGGATTTTAAAGATTCTTTTAACACAAAAGTCAGGGCTGTAAAATCTAGCTAAGAACACTGAATAAGGAGTGCTTTGATGCTTAGCTACATAATCAAACAATGTGACAATGGGAAGTGGGAAGATCAAATGATAAGAAGTGGTGACAAATGGGCATTGATTTCAGGTCACTGAAGTGTGTCTCAACCAGTAAAGTGGCCATCCCAAGTTGTTAGGACTTTCACAGTCCATTGAAGATACAAAGAAAGTACTCCAATACTGATATGTGAAAAATGGTAAAGTACATTTTTCCTTAAATCATGTAAGATATATCCCAGTTCAAAACTGTTAATGTAAAATCCAGCAGAAATATTTCATTGTTATATTTAAACGTATCCATATGTTTATGCTTATTTTATAAAAGTTTATGTAACATGTGAGAAAGATACGATTAGAAATAGTTTAAAAATTGATTTGCAAATACAATTCGGAATTTTAGGCAGAAATTATTGAAGAATAATTTAGGCAGAAATTATTAAAGAATTTACTGAATTAAAGCTAATTCGGGGATTGAAAAGACGAATAGTCCAAACATAAGGTAGACTTCAGGTTTGATTGACTCAATCTGCACAGCAATGTCCAGGCACTTGTCATGAATATCCAAAAACTTTTCCTTTTTCATCTCTGCCATATTAGGTATCAGCTTTATATCCAGCCTAGTAGCTATTCAAGGTTTACAATGCTACACAGCAATACATATATATCTATAAATTCACACACACACATATGTGTATATATATACACATATATATTCACTGACCGTATTTATTTGTACATTTATATTTATACAAATTTACTGACTCCAAAAGAAAAATCATAGCAAAATATAGTAATGTAATATATGTATAGAATTATATATTTTTATATTATATAAAATGTATATAATTATAATATACTATATAGTATATCAAATAAAATATATATTATATATTAAATTATAAGATAATATAAATTATTATATAAATATGTAACTATATATAAATATAATTATGTATATATATAAAATTACTTTATTTTGCTGTTATTTTCCTTCAGGAGTCAGTAAATTTTCTTTAGGTAGCCACCTGTACATTTTTTCTCATGTATCATTGGTTGGAATTAAGTAATATGATTATTTATGATGCAATTACCATATTTAGGTATAAGATGGGCAGTGCAGACTATCCTGTCATGACTAAATTTGGGAAAGATGGGCACCTAAACAAAAATAGCATATTATTAAACAGAAAGAAAGAGGGAATAGGTAGTATTCATTTTGTCCATGTTTTTTCTAGGGAGGACTTTCTAATTTTAAATGTTATTTAAAAGATAAATCAGAAATCATCTTCTTGAGAAAATCCCCTCTAATTCCCTTTATCATCATTCCAGCGTGAATAGGCATTTCTCTTCTGGGGATCTATTCATAGGCTGTACCTATCATTTAGTATTTCAGTTATTTGTTTCCATGATTGGCTTTTTCATTAGTCTGTGAGTACTGTGAGGGCAGAAATACTTTTTATTCATTTTATTGTAAACAGTATGATATTTAAAAAACATCTCTTTAATGAATTGGTGATGACACAATGGCAAATTATTCATATTTGCTAAAATTATTTCCAGTAGAACCACTTAATTTTAGTACCTTAGTTCCTTTTGGTATTCAGATGTAGTAATAGGAATTTATTGTAAATGATTCTGTTTCCTAGAGTCCACTCAAAAGCATGTTAGCATAATAAAATAAATTATGAAATATAGAGTTTTTTTCCTGACTTTCCAACCTAATTTAGGGACCTCTAATATATGTCATTTTCTAGTTTTTCTTATTGGAAAATATGCCAACAGTCTTGTTTGCCATAAGACAAAACTGTCTTTATTTCCCTGCACCCATTAATGTGTATTCGGTGGGAACTCAATAAATAGGTATAGTTAAATAAATGCATTAGGAATATTTACATTTCCCTTGTTATAAAATATAACATTTATTTCTCTCTTTTTTCTCTCTCTCTGTGTGTGTATATATATATATATATGTATATATATATATATATCTGTATATATATATATATATATATCTCTGTGTGTTACCATCTTAAGGTATAAGTTGGACAGCATAGGCTACCCTGTCATACTAAATTTGGGAAAGACGGGCATCAAAACAAAAATAGCATCATATTAAAGAGAAAGAAAGGCCCGGCGCGGTGGCTCATGCCTGTAATCCCAGCACTTTGGGAGGCTGAGATGGGCGGATCACGAGGTCAGGAGATCGAGACCATCCTGGCTAACATGGTGAAACCCCATTTCCACTAAAAATACAAAAAAATTAGCCGGGCGTGGTGGCAGGCGCCTGTAGTCCCAGCTACTTGGGAAGCTGAGGCAGGAGAATGGCGTGAATCCGGGAGGCGGAGCTTGCAGTGAGCCGAGATTGTGCCACTACACTCCAGCCCAGGCAAAAGGGCGAGACTCTGTCTCAAAAAAAAAAAAAAAAAAAAAAGAGAAAGAAAGAGTATATGTATATATGTATATATGGCTGTGTGGGTATATTTGTGTGTGTGTCTGTATATATGTGCATGCTATTACATATATGATATATGTATATTTAGAAGTATGTTTGTATTAGTCTGTTCTCACACTGCTAATAAAGACATACCTGAGACTGAGTAATTTATGAAGGAAAGAGGTTTAATGGACTCAGTTCTATATGGCTGGGAAAGCCACACAATCATGGCAGAAGGCAAAGGAGAAGCAAATGCATTTCATACATGGTGGCAGACAAAGAGAGTGTGTACAGGGGAACTATCCTTTATAAAACCATCAGATCTTGAGAGACCTTTTCACCATCATGAGAACAGCAGGGGAAAAATCTGCCCCCATGATGCAATTACCTCCTACCGGGTCTCTCCCACAACACATGGGAATTATGGGAGCTACAGTTCAAAATGAGATTTGGGTGTGGATACAGCCAAACTATATCATTCCACTGCTGGCCCATCCTAAATCTTATGTCCTCACAGTTCAAAGCCAATCATGCCTTCCCAACAGTCCTGAAGGTCTTAACTCACTTCAGCATTAACTCAAAGGCCATAGTCCAAAGTCTCATCTGAGACAAGGTAAGTGCCTTTCACCTATGAGCCTGTAAAATCAAAAGCAAGTTAGTCACTTCCTAGATAAAATGGGGGTAAAGGCATTGGGTAAGCACAGCTATTCTAAATGGGAGAAATTAGTCAAAACAGGCTACAGGTCCCATGCAAGTCCAAAATCCAGTGGGGCAGTCAAATCTTAAAGCTCCAAAATAATCTCCTTTGATGCCATGTCTCACATCCAGGTCACGCTGATGCAAGAGGTGGGTTCTCATGGTCTTGGGCAGCTCCACCTCTGTGAATTTGCAGGGTATTTTCATGGGTTGGTTTTGAATGTCTGTGGCTTTTCCAGGTACATAGTGCAAGTTGTTGGTGGGTCTATCATTCTGGGATCTGGAGGATGGTGGCCCTCTTCTCACAGTTTCACTAGGCAGTGCCTCAGTGGGCACTCTGAAGGCTCCAATCCTACATTTCCCTTCTACACTGCCCTAGCAGATGTTCACCATGAGGGCCCCGCTCCTGCAGCAAACTTCTGCCTGGACATCCATGCATTTCCATACATACTCTGAGATCTAGGCCGAGGTTCCCAAACCTCAATTCTTGACTTCTGTGCACCTATGGAACCAACACCACGTGGAAGCTGCCAAGACTTGGGGCTTACCCCCTCTGAAGCAATGGCCTGAGCTGTACATTGACCTCTTTTAGCTGAGGCCAGAGCTGAAGCAGCTGGGACACAGGAAACCATAGCCTAAGGGTGAATAGAGCAGGGGGTCCTTGGACCTGGCACACAAAACCATTTTTCCCCACTAGGCCTCCAGGCATGTGATGAGAGGGGCTGCCATGAAGGTCTCCAGGCATGTGATGAGAGGGACTGCCATGAAGGTCTCTGACATGTCTTGGAGACATTTTCCTCATTGGCTTAGTGATTACCATTCAACTCCTTGTTACCTATGGAAATTTCTGCAGCCAGCTTCAATTTCTCCCCAGAAAATGGGTTTTTCTTTTTCTATTGCACTTTCAGGCTGCAAATTTTCCAAACTTTTATGCTCTGCTTCCCTTTGAACACTTTGCTGCTAGAAATTTCTTCTATCAGATACTCTAAATCATCTCTCTGAAGTTCAAAATTCCACAAATCCCTATAGCAGGAGCAAAACACCACCAATCTCTTTTCCTTGCAAGAGTGATCTTTACTCCAGTTCCCAACAAGTTCTTCATCTCCATCTGAGACCACCTTAGCCTGGGTTTCATTGTTCACATCACTACCAGCATTTTGGTCAAAGCCCTTCAACAAGCCTCTAGGAAGTTCCAACCTTTCCCACATCTTCCTGTTTTCTGAGCCCTCCAAGTCTCTAGGAAGTTCTAAATTTTCCCATATTTTTCTATCTTCTGAGCCCCCAAAACTGTTCCAATATCTGCCTGTTCCCCAGTTCCAAACTCGCTTCCACATCTTTGGTTATCTTTATAGCAGCACCCCACTACCCAGTACCAATTTACTATATTAGGCTGTTCTCACACTGCTAAAAAAGACATACCCAAGACTGGTTAATTTATAAAAGAAAGAGGTTTAATGAACTCACAGTTCCACATGGCTGGGGAGGCCTCATAATCATGGCAGAAGGCAAAGGAGAAGCACATGTCTTACATGGGAGCAGGCAAGGACAACATGTGCAGGGAACTCCCCTTTATAAAACCATCAGATCTCGTGAGACATTTTCACTATTATGAGAACAGCAAGGGAAAGACCCGCAACCATGATTAAATTACCTCCCACTGGGTCCCTCCAGTGACACAAGGGAATTATGGGAGCTACAGTTCAAGATGAGATTTGGATGGGGACATCCCCAAATCATATCAATGTTGTTGGAAATATCAGCAAGTATCTTAGAGGAGAGCTCAGAGAAATACTATATATCTTGGCAGAAGTCAAGAGAATGGCCATTCATTCCAAGTTAGATCAGCTGACTGTAAGCCTCCATTGGTGGCAATCAAATGAGAGGTTCCCATTCTCAGATAGAGCAGATCTTTGATACTATAGATATCCATCACCAAAAGTAAGTGAATGTCTTGGAATAAGATCTTCACTTTTGTTAGTCTTGATACCCATCAACAAGAGCCATGTGGGATCCTGTGAATACTGAGTGCTTCAGGCCAATACACCTACTCTTCTCTCCCCTCCAACATTCATGGCTCACTGTCACTCTTTGTCTTGGAAATATGAAGTATAATCTCATTATGGCATTTAAATCTGTCCCTGTCATTCACCAAAAGGACCTCAATTCTCCCTTTCACCTAGGATTCCAATTCCCATAGGACTCTGTACATAGAATTTATTGATTTCATATACTATCTCATGTCAACTAATAAAATGCTTACACTGAACCATCTGTAAATTAGAATCAGTCATCAGCAAAATTTGTTACACCTTGCAGCTCTTCTTTGAACAATACGTTTCTTTTTTTCATTCTAAACCCAGGTTCTGTTTTGAGGAGACTATTTCAATGAAAAAGTGTTAGTGTATTGTTTTCTCCATACCTCTTGTTTTATAGAAACTGGAGGTGGAATAATTTTCCTCCTTGTTCTCATTGTCTGTTCCAAATTGCTCTTTTTCCCTCTACTGGAAAAAGTCAATCAGCGTGAAATCAGACTCTACCACCAACTGTTCCTGCTTGTTTTCATTATCTGCTAATCCTTGGGCCACTCTCCCTCATGTTCTGGAAAATTTAGCTCCCACTACAGTTATACTGTATTCAACACGACCTTTGCTATAAATCTTGGTGATTTCAATGCCCGCCTGAGTTATTTTCCTATTACCATGGCTTCTCAGTTCTTTGATGTTACATCTTCCACTTGTTAGGTCTCCAACCTCATCTCAGACATTTCCATGCAAAATCGTATTCTAGATGTCATTAGCAATTGCAGATACCACATTATTCAGCCATCATATACCATTCTTCTAATTTTATTCATTGAATATACTTTAAAGCTTATTGGATGCTGCAAAGTATTGATTCCACTAATGTCCCTTTCCCTCCTTCTGGCCTTGTTTCTTTGCTTACAGTTTTGACCCATGTTCATTCAATCATTATACTACATACAGGCATTTCCCCCCCTTTCATGCTTTTCTGTACTCATGTTTGTAAATCACAAGACTGGACAAATCAAATCTCTACTACATGACACCTGCATCCACAGAAAAACATGGATAAAGGTAAACACAAGACCGTTGTTACAATTCTCAAATTAAATTTATGATCAGTTACCTCAAGTGGTCCCTACCTGACCAACGTCAATAGGCAATTGTACAATATTTCCCTAGTCTTCATTCTCTTACATGATCCTACCAGTGCTGCTTCTTTCCTATAACCTACACCTTGGTCTTTACCTTTATTTTCAAAATATGATGTGAGGGAAAAGAAGCAACCACAAGAGAAAATCTAAAATCTCCTACTCCTACTACCTTCCTATACTACCCACTTACCTGTACATAAATCTAAATACTCTGCCTTTTCTGTGTCAAAATGAATAAACAATCTATCCTCCTTACAAAGGGAACTCCTCCATTTGACACTACACCTCATCCCTTCTCCCCCAAGTGAGAACATAGGAATATTTCTTTAGCAATCTTACTGCCTTGTTCTTACAAGATTAGTTTCCTCTCTACCGGATCACACCCAGCAGCATAAAGACCAGGTGTTATTCTCCCAGCACAAACAAGCCTTTTTTTTTTTTTTTTGAGACGGAGTCTCGCTCTGTCGCCCAGGCCGGACTGCGGACTGCAGTGGCGCAATCTCGGCTCACTGCAAGCTCCGCTTCCCGGGTTCACGCCATTCTCCTGCCTCAGCCTCCCGAGTAGCTGGGACTACAGGCGCCCGCCACCGCGCCCGGCTAATTTTTTTGTATTTTTAGTAGAGACAACAAGCCTTTTTAAAACCAATTTTCATGCCAGTTTTTCCTTCTGTTTACTATAAAACTTATTAAAAGAGCTTTTAAAAATTGATCTCTATAATTCATCTCCTTGCATTCTTTTTTTCAACCCACCCCTTTCAGTCTATTGTCAGCTGAATTTCACTACAACTGCTATTATCAAGGTCACCATTGATCTCCAAATTGCTATATTCAAAGACCAATTTTTTCTGTCCTCATTTCATTTAACCTTTAATAAATCTTTGGTAAAGTTGACTATGTTCTTATACTTGAAGCACCTTGTCTTCTAGAACATAGCTTTTTAATTTCTACCTCTCTGAGCACTCAGTACACTTTGCTGGCTTTTCTATAACTATTTGTAAAAATACCCCCTAGTATTAACTTTTGCTTATTTTTTTTAAATACCTATACTTCCCTCCTTGGTGATTTCATTAAATCTCCTTTCTTCAAAGAACTTTTACAGGCTGGTATCTGCAGTATGTATTTTCCTAACACTGACATCTTTATTAAATTCAAATTCTTATATTCATATGCCTATTCAGTATTTCAGAGTGATCTAATTCAGTATGTACAAAATAGAACTACTATTATTTACCCTAAATGTGTTGTTCTTGCAATTTTCCCGTACTAATAAATGAACATTTAAAAACAAAATCCATATTTGATTATAGTCATATCTGATCATTATTAATACTTTCTTTGTTACTTTCTTTGTCCAACTACTGCTATCTCTAGACTAGCTTATTGCAAGAGCTTCCTAACTCTTTTTCCAAAAATTGAGACTGGGTCTTGCCCTGTTGCCCAGGCTGTAGCACAGTGGCATGATTATAGCTCACTGAAACCTTGACCTTCTGGGCTCAAGCAATCCTCCCACCTCAGCCTCCTGAATAGCTGGGACTACAGGCATGTGATAGCACACTCGGCTAATTTGTAAAATTTTAGTGGTGATGGGGTCTATCTATGTTGCTCAGGTTAGTCTCAAACTCCTGGCCTCAAGTGATATTCCTACTGTGGCCTCCCAAAGTGCTGGGATTACAGGCATGAGCCACTGTGCCAGGCCCATCTCTTAAATTACTGATGACTTTGCCTTCCTTACATATGTTTTCTGCAGAGGAACCAGAATGATTCTGTTAAATGCGAAACATATCTTGTGATTCATTTATTCAAAACTCTTAAATGTTTTCTCATCTCCCTTGGTAAAAGTCAGAGCTCTTATAATTGTCAAAGCAAAACTGACACCAAAGTTAAACTGGCAAGGAAGACTTCATTCAAAGCTATTGCAATAGAGGAGAGAGCCTGAACTCAATTCCAAGGAATTAAAGGTAAGAAGGTTTTTAAGCACTGTGGTTAGCTCATGGAAAATGTGCTAGAGAATGTTAAGCTATCTGTATTTGCTAATGGTCATCATTCAGGGAAATAGTAAGTTTCTCATATCTTCACGACAGCAGGTAGTTTTGCAACTTGGAACAAAACAATCACCAATGTTACGCTTCTACAACTCCTACAAAATTGGGCTATAGGAATGTTATTTTCCTTGATGGTTGTATTTCAAAATAATAGCTCACAAGTCCTTGAAGAAGACATTCCTGGTTATTTAAAATGGCAAGAAGCTCTATAAAAGGATTTTCACCTCAAAGGGCAGAGAAAGGATTTATAATTACAAGTTTCCTAAGTAAATAATCTAAGAAAAGAGAGCTCAAGAGCCTGAAAATTAGGAAGAAGGCAGTCTAAATTTAAATCAAGTGGAAAAAAAGAAACTTTAAGACTGTTTTAGTCACAATGATTTACAAAGCACGCGATTATAGTTTTTCACCTTACCTGTCTCATCTAATGTCTAACTGAACATTCTTTTACTCATTGTGCCTTACTGTTCCTTGAATACACCAAATGCATACTTCCCTAGGGTTTTTGTACTTACTGTTCCCTCTATCTGAAATGCTCATGGTCGAATATTTCCATAGATTGCATTTGTCTTTCTTTTGGTTTTTCCTTAGATGTTATCTTCTCAGTGAGATCCTCTCAAGTCAGTGCTATCTGAAATTGCATCCCTGACTTTTCCTAGTTCATTTACTTTTTATATTTTGCTCTTTATCACTGAATGTGCTACATATTCTAATTGTTTTCCTTTCTTTATATTTTTTATTTTTTATAATTTTTAAGTTAATAGTGTTTAACTTTGATAATGTTAGAAGTATCTGCCTGTGTTGTTCATTACTATGTTGTCAGTGACTCTCACATCTGGGAATGTAATAGATATTTGATGAAAAAATGAATGAATGTGAAGAAGACAGACCTTGAGTTGAGATCTCTAGTTTAGGGTTCTAATCTTGTCAATTACTTGAATTTAAAAAACTTGCATAATTTACTAATTTTCTTTATTCATTTAAAATAAGAAGCATGACCTACAGAATCTCAAGTGACCTACTTATTCTTTTAACAATTTGTAGCACTTAGTACCAAGATATCTTTTTATCATTTCACATATTTTAGCTTTTATTCTTCATCCTGTGTGTTGTTACTGTTATAGTCACTATATTATAAATGAGAAACTTGAGATATAACAATATGTGATTGAAGTCATATAACTAGTAAAAATGAGAAACTTGATTTGATACTACACTGTCAAGCTCCAAAGTATATGCTAAGTGATGATTTTATGCGACTATACGGTTACATACTTTGATTTTTTTCTGAGTTAAATACTGTACTTTATTTCTTTTTACTATTAATATGAACATCAGTAGGTATTCACTTAAAGTATCTACTATGAATATATAATGTGTGGGTTTACACATATTTGTATATACATATATACACATATAAATTTATGTATACAGTTACCTATATATGTATACATTTGCTTTATATATACATTTACCTACATACATGTATATGTATATATATAGTAAATGTACATATATAAAATATGTGTAAATTATATATATATATAAAGTAAATGTACATAGTCAAGTTGAATCCTACATTGAGTTTTGGAGAGTATAAAGTTATCTTAGAGTTTATCAATCCGAGAGATAAGTCAGCTGACTTTTCAAAATTCTACTCTGACAATCATTGGCTGCAGGATAAGCAAAGGAAAGGTAAAATCTCATGCACTTTGAAACCTCTGTGCATCAGTCTCATGAGTCTGAAACAACTCTAGTGGCTCCACGGATGTCTTCTGATAATGGTATGCTGCCATTCCTTAGAAGCTGAGGAATTGCCCAGAAATGCTAAAAGGAATCCATTGGAATAGATTTCTGTTGGAGATATCCAAATGAAAAAGTTCTGTTACTGTTTTTATTCAGAAGTCTCTATATACTATAGCATTTAGCATCCATATACTATAATTATGGTATCTCTGTGTCATAGTGAGATCCTGGGAGAGGTTTTTATTATATTTTTATTATATGTCTCTGCTTCCACAGTATTGCTCATCTTTGAAAACTAGACTTAATATTTCTAAAGACAGCATTTTACACTTTCAAAAATTGTTTTTGCCACAGTTTGTGAAGTGAAAAACAGGAAGTAGCATGTGACACTGAATAACTTAAAATCTGCTTTTGTCTCCTTAATACAAAGAGAAATGTCTATCAAATTTCAATTTTAGAGTTTACTTGCACTACTTTCTCAACCAATTTCACAGACAAGCAATTTTCCAGTGATGTCCCAAGTGGAAAAGTAAAATACTTTACCTTTTTTTTTTTGACAACTGGATAAAATCAGCTATCAGTGGCTTATCCATGATTATTCCTAATTTTTTTCTGAATTTCCAGCTATATCCAGTAAAAACTACTTATACTTCCAACAATAAAGTACTACTGAGTGATTTGATCATTTGTGCCCTGTCTTCCCTAGAATTTCATTAAGTGGTTGAAGTTATTTTCCCACCATCGTGCAACGGAGTTAACTTTTCTTAAATAATATGGCACATTTACCTTTGTTTTCTTTGTAAAAATAGATATTTGACGACATAAGGTCTAGTATATCCTCACATATATCAATTCCAGAGGTCATGAATAACTAAAACTATAGATATTAATAAGTAAACCAAACAATAAAAATCAAATACATAATTATAGACTACAAAAAATGGGTCGAGTAAACAAATATAATTATTTTATTAGCTATAGAGTGAAACCACATCTAATTTTAAAAACATTTATCTAATTTGCATACAATTTTCTCAATTCCAATGTCTGGCAAACTATTTTTTTTGTACATAATTATATTAACAATTGCAACACATGCATAACATTGTAAATTGACTTTTAGAGCGATTTTAGGTTTACAGAAAAATTAAACAGAAAGTGTAGAGTTTTAATATACTCTTTCCTGCCCATTTTTTCTTATTATTAACATTTTGAAGGGGTGTGGTAAACTTGCTAAAATTGATGAACCAATGTTGATACATATTATTGACATCAAGTCTATAGCTTAATTAGCATCCGTCTCTGTGACATACAGTGTTAGGCATAGTGTTATGAATTTGCCATTGTCGTATCATACAGAATAGTTTCACCACACTGAAAGTGCTTTGCATTCCACCTGTTCAACCATTCTTCTGTCTCCCTTAACCCCTGGCAACCACTGATCTTTTTACTGTTGTCATAGTTGCACCTATTAATGTATCACATTTTCATTAATGACTTTTACATTCTTTACATGCCTACAAATAAGTTGATCAAGGGAATTATTGATATCCTAAGGCTTTGATTTAAAGGCTGATTGTGACCCAGACTAAAATGTTGTCTAGTCAGAAAATACGATTCATTTGTTTCCTTTTTCCCCTTCATGACTGGAATCTTGGCCATAGGATACGTGTCTTGGTGAAAATTCCATGCAGTAGAAAGTAAAATAAAGATATGAAAACTTACTTGAGAAAAAACTAGGAAGTAAGAAACTATTTCCAGGAGACAGAAAACCAGCAGTGATTCAAGTCCTTTTGGAAGCCTGTCTAGTGAAACAAGATAGCAATGTGATGACTAAGAAAGCAAAACCATGGATGAATAAAAGAGGAAACAAGAAACGCATGTTTTTAAATCCAAAACACCAAAAGGAGGATTTTATCTGTAGACCAAATGAAAAAGGATGAGATGTACTGAATCATTTGTCTCTTACATGAAGAACTCATCTGTTTAGAGATACAGCGAATTGAATAAAAAACACTGATGGCACAGCTTCAAGATGGCTGACTAGATGCAGCTGGAAAGTGCCTCTCGTATGGGGAGAGACTGAGATTTCTACTAAATCAACATAATTTGAAGAGATCTTCAGAACGAAAAGACCAAATGTAAATGAAAAAAAGACACTGATTTCTAGGCAGAAGGGCAAGGATTCTGATAACCCCGCATGGGGTTCCTGAATGCTAGGGCTGGCTCTTGGCCCCAAATGGCTCCTGGGGGAGGGGTGAGTGAAGAGACTGCCACTCTTGCCATAGACCTCTGGCATCCTAGCTCTAGGGGACCCAACAACCTCCATGGACGTTTGAGCCGGCAGAAGGAATCTCCTCTGAGATCAGACAGAGAGAGAGAGAGAGAGGGAGAGAGCTGAAGCAGGCACAAAGCCAGGTATATTTGTGTAAAAGACAGCTCTAGTAGAGCCCAGCCATAAATGCCCATCCCCCAGGGCTCCCCATCTCCCTATTAGAGGCTACTAGCCCCAGTTAATCCCCAGACCAGTAGAAAGTAGGGCCAACTTACCCCTGGGATGGGGGCACATCTGTCCTGCAGGACCACCTCCCTGCCAGGTCCTCCAAGGGCTCCTATCTGGCTGCCCAAAGGAAATATGTACATAGTGCAAAGTTTTCTGCCCAGCCTGACTGCATTGCTCCACCAGAGTGCATTTGAGCAGCCTGCTAACCTTTTGGATATCCCAGCAACCAGAATCCAACACTGAGGAGGGAGCTACAAGCAATTCCTAGCATACCAGGGCTACAGCCCATGGGTCAGGAGTGCTGAACCAGGACCTGTGTCTGGCAATTGAGTAAGAGGAGCCCACACTGTCAGAAAACTGGAAGGGGTAAGTTGCACAGGTGTGTGGGCTGGTGTGGCATGCCCCCCTTCACAGGGCTGGTACCTGCCAGGCCTCTGTCTGAGGGAGCTCTACAGCCCACAACACCTAACAACAACAATAAATTGAGGACATAGTGCCAGGGATTGGAGATGCCCCCCTCCAAGGCCCAGAAGTGGACCTGGTGAGGGGTTACCTCTCTCTCACTCTCACTGCAGAGCACAGCTGCCAACAGGAGTATACAAAAAGAAGCCATACAGCTACCAGATCACAGCCCAAACTAAAACACACACACACAGACACACACACACACACACACACACTTGCTAATACTCCTCTGTGCTGAATTAAGGGCAAGAATTAAACAATAAATAAAGACCCTATACAGAGTCTTAGCCCTCTGAATACTTTCATAAACAAAGCCAACTGAGGACACTAAATTTATACCATAGTTAAAGGGACACCAACACTTCCAGTTGAGAAAGAATCAGCTTAAGAAAGCCAGATTGTAACTTAACTCTAAACAAGCCCACTAGCTTCCCAGCAATGATTCTTAACCAGTCTGAAATGTCTAAAATTGCATATATGGAATTCAGAATCTGGTTGGCAAGAGAGCTCACCAAGATTCAGGAGAAACCTGAAATTCAATGCAAGGAAGCCAAGCAATCCAGTAAAACAATTCAAGAGCTGAAGGATGAAATAACCATTTTAAGAAAACCCCAACAATTGGAAGTATGAACAGCAGAATAGATGACGCTGAGGAAAGAATCTCAGAGCTCAAAAATCAGCTCTTTAAATCAACTCAGTCAGGCAAAAATAAAGAAAAAAGAACTAACAAAAATGAACAAAATCTTTAGGAAATATGGGATTATGTAAAGAGACCAAATTGATAACTCATTGGCATTCCTGACAGAGAAGGACAGAGAATAAGCAACATGGAAAGTATATTTGAGAATACAGTCCATCAAAATTTCTCTAGACTCACTAGAGAGGTTGACATGCAAATCCAAGAAATAGAGAACTCCAGCTGGATACAATTCCAGATAACCATCCCTGAGGCACATAGGCATCAGATTCATAAAGGTCAACACAAAGGAAAAATATCATAAAAGTAGCTAGAGAAAAGGGGCAGGTCACTTGTAGAAGGGACCCCCTCAGGCTAGCAGTAGACCTCTCAACAGAAATCCTACAAGCCAGAAGAGATTGGGGGCTAATTTTCAGCACCCTTAAAGAAAAGAAATTCCAACAAAGAAATTCATGTCCCAACAAACTAAGCTTCATAAGTGATGAAAAAATACAATTCTTTTCAGACAAGCAAATGCTGAATTGAACACATTTCTACTAGACTGGCCTTACAAGAGGTATTTAAGGGAGGGCTAAAAGTGGAATCAAAAGAATGACACCTGCTACCACAAAAACACATGTAAGCACATAGCCCAGAGGCACTATAAAGCACCTATCCAATCAAGTCTACATAACAACCAGCTAATAACACAATGATGGCTAGTTTCATACATATCAATTTTAGTCATGAATGTAAATGAGCTAAACACCCCACTTAAAAGACACAGAGTGGCAAGTGGATAAAAAGACAAGACCCAACCATCTATTCTTTGCAAGACACCCATCCTATGTGCAATGACACTTAGAGGCTTAAAGTTAAAGGATGAAGAAAGATCTACCATGTAAAAAAAGAGCAGGAGTCACTATTCTTATATCAGATAAAACAGACTTTAACCCATTAAAAATTAAGAAGAATAAAGGCCATTACATAATGATAAAGGGCACAATCCAACAAGAAATTTTAACTATCCTAAATATGTACATGCCCAATATTGCAGAACTCAGATTTATAAAACAAATTCTTCTTGGTCTACAAAAAACTTAAACAGCCACAGAATAATATTGGGAAGCTTCAACACCTCACTGATGGTTTTATGCAGATCACTGAGGCAGAAAACTAACAAAGAAACTCTGGACTTCAACTCGACTGACTTGACCAATTGGACTTAATAGACATCTACAGACAATCCACCTAACAATCATGGAATACACATTATTCTCATCTGCACATGGAACTTTCTAAGATCAACCACATGCTCAGTCATAAACCAAGACTCAATAAATTCAAAAAAATTGAAATCATACCAAGCACACTTTCAGACCACAGTGTAATAAAACTAGAAATCAATATCAAGATCTCTCAAAACTATCTAAACACACTGGAATTGTGTTGGAATCAAACCACTTACTCCTGAGTGAACATTAGGTGAATAACTCCTGAGTGAACATTAAACTTAAGGCAGATATTGTTTTAAATGGCCATACTGCCAAAGCAATTTACACATTCAACATTACACCTGTCAAACTACCTATGTTATTCTTTTCAGAATTATAAAAAAACTATTCTAAAATTCATATGAAAACAAAAGAGAACCTGAATAGTCAAAGCAATCCTAGTTAAAAGGAACAAAGCTGGAGGCATCATACTACCTGACTTCAAACTGTACTATAAAGCTATCATAGCCAAAAGAGCATGGTAATGGTACGAGAATAGACAAATAGAGCAATTGAACAGAATAGAAAATTCAGAAATAAAGCCATACACCTACAATTATCTGATCTTCGACAAGACTGACAAAAACAAGCTACAGGGAATAACTGGCTAGCCATTGCCAAAGACTGAAGCTGGACTCCTATCTTTTGCCATATACAAAAATTAACTCACAATGTACCAAATATTTAAATGTATTACCTAAAACTATAAAAATACTAAAATACAACCTAAGAAATACTCTTCTCAACATCTGCCTTGGCAAAGAATTTTTGGCTAAGTCCCCATAAGTAATTGCAACAAAAACAAAAATAAACAAGTGAGACCTAGTTAAACCAAAGATCTTCTACACAGCAAAAGCAACTATCAACAGAGTAAACAGACAACCTACAGAATGGGGGAAGATATTCATAAACTATGCATCCAAGAAAGATCGAATATCTAGAATATATAGGGAAGTGAAACAAATCAACAAGGGAAAATTAGTCTCATTGAAAAATGGACAAAGGATGTGAACAGACACCTCTTGAAAGAAAACATATAAGTGGCCAATGAACACGAACAAAAAAATGCTCAGCATCATTAATCATCAGAGAAATGCAAATCAAAACTGCAATGAGATACCATCTCACACCAGTCAGAATGGCTATTCCTAAAAAGTCAAAAAACAACAGATGCTGGTGGGGTTGTGAGGAAAAGGGAATGCTCATACACTGTTGGTGGGAGTGTAAATTAGTTCAGCCACTGTGGAAACCAGATTGGAACTTATAACAGAGTTTATCATATAACTTTAGGCATTAAAACAGAGCTACCATTCAACCCAGCAATCCCATTGCTGGGTATACACCTAAAGGAAAATAAATCACTCTACCAAAAGGATACATGTACTCATATGTTCATCAATGCACTATTCACAATAGCAAAGACATGGAATCAACCTAAATTCTCATCAACCTTGAAATGGATAAAGAAAATGTGGTACATATGCACCATGGAATACAGTGCAGCCATAAAAATGAATGAAATCATGGCCTTTGCAGCAACATGAATGCAGTTGGGGGCCATAATCCTTAGCAAATTTATTCAGGAACAGAATACCAAATACCACTCTCACTTATAAGTGGGAGCTAAACATTGAACACACATGGACATAAACATGGGAACAACAGACATGCAGACCACTAGAGAGGGTATGTAGAAAGAGGAAAGTGGGTTGAGAAACTACCTATCAGACACTTTTCTCACTACCTGGGTGATGAGATCTGCCATGGTTAATATTGTGTCAACTTGATTGCATTGAAGGATGCCAAGTATTGTTTCTGGGTGTTTCTGTAGGGGTGTTGCCCAAGGAGATTAACATTTGAGTCAGTGGACTGGAAGAGGAAGACCTGCCATCGGTGTGGGTGGGACACACCCAATCCACTGCCAGTGTGGCTAGAAAAAGCAGGCAGAAGAAAGTGGAATAAGCTGGCTTGCTGAGTCTCCTGGTTTTCGTATTTCTCCCATGTTGAATGCATCCTGCCATTGAACATCAAACTCCAAGTTATTTGGCTTTAGGACACTTGGACTTATGCCAGTGGTTTGCCAGGGGCTCTTGGGCCTTTGGCCACAGACCGAAGGCTGCACTGTCAGTTTCCTTAATTTTGAGGCTCTTGGACTCGGAATGAGCCGTTACTGCCTTCCTTCCTCCTCATCTTGCAGACAGCCTATCGTGTGACTTCACCTTGTGATTGTGTGAGTCAATTCTCCTTAATAAATTCCCTGTCATGTATACATGTATCCTATTAATTCTGTTCCTCTGAAGAACCCTGACTAATACAGGATTCATAACCCAAACGTCAGCATCATGCAATATTCTTATGTAACAAACTTGCACTTGTACTCTCATATCTAAAATAAATTTTTAATTGATAATTTTGTTTTGTTTGCTATATTATGTTTTTCTCTTAAGTAGAAATCTTATTGTGTAAAAAATTAAATGTTAAGTCAGTAGAGAAATAAATTATTAGAGGCTCTAAAATTGTGCAGGAAAAGTGGATTACATTTGTATGATAGTAAAAATATTAAATAAAATAATGTGAATTGGAAACCTACTAATTTTAAACATTTTTAGACTGTATATAAATAAATTCAAATATATTTCAAAAATTATAGTCTACTGTAAATTTGAAAAGTTTGTGAATTTCAATTTTTCACACTTTTATATTAATAATTATATAACAGTTTACTTATATATTCTATATTAAACTTTAAAAATTGACAAATAATGAAAATTATCAATTGAATATATGGCCCCAAATTATATTACCTTGTGTTAAAATGGGAAAAGATATTGACAATGCAATGATACTTTCTTGATTTACAGCTACATAGAATAATATGAATTAATCCTATCAAGACAATGTTGAGCAAAAAGAGAAAATAAGTGATGATATTTTTAAAAGGTAAAATTATGACTCATGCAAACATAAAATGAATATATGCCAAAGATTTATTTAACTCCACAACTAATGAATGAGCTAGCAGTTTGTTAAAAGAAGGATTTAGAGTACTAAACATTTGGAAATATTGAACAGATACAAAACTTCTTAATTTGAAAGGAAGGATTTCTGGAAGAAATCAAGTTTTTCCTCAGCAGACAAATTATTTGAATATTTATGAATTAAGGTCAATTTTATTGCTAGAAGTTATTTATCATTTACAAAATTGCAAAACTCTTAAAAACAGTGGAAGACTAAGATAACCTGGGAGGTTGCAATAGAAAGAACATTCAATAATCTTCTTCTTTATTTTCCCATTTTACTTATTCCCATTTTTTTTTCTGGACAGGCAAAACAAGGTTGATTAATCTCTTTTATTTTGGTAAGAGTATGACTTAGCATATAGAATTTTTAAAGTTTATTTTACAAATCCAGGGCCATGCAGCATTGAACAATTGAGCAATTCCTAGAGCCAAAAAATTGATACCCAATGTTATGACCTACAAAAACTGAGATAATAAATGGGTATTGTTTAACCCACTAATCTGACATAATTTGATATACACAATAAATAATATGCATAGACATCTGTATTTGTATGAAATTCCATGTGTAAGTCTTATGCACATTCCTATTAAAAATTAGCCTAAAGATGTTAGATTAAATGTAATTATTGTGGCAAAGTAAAAATTTTAAACAATAAATGAAATTTTGACTAACAATACTATTCTGAAATTTCCCAATATCATCACATAAAACACTACAGTTTCCCTGATCAATATAGGAATATTTGACAAAACTATTTCATAAGAGTCTTGATTATTTTTTCCTGAGGTTAAAAATAAATGATGAAGAAAGTTAAGGGCATTAGTAGATCTCCAGGGACAATCCATAAAACATACAATTTCTAAAATATTACTACTGGTGACATTTTATCTACAAAATTTAACCTAGGAAGACTATCTATTGTGACTAAATAACTGTATCCATGAAACTTTGGTAATAAAAACACATCAAACATAGGCAATTATTTCTGTTATTTCTTTTTAAAAAGTGAAAACCTAATGTTTGTAATTTCCCAAGGCACTTATGAAAATTTAAAGATAATTTTAGGTATAAAGAAAAGATATCCTGAAAGTTGTTTTTTCTTTTTTTCCTTCCTTTTTATAAATTTTGAATCTGATTTTTAAAAGGCTATGAAAACCTCCAAAAAAGTTGTGAGAAGAGACTGAACACTTAAGGACATAGGTGCCTGGAACACAGCACTCAGTTACCTATTTAATCAAAACTACAATGAAATATTTAAAAACAAATATGTAAAATATAATCACAGTAAAAACCTCAGCTCTTTCTTTGACAGGAAAACTTTATTCTTTGTATACTTTTTCTTAAATTATCAAGGACATAGTAAAATCAACATAAAAAACGTAAGACTATTCTGGTAAAATATAGAATCTCTACTATCTAGAGAGGTTAAATGTAAAGTGAAGAATGATTTTCAGTTATAGATGAGGCCATTTATCAGAAGACTAAGGAAGTAGAGTGAACATTTGTATGATTTTAAAACATGCTATGGCTTCTTTTCAAAGGTCGTATTATAAATAATACAAGTAACTTCATGGTGTCCTTCATTATGCTCTTTCATATTCTGAAACAAATTGATACTTTATTTAAAAATAGTAGTTTTCTCTCAGGGGTATATGAGGTCAAAACCAAAAGTTGTTATGTTAATATGTAAGTCATCCATCTTTACTATCTTCAAATAAATCAATGAGTATTTCTAAACCTCTTTCTTTTTTCTAATTGGTAAACATTGATTGCTGAAATACACATAAACAAAAACTCTTCCATATCCATAATAAAAAGCAAGAGTGTAGAGGAGCCTGAATACCACAATTATTGAGAACCAATCACTTAGGACAAGACTAATCTTTTTCCTTGCTACATTTATTTAAAAAAAACAAAATTCATGTACAGTTATGTTTCTCTGACACTACTGCTCATTCTCAATATCTCAAGAGTTCATAAGGCTTAATCAACATAACGAACTTTATTTCACAGAGATACTGGTGGGACAAGGTAATTGAGAATTTTCTCTCTTATTCAAACGTTTTAGCAAATTAGCAAAGTTCATAAACCTACATGAGACAGCCCTGCACATCCCTTTTACACCTTCTTAAAGTGATAAAACAAATGTATTTATTAAGAAGACCCAAAAATATAAAAGTATAGCCTCTCTGTAGTGTATAAAAGTAAGAATCATATGCAACTAAATATAATTTATGCTTATTAATCAATATTTCAGTGTTGTCTTTCACTTAAAATTTATTTAGGTATCAATGATGACCATTATGTAACTAAACTCAATATCAAACATAAGATTTTTAACTTACTTAAAGATCTTGGAAATTATTTCCAACTGATAAATTTCAAAAAATATTTTTGAAAAACAATTTTGTCAGAACAATGATTCAATTGCATTGAACAGAAAATTATATGTTTTTAATTTTCTTAAAAAACATGTAGGAGAAATGATAGTTTATTTGATTAGTAGACCCATATGTACTAGTCAGCTTGCACTCCCATAACAAAATACTATGGTCTGTTTGGGTTAAGCAAGATAAATTAATTTTTACAGAGTTCTGGAGGCTGGGAAGTCTAAGTTCCAGGTGATTACTGTTTCAGCTTCTAGTGAGTACTCGCTTCCTGGGTTCCAGAAGACCACCTTTCTGAGGTGTGTTTACCTGGCCTTTCCTCAATATGTATCTTCAGAAAATGGGAAAGAGAGATTCATCTTAGGTATCACACTTTCAATAAAGACATTAATCCCATCTTGAGGGTCCCACCTTCTAGACCTCATTTAACCCTAATTATCTTCCAAAGACTCCATCTCCAAATGCAGTCACATTGGAGGTTAGGGTTCCAACATATGAATTTCGGGAAGACACATACATTCAGCCTTAAGGTGTTATAGGTTAATACGAAAAATCAAAATGAAATATAAATTTAACACATGCCAAAATCTATGCAACTAATTAATTAATGAGGGAATCAGTCAGATATTACTAGTTCAAAAAAGTCAAAGCACCACATGTTATAAGCCTATAATGAGTTTTGAAATTAATCTATAAAATATATAAAACTGGCTTCTTCCACAACAGGGTTGGGGTGAAAGGAAGGGAAATTTGGAAAGGTGTACCCTGGACACTCAGTTTTTTTTGTTTGTTTGTTTTATTTATCATCATTTTAAAATCTATTACAATTACTCCTGACAGAGAAAAGAGCCAAAATATCATTTACAATTCAAATACAATTTTTAATGAAATCTAAAACGATGATAGAAATTATGCTTTTAGAAGTAAGCATATTAACTCTTCATAATAGGGTGAAGTGACTGGAAGTCTGAGGGCCCCTCTGAAGTGTTAACAATATTTTACTTCCTGATTTAGGTATAAATTATATGGGTATATTAAGTTTATACAAATTCGTTAATGTGTATTTTTCAATATGTACATATTCAATAAAATATTTTTAAAAATTATTTGCTAAATTATATGCTATTTACAATAAACTCACTCTAAATATAAAGACTCAAATAGATTAAAAGTAAGAAGATGGATTGCTGGGCACAGTGGCTCACACCTGTATCCCAGCACTTGGGAGGCTGAGGTGGGAGGATTGCTTGACTTCAGGAGTTCAAGGCCATCCTGGGTAACATAGTGAGACCCCATCTCATTAAAAAAATAAAGAGAGAGAGAGATGGAGAAAGATATACCTGGCTAACACTAATCAGGGGTAAGATAAAGTACTTCTATTAACTTCAGACAAAGCATATTTTAGAGCCAGGAAAATTATCAGTTGGTAAAGAAAATGGAGTGAGACCAGAGAAGTCTCAGTAGAAGCTGTAGCATATTATGTCAGTGTCAAATTATATTTTAACCGGAGAAAACCATGGTTACCTGAGCAAAATTAATCAGTCAAGTGGAGAACAGCAATTTTAGAGATATGGAAAGCAAATGGGAAAATAATTATTAATGAGACAATAACAATAATAATAGTCATGGCTCCCTTCTTTTGTGTTTGCCTATGCTAAAGATTTTGGTTTATTAAAAGCTGTTCTCAAAACTGACTCTGGTCTTGTATCTTCCACTGCTTTGTCATCCACTCTCCAAATATTGACTAATTCTGACAGCCTCTCTCAGGAGCTTGTTAAGCTAATTTTATTAGCAGTAAGTTCATGTCTTGCAGCCTAATATCTGTGTTTTATTTCAAGGAAGCCTCTTTTCTGCATAGCATTCTCTATATTTTCTTCTTTACCTCAATCTTTTAATGATTCCCTAATTGATGTTTTCTATATACATTCTCAGATTGTTACTCACTTGTACTAACTTTTTGAGGATTTTTCTGAACCTTGGATTCACTTCTACATAGACAGCCATTAGCCTCAAGGCTGTATGTAAGTTTGCTCCCATGTTTAGTTATCTGGCCTTGATGTCATCTCTACGTCTAATCTTAGAATTCCTTTGGCTCAGGTTCAGTTGTAACAACATGCTAAGCTGCAGGAAAAGTTAGGTTCTAATTGAGGAATATCTTCATTTATCCAGATTCACTCTGGTATTCTGCTTCCATGACCAATAATCCATCCAAAAATTATATCAGAGACTTAAGTGTGAAGTCTCAGTTTAAGATAAACACTTTCATCATTTTATACTCATATGTCCACAATTCTACTGTTAAATGTATACAATGAAATAACACTGGAAATAACTTTAGAACTTTGAATTTCTCAGATCTAATTTTTCTATAGACCTTGATAATAACTGCTGAATCACTCACCTGAAATTACATCTGCGGTCCTAAGATTATTAGCTTTAGTAGAATTTAGTCTTTCTGTCTTTATTTTAACATTATGAGTACCTCCTATAATAGTCTTTATACAGAACTTTATAATTTATAACCCCTAGGAATTAGGAAGGGCATATATTAGTTTTATCAGTCATATTTTTGTTTTTGTAGATTAACCATGGCTTAAAAAATGGCTCGCAATATCATGAAACTTAATGTTACAGACAGAAGCTTAATTCAGATCTTCAGATACTGTTTTCTATTGATTAGTGATTAATATAACAATCTCCTAAAACACACTTTGTATTATTCCATTTTCATGCTGCCGATAAAGACATACCTGAATCTGGGCAATTTATAAAATAAAAAGATTTAATTGACTTACAGTCCCAAGTGGTTGGAGAGGCCTCAGAATAATGGCTGAAGGTGAAAGGCACATCTCACATGGCGGCAGAAAAGTGAAGAAAACTTGTGCAGAGAAACCCCCTTTTTTAAACCATCAGATCTAGTGAGACGTATCTGCTATCATGAGAACAGAATGGGAGAGACCTGCTCCCATGATTCAGTTACCTCCCACCAGGTCCCTCCCACAACACATGAGAATTCAAGATGAGATTTGGGTGGAGACACAACAAAACCATATTATTCCACTGCTGGCCCCTCTGAAATCTCATGTCTTCACATTTCAAAACCAATCATACCTTCCCAACAGTCCCCCAAAGTCTTAACTCATTTCAGTATTAACTCAAAAGTCCACAACCCGAAGTCTCATCCAAGACAAGGCAAGCCCCTTCTGCCTATGGGCCTGTAAAATCTAAAGCAAGTTACTTATTTCCTAGATACAGTGGGGGTATAGGCATTGGGTAAATACAGCCATTACAAATGGGAGAAATTGGCCAAAACAAAGGGGCTGCAGGCCCCATGCAAGTCTGAAATCCAGCAGGGCAGTCAAATCTTAAAGCAACAAAATGATCTCCTTTGACCCCATGCCTCATATCCAGGTCATGCTGATGCCAGAGGTGGATTCCTTTGGTCTTGGGCAGCTCTGCCCCTGTGGCTTTGTGGGTACAGCCTCCCTCCTGGCTGCTTTCATGGGCTAATGTTGAGTGTCTGTGGCTTTTCTTAGATGCACGGTGCAAGCTGTCAGTGGGTCTCTCATTCTGGGGTATGGAGGACAGTGGCCCTCTTCTCACAGCTCCACTAGGCAGTGCCCCAGTAGAGACTCTGTGTGGGGGCTCCCATCCCACATTTCCCTTCTGTATGCCCTAGCAGAGGTTCTCCTTGAGGACCCCAGCCCTACAGCAAATTTCTGCTTGGGCATCCAGACATTTCCATACATCTCCTGAAATCCAGGTGGAGGTACCCAAACCCCAATTCTTGACTTCTGTGCACTTACAGGCTCAACATCATGTGGAAGCTGCCAAGGCTTGAGGCTTGCACCCTCTGAAGCTACGGCCCCGGCACGACTTTGGCCCCTTTCAGCCATGGCTGGAGTGCCTGGGACACAAGACACGAAGTCGCTAGGCTGCACACAGAACAGGAACCCTAGTCTTGGCATATGAAACCACTTTTTTCTCCTAGATCCCTGGAATTGTGATGGGAGGGGCTGCCTCCAAGGTCTCTGACATGCCCTTGAGACATTTTCCCCATTGTCTTGGTGATTAACATTAGGCTTCTCATTACTTATGCAAATTTCTGCAGCCAGCTTGAATTTCTTCTCAGAAAATGGGATTTTCTTTTTTATTGCAGTGTTAGGCCATAAATTTTCCAAACTTTTATGCTCTGCTTCACTTATAAAACTAAATGCCTTTTTGAATTTTTGGTAAAGACGGGGTTTCACTGTGTTAGCCAGGATGGTCTCGATCTCCTGACCTTGTGATCCGCCTGTCTTGGTCTCCCAAAGTACTGGGATTACAGGCGTGAGCCACCGTGCCCAGGCGTGGTGGTAGGCACCTGTAGTCCCAGCTGCTCAGGAGGCTGAGGCAGGAGAATGGTGTGAACATGGGAGGCTGAGCTTGCAGTGAGCCGAGATTGCGCCACTGCACTCCAGCCTGGGTGACAGAGCGAGACTCTGTCTCTAAAAAAAAAAAAAAAAAAAGCTAAATGCCTTTAACAGCACCCAAGTCACCTCTTGAATTCTTTGCTGCTTAGAAATTTCTTCCACCAGATGCCCTAAATCATCTCTCAAGTTCAAAGTTCCACAAATCTCTAGGGCATGGGCAATAGGCTGCCAGCCTCTTTGCTAAAACATAACAAGAGTCACATTTGCGCTAGTCGCCAAAAAGTCCCTCATCTCCATCTGACACCACCTCAGCCTAAATTTCATTTTCCATATCACTATCAGCATTTTGGTCAAAGCCATTCAACAAGTCTCTTAGGAGTTCCAAACTTTCTTGCTTTTTCCTGCTGTCTTCAGAGCCCTCCAAACTGTTCTAACCGCTGCCTGTTACCCAGTTCCAAAGTTGCTTCCACATTTTTGGGTATCTTTTCAGCAGTACCCCACTCTCCTGGTACCAATTAGTCCATTTTCATGCTGCTGATAAAGACATATACGAAACTGAGCAATTTACAAAAGAAAGAGGTTTAATTGACTTACAGTTTCACGTGGCTGGGGAGGCTTTACAATCATGGCAGAAGGTGAAAGGCATATCTCACATGGCAGCAGACAAGAGAAGAGAGCTTGTGCAGAGAAACTCCCATTTTAAAACCATTAGATCTCATGAGACTTATTTGCTATCATGAGAACAGCACAGGAAACTTGTGCCAACATGATTCAATTACCTTCCACCGGGTCACTCCCATAACATGTGGGAATTCAAGATGAGATTTGGGTGGGGACACAGCCAAACCATATCACACTCAATTGAGTTGGAGAGCAAGCAAGTTACCAATCACTAATCAATCATCAATCACGTATCCTTGATCAAAATAATGTGCCATAATTGAAAATTCACCAGTATGATGAATAAATATAAAACCAGACATGAAAAATTTCCTTCTTTGGAGTATCAGAAAAGGATCAAAGCAATGATACTTATTCTGAATCTTAAATGGAAATTCATGTTTTACATGACCAAGTTAAAAACAAAATCATTTCAGATTTTAGAGAGAATAACATGTACAACAGAATGGTAGAGAGACATGGGCTAAGATCACAGTATTCAAACAATTGATTTGTGAAGAAACAGTGAATATCTTTAATCAGATCCCTTTTGGTAGAAGATAACTTAGAGAACATTTAAAAAGACCCTGTAAATAAAAATGAGTTGTTAAAAAGATATTAAAAGAATGTTACAATGACTTGTTGGATAATTGAACCAACAAAGTGTTGTAAAGTATGGAGAAAAGCTGAAGTTGATTGTTTAATATTCATCAAGGTTTTAAGAACAAAGGAGATGGTTTATTTGACTGCAGATAACAATACCATCACTCAGAAAAGCAAATGAAAATAATATTGTAAAGAAAACCATGAGTTTGGAAGGGAGAAGTATAAATTAAAATTCTTCTGCTGGGTGCTGTGCTTCATACCTGTAATCCCAGCACTTTGGGAGGTGAAGGTGTGTGGTTTTCTTAAGCCTAGAACTTCAAGATCAGCCTGGGCAACACTGCGAAACCCCATCTCTACAAAAAATACAAAACTTAGCTGGGTGTTGTGGTGTGCACCTGTTGTTCCAGCTACTCTGGGGGCTGAGGTGAGAGGATTGCTTGAGCCTGATAGTTCGAGGCTATAGTGAGCCATGATCACACCACTGCACTCCAGCCTGCGTGACACAGCAAGACCCTGTCTCAGAAACAGAATAAAATGCAAATAATAAAAAAATAAGTAAAATAAATAAAATTTTTATTTGTTCCAGGTATTGCCATTATTAATTTATTCATTCATTCATTTTAAAAGTGTCTATCTAGCATTTATAATAAGCTAGGCACTCATTTTTGTTTTTTAATAAAGCAGACAAAATATAATTTAGTGGATGGGTGGATATCAAAAAATATATAAATTGCTGTAACTTGGAGCACTTTCTATGATGACAAACAATAGAGTGCTGAACGTCTCTGGGAAGGGAGAAACTGAAAATACAGATACAGGCCTTGGAAGAGGTTTCTGAACTAGGCATAACGATTAGATTACCAACATATAGTTGACCGAAAGTGAAAAACAATAAAAGAAACAGTGAAAAATTAGACAAAGCCATTTTGCTAATTATAAACCAAATTATCATGAACTGGCCACATTTTATATTCCAACAATACAGTAAAGAGATTCAGTCTACATTTATAAGTTTGAGAAGGTATTATGTCATAGTAGGGTTTATGGAAATGGGGCTATACAAAGAGAAAAATGAGTATCCCCAAGTTAGCAAGTAAATAAACATCATAAACAGCATAAAATGTTGTGCTTCCTTTTTCTCATTCATTCTTTATGGCATAAACCTAATTAAAACTTATATTCTTAACGTATAGTATAACTGTAAATGCCAATAATTTACTAGCATGTTTTTAACTGCATATTCTAGAAAGTAAAATTTTCATGTTTAAAATAAAATATTTAGTGAGTAGTTTTCTTACTAATGAGTAAAAATAATCACAGAATAATGTACTACTTGTATCTCTATTATTTTTGATAACATTAAACTCAATATCAGAGAAAAATAACATTGTGAAATGATCCTTTAAATAGTACACTAAAGAAAAAATTGTTAATCCAGATGAATTGAAATTGAATCTGAAATTCTAAATAGTGTAATTATAATAGCATTTTAATCCCATAAATGCTCAAGAAATTGTTCTTGGTGCTAAGTATACCAATTAGTTTATTCAGACAGCTGAATATGCTTCTTTCTGGGGTACCTCAGATGTTTCGATACAGACAGACATGCAATGCGAAATAAGCACATCATGAACATTGGGGTATCTATTCCCTCAAGCATTTATCCATTGAGTTCCAAAACATTCAATTACACTCTTTATTTTAAAATGTAGTTATCATTGCATAATGTAGTTCTGAGCAAAATAAATTAAGATGGCATGTGTCACATAAAATGCATTATCCGTGGAAAGTATTAATTAGTGTGTTTCTGAATATTACCTTTCCCAAATAAAAAATAATAGCACTTTTATTTAGAGATTTTGTTTCAGCAAACATTCAAAATTGCCAAGAAATTAATTTCAAATATATGTATTTTCTTCAAAATTTATGGTAGTGTGGAAAAATCGTTACCCAATTACTACTAATTAGTCAATGTTTTGGACTTCCTAGATTTATAATACCTCACCAAGAAATGAATTAAAAGTCTGAAAGAAAGAGCTTTAATTATATTAATCCAGGGGATGCAAGACACCATGACTGATCAAGGGAAGAATTTTGTTAGAAGAGATCATTGGTGCCCCTTGACTAATAGTACCTTGCATACATTGACATCAAGTGGGATTTAGAGGTGGATTAGAATGTGAATTAAATGAATTCTTAAAGCTTTTCAAAAGATACTTAAATTAAGATCAAGTTTTTAGAACTCATTTCTTGTTTTGTTTCCTTTTATTTATTTTTTTCCGGAAGTGGGGGAAAATGGTTGTTTTCAATAAAATTAATGTGGTAGCCCCCAAGCAAAATATGTTCGTATTTGAACCCTAGCCAGTATCCCATAGTGAACAGTTATTCTTCCCACATTTTAAAAGTTTTATGAATGAGAGGGGAGGGAACATGGAGTGCCCCTCCTATTAAAATACTAATTTAAAATAATATACTGATTTTCTTCTTCCTCCTCAGTCTGGGGTAAACAGCCAGTTGTGGCTCTATTGTCTAGGGTCTTGTCTAAAGATGCCATGTTCTTAGGTTTATGTTCTTTTTTTAGTGAAAAATATAATATATTTTAATTGCTGAAAGATGATCGTTCAGTGATAGCATTTTCTCATTCACCTCAATGACCTCTTACCAAGCTGCTTGTGATTGCCTTGATATGATGCTGACAGCTACACAGTTACACTTATTTTCTATTTTATTCTATATCCTATAGTAAGGGCATAACAGATCTCCTGATTTTCTCTAGCTCATGTTGTGTATCCTATATTAATGCTAGTATGTATGTATGTATGTATGTATGTATGTATGTATGTATCTATCTATCTATCGTCTATCCGTAAATGATGTGCTCATCTTGAAATAGTAAGAAAGGGTAAGGTTTAGTTCACCCTTCCATATAGGTTTAAGTATCCAGAGAATAAAGGAAGTATTTCTCCATGACTTACTTCTCTCTGTCCATTACCCTACCAGTCTTCAAACTGTTTTCCCCAGTTTGGTTAGATTATATGATGACCAATCTTATTAGCCCTTTTGGTTAATGGGTGCCTGAAATGCAAGGTGAGGTAGTCTTTGGGATGCACCTGTCTTCTTGCTCCCCATGCTCCCATTACCGCATTCTTCCCTGCCATTAATAGAAGCTATCCATAATTGGCCCCTTTTCTTTATTTAGCAACCAAGGAAACTGAATGAAAAGAGATGTGCATAATTAACAACCATACGTTTCTACATCTCTTGTCATTCTACATCTCTTGCCATTCCTAATACATATACAGTGTATGCACTTTTAAAACCATAAGTGAG
The DNA here is from genome assembly GCF_000001405.40 of Homo sapiens. Taxonomy (NCBI): domain Eukaryota; kingdom Metazoa; phylum Chordata; class Mammalia; order Primates; family Hominidae; genus Homo; species Homo sapiens. Next base: position 34,831,980 of record NC_000004.12, read on the forward strand.
AGTTAAGCTATGAGGATGCAAAGGCATAAGAATGATACAATGGACTTTGGAAACTTTCTGGAATTGGGGAAAAGCCTCCAGCTTTGTTCTTTTGCTTAGGATTGTCTTGGCTATGCAGGTTCTTTTTAGGTTTCATATGAAATTTAAAGGGTGGGAGGCGGGTGAGGGATAAAACACTATAAATTGGGTATGGTGTATACTGCTCAGGTGATGTGTCCAACAAAATCTCACAAATCACCACTAAAGAAATTACTCATGTAACCAAACACCATCTGTTTCCCATAAATCTATGGAAATAAAAATAAAAAATAAAAAAGGGTCAAAATGTTAGTAACTTCAGGCTAATAAAACATGAGGATAAGCATTGTATTGCAGCTTAAGCCTTAAAGGAGGTCTAGTACACATATTTATCTCATTCATACTTTTCTCCTTATTTCTGCCTGAAATTTGAAATTAGACCATCACATTTTCATAGCAGCTTGCATCAAATGAGAGATTAGTGTGGTGGAAAGGTCCAGTCCTTGGGGCCACCTCCGGGCAACTCTGCAAGGACATCAGAGCTCCAGAGCTCCCCACAGTCTGGTGACCTTGTTATCACAGCACTACAGCCTCTGTGCAATGTTGCTTCCTCCTCTTCCCACTAAAGCATAGATCTCAAGAGTAATTCCTAATAAATTTATTGCACAGTAATCTTCAGCTTCAGGTTGATGTCAAGAAAACCTGACTGTCAAGAGGGTAACTTTCAGTGTAATTTCACCCTCAGACTCAAGAAAAGGGACCAGAGTCACAAGGGACTTCATGCAGTAGAAATGTCATAGCAGCCCTGGAAGAATAAAATACATATTGTTTATTTCTTTGTTATGATAACACTCTATTACTCAGAAGCAATCTGAGTAATAACAATGAATAATCATTTCAGAGATAGTTTTTAAATACAGATATAAGAGCTAACATTTCTAATTTACATAACACCATGTTTGAGTATATAAATTTTTAAATAAAAGTTCTCTTTTCATATCATTATATCTCTTTCTACATCATTGTACATTGAATGTTTGTTAGAATATTGATTGTAATATTTATCATGTCTAATTTTATAATAAATTTGAATAGAAATTTGTTTATCTAGACTCATATGCATCATTTAGTTATAAACATGAAATAAATATACCTATGAATATTTAATTATTAATACAATTAGAAAAGATGAAATAACTTGGATTTTAAACCGGAAGTGAAATGTAAAGATTTTGAGCTGTAGTTTCAACTAACTTAACTTTAAAATATGGCTCTGCCACTTATGAACGGAGTGACCCCTGGTATGCTACTAAAAGTAAAACCTTTCATTTATTTGCCTCTAAAATAAGTAAAATAGTTACATCCTATTAAAAAATGTGTACAGCCATACATACATTCATATGTATATATGAACATATGCACTCAGATACATGTATATATTCTCACATGAATCTATGCTTGTATATTCATCAGAGTCTTGTGAATATATAGCCTACCAAATAATTCAAGAAGAGGGCTGGAGGAATGTACAAGCACTCACAGTTTTGTTTTTTCCTTTAAGTGGGGTTCTATATAAAATAAATACTCACTGAAGTTCTAATATTTCCATGTGTGCAGGAATTAATCTATCACCATTTCATCTACAGTGGTGTAGACATATACCATCTTAGGGAGAAATAAGAAAATAATCACTCGCTACACTCTGAGCTTATTGAGTTAGATGAGGAAGTCTGTAAAAAGACTAGACAATATGAAAGGGATGCTACCATTATATTTTATACCATTTGATACTGCTTATTTTTTTTAACACATAGACATTTATATTTGACCATCATTATTTTATCATCTGAATGCTATGTTTTGTGGATGAAGAAGTAGTCTCATATTCAGAAAACAGCTCATACAACCCACAGATATCCGCTAACAGATGGCCCTACATGGCTGAATAACTGTTATGGGGTCCACTTTAGCAATTTCTTGCCTCCAAAATCAATTGGATCATGAATATAAGGCAGTTATTTGTCAAAGATCAGTTACTACAGTTGTATGGGTCTTTTTCTGGGTTCTCTATTTTGTTCTACCCATCTTTCTGTCTATTCTTTTGCCAAAACTACTTTGGATCACTGTAGACTTATTTTAAGTCTTGAATTCAGGTAGTATAAGAAGTCCTCCAACTTTTTTCTTTACTTTAAATATTAGGTTGTTTATTCTAGATTCTGTGACTTACCATATAAAGCTAAGAATAAGTTTGTTGATAACTTGAAACTATGTAACTCCAATCTTTGCTTTCATGTTCACATGTCTTCTTTATTTCTGTCCTCTTCAAGGACATGTATGATTTGACTTAGCCCCCACCAATCCAGAATGATCTAATCTCTAGATCATTAATATAATTACATCTATCCTTTTTATGGTAACTAAAATACCCCTTTTCCAGACAACATTATTTTCACAAATTTGGGGAACAATATCTTATTTTGGTAGGCCACCATTCAATTCACTACAGGAATCACTTCCTCTACTTCTATTTTGTGCAGAAGATTATGGAGAACTGGTCTCCTTTTCTCCTTTAATTTTTGGTAGACTTCATCAGTGAAATCACCTGGAACTGGTACTTTGGGTTTTGGAAAGTTATTAAATATTAACTCAGTATCTTTGATAGATACAAATATGTACAGTTTATTTTCCTTGTGTCTTTAAGAAATTGATCCATTTCACCTACATTTTCAAGTTTATAAGTATGAAGTTGTTCATTATACTCATTTATTATACTTTTATTATTTATGGGATCAGTAATGATAACCCCTCTTTCATTTCTGCTGTTGGGAAGTTGCATCTTCTCTTTTCTCTTAGACTTGCTGAAATGTTCAATTTTATGTACCTTTTCAAATTAGCTTTTGGCTTCATTTATTTTTCTCTCTTTGTTTCCAGTTTCATTAATTTCTTCCCTACCTTTTATTCGTTATTTTCCTCTTCTAGTTTCAGCTAATGTTGTTCTTCTCTCACTAGTTTGCTAAGGCAGTAGTTTATAGTAATGATTTTTAGGTCTTTCTTATTTTCTAATATACACTTTTAGAGCTATAAATTTGCCTCTAAGCATTGCTCTTGCTGCATACCACACATTTTGGTAAGATACATTATCATTTTTATTTAGCTCAAAATAAGTTATTATTTATATTGTGACTTCTTCTTTGTCCAGTGTGTTAATTATAGGTCTATTAATTAGTTCCCTCCAGATTTGCAGAATTTTCCAGCTATCTTCCCATTGCTGATTTCTTATTTAATTCATTGCAGTTTGAAAATATATTTTGTAAAATTTCAATTCTTTTAAATTTGTTAAGGTGTGTTTAATGGCCTATGAAGGAAGTGTTTCATCTTTGTGAATGTTCTACGTGAGTTTGAAAATACATATATTCTGCTATTATTTGGACTATTCTACAAATCTAATCAGATTAAGTTGATTATTAGGACTGTTTGGGTCGGGTCAATTATATCTACAAACTTTCTACCTATTTTGATCTATTAATTACTGAAAGAGCAGTGTTGTCTGTTTCTCTTTGCAGTCCCATTTATTTTTATTTCGTGCATCTTGATGTTCTGTTGTTAAGTGCATATACATCAAGGATTTTATGTTCTCTTGGGTAATTGACCTCCATATCATTATCTAAAGCCAGTCTTTACCGCTAATAAATTTTGTCATTCTGAAGTCTGCTTTGATTAAAATTAATATATCTACCCTATCTTTCTTTGGATTATGCTACTGGAGTAACTGGAGCTTTTTTTTTTTTTTTTTGGATTGGTGTAAAGATATATATATATATATATATATATAATTTCTTTACTTTTACTTCTTTACTTTTAACCTGAGTATTTCTGTATAAAATGGTTTTCTTATACACAATGCATAGTTGAATTTTTAAAAGAAAATCTCTAAAAATCCGCGTTAATTGCTGAATATAGAAATTCACATCTATATTATTACAAATAGAATCGAATTAGAGTCTATCATATTTTTAAAGGTTTCTACTTATTGTATTTTTCTTTAATTCTTCCTTTTTTGTCTTCTCCAGTGTTAATCGAGCATTTTATAAGATTTTATTTCTTCCATTAGTTTATAAATTGTGCTTTTAAAAATATGTTTTAGTGGTTCTCCTGGAGTTGCAATACACATTTTTCTACTCTAAAATAACCTTCAATATTTCACAGATATTGAAGTTACCTTATAAAAGTGTATTTCCAATTATTCCCTTCCATCCCACATACCATTATTGTCATTCACTCCACTCATGTGTATGCTTACAATCATCCAGTATTTGTTGCTATTATTATTAATTTACATAAGGAGTTGTAGTTTAGATCAACAAACAATTAAAAAAATATATTTCATTTTATTCTCCTTTATTTCTTCCGTGATGCTTTTCCTTTCTTTATTTACATCTGATTCTCCTACGTACAAAATTTTCTTCATCCCTGAAGAACACTTTTCTCTTTCAACATTTCTTGCAGAGAAGAATCTGCTGGCAAATAATTTCCTAAGTTTTTGTTTGTCCTTGATAGTCTTTATTTCTTCGTCACTTTATAAATACATATCACTGGATGGAGAATTCCAGGTTAGTATTTTTATTCTTCATTTTAAATAATTCATTTCATTCTCTGATTGTTTGCATTGTTTCAGACAAGAAGTCCACTGTTATTTTTATCCTTCGTTCTTCTGTAAACTAAGGCATTTTTTCCCCTCTGATTTTCTTTTTGTCTTTGGTTTTCTATAATTGACTATGAGATCCTTAAGTGTGAATTTTTTCATTACTTATCTTGATTAGTGTTCTTTCATCTTAGATTTATGGTATCAAATGCCATTAATTGTAAAAAAAATTGAAATTTTCATTGCTTAGACATTTGCTACTTTTTGTAGCATACCTAAAAATGTATGACTTGTATGTCATTGTCATTATTCTTAATGAAGCATCCTTTCACCTGGACGACTATTTTCCAATGACTATAAGGAGCGAAAATTAAATCTAGTCCAGTTAAATGTATATTTTTTACCAGTTAATTTAAAAGACGCTGCTTTATATTAGTCTATCATAAAAATAGTACAAAGGTCTAAAAATGAAAAAATGAGTTTCTATGTGTTTATTCTGTAAATAAAGTATCTGGGAAGATATGGGAAAACTCAGTATTTTATGGTTGGTTTTGCTGTGATTCCTTAAACTACTCTAAAAATAAAGTCTATTAAAGAGAAATAAAATATCTGATTTCTAGAATAGCTAAATATTTAAAATGTTTATGCCAGCATACCGTTTGGAAAACTCCAAAACATATTTACAAGGCCATATATGCATGTAAATTGCATTGGCAAACTGCTACACGTTCCCAAAGATAAATAATTCAAGCCTATAGAAATGTATACATTACATTTAGACAAGTCTTAAGTTTCTGATGTAATTGTGTGTGTGTGCATTTTTTTTTAAATTGGAAAGATATACTTTTAATCTCTTCAGTATATTAATTAACTTTAAAAACAAGTTATATTATATGTAGAATTATTTTTAGGTTTTACAATTTTTTTATTTATAAGTTCCAGGATACGTGTGCAAAATGTGCAGGTTTCTTACATAGGTATACACATGCCATGGTAGATTGCTGCATCCATCATCCCGTCATCTACATTAGGTATTTCTCTTAATGCTATTCCTTCTCTAGCCTCCCACCCACCGACAGGCCCCGGTGTGTAATGTTCCCCTCCCTGTGTCCATGAGTTCTCACTGTTCAACTCCTACTTATGGGTGAGAACACGTGGTGTTTGGTTTTCTGTTCTTGTGTTAGTTTGCTGAGAATAATGGTTTCCAGCTTCATCCATGTCCCTGCAAAGGACATGAACTCATCCTTTTGTTATGGTTGCATAGTATTCCATAGTGTATACATGACACATTTTCTTTATCCAGTCTATCACTGATGGGCATTTGGGTTGGTTCTCAGTCTTTGCTATTGTGAACCGTGCCGCAATAAACATAAGTGTGCATGTGTCTGTATAGTAGAATGATTTATATTCCTTTGGATACCCAGTAATGGGATTGCTGGGTCAAATGGTATTTCTAGTTATAGCTCCTTGAGGAATCACCACACTGTCTTCCACAATGGTTGAACTAATTTACCCTCCCACCAACAGCGTAAAAGCTTTCCTATTTCTCCACATCCTCTCCAGTATCTGTTGTTTCCTGACTTTTTAATGATTGTCATTCTAACTGGCATGAGATGGTATCTCATTGTGGTTTTGGTTTGCATTTCTCTAATGACCAGTGATGATGAGCATTTTTCATATGTCTGTTGGCTGCATAAATGCCTTCTTTTGAAAAGTGTCTGCTCATATTGTTTGCCCACTTTTTGATGGGGTTTTTTTTCTTGTAAATTTATTTAAGTTCCTGGTAGATTCTGTATATTAGCCCTTTGTCAGATGGATACATTTTAAAAATTTTCTCCCATTCCGTAGGTTGCCTGTTCACTCTGATGATAGTTTCTTTTGCTGTGCAGAAGCTCCTTAGTTTAATTAAATTCCCTTTGTCTATTTTGGATTTTGTTGCCATTGCTTTTGGCATTTTAGTCATGAAGTATTTTCCCATGCCTATGTCCTGAATGGTATTTCCTAGGTTTTCTTGTAAGGTTTTTATGGTTTTAGGTCCTACTTTTGAGTCTTTAACCCATCTTGAGTTAATTTTTGTATAAGGTGTTAGGAAGGGATCCCATTTCAGCTTCCTGCATATGGCTAGCCAGTTTTTCCAACACCATTTATTAAATAGGGAATCCTTTTCACATTGCTTGTTTTTGTCAGATTTGTCAAAGATTAGATGGTTGTAGATGTGTGGTGTTATGTTTGAGGCCTCTCTTCTGTTCCATTGGTCTATATATCTGTTTTGGTACCAGTAGCATGCTGTTTCGGTTACTGTAGCCTTGTAGTATAGCTTGAAGTCCGGTAGTGTGATGCCTCCAGGTTTGTTCTTTTGCTTAGGATTGTCTCGGTTATGCGGGCTCTTTTTAGGTTCCTTATGAAATTTAAAGAAGTTTTTTTTTTTTTTTTTGCCCATGCATGAAACTACAGGACAGTCTTAAATGCAAATAAGCAAAAATAACCTACTTGAGTACTTCATTCAATGCTGTTTCTAGTAGTGTTTATTACCTATTATTATTCTGTTAGATTAAATAAATTAAAATGTGTGTATAAGGCCTTGCATCTCCATAAACTTGGTAAGAAATAAACACTACTTTGCAGTTTGGAATGAAGAATGGGTCTTATCTGAACAAAACAAAATAATAAATTTTAGTGAATTCTACTTACAAACATGTGCTTTGCAAGTTTGTTGAGCGAAAATCCATTACTTAATTGTTGCATACATGTACAAAAGGAATATAGTCTTTTTTCTTCTCGATCTTTTTTACATAAGCTTCCAAGATGCTCTGCATAACAGTATTTCCATTGTAGTTAAATGCACAAGTTAAATGTGCATTGATAACCTATAGGTGAACATAGGATCATATTCAGATGGTATCATATTTCTAGCTTATGAGAACAGTGTGGCATGTGAACATTTGCCTTATATAAACTCCTAGGTTTATAATTTTAGGTTTCCTTCCCTATGGTTTTACTACTGTAAAAGCAGGGTGATATCTGGTTATCATTGCATCACATAAGAAGACAACAGATCTGAGTTTAGGGTACCAATGTGGGTCTTGATGCAAGTAATAATACCTCTGGTCTCTGCTCCACAGACTTCAGATACAATGAATAAATATAGATATTAAATACTTCTTATATTACTAGTTACAGTGGCTTTTGAAGCAATGCTATGATGTAAACATGAGTGTGGTCGCTTTTTATTTCCCCCAGTGAATCTACCCACCTCCCAGCATCTGCCACCATACCATAGATAAAGACATGTGACCTGCCTGCTGGAGCTGGCTTGCTCTTTATTTCATAGACTAACTCTGACTATAGAAAGAGACTGAAGAGGAGCTCTTTCATATATATATATATGTTAAGTATCTTTTAAAATGTATACCCTAGTTCTGATAACTGGACTTGTTGACTGCTTAAATGCTATAAATGACCAATTTCTAAGTAGTCTTAGGATCTAATATGCTGTAATGATGCCTAATTTTTTCTTCAGAAAATTTACTGAATTTTAATATTTGCTTCAGTAACAAATTAAACAGGATGTATCTGTATCTCTCTCTCTCTCTCTCTCTCTCTCTCTCTCTCTTTCTCTTTCTCCCACCTTCATTTCTCTCTTTCTTTCTTAACTGTTCTACTATACAAAGCCTTTATTTTGGTCCAGGTTTTTTCACCGTTAAAGTGATAAGTTGTCCTGGATAATAATACATGAATAACAGAAACACTTCTATTCTATCCATGAGACACAAAGGAAAAGCGTTCTAGAATCCCATCATAATAATTTCTGTAGAAAGAAGAGTATTTGAAATTTATTCTCATTAGGATCCCCAGGTTTTGAGATTTTTTTTTTCTTGCTCTGCCACCCAGGCTGGAGTGCAGTGGCACAATCATGACTTACTGCAACCTCCACCTCCAAGGCTCAAGCGATCCTCTCACCTCAGCCTCTGGAGTAGCTGGGACTAACAGGTGCGCACCACCATGGCAGGCTAATTTTTTATTTTTTATCTTTGTGTTTTTAGGTAAAGAAGAGGTTGATATTCATCATCTCAGAAATTCAGGCACTTTAAAAAATATTAGAATTTTCAGAAATCCTACTTTCAATATTATAAGGAGGGATTTTGAGATTATTTTTCCTAGACATTTTTATTTAATGTTCAAGGTTATCACTTGCTTCCTGAAAACATTCAGAAAACATTACAAGTTGTTATTAGAGTTATTTTCATGTACCTTCAGTTATTAGTTTTGTTGGTAATAACAATATCATTTAACTTTTAACTTATTTTATAATTTTTTAAATATCTTCCAATTTTTGTGGAGTTTTTGTTCTTTTCAAAAATATTTATCTAATTATTTTGCATAATTCAAATCTAAGATATTTACATTCTCCCAACATCACTTATATGTTTTTGAAGAAATAACTGCATAGGTTTAAATGTATGTATGTTAAATATTCAATATTTGTAACAGCTTTCTTAAAATTTTCTTGAATTTTTCTAAATTTTCTCTTGACTAATTATGTTTTGTTCTGTGTATATGACTGTTCACTGTAATTCACAGACTACACGTTCCTCTTGTGTTTGTAGTATAAAAAAACTTCACAACAGTTGATAGAGTATCTTGTGCCAGTCTACTCAATAGGCCTGAATCAAGCTTTTGAATGGCGGGAATTATTCTTCTGTTATCCCTGAGTCTGTCAGAACAATGCTTAGTGACTCCTTAAGTTACTTTATGATTTTTCATTAGATGTTATGCCTCTCTCCTGGTATTATGTGAGATGGAAATGTATGAGGTTGAAAAAAACTAAATAAAAATTAAAACCTGTACACTAAGAAAATAATAAAGATTTAATTATATACTTACTGAGAAAGTTAAATGAAGAATTGTCTCAGTGATATGTATGTATTACTACATAAGGGTATGTCAATCTGAAAATATCATTCAAAATGTATTGCATGTATGTCATCCATATTAACCTAAAATTATGTATAAGTTGTTTTTTCATGTTTTTAATAAACTTATTGAAATATACATATACAATGTGAAATGATTACCAAAATCGAGCTAGCTAGCACGTGCATCATTTCACATAAATACCTATTTTTTTGTGAGAACACTTAAGATCTACTCTTTTAGCAAATTTTGTGTACAGAGTGCAGTATTATTAATTACAGTCACCATGCTGCATATTAGATCTCTAGAACAGTAGATCTTTAGAACCCTAGAACATAATTGTACTCTTTGACTACTATTATCTCTTGAAGCTAACATTGCAATTAACTTAGCCATTGCTTAATTTAGAGTGTTAAATCTAATTTTTAGTCAAATAAAAATACATTGCCTAAGTAGAATGGGTTCAATGTAATAGCAGTGATTATTATTAGAAATATGCTGAGAACAGATACATTTTATAACTGGTTATAATCCACTTTTCTTATTCAACATTCCTGTATGTTTTGCACTAGTACATGCACTGGCTAAAGAATTTTGAATAACCTCTTTAGATAAAGCTCTGTGCTTTTATCTTTAACAATATATATTCATAATATCTCACACTCTTCTACTCTTGCAAAGTTTAGAATTCAACCTTTTTAGCATGTACTCTTCTTATATTCTTATATTCTTATATTCTTATATTTTTCCCTGATCTCCTTATCTACTGGTAATTGATTTTCAATAGGTAATTTTTAGGGAGATGAACATTTTCTCAGATATAAACACATACTTAGATTTCTTGTTAGGTGAATTATATTTCATTAATTTATTATTTAATTAAAATTGTGTGTTTGCCTTTATTTGTGCCCGTGCACTTGATCTTTACACAGATTTGTAACAAGCATTACTATAGGACTTCATTTCTCAAGGACACTTGTAGAAATAAAAGTTATTCAATGTTTTTATGCTTGGTAATAAATACAAGAGGTAGGACTCTGATCAGGAAAACTGGATTTCTGACAGTTCTAATTGCTGTCCTATGCTGGGGTATGATTAGGTCACCTAAACTCACCAAATTTGATTTTTCATTTGTAAAATTAAGACACTCGGATAGTTTCTTTCAGTCCCTTTTTTGAGCTGAACTGTGAAAGGTAACTTTATAATTCTTATACAATATATAATTTTTATTTTTTGATCATATTACTAATTATTAATTTGTTAATTCTGATAGCATTTATATTAAACTTGTATTACATCTACTAACTTTTTTATGTTTCATGAACCTTGTAAGCAGTTTACTTCATTGAATTTAATCTTGAATACACTTAATGAAAGTGAGATCATTTTTAATTCATATTACATATATAAAACTAAACCTTATTAAACAGCATGAGACAAGACATAAACCAATAGAAATACAGACAATGTTTCAGGGAAAAAAATCTAACAATGAAAAAATCAATATTTGCAAAATATAATATATAAATGTACTATGTTTTCAATCAGAACTCATAATTTAACTGAAAATATTTATATGAGGATTAAATTAATTAATTAACATTATATAAAGTTTCATAAAGAAGACATGGCCTACTGGTTGGAACTTTCTATAAAACTATTTTAGTCAATAAGTTATAATAATTTTATAGTAACAGAAAAATAAATGAATACAAATAAAGTGAGATTCAATAAGTATATCCTCTATAAGAGCACTTAATAAATGATAAATATATTTCCATTCTTCAGTAAAGCATATTTTAATAATCAGTACTGTTTAATAGCTGATTTTGTTGTTTATTGCCATTAAGGTAGAAGTAATGGTAGGAATAAAAATACATTTCAGACTTGTAAGACAGTTACAATAAACTCTAAAAAAACCCAAATAATTTATGGAAATATCTTTACAATCCTATGTCCTATGTTGTGGTAATATTCTTGAGCAAGAGAAAAATATAAAGGGAAATAACATTTATTAATAAGATAAAAATAAATATTAAAGATGATATATAATCAAATAATGAGAAAATAATGAATGCTTTTCTCCATAAGAAAAATGGTAACATTCATAATAAACATTCATGAACAATGTAAAATGATACAAGTGAAAACTGAACAAAGTATATAAAACAGCACCCACATAGTTAAAAATATATGAAAGCATGTTCAAACTCATGATAATATTCAGAGAAATACAAATAATATGATTGTAATGGCTCAGAAAAAATATGCAGTTAGTATTTAATTATAACATACTATATAACATATAAAATATAATTCAATAGGCATGCAATCTAAGTACACATTTTCATTTTTAGAAATTATTTCTCAAAGAAAAGTTCTATTCCAAACAAATTAAATTCAACTCCTAGGTAGATGAATAAACAAACATAGATATGTGTAGCGAAGTGTACATAAGAGTAATAATATGTGTAAGAGCACAGAACTGGAAAAAAAACTGATTATCCACATACAGTAGAGTAAATAAATAATTGCTAATATAGTATATACTTGAATACTATGTAGCAATGAAAATTAAGCATTGCTGTAACATGCCTGAATCTCACAAAAAATAATGTTGAACAAAATATTCTTGAGCCAAGGTAATACATTCGGTTCACTTTGTCTCTACAAAATTTGCGGAGTGTATTTTTTTTATACTTTCAGTTTTAGGGTACATGTGCACAACGTGCAGGTTTGTTACATATGTATACATGTGCCATGTTGGTGTGCTGCACCCATTAACTCCTCATTTAACATTAGGTATATCTCCTAATGCTATCCCTCCCCACTCCCCCGACCCCACAACAGGCCCCGGTGTGTGATGTTCCCCTTACTGTGTCTGAAGTGTATTTTATGGCATTAGAATTTCATGGTTGTCTTGGAAGAAAAGAAAGAAGTCATAATAGAGAATATCCAAGAAGGTGCTAATTTTTTTCATTGAGCTCGGTGTTGTTTTTATTTGGTGATAAGTTCAACTGTAAACATATTACTTTATACTTGTATCCATAAGTCAAATATGCAAAAATATATACAAATCATATATAATAAACATGAATATTATGTGCATTTATGTAAAATGTAATTATAAGAAAAAAAAATCGTCATACCCTTCTGGTTTCCCTTTTTTTTCCTTAGACAGATAAAAACAAAGTCATACCAAAACAAACAGAACCGCTTCTAAGCCATGTTTGAAATTTCTTTCAGTACTTCAACAAGGTATGGTAAAATACATATTGAAATGTTAATTTTATTTTAAGCACGTGAAATTCAGTGGGATTGCATCTAGGAATCATAAGTTTTCCTGATACCACTTTCCACTTTTTCCCCTCAACAAAATAAATACCAAACAAGCTCATACAAAAAGTACATAATATGAGTAAACTAGTAGCTATAGAATAAATTTCAAGAGTTATTTAAGTTGAAACCTTTGGAGAGTTTCACTGCAGAGTCCTTTCAAACCTTTAAGTAACAGAAACTCTTGTAGAGACAGGGTCTTGCTATGTTGCCCAGGCTGGTCTCAAACTCCTGATCTCAAGCCATCCTCCTACCTTGGCCTCCCAAATGCTGGGATTATAGGTGTGAGCCACCATGCCTGGCCTGAGTAACAGAAACTTCACGATTAGAATATACTAGGGGCAAAATAAATAGTGGGAAGTGTCTCATTTTTTAAGTTAAAATAACCTTGATTATGTAGGCTTATCTTGCAACACAAATAAGGAAAATCTCACTTGTAAATATTTACACAAATATTTAAAATAAAGTAGCAAAACTAATTCAGTAGTATTTAAAGTATTTAAAGAATAATTTGCCTACAATACAGTTTACCCTAGACATGTTAGTACATTTTAATACAAGAAACTCTGTTAATATAATGCTTTCCATTCCTCAGTTAATAAAAATATTTTACAATTTTAAGACAATGATTAAAATCACTTAAATGAAAGTCAATAATTTATAGAACAACTCAGGAAGCTCCCCTCTAACTAACACTACGGAAAGTTCCTTTTCTATATATGTCACCATGCTCTGTATTGCATAGTCCTAAAGTTCCGGTCAGAGCAAACTGGAACATGGTTTCTCAATACCTGACCAAAATACAGCCATTAATAGAAGACCAATGACAGATGAAGTAAAGTGGTTTAGAAATCAAGTCAAGATCTTTATTTTGGATAATAATGAATAAATCAAACCAACTTGCATGTTTTTAGCATTATAAAACACTTGCATGCTTTTAACATTATAAAAGCATTATGAAACACATTGCTGACTTTATTTCCATAGTCAACTGTCCCAGAAAAGAAATTGCTATTCCCTGGGGATTGCATCGCTGCTTATGTAAAAGTAAGAAACACAGATAAAAAATGAAAAACAGTTAATTTGTTAAGCAGAAAGGCACATGAAATACAATACACAGAAATTATGTGCCTATTAAAAATATAAGTGTTCAGAAAGCATACTATAGAGGAGGTTTCAGCAAGGGAAATGGCTAAGTAGAAAGAAGGAATGTGGTAAATGAAGTCATGAGTTCCACAGAGTCATGGACTGAGAAACAAACATGATTATGATTGATTTTTAGATTCCAGAATTCTGTCAGTCTCCTAGCAATTTTCTATGAATGTTTTTAAAGCTGCTGAAACCATTTCCTATTCTCTATTTATTGATTCTAAAGCTATCTGCTCTTTGCCAAGTGCAGTTGAAGACACCAGAGATGGAATGAACTGCTTTAAATCATTTATGTCATGGAGTCTACATTCCAGTGGAGGAGTCAGACTCTAAGCAAGTGAATGTATAAATAACACAACATAGCATATGATAAATACTATAAAGAAAATATCCAGATGCAATGGGGTAGAATTGTGAACTTACTTTTTTAATATGCCTCTCTACTCTTATTCCCACCTGCTCTGAGTACATGACTTTTACACTGGACGTTCTAAGAAATGTCTCGCCTAGAGTTAAGAATATGGTTCTCTATAGGACTATAAAGGAAAATAGACAACATTCAGTTTCTAATATGCTGAATAGAATTTTTCAGGGCACCACAAATCTCACACAGATTGTTGCCTTGAAGGAGGATATTTAAAATTGTTCTATGACTTTCTTCCCTCTCCCTCAACTTTCTATTAACATACCAGGAGCTGAATCTGGAGACAATCTCCTAGAATCTTCCTCCTGTCTAGAGCAAATAACATTCTTCCTGTGACAATGAAATCATGAGTTCTGTTCTTTATGAGAATTCACAGAAATTAGGAAAATCTTGTTATAAAATTTAATAAAAAAGAAAATCTCCACAGAGCCTGGGAATTGTGGAAATGAGACAAAAGGGAGAGAAGAGAGCAGGAGGACTGCAAATTGGGACAACCTGAACCACTTTTTTCCTCTTTGAGTTTCAGCTCAGGGCTATGCAGTGGTCTAAGACAAGTGAGGAATAAAACTTAAAGGTAGAGGAAACCTCTTGTATTTCCATCTACTATTTAGAATTCTGGAAGGACATTTGCCCTCTGGCTTTCCCAGTCCCTACATGTGTGTAGATACAGATGACCCTATAGGTACAATGGGTCAGATGAAGTTGACACCAATATTTATCCCACTCCTGAGAGGGGTGGACATGGAGTTGAGAGCAAGTGAGTATATCACTGGGCTCTCTGCAGCAGAATGAGGGACTTGTACCACTGAGGGAGGCAAGATGTGGGACGCAACTGGGACTTAGCAGCCACAAGAGCCAGGGGAAGCTGAGTTGCTGAGGTTGATTAATGGGTCTAACAAAGTGACGGGGCAACCCGGGGCATTAGCCATGGATGCCAATCAAGCAAGCAGTGACAAGTTGGGCTGAGGTCATGGGAATATAGAGAAATCCAAGTTAATGAACCTGTTCTTACCATCTTCTTCAAGTTTATGTAAGGCACAGCCTTCCCCTTACATTTACAGAAGCCACATCTCAGAGGAGGGGGAAAGTCCATTTGTAAAAATGAATCCTGTTGTTCTAGAGATAATGCTAATAAAAGGACAACTTGAATGTATAGGTTCAAGTATTATTTAAATCCTTGAAATGAACACAGCATCTTTTCACTGAAGAAAAGTAGAAAATGTCCTATGGCCAATAATAATATAGATTGCTAGATGGTAATTTTTAAAATGTCTTTTATAATACATGCTTAAATTTAGCAGTTTTCTTCTATGTTAATGTCTAGGTTTTTTTTTTCTATGAGGCACTAATACAAAGTAGGAGTTCAAGGCTTAGTCTCTTATCTATTATTCATTTTAATTTAATACTATTATTATTTTCGGCTTATTTGTTTAGACTTTATTAATTTTAGAATAGTTTCTCATTTTAGAAATTTATATTTATTTATTTAATTTTTTGCACAGCACCATGCTAGACTTTGAGGACACAGCAGTCATGAATAAACCATGATGCCTCCTCTCACAAAGATGATATGCTTTATACATGTTAACTTGTGCAATAATTGATTGCAAATTAATTATTAAAATACAACAGTAATAAGAACAATGCATCACATTTATTAAATGCTGATAAGACTTCCTATGCACTCAGCTAGCAAATTATATACATTATATTTATGAATTATGATTAGAAATGATGAAGAAACAAAGCCAGCTCGGCAAGAAGTTACATCAAGAAATACAAGAATCCATAATACATCATTGAACCAAATTGATAAAATGTAAATTGTCTCATTTTCAATGACATGGCCACATCTTAGAAATGGTTTTAGAATCATAGCCAGATATAAGGGGTTTGTATAGGAAAATAACAAAACTACTTTCTAGCCAGGGCTGTCTCTTTTAAAGATGCTTGCAATGGGAATATGTAGACACAATATCTTAGAGCCTAAAGTCAGCAACATTTGCAAAATGAAATAATGCAGTACTGTAGTCAATACTAACTTAATTGTGTATTTTAAATTACATTTTAAAATGTAACAGGTTTATTTGTAACTCAAAAGATAAATGCTTGAGGGGATAGGTACCCCATTCTCTATGATGTGTTTATTTTACATTGCATGCTTGTATCAAAACATCACAAGTGCTCCATAAATATATATACCTACTATGTACCCCTAAATTTTTTTAAATAAAAAAATTAAAAAATATTTATCATTGGGTTTTTCATTTTTTAGAAGTCAGATTTACATTGAGTAAAATATAACCTGCTTAACTGTACAGTTTAATTTATATATATAAAATATACAAATTGTATACAGTATATATGTATATATGTGTATATATAACTACATATATATTCATAACAACTTTATTATACATATAGTTTTATATATATACATATATACATATATACTACATATAATTTATATATATTTATATATTAATCAAACTGTACAGTTAAGCAGAGTATATTTATATATATAAATTAATCAAACTGTACAGTTAAGCAGGGTAGTATTTATATATATATATATATGAAACTACAAACACATGTACCCCTAAAGTGCCCTTACTGTCTATGTTATAAAGTCCCTTTTCTCTACCCTCCACCCCTAGTTCCTGGAACCACTAATGTGATTCTTGTGCCTTTAATTTTGTCTTTTTCTTATTATTATATAATAGAATCATTCAGGCTGTAGTCTTTCTTTTTGTCTGGCTTCTTTCACTTAGCATTATGCTTTTGAGATACCTGCACATTGTTGCATATAACAATTCTTTTATTTTATATATTGTGTGAATGTATCATGATATGTTTATCCATTCACCATTTGCTGGACATTTGGATTGTATCTTCTTTTTGGTGATTATGAATAAAGCTGTTATCAATGGTTATTAGGGGCTTTTGTGAGAACATGTAATTTCTCTTGAATAAACACCTTGGATTGGGATTGTTGAGTGGTAAGTAACAAATATATAATTTTATAATTGACTGTATCATTTTCATTTCTACCAGGAATATGTGAAAGTTTCAGTTATTTTACATCCTCATTATCATTTAATAATATCATTTTATTATTTTAGCCATTCTGCTAGCAATGCGTTATTAAGTTATAAAATTGTAAAAATTGTTATATTCTTGTCACCAAGTTATGCTAGTAAACCTTTAACTGCAAAAATATTCAAATGAAGTTAGAAAATTCAAAGTTTTTTGAATTTTTGCCATTAACTATTTTCGTTAGTTTTGCTGTTGAATAATAAATATTTTTTTAAAAGTTTGAGAAAAAATGAAATAAATGCATGCACTCATTGTTTGCTAATCAGAAGGATTACTATGCTAGTTATTTAAATTCCTTAATATGCTCTGTAAGAAATCATCAGATTTGGAGACAAACTACAAAAGAGAGGAAAATTACTAAAAGGAGAATAAGAGGTATGCAAAAGTGATCAATATTTTAACAGTTTTTCATATTCTTCATTTGAACATATGGAAGTGGTTTAGTAAGCGAATCCACATTGATATACATTTTTTAACAAAGAAAATGGTTTTGATTTTTTTTTCTCCTAATGTACTAAATAGTGTGGTTACAGTCACTTTGAAGAAATGTCAACGTTCCTATAACAAGGGATCCCAGGGTACTTCACAATTGTTTACTGTCCCCTATTTGTGATTAGTACTACTAAGGAGACATGCTGTATGCTAATGAAGCTATGGTTACTGAAAGAAATCTGGTGTAGAAGTTGGAAAGAGTGTCTGGGACGTCATCTCTGAATAAAGGCAGTGGAATAAAAGAATGCTCCAAGAAGAGAGAACAACCTGTTTTATTGTTATGAGCCAAAACAACATGGGAAAACTCGTAACAGTTCACATTACTCTACATCTCATTCTTCTTTTCTAAACAAAATTGATTTATGGGCTGATTTTAGAATAATTTATTTAAGTGCCAGAAGTAAAATGCTATCAAATAATTCACCAATATGCAATTTTGTAGTATGTGATACATTTGAGACCCCTATGTGCCTATAAAGTGCATATGAAGATCTTGATAAATAAAGATCTTGACTCAATAATTGGGAAGTGCTGAGAGTCTGCATTTCTACCAAATTCTTAGACAGTGACGAAGCTCCCTGTCCATGGACCCTGCTTTGAGTAGCAAAGTGCTAGATTGCATTCTTCCTACTCAAAGTTATCACTTTATAATTCTCTCCTTTCTCTTTCAGAGCACTATATTTTTCCACATTGGTAGATGATTTCTATCTACATAGAAACATACTGTTATGTCTCCTATCTTAATCAGGATTTCACATCGATAACTCCACATAAACTGTTCTTGTAAAAATTGCCAGTGGCAGTCAGTCTTTTATTCTCTGTCCTTATCTTACTTGACATTTCATATGTATTTTCTTAACTTAGGCACTCCATCCTCCTAGAGATGCTTTTGTTGCCTGGCTTCAAGCCGATTCCAGGTTTCTTTCTACTTCATTGGCTCCTTCTCAGTTTTCCTTGCTTATTTCTATTGAGCTCCCCAACCACTAAAGACTGGAAGTCTTCAGCACTCAACCCTTGGAACTCTTCTTCAGCCTCACTTAGTCTCATTGATTTAAATGCCATCTGTTTCCCAAATGTATGTCTCCAGGCAGCACTTCTCTGATCTCATGACTTAAATATTTTATAGCGTTCTTAACATCCCTGCCTCTATCAACAACTCAAAAGTAAATGTTCAGAGCCACAATGATGACTAACCCCAAGTTCACCCTTCTTCCATAGCACAATTTCTCCCTCGCGCACTTAAACAAATGGCAATTACATTTTTCCATTTCCTCAGTCAACATACGCAGAAGTCAAGCTCAAATGTCTTCACTTTTTTTTTCTTTCAAATTCTGCTTTAATGCAGCAATAAATTTTAGAAGTTCTGCCTTCTCCATATAATTAGAATCTTAATATTTTTCACTGTTTCTAACCCTTTAGAAATAACTGCCATCATGTCATACTTAGAAAAATACAATACACTAATATTGTTCTTATTACTTATAATCTAATCTCTTGTGGTCTGTTTTCAACACCAAAGCCGGTATGAGCTTTTACTCATGCGATTTATGTTGTCACTCTCCTCCTTCATATCCTTCAAAAGTTTGGCTTCTCATATGACTTGGAGTTAAAATCAAGGTTCTGGTGATTGTCTAACAGGTTGTGCATGGTGCTACACATGCTATCCATTTAATCTCACTGCCTGCTTCTCCTTTCCCAGCTCACTCCTTCCTGTCAGACCAGCAATCCTGATGATCTTTAACATATCAGTCACATTCCTGCTTCGGGTCCTCAGCCTAAAAAGGTTTATGAGAGATATCTATGTAATTTCTTAAGCTCTTTGCTTAAATATAAGTAGACCTTTCCTTACTTCTATATTTAAAATTGCAGCCTATCCTCTTCTTACCTAGATTCAATTTCTCCCTTCTCCGTTTTATTTTTCTTTGTAGTTCTTATCACCATATGTCATACTGTATGTTATTTATTCATTCATCTTCATATTTGTCCTTTTTTTTTTTTTTTTTTTTTTTGAGATGGAGTCTCGCTCTGTCGCCCAGGCTGGAGTGCAGTGGCGCGATCTTGGCTCACTGCAAGCTCCGCCTCCCGGGTTCACGCCATTCTCCTGCCTCAGCCTCCTGAGTAGCTCGGACTACAGGCACCCGCCACCACGCCCGGCTAATTTTTTGTATTTTTAGTAGAGACGGGGTTTCACCATGTTAGCCAGGATGGTATCGATCTCCTGACCTTGTGATCCACCCGCCTCGGCCTCCCAAAGTGCTGGGATTACAGGCGTGAGCCACGGCGCCCGGCCGTCTTCCTCTTTTTCTAATTGACTCTTTCCCAAGCAGCCTCCCACCCAAGTACAAACCAAGCCCCACTCTGCTTAACTTCCCCAAACGTCAGTATTTAACAATATATCTAGATAACAGACACGCACATATACCACCTGAATTTAAATAAAAGTTGAAAGAGAAAAATAAAAAAGCAGGACTTTTTAATGATCTTGTTTACATTTTTATTCTCAGTCTGGCAAATAATAAGCATTCATTTGATAAATAATTTTTAAATAAATGCAGACAATAAGGAAAGATAACTGGTGAATGCTTCACCTTTAATTGAAAATATGTCATTATAACATTAATTTGTATGGTATTTTCATTTTTTAATACAAATACAAAGATCTAGCAATTTTTAGCTTAAAGAAAATTCATATTAAAGTAATAATATGTTATACTTAAAAAGAATAGTAATTATTGAAGAACTATGGCAGAATGGTGTTCACTGTGAAAATTGAATACTGCCGTGGTCAAGAAATGCATAGTGCTGGAAAAAATGATTGACAGGATACCACTTGTAGAAATTGATCTTCAAGGAATAATTAAGTCTTTGTATCAAAATATGCATGCTGATTATAATTATTACATCATATTTAAGTATGCTTAACTATACTATATTTAAATTAAATATCTGGGTAATCCGTGTGTGTGTCCGTGTGTGTATGTGTGTGTGTGGGGGGGGGGGCGGTGGGTGTGTATGACTCCCAAAACTTTAGCCATGCTTCTGTCTGTGGGGAGATTAGAGATGTGATAGGCTAGTGTCATAAAGACTTTAAACTTTATTCTCTATAATTATGTATTATATGAATATTTTACAGTGAGAATGCATTCATCTATTACTTTTACATTTCTTTTTAGAAAGAGCAGAAAATGTCAACTTAGGTTCAATATGTCAGATACATTTAAATTTCAATAAAATTAAAGAATAATGACTGAGTTCACAAACAGCAATATGCTGCTAAGACATGGAAAGAGATAACCTCTACAGTGTCTAGGAACTGCTTATTTTTCATATGAATACTTAGAAACGTTAAGAAGGCTGTAGAAAAATTGGCAAAATGCTATCAATCACCTTTGCTATTGGCTATAGAATCTATCAAATTTTATTCTCATCCTTGCACAATTTCCCTACTAATACATAAATAACTTAGTTTATTTTAATTATTTATTAATCTATCTCTATGCTTCTTCTTGTCTTCATTAATATAGATACATTTTTCTTATTTAATCAACCCTTTTCTCAGTAGCAATCACCTTAAAGCCACCCTAACAGTAAATAAGGGAGAGGCGTTAATGAACTGAAAATAACACTTACATAATTCCCCAAAGAATCTAACAGTATCACAATCCTAACCAACCTCATCCCCTAAAGAAAATTTACTCCTCATACTATGAAAACATTTCAAACTGCCATGAGTTTTCTAGTCCCTAACATAATGGCTTCTCGATGGCTTCCTATCAGAAAATACTGGCCAGTGAGGTTAAATTTGCAATTAAATTCAGAGTCTGTGAGCTTCTTTGAATTTTAATGCATATTGGTGACAATTTAATATTTAAAGTTATTTTTTAACACATTAACAATAACGCATAGTGTTTTGAACTAAATTGCCTTCCCTCAAGAGAATGTTCATGTATGTAGAAGAGAATTATGTGACACTGGGTTACCAATAAGACCATGGAATAGGAATTTCCATTGCTTGACACCCCCCCACACACCCCCACAGTAAGAACATCAATTTGAACAATTATACACACATACAAAAATACCTTCACAAGACCTATGGAAACTATGTAATAAATTACAACACTTTACCAAGTGTTGAGTACCACAGAAAGAGGAAAAGATACATTAAAGAGGATAGGAAGAACAGTTTTATGTTACTTGCATTATTCATTCCTCAAACCCAGGAAGGACATCATGGAGAGAATCATCCGCTTAGGGAACGAATAGGGAAATGAGCGCTAAACTTTCCTTCAAACTCCAACACCAGGCTCATCCCAGGATAATCCAGCAGAGCCAGGCAGGGACCTTTAACCCCCATACTCCCATCCAGTACCCACAGACTAAGCCTCAAGGCTTTCTCCAGAGCCAGGCTGGATTGCACAGCCTTGGGTTCCAGACTTGCCAAGCAGACTCAGTTTCTGAAACTGTCCCACTACCAGACCAACCTCAGTGAACCCAGGCTCTGGACCAACTGTAGCACTCAGCTATCCCCAGTCACCCCAGGCTTTTGGAATGCCCCAGTGCCAGGCCAGTTGCCACATACTCAGACTTTTGACACCCCAGTAGCAGGCTGGCCACCACAACCCTGATCATCAGACCAGGTGCTGCAGACTCAGCTTCAAAGCTGCATCCTTTGAATATAGGCTTTAAACTTACCCAGTGTCAGGATGACACCTGCAGCCCCAAGGTCCAGTCCTAGCCCAGGGTCCAGAACTATTCCAGTAGTCCCGAGTGCTGGGCAGGATCCTACATATCCAGGCTTTAAGACAACCCTGGGGACTTTAAAGGGTTTTAGGGCAGCACATGTGAATCTAGTCTTCAGACCAGGACCTGCACACCTAACCACCAGGCTGATAGCCCTTATGAACTGAAGCTCTTAGGTAACTCCTGCAGATGCAGGCTCTATTCTATGCAAAGATATAAGGAATTTCTATTAGCAGCTTTATCACCTATCATCACTTCATATGTCATCGAGTATGTTAGAAAAAAAGGTATTGCAGTCAGTATAATGGCTCTCCAAATGTATCAACTGCCTAATCCCCAGAATGAAAGAGACTTTGCATACGTGATGAAGATTAAGGATCTTCAAATGAGAAGACTGTCCTGGCTTATCCAGGTGGGTCCAATATAATCACATAAGTGCTAAAAAACAGAGAACTTTTCCTGGCTGCAGTCAGAAAGAGAGAAATGACTGCAGAGAAGGACAGAGAGATGCAACACTTTTGGATTTGAAAGCAGAAAGCGGGGAGGCACAGCCAAGGAATGTGGGCAACCTCCAGAAGTTGGAAAATACAAAGAAACAGATTATTCCATAGAGGCTCCAGAAAAAAAAAAGCCCCACTCACAGCTTGATTTTGGGCAAGTGAGACCTGTTTTGGACTTCTGACCTACAGAACTGTAACAAAAGAATTTTCTTTTTTAATTCACCAAGTTTCTGGTAAATTACTGCAGCAACAAGAGATAACTAATACATAGGGATATGAAGATAAATAAGACATCTGTATTATTTAAGTAGAATAGTAGTAGTATGTATTATGCCATTATTAAAAATGAAAATGATGCTGCTGGTGAAGTTGATACTGGTAATGACAGTGATGACAACTAACACAGCACTTACTGGGTGGTCACTATGCTCTAAGAATTTTTCCAAGTGTTTCCTGTAAATAATTCTATAGCAATACTCTGAGGTAATTTCCCTGTGAGATATTGTCTCTGTTCTACAGACAAGAAAATTAGGGCATAAAAACACTGTGTAACTTACCAAGGATAACAAATCCAGGGAGAGGCAGAACTGGACTTCAAAATCAGACAGCTAACTTTTTGAGTAAGTGTGTCTTAAAAGTAAAATTTGGCCAGAAGGCAAAAGGTAATGTGGATTTCCATGCAGTTTGTGAACTCCTTTGAAAAAAATCTTATTTCTTGGAAAAATTTCTCTTTAATGCAATCAAATTAAAGTAGGGACTAGTTCAAAGAAATCCCAACTACCCTGCTTGGTACAGTAAGGAGAGATGAATTAAATAGAGATGGCCATAATCCTTCCCTGATACAATAGAATCTCTAGCAAAGGAAATGAGTAATTCATAATTTGATTAGCATATGTATCTAAAATTGCTAATTGTGGAGTTTTTAAAATTATGTATTTAATAAAAACAATGAGACGATAGAGACTAGTTATGGAGGTCATCTTTTACTGGATTAAATTACTGGCAAAGATTAAGAACTGATTGGCTGCTAATGACACTGAAATGGTTAAAGTGAAATTAAGATCAGAGCTACCACAAAGTTTGCTTTCAAGAAACTTGAGATACCTTTGATAAGTAGAATTAGATAGCTGCTATATATCTACACACACACACACACACACACACACACGGACGTATACATCCTTGGAACTTAAAATGAGAATCACTATTTGTGAAACATTGGCATATACATGGCATTCAAAATTGCCAAGGTAGTTCAGATCCCTTAGAGAAAAAAGTCAAGGAGAAAGGAAGGCTTGGAATAGAGCCCTAAGCAACATCACCATGTGGAGAGTGAAAGACTGGGAGTCTACAGAAATTTGGAGTATGGCTGAAAAACCTTGAGAGTGGGAGCAAACCAGGGAAAAGATGGGTAATTTAAGGAGAGAGTTGATAGCTCAGTTAAGGGCTGCTGAAATGTTTAAATTTGTCAATAGACACAAACAAACAGAAGTGACTGGTTGGTTTGAGAACAGTCTAGATGTAATGGTTGAGATATCAACAAGAATACATGAAGACTGCAATTCACATGGTTGGTACAGGAAATGGAAATAGCGTGTAGAAGTTTGTCTTATGGGAAGTTTAGATTTGAAGGCAATGAACGAAGTAGAGTAGTTGTCATGCAGAAATGTGGGGATCAGATGGGCTTTCATATTATTTGGATTTATTCTTGAAAATGTAAGGGTTAAAATATATTTCTAGGCACTGCAGAAACGAGAAGCTTATAGTGTGAATGAGATAATCTAAATAAGAAAAATACTTGAGATGGTAAAAGGGAGGATTTGTGGACAGGTTGGTTTTTGATGGTAGAGGGAACTCTGTTCCCTTTAAGCTGTTGGAAAGAAATTATCAATAGCACGGATGCAGGATGGGTAGATTTGTAGATATAAATAGAGAGGATTTGCTAAGTCAGTCCCTGAAAGGAATGAAAATGGAAGAAGATTTGAGAGGTGAAGGGACATCTGTGGAATTGAAATGCAGTGCAGGAAGAAGGGACAGAATGGAGCTTCTGGCAGCAGCAATTGGAACAACTCATGAGAGAGCACTGTCAAATAATGGTGTGAGGAAGTTCACAGATTCTTCCTTCTTCTCAAAATTATTACTACCACACAGTCACACTGTTTGACATGCCACTTTATAGAAACTTGTTCTGTCGTGTTTAAAGTGTCCTCTTTAAGCTACAAGTATCTTGGAGGTTTCATACTAAAATTGCATCTAGTTATTCTAGACTTCTATTAAATGAGCATAATCTAGTATAAATATATATCATTATTTTCTAAATGAGCTGAAATGATCAAACTGAATGAGAACATTGTTGTAGTGACTGAGAGGATGAAGAACTGTAAACAACAAGAAACACCTCAGTGGGCTATTACTGTAATCCTAAACTTACTTGTAAGAAGAGGTAATAGCAAAACAGAACTATTTCCCATTCTGGCGAAGCTTCAACAAGGAAGACAATAATTAGAAGGTAATTAGGTAGCATAATTCACAAGTTGAGATTCTATGATGTATGAGGCTAATGTAATAATGGTGGCATGAAGCTTTCTTTGATATTAGCAATCACTGAAGATTTGGGTTCAGTAGTGCTTAGCAATTAATAGCTTTTCTACCTTTTGTCAGTATTCCTACATACTATACATTTTATCAATCTATATTCTTTATAATTATAACTGGCATTAGAAAATGCCAAATAATACTCCTATTTAACAACCATATTTAATCTATTACAGCATCACCATTTGTTACCTTTGTGAAAATTATGAAGGATGTTATAGACTGAATGTTTGTATCCCCCCAGTTATATTTTGAAATCTTGACCCGCAATGTGATGGTATTAGGAGTTGAAGTCTGCAGGAGGTAATTAAGTCATAAGGGTGGAGCACTCATCAATGGTATTAGTGACTTCACAAGAAGAGACATGAAAGCTTGCTTTCTCTCTGTGTTCTTTACTTTAGAAGGATATGACTGGAAGACAGCCACCTGCAAACCGGAAAGAGAGCTGTCACCAAGAACCTGACTGTGCTGGCACCCTGATCTTGAACTTTCAGCCTCCAGTACTGTTAGAAATCAATGTTGATGGTTTACTCTACCCAGTCTATGGGATTTTTGTTACAGCAGCCCAAACTGATTCAGATGAGGCAACAAGGTAAAACTGCTCCTGAACTTGTGCTTCTCTCTAACAAACATAAAATCATTTGCTAACCCTAGGTCTAGAGTTCCAGTCTGATGTCAATCAGTTCATTGATTTCCAGGCCATACTTTACTGCTTTCACTATTCTTGTAAGTGTTCTTAATGTTCAACACGTGACAGAGAAGCTAGAAATCTAGCACCGAAATTTCTTTTTTTCAAAAGGAACTTTTATTGTTTTTCCTCACAATATTTTTTGACTGTCTTGCTCTGTGTAGCCCAGCCTGGAGTGCAGTCGTGCGATCTAGGCTCACTGCAACCTCTGCCTCCCGGGTTCACACGATTCTCCCTGCCTCAGCCTCTGAAGTAGCTGGGATTACAGACACCCTCTACCACGTCTGGCTAATTTTTGTATTTTTAGTAGAGACAGGGTTTCGCCATGTTGGTCAGGCTGGTCTCAAACTTCTGGACTCAAGTGATCCACCTGCCTCAACCTCCCAAAGTGCTGGGATTATAGGTGTGAGCCACTGCACCCGGCTTGCCCATGGTTTTAGAATTTGTCTCTGTGACATTATCCCCAGATTTCTGTAAACATTGGGAGCCCATTAATATTATTAAGAATCATAACAATGATTTTTTTACATGAAAATAATCTTTAATATTTAGAACATTTCCTTTATTTCACGTTTAATTAAAGAAGACACTTGAAGGGTGTTTGAAGAAAGTCTAGTTTCTTAATATGGGCATAATTATTCATATTTAGGTTGTTTAAAATAGTTTATAGATATGTCTGTTTTCTTCTTATAAAATTAGTACTTACCGCTTGGAGGTTAAACCAGGTATAATTTCTTGAAGCATCTTTGATTCCCTTCAATTGACTGATAGGCTTAAAATTATGGCTCCAAGAACAATTAAATAAGGAACTGTAAGGAGTGGAGGAGGTTTTGATTTAAACAGAAGGTGACATGGAGCAACACAATTTATTGTTGAGAAACTGGAATGTCCTTTTTATACAATGTAAAAAAAATAGTTCTGGTGGTAGAACAAGAGTATTTCATAATTACCTATTGTGCTAAGCCTTTTGCTTACCATCTTAAATAAAATTCAAAATAAAAAAGCTCTCAACAATATTTTTGACAAAATATCCCACACCATTCTTTTTTTTTTTTTTTTTTTGAGACGGAGTTTTGCTTTTGTTGCTCAGGCGGGAGTGTAATGGCATGATCTCGGCTCACAGCAGCCTCTGCCTCCCGATTCAAGCAATTCTCCTGTCTCAGCCTCCCAAGTAGCTGGAATTACAGTGCGTGCCACCATGCCTGGTTAATTTTTTTTTATTTTTAGTAGAGACGGGGTTTCATCATATTGATCAGGCTGGTCTCGAACTCCTGACCTCAGGTGATCTACCCACCTCGGCCTCCCAAAATGCTGGGATTACAGGTGTGAGCCACTGTACCCAGCCTTTAATATCCCACACCATTCTATTCTCATTCCTTGCAGGATGATACTAGGGTATTTAATATTTTTCTGATTTTTATTATTCTTCATTATTTTATTTTTATTTGTAATAGTAATACTGTAGTAGCTGTCTGAAAAATAATGGATTGCAATCTGTTAGGCATTTTTGAGAACAAGAATCAAAAATAGATATATTTCAAAAAGGCCACAGGTTGTGTGTGTGTGTGTGTGTGTGTGTCTGTGTGTATGTGTGTATGTGGTGAGAGAAGATTACATAAATAATATGCAACTCAGTACTACAGACTGAAATGTATCCCCCTGGAAAATTCATATGTTGAAGACTTAACCCCTAATGTGGTGGTATTTGGAGATGAAGCTCTTGAGAAGTAATTAAGGTTTAGATGAGGTCAGGAGAGCGAGGCTGTCATGATAGGATTAGTGCCCCTATAGGAAGGAAAAACAGCATCCTCTTTCTTTCTTTTTCTCTCTCTCTCTCTCGTCATGCAAGGACACAACAAGAAGGCAGACTTCTGCAAGTGAGGAAGAGAACCCTAACCTGTATCCCACCATGCTGACACTCTGATCTCAGACTTTCAGCTTCCAGAATGCTGGAAAATAAAATTATGTTGTATAAGTGACTCAATCTGTGGTATTTTATTAAGGCAGCCAAGTGGATTAAGACAATGAGCATATTTCTTTATTGCTCTTTGGGAGCATCTGGGGTAGGATGTAGCAAGATCTCAGAAGAGATAACTGTGATGAATCAGTAAAGGCTGAATTCAAGACCCAGGTGCTCCAAATATACAAAAAAAATGCATTCTTAATTATTGCATAAAAGCAGCGGAGCTATTGAAACAGAAAGCACCTTGGACATCACTGTAATAACCAGCATGCACAAATGTCCACTAACTGGAGTGGTCTTCTGCAATGAGTAAGAGCTTGGAACTTGGTGAAATCTGAGAAAATGGACCTAGACTCAATAGTCACTGTTAATGAATTTCTTATCGATTCACCAGAGTGTGAATTAAGGATCATACTTTCAAATTTTTAATATTTTTGGTACTCTTGAATTTCTGAACTAACATTCTTACCCTTCTAAATTAAATGAGATGGATTCAAATATATTTTTATCAAAAATATTATCCATTGAGGTTATAAGACCATTGACTATGGCAATAGTCAATATCATGCTTAACAATGAGGATATCTTTTGAGAAATGTATCGTTAGGCAATTTCTCCATTGTGTGAGCATTGTAGACTGCACTTACACAAACCTAGATTGTGTAGCCTACTACACACCTAGGCTATGTAGTAATCTTTTTCTCCCTGGCTGCAAACTTTTAAACTGTTACTGTACTGAATATTGGGAAAAATTGAAACAGTTTGGTAAATACTTTTGTATCTAAATACATCTGAACATAGAAAAGTTACAGTAAAAATATGGTATAAAAATTCAAAAACAATTAATTGCTATAGTTGGAATATTATCCCCCTTTAAAATTCATGTTGAAACTTAATCCCCAATTGGCAGTATTGAGGGTTAAGGCCTTTAAGAGGTGTTTGGATAATAAGAGTTCTGCCCTCCTGAATGGATGAATCCGTTCATGAATTAACAGATTAATGGGTTAATGAATTAATGTGTTATCGTGGGAGTGGAACTGTTGGATTTATAAAAAGAGAAAGAGAGACTTGTGCTAGCATGTTCAGCTTCCTTATTGTGTGAGGCTCTGCACCACCTCCAGAGTATGCAGAGATTCCCCACAAGCAAGAAGATCCTCACCAGATGCGACCTCTCCATCTTGGACTTCTCAGCATTTATAACTACAAGAAATAATTTTTTTTTACTTTATAAATCGACAAGGTTCATGTAATCTGTTCTAAGCAAAGGAAATGGACAAAAGCACTAATCATCAGGGAAATGCAATCAAAACCACAATGAGATACTGCCTCACTATGGTTAGAACGGTTTTTATCAAAAAGAAAACAAACAAATGCTGATAAGGATGTGGAGAAAGAGAAATTCTTATACACTGCTGGTGAGAACGTAAATAAGCAAAGCCATTATAAAAAACAATATGAAGTTTCTTCAAAAAATTAAAACTAGAACTATCATACCATATGATTCAGCAATCTCATTATTGAGTATATATGCAAAGGAGATGAAATAAGTGTGTTGAAGAGATATCTGCACTCCCATCATTATTGTAGTGCTATTCACAATAGCCAAGATACTGAATCAAATTAAGTGTTCATCTACAGATAATTGGTAAAGATAAATGTGTATATAAACAATGGAATGCTATTCAGCCTTAAAACAGAATGAAATCCTGTCATTTGACATAACATGAATGAACCCAGAAGACATAGTTAAGGGTAATAACCTAGGCACAGAAAAACAAATACTGCATGATCTCACTCATATGTGGAATCCGAAAGAGTTGATTTCATAGATGTAGAAAGTAGAATAGTGGTTACCGAGGCTAGAGAGAGTAGAAGAGAGGAAGACTGGGAGAGATGGCTCAAGCGGTTCAAAGTTACAATTAGAGAAGAAGGATAAATTCTGGTGTTCTGTTACACAGTACAGTGACTAACAAATAATAATGCAGTGTGTATTTCAAGATAGCAAGAAGAGAAAATGTTTAATTTTATCACCAAAAAGAAGAGATAAATGTTTAAAGTAATGAATATGATAATGTCTCTGATTTAGTAATTATACAATGTATACATGCATTGGAGCATTACAGTATACTTCATATATTTGTACAATTATTATTTGTTAATTATTAATAAAACATTTTTTTAAAGATAGAAAGATGCACCTGTATAGGGCAGCTCTATTATAATCTTATGAAACCTCATACATACGTATATGCACATATGTATACAAATGTAGATATACTATGGGCAAACTAAATCAGACATTATAAAAAAAGTAAAATAATTAAGCAATTAACCTTTTATAGTCATGATTCTTACACATATTCATTGTTTTTGTGTGATAATTTTATTAAATGTAATAATGGCTTCAAAAACACATAAATTTAGGTGAAAATTAGTTTAGAAGAGAGTATCAATTCAAAAAAATGTATGTTGAAATTTATCCATTAAAATAACAGTAAAATTACATTTTTCCATAAACCTTAAAGTCAGTAGAGAGAAGGTAAAATTTTTCATAGCTACTGACTAAGCTGAATTTAATAATTTTAATTTAGTAGAACATTTTCTTTCCTGAGAGATTTCTCCGTAGTGTTTTATATGCATACATAGACACATATATTCACTAATTGTATCTACTCATTTATATATATAGCTATATACTCATATTTTTATTTTTATGTAAAATTTCCAAAATGCTTAATATGGCAGTATAATAATTATAACTAGATTTACTTCAAAACATAGACATAAAGAAGATTACATGCCTGTAGAAGTTCATTGAATTAGGAATCACATGCTATTTATTTTAGCAGATATCTTCTTAATTAAATGTTTGACCCATGTGAAGTCATTTAACAGATCTGTTACGCATTATTCACATATGCAAAATAATCTATATGATCTGAATACCATTTCCATCTTTAAAATTACATATTCCTAAATTAGATGTGAAAACAGTCAAAATAGATGCCTCACAACTTTGTGCTAGCCATATAATGGATCACACATCTTATGCCAGGTGAGAGGTCTTCTGTCTTCAACTGATTTTATATTGAAATATAAATTCCTGAGTTTCCTCTTATAGTATTAATGTCTCCAAAGTTCTACAAAAGAAAACAATAAAACAAATATTCTTATGTATGCCAACAAATATAAAAATAGTGAATGTAATATCTCATAAAACATTTATAAACAATCAAACGATAGCACACCCAGTGCACACTTGGGAAAGGTGAATGCAATATAAACTTAAATAATACATTCCTATAAAAAGCTTTAAGGGCTTAAGTTACGATCTTTCACTCTCATCTACTGTGTATTTGGCCACACAACTCAATAATGTTGACAAATCTAATTTTCTAAAAGGCTTGAGGTTGTTTTTGATGCAACAATGATAGAAAGATTTGCTGGTGGGTGTCTGAGTCCAGTGAGTCTTGTATTACAGCAATGAGGCAGCAGACATAATAAAAGACATTCTGGCCAAACAATTTTCTTTTATATCTTTAACAGTGTTTTTAGTCAGGGTAAATATCATTCCAGGTCTTTTATTAATTTGCCAGCCTATATATTAAAATGTAGACCTCAATCTCAGCCAACCTTTGAAGTAATTGGAGGTAAGCAGAATTGCATGAGCTAGGTGATTGAATAATGGTATTAGAAAAGTGTTAGTTAGTTTTAAAAGGTATAATGGATACTATGAAGTAGAAATTTCATTTTAAATCTGAAATCATTAAAAGGTTGCCTAAGGCTATATATATATCATTAAAATCATTAAAAGTTTGCCTAAGGAGATACATAGTTTCACAGTTTGAAAGAAAGACTGGTACTAGTTAAATTGTCTTCACAAAAATCTATAAAAATAATACTTTAAAGTATAATAGTGGTAGAAAAGTTAATATAGGAACCTAGGATGTCAAAAATTAGTTGCAAGATTAGCTGTCCCTTCAGGAACTTTTTAGATCTAACAGGGAGCTTCCTTTCCATGATACTATGTATCCATATACTACTACTGAACATTATTCCAAAAACACTACCACCTGAGAAGGGGTTATATATTGTATTAGATAAACAAATAGCAAGCATATTCATTCAAATACAAATTAATCTTCATGGATTTTGAAGTAAACATGCAAAAAAGACAATGCAACTCTGACATAATTTATGTTCAAGATTCAATTTCAAAAAAAACCATAGTTTGTAATTTAAGAAAAGAGAAATTACTTGCAAATTATAAACTTTTAACAAAAACTTGTTATTCCATTTTGAAAAACACTGTATCTGAAAAAAAGTTTTTCATCACTCATCAAAACAGGAAAATATAGGAATATTTATCAAAATGAGAAATGCTCTCATTTTGATATGCTATATAGAACAGTGCAGTAGGTGAATCACAGGTAAAAAGAAAGAATAGGATTTGGTTTTCACAGATGAAGCATAATAATTCAGCAAAGATTTGTCAAGTATGTGCTACATGTATTCCAGGTATATAGAGGGGATAGAGATCTAGGAAAAGAACATTCTAGGCAGAAGGGACAACAAATGCAGAGGTTCTTACATTTTTCCTTCAGGTATAGCCATCTGATTTATGTATAATTATATTTGTACAAACATACCTTAAAAATAAATCAATGTGTAAGCATTTACATTGTGAGGTGTTCTTAAAAATGGGCCAATTTATTCTGGAATTCTAAAATATTATTCAGCAGTATCTAAGATTAAGAACTCAAAAAGGGTACTAACTCTCCCTAAATTCAAAGGCCCTAACTTAGCTATGAGTTATATATACATATATTAATATGACTTTCATGGAACCATTGTACAAATTATGGTTGAAAATTATGTCATTTTATTAAAGATCATGTTTCATGTGCTAAACAATTCACATATATTTTATATTATCTTGCATAATATCAAATATAGTAATTCAATTCAATTATCTATCTACTTTTCTGGACCCCCTAATTTTACCCATGTATACATATTTTAGACAGCTTTACATATATATATGTATATATATGTGTATATATGTGTGTATATATATGTATATATGTGTATATATGTGTGTATATATATGTATATATGTGTATATATGTGTGTATATATATGTATGTGTGTGTGTGTGTGTGTGTGTGTGTGTGTATATATATATATATATATATATATATATATATGAGTAAAATTAGAAGCTCCTTAAAAGCTCATTGCAAGAGAATTATCAGTATTTTATCTGTCTGGTGGTTTCCCGGAATATCTCACTTATGAAGCTATTTGTATTGGACTTAACTTAGAGCTCACCTGGTGTGAAAAGCCTTTTCCCCAGGGGTAGTTGTAAAAATAAAAAATAAAAAATATATATATATATATACGTAGATAGGCAATTGTTAAATTTCACAGCCTAAGAGTGTGAATAGGAGTTGAAATGAACAACTGATTGAAAACCTTTCAAGGAAAATCTGGATAATGAAATAGTGTTAGGGATTATCCACCTATTCCTGGAAGTCTAGAAGGAACACATGCATGCAGAGGACTTTGTGCATGCCCAAGACTGTGTACATACATCAAGATGATCCGGGAAGGCCCTAATCTCTCTGTTCTAGTTAATCTTGAGAATATGCATAAGGAGAAAGTGAAGTCCGAATCAGGATTGTCAGTTTCAGGCTGAGTATTGAAGGCATAACCCAACATGCATACAGAATTTATTTACAAAGATTAGAATACTTACTGGTTCCTGGCAGCTAAGGAACTCTTTGTCCAATCATTGAATGACTACTAAGTTAA
This sequence comes from Homo sapiens, assembly GCF_000001405.40. NCBI lineage: Eukaryota > Metazoa > Chordata > Mammalia > Primates > Hominidae > Homo > Homo sapiens. The sequence continues at coordinate 34,866,354 of NC_000004.12, forward strand.
CTGAGCAGAGACTGCTCATGATAAAGAATACAGATTTTAGAGAATTGTATCAGAAAATTCACTAAACCAAAAACAATGACAAACAGCAATAACAACAGCCTTGGGAATATGCTCATATCAAGAATCGCAACTTTATATTATTTAAAGTGTACAATTTTCAACCAAAAATTATGAGATGTGCAGAAAGGGAGAGAGAGAAAGAAAGAGACAGAGTGGAGTTCTCCTAATTGCAATCATAGTTTACCATTTCATTGCTGTTAGTTCCATGTGTTAGTGACAGTTTAGTATCTATTTGAATACACAAGAAAATAATATCAATAATATGTAATAATGTCCAACGAACACATGTAAACTTCCATTTGACTTTAAGTCAAAAGTGAAGGGAACATTATACTATTCTGTGTTTACATAATTTAATAAAAACAAAATACATCAGGAAATGAGATCATAATAATTCATAACCATAAACTTTGAAACAACATCAAACATTATAAATATTTTATGTTCACTCAACCAAGCTTGAGGGCTATTCATGCCTTTCCGGTAAACCACTGCTATAGAGAATAAAAATATCAGCTCTTATATTGCCACTGTATCATGAGTAAACACGTTTATTTTCCTTAACTAGTTTCTGTTTTAGTCATTTAAGTATTTTTCTTATGTAATTCTTTTGTCTTTCTGCCATGTCATTCATATGACATAAGTTTTCTTTAACTTCTAGAGTGAAATTTCTAGGGACCCTGACATTTTACATAAGCTGTGAAAAACATCTTGAGAAGGAAAAAGGAATTAACATGTGAAATCAAACTTTTGTAGATTTCTGGCCTGGCGTGGTGGTTCACTCCTGTAATACCAGCACTTTGGGAGGCCAAGGTGGGCAGATCACGAGGTCAGGAGATCGAGACCATCCTGGCCAACAAGTCGAAACCCTGTCTCTACTAAAAATACAAAAAATTAGCCGGGCATGGAGGTGGACACCCATATAGTCCCAGCTACTTGGGAGGCTGAGGCAGGAGAATCACTTGAACCCAGGAGGTGGAGGCTGCAGTGAGCTGAGATCACACCACTGCACTCCAGCCTGGGTAACAAGAGCAAAACTCCGCCTCAAAAAAACAAACAAAACAAAATTTCAAAAGTGTATTCCTATCCCATAATACAATAAGTGATAATTTAAAACCAAACCCAATTCTGAATTTAATTAAGGATGATGCAACATGGTATAGCTTTAAATACATGTGTTTTGAGATAGTGGTGGATCCACTCTATAACCTACGATTTAAAGTGCATTGGGAAGTAAAGACACTAGTCCTAGCTTACTCATCTAAACCATGAGGATACTAATATCTTCCATAAAAAGTTGATCAGGCTTATTGACACATCTGTAAATCAACTTGTCTAACTCCTAGTTGGTGATAATTAGTTTAACAAGAATATTTATGTAGTGATATATAGCTAATGTGGCAAATCACATTAAATGCAATTAGTTTTTTAAGTATTTATACTCATATATACAGAAAGGTTAACTTAATGCTCATTCTATTTGAAGAATATTTGCAGTAATTTTGTGACAGATGTTTAATACAAACCTAATTAATAATTCAATACCAAATTAATTACTCCGTAGACTTTTGAAAATTTCATGAGTCACCACTCATGATTACTCATAGATATCATACATTAAATATCTCCCCAAAGAGGAAAACAATTTCTTTCCCTCAAAATCTAGAAAATGTGCATGTTCTTAATATTATAAACTAGGTGAATAATTTTGAGCGAGCATTCACTTTGTATCTGATACGCCCATGTTTCTTTAAAACCCTAAGTTGTTATTGATTATAGTCACTCTGTTCTGCCATCAAATACTAGGTCTTATAATTGGATTGTAAGAGGGTGTAAACCCTATTTTTCATGATGTGATAATTACCTATTTCACGCCTGTATCAAAACATCTCTTATACCCCATAAGTATTTAAACCTACTATACACTCACAAAAATTACTTTTTTTAAAAAAAGTAAAACTAAGTTTTTTCAAGTCTGATGCCCTGCAAAGCTGCCTGACTGACGTAACTTGGTTCTAAGTTGGCTTTCATATACAGTAGCTCTGTAATATTTTTTAGCAAAATGATATTTTAACCAATTTTATCTTCTCAGCATCTAATACTGTAGCATATGTTTAATAAAATATTGTTGAATAAAGTTAATTCATCCACTATGTATTCAAGTTATACTTAAATATTGGGGAATTTTGATTAATCTTATGAATTAATTCAGTACTCTATGACGAAATGACTGAACTGTAAACCAACAATTCCTCTTAGTACTGATAATACGTTTAATTTCTATAACTTGAGTAAAACTGTTTACTCCCAAATTTTAGTATGAAATGCTCATATCCCTAAAACCATCATTTTCAGTCTGTAGCTAACTTTTTTAAAAATGAAATGTACATTCATTTTTCTTTTGGATATAATACATATAACACATATGTTTTTACTGACATCCTGAGGATATCAGCACAAAAAATATGTTTCTATACTCCGGAAAAAATTTGATTAAAGAAATAGAATAGATCAATTCGGTTATACAAAGTCAATTGAGTTATATAAAAAGTATTCCAAACCTAATAGTCTTTTTGTCTAATGTATTTCTTCACAGCAAGCCTCATTTTCTCTAACCATAAAAACCCCCAGAATTACAATCCCATCTTTATAAATAAGAAAGAGATAATTTCCATTTTTTTACTGTCATATTAGGTGAACTTACTGTTTATTTGACTAAAACCTGAACCTTTACCTTTCCTGATTAGTGTTACATATTCCATACCTAGGTTTAACCATGTCCTTCCCATTAAAATTATGCTGTTTTACATCCAATTACCTATACTCCATTGATATATTGATCATATGTTTACCTTCTTAATGTCTAATGTAACATACATGAACTTCTGTGAATTTTCCTCTACATGCTTCTCTACCACCATCCTTATCCTGTGGTACAGAAATAGAACTCTTAAAACAGGCTCAAACTCCCATTATCCATTCCGATGTTCCTTGCTCATGTTCCTTTATCTCATCATGTTCCAATATGCCATAATTTCCCACTTTCAAGACTCAGCTGTAGAAAGTGTTTTTTGATCTTCACAGAAAAAATAGACTTTTTATTCCTTCGAACCCACAGGATACGATAGCACCATAGCCATTATAATATGTTTTACTACTTTATTTTCCTCTTCTAGATCAAGGAGATTTCGAAGATGGTACTGTGTCATGTAAATAATTGCCTTCCTAGCACCTGACATTAATAGACATTTGATAAATATTTATATTTTTATGAATAAACTAATTCAACTAAAAAGCAATTTGATATTCTAATTTATTCTAAAATATGTACTTATTTTCTTATTTATTGCTTATATTGTTACAGATAGCTTGTAAGGTATAATCCACGTGCCCCAATAGAGTGGAAGGTGCTGAAGATAAATAACAGGAAAGGTCACCAGTTCAGCTCTGAAGTGTTAATCATTTACACAAGCATGGAAAAATAGAAAGTATTTATTGTTATTATAATAACTATGCAATCTGCATTCCAAAAATCTTCTCAGTACATTAACTCTAAGGTTAAAAGAATAAATCAATACTGGGAGAATTGATATCACAGTGAGATTGTGAAACTATATTTTTAAGAGAAGTTCTTTTGACCCACTAATGTTGTTAGTTAAAAGGTCTTTTTTCTCCTCTGATCACTTCATACCGATTCTCAATTTTCAGATGTCAATGTATGCATTTTTCAGTCTTCTTGGGAAGTAACAAACGGAAGTAACTTGGTTCTACATAAGAAAACAGTTGCAGAGATTCAACTGACGACCACTGCCTTCACCACAAAAGTGAAGAAATATTCACATTCTGAGTCTACTGCATAATTCTGAGTAGCACTGAGAGGCAAATAGTGCTATAACAAGGGGTTAATATGTTCAGTCTGTCTTCAAATTGTCCCTTTTGACGAATCACCAGTTTTCTACTTTTTCAACTGAAATAAACTAATTTCTAGAAATCTTGACATTTCACATATGTAGATAGGTGCTGACATTTCAGTTTCAGGATGCTCAATACAGCTACCTTGAAGGCCACAGAAGATATCGAAATAAGATGCTGAAATAAATACTTAAATTTGACAGACAGTTGCCCTCTGGACCTGTGAATATTATTTCAGGTCTGTGTGGTGCTTGCACATCGCTAGACAAATATTTACATAAACTCTATTGGGTCCATTTTATTATTTATGTCTTTTCATTTTCTTTTTTACTCATAACCCAAAGAACATCATACATTTTACAAATCTTTTTGTATAGCATTTTAGATATTAGATGAAATATCCTTTTCCCACTAGTCTTGTGACTATCTGCCCTCTTATTAAATTGTTGGCTCACTCTTTCCTGAAAAAATAAAAGTTGTTTCAAACAACTGCAGCAACTTTTTATGTTCTGAAATGTTTTAGTCCCTGGGGGCAGAGCAATATCCAGAAGTGTAAGAGAAACTTTTACAAACTATGGACCAAGAAAGCTCTGCAGGGTACGTGGACAGAGGAACAAAGTGACTCCTCTCTATTCTTCACTCCCCAGTATATGTGCCCTATATAGTCACAGAGGGACCTATTAGTAAAAAGACACATTGTCTCTGCTTGAAGTACATACTGGTGACCAATAACTGGGATACCAAAAACTTGTGAAGTTATTTATCTATTTTAGACAAATTCTCTGTTTCTATTATAGCTAGTGTTCCAGTTTTCAGGACAATTCTATAATATTATTTCTCAGTTAGTCATTTGTGACATTATTCTCTACAGAGGTATGCAGACTGTTCATCACACCTGAAGATACCTCTCACATGTGGCATTTGTGTGTGGGGTGTACCCCAAGGTACAATTTAAGATCATATTCCCATGTGCCTCAGCAACAGAATCATAGGATTCAAACTCTAGATCAATTTCCTACAATTTCTGTAGGATATACAGCTACATATGAGACAATACCATCCAAATCAATCAATCAGAACAAAAAGACATGGCTGCTGAAGACTAATCTTCTATTTTGAAAGATATTCAGGGATTCTATAATAATTGTTTACTATACTGATTAATTTTTAACCCTTCTCAATTTTCTCCAAACAAATCTTAAATCAACAATGTCAAGTTGTAGTACTAAATCAACCTAAGACAGTATAATGCTGATCTCACACAGATATAAATATGTGAAATTGAATGCAAATAATCTTTGTTTTCATTTGTTTTAATCTACCATTTTATGCACAAAGATATATATAAAAGAGTTACTGTGAGCTAGTCATTGTACAAGTTACTAGTAATACTTTAGTTAACAAAGCAAGAAGTTATGCAGATTAAATTATAAGTGGGGAGACATAAAACAGATAAACAGAAACAATAAATATACAAATAACATAGTAGCAAGAAGATAAATTTGGGAGTATAAAATCAAGCTTAATAAGGGGAATAGGCATTCTTGGTTGGATATAGAAAGATAATATAACGTTCCGTTCAAGACTGTAAAGAAATAAAGGGATCTGACTCTTCCCTGAGTCTGATTTCTTAGGGAAAATCATTCCAAGCGGAGAGGACAGCTAGTGCAATGGCCCTGGGGTAGAAGAAACAAGACTAATGCTTTCATGGAAGAGTTGCTGGAGTAGAGGAAAAAGTTGCAGGCCCAATCACGTGGATCCTTGAAGACCACTGCAAGGACTTTGCCTTTACTCTAAGTAACAGAGGGATCATTGGCAGGGTTTGGAACAGAGACATTATATTATTTGTCTTAGTTTTAAAGTAGATTTTTATGTCCCTATGGTGAAATATGGGGTAAAGGCATAACAGTTTTCTGGCATTGGTAGTAACGCAGGTACTAAATGGTGTTTATTTCAATAATGAGGGCAGCTGTAGAAATTGGAAAAAAAAGTACAATTCTAGATATATTGATAGAGCCAACTTCCTACATGTATTACATTTTAAAACTTAATATATCAAGAAATACATTGGTGCTAAAGGTATTTTTTAAAAATACAATACCTTGCTAGAGTTTGGAATTTAAATTGTACAGAAAGATAGTGGTGCTATACTCTCTCATATTCCCTCTGTTGGAAACTACATTTGCAAAATCTTTAGTGTCTTATTTTCTCACCATTTAGACCTCTACTGTGATATTACCTCTTCAGTACAACTTTCCTAATGACTCTATTTTGAGTAGCACTTTCTATCATTCCTTTATTCATTTTAATTTGCTTTTTCCCCTTTCTGCATTACTATTTAACATTATATTTTTATTTCCTTATTTTAATTTTTATTTATCCATTAGTATAGTGCAATATTTATGACAACAGGGTATTTTTTTATTTTTATTTTTGCTTTTGCTATCAGATCACCAGTGTTTAAAATAGGATCTGTCATATACAAATATATTTCAAAACTTCTGAATCAAACGATTTTTTTCTTGATATCTTATTTCACATATGCATTTTTACTATTACACAAAAAAACTACACTTTGTTTTTAAGTAGTACTAACACTATAAATAAAATAATCACATAAAATAAACTGCTATATTCATGCTTTATGAATATTGTCTGAGTTTTGAATTTGCTGCTTTATTCAAAGGCACTCTGCAGCAGCTAGCTAAACAATAAAAGTAGAAAAAAGTGACTTGCCTCCAGCAAACTCCAGTAGACCTGCAGAAGAGGGGCCTGACTGTTAGAAGGAAAACTAACAAACAGAAAGCAATAACATCAACATCCACAAAAAGGACGCCCACGCAAAGACCCCACCCAAAGGTCATCGGCATCAAAGATCAAAGGTAGGTAAATCCACAAAGATGAGAAAAACCAGCACAAAAATGCTGAAAATTCCAAAAAAAACCAGAATGCCTCTTTTCCTCCAAAGGATCACAACTCTTCACCAGCAAGGGAACAAAGCTGGAAGGAGAATGAGTTTGACGAATTGACAAAAGTAGGCTTCAGAAGGTCGTAATAGCAAACTCCTCTGAACTAAAGGAGCATGTTCTAACCCAGTGCAAGGAAGCTAAGAGTCTTGATAAAAGGTTATAGGAACTGCTAACTAGTATAACCCATTTAGAGAAGAACATAAATGACCTGATGGAGCTGAAAAACACAGCAGGAGAACTTCGTGAAGCATACACAAGTATCAATAGCCGAATGGATCAAGAGGAAGAAAGGAGATCAGAGATTGAAGATCATCTTAATGAAATATAGTGTGAAGACAATATTAGAGCAAAAAAGAATGAAAAGGAATGAAAAAAGCCTCCAAGAAATATGGGACTATGTGAAAAGACCAAACCTATGGTTGATTGGGGTACCTGAAAGTGACGGGGAGAATGGAATCAAGTTGGAGAACACAATTCAGGATATTATCCAGGAGAACTTCTCCAACCTAGCAAGACAGCCAACATTCAATTCAGGAAATACAGTGAACACCACTAAGATACTCCTCAAGAAGAGCAACCCCAAGACACATAATCGTCAGATTCACCAAGGTTGAAATGAAGGAAAAAAATGTTAAAGGCAGCCAGAGAGAAAGGTCAGGTTACTTATAAAGGGAAGTCCATCAGACTAACAGTGGATCTCTCTGTGGAAACCTTACAAGCCAGAAGAGAGTGGGGGCCAATATTCAACATTCTTAAAGAAAAGAATTGTCAACCCAGAATTTTATATCCAGACAAACTAAGCTTCACAAGTGAAGGACAAGTAAAATCCCTTACAGGCAAGCAAATGCTGAGGGATTTTTATAGCCACCAGGCCTGACTTACAAGAACTCCTGAAGGAAGCACTAAATATTGAAAGGAAAAACCAGTATGAGCCACTGCAGAAACATACCCAAATATAAAGAGCAACCACACTGTGAAGAAACTGCATCAACTAATGGGCAGAATAAACAGTTAGCATCATGATGACAGGATAAAATTCACACATAACAATATTAACCTTAAACATAAATGAACTAAATGTTCCAATTAAAAGACACAGACTGGCAAATTAGATAAAGAGTCAAGACTCATCAGTGTGTTGTGTTAGGGAGAACAATTTCACACGCAAAGACATGCATAAGCTCAAAATAAAGGGATGGAGAAATATTTACCAAGCAAATGGAAAGCAAAAAAAAGCAGGGGTTGCAATCCTAGCCTCCAATAAAACAGACTTTAAACCAACAAAGATCAAAACAGACAAATAGGTGCAGCACACCAACATGGCACGTGTATACATATGTAACAAACCTGCACGTTGTGCACATGTACCCTAAAACTTCAAGTATAATAAAAAAAAACAGACAAGGGCATTACATAATGGTAAAGGGGTCAATGCAACAAAAAGAGCTAACTATCCTAAATATACATGCATCCAATACAGGAGCACCCAGATTCATAAAGCAAGTTCTTAGAGACCTACAAAGAGACTTAGAGTCCCACACGAAAATAGTGGGAAACTTTAACACCCCACTGTCAATATTAGACAGCTCAACAAGACAGAAAATTAATAAGGATATTCAGGACTTGAACTCAGCTTTGGACCAAGGGGACCTAATAGACATCTACAGAACTCTCCACTCCATCAACAGAATATACATCCTTCTCAGCACCACATTGCACTTATTCTAAAATTGACCACATAATTGAAAGTAAAGCACTCCTCAGCAAATGCAAAAGAATGGAAATCATAACAAATAATCTCCCAGACCACAGTGCAATCAAATTAGAACTCAGGGTTAAGAAACTCGCTAAAAACTGCACAACTACATGGAAACTGAACAACTGCTCCTGAATGACTACTGGGTACATAGAGAAATTAAGGCAAAAATAAATAAGTTATTTGAAACCAATGAGAACAAAGACACAACGTACCAGAATCTCTGGGACACAGCCAAAGCAATGTTTAGAGGGAAATTTATAGCACTAAATGCTCACAGGAGAAAGTGAAAAAGATCTAAAATCGGCACCCTATCTTCACAGTTAAAAGAACTAGAGAACCAAGAGCAAGCAAATTCAAAAGCTAGCAGAAGACAAGAAATAACTAAGATCAGAGCAGAACTGAAGGAGACAGAGACACAAAAAACCTTTCAAAAAATCAATGAATCCAGGAGGTGGTTTTTTGAAAAGATTAACAAAATACATAGACCACTTGCCAGGCTAATAAAGAAGAAAAGAGAGAAGAAACAAATAGACACAGTAGAAAATGATAAAGGGGATATCACCACTGATCCCACAGAAATACAAACTACCATCACAGAATACTATAAACAGCTGTGTGCAAATAAACTAGAAAATCTAGAGGAAATGGATAAATTCCCAGACACATACACACTCCCAAGACTAAACCAGGAAGAAGTTAAATCCCTGAACAGACCAATAACGAGTTCTGAAATTGAGGCAGTAGTTAAGAGCCTACCAACCAAAAAAGCTCAGGACCAGACGGATTCAAAGCCGAATTCTACCAGAGATACAAAAAGTAGCTGGTACCATTCCTTCTGAAACTATTCCAAACAACAGAAAAAGAAGGACTCCTCCCTAACTCATTTTGTGAGACCAGTGTCATCCTGATACCAAAACCTGGCAGAGACACAATAATAAAAAAAATTTCAGGCCAATATCCATGATGAACATCAATGCGAAAATCCTCAATAAAATACTGGCAAACTGAATCCAGCAGCACATCAAAAAGCTTATCCACCACAATCAAGTCAGCTTCATCCCTGTGATGCCAGGCTGGATAAACATACAAAAATCAATAAATATAATCCATCACATAAACAGAACCAATGACAAAAAACACATGATTATCTCAATAGATGCAGAAAAGGCCTTGGATAAAATTTGACACCCTTTCATGCTAAAAACTCTCAATAAACTTGGTACTGATGTAACATACCTGAAAATAATAAGAGCTATTTATGACAAACCCACAGCCAATATCCTACTGAATGGGCAAAAGCTGGAAGCATTCCCTTTGAAAACCAGAACAAAACAAGGATGCCCTCTCTCACCACTTTTATTCAACATAATATTGGAAGTTCTGTCCAGGGCAATCAGGCAAGAGAAAGAAATAAAGGGCATTCAAATAGGAACAGAGGAAGTCAGATAGTTTCTGTTTGCAGATGACATGATTGTATATCTACAAAACCACATTGTCTCAGCCCCAAAACTCCTTAAGCTGATAAGCAACTTCAGCAAAGTCTCAGGATACAAAATCAATATGCAAAAATCACAAGCATTCCATACACCAATAATAGACAGAGAGCCAAATCATGAGTGAACTCCCATTCACAATTGCTATAAAGAGAATAAAGAGAATTCCTATACCTAGGAATACAACTTAACAAGGGATGTGAAGGACCTCTTCAGGGAGAACTACAAGGAAATAAGAGAGGACACAAACAAATGGAAAAACATTCCATGCTCATAGGTAAGAGGAATCAATATCGTGAAAATGGCCATACTGCCCAAAGTAATTTATAGATTCATTGTTATTCCTATTAAGTTTCCATTGACTTTCCTCACAGAATTAGAAAAAACTACTTTAAATTTCACATGGAACCAAAAAAGAGTCTATATAGCCAAGACAATCCTAAGCAAAAAGAGCAAAGCTGGAGACATCGCACTACCTGACTTCAAACTATACTACAGGGCTACAGTAACCAAAACAGCATGATAATGTTACCAATACAGATATATGGACCAATGGAACAAAACAGAGACCTCAGAAATAATGCCACACATCTACAACCATCTGATCTTTGACAAACCTGACAAAAACAAGCAATGGGGAAAGGGTTCCCTATTTAATAAGCGGTGTTGGGAAAACTGGCTAGCCATATGCAGAAAACTGAAACTGAACCCCTTCCTTACACCTTATACAAAAATTAACTCAAGATGGATTAAAGACTTAAACGTAAGACCTAAAACCATAAAAAAACCTTAGAAGAAAACCTAGGCAATACCATTCAGGACATAGGCATGGGCAAAGACTTCATGACTAAAATACCAAAAGCATTGGTAACAAAAGCCAAATTGACATATGGGATCTAATTAAGCCAACGAGATTTTGCACAACAAAAGAACTATCATCACAGTGAAGAGGCAACCTATAGAGGGAGAAAATTTTTGCAATCTGTCCATTTGACAAAGGTCTGATATCCAGAATCTATAAGGAATTTAACAAATTTACAAGAAAAAAGCAAACAAAGCCATCAAAAAGTAGGTGAAGGATATGAACAGACACTTCTTAAAAGAAGGCATTTATGTGGCCAACAAACATGAAAAAAGCTCATCATTAGAGAAATGCAAATTAAAACCTCAATGAGATACCATCTCATGCCAGTTAGAATGACTATCATTAAAAAGTCAGGAAACAACAGATGCTAGGGAGGATGTGGAGAAATAGGAATGCTTTTACACTGTTGGTGGGAGTATAAATTAGTTCAATCATTGTGGAAGACAGTGTGGCAATTCCTGAAGGATCTAGAACCAGAAATATCCTTCGACCCAGCAATCCCTTTACTGGGTATTTACCCAAAGGGCTATAAATCATTCCAGTGTAAAGACAGATGCACATATATGTAAACTGCAGCACTGTTTACAATAGCAAAGACTTGGAACCAACCCAAATGCCCATCAATGATAGACTGGATAAAGAAAACGTGTCACATATATACCATGGAATTCTATGCAGCCATAAAAAAAGAGTGAATTCATATCCTTTGCAGGGACATGGATGAAGCTGGAAACCATCGCTCTCAGCAAACTAACACAGGAACAGAAAACCAAACACTGCATGTTCTAACTCATAAGTGGGAGTTGAACATTGAGAACACATGGACACAAGGAGGGGAACATCACACACCAGAACGTGCCGTGGGGTGAGAGGCAAGGGGAGGGATAGGATTAGGAGAAATACCTAATGCATGCGGGGCTTAAAACCTAGATGATGGTTTGTTGGGTGCAGCAAACCACCATGGCATATGCCTATGCAACAACCCTGCACGTTCTGCACAAGTATCCCAGAATTTAAAGTATAATAATAATAAAAAAAGAAAAAAGTGACCTGAATATCTTTCTTAAAAAGTTAACTTTATCAGTAATCATGAGACGTTAGTAGTGATTTTTAAAAAACTTCTGTGAACACCATGCTATGGCATGGATTATTCTTGTGCTATCTAAAGTGATGTACAGCACTTTCTAGTGAAATCATTTTATTAACACACAAATAATATAATTTATCAGTTCAAACTTTACAGTGACAAGTATCTACTATTAGGTTGGTGCAATAGTAATCACGATTTTTGCTATTACTTTTAATTTTGAAAAATATTTTAAAAGGCCTGAGAGAAAAGACACTTAACAACAAAATATGCTGTAAGCCTTGATGTGACACAAAAGTCATAAAAGATTTTTAAATATTTTTATTGAAGTAGAGTTTACATAGTATGAAATGCAAAAGCTTCCCTTTTGCAGTATGTTTAGTTTTGGTGAATGCATACACCTGTGTTATTTACACCACTATTCTATCACTATAGAGTCAAATATTAGTCATTTCCTGAATTTTTTTGCCAAAGTCAGATTATAGATATGTCATAAACAAATCCTCTGTAAAATGTGTTAACTATTGATTCCTCTGGGAATCAATAGTTTGTCAGAGAGCAGGGGTCTCCAACCCCCAGGGTGTGGACAGATACCTATGCATCCATGGCCTGTTAGGAGCCAGGCCATGCAGCAGGATGTGAGCTGCAGGTGAGCCAACATCATCACTTGAGCTCCCCCTCTTGTCAGATCAACTGCTGCATTAGATTCCCATAGGAGTGCAAACCCTATTGTGAACTGCACATGTGAGGAATTTAGGTCGTGTACTCCTTATGAGAATTTAAAGCCTGATTATCTGAACTGAAAGAGTTTCATCCTAAAATCATCCCCTTCTCCCTGCATCTGCGGAAAAAATTTTCTTCCACAAGACCAGTCACTGGTGCCAAAAAAATTAGGGACCGAGGTAGAGTCTTGGTGCACATTGTTGAACATCTATTGGTCGTTCGTGTGGAAGCCTGCGAATATTCAATGGATAATAGCTTCTAGTATGAAGAGTGAATGACATATAATATTAGAAAGCTAGAGTTCTGTTGAAAGATTTCATTTGCACATAGAAAATTAGAGTACTGAAATTTTCTTTTAATGCTAATAATTTCCCCAATATTCAGTTCTACATTAGCATGTCTTCTACCTCACTTTCTTCACTCAAACATTTGTGTATAGGTCAGATTAAACTGTTGTGGACTGTAGAGATATGAAACTGCAATATAAATTATAGACTTAATTTAAATTGATGAAGCTCTCTGGAAGGATGCGAGTCCTCATCCTTTATTTGATAGAGGCCTCCTATATCTCCCAGGGCACTTTTGAAATAACAGCATGGAATCACACATTTACATAAATAAAGCTAGCCAAGAGAAAAAATAGCAAAACAAGGAAAATATGAGAAAATGCTTGACAAATACATGAAAACTTGGGAATTTTGCTGGGCTAGTTTTGTTGTTGTTATTTTTATACTTTGCTTTATTGCATCTATGAATATAATACATTTTGCTATTAGCAATTTCAAATTAAGTATTTCAAAAGAAAATTAGAAAACTGAATAAAATAACCTCCTCATGTATTGAAGGAAATGTGAGAAAATAATTAGATTTTACATTAAAAATAGACAACTTCAAACAAAATAAAATATTTCCAGATGTTTACACTATGGAATATTAAAAAAAATCAGAAGGAACTTAGAGAAAGAATTTCATGGCCAAAACAGTAAGAGAACGAAAATATAAAAATTAAAGTAATACATAGAAAGCTGAAAAAATAAATTTAAGGCCTATATGCTCTTCAAGGTCTCATTTTCAGCTTTCTGCAAGATATCTCTGCTTGAATATCCAGCTGACACTTAAAACTTAACATGTCTATAACCAAGTTCATTATTCGCTATAACTTCTCTGTATTTCCATCATTGTCAATATTGCCATTATACTCTTAGCTCAGCAGGCTATTAAATATGCAGTCGTCTTTGATTTCTTCTTGTCCTTAGTCAGCCATATCCCATCTATCAAACATGTTCTTCCAAAGCATTTTTCAAATGTGGTACCTACTTTTAGTTATTACAATCAGAACAATTTCACATGTCACAGTCACTTTTCTAGAATAACCACTATAAAATGCCTCTGCTGTCAAATTACATCTTCTTTTATTTGTCCAAATAATAAAGCAAAAGTCATTTTAATTCAATATATCTGGAGTCCAAACGCAGCCCCAATTTATGCCTTAAAAAATTAAAACCATATTTAATCAAAATCAAATAAAAACATATAAAAATTCCCCAGGTCTTACTTCTCTTCTCTTTCTTTTTTTCCTGCATAATTCTATGCACACCTAACTATTCAGCTGACTACATGAGTGTAATGACATCAATATCTATTTCTCCTTTTCATATCCTGAATTATCTGAATTCTACCACCACAGGTAAAAGCTAACATTTGACCTTAGTTTGCAATAACACATTTCTAAATTCTTTACACTTAATACTCAATTTTATGAGTTAGCTATTAAAATTAGTATCTCTAATAAGAAAATTTGAAACTAAGGCATATATTGACTAAACTAATGAATGATGGAGGCTGGACATGGATTCAGGCAGGCTGTTTCAAAAACCCACTTGCTTTTAATAACTGTGGTCTTCTGCCTCTCCTTTATTCAAATTAACAAAGGTCTAGCTTCCTACTGATCATCTCCATCTGATTGTTCCATACTATCTTCCAAATTATTTGTCCTGAACAAATCTACTATTTTCACAGGCACCTTGTTCCAAACTCTCTCTCTCTCCTGTAAGAAACATGACACAGGAACCAAATGCTTCTGGCTCATCCTAAAGCTAAAACTAAAACTGAACAGCTAGAACTAAAACCGAAGAGCTCCATGAGTTGGGTAAGTTAATCAACATCTCTAAGCCTCTAATTCCTCAGTACTGCTTTTCATTAGGAAAGTCACTGGAATAAATGTCGTCCAAAAGGTTATATAACAAACTAAAACTAACGAATAAACAAAGCAAAAAACAAAAACACTCTTAGCTTTATTGTTCTCAATGTATTTTTTCTACTCTTTTCTATCCCTATCTTCCTCTCTTCCTGCCTTTCTCTATATCTGTTCCTTTCTTCCTTCCTTTCTTCTTTTCTTCCTTCCTTCCTTTTTTCCTTTCTCCCTCTCTCCCTCCTTCTGTTCCTTACTTCCTTCATTTTTTCTTTCTTACTTTTTATTCTGTTTTAATACGCAGGTCTATGAGTAGATTTATAATTCAAGTCTTAGCTAAACTGCCACTTCTGCAAAAGTGTCATCTCCAAACTTCCAGTTTAGAATTAAAAAAAAAGTTTCTCAACCTTAACATTATTGACATGTAAAAAATAATAGCTTTATCAATATGTAAACTATATACTACAAAATTCCCCATTTAAATGTATCCAACAAGAGGATTATTTTTAGTGTTTTCACTCATCTGACTTGAGATAATTTACATCACCACAAAAGAAATACCATACCCATTAGCCGTTACTCCCATCCCGCTCTCCCCATAATCCTTAGTAAATACTAATATAGTTTCTTTTGCTATAGAATTGTCTATTCTGAATATTTTATATAAATGAAATTACAAAATTTGTGGTCCTTTCGTCTTGCTTTTCTACATCCATTCATTTTATAATGTGTATCAGTATTCAATTACACTTTATGATCAAATGACATTCTATTTGTGAATATATCACAATTTGTTCATCAATTTGTGATAGATATCTGTGTTATTTCCACTTTTTTTGTATTGTGAATAATGTTGTTATGGACTCTTATGTACAAGGTTTAATATATAAACTCATTTATCTCCGGTGTATGAGTAAAAGTGTAATTTTTGGGTCAGTCATATAGTAATTCTAGTTTTAAAATTTTTTCCCATGAATGATGTATGAGGGTTTCAATCTCTCCACATTCTTATCAACGGTGGTTATTGTCTATCTTTTTAATTTTGCCAAACAAATGTATATTAGGCTGTTCTCACATTGCTATAAAGAAATAATGGAGACTGGGTAAGTTATAAAGAAACGGGTTTTAATTGGCTCACGGTTCTGCAGGCTTTACAAGAAGCATAGTGGCTTCTGCTTCTGGGGAAGCCTCAGGAAGCTTACAATCATGGCGGAAGGCAAAGGGTGAGCCAGCACTTCACATGGCTGGAGCAGGAGGAAGAGAGAGAGAGCGTGGAGATGCTACACACCTTTAAATAACCAGATCTCATGAGAAATTTATCATTATAAAGTATCAAGAATGGTGTTAAACCATTGATGAGAACCCCACCCCCATGATCAAATTTTCTCCCAGCAGGACCCATATTCAACACTGGGGACTACAAATGAACATTAAATTGGGGTGGCGACACAGATGGAAACCATATCATTCTGTCCCTGGCCCTCCCCATATCTCATGGACTTCTCACATTGCAAAATACAGTCATGCCTTCCCAGCAGTCCTCCAAAGCCTTATCTCATTCCAGCATTAACTCAAAAAGTCCAGAATCCAAAGTCTCATCTGAGAAAAGGCAAGCCCCTTTCAACTCTGAGTCTGTAAAATAAAAAGAAAACAAAAGACAAGTTAGTTACTTCCAAGATACAATGAGAGTATAGGCATTGGGTAAATACTCCCATTCCAAAAGTGAGAAAAGAGACTGCCTAGAAAGAAAGGGGCTACATAGGCCTCATGCAAGTCTGAAACCCAGGAGGGCAGTTATTAAATCTTAAAGCTCCCAAATAATCACTTTTGAATTCATGTTTCACTTCCAGGACACACTAGTGTGAGGAGTGGGCTCCCAAGGCCTTGAGCATAATGGATAAGAAATCTTATCATATTGCGGTTTTTATGTGCATTTTCCTAATAACTAACGATGTTGAGCAGGTTGTCATGTGCTTATTGGCCATTTTTATGTCTTTTTTGGAGAAATGTCTATTCAAATCATTTGCCTATTTTAAAAAAATGTCTTTTTATTGTTGAGTTTGAAGTGGCCTTTTAAAATTCTGGATACATATTCTTTATTAGGCACTAAATTTGAAAATACTTTCTTTAATTCTGTGTGCTACCTTTCCTCTTTCTTTATAGTTTAAATCTGGTCCTTCAGAGGACAAGATTTTCAACTTAATTAAGTATGATTTGTCTATTTTTTCTTTTTCTTTTTCTTTTTTTTTTTTTTGAGACGGAGTCTCGCTCCTTTGCCCAAGCTGGAGTGCAGTGACGTTATCTCTGCTCACTGCAAGCTCCGCCTCCCTGGTTCACACCATTCTCCTGCCTCAGCCTCCCGAGTAGCGGGGACTACAGGCGCCCGCTACCATGCCTGGCTAATTTTTTTGCATTTTTTTTGGTAGAGACGGAGTTTCACCTTGTTAGCCAGGATAGGATTGTCTCGATCTCCCGACCTCGTGATCCACCTGCCTCGGCCTCCCAAAGTGCTGGGATTACAGGCCTGAGCCATCGCGCCTGGCCTGATTCGTCTGTTTTTTCTATGATTTCATTAACCTTTGTCATATCTTAGAAACCATTGCCTAATCGACTTTCTTCACAGAATTAGAAAAAAACTACTTTAAATTCAGATGTATTCAAATATTTTCTTCTAAGAGTTTTATAGCGTTAGCTTTTACATTTAGATATATGATTAATTTTCAGATAATTTTTGTAAGTGGTGGGCAGTAGAAATCAAACTTCCTTCTTTTGCATGTAAATATAGATATACAGTTGTCTGATCACCATTTGTTAACAAGACTGTGTATTTTATGATGATTACATTATCTTGATATCCTTGTTGAAAATTAATTGTCCATAAGTGTAAAGGTTTCATCTTGTCACTAAATAGTTTTTATATTTATAATTTTTATAGGTCTGCATGGAATTGATACTACCATCATTATTATTATAAATTTTTTCTTTGTCTCTAGAAAAACATTTTGTCTTATTGTCTCTTTGTCTGATATTAGTATATCGTTTTTTGATCACTGTTTGTATTTTCCATTATTTTATTTTTAACCTATTCATTTGTATGTCAATCTAAAGTCTGTCACTTTTAAATAACACAGTTGGCTTACAACTTCTAACTACACTGTAAATCTCCACATTTAAAAAAAATATTAAAAAATTTTTAATTGTGGTAAAATTTATACAATACAAAACTTTTCACATTAACCATTTTTAAGTGTATAGTCAGTGTCAAGAAGTACATTCACATTGTTGTACAACCATGGCTACCATCCATTTCCAGATCCTGTTTATCTTGCAAAACTGAAACTCTATGCTGATCAAACACTAATTTCCCATATCTTGCTTTTACCAGTCCCTGATAGAAGGGACTCTTCTTTCTATCTCAATGAATTGGACAACTATACATATCTTATATAAATGAAACTATATAGTATTTGTTTTATTCCGACTGGCTTATTTCACTTATCATAATATCTTCAAGGATCATCCACGTTGTAACATATATCAGAATTTCCTTCCTTTTTAAGGCTGTGAATAACATTCTATTGACTGTGCATACCTCATTTTGTTTGCCCATTAATTTATTGATGTATACTTCCATTGCTTCTATCTCTTGGTTATTGTGAATAAACCTTATATGAGCATGAGTGTACAAACATATATTTGAGACTCTGCTTTCAGTTCTTTTTAGGATATACCTAGAAGTACAATTGCTGGATCATACAGTAATTCTATTTCTAATTTTTAAAGGAACTGCCATATTGGTATATGTAGAAGCACCATTTTACGTTTTCCTCAACAGTAAACAAATTTTCCAATTTCTCCCTGTCCTTGTCTTTGTGTTTAAAATGTTTAATGCATTTTTATGTAATTGCTGATAAGATATAATTCATGTCTGCAATTTTGCTATTTGTTTTCTATATGTCTAGTGTGGACTTTTCTTTGTTTCTCGCTTCCTGCAGTGCTGCCTATTTTAATAAGTTCTGCCTTAATTTAAGGCAGTAATGTATTAAATATTTATTTTCTATTTTACTATTTTGTGTGTTGTTTCTTTTACTATATATTTTTAAGTTTTATTTTTTTAGTTGCCCTGAAGGCTACAATTAACATTTTAGTTTAAAACAACCTAATTCAGGTTAATACAGATGTAATTTCAATAGTATACAAGTGCTCTGCTCCAATAAATTCATCAATAGTTCTATAATTATTACTTTTTTCAATTTCCTTTAGCTCTTATAAGACAATTTATTTAAAAACTAAAAATATTTATACTACCATTGTATTTACCTATGCAATTATTTTTAGTAATGTTTTTCAAAGGAAGATTTGAATTATTATCTATATTTCTTTCATTTCAGTCTGAAGAATTCTCTGTAGTATTTCTTTTAGAGAATGTCTGCTAGCAATGAATTCTCCCAGTTTATCTTTTAACGTCTTAATTTCTTTTTGTTTTTAAAGTATCGTTTACTAGATATTGAGTTTTTAGTTAGCAGTCTTCCTTCTGCATTTTGAATATATCAGCTGACTATATTCTGTCTCCCATGGTTTCTGATAAGAAATCAGCTGTTGATTTTATTGAGGATAACTTTTACATGATCTTTTGCATTCCTCTTGATGTAGCTAGTTGGGAATCTCTTTGAAATCTGCTTGGAATCTGTTGAACTTTAATGATTACAAAATAATTTTGAATGAACAGTTTTCAGCCATTATTAATTCAATTTTTTTCTGTCTCTTTCTTTCCCTTCTCTTCTCTTCGTTCTCCAAGTATCTGTATGTTTGTATATGTGATGCCTTCCCAAGACATCTATGAGGCTTATTCATTTTACCTTTTTCATTTTCTTTTGTTCTTCAGACTGGCTAATTTCAATTGCTATATATTCCAGTTTATAATTTTTTTAAATTCTGACTTTTATTTTGATACAGGATGTAGATGTGCAGGTTTAGTATATGGGTGTATTGCATGATGCTGAGGTTTGGGGTACAGATCCCAACACCCAGGTAGTGGTCATAGTAACCAATAGGTAGTTTTTCAACCTATACCCTCCTCTTTCCCCTCTCTAGTGGCCTGCAGTGTCTATTGTTCCTTTGTTTATGTCCATGTGTGCTCAATGTTTAACACCCACTTATAAGTGAGAACATGCAGTATTTGATTTTCTATTGCGTTAATTCGCTTAGGATTATGACCTCCAGCAACATTCATGTTGTTGCAAAGGACATGATTTTATTCTTTTTATAGCCGTGTAGTAACCCGTGGTATATATATACCACATTTCCATTATTCAATCCACCATTGATGGACACCTAGGTTGATTCTACGTCTTAACTATGGCAAATAGAGTGGTGATGAACATGCAAGTGAATGTGTCCTTTTGGAAGAAAGATTGCATTTCCTTGGAGATATACCCAGTAATGGGATTGCTGGGTTGAATGGTAGCTCTGTTTTAAGTTCTTTGAGAAATTTCCAAATCTTTCAACTGTGGCTAATTTATATTACCAACAACAGTGTATAGGCATTCCCTTTTGTCTGTAGCCTCAGCAGCATCTGTTATTTTTTGACTTTTTAATAATAGCCATGCTGACTGTTTTGAGATGATATCTTGTGTGGTTCTGATTTGCATTTCTCTGATGATTAGTAATGCTGACCAGTTTTTATTTCTGTTGGCCACTTGAACGTTTTCTTTTGAGGGGTGTCTGTTTATGTTCTTTACACATTTTAAATAGGGTTATTTGTTTCTCTATTCTTTTGTTCACTACTTCTAATATGCTGTTGAATCCCTCCAGTAATTTTTAACATTATTTTATTTTTCAACTCCTGAAATACAATTTAGTTCTTTATCATACTTTTTAATCTCATTAGTGACATTATCAATTTGGTGACACATTATTCTAATCCTTTCCTTCTTTAGACGTTATTTAATAAATATATTTGTAATACTAATTTAAAGTCTTTGTCAAATAAGTTTATATCTGGGCTTCCTCAGATACAATTTATATTGATTGCTTCTTTAGCCTGTGTATGTGAGATAATTTCCAACTTTTATGTGTGTCTTGTGATGTTTTATTGAAAACTAAAATTTTAAATCATAGGGCATCTCTGGAAGTCAGATCCCGCATCCTCAGAGTGTATTGCTGTTATTATTTGTTGGTGATGTTTCTGTTCTTGTCTTTTTTTATTATTATTATACTTTAAGTTTTAGGGTACATGTGCACAATGTGCAGGTTAGTTACGTATGTATACATGTTCCATGCTGGTGTGTGGCACATATACGCCATGGAATACTATGCAGCCATAAAAATGATGAGTTCATGTCCTTTGTAGGGACATGGATGAAATTGGAAATCATCATTCTCAGTAAACTATTGCAAGGACAAAAAACCAAACACCACATGTTCTCACTCATAGGTGGGAATTGAACAATGTTCTTGTCATTTTTTTAGTGACTTTCCTGAGCTAATTTTAGGTAGTCTGTTTTCTTGTCATGTCAGCCTATTGAGGACTCTGCTCAGTTAGCTTAATGGCCAGTTAATGATTTGACAGGTTTCCTTAAATGATTTGAGCCACTAAGTCTCCCAGACTTTGTTGAGTGGCTATGTATGTGTGTGGGGAGGATGCTTGCAATGCTCTAGTAGGCAGTATAAACTCTGCCTTAGCCTCAACTTCTTACTTTCACAGAACCTCAGTGTCAGCTAGAGATGAGAGACCAGAGCTTTTTCTTGTCTTTTCTGGGCATATGTACAGACCAGTATGTGTGCATGGCCTTCTCTATCCCTCAGGATATGTTTGAGCTTTGCAAAGCACCTTATGTACATCTTATTTTTAAATTTTTACTTTTAATTTTTCGGTCTTGTTATACACAGCTGGTAACATCACTTCAGGCAGCTACAATGTTAAACAATTGCCTGGTTTTTTCAGCAAACACTTGGGCTATAACTGTTTGTACAGAGTTAGCTCCGAGTCAGGTCAAATAAAGGCAAGTCCTGTGAATGGAGTTTCTCTGGCAGGTAAAATAATGACAAATTTTTTTGCAGATGAGGCTTTTTTTTAGAGCTCCAAAAAACGTTCTTACATTTCCACCGGCTGCTAAGCTGCTGTTTTATAGAGCTCCTATAGTCACAAGCCTTTCAGTTTTCAGGGCTGCTATAGAGCTGGAGATCAGGGTTTGGGAAGAAGGCATGTTAAAACATCACAAAGCTTGCTTTACTTACAAGATTCAGCCCGTTTTCTTGAATAAACACCCTATGGATTTTCCCAAGCCTTTGGTTAATTTCTAGATCTGAAAAGGTGATTCTGACAAGTTTTTCCAGCTTTCTTGTTACTTTTATAGATGACCAGCTTTTCAGATGCCATTATTCCACCATTATGGAAGTGCTTCTAACTAAATACTTGTTGTGGAGATCTGTCCTTGTTCATTTTCAGATGTTTAGCAGCATCTTTGGCTTCTACTCATGAGATGTTAGTAACATACCCTGCCCCAGTTATGAAAAACAAAAATGTCTTCAGATATTGCCAAATGTTTTTTGGGGGAGGCAAAATCACTTCGGATTGAGAATCACTGAAAACAAGTGATCTCATATGCATTTTCCATAATTATTCACTTATCTTTTGTAGTATTTCTCAACATTCATAATGAAATTTTATTTGTTAAAATACTGATCTAATATCTTACTACCTCATTTCATTGGCAACTCCATGATAAAAGAAGTCATCCATATCTTTTTGACTACTTTTCTATGTGTAACCAGAAGATAACTGAGAAATGTACTGGCTGTAGGATATTTATGTGTACTTTTCTACATCTTGGACCTACATTTTCTTTATTTCTTTATTTTAAAAGGATGGTAATATTTTTTTTTTTTTTTGAGACAGAATTTCACTCTTGTTGCCCAGGCTGGAGTGCAATGGCGCGATCTTGGCTCACTGCAACCTCTGCCTCCCGGGTTCAAGTGATTCTCCTGCCTCAGCCTCATGAGTAGCTGGGATTACAGGCATGCGCCACCACAACAAGGTAATTTTGTATTTTCAGTAGAGATGGGATTTCTCCATGTTGGTCAGGCTGGTTTCAAACTCCCAACCTCAGGTGATCCATGCACCTCGGCCTCCCAAAGTGCTGGGATTACAGGCGTGAGCCAGCACGCCTGTCCAATGGTAAACATTTTAAATAATTTTGCATTTTTTATTTGTTTAGTGGAACTGAAAATTACCAGCCTATTCTAAAAATGTTCGTTTAGCCAAATATGTGAGGTATAGTGTAATAAGCAAGACAATTGCAAATATGAAGAAGATTCTGAGACAAGATTCAAAACATAATTTTAATTTCAAGAAGCAGTCAACTTTACCTTTTGTTACAATACTCATATAATGATTTACTGGTGTCTGCATATATCTGCAAGCTGTATCATTAATCTACTTAAAACAACAACAACAAACAAACAAAAACAGAATCTTTTCTTACTGACTGTATTCTGGAACATTTTCAACTTTTGCCTACCTGTAGTAAGCTTCTGGAATCTTGCTGCTCTCAAGTTTGGGAAATAACTTTTGGGGAAGTACTTGTGAGAGAGGAGGAAGGAAGAAATTGGTCGGTCAGGCAGGCAGTTAGGGTGAGTCCTCATTATAACTTCTTTGAACTAAGGACAGCCTGAAAATCACGCTGCAGGCCCCAGATAAGAAAGAGCCTGTGTTCTTGAATGGAAATACCTACTCTGTGAACCCAAGACAGTCGGCAGACCAGTCAGTGTCCTCCTACCCTGTCCCAGTCCATAAAAATTCCTGAACTTAGCCCCATAGCTCCCAACCTTCTTTCATGTCCCGTCTCCTTGCTGAGAGCTTTTCTGTTGCTTAATAAATTTGATTCTGCCTTACTCTTCCATGTTCATGTGCCTTATTCTTTTTGGTTGTGGGACAAGAACCCGGAGCTTGCCAGCCATGGGAGTAAAAGAACTGTAACACTCTCTCTCACCCATCGAACAACAGGAGTGAAAAAGCTGCAACACTTCCTCTAATAATAATAAGGTAAAATTTTATGATAAAGCTTCACATGAATTATAGGACTCTGGGCTGTATACTTAAACATTCTCATGGCAGTTTTTGTTTGCTTGTTTTAATTGTTTTTTTCTCCTCTTCCTCTGTATCTCAAAAGCAAAAGACAGAGCCCTGCCAATATTTTAAAAGCTAGAAATTTTTTTATATTTTAATGAATATTAGAATCTATAATTATAAACATATTCAAAAATCATATTTGATTATATTCTTCAGAAAAAAGAATAGAAAAATAATTTTTAATATTAGCATTATGTGTCATGTTATGGTTATTGATATATTTCATCAATTAAAGTTCAAGGAACATATGCCATTTTCGTATGTGAGAATGCTTTACTCTCTACCACAAATAGGGAATGTTCTTTTTATCGCTTCTACATTACTTGGTTAAAAATTCCTTATTTTTTAAATTTTGTATTTTTATTTGTGAGACTATATATTTTATGATTAATAAAAAATATCTGTATGTACTTAATATGTATTATTACTATAATTTTAAACACTTTTCACTAAATTTTTGCCTGTAAAATATTGATTATGTTGATATGTGTTAGTAACAGGTATTTGTTGGTAATATATATTTGAATAATAAGAGAGTTTTACAGGTGTTACAGACAGATTGATGGTTTGAATTTTACAGTTTTATATTTATTAATAGTTGCTCTATTTTTTAGAAATTGGCTGGTGGTGTGTGTTTATGATTTTTTAAATTATTTCTGCATTTCATGTCCCTGGAACTGCCTTCTTTTTAAAAATAAATTTATGTATAATTTCTTCAATTTTTTAAATTTGGCTACTCTATCATTTACATTTTTATTACCGTATATTGTTAGTTCAAAATATGAGATAAGACATTTTTTCCAAATAATTCTATTGACATATTTTTAATTCTTTTTATTGACTATTCTTCCTTTTCTGGGGCATGATTCCTACCATTCAATATACAATTTTTTATTTCTTCATTCGAATCTATATGGAAAAGGAGCAATCTATCCCTTTTATTCAGAAATATTAAACTTCTTATGGAATGTCAGTTACTCCATGTGAACTTTAAAATTAGTTCATTTAGTTTTATAAAACTTCCTATTTTAAATTTAGTGACATTTTAGATAAATTTAGAAAATAACTGTGCAGTGTCTATATTCATCTGGATGTGCTTGAATCTTTTAACCACCTTTCTTTAGATATGTGAAAGGAACAAGTTAACTCTGCTTGTTCTGTGTCACGATTTTCTTAAATTAGGGATTTCATTAACACTTGCCTCATAGACTTACTGACAGTAATATATGCATTAATTGATGTAAGGCATGAAGTTAAGTTTCTACCATAGAACACAAACTCAATAAATGTTAGCTATTCTTACTATTAAAAATTATTATTAAAATTATTAAAAATTATTGTCACACAAAGTCTTTCTATTTAGTAATATAATCTATCCACATGTTCAAATTACTTTTGTCTAAGGAAGGCAAGTAAAGTTTGCAGCTTCTTTTCTAAGAATTCCTGGATAGTTCTCATGACTTTTATGCTAATTATTTTATTGTTAATATGTGAACCATTAAATATGTGATAAATGTTTAATGGTTCACATATTAACAATAAAATAATAAAATAATAATTAATTAATTCATAAAATACATTCACATATTAACAATAAAATAAAATTTTCACATATTTAATGGGTCACATAACAATAAAATCATTAGCATAAGAAATTAAAAATAATTAAAATTAAGATAAGTAGCACATATGAAATCAATTTGTTATATATTCCGATACCATTTTCAGAAAAAGAACAAAAGTATTTTAAATTATTTTTAATCTAATAGTTGTTACTTTCTAATGAGAGCAAATGTACCAGAATTTTCTTCTGTATGAATCTTTTCATTTAATTTTATATCACCTGCCGATAGGGTTCGGATATTCATCCCCTCCAAATCTCACGTTGAAATGTCATCTCTAGTGTTGATGGTGAGGCCTAGCGATAGTTGTTTGGCTGATGGTGTCAAATCCCTCATGAATGTCTTGATGGCCTCCTAGAGTGAGTTTGCATTCTGAGTTCACGCAATATCTGGATGTGTAAGAGTGCAGCGCCTCCTCCCTCTCTCTTGCTTCTGCCGTCGCTGTGTGATCCTGCTGGTCCCCCTTTGCCTTCCTCCATGATTGTTATCTTCTTGAAGCCCCATCAGGAGCACATGCAAGCACCATGCTTCCTATTCGGCCTGCAGAACCGTGAGCCAATTAAACTTATTTTCTTTATAAATTACCCAGTTTCAGGTATTCCTTTCTAGCAGTTCAAAAACAAATGAATATACCTTCAAACAATAACGGATGTTTTATCTAATTTTGAACATTTCCATCTACCATGTTTTCATATTGAAATTTGTTGGCTAATTCCTCTGCAACAATTTAAGGGGATAATGGATAATAGACCCTCTTGACTAAATTCTAATGTTTATGAATATTCATTTGTATTTTATTCTGTGAATGTAATAGTCAATTGTTTGAAATATTTTAACATAATTTTAAGTAAATATTCTCTATGGCAATTTAATTGTTTTACAAATTTCTACAACGATTTATTCATACAGTTTTTCGTTTATTTTTTGATGTATTTTGATAGTTTCCAAATTTTATGCTTTGAAATTTGGGGTAGGAGGAGCTAACATGTATTGTGAGCTCACTACACAAGAGGCAATATTTAAACATGCTATTCATACTCTAGCATGTAATCCTGAGGAACATATAAACATAATTTTCTCCATTTTGCTGATGAAGAAACTGAGTCACAGGTAAAATAACTTGCTCATGGTAACATATTAAGTGGTGCAACCAAGATTTGATCTTACATAGTTGGATTCTCGGGCCATTATATTATGAAGTATGTTAAGTGTGAACATTAAGTGTTCATTGTTTCATTCAACAAATGGTTAATAATATATTTTACATTAATAAGGAATTGTACAATATGCAATTGACACTAAAATGAATGTTTTCATCTTCTTTAATCGTTTAGTTTCTAACAGTTTCACTCTATGAAGTCATCAAGTCAGATTGTAGGAGAAAAAGAAACGAGACTGAAACTTCCAGGGGAGAGGACCTAGTACCGTCTCTACCTGATTGTTTTCTGTACTGCAGAAATTAGTTGCATACACTTCTAATGTTTGGTCATCATGGCTATCTATGTATATGGGTATGTATAAAAAAAAGCCTCTACTGTAAGCCTTTAATAATCAAAAATATTTCAAAGAATAGACTTTGAAATTTTTGCAACAAAGAACACATGCTTTCATTTTTCTGGTGTGAGAATGAAACCTAAATTGTTTTTTGTGTGTGTGTGTTAGACTAGAACAATTGTTGAGTTTATGCTGAAAGTGAAAACATTATTCTACATATAATACTATAATGGTTAAAATTATTTGATTCATGACGCTAAGTATACTTTGATGGCCTTATATTTTAGTGCCCTGGAATCATATGAGAACACATCATTTTTATGGTAAATTTTAATGCAGTGTGAATTGTTATAGTTACCCTTTAATATTTAGTATTGCTATATGCCCTAGTAACTGATTTTCCTTCTTTTTAAAAAACATTTTATCATTTCTTCAAATGATTTCCAGTTCACTGAGTAAGAGATGAATACACAACAAATTTTAATCACAACGAATTTTACTCAGGTTGTACAGCTTTCCTTCTTAGCCTTATTTTGTTTCTTAAAATCACCATGCTGATATTTTACTTTTTAAGAGGATTTTAATGGATGCCCTCTTCCTCTAAGAACAATAACAATAATAGTAGCTAATTTGTAGAGGTTTTCTTATCGATAGCAAAAATACACCAAGAACTTCACATGTATCACATTTTAACTTCTCACAGTAAGACTGAGATAAATATTATAAGTCAATTTTACAAATGGGAAACAGACATATAGGCAGTAGAAATAACTTATCACGGATCAGTGAGTATATTAGTCCCAAATTTCTTTCAAACCATTAAAACTTTTTTGTTAATCACTGCACACCTATCTGGTTGTCATTTACCAGCATATCAGAAGATTTGTTTTTATTTTAAAACTACAGCGAATGTTATTTTGCTAGGTAACTTTAGAAGGATTATAAATTTGGGAAAATTATTTTGTCCTTTTACTCAAGGTAATTATTATCTACCCTGGGGTAAAAGCACCACAATATGCTTACAATTTTGAATTAATGCAATATATAAAATATATTTAATTTTCTGCTCTCTCCCTCTCTTTCCCCTTACCTTATTTGAGTGTTTCTTTAATTTCATTTGGTGCATCATAAATGAGTAAAGTTAAAATGATAACATGCATATATACCTACACACATATGCAACAAATGTTTGGCAAGTAGAAAAAATATTATGGAGTAAACACTAATATTAAAAAATTGAGCAAGAAAATATCTGAGTCAGAGTCAAATACATATCTGGGCAGCCGGAACGAGTTACGCCTAAAAATTTTCCTTTAAGATATGAGTGCATTTTGGAAGGAGTAAAAACAAAGGCTTTACACAAAATTTTAAAACACGTGAGTGGAAAGCTAAAGTTAAAATGTACAGATAAGGGCCAGGCGCAGTGGCTCACGCCTGTAATCCCAGCACTTTGGGAGGCTGAGGTGGGTGGATTACGAGGTCAGGAGGTCGAGACCAGCCTGGGCAACATGGTGAAACCCCGTTTCTACTAAACATAAAAAAAAAAAAAAAAAAAAATAGCCAGGCGTGGTGGCCTGCGCCTGTGGCGGAGGCAGGAGAATTGTTTGAACCTGGGAGGTGGAGGTTGCAGTGAGCGGAGAACGCGCCATTGCACCCCAGCCTGGGCGACGGGGTGAGACTCTGTCTCAAAAAAGAAAATAAATAAATAAATAAATAAATAAGGACCTTCTTTATAAATATGGTAAATCATTGAGCTTGGAAAGGACAATAAAAATTGTTATATCAGAGAGTATGAAATGTGGAAGTAGAATTACATCCAATGGGTAAGAATAATCTGAGTTATGATTTGTAAACATAGGAACCATTTTGAGAAAAATATTTTGGCAACAGCTTGTAAAATGGATTAGAGTGGGAAGGTTTCAATTTTTCTTAAAGTTTCAAACTCCTCTTTGCCATCATCATAATGTATATTATCTTCTTGCCTTGGTCTATTTGGAGAAAATGACTTAAATTTCTTGCATTTTCTGAGTAACCCGGGACTATAAACTGAAGCTCAAAGCACTGCAAATGCAAAATAATGAAAAGTTAATGTCACCTTAGAACACTTGTTTTCTATGACAACTATTGAAACACCATAAACAGAATAAAATGAAGAGTTGGTTTCAGCATGTTAAGTAAACACACTGGTATTTGGTTACAGCTAAAACAGACATTGAAATATTTATTGAATGTTTGCTTCAATAAAAAAATAGAGATTTTGATATAGCTTTGGCCTAATGGATCTTAACTGTACTCTAAAACATGAATAAATTTCAAAACGGTAAACAAAACATTAATAATTAGGTAAATATATGCTAATAGTTTATTATTGAACCTAAGCAATTTTTTTCTCATAAGAACTTACATGGAAATTTATTTTTATTTTAATGTATTTATTTATTTGAAAGAATTATTTTATTTTAATTGACAAATAACAATTATGTGTATTATATATTTATGGGGTATAATGCGATGTTTTGATATTTATTTACACTGAGAATGATTACATCAAAATAATTAAGAAATTCATTGCTTTATATACTTATCATTTTTTGTGGTGATGACCTTTAAATCAACTCTTTTAGTAATTTTAAAATATGCAATACATTATTTGTTACTGTCTCCATAGTGCAAAATATGTAACTAAAGACTATTTCTCTTGTCTAAGTAAAATTTTGTCCTCTTTGATCAACATGTTGCCTTTCCCCATCCATCCCCCTGGTGACCAACATTCTACTCCCTACTTATAGAAGTTGACTTTTTAAAGTTCCACATATAATTGAGACCATGTGGTATTTGTCTTTTTCTGTCTGGCTTATTTCACTTAGCATTATGTCCTCCAAGTGCATCTGAGTTGTTGCAAATAACAAAATTCTCTCCTTTTTCAGCCTGACTGGTGTTCCATTGCTAATATAGACTACATTTCTTAAATCCGTTTATCCAATGATGGACACCTAGGTTACTTTCATATTTTACCTACTGTGATTAATGCAATGAACAAGGGAGTGCAGATACCTCTGGCATACTGATTTCAATTTTGTTGGATATATATCCATTAGTGGGACTGTTGGATCATGTAATAATTCTGTGTTTGTTTTCTGAGGAAACTTCGTACTGTTTTTCATAATGGCCGTATCAATTTATATTGATACATAAACTCCTTTTTCTCCACACCCTTGCTAGCAATTGCTACATTTCATCTTTCTGGAAATAGCCATTCTAAGGGGTGTGAGGTGATACTTCGCTGTGGTTTTAATTTACATTTCTCTTATGATTAGTGATT
This sequence comes from Homo sapiens, assembly GCF_000001405.40. NCBI lineage: Eukaryota > Metazoa > Chordata > Mammalia > Primates > Hominidae > Homo > Homo sapiens. Next base: position 34,896,984 of record NC_000004.12, read on the forward strand.
GATATGGTTTGGCTGTGTTCCCACCCAAATCTCATCTTGAACTGTAGTTCCCATCATCCCCACCTGTCATGGGAGGGACCTGGTGGGAGGTAATTGCACCATAGGGGTGGAATTTCCCATGCTATTCTTGTGACAGTGAGTCTCATGAGATCCAATGGTTTTATAAAGCACAGTTCCCCTGCACACATTCTCTTGCCTGCCACCATATAATACGTGCCTTTGCTCCTCCTTCACATCATGCCATGATCATGAGGCCTCCCCAGCCATGTGGAACTGTGAGTCCATTAAACCTCATTTTCTTTATAAATTATCCAGGCTCGGTATGTCTTTATTAGCAGTGTGAGAATAGACGAATACAGTGGTTATGAGCATTTTTTAATATAGTGTATCTATTGTCCATTTGTTTTTCTTTTGAGAATGTCTAGCTATGTCCTTAGCTTATTTTTTAATCGGGTTCATGTTTTCTTGATATTGAGTTGAGTTTCTTATATATTTCGGATATTAGCCCCTTTATCAGATGTATAAATTACAAATATTTTCTCCCAATCAGTTGGTTGTCTCTTCACTCTTATTTCTTTTGCTGTGCAGAAGCTTTTCAGTTTGATGCAATACCTTGTGTAATGATATTAAACTTTTCTTCCACATCATGCACAAAAACCAACTCAAAATATGTATTTTTTAATAAGTATGCATTTTAAGACATAAAATTGAAAGAAAATCCAGAAGTAATTTAAAAGCTTTTCATAACACTTAATTGCTTCATGGCAATACAATATTTATTTCATAACTCTTTATAAAAATATGTACTCTTTATAAATATATATTACTTTATGTAATGCACTTTATATTACTTTTTATATGCTTAATAAAAATATGAGTATAGAATTATTTTCTTTATCTTTTAGCCTCTGATGGAAAATATTTCTCATAATTAACTCAGCAAAATTAAGGTTAAAGACACCGTTTCAAATTTTAATCTACTTCCAAATATTTCCAATCTGTCATAAGTAGAAACAATCAAGGTTAGTTAAAGACAAGCATCATCTCTCCTAACTCAAAACTATAATTCAGGTTATGAGGGAGACCCATTGAGAATGAAATAAAAAAGATGTTTCCCGACAAAAACAAAACAAAACAGCATTCTATTTGTTCATTTAAAATTTACTTCTACTCATTGTTGCTACTTTCTTGATTTCCAGAACTAAAGTTTCTAGTTTAAATGATCTATAGAGATTGGTTTACGAAAATATTTGCAGACTTCATTCTCTGTTCAAAAGCATAGTTTGATATAATTCTATCTTGTTTCTGTTTATTGTCATTATTTACTGTGGCAATGATTTCAACCAAATGCAGCTGAAGAGTTCCCCATTTAATCAGTGGCTTTAGTTTTAGTGTACTAATCACTTTTTAAGAAAGGAAAATAAGATTGTAATAAATAAGTAAACTATTACAAGCTAAATATTAAATCTGTAAATGGCAGTAATAGCTTAGAGGAGTCCTGCATAACTCAAAGCAGTGTTAAAGCTTTTTGAGTAAAAATGTTCTTGCATTAAACTATTCATAAATTGCCTAATTACATAAATGTTACAACTCAAAAATAATAACATTGAATAAATGTAAATAATTAAACATTCTCTGATTCTATATTGTCCACATTTCATAACTTTTTCTTAAAAATTAAAGGACATTTTGTGAGTAGTAATCCAAATACCAAATTTCAGGTGCCTTAGTAACCATATTCATTTCAAAGTAGATCTTACATACAATGAAAAGCATAAAATATTAATCAATTTATGGTTATACAAATATTTTAAAAATTACAATAAATGTAAATAGAAATTAATCCATTGCAAGCTACATGAACATTGATTCATATAAAATATCTATACAGAAACCAGTTTACCATCCAACAGATTTTTCAATTGACATTTCAAATATTTTGGCAGGAAATAAAAATTGAAATTAAATGATAATATTAAATCACCTGCTTTCAGTTTGTAATCAAGTAATTTTTCTTTTTAATTAGTGTGCATAAGCTTTTACTTATCAGTGTAAAAGATTGAAGTGGCTTATTTATAACTAATGTTTTGTTTATTTTTATTTAGTCTGCATTATCACTGGCTATTTTCTGTTTGGCTAATATTAATAGATATAATTTATCAAATATTCTTTTGAATATTACTTGATAGGCCAGAATTTTAAACTATCTAAATAAATACTATAAACAAGTAGTATGTGCAGAAAAAATTCAAGTTCATTGATTATGAAATTTTCAGTAATTGTGTATTTTTTCTATTACACATAAGGCAATCAGACATCTACTAACATTTGATAAAGGCCATCATGCCCATCACCCCAAAATGTTTCATTATTGGTAAATCAAAATTGAATTCTGACTGTAGTATGTGTTTTGTAAAATACTATAATGGTAGACACATGTCATTATATATTTGTGTAAACTCATAGAATGGACAACACTATTTACTTTGGTCTTTGAATGATAATTATGTCAATGTAGGCTTATTCATTGTAACAAATGTACCACTCTGGTGGAAGATGTTGATAATGGAAAAGGCTAAGCATGTGTATGAACAGGAGTTATAAGGGAAATCCCTCTACCTTCCTGTCAGTTTTGCTACAACCTAAAACTTACATAAAAGTAAATTTTATTTTAGAAATACACTGGATTTCACAAACTGAAAGGAACAGTAGCCGCTGTGTTTGAAAATATTGGTGAATAAAAATATATAATCATACAAAGTATCAAAAATAAAAGCACACATAAAAAAGGACTGACAAAACTGCAGAATATCAGGGAGCTGAGAGTTACTTCAAGCAGTCCAATATACAGATTATTAGAGTTGTTGAAAAGAAGTAGAGGGAAGGACACAAAATTCTTTAAAGATATTATGTAGAAATATTTCCAAGTGTGACAAAAGCTATAAATCTATAAATCCAGCAGTTAAAAATCGCAGGCATGAATAACATGATGAAAAACTAAGTTATAGGACACAATCTAATTAAATTGATTAGAACTGAAAATCTTAAAAACAGAGTACATCAAAATTAAAAAACAAAATGAAAAAAAACCCAGCCAAGTTCTCATTAGAAAACAAAATAACAAAATATTTAAATCATTAAAAGAAAATCACATCTATCAGCCTGCAATTCAATAATCATCAAAATAGCTCTAAAATAATGGTGATATTAAAAATTTTTCAAACATGCAACAGTTGAAAGAATTCATCACCACAGAACTATAAAACAAGAAATTATATAATCACTTCTTCCACCAGAAGAAAAAACATACCAGATGTTAATATGGATATGTAAAAATTATGAATATATGGCTAAATATGAAATGTTATTCTTATAATTTACATATCTTTACAATATACTCGAGTTAAAAGTGAAAATAGCAACTATATGTATTATATATATTTTATATATATATAGATATATATATATAGAAATTAAACTAACTGTTGAGTACCATGCTCACACCTGGGTGACAGGATCATTTGTATTTTAAACCTCAGTATCGTGCAATATGCCCACGTAACAAAATGCACATGTACCCTCCAAATCTAAAGTAAAAGCTGATATTATGAGAAAAGAAATAAACATATGACCATTTATATCACAAAGATCTGGAAAGGAGAAATAGAAGCATGCTATATTAAGTTTCTTGTATAAGAAATCACATATTATTTGAAAGCAAGTTGTTATAAATTACAATTATATGCTATAAACTATAGAACAGCCATGAAAAAAGAGTATCTCAAAAGGTAACAAAAGTAACAAATTGATTTATAAAATTGCAAAATTTATAAAAATGAGAAAAATGGAATAAATAATGGATGGATAGGGCAAATAAACTATAAGTAAATAAGTGGTGGATTTAAACCAAAGTGTATCAGTTATCACAATAAATGTACATATTCCAAACATCCTCATAAAAAGGAACAGATGGACAGTTCAAAAATGGAGATATGCAGATATCTCCTGCCTACAAGAAAACCACTTAAAATATGAATATGCAAATGTTACAAATGAAAGTATTTAAGAAGATATGTATGTCAGCACTATTTAAATAAATCTGGAGTTTTTATACTAACCTCTGATAATGTAGATATCAGAGCAAGAATATCCCCAGGAATAAAGAGGGTTGGTTATATGAGATATATCATAACAGTAAAGGAATTATTAATTAAGAGGACATAATAATTATAAATAGTTATATGGTCTAATAATTATGCTTTCAATTACATAAAGTTGAAATGATTAGAGCAGAAAGGAGAAACAGAAATAGTTGGATATTTTAACATCTCTCTCATAAAAATTGGTAGACCGTTAATTGAAAATTAGTAAAAATATAAAAGACCTAAATGACACTATCAGCCTATTCAAATGAATTGACATCTGTAGAGAACTTCATCTAACAACAGGATACACATGCTTTTCAAAAGCACAAAGATATACCACAATAGAGCATATGTATCTTTTAGGCCATAAAACACATCTCAAAAAATGTAAAAAAAAATCATATAATACAGCATATGTTTTCTAACAACGATAGAATTAAACTAAAAATCAATTATAGAAGAAAGATGGAATTAGAAACTATGAAATACAGTTCTACCTAATTATAGGTCTCATAGTTAATAATATGGGAAAATAGAAGGCAATTTCAATGGAAGGAAACTAAAAAGATAACATCAAAATTTATAGAATGCATGTTAAGCACTGTTTGGAAGAAAACTTATGACACAAGTGACCGTATTAGATAACAAATCTCAAAATCTTGCTCTAAGCTCCCTTCTTATGAAATTAAAAATAAAGATAGAGTCCATAAATCCAAAGTAAGCAAAAGGAAATAAGAGCAGAAAGCAATTTAAAAAATAGAAAAATTATTAAGAAATTAATAAAACCAAAATCATTTCTTCTATAATACTGATAAAATTAACAAACCTCTAGGCAAAATATCCAAGAAAGAAAAAGATTACATAAGTTAACAGCATCAATAATGAGAAAAATGCCATTAGTATAGATTTTGCATCTATTTGAAATGATGACATATTATAAACACAAAGTTATTCCAATAAATTTGACAATTTATATTAAACAAAAAAAATTTGAAAGGCATGAACTACCAAAGTTAACTCAAGAAGAGATAATCTGTATACCTCAATGTTTACTAAAAAATTAAAATTATAGTTACAAAACCATTTCACCAAGAAAACTCCAGGCACCAGTGACTTCACTGCTAATTTTTTTCAAATATTTAAGGGAGAAATAATCCCAATTCTGAAGAAGTTTATCTAGAAAAGAGGAGCAAACATGTTTAACTCGTTTTATAAGTTTAGCAATCACCTGATTAAAAAAAACAAAAAAAAATGTCATAAGAAAACTACATATCCATATTTCATAAACTAAGATATAAAACTTTCTAAAATTTTACCAAATGAAATCCAACTATACAGTACATTAAAAAACAAATATATGTGTATATATATATATTTGCTATATATATATATTTGCTATATATATATATTTGCTATATATATATATTTGCTATATATATATATTTGCTATATATATATATTTGCTATATATATAGGCTAGCAGAGTTCACCCAAGAAATGAAGGAGTGGTTTAACATTTGAATACAAATCGAGGGTTTTCAACATATTATAGACTAAAAACAAACAAACAAACAAGTAAACATATGACTGTCTCAATAGATTTAAAAAAAGCACTTGACAAAATCTAGTAAATGTTTTATTTTAAAAATGATCAATGTAGCAATATAAATTGATTTCCTTAAGTTGATAAAGGGCAACAACTTTATACCTAGAGCTAACATCATGTTCAGTGATAAAAGACTGAATGGCTTTTGGTATCTACATCTACATCATTTTATTATGTATATGTACATATATATGTATGTAATATATACATTTTCTACATTATTTTTATCACACAAATAATTTGAAATTCACTGTGTATTTTATAGTTATGATACAACTCATATTGGACTTACCACAGTGTATGTGGCCAAAAGTGGTAGTGGTAGTGGCTGCGGTATGGCTATGATAGACAATATAAGCCTATTGCTTGGTAATGTAATTTCATATATATTACGTTTAGTGATGTAGAAAAATTTAAAATATATATGTAAGAAAATAAATCTCGTTATCATTTTATACCCGTTGTGTAAATTTCTTTCAATAAGAATATCTGTCTAATAAAGGCATGATGTGACATGACTTACGTGATTTTAAAATATATGATTTTCATGTTACAGATACAGCACCATCTCCCTATTCCAGGCTCGCAGTGGGAAAGACGAGGCACTGGAATGTCACCAGGGAAGGGATAGCAGCTGTCTCTTCATCTTTCTTTCTCTCAGGGTTCACAAAACCCTGACTCCGCTTGCGTTGCACCACACTGTATAGATTGCATTTATTTGTTTCACTTGTAAATTCTCAACATATTCGACCTCAAATGTATCTTTAGATGCAGTATATTTTTCAAATACAATCACTGGTGATAACATTCTGTCGAATGGCATTTTTTAAAAATCTGAATAACCTTCCCTTACTTCCATAAACATAGTAAATATTTCTAGTATTCATTTCATACATTAGCTATTGGCTAAATTAGAATAAATAATGTTCTTTACTCTGACAAGAGAATTCAAAATGAATCTTTATGAAGTCAGATAGGATTTGGCAATTTTTTTTTTGGTTACCTATTTAACATGGCAGTAAAATCAAATTACCAAGGTCAATAAACTAATTTTTGATTTCCTCATATGGACCAATTATGCGACCTGTGTATCATACCTGTCACACCAAACTTATGCCACATAGACCATGTAGCAGACATGTCATAAAGAGTCAAAAGGAAAGTGTAACACAATAATCAAGTTTCTATAATGTTAATAAATGTTCATTTTTATGGAGAAAAAAATTAAGTTTTCAAATTTAAGTAAAGAAAAGAAAAAATAGACATTTCCACTTAAAAATTGTTGTGTTTGAATAGTTTTGGAAATATATAAACATAGCTTTAGTGAGGACCTTTAATTAATACAGCTCCTTGGTGTATTTTTGTTTTGGATTACAGATTATCAAATGGAGGTCTGAAAATATTCTGATGCATATATAATATTATCTTCTATTTTAAAAGTATAAAATACTACAATTTACTTTAAATCTCTACTCTGTCTTGAAGCTAAACATAAATGTGTCATTTTCAAATTATCATAATTGTTTTCTTTTCATCTTCCATTTACATCTGCAAAGAAAAACTTTATTTTTACCATATTAGACATTTCATTTTCCTAATTGAATGTTCTAGACTATTCCTTTATCCTTGGAATAAATAGAATTCCTTTTGACTTGCTTTGTGTAATTTTTACTCAGAACATACTTTAACTCAATTTGTCTTTTATAATGTTTTTCTTCTATTTATCTTCTGTTATTCATAGTTAAGATTCATAGTTTTCCATAGCTAAAACTATTAACATTCCAATCACTTCTGGTTTTTTTCCCTTAATTAAGAAAAAAGCTTAAGAAATTTATTCTCCACATTAATAAATATGTCTTCCATTATTTATATAGAACATTTTGCCATATTTTATATTAATTTTATTTAGACATTTTCAATTTGTTGCATTCATTATTCGTTTTTCCCTTGTCTCTCTTTTGTTCAAGTGAATTTTTTTTCCTACAAAGAGCCATTTATTTGTGCATCCTCCACCAGAATCTAAGCAGTTTTCTTCTAAAAGTGTCTTCAATTTCAGCATTTTTTTGTTTGCTAGACTGTTTGCTGTCTCTCTAAATACATACACACACAGACACACACAATTTATAAATGTATAGAGATCTTTTATAATAGGGTTTTTATGGCCTTTTACTTGACTCATTAATTAAATAGTGGTTATATACAACGTTTAGATCTAATTAAAAACTAAATTCCATGAACATAGCAGGTATTAAGTTTTGGGGCAGCGTATTCTACCCACTAAAATAGTCCTCTGTCAAGCTGAAACAAGTACACAAAAAGTTATGTTCTAAAAATGCCTTGCTAACAGAGTTTTGTTTTAGAGCTATTTTTATGTTTATTTCATCTTTGCATTTTTTTTCTTTGGAATTTTCTATTTGAATTTGCTACTACAAATTTTTGAGCACACTGCCACCTCAAGATGTCAGGTTGCTGCAGAAGTAATTGTGTTTTTTGCCATTACTTTTAGTGACAATTACTTTTGAACCAACCTAATACAATGTGGCCCTATCAGGAAGAATCTGCCACTTATTCATATTTGCAAACTTCTACTTGATTTAGAAACTCTGTGATTTGGCAATATACTCTGATTGAATTTAGGCAAGAATAACACTACTTGGTTGTCTATTTCTTATAGAGCCAAATCTTTTAAACCCATGTGGTGACTATGGGGATGGAAGGGCACTAGATATTGCAACATCTTGCTTTCTCTCAGTATAGCAGGCTTCTGTGTTTGCTACCATTTTTTTTTTCTCCTCTTCATCTAGTTAGTTAATCATGTGTTTGGTGGACATTTCTCAATATTCTGACAAAATAAGTTTTGTCTCGTCTTTTGCTCTATAGGTATTTATACTAATGTACTATTTATTTCTTAAACAAAATCAATGCAAATTTGCAACTTAAAATATTTATTTATTACCTCACAGAAGTGAAGATAGAACCAGATGGACTTGATTTATTTGCCCAAAAGGCTAAAATCAAAGTCAGCTCTCCTGGGCTCTTTTTTGGAGACTATCAGGTAGAATCCACTTACAAGATCATTTGAATTGTTGGCAAAATTAAGTTTTGTGTATTTGTAAGTCTAAGATTCCCATATACTTACTGTCAGCTGGTAATCTCTCTGCTCCTTAATGACACCTGCATTTCTTCTGAAGTGGCTCCTCCATTGTCAAACCAACAGAGCATTCAGTCTTTCTTATATTTTGAATCCTTCTGTTTGCCCCTCTGCCTCTTCTCTTCTGCTTCTAGCTGGAGGAAGTTCTCTGCTTTCAAGGGTACATGGGATTAGATGGGGCCCACCTGGGCAAACCAGGATACTGTCCCTATTTTAAGGTATACATTCTTAATTACATCTGAAAAGTCACTGTGCCATGTAAGAAAATATATTCACTGGTTCCATAAATGTGAATGAAGTGAAAAAATAAAATCATGTATCATCAGGCTTTGAGGTAAGACAATTCTAGATTCCAAGCCTAGCTCAATTCTATATACTGTGTAATATTAATTGTATTTTCTGGGCATGGTGGTATGCATATGTAGTCCCAGCTTCTCAGGAGGCTGAGGCAGGAGAATCCCTGGAACCCAGGAGTTAGAGGATGCAGTGAGCTATGATTGCACCACTGCACTCCAGCCTGGGTGACAGCACCATACTTGGTCTCTAAATTAAAAAGTGAAATATTTACTGTATTATAAAATATCTTATACACTTTTTTCCTTAGGATCTTCTTTATGTAATGTTGCAGTTTTGCAGTTATTTCAATTCCAGTGTTTTTTCCTTAATTTTAATATACCTATAGGTAAAGCATTGTGCAGAAATATCTATAAATTTTCTAGATAATGGTGATATGGTTTGGCATGTCCCCACCCAAATCTCATCTTGAATTGTAGTTCCCCTAATCTTCACATGACATGGGAAAGACACAGTGGGAGGTAATTGAATCATGGGGGCTTTTACGGTCATGCTATTCTGAAAGTGAGTGAGTTCTCATGATATCTGATGGTTTCATAAGGGGCTTTCGCTGCATTGCTTGACACTTCTCTCTCCTGCCTCCTTGTGAAGAAAGATGTGTTTGCTTCCCCTTCCACCATGATGTAAGTTTCCTGAGGCTTCCCCAGCCATGTGGAACTGGGAGTCAGTTAAACCTCTTTCCTTTATAAATTACCCGACCTCACGTATCTTTTCATACCAGTGAGAGAATGGACTAATACATGTGGCTATCAAAGCTGATTATTGCATTTTTTTTCCTTTTAGTGATGTGGCCTGTGGCCCTTTTCCCTTTTTGTTAAAAAACTATTAATATTGGTATGAATTTGTCAGTAGCTTTTAACTATAGATATATAATTTTGTTTTTCAAAAAATTTATGAGACTCAGCAAGACTACAAGTTGTTTTGAAAAATAGAAGCTAGTAATTAAAAATGATATCTACAAGTGAACAAAGAACAACTTTCTTTCATAAACCTGACAATCATATGGATAAAATAACAGTTTTCTTATTAATTGCTTTTCAAAGTTACTTGAAGAAAGTCAAGAAGAGCAAAACTTTCATATTGAAGTTTAAGCTAAAATATTTAATTTTAAAATCTGAAGTTAGTATTTCTAAAGTAACAGAATACTTATTAAACAAAAATGGAATGAAAACAATTTGACTTACTTGAACATTTACGAAACAGCAGTCTGTATAAACCTTTGAAAGAAAAATTTTAAAAGAAACACTAAATTTAAAATATTATAGTACAAATGACAGATATGTGGGTAATAGTTGTAATATTAAAAGGGCATTTAGGAATCATGAAAAAAATTCAATTTTACCCATTGAAAATAGGAAAAGGACATAAAAAGACAGGTCAAAGAACAGGAATTATAAATAGATAAAAACCATGATAGAAAATTTTCAAAAATATTGGTAATCACAAATATGAAAAATAAAAAAAACACTAGTATAACACTTTATACCCATCATATTGCCAAACATGGGACAGATGATATTTATTCCTTCCAGGGACTGAATAAAAATTTGTGCTTACATACTTTGTTAAAAATGTGAATCATTCAATAATTTTAGAAAGCAATCTGATAACATCTGTTATAAGATATTGATTGATAGATATAAACTTCATAAGTTCTATAATGACACAGTATATATATTTGTATATTTGTACATAAGAGAATACTTGTATTTTTATAGTATTTTTATAACAGAAAAAACCCAAAATATAAATAATGTGAATGCTTGTTAATAAAAACCATAGTTAAAACGACATAAAACTATACAAAACGTAGGATATTATGCATTCAGTAATAATGTTTGATTAGTGTATTATGGAGACTTATATGGTAATATTTCCATAAAGTTTTAAAAAGTAAGAAAAACAAGCTACAGACAAGCAGATAATACTGTTTCCTGTCATTGGATACAAATTCAATACTTTAGATGAGTTTATATAACATTTTTGCCAAAGTATTTATAGTTGAAGAGGATCATGGTTTTTAGATTTTATTTCTACAAATTTGTGAACTGGTTTGCATGGGAGGGTGAGAAAAAGACTAGAAATATAACATCTATATGCAATTCCTCGAGAAAGTGTTATAAAAACAAGATCAATATGTTACACAAACATTGCCAAGAAGGGGAAAGGTCAGAATAACAATATTTTGTTCGACTGCTTTTATGATATGATAGTAAACAGAAATAAGAAGGTCTTAGGTTCTTTACTCTTTATCTAGAGTTCTTTCAAGCAAAATGAGTTTCTCCTTTTCTATTGGCCTTTATAATTCTTTCAAGTTTTCTAGCAGGTACAAACTTCAACATGAGCAGAAATATAATCAGATTTTCTAGCTTCTGACAAATTAGCAAAGAAACAGTTTAGGGCCCCTATTGTATTTTGCTAGAAATACTATTTGAAATGTAAAATATCTAAAAGTTAATAAAACTTCTTTATACAACTGTGTAATAAATAAGGATAATGCTGCAAAAATTAGAAGAAGAATTCTACTTTTCTCTGTTGACAAGAATGACAGAAAAGTTAAGAATAAATGAGACCAACCCAAAACCTAAAATAAAAATATAAAAAGCAGGGTCAGTTTTCTCTAGTGAAGCAATAAACAATGTTTGAAATAAGATCTCTTTTAATTTATCTTTTTTTCCCTCAAAAAATGGTGGAGAGGAAGCTTTGAGAGTGATATGATTTGGTTGTGTCCCCACCTAAATCTCATCTTTAATTGTAGCTCCCATAATCCCACATCTTGTGGGAGGAACCCAGTGGGTGATAATTGAATCATGGGGGCAATTTTCCCCCATACTCTTCTTATGGTGGGGAATAAGCCTCATTAGATCTGATTTTATAGGGGGTTTCCCCTTTTGATTCACTCTCATTTCTCTTGTCTGCCACCATGTAAGAGGTGCCTTTTGCCTTCCAGCATGAGTGTGAAGCCTCCTCAGCCATGTGGAACTTTAATTTTTTTCTTTATAAATTACCCAGCCCCAGGTGTGTCTTTATCAGCAGAGTAAAAACAGACTAATATAGTATATTGGTACTGGAAGTAGGATGCTGCCGTGAAGATTCCTGAAAATGTGGAAGTGACTTTGGAACTGGATAACAGGCAGAGATTGGAACAGTTTGAGGAACTCAGAAGACAGAAAAATGTGGGAAAGTTTGGAACTTCCTAGAGACTTGCTGAATGGCTTTGCCCGAAATGCTGATAATGTTATGAACAATGGAATCCAGACTGAGATGATTTCAGATAAAGATAAGGAACTTGTTGGGAACTGGAGTAAGGGTGACTCTTTCAGTGTTTTTGCAAAGAGACTGGTGGCATTTTTCCTGACCCTAGAGATATGAGGAACTTTGAACTTGTGGGAGATGATTTAGAGTACCTGGCAGAAGAAATTTCTAAGCAGCAAAGCATTCAAGATATGACTTGGATGCTGTTAAAAGCATTCAGTTTTAAAAGGGAAACAGAGCATAAAACTTCAAAAAATTTGCAGCCTGACAATTGATAGAAAAGAAAACATATTTTCTGAGGAGAAATACAAGCTGGCTGCCGAAATTGGCATAAGTAATGAGGGGCCAAATGTTAATCACCAAAACAATGGGGAAAATATCTCCAGGGCATGTCAGAGACCTTGGCAGCAGCCCATCCCATCATCACAAGCCTGGAGCCTAGAAGAAAAAAATGGTTTCATGGGCAGGGTCCAGGGCCCCCTTCTATGTACAGCCTAGGGACTTAGTGCCCTGCATCCCCCGACTCTAGTCATGGCTAAAAAGGGCCAAGGCACAGCTTGGACCATTGCTTCAGAGGGTGCAAGCCCCAAGCCTTGGCAATTTCCATGTGGTGTTAAGCCTGTAGGTGCACAGAAGTCAAGAATTGAGGTTTGGAAATCTCCACCTAGATTTCAGAGGATGTATGGAAATATACAGGCAAAGGTATGCTGCAGGGGTGGAGCCCTCTTGAAGAACCTCTGTTAGGGCAGTGCAGAAGGGAAATGTGGGGTTGAAGTCCCCACACAGAGTCCCCACTAGGGCAGTGCCTAGTGGTGCTGTGAGAAAAGGGCCACCATCCTCCGGACCCCAGAATGGTAGATCCACCAACAGCTTGCACCATGCACCTGGAAAAGCCACAGTAACTCAATACCAGACTGTGAAGTAGGACAAAAGGGGGTCTGTACCCTGCAAAGCAACAGGGGCAAAGCTGCCCAAGGCCATGGGAACCCACCCTCTTGCATCAGCATGATCTGGAGGTGAGCTATGAAGTCAAAGGAAATGATTTTGTCATTTTAAGATTTGATTGCCCTCCTGGATTTTGAACTTTCATGGGGCCTGTAGACCCTTTGTTTTGGCCAATTTCTCAGATTTTTAATGGCGTATTTACCCAATTCTTGTACCCCCATTGCATCTAGGAAGTCACTAACTTGCTTTTGATTTTATGGCTCATAACGAAGGGAATTGCTTTGTCTCAGATGAGACTTTGGACTGAAGACTTTTGAGTTAATGCTGAAATGAGTTAAGACTTTGTGGGACTGTTGGGAAGGTATGATAGGTTTTGAAATATGAGGACATGAGATTTGTGAGGGGCTAGGGGCAGAATGATATGGTTTGGCTGTGTCCCCACCAAAATATCATCTTGAATTGTAGCTCCCATAATTCCCATGTGTTGTGGAAGGAACCTGGTGAGAGAAAAATGAATCATGGGGGTGGTTTCCCTCCATACTGTTCTCATGGTAGTGAATAAGTCTCATGAGATCTGATTTTATAAGGGGTTTCCTCTTTTGCTTGGCTCTCATTCTGTTTACTCTGCTGCCATGTAAGATGTGCCATTCACCTTCTGCCATGATTATGAGGTCTCTGTATCCACATGGAGCTGTGAGCCCTTTAAACCTCTTTTTCTTTATAAATTACCCAGTCTTGGGTATTTCTTTATAAGCAGCATGAAAACAGAAAAATACAGACAGCATGCCTCATCCACTAAGAAATTATAATATAGTATGTAGAGATTCACGCTGTGAACTATATCTAAGAAGCAACAGAGGAGTTCACATAAAACAAACATACCTTCAAGTATAGGGAAAAATAAAGCGGGTAGCAGCCCACGTGGTGGACCTGGCAAAAAAACTGTGAGTGAATACTCAGTGCATCAGTGGGGGAGAGAGTGTTTTTGAGATGCACATTTCCCCTGAAGAGCCAGGTGATCCAGGCTATGGGAGAGCTCCTTGACCCTAATCAAGCCCTTAATCTTGGGAAGCAGTAAAGAAACTGAGAAGGAATGGCACCGTGACATGCCCTGCAGACACTTGCAGACCTGGGCACTGATAAAAGGAAGCCATTTCTAACCCTAACTCACAGGGGCCTGCATGGGAACATGCCAGTCAGAATGGGCAGCAGTCACATGTTTGAAGAATCTCAGGATGGGGATTTGTGATCTACTCTAAAGCAAAGGAGGAGGAGCCATCACTAAGAGAGGAGTGTGGTGTTAGCTCAAGCCATGGGCGCTGGATTTGGATAGCCCCACTTCATGGGATTAGGCCAGGGAAGGTTTAGCCTGAGAACCACAGTTTTGACTTAGGCAGCAAGTTTTATAGCCTGGGTGGTTTTGCGGTCTGAAGAAAAACTGCTTATGACTTAGCCAACTGTTCCAACTTGCAGCCAGCACTGGGCCTTGGGAGGGAACCCAATCAGGTCAGAAGCATGAGTGTGAAGTGGATTCCACCACCACCTGCTAGGCTGTGGAGCCTGGACTATTATGATGGGTCTTTGGTATGGCAGCAGTTGCACTGCTTCTGCCTGGAGCATTGCTCTAGGGGCCTGAGAACTACCATCTGACTCCTGTTGAGACCAGTGCTTGTACAATCACCCATCACAACTCTACCAAGCTTCACCTCTGCTACCTCCCACCTTGGAGGAGGAGCACCAGACTGGGATCACTGAGAGTTCCATGGCCCAACCCATTGCCTGGGACAGCTGAGTATCTCTTGGTTAATAAAAGTTGAGCACCACTTACTGGCACCCAATTGGTACATTGCTACTATAACTGCCATTTGACAAAACCACCACACTAATGCTCTGTATCACCAGGGAGATCATACAGAGTTTACACCACTGAAAGGAGACAGAAGTCAGGAATGAGAAATCATCAAGAAAATAGATATCTTTTTTAAAAAAAGCCAAGAAGACTTCTGAAAATAAAAAAAAAATTATTGAGGAATGACAAAATACAGTGGAAAGCTTCAGCAATCAACTAGACCAAGTAGAGGAAGGAATCTCTGAATTTGAAGACAAGTCAGAAAAAATTCATTTAGACAAACGTTAATCCAGTCAGACAAAAATAAAGAAAAAATATTTTTTAAAAATATGAACATAGCCATCAAGTATGGAACTACATAAAATGACTGAACTTATAAATCATAGGTATTTAAGAGGAAGTGGAAAAAACAAAAAGTATAGAACACCTATTTGAGGAAATAATTGAGGAAATCTTCCTTAGTTTAGCAAGAGATTTAGACACCCAGATACAAGAGGCTGGCAGACTCCAATAAATACATCACAAGAAGGGCCATACCACATCACACAGTCATAAGACTGTCTAAAGTCAACGTGAAGGAAACATCCTGAAATTAACAATGGAAAAGCTTGTAGTCACCTCTAAACGAAACCCCATCAGACTAACAGTGGAGAATCTCAGCATAAACCTTACAAGCAAGGATAGATTGGGATTCTATTTTCAAAATGCTTAATGACAAAAAACTGCCAACCAGGAATTCTATTTTCTATCAGAACAAGCTTTATAAATTAAGATGAAATAAAGTATTTCCTAGAAAAGCAAATGCTTTTCATCACCTCTAGACTGGCCCTACAAGAAATGCTCAAAGGAGATTTATATACGGAAATAAAACATCAATATTCACTATCATAAAAACACATGAAAGTATAAAACTCGCAGGTGTTATAAAACAAATATGCAAAAGAGGAAAAGAAATAAATAATATGAAGAGAGCAGGATACCACCAAATCACAAATACAAAAAAAAAAAAGAAACAGAATTTTCAATACTAGATGAAAAATAACATTATGATAGGAATAAAACCTCACATACCAATATTGACCTTGAATGTAAATGAATTAAATGCCTCACTTAAAAGAATTAGAATAGTGGAATATGGATCAAAAAATATGAACCAACTATATGCTGCTTTCAAAAAGCGCCCCTTACTGGTAAAGACACATAGACGGAAGGTAAAGGGGTGTAAAATATATTTACACAAATGAAAAGCAAAAGTGAGCAGAAGTAGCTATATTATACCATAAAATATACTTTAAATCAAGAACAATAGAAAAGACAAAGAAGGTCATTATATAATGCTAAAATGATCACTTCAACAAGAAGATATGACAATTCTAAATATATCTGTCCCAATACTGAAGCAACTAGATTATAAATAAGATTTTACTATACCTAAAGAAAAACATACACAACAATACAATAATATTGGGGGACTTCAACACCTCACTTACAACACTAAACAGATCATCAACACAGAAAATCAGTGAAGAAACGCTAAACTTAAATTGGACTTTAGATTAAATAGACCTAGCAGATATTTAGAGTACATTCTACCCAACAACCACAGAATATACATCCTTAGAATCAGCATATAAAACATTCTCCAAAATAGAAGATATGTTAAGCCACAAAACAAGCCACAGTGAATTTTTTAAAATCGAATTCATACCACGTATCTTCTTGGAGCACATCAGAATAACCAGAATTCAATGCCAAGAGAAACTTTCGAAACTTTACAAATACATGAAAATTAAGTAACGTGCTTCTGAATGATCTTTAAGTCAAAGAAGAAATTGTTAGAAATGTTTTAAAAATTGAAACAAACAAAAATGGAGACACAACATATTACAACCCATGGGATACAGCAAAAGCAGTGCTAAGATGGAAGTGTACAGTGTTAAATATCTTCATCAAAGAATAGAACAACTGCAGATTAACAACCTGACAGCACACCTCAAAGAGCTAGGAAAATAAGAAGAAACCAAACCCAAAGCCAGAAGAATAAAAGACATAACAAAATCACAGCAGAACTAAATGAGATTGAGAACAACAACAATAAAAAGATATAAAGAATCAACAAAAGGAAGAATTGGTTCTTTGAAATGATAAATTGATATACCGCTAGCTAGATTAATTAAGCAAAAAAGACAAGATTCAAATAAGCACAATTGGAAATAATAAATGAGATTATAACTGATACCACAGAAATATAAAAGTTCATCAGAGTCTACTATAAAAATTTCTGTGTGCACAATCTAGAAAACCTAGAGAAAATGGATAAATTCCTGAAAACATACAACCTCCCAATATTAGCAAGGAAGAAATAGAAATCCTGAATTAATAAATAATGAGTTATGAAATTGAATTAATAACAAAAAATCTTCCAACAACGACAACAATAACAAAACCTAGGACTAGATGAATTTGCAGCAAAATTCTGCACAAGTCAGATTCACAGCCAAAGTTTACCAGATATACAAAGAAGAACAGGCACAATTCCTACTTAAACTCCTCCAGAAAATTAAGAAGGAGGAATCCTCTTAACTCATTCTGTGAAGCCATTATCACCCTGACGCCAAAGCCAGACTAGAACACAACAAAAAAAGAAAACCACAGGCTAATATCGCTGGTGAAAATACATGCAAAAATGCTCAAGAAAATATTGGCAAACCAAATCCAACAGTACATAAAGAAGATAATACACCATAGTCAGTTGGATTTTATTCCAAGGTCTCAAAGATGCTTAAATATACCATAATCAATACATGTGATTCACCACATAAACAGAATTAAAAACTAAAAGCATACTATCATCTCAATAGATTTAGAAAAAGCATTTGACAAAATTCAACATCACTTTATGATAAAAACCCTCAACTAACCCAGAGTTGAAGGAACATACCTCAAAATAATAAGAGCCGTTTATAACAAACCCACAACCAATATCCTACTGAACAGAGAAAAGTTGAAAGCCTTCATTCTAAAACCTAGAACAAGAAAAGGATGCCTTCTTTTACCACTTGTATTCAGCAGAGTACTGGAAGGCCTAGACAGAACAATCAGAAAGAAAATAAATAAAACAATCCAAACTGGAAAAGAGAAAGCAAATAATCTTTGTTTGCTGATGATATGATCTTATACCTAGGAAACCCGAAAGATTCCTTCAAAAGACTCCTATCTTTGATAAAAGACTTCAGTAAAGTTTCAGCATACAAAATCAGTGTACAAAAATCAGTAGAATGTTCATACCAATAACAATCAAACTGAGAGCCAAAGCAAGAAGTTAATATAATTTGGAATTAAGGATACATTTAATCAAGGAGGTAGACAATCTCTACAAGGAAAACTACAAAACACTGATGAAGAGATTGTAGATGGGCCAGATGCAGTGGCTTATGCCCGTAATCCCAGCATTTTGGGAGGCCAAGACAGGTGGATCACTTGAGGTCGGGAGTTAAGATAGCCTGACAAACATGGTGAAACCCTGTCTCTACTAAAAATATAAAAATTATCCTGGCATGGTGGTGGGCACCTGTAATCCCAGCTACAGGAGAATCACTTCAACTTGGGAGGAGGAGGCTGCAGTGAGCCATGATCGCACCATTGCACTACATCCTGGGTGACAGAGTGAGATTTAAAAAAAAAAAAAGAAAAAGAAAGAAAGAGAGAAAGGAAGGAAGGGAGGAAGGAAGGAAGGAATTGTTGATGACACAAACAAATGGAAAATCATCTTGTGCTCCTGGATAAGAAGAATCATTATCATTTAAATGACTATACCACCACAATCTACAGATTCAATGCAATTCCTATCTAAATATCAACATTATTTTTCACAAAATTAGGAAAAAAATCTAAAATTCATATGGAACCAAAAAGAGCCTGAGTAGCCAAAGCAATCTTAACCTAAAAAAAATTAATAGCTAGAGGCAGTGTATTATCTGACTTCAAATTATATGACAAGGCACACATAAAGACTGGGTGTGGTGAATCATGTCTGAAATCCTAGCACTTTGGGAGGCCAAGGAAGGAGGATCGTTTGAAGCCAGGAGTTCAAGACAAGCCTGGGTAACATAGCAAGATCCCATTTCTACAAAAAATGAAAAAATTACCTGAGTGTGGTGTGTGCCAGTAGTCATAGCTACTTGGAAGGCTAAGGGAGGTTCACTTGAGCCCAGTTGTTTGAGGCTTCAGTGAGCTATGATTGTACCACTGCACTCAAGCCTGTGTGATATTGTGAGACCCTGTCCCAAACGAACAAACAAAAAGATGCATAGATCAATGGAACTGAATAGAGACCCCAGAAATAAAGCCGCATACTTACAGTCAACCAATGTTTAACAAAGTCAACAGAAACATACACTGGGGAAAGGATACCCTTTCAATAAATGGTATACGGAAAATGGAATAGAAATATGCGGAAGAATGAAACTGAGTCCCATATCTCTTACCATATACATAAATCAACTCAAGCTGGAATAAAGACTTAAACAGAAGCCCTGAAAACATAAAAGTACTAGAAGAAAATCTAGGGAGAAAACAACTTTCTGGACATTGACCTAAGCAACAGATTCATGACTAAGACCTCAAAAGCAAATGAAACAAAAACAAAAAGTAGACAAGTGAGACTGAATTAAACTAAAACGCTAACGCACAGCAAATAAATAATCAACAAAATGGGCAGACTACCTGCAGAATTGGAGAAAATATTTGCAAACTAAGCTTCAGATAAGGGACTAATACCCAGAATATACAAGGAATTTAAAAACTCAACGATAACAACAAAAAACAAATAACCCTATTAAAAAGTGGACAACGGACATGACCAGACATTTTTCGAAAGAATATACACAAATAGCCAAGAAACATATGAAAAATGCTCAACATCACATTAATCAGAGGATTGCAAATCGAACCCACAGTGATATATTTTATTATCTTACACCAGTCAGAATGGCTATTATTAAAAAGTAAAAAAAAAAAAAAGTATGTTGGTGAGGATACAGAGAAATGGAAATGCTTATATACTGTTGGTGTGAAGTTAAATTAATACAACCTCTATGGAAACAATATGGAGATTTCTCAAGGACTAAAAACAGAACTAACATTCCATCCATCAATCCCACTACTATGCATCTACCCAAAGGAAAATAAATCACTGTAATAAAAAGATACTTGCATTTGTATGTTTATCACAGCAGTATTCACAATAACAAAGACATGTAATCAACCTAAGTGTCCATCAAAGGATGAAAAGATAATAAAAATGTGGTATTATATACAATGGACTATAATTCAGCTATATAAAATAATGATATCATTTCTTTTTCAGCAACATGGATGGAACTAGAGGCTGTTATCTTAAGTGAATTAACCCAGAAACAAAATCAAATGCCATTTATATGTTCCCACTTATAAATGGGAGCAAAACAATATGTACTCATGAACAGAGAGTATGGAATAACAGACATGAGAGATTCACAAGGGTCAGAAATTGGGAGGGGATTGGGAATAAGAAATTACTTAATAGGTACAAAGTACATTTTTAAGGTGATGATTACACTAAAACCCTAGACTTCCCCAGGAAGCAATGTATCCATGTAACAATTGCACTTGTACCTCTTAAATTTATACAAATAAAAAATTACATTTTTAACCAAACTTTTTTTTTAACTTATAAAACACACTATTGCCAAAGTTGGGGACAAAACTTGGTATGACTTTTCTGGAGGAAATATTTGCAATATATGTAAAACTCAAAATCATTAACTGTCAGTTTCATTGCTAGAAATTTAGCATTAGACAATAAATTGTCAAATAAGTGAGATAAGATTTACTTACAAAAATACTCATAACATTATAATTGATTTATGATTTTTAAAAATCTTACAAATGTGATAACACATAATTATGATTCTTCTATAAAAGGAGTATTAAAAGTCATTTTAGAAAACGTCTAAACAGTATGGATAAATTTATAAGACAATGCAAAATTCAGATAACTATTTTATTTCTGCCCATGTGTATAAGCATAGTATAAAACTAAAAAATGTATTGTGATCCACGCTTGTATTCAAGTAGAGGAAATATCTTTCTCTTGCTTCTAAAATAATTTATATATTTTTCAAAGAATATATATTACTGATGAAATTATGAAAATACTATTTGTACAAAATAAAAATTCAGATTTGATATCTCAAATCAAAATTCCTTGCATCAAAAGTCTGTTTTGTGTGATGTTTTCTCCTTGTCCTGTGATTTCTTCTTCCTGATGTTTAAAATGGCTATGGCTAGCATTTCCCTACCTTTGATAAGCTTTTCCTTTTGGACCAGCCAAGGTATAGTGAATAATTTTTTTCAGTCTATCTCACATTAAAGTATAAGATTTCCTTGTGGGATTTAAAAAGCCACAAAAGTTTAAAAACATAAGAATTACTTCCACATTAAAAGATGAAACACAGCAGGATAGTACTGTAGGCCCAGGGAATGTCTTAGTCATTGAATTGAAATGGAATACTCCCCACAAGTGATTTTTAAAATGTCATAATCTTTCCAATATGAGGAACTGAACAGGCTTAGGGAGATCAAGGTAAAAACTAGTTTGGAGGCTAAAAGGTGCAATCATCACAATTTGAACTTTTAATCTGAAAGACCTTCAGTTTCCTCTCCCATTGGCTTCCACAGGATAGCTTAACTATAGGATTCACTTAATTCCAGCTCAATTATTTGAAGGTAGCTTGAAAGCACTATAAAGTAAAAGGGATCATTAGAGAAGCAAAGAGATTTAGGCATTCAAAATCTTCCAATGCCAGCATCACAGATTGTAACTTTTCAGTACCTTTATGCTTCAAATATAAGCAAAGGCCTCTTTAGATTATTGCCAATAAAGACATAAGTGTTAAAATCTGCTAGATACTTAGAGGATTGCTACAACTGATGGGATGTGGATAAGGCTGAGTAGACAGATGTATGAAATTATAGTGAATCTTTGTGATCTTTGCAACGATGGTGTGCAACTGCTATAACTGTGACCCAGAATCCTTTAATTAGAACTGTAAACTTAGTAAGTCAAATGAAACAATGAAAAAAAAAACCTAGAAGCTTTTCAGGGGACATAGATTAAGGATCAATGTGCAAGTCTCAGAAAAAAAACAATAGGCTGTAATGACTGACAGGGATGCCCTGCTTCAAAGAATGGGTAAAAGAGCTCCCTCAAAAGCATAGAAACTGCAGACAAAGACAGAAAGGGATTTCTCCAAATTGTCAGGGAAATGGAGTGTCAGGCACACTGTTAAAACTTGGGAAAATTAGCAAAGCACATCTGTCTGGTTAAGATGAAGTTCTGTGCTTCAAAATTAAGAGATTGTGCCAATGATGAAAGATGAAATATGGAAAATGCCATTTGGACAAAAGGAAAAATAGATTATAGAGAATATTTGTTTCAAATAAAAATGCTAATATTTATGGTATCACCTTAATGATTTTTATAAAAATTAATTAAAATTCATTTTCTAATTTTAGGGAGGCAGATACACTGTGTAATTTGAATTTCCATATATCTTAGAGAATACACAGTAGTAGAACATGGACCCTGTGCATGTAATTCTATTTAAGAATATATACCCTATTCATTCCAGGAATAAACCCACAAAATAAGACAATATGAAAAGTTTATTTTTATATACTCTTTTAAGTTCTGCATAAGTATTCTTTATTCCTCATAACAAACCTATTAGATAACTATTACTGATTTCCCTGTTTTATAAATTAGCAACATAAGCCAAGAGACATTAACTAACTGACCTGATGTTATGCATGTAGTTAAGTGAGAGAGTCAGAGTGAAACCCAGGTAGTATAATTTTCACTGCCCACATGCTGAATCAATATGCTAGAGGCCCTCCCCTGAGAAGACATATTAAAGCCCATCTTCACTCTGCGGGAATCAGTATTCACCATCATCATAACTTGGTCATGAGAACAGAAACTGCATTCTTGACAACTGCAGAACTTCTGCTTTTGTTACATGGCTGTAACATGCAGATGTCATTTTTTACAATATCCAATGACTATATTGCGTACACAATGTTTCTATCTACACAGTAGCACATACAAGCACACACACGCACACGCACATACATACATGCACAATGTCCTTACCTATTATTTTTCCATGCAGTTCTTTCATCTAGTTCAGTGGCTCACTGGTTCTCAGAGCACATAAGAAATATATGGAAGACTGTTATAAAATGCAGATTTATTCCCAGAATCTCAGAGTCAGTAAGTGTGAGGTAGACTTAAGAATCTGCACTTCCCACAAGTTTCCAGATAATGGCAATGCTGCTGGTGTAGGTATTACACTGACCAGCGCTCTAGCAGAAAAACTCACCAAAGCTTATCTTTCTCCAAGAACATTCATGATTTTCTCATTAGTTCTGATTTTCCATCCCTGTGAATTCTCACTATCTGAAACTGTCCCTTTTAATTTACTGAGAGAGTCACTGAAACCAAGAACATTGATAATCTCATGATTTTGGCCATGTTAAATACTAATTGCTTCACGTACTATTTGGCTTAAGCCAGAAATAACAAGCATGAATTCCATTGTCTGACAAATGCTACTTAGGTTTGGTTTCAGTGACTTTCTCAGTAAATTAAAAAGACAGTTTTGTTGGCTGCTTAAAAATTTTAAGTGAGTTTATGATGCCTCTAATATCATGAGATTATCAATGTTCTTGATATGTTTTTATGAAGGGCACATTCCTTTCCTGACTATTATCTTTTAAATCCATGTGCTATGTATTTTATACATTTTATAGTCATGTAATAGTCACTCTTTCTTTTTGCCTTTATTTGTGCCATATTATGTCTTTACCTTTGTTTGCTCATTATATACTTTTGAGGAAAAAAACCTATAAAGAAGCAGCCAACAACAACAAAAAAGGACAGATGGGAAGATGAAAGATAATATGATCCACAATCCATTAAATACTAAGTGCATGATATATATACAACAGTAGTTCCCACAGCACATAAGATACACATGGAGGACTTTGTTATAAAACACAGATTTATACCCAGAATCTCAGATTCTGGAGAGGTACATATTTGTTAACACAAAAAGTATAACATTGGGGTTATCTGACACTACGCATACTTGAAAATTTAATAGTAAGAGCGAAAAAAAGGAACTGTGGGAGTTAGTTTTTTACAGAAAAAGTAAATCTCAAAAACACGTTTTTAATAACATGAAAAGAGCTGACTCAGGTGAAGAAGGATGTCTTATTTTGCTAAAATGCCAAATTACTTCTTTCCTCTGGCCTGGGCTGCTGAGTGCACAGGACTGTTATAACTCAGCAAGTACAAATAAATCCATTTGAAAAAGCAAATAATTAAAATGAAAAACAAGGGACATTGCTAAAAAGATATAAAATAATTTAATATTATTAAAATATGAACTGTAGTTAAATCCCATAGGAAAACAACATATAATAGAAAAATAAATGTTTTAGGATACAAAAATGGCAACTCCCCAAAGAAAAAATCCAGATATTTTAAACCCCTAGTAGTTATGCATATGATATTTCACACTTTTCTAATAGTGAAAAAGTAAAATACTACGTATTCTCATACTCTCAGAGGTTGGAAACAGTTCTGTATTAATATTTCAGACCCACCATCATCCCTTAGGTCCTGGAAAGAGGTGTCTTTTTTGAAATTGTTCTGAAGTACCCATTTCAACAGTCATTTGTGAAAAGCAAAATATTTGTTTTTGTAATTCATTTGAGATGTATTGCCAGTTCTCACTATTCATATATGTCGTATTTGCAAACTTGCCTACTTGCTAAAATTTATTTTTAAACTTCATCTCAATAGTTATAGTACTTTCACAGTCGTTTGTGGACATGTGCAGGGTGGCAAAACATTCTAGTTCCCCGAAGGGCATATTCCCAGCTGAAGTCAAACAAGGTGCTGCTCTGCCTTCTTATATCAGCTCTTATACTGTAAACAGTGTCCTTTTTGCAGTCTATGTAGTACCGCTTTCTTCACAACTTTCTATGGGGTTTTTGACGATTTTGTTCATTAAGATGACCCCCAGGCATAGGGCATAAGTGCTGTCTAGTGAACCTAAGCATGAGATGGCTATGATATCCCTTGCAGAGACAACAAGTGTGTTCAATAAACTTCATTCAGGCATGAGTTACAATGCTGTTGGCCATAAGTTCAATATGAATGAATCAACAAATATGCATTAGATAAGACATCTTTAAACAGAAACACACATAAAACAAGGTTATGTATTGATCTGTTGACTAAATATTTTTACTAGAGGCTCATAGGAACATAACTCTGCATTTTTATATTGGCTAATACAGTGTTTGCAGCAATTTTATAGAACATAACTACCAGGAGTAAAGGGAACTAATTATATCTCTATTTTTGTCACTTTCTTATTTTCCTCCAAGAGTCTCATCATTGTTTTCATGTTTACAAAATTCCTTATTTCACTTTGATAACGAGATCATATTTTCTCCTGGTAAAAGTCACATCAAGACCAAACAAAATTAGGCCAGGCGCAGTGGCTTACACCTGTAATCCCAGCACTTTGGGAAGCAGAGATGGGTGGATCACCTGAGGTCAGGAGTTCGAGACCAGCCTGGCCAACATGGTGAAACCTCGTCTCTACTAAACATACAAAAATTAGCCAGATGTGGTGGTGGGCACCTGTAGTCCCAGCTACTCGGGAGGCTGAGGCAGGAGAATCACTTGAACTTGGGAGGTGGGGGTTCAGTGAGCCAAAGTCGCACCACTGCACTCCAGGCTGAGCAACAAGCACAAGACTCCACCTCAAAAAACAAAGCAAAAAGAAAGACCAAACAAAATTATCAAGAACAGAACAATAGAACTCTAAGTATAATTGTTGCCCAATTGTATAATGAGCAGCCTGATTCCTCAATAATTTCTTGGAGAGACTTAATAACAAGATTTATGATACGGGTTTCAGAACAGGATGCTTGCTATACTCAGAAGGTCATTAGGAACTAGACTAGCATACTAACTAAATGCCTGAACATTACCACACAAAACACAGGATAGAACATTACCACACAAAACATACAACAGAACTCAGCCTGGGTCTTGACAAAAAACCTTATAAGGTCACTAAGGTCACTACAAGGATTTCATCGATTTTTTTCTTTTCCTTTAATTCAGGGAAATAAATATTAAGAAATGCAGAGTTTGCACTACCATTCCTTTTCAAACCACATTGGATATGACCTGAATCATGCTGATGCCCATGAGGAATTATGATTTTAATGATGAAATTATTGTTCACATCATAGCTCTGCAAGGTGAAGCCATCAGCTGTTTTAATGGCTCCAGTGGAAATTAAACTCAGAAGACTTTTGTCATTCAAGACCTCATGATAAACTTTTGGTTTTGTGCATTACCGTAACTGATGTGAACATCAGATCCTGCTGAGCCTTCTGGGAATGTTCTATAATTTGATAGCAGGAGTCCCAAACTCCCAGAACAGTGAGGCATTGAAGTTGTAAAGATCTATTTCCAGATGTCTTTTTTTTTTTACATTTGTTTATCAATTCTATCTAAGGCTTTAGAAGAGACATTAAGTAAAGTTTATAAATGGCTCCTTAGCATATCTTCTTTCTTCAAACAAACAAATGAATATATTTTGAGTGACTACTAGAAGAGCCTTTTATAATATTTCATTATTTAACAGAAAAACTCTAACAAGTTATTTTGCATTTCAAGATGTATTTTTGTACTAAAATGGTTTCTGTGAAGAATGCCATACTCAATGGGACCGTTAGCATCCAGAAAACATATTTTTAAATTAATTATTAATGGTACCAAAACACCTGCAACAGAAAATAGTAAAGAGCTGATTGGCAGTTGAAAATCAACATAAACTTATAGGCAATTTTAAAGTGATATGAAAGCCAGAGTAAGTGAAGAAATTTCAGAGAAAAATTATTCATAGGGCCACTTCTTCCAAGCATCTGCCCCGTGCTACTGTAAGGCTTTGACATAAATTAAACCGTTGAAATTCTAGTTTTGTCATTTTCACTTCCTCTCCATCCAACACAATTTTAGTTATGTGGTTACACTTTTCTCTTTATTTACCCTTTTGCATCTTTTGATTCCTTTCTCTCCCTTTCCTCTTTTGCCCTCTTAACTTTGCCTACCTCTGTCTTTCTCTTCAGCAGTTCTGTAATCCCCAACAAGCCAAATTAATGTACCTTTAAATTTAGTAGTTCTTAACAGTTTCTCTTTTTCTTCTAAATCTTTTTTTTTCTGCAGTTCTGGATCATCGAGTAATAGAGTTTGTGTAAGTAATAGAGCATAATAATACAAAGGGTGACATTAAATAAATGATAACTCCAAACATTGATGTTTTGTGATCATTAACAAGGTGAATAAAGAGTGAAAGAGGAAGAAAAAAGGAGTGATTGAGACGCAAAGAATTGACAAGACAAATGCCATAAAAGGAAGGAAATATCTAGCACATGGGTCTCCAGAGGGATCAACTGACCTCTGGTGGAAAACAATATTCCAAAGGAAGGGAAACATTATGGATGTACCAGAAACTTGATGTTAGGTTACATGGAGCACCACTAATGAAATGTCAAAACTGAATTTTTCCCAGGGAGGAATTGAGGAGTGTTGCATCAGTTTAAGAAACATAAAACTGAGAAGGCAAGTGCCACTGATGAGAAAATCCACAGAAACCCCAAAAAAGAAATGTTGAAAATAAGAGTGAATTCAAGAGCTCTGCAGGTAGTGAGGAACACAAAGAGTGGAGTTCAAGTCTTGAGAAAGTGTCACAGGTCAGGAGATGAAGTGATAAGTTAAAACAAACCAAAAGAAGAAAACAACAGAAGACAAAGCACTGTTAAAGTATTGATTGTATTTTAAGTTATATGAATAAAATAAAGAAAACAATATCAACAAAATAGTTTTCAAATACCTGCCATTAATAGTATTGATGGTATAATTTTGTAATATTTTACATACAGAAGAAGTAAAACTAAAAATAATAATTGAGATCCTACTTTATGTGAAATGCTGTTGCAAAATGATGGGATATAATGATGACTTAAAACAAAAATACGTTCGTGTCAAATACTCCAGCTTGTAGTATTATGAAGGAAACAGACTCAAACACACACACACATAACATAAATATAGATTACACCTATGGCATATCTACACACATAAGAAATTTACATCTGTTATGGACTAAATGCTTGTGTCTCCCTACAATTGGTCTGTTGACATTCTAACTCCAATGTCATGGTGATAGGAGGTGGGGTCTTTGGGAGGTAATTAGAATATGAGGATAGAGGCTTCAAGAATGGGGTGAATGCCCTTAGAGAAGAGACAGTAGAACTTCCTATCTGGGTCTGCCCTCTCTGCCATGTAAGGATACAACAAGAAGTTAACAATCTGAAAAAGCAGGCATCACCAGACACAGGGTCTGTTAGCACCTTGAGCTTGGACTTCCCAGTCTCCAGAATTGTGGTAAATAAATGTATTTGGTGTAAGACATCAGCCTATGAAAATTTTTTATTGCAGTGTACACAGATTAGGAAGTAAGCTAATATTGGAAGTGGGTTCTGCTGAAACAAATAACTAAGATTGTGGAAGCATCTTTGTAACTGGGTAATGGCTAAAGGCTGAAAGAATTTTCAGATGCATGCTAGAAGAAGCCAATATTGCCATAAAGAAACTGTGTGATTCTTGTGATGACTTAGTAAGAAAAGAGGAGAGTTGAAGAGAAAATCATTTTCTTTTTTTTTTCATTTATAAAATAGATCAGTTTTATTCTGCTAGTTACATAAAAACAATGTTAACACAAGCATTCTGTACATCTTGCTGGTGAATTCACATAATGCTTAGTTCCCTGATCTTTTGACCTCCTTGTCTTCTCTGGTTATTTTATGTTTGGACCACTGGCCACAGGAGTAGAGTGGGGTTGGGGCTTAGGAGAGAGCAATGTGGCTTTTTGGTATGATTTGTTTTATCGCTTGCCCTCTCAGCACACTCCTGTTACTCCTAACAAAGTTTGAGATTTAAACCCTTAAACCTGCAGGTTTCACCATCAGCTTTTTCTTTTTTCTTTTTCTTTCTTTCTTCTTTTTTTTTTTTTTTTCGCATAGGCATTACTAGGGACGTAAATGGGAGACTGGCATAGAAAGTGGTGAGGAGCCGAAGCCAAGAAATTGCTTTAAACACAAGATGAAAATGCTCTGTTCTGTGTGAGATGCCTCACACCAGTATTAGGTGATTCTTTGGAAAATCATTTTCTTAGAGAATACATAAGTAATCATGAGCAGAATGTTGGTGGAAATATGGATGGTGAAAGCCATTCATGGTAAAGGTCTCAGATGGAAAGGAGGAATATGCTGTTGGACAATGGAGAGGCGATCCTTGTTATAAAGTGGCAAAAACTTGGCTAAATTATGTTCATAATCTAATGTTTTTTGGAAGACAGAACTTGCAAATGATGAAATAGAATATTAGCTGAGGAGACTTATCAGAAGAGTGTCGAATGAGAAACTTGGTTCCTCCTGACCGCTGATAGTAAAATTCAGCAAGAGAAAATGAATTAGGATGCCATTGTTAAGCCAAAAGGAACTAGAACCTAAAGATTTGGAAAATTCCTAGCTCACTCATTGTATTAGTGTATTAGTCAGGGTTATCTAGAGGGACAGAACTAAAAGTATATATATATATATATATATATATATATATATACACACACACACACATATACACACACACATATACACATATATATACACATGTATATATATATGTGTGTGTATATATATATATATATATAGAGAGAGAGAGAGACAGAGAGAGAGAGAGCACCACAACCAAGCTCAAGTACTAATATGCTACCTCTCACCCTATCTGCACTGCCTCAATTTTGATATTCTGAGGACCGTTGGAGAAATTTATGAAATTAGGACATGTTTATGTTTCCACCATTAAAATATATATTTTCTGGTGTTTACTTAAAGTGAGGGCTATTATTAAAGTTTTTTTTATATATTTCATATGACTTTAGCAGAAATAATTCATTTTTACTAGTGAAGATCCTTCTCCACTATATATATATTATATAATATATATTACTTATATATAATATATAATATATATAATATATATTACTTATATATAATATATAATATATATAATATATATTACTTATATATAATATATAATATATATAATATATAATATATAATATATATAATATATAATATATATAATATATATAATTTATATATATAATTTATATATACATATATATAATTTTTATATATAAATTATATATACATATATAATTTATATATATACATATATATAAATTATATATGTATATATAATTTATATATATACACATATATATAATTTATATATATACACATATATATAAATTATATATATACATATATATATATATATATATATATATATATATATATATATATATATATATTCACAAGGTGAAGTCCCACAATAGGCTGTCTGCAAGCTGAGGAACAAGAAAGCCAGTCGAAGTCCCAAAACCTCAAAAGTAGGGAAGCGGACAGTGCAGCCTTCAGTCTGTAGCTGAAGGCTCGAGACCCCCTGGCAAATCATTGGTGTAGGTCGAAGAGTCCAAAAGCTGAAGAATTGCAGTATGATGTTCAAGGGCAGGAAGCATCGAGCACAGAAAAAGATGAAGGCCAAAAGATTCAGTAACTCTGCTCTTCCTAAATTCTCCTGCCTGCTCATATTACCAAAAAAATGCAAAAATCATCGTTCAGAAGAAGAGGCTGAAGGTCTAGTGGACTGAATTTTTGATAATGAGATTAGTGTGGCTGTAAACCATGTACCTAATTAATCATTTTCACAGAAGCCAGGAATAGATATGGATACTGACAGAAACAGTGGTAGCTGGGAATAAAGGAAATGGAGAAAAAAGAAGGAATGAAGAAAGATTAAAAATATGTGCTATCCTTTAAACAAAAGGAATAAGGACCCAAGAGGTGATTCAGAGATCATCAAGCCACCACTTAGGTTTCAAAAAAGCCAATAGCTCCCAACAGAATTTTGCATATGAGAATATGCATTTGGGAGGTCAAGGAAGGAGTATTATGAATGAAATGTTTACCCACCCCCAACCAAATTTATATGTTGAACTCCTAACACCCGATGTAATGTTATTAGGAAGTGTGGCCTATGGGAAGTAATTAGTCATGAAAGTGGAGCCCTCATGAATGCATTAGTGCCCTTATAAGAAGAGACAGGAGAGCTTATTGTCTGTCTCTGCTGTCCACCATGTTAGAATATAACAAAGAGACAGCCACACACAAACCAGGAAGTGGGTCCTCACCAGACGCAGGTTCTGCTAGCATCATGATGATGTACTTTCCAAACTTCAGAACTGTGATAAATAAATGTTAGTTGTTCAAGTTAGCAGTCTATGATAATTGCTTATATGGTCTGGACTAAGACAACATCTGTGACAACTGCTAGAAGAACATATGGGGAAGATACAATGAGTGCTTATAATAATAGGTTGCTTTGATACTCAATTGTCCTGGAAGAGTCAATCTAGCAGAAATGAAAAAGATGGATATAGGCCTTATTAGGCAAAGAGAAAAGAGCCTACATTGTAAGTTGAAGAAACAGTGGATAAAGGAACTATAAAAACAAATCTATGTGCCCCAAGAAATATTTAGTTTTCTTGTTATTGATAACTCAATATCGTTGTCATTGGTAGCCAACTATGAAATACTGTCACTGGACTTTAAAAAATTTTGTATTAATCAGGCCACAACCAAGGTCAAGTAATAATATGCTACCTCTCACCCTATCTTCACTGCCTCAGTTTTGATACTCTGGGAACTATTGGAGAAATTGATGAAATTAGGACATGTTTACATTTCCACCAATAAAATATATATTTTCTGGTATTTACTTAAAGTAAGGGCTATTACTAAAGTTGTTGTATATATTTCATATGACTTTAGCAGAAATAATTAATTTTTAGTAGTGAAGGTCCTTCTCCACTCAAAAATAAATGGTGATATTTCTAAAAATATGGTTAGTGAATATTCTCCTGGATGGTAAATAATCAGTTTGAGATTAATTCAAGTTTAGATTCTTCAGTGTGTACTCAAAGGCTCACTCAAAAGTGCACTTTATTACACTAACAATACACTATCCAAAAATCAAGAAAACAATTCCATTTATAATAGCCACTAAAATAAAATACTTAGGAATAAATTTAACCTAGGAGGTGAAAGATATCTA
Source organism: Homo sapiens (assembly GCF_000001405.40). Lineage (NCBI taxonomy): Eukaryota > Metazoa > Chordata > Mammalia > Primates > Hominidae > Homo > Homo sapiens. The sequence goes on from NC_000004.12 coordinate 34,929,660, forward strand.
TACTCTGAAAATAAAACATTAATGAAAGAAATTGAAGAAAACATGAATAAATGGAAAGATACTTTGTGTTCATGAACTGGAAGAATTAATATTGTTAAAATGTCCCTAATACTTAAAGTGATCAGCAGATTTATGCAATCCCTATCAAAATTTCAATGTCAGTTTTCACAAAAATAAAAAAATATTGAAATTTGTCTAGAACCAGAAAAAATACCCCCAAACCTAACAGAATTTAGCACAAAAGGAAGAAAGCTTGAGGCATCACATAGAAGATTTCAAAATTTACTACAAAGCTACAGTAATCAAAAAAGCATGACACTAATATAAAAATAGTCACTAGATTAATAGAACAGAGTAGAGAGCCCAGAAATAAATCCATGAATTTACAGCCAATTAATTTTTAATATGGCTTCCAAAAATAAACAATGGGGAAATGACAGCCTTTTCAATAAGTAATGTTGGGAAAACTGTATGTCCACATGCAGAAAAATAAAATTAGCTCCTCATTTCATACCATATAAAAATGACTAAAAATGCATTAAACACTTAAAGGTAAGCTGTGAAACTGTAAAACTGCTAGAGGTAATTATGGAAAAAAGCTCTGTGGAATTGGTTTGGGCAATAATTTTTCGGGTATGAACATAAAAGTTTTCGGGAATGAAAACAAAATAAAAAATAGACAATTGCGGTTACATCAAATTAAAAAGCGTCTGCAGAAACAACAACAACAACAACAACAACAAAAATCGACACCTAAGAGAAAGCCTACAGAGAGAGAGAAAATATTTCCAAAGCATACATCTGAGAAGGTTAATATCCAAAATATATAGGCAACTCAAATAACAAACTGGGAAGAAAACAAATAACCTAGTGAAAAAAACGGTCAAAACACCTGAATAGACACGGTAAAGTATAGGAAAAAATGTTCAACATCACTCTTCATCAGGGAAATTCAAATTAAAACCACAATAAGATGTTACTTCATACCTGTTATAATAGCTATCACCTAAAAGATGAAAAATAACAAGTGTTGGTAAGGATAAGGAATGTTCATTAGTACAGCTATTATGAAAAAAGAGTGCAGAGCTTCATAACAAAATTAAAAATAGTATTAACATATGATCCAGCAATCCTACTACTGGGTATAAATACAAAAGAAATAAAATCAGTACATAAAGAGATATGTTCCTTTTCATGTTCATTGGAGCATTATTTACAATAGCCACCATATGGAATCAACCTAAGTGTCCGTCAACTGATAATAGTCAAGAAAATATGATATATACAGAAACACAAACAAACCCAATTGAATATTATTCTGCCTTAAGAAGGAAGGGAGTCCTGCCATTTGTGACAATATGGGTGAATTTAGAGGACATTATGTTAAACGAAAATAGGCAGGCACAGTAAGATGAATACTGAACGATCTCATTTATATGTGGGAGGTAAAAAAGTTACAGTCATAGAGAAAAGAGTAGAATGGTGGTTACCAGGGGCTGGTAGATAGAGGAGGAGGATTAGAATAACACTGGTAAAAGGATGTATACAGTTTCGGTTAGTTACAAGAAATAAATCTGAGAGATCATACAACATGTTGACTGTAGTTAAAAGCAATGTATTGCATGCTTAAAAATTGCTTAGAGGAAACTGTATTTTCATGACAAAGAAATAAGTAAGTGGGGTAATGAATATGTTATTAGCTTTATTTGGTCATTCCACAGTGTTATGCCTCTATATGTAATATACGCATATTTAAAACGCTATGTTGTACAGCATCAATGCATACAAATATTTGTCAATTTAAAAAAGAAATAATTTAATAAAATGAAATATAGGGTAGGTGTTAACACAGAGAATAAATTTAATGTTGACGATAAAAAGGCAGTGTACTTTGTCACTTTGTCAAACACACTCAAAATAATTACTGCCCACAGATAGCTTACAGTACAATATATGATGGACATTCTTGACCAAAAAAGGTAGAGTTAAGAAAAAGCATGCTTCTTATGCTAATTTATAGCTTATTTAAATAATCACAAAACTTCTATGGCATAGACAATTTACTCCTTATTTTACAGATTTAAGATCTTAATCTTGGAAAATGTTAGTATGTCAATAAATTTTTACCCAATGTTCCACAACTAAATAAATATAAAGGAGTGTATCTTGAAATTAAATGCCATAGAATGTTATTTATACAACAAGAGGAATATATACACACATACACACACACACGCACATATGTATAATGATTTTGTCAAATACATCTCAAATACATCTAAGTATAATTTGTGAATATTATTAGGCATTTGATGCTGTTACTTCAGCAAATTACATATAACTCAATGAACCTTTTGAACCGATGGGTGAAAATATTTTTGCAAATGCAAAGCTATTTCAATTAGATTTTTTTGTTTGTTTTACTTAATCCAGTCTCTACTTTTTCCATATCATTTTATGTTTCATTAAGTAATGTATGGACTAAAATAAGTTTCTACAGAATCATTAGTGTAAATTCCTCATTTGATTTTACATAGATCTACACTTGAAAAATTGTTTATTTGATAGTTTGATTCATTCATTTTGTGACAAGTATGGTATAAGACCCTGCAGCAATATGGGTGGGTAAAATCAAACCCTGTCTTCACTGAACTTACTCAAGATAAATAGGTTATTTTTTTAAAGTTTATTATTATGAATTGGCTACAGTAAATTAACTTCTAGGTGTTATAATACAATTCTGATAACTAACAATGAATGAACATTTATAGAAAAGTAGAGCAGGACCTTAAAATGTATTTTCTTCTAGAAGCCAAATCAATGTTAGTCCAAGATACTCAGGTGTGTACACGAGTATTCCATCTATCTCCATATGCTTTCTCTCTCCAGAATAATTTTTCCTCCCTAACAGTATTCTCTTTAGAGATATTAATAACAATAGCTTCTTGCTCATAGTTGACCTCAATCCAGAATTCCTCCTGAAGTGTATCCGCAAGTATATTTACTCATCATTTTTTTGCGAAATGTGTTGGTACTTGATCTTCCAAGTGTGTGGCTCCTGGGTAAAGAATTTCCTTCAAGAACAAGGAAAACTATTTTTGCAACAAAACGTAGATCATGAGTATGACTGCTGGGTAAATAATAATCTTAAGGATCAGGGAAAACTTGTTTGTAACAGTACATAGCTCTGCAGTGACTAGCGGCCTTTATTTCTACCTGGGAGAATTGACATACCAGACCAATGATTATAACTAGCCACACGATCATTATTGGGTGAGAGCTAGCAAATGAATGTAGAATCATAAGGATTGTTTAGATTTTCATAATAATAATACACCTATTATTACATGTAGATTAAAACAATTCATAACCAAAGTCCTATTTATTTTACAGGTAAATGTCTATTTTTTGTAGGTTTTTTTTTTACTACATGCCTTAACAAAATTATATTCATATCATTAAATGGGATAGGCTTTTCAAGGAATGTAAATCATGTTGAAATGTTTCAGTTCTTGCCAACAAACATGCTTAAATTAATAACAATACAAAAGTAATAACTTTTTATCCAAAGTTTGCTCTCTAAAGGTTCTTTTTTTTCTATTTTTTGACTTGATTTTATTTTATTTTAATTTTTATTTTACTTTAAGTTCCAGGATACATGTGCAGAACATGCAGGTTTGTTACATAGGTATACGTGTGCCATCGTGGTTTGCTGCACTATCAACCCCGTTATCTAGGTTTTAAACCCTGCATGCATTAGATATATGTCTTTAAGCTCTCCCTCCCCTTGTCCCCAACCCCCTGACTGGCCCCGTTGTGTGTTGTTCCCCTCTCTGTGTCCATGTGTTCTCATTAGAACTCTTTTTTTTTTAACTTTTATTTTAAGTTGAGGGGAACAAGTCCATGTTGGTTACATAGGTAAACTTGTGCCATGGAGATTTGTTGTGCAGATCATTTCATGACTCACTAGTTATTTTTCCTGATCCTCTTCTTCTGCCTACCCTCCACTCTGTGAAAGGCCCCAGTGTGTGTTGTTCCCCTCTATGTGTCCATGTGTTCTCATCATTTAGCTCCCACTTATAAGTGATAACACGTGGCATTTAGTTTTCTGTTCCTATGTTAGTTTGCTAAAGATAATCACCACCAGCTCCATCCATGCCCCTTCAAAAGACATGATCTTGTTCTTTTTAATGGCTGCATAGTATTCCAAGGTGTATATGCACCACATTTCCTTTATCTAGTCTATCATTGAGGGGCAATTAGGTTGATTCCATGTCTTTGCTATTGTGAATACTGCTATTAATACAATGAACATACTTGTGCATGTGTCTTTACAATAGAATGATTTATATTCCTTTGGGTATATACTTTGTAATGTGATTGCTGGGTCAAGTGGTATTTCTGCCTCTAGGTCTTTGAAGAAGTAACAGGTGCTGGTGAGATTGTGGAGAAAAATAACCCTTTACTTTTAATAAATATTAGCATTAGAGTTCCTCTACCTTTAACACTCACTTTTCATTTGCCATCATCTTTCTGCTCTAGCCCATATCCTAAATTTTAATAGAAATTAGGCACACCAGCCATCAATCAACACTCGTGTCTGATACTTTGAACATTACATTTATTTTATCAATAATATACTGATTATGAAAATTAAATAGCAGTCAACAAATTTAAGTTACTCTACATTGATTACCTGAATAATTTAACAGGTAAAATATAAAATAACATATATAACACATTGAGATCCGTTTATTTTCACAGATGGGACAGTTTGAGTGCTTACATAGTCAAATGACTGTTTCAGAATATGGTCATGCAACAGGAAATCCTAATTTGCCGTTTAGTTTAGGAGTCAAAACTCTTCTATTACATACAAAAGTATTATTTATTATTATTATTATTATTATTATTATTATTATTATTATTATTGAGATGGAGTCTTACTCTGTTGTCCAGGCTGGAGTGCAGTGGTGTGATCTCGGCTCACTGTAACCTCTGCGTCCCGGGTTCAAGCAATTCTCCTGCCTCAGCCTCCCGAGTAGCTGGGACTACAGTTGCAAGCCATCATGCTTGGCTAATTTTTGCATTTTTAGCAGAGATGGGGTTTCACCATGTTAGCCAGGATGGTCTCGATCTCCCGACCTCGTGATCCAACTGCCTTGGCCTCACAAAGTGCTGGGATTACAGGCGGGAGCCACCGCACCCAGCACAAAATTATTATTTTTACTAAATTGTTTTCATAGAAGTTTGGATCACTTATACAACTTTAATCTTCTGTCTCAATCTGGTTCAAGAGGAATGACTTATTTCTACCTTTAATATCGCCCACGCCACATTTTTTTTTCTTGAAATTAGCTGTTTCACATGTGTTTTAATAGATTTTCATAGACTGATTAACATGGCACACAGTTAAGTTATATTTGTAGTGTCTAGTGGGGCATGTCCATTTCATAAATGACCCAGTGCTTTATGAAACTCTGCTTGAAAATTCTAACAGTACTATGCATCCCTTCTGGGATCTACCTTTTTAAATTTAAACAGGTGATTTATTTGTTTATTTATTAGGACATTAGTTATTTGTTTTTGAGGCAGGGTCTTGCTCTGTCGCCCAGGCTGGAGTGCAGTGGTACAATCATGGCTCACTGCAGCCTCAACTTCTCCAGCTTAAGTGATCCTTCCACTTCAGCCTCCCAAATAGCTGGAGCTACAGGTGTGCTCCACCACACCCACATAATATTTTTAGTTTTTTGTAGTGATAAGGATCTCACTATTTTGCCCAGTCTGGTCTCAACTCCTGGACTCAGGCACTCCTCTCACCTTGGCTTTCCAAAGTGCTGGGATTAAAAGGGTGAGCCACTGTGCCAGCGTAAGTGATATTATTTCATATTCCATAGCATGTTTTAATCTGTTTTTCTTTTCAGTTTTGTCTTATCAAGTGAATTGTGAACTCTTGAGAATAGATCTCATTCTCCTTTACATCCTAATATTTAATGCAATGCGGTGTGTAATCAATGTATATGGCATGGTTGAATAAATTCATGAGTAACTTAATGAAAGAAATCTGTCTTTATGGTTTAGATATCTTTCACCTAAGTTGTCTGAAACTTACTTAATGAGTTTTGTGAATGAAGAGAAAAAAAATCTATCCTACAATTTGTATTTTGGTGAGATACAAATATCTCAAATGATAATGTCTCCAGAGCAAAATCCAGTATACAACTTATGCTTGAGGCAAGTTTTTCTTTCTCCCTTGAGTAAGAATTCGTCACTGAGGGTTTTGGGATATGTCATATGCTGAGTCAAATCCTGCATAAGGCAAAAGAAATCAAGTGTCAGAGATAATATTCTTTTATTGGATCCTAAAGCTGATATTCAGCATGGGAGTGCCCCATCAAATTTTGATTCTGTTACTTTGTTTTATGCTTTATTTCCTTGTTTACTGTACAGATAAGCAGAAGTAACTTAAAACATTAAAAACTATAAAAAATTCTCGCTGAAAACTAATTTTCAAAGCTTCTTGTTGGCAAAGAAAAATCAAAAGCTTTAAATAATCTGTAGTATTTTAGGCTGTCTTCCATGGGAAAACAAATGGTGACACTTTTACATAAAGAGTTCCTGTAACCTAGGAACAGATTGTTTTTAGAACTATGTTTTTATTATTTCTTGTTTGTTTGTTTTTGAGATGGAGTCTCGCTCTGTCACCAGGCTGGAGTGCAGTAGCACGATCATGGCTCACTGCAAGCTCCGCCTCCCAGGTTCAAGTGATTCTCCTGACTCAGTCTCCCGAGTAGCTGGAACTACAGGCATGCACCAATACGCACAGCTAATTTTTGTATTAGTGGAGATGAGGTTTCACTATGTTGGCTAGGATTATGTAGATCTCTTGACCGGGTGATCCACCTGCCTCGGCCTCCCAAAGTGCTAGGATTACAGGCGTGAGCCACCACGCCCGGCTGTTTAAAACTAAAGTTCATTTTCTTAACAGAAACAATGGTATACTAGTTAATATCATCAAGTGTTCCAGACAAGCTGCTTGTAATATATTACTTAATTCAATGCACTAGCATTATAGAATGAATGATACTACTTTTGGTTTTAAATCAATGACAGACACACAAATGAAGGGCTTTTTTTGTTTTAGAATACAGAAGTTACCCTTTAAAAACTTGTAAATAAACAGATTAGTTTTTGACATTTTCCCTTTGTCTTGTTCTGTGTCTGTTATCTCTTTCTCTCTGTCTATCTCTCCCCCACTCTCTCTCTCTCCTGCTTTTTCAATCTTTTTATATCCTTTCCCCTCAAATATCTTTGTTCTCCTGCAGATAACTTTAAATTGGATATTAGTAAACAATTTCTAATATAGCCTCCGTTACAAATTATCTTAAACTTCTTTTTCACTCAACAATACTTCCACTCTTTCAAATTGTATTAGTAAATTTTATTAGATGGCAGGAGAAAATTCTATTGAGCGAGTGCACACTAATGGTACAATCAATGTTTGCTAATGCTATAGCTATCAAGCATACATTTCTGATTTTTTAAAGCTAGAATATTTGCTAAAACCAAATAAATCCATTTCATAAAAATGTAACACCATTTAACTACATTAAAGAGTATTCATTGTGTTAATCAATATATGCTGAAGTGGTAACTTTTGGAAGTAGAGGGAGGCTATGAGTTTAGAGAAAGTCATTGTCGGGAGTTATATCAAGCGACAGCTTCTCTAAAGGTTTTTCGTTTTTGTTTGTCATGAGAGTAGATCAACTTTCTTCCTTCCTTCCTTTCTGAGTCTTTTGGGCTCTCTCTTAGCAAGCACAAAGTAAGGAATGAAAAGAATAATTGAGAGACAATGGGGCTTACAAAGGGCGATCTTACACAGTTTACATATCATATAAATGTATGTCAGAAACTCCTTAAAAATTGTCTTTTATTATTTTATTTCATCAAAGCAATTATATCTGTTAGTGTTTGATTAACCATAAGCAATCAAAAATGAATTTAACATCATGACATACATATTGAACACAAACTTTCATACATTTAATTCAGTTGAGGATATTAAATATGGTTACAAAAATGAACTTATTTAATGCTATATTATATATTATGATCCTGCATTTTATGTTGTTTCAATTCAGTATTAAACTCTGTAATATTAAAAAATGTTTTACACTTCTATGTTTATTGTTTTTCAGTTTTCCCCATTGTAACTATGTAAATGTACATGGCATGTATGTTAAATGTACATATTTTACAAAGTTTTGTTGTATATATTACATATATAATAACATACATCACACATTACATATCACATGTTTGTTTTCTATTATATATCACATATTATATGCATTTGCTAAAACTTGTATTTCTCATACTACATGCCATGTTCTATAGGAAACATTTTACAGTATTTATCTAATCTTCATGGCAGTCTTGTAGGGTAGAAAGCTACTATTATTTTCCCAAATTTTATAGGTAAGTATACTGAGGGAAAGAAAAATTGCATACATTGGACAATATCACCCAGAATTCTAGAGGGAAATTAGGCATCAAACTCTAATTAGGCAGTCTGGCTTCAGAGTCTATGCTCTCACCCTTATTCTATACTATACTGTATATGCACATTATAATCGCATAGACATATTAGTTTGATTGCAAGCCAATTTTAAAGTATGTATTTTAAGAGTTTATTTCTTAGATATAAATTTTTTTGAGAAAAATATTTGATGCAGTCTCTACAGCAGCTAAATAAATGTAAAACACTGAAAAAGTGTTACTTACGTATTTCTAAGTGGTTTAATAACTGATGTCTAGGCTAGCTTCTCTGTCAGTCACTTCAAGCAAGTTAACCTATGTTGTTAGGTCATGTAATCCGAAAGTAGTTAAATGAATTAATTTTTTTTCTCCAGTAAAAAGCCTAAGATATTTGTTTCTCCTTCTGGTGTCTATCTTATTTTATAAGAGGTAAACTCTTAAGAAGTAAGGTCTTTGAATCACTTTGAAAATTGGGACTTGTCAATGTAAGTACTTTGAAATCACTGATAAGCCCACTTGTAGATTACTTCCATCTACATCAAAAGTCAATTAAGAATATTGAGCCTGGACAACAAAAGTGCCTCGTTCAGTATAAGAATAGTCCTATTTACTTCCTGAAGGACCTATTAAACATTTTCTGGTTCAGGATACCTACATTGGACAGTAGTTTGATATTTATTTGCTTGCTGGATTTCAATAGACATTTGACTTTTCTTATTGCGAAATTAATTAACATGTGCTTTTAGAATCATCTATCTATAATAAAATTCCAATAATCCAGCATAATTGAGGCCTAGTGAAAACCATTAATGACGGAGTTAATATGTCATTATGTCATTAGAACTCTTTCTTTGACACAGGATTTTTCTGGGTCACTTTGCCAGCCGGAAATCTCCAGCTGGTGACGACCCTGCCCAAGCCTTGCCAGGGCTCGAATTTGCCACAAGAGATACCCCGTCCACTCAGCCTACCAGACTGCACCTGGCCTGCGCTCCAGGGCGATTCCCACAGCTACCCCAACTGTGTGCCCAGCTCCAAGCAGGAGTAAGTGTGTAAGCAAGAGAGTGCGGGGTCCAGCCGGCCATTCCAAGTGCAGACACAGGAGCTGGCTCCACGTAGGTCTTACGGCAGGGGTCCCCGCAACCCCAAAGCCCCGGGGTAGGTGTTACAGCCTGCTAATTAGGTCTTTTAGTCCCACTGTCTGCAGCCCCACGGACCGAGGCACATTAAGAGCTCTGCCCTTTGCTCCACTCCAGCCCATGGCTCTGAGGCTGGCTTAGCCCCGCCACTGCTTCCCGTTGCTTGGGGTGGCTGCCTTCTGCAGGCAGAGGGCAGAGGGCCACAGTGTTACAGCCTTGTTTGTACCCACATCCAGTGGATCCCGAGTTCTTGTCCCATGTCCATAAAGAATGAGGTTATGCAGACAATCAAAGGGTGAGGAGAGCAAGAAGAATTGTATAGAGCGATGAACAGCTCTCAGCAGAGAGGGCATGTGAGGGCGGTTCCTTACTCAAAGTCGGATGGTCTCTCTTGCAGTGTGGCTGGGTCCCGGGCTTCTGTGGGCTCAGAATTGGGAGTGCTTGCTGATTGGTTTATGAGCATGCAAAAAAGGATAAAACAAAGACACCACTCGAAAGTGGGCATGACAGTGTAAAAAACCAATTAGGAAAGGGTAGGTGCATGTAAAATAGATGAAGGGTGGGGATCAATCAGAGGAAAGCACACTAAATGGGAAGATGGGTTCTCAATCTGGTCCATGGATTTACCTGGGAATTGTAGCTAGGCTTTATTTAAACTGTCCTTAGCTTGAAAGTCAGGTTTCATCGGGAACTTGCCCTTGTCTTCCTAGGATTTTGCTGTTTCCTGCCACTATCATCATCTCTAAATCTTGACATTTGATCATAATTGTTTTAGGATCAAAGTGTCCCAAAATGACATTTAATATGTAACTAAACTTCAGACACCTTCACAAGCCAGTAGTTTAGTAATTGTTAATGCAAGTTGCTCTTATATAGTTTGGATTATGTAGGTGACATTTATCAGTGGCCAGATTGAAGTTGTCACATTACAAATATACATAGATGGCAAAGATTTTCTCACATGTAAGTTCCAAAGATTATGAATATTATCTATAATACATGCAAAGGAAAATCCTCAAATAATACTATTTTATGATATTTTCTTTTCATAACAGTTATAACTTAAAGGCATTTTAATTTCAGAAGTCAACTTTAACATTATCTCAAAATGTCAGGGAAAACCAGCAGATGTACAGTGACTGGCACATAGTAAACATCTGATAAGTATTTTTATTGTTTCTGTTCTTAATGATTTCGTTGCTGTTACTATCAATTCTATTTGCAAAAGCAAATAAACAATAATTAGAAAAATCAGGAATAAGTACCTGTTCTTAATGTGCTTGAAAGCATTGATTTGTGGTGGTGGGTATGTTAACTAGCTTGATTTAATTCCACTGTGTAGTCATAAATTATAATATGATTTTGTACCCCATAAACGTATACAGTTATAAATTGTCAATTTACAATAAAAAATGTGGATTTTTGTTTTCAATTTCAGTTAGCTAAGGTGAGAAGTCATCAAATTATTTCCCTTTGCCGAACAATTTTAAAACTCTCTGTACCTTCCTGCTTCCTACATATCAAAAATCTCAAACATACAGCTTATTTTTTCATTGAGTACTTTGAAACTACAAAGTATCAGAAAATATATGCTGTTAAAGCTCATTTGGTTTTCCAAAGAAAAATCTTCAAATATTCCACTTTATATTGACTACTATAGTAGTCAAACAGCCTCAAATCACTTAAATGATGCAATTCAGATATTTCACTTATTTTCGCGATCATTTGTTCAGATATTTTATGGTTCCCAAATGCAGCTACAATTTGTGTGTGTGTGTATGTGCATGTGGCTTCTTGGTATCACATCATATGAAGGACATTTTATTTAACTACATTACAATATGATTTTAGTTTACTTTTTTTCCCACATGATTACATTATTATCCAAATTCTAGGAGTTATGTCATGACTACAGACATGTAAAATATTTAAAATATTTTTTATGTTTTGCTCACTGTTGCTAAATTTATTACTGAATAAGGAGTTTACAAATTACTAATGGAAAATACTAAATAAAATATATATTGTTGTAAGGGTACAAATTATTTGACTTCTAGAATACAGTCTGTCCCCATCAAAATGCTGTAGTGCAAGCATCAATTCATACTTCAGTCTAACAAGATGTATTACAAAATGCCTTGTCACAGCTAATGAATCTTTGGACCATCTGGTTTGCTCTATGTTATCAAAAGTCACCAAGATATCTATTTTTTCAGCAAGTCATCAAGATACAGATGCCAGGTTATCATTCTTTCATTTGTTCACCACCAGATACTCTTTGGTGTCTACCACATTACAATTACTGTTGTGGGTACTTGGGATGCATCACTGAACAAAACAGAATTTAAAAATTCTTGCCTTGTGGAGCTTACATAAACAGCATAACGGACAATAAATTGCATAGTAAACTATAAGGTTATGAGTGTCACTGATGAGGAATAAATGGAGCAGGATAAATTTTATGAGATATATCAGTCTGTGAGGGGGTGGGGCAGGTCATAATTTTAAATAGGTTGGTGAAGATGTGGACTCAAAGAGAATTCTATTTGTCCAAAGACTTGAAAGAGGAGAAGGCACTAGCTATGTGGATATCTGAGAAAAGTTCTTCTCAGACAGAGGGGGCATCCAAAGCAAGAGATTTGTGACTGGGACATATATGGAATATTTTAGGTACATCAAGGAAGTGATATAGGTTAATTGGTGATTAAGGGAGGGAATAGTGGGAGAGGAAGTCAGAAAGGAAGTTGCATGTCCAACTGTGAGGAAATCCTGTAGATCACCGTGAGGGTCTTGGCTTTTACTTGGAGTGAAGTATGAAGGCTTTGGAGGATTTTGAGCAGAGAGTTGGCCTGTCTTATGGTTTTATAACAGTTTTTTTTTAATTGATACATAAATCATTCTGGACATTGTATTGAAAATGGTTTGTAGTAGTATAAGAATAAGAGCAAATTGACTAGCTTAAAAGGCTTGGCCAGGACAACAGCATTAGAGTAGCAGTGGAGATTATGAGGTGGAAGGATTTTTGATAATATTTGGTGGCTTGGAAATAGGGTGTGAGAGAAAAATAAAGTACAGGACGACACAGTTTTTGGTGTCATTAAATTAAGGAGTGAAATGTTAAAGGTTTCTGAACTAAAAGATGCCACACCACCAAACTCCTTATACCAAATAATAGATAACAACATGTATTTGGAAAATGGTATTGGCCTGGTGCAGTGGCTCATGCCTGTAATCCCAGCATTTTGGGAGACTGAGGCGGGCAGATCATTTGAGGTCAGGACTTCGAGACCAGCCTGGATAACACAGTGAAACCCCGTCTTTACTAAAAATTCAAAACTTAGCCAGGCATCCTGGCAGGCACCGGTAATCCCAGCTACTCCAGAGGCTAAGGCAGCAAAATTGCTTGAACCCGGGAGATGGAGGCTGCAGTGAACCAAGACAGTGCCACTGCAACTCCAGTCTGGGTGAAAGAGTGATACTTTCTCTCAAAAAAAAAAAAAAAAAAAAAAAGGAAAATGGTATTGACTTCTCTCAGAGATTTGCCAATGTTCATTTTGTTTAAATACTAGATATTATATTTTATTAGCCTTTTGAAGATGTGCTATTTTTCTTTGGTCCAGATTAGCAACTAACTAATTAACTGGTAAGATTTCCATATGATTTTTGTCTAGGTTTTATAACTCCATGAGAACATTGATTGCAGGCTAAAGTAGTTTCATTGAGACTGTCTGTTTAAAATGTGTAAATTACACCATCAAGCTAAGTGGAGAAAATACAACTTTAATTTGCATGGTAACCAATACATTTGAACTTCAGTAGGAAGATGTATTGAATGTATGTTTTAAATTTAAATTCTGATAATATATTCTTCTTGAAGCACACCGCTGCTTATGTCATAATATATGTGACTTACTTACTGCATAGGTAAATATTTTAAAAAGTGCTTTGGAACCAGATATTTCTGGAGATTTTGTTTTCCTGCTTGAAACCATCTTGGTAAATTACATTAGTTTTAGTCTTATGAATGGCATTTCATAACGCTAAACTTAGTATTATGAAATGTCATTATAAATTACAATAAAATGGCAAATAAGATAAAATAGAATGTATTAAAGTGGAATAAACTAAAAACATTCTTATTCCCACATAATCAGAACTATTGTCTATTTTTATAAACAAGTTAGAAAAAATATCTTTAAAAATCTAGTGAAACTTACATGAGAGGGTTTCCAATCGAATATACTTTCTAGGGGACTACTAATATCCATATAATTTAGTCTGGAAGTCTGTTAATTTCCTGTTTGAAGGGTATAACGCCATTTAAAATATTTTATAAAATCTTAGAGTATTCTTTCCCATTTTCTCTGTCACTGTTTATATGAACAATAAATTTTGTGAGACAACCTTTCCCAGGGATCAATTTGTATAAAAAGGAAACAAAAAGTAAAATTTATATATATACATATATTCCTTTTTGCTTTTTTCCTCAACAGAGCTCACACAGCTTTATTTTATACTTTCCCCATCTGTTTGGCTCAATTCTGGGCACTGGTATGTTTAAAGCAAGTGATAGTGTTTGCCCAACAGAAGTCTGTAGTCAACAACCTCATTTCTATTTCTGTCTTCTAGAACTGGGCCAGAGAGTTTTGCTTAAGATAAAAAGACGTTGTGTTTTGCCTATCTTTTTATCTGCATAGGCAACTCCAAAATGACACATAAGAACATTATCCAAGAGTATGAAGAAGATTAAGAGAGGAAAGAGGAAAATATTTCTTTCTTTAGGCCAGTGGCTAATTCAATTAGCAGGGAACTTAATAACTAGGGACAAAAACTTCTCTATGGAACCACTAACATAACTACACATGTCTGAAAATAGCCATCATAATCTGTACTTCTATGGCTTCTAGCAAGAAAAACTTCACCTACCAATATAGTTTCGTATTTATGTAATTTTAAAGGACAATTTTGGATTGCACATATTTCATAGCATTTTAAATTTAGATTACTTTAATCAATTATTAAAATTATGATTCCCTAATGTATATGTAATATTCAGATTATTATCAAGTATGCATTATGTTTCTTTTCCCACATGAGCTTTCAAATGTAGTTTTTATAATCTATGTATTATAAAACATAATACATATTATGATATGTATTACATAATCGATGTATTATGTATTTCTTTTACTTCTGCCCACATGGTACATAGGCACTAATCTATTTAGTCATTCAGTATATTTTTGGATGTCATTCTTAATGTCGTTAATGTCATTCCCTTTGTGACTTATGCTATTCCATCCAGTATCAATGTGTGCTGGGTTATGTTTTTCTATGTATCAGCCTCCTGATTTATAATTTACATCACTAATTCTTACTTGTCTTCTCTTAGATCTCAAATAACTTTTGATCATTTCCATTTCCAGCTTTCTTTATCTCCCCCTTTTCTCAATTTAAATTATGTAACCAGTCTTTCATCTACGTTTATCTACGTCTCAACTCTTGAGAAATTGCTTCTCATTCCCTGAAAATTCATCTTTCATTCAGGTCTCTCTCCTTGGTTTAGACATCTTCTTTTCTTTTTCTTTGTCAGCTGATTATTAGGCATAAGTGCTTAGACAGCTCAGAGACACATTAACATTAGCAATACAGAAAAAAAGCTATTGTTGTTTTACCCCAGTCATTTTTCCTTTCCTGTTTTTAGTCTTTGTGCCATAACCCAAGGCTTCCACACTGACTATTTGATCTCTCTCTCTCTGTTCATACTACATTCAAAGCTCAGTCAGGTCTACTTCTTAAATATCTCTGGAATCTTATGTCTGCCCTGCTCTTTTTCCAGTCCCCAAGACTATCTTCTTTGCCCTGGGCTATGTGACAGGATACTAATATATTTTCTGTTTTTTGTCTAATCTCCATTTAATCTATCCTTCATATAGTAATCTAAGTCCTCTCTAAACAAAACAAATCTGATGTCACTTTCCTCCTTAATTTCATTCTTAAAGTTTAAATCTCTACTCATACAAACTAGTGTCTGCTTATCCTGTAAATCTTCCAGTGTCTCATGTTCTAGCCCACCCTTACCTCTCCAGCATCATATCCCACCATCAGCTACATTTTCCTCCTTCTTTGCCCCTTTATCCCACCACACATGCCTCAATATTTTAGATTCCAGCTCTCACCCTACCAGTTTAAAATCTATATAAATGCACTTGAATATTTTATTTCTCAAATGATTTTCTCGAATCCCTGGACCTTTCTGCAGCCTGTTCCCTCTTCCTAACACACTCTCCTCACCCACTTCCGGCCTTGCCTGGGCATTTCTCTTTGTTCTTTTCTATTTTGTTTATATGATTTTTCCTCTAGACAAGTTGTCCTCAACTCTCTTCCAACCAGTCTATAGTAGGTGCTCTTCATTTCCCATGACATCTGTGTTAACAACTAGCTGCAACAATTTCAACCTTAATGCAATTGTCTTTTTACTTGTTTTCACCTCTTTCTCCCATAAGAGTTTTTATTATCATTGCACATGGAATTATTTTTGAGATTCTTTTTTTAACCATTCAGGTCATTATATATCATCTGTTATTGGGCCTATTATATTTGTTAAATTTATACTATAAATCATGGTGCAATTAGATAGATAGACACATTCATTAAATAAATCATAAATATTTTTTGATGGGATTTTTTATGCTGACAAATTTTCTACTTTATAAGATAGTAGATTATAGCCATGATGAATGATTATAAAATTCATCAGTAATTTGTTTGTGAAGACAGACACCATAAATATTTAGATGGTTTTAATATGTACTTTTCAAATTGCTTTCCAGAAACAATATTCCAATTTGAAAGATCAACTATTACATAAGCATGTACTCGATTGACTGTTCTTTCAGAACAGGAGGGGTTATAATTATTTTTTAAATATTAGCTAAATGGGAAGTACAAAATGTTATAGAATTTTAATTTTTTTCTGAATTTAGAGGATGAGTACATATTTCACCTGCTTTCTCTCCCACTTGCATTTCTTCATTAGCCTATTGTCTATTTATCTACTGGATTTTAGAGTGGTACTTCTACATTTTGTAACTAATTTATGTATTAAGGGCAACAGCTTTCTTCTGTTTTTTGTGCACTAAAATCTGTCCTGAATATTTACCTTGCATTTGATACTTTGGCTTATATTTATATGCAGAAGTTTAATTTCTGTGTGCTTATGTGACTATATATATATATTTAAATCAAAATAATTTTGATTTTACCCATTTTCTTGAAATGAATAAATTCCTCCTTTATGTAAAATTTCATAAACATCATTATGATTATCTCTTATTTTTAATTTAACATTTTCATTTAATTATTTAATGCACTTAATATATTATTTAAAGGCTATTTCTTCTATAATGTTTTCCCTTTTTTCTGGTTTCTAGTCACATGGGAGTGCTCAGTATTTGAAAATAAATCAAATATGATTGGCGAATTTTTCTTACCAGATTTTCCTTAGTAAATGTAATATTTCAAAAATTATTTTTAAACAACCAATACTCTAAAAATGTTAATATATTGGAGACCATAGGAAATCATTAAGGATTTGCACTATTATTACTTTAAAATATCCAAATTTTAATGTATAAGCATATAAAGCATATATAATAAAGTAGTAATGTATAATGAAAGGTCATACATCAGTAAAAGTGCATAGAGAGCCTGACATATTAAAACTTCCCTATGTAAAATAATGTCTACTTTAAAAGAAGTTAGACTGCATTAAAAGGCATTTATAGGAGTTGAAATAGAAATAATCATTAAACACGACTGAAAACATTTACAAACTCTCATATAAGTCATAATATATCAAACTAATTTTTATTAAAATATTTCTATAGTTTTATGATAATCTAAAAGAATTAGAAGTCTGTATACATATTAAATAATAAAAATTCTTTCATAAGTTAAAATATTGTTTAATGTTTTAAAAACTAAAAGGACACTATCAAAAATATTACAGTATTAAAATTTGTAAAAGTGTTTGTATACATAGAGTAATGTGTACATGTACATGGACACACACACACACAAATATATATAACCGGAGTGATTTCAAGTAAAAATGCATGCTATTTCTGCTTTATTCTTCTATCTATTAGAAGCAAGTTATTAAGACCAGTTCACACTTAGGGAAAGGCAGATTACATTCCCACATATGAAAATGGAAATATTGAAGAATTTCTGGATGTATTTTAAAATAGTCTCAGAAAGAAAGAGTGAAAGAAAGAGAAAGAAAAACGAAGGAACCAGGGAAGGACAGAAAATATTTCCAGCACTCTGACAATGTGTTTAGATATAAAATATCTATGAAAATATGAAAAACTACAGTAGTTTTGGAAAAAGTCTGATAAATCTCTGAGGGAAGTGACTAAATTATTTCTGTAAATCAATGCCATATTTTAAAGCACTAATATGTAAGGAAATACGAATATGAGATGACTGATATAACATTTTCCGCAGGGAACATATTGGTGACAGCCATAATTTATTCATTCAGCAATTGTATGATAAATGTTAAGATAAACGAAATGAGGCAAGGTAAGGTGTAGCAAGTTCTTATGGTTTTATTTGAGTTAAAATAATTAAACAAGACCTCTCTGATTAGCTGATATGTAAGCAGAGACTGAAATAAAATGACAGATCAAGCCATGCAAATATCTACATAAGGATTGCTCAAGCTATGTGAAGAGTAAGTCCAAATACTCAAAAGCTAGAATCTGTTTTGTTTGTTCAGAGAAGCAAAAGTAGAGAGGAAGAACTGGAACAAAGTAAATAATATGATAAAATGGCATAAAGATTAAATCAGAGGAGCGATGGCAGAGGGAGACAGTCACCCTTGCTTTGAATGAGTGAAGAAAAGTGACATGACTAGGTAAAATGTGAAGCCTCATAAGAACTGGGAACAGCTGTGATGATGTGACCTGATTCATGTCAAAGGATCACTCTTGCTATTGTCTCTAGAATAGATTTTCAGAGACCGAAAGGAAACCAAGGAGACCAGTTGGGGTACTATTGCCAGATTCCAAGTAAGAAATGGTATTGCCTTTGACAAGGAAGCAGTAAAAAGTGGTTGTATCCTGAAAGGGTTTCTCAGTTAAGAGCAAAATTTATCTATAAATTGATGTAACTGAAATACGAGAAGATAAGAGGAAATTTAGAGGAATGTCAAAATTTTCATATTAGGTACATTGAGTATGAGACACTTATTTTGTACAAAATTTGATATATGAGCAAACTAGTTAAATATATGATTCTATAGTTTAGAAGAGAATTCCCACTGGGATTAAAAACATCTGGAGCCATCATCATTTAGCTAGTTAATACCTCTGGGACTAGATGAAATAAAAGAATGGGTAAATGCAAAAAAAACAACAGTTTCAGGGACTTAGTTCATAACTTACGGCTGAAAAAGATGAGGGACTATTCATAAAGGTTATTGGGACAATGAAGCAAGAAACTTAGAGATGGTGGTAGCCTGAGACCAAGTGAAAAAAAAAAAAGTGTTGCAATAAGGAAGGAGTAAGGACTTGGTCCAATGCTACGCATAGTTTGAGGAAAATGAGGTTGACGATTTAAATATTGTCTTTTCTGTTATGATGGTAGCCAAAACAGAATACACTGGTGCGTATTCAAGAGAGAAAGGAAGGAAAGTTAGTGGAAATAGCTAGGGAACAGAATATTATAATACTATTCAGTTCTTCATTATAGAATGAACTAGCTCTTCATGATATGATATCGAGAAAAGTTGAAGTAAAAGGTTTATGTGAAAAAATGCAGAGTATTTTGTGGATATTTTTATCCCATTTGTCTGGGAAACACAGTGGTGGAAATAATTTTTTAATATATACATATTTATATCTAATTAATAAGAAGTGGTTGGACGTCTGGGTACCAAACTGTTAACATTTGTTTTTTAGGGGTAGGAGTCGTAGGATAGGAGAGAAGAAGAAGCAGTATTTGTTTTTTGCTTGTTTGTTGGTTTGTTAAATTTACCTCCTTTTTATCTGCCTGTTTTTATAGAATGTGCATGATCTTCCATCTTCAAAGTAGAAACTGATGTAGGGTAAATGTACAGGTAAAATATACTAGAAGAACATTTATTTCATCTTTCATTTGGCTGACAATATTTAGTTGGCTAGGCAATATACTAGAGACACAGTGATGAACAAGACAAACGTAGTTTCTTTCTTCCTGAATTCAACATTCTAGATCAGTGGTTGTCTACCCTGGCCACATTTTAGAATTGAATAATCCTGCTGCATAGAGTCTTTCAAGAGCAATTGAAATGAAGTCTGGGAGTGGAAGTCCAGGCATCTGTATTTTTTTGAAAAAGCTCACTATACAATTCTGTCACACAACAAAGATTGAGTATCACTGCCCAAAGAAATGTTTAAGGTGTTTAGAGAATATACCCAACCTGCAAGAACAATATTTTGGAGAGAAATCTAACATTCTTTCTCTATAACCTTACCCAAATTCACTCAAAGATGTAAATAAATACCTCAAAGTGTTTAACACATTCCTGCTTCTATTAATCACATGTATTTTTGCATACTTTTTTTGTTATGGTAAAAAATGCAAGACACAAAATTTACCACTTTAACCATTCTTAGGTGCACGGTTCAGTAAACATTCTATTTATGGTAACAACATTTAACAAATGTTAACAACCACCAAAAAAACTATAGGTTAAGTTTGTTGGTGTGTTTTTGTGTGTTTGGTTTTGCCTATCAGTAATTTTGCTCAGTTCTCACTAGTTAATAAACTGCATGAAATCACACTATTACTATAAGTTATAAACAAATTTCTACAAAATGGTTATTTTATTAATATAATTCATACAGACACAGTCCTTTTAGATTTTGATGAAGCACTTTGGTAATAAAATTACCATTAATTTACAAAAAGTATGAACCAGAAATTATCATTTCGCAGGTCTCATAGTTTAAAGGGTTCACAGGACTCATCATCTCCAAATCACCTGTCTTAGTCAGTTCATGGCTGCTATACCACAGACAAGATGGTTTATGAATAGCAGACATTTTTTTTCACTGTCCTGAAGGCTGGAAATAGGAGATGAGGGTGACAGCGTGGTCGCATTCTGAAGAGGGTGATCGTACAGGTTGCAGTCTGAGGACTTGTCCCCTCACGTGGTGGAATGAGAGTGAAAAAACTATCTGGGGTTTCTTTTTCTAAAGGTACTCATCTCATTCAGGAAGCCTCCACTCTCATGATTAAATTATATCCCAAAGTCTCCACATCCAAATATCACCACACTGGGGATAGCTGTTTTAACAAATTTTGGAGAGACACATTCAGTTCATAAAGCCAATTCCTTCGTTAACTTATTGATTATTTCTAAAGAAGCATCCTTAAGCCCAGAGGAGTGAGATGAACACAGAGAGATCTTAGCCATACAGCAGAACCAAGACTAATTTCTTGATGGCTGAGTCCTATGTTCTTTCCTTTGCATATAAAAATACCTAATAAAATATCCCTTTTTATATCTGTGTATCAATGCATAGACCGTGGTATTGGGTAGACAGTTTCAGCTATGCTGTGCATTCAATTTGCACCCATTCTCTTTTCTTCCCTTGTCTTCTTGCCTTCTCCTTTGCATTCTCATTTTTTTTCCTTCTCCTCTTCCCTTGCTAAGTTGCAATGCTGTATTTGCTTTTCTTTAATTTATTTTCACAGCAAGAGTGCCTCTGGCTGCCAGCCAAACTTTACTTTATGTAAGGGAGACAGTGCTGTTTGTTATGTGGAATGTTGCTGTTTTCTGTTCTTGGAAAAGTCAAACCGAGAGTATATTCAGCCAGCAATTTTTTCAGCTGATTTGGATGAGGTATTTCTTCCTAAAAATTTCCTTCATAAAGTGACTTCAAGCAAGCTCAGCCTCTTGCACTCAACTGGATTTTGAATTGCGATTAGATTGGCTTTCCAGTCAGAAATATATTAATTTAATCTCCTAAACTTCTACTTCCCTGCCTCATTTTTTAAAATATACTTAACCATGGGCAGCCATTTTATCCTCATGATTTTCCAGTCCCTTGTGTCATGTTATGCTCACAGAATACATCCAGACAAAACCAAATGCATACAATCAATTATTACTTAAAGCAGCGTTCAGGGAGACATTTGCTAACCAAGTAATATTTGGAAAATATGAGTTATGGTTAACCACAAGGCCTAATGGTTACTGACTTCCCAAGGTAACTTAATGAAAAGAGGAAATTTTTTAAGCTCATTATTTTTAGTAACTAACACTCAAAATGGTACCCTTGAGCTCTGGTTAAACAGGTGTATAAGCCGTAATACAAAATAAAAATGCAAAATATAATTTCTCTGTGAATGTCATGCATATATATATATATATATATACATATTCAGTTAAAAATGTGTTACTTTGTGCATTTTCTATAGTCTTTTCCCCATACAAATAGCTTCAAATATGTTTTCTCAAAATTTTATTTACCTATAATTTAGACCTGTATATCATCATTTACATGTGTTTGACAAATCTGTTTTTTAATGTCTCTTGACTAGGATTTTGTGTTTTAGCTTCTTAGCCACACTTTTAGCTCCAGTTTTCTTTGAGAAGGCTGACTATACTTTTTGAAATGTTACTTTGGAAATAAATTTAAATTTCTTCTCCTTGTCTGTTTATAGAAAATAAATATTAGTCTTATTCTGTATCTTTTTAGGTACAAAATTAACCATCCTTTTCTAGGTTTCACTTAATCAAATACCATCCATGTGTATACTTAGTTTTTCTCCTATGAAACTTTAAACAAGTATAGTTGTATGAACTTTAATTTTGACATATCACAAGAGGTCAATATTGAGTGCAAATTAGTTAGATTAAAATGTTGGATGTTTGCATTGAAAGGATTTGCTTTTCAAAAACCTCAGGAACAAATTAATTCAGAATGTAGCTCACCTTTGAGCATAAGTGAGCTACAGTTGAATATATAATACCTAATTCAGTTTTCACCTGGGTGTTTTCAACTTGAATCTATTTTTTAGCTGCACTTGATAAGTACATTGGAGTGGCTTTTGAAATGGAATCAAAGTCAAGTGCAAATTCTTCCTGAAAATGAACATCATATTTCCACATTTAACTTGATTGTTTACAAAAATTTATATGCACACAGAAGGATTGTCTTCAGAACCTTTGAAAATGTCAGCCTATATGAGTAGATAGATAAATGGCTAGAATTGTTAGATATTGATAGCACTTCTATTCAATTTTTAAAAAATGTATCTATAGTTCAACCCTATGTTTTCCATACACACATTTTAGTCAAAACTTTTCACTTATTTGTACACTTCAGGTATTTTGAGATTTGTCACTAAATTGAAAATTTAAACAAATAGACAGATTCAAGTTAGGCAATTGGCTATATGAGTAGCTTCAACATGATAGGGACCGGGGGCAGAGAAATTCTAGGCAGACAAGGGCAGGTCCCTGGCAAAGCTCCACCCTCAAGCTGAAAAGCCTGAGACCTGGAACAAAGTGAAAACTTATATCCGTTTTCCCACTCCAAAGTTGCCTTTTCCTGAACCACCCATGGCTCCATCCTGCCCCATTCTGTGCCTATAAAGACCCCAGATTCCTCTGGCTGAAAGTAGAAGGAGCTGGACTTAGGAGACTATGGCTGGACATCGGAGAGAAGGGTCAGTTTGATGGAATAATTCTGGAAAAGAATCTGGCTGTCTTCAGGAGATGATTACCTTCCCTCCCCAGCCCCTTTTCAGCTCCCCTTCCCAGCTCCCTTTCCCACTGAAAGCTACTTGAATCACCAATAAAATCCCCTTCATTTGCCATCCTTTAATTAGTTCCTGCGACCTCATTTCTCCTGGACACAGACAAGAGCTCAGGAGCCACAAGTGCTGATACAAAAGGGCCCACTGAGCTGTGAACACTTAAGCCATCCACGGATGGCAGAGCTAAAAGAGTGCTGTAACACTCCCTCTGGGGCTTCAGGGGGTCATGGGCACCCGCAGAAAAGATGCTGCCACAGGGCCCACACTCCCATGCTCCTGCTGGCGCCCAAAATTGCTCTCCCTGGCTCCTGCAGCCACTCACTTGCATGCTCTCTCCCATGAGGGTGGAATGCAGTGGGTCTCAGTTACTGGAGTTCGCCCCTGCTGGTGCTAGAGCAGCCAGCTGGTTCCAGTGCTCCTGCACTCCAGTTCCTGTCCCATTGGCTCACGCACTCCCTCCTGTGGGGAGTTGAGAGCTGTGGGCTGAGTAAAGGAGGCATCCCCTTCATGAGTCCTGTGTAGGGATCAGGGAAACGTCCTGCTTCAAATACACGTATATGTAAGAAAGACCACATTTCATTATATTTTTAACCAAATTCGACTGGATTCAACTACTACCTGCTAGGAATAACAGGATAGATAATCTCTTCTATTGGCAGCAAATGAGGTTCTCACTTCTGTGGGAATTAAAATATAGTTAATTAATTAATTAAATTGAAATGGTGAATAAGCAACCTAAGACAATTAGATAAGTAACTCTGATTTTTATTTTACTATGTCCATAGTTCAGGCGGAAATATAAATAACATCTTGTGATTTTCCTATAGATCTAAGGAGTTATTCTAGGAAAGAAATAGGCCCTATATGAAATCTAGATGACTGGGTTGCAATATTATTTTTTCCAGTGGTGAGAATAGAAGGCTATTTATACATTTCAATGTATGGAGTAAAGGCAGAGTCATCCAAGACCATTATCCTGAGCGAAAGGAGATGACACTGTAGTGGCACATAAAGCCTATAGCTCTTAACAAATGAAGTTGCCGTTTCTTTGTTTTTTATTAGCACAATGAAAAAGAAGTAGAAATATGAACATCCATCTGTTTATGTATTTTACATTTTTCATAGGTTTTTAAGTTTCATATACAAGAAAAGATAGCATTTCAGTAAATATTTTAAAATATCTAAAATATATATTTTTATTAAATTCCATTATAGCTCTATGATCAATCATATGGCATAGAATAATTTCAGAGTAATAAACAAT
This sequence comes from Homo sapiens, assembly GCF_000001405.40. Lineage (NCBI taxonomy): Eukaryota > Metazoa > Chordata > Mammalia > Primates > Hominidae > Homo > Homo sapiens. The sequence continues at coordinate 34,954,419 of NC_000004.12, forward strand.
ATAATACATTGTGATTTTATAAGCCTATGTTACTTTTCATCAAAGTTCCAAGTATCATAATCATTAATGCAATTTATTATATTTAGCCTTAAATCAGTCTCATCTTTTCTAAAAACAAAAAAAAAGAGCCTCAAACATACCTTCAAAAATCAGTATTTCTAAAAATGATGTCAGTCTAAACATTCCATTAATATTAATTCACGGAAATTTCTTTAAAACATTCCACAGTGTTTCAACACTTTGTAGGTAATTTTCTTTTTCTTTTTTTCCCAAGTAATAAATTTCAAATCTATTCTGCCTTCTATCACCAAGAAAGCAGATATGTAGTCTCCAAGACAGTACACACTCATGAGCATAAATTTAATTTAGATGTTTAAATGTCAGCATATTTTTAACCAGAGGAACAATGACAAAGATCAGTTTATCCAATAGTTAGATAGTCGTAGTATCCAAACTCTAAGAGTGATTATTTAACTGAGAACAAGAGTGAGTTTTCTGTTGGGTGAATTCTTTTCCTTCATAATAAGAAAATTTTCTGAAACCTGGCCCTATGATCAATAAAAAATTATGTATTTCTCATGTATTACTTTGCATTATTGTCATAAGCAAAGATTTTAATGTGCACTTTTCATAAAAGCATGTACAGTTCTCTAAAAATTTTACTTTAGTCTACAAGATGCTTTTAAATAAGTTAGAGTTGGACTGTATTTGCCTCAGTGGAAGGGATCTAATTTCAATTTTCAGTACTATAATACTGAATTAAGTCTTCCCATGAGAAGGCATCTTAGTAAAATTTTTATTTTTATTTTTAATAATAATTTTAATTTTAATAATAATTTCATTATGTGAATAAAACATAAAATCCAGAAGAAAATTATGCTCATATTTGTGAATTTGTTATCATTCTTTTATTTTTATTATACTCTAATCATTTTAGGGCAAAAGTTATTTGTTTGCTTAGATTGGAACATTAATCTATCGATGATTAAAATATGTTACATGTATATTAATGTAAGACATCTTATTTTCCCCTTAGAAAAACATTTCTGAGAAATGGAAGAGTCATCTTTCACTTAATTCCTTACAAATTATATCATATGAATAGGCATTGTCTCAATTACTTCATTTTAAATAACGTTTGTGAAAGATGCATTAATTTGAAATCTCAGTCAAAGCTAATGTTTAGTGCTTACAGTGGTTATCTGAAAAAATCCATCAAAATAAGAGATGAACAGGATTATCTTGCAATCATCAATGCTGGGCCTTTATATTACAATTTTAAGTAGACGTTGCTGCTATATTAACGATTAATTTAAAGGACAATGGAGTTAAGCTCTGTTGGAGAATCTTGCAATAAGCCAAAGCAATCACCAAGAACAATTAGAAAAGTTGGAAAGCAAAACAAACATAAGACATGATTGGAAGCAATAGGGGAAAGGTTGAGGCAAACAAATGCAGAAACCAATATCTTAGAGAGTAAGTGGGGAAACTTGAAAGGGTGAGAAGGTTCTCCATCACCAGACTTTCTACCTCAAGGCATATGTTTATTTTTAGTGCTAATCCCCTTAGATGGCTGCTAAGAGACAAAGAATTAGCAGAAACATAGGTAATCTAAGTAAGTACAGATACCCCAAAATCAATTATGTGGTAGTCACAGTAGCTGGGAGCTGGATATGAAGGTGAGACCCCTATCAGAAGAAAGAGACATGGAAATGGGTCTGAAACTCATACAGTGTTTCACCATGAGGCTTTAGCCAAAAGAGGTTAAAAAGTCAGGCAGAAAGCAGCTGACAGGCAGAATAGAGTTCTAGACTTTCTTAATGCCAAGGCGATTGAAAATTAAGTTCAAAACCTTCCAAGAGAATACTGGCAAACACTGCAGAATTCAGTTAGAAACCCTGAAAGGCTGCCAAAAGAGTAGAGAGGTAAACCTGTAGGTAGGTTGACCCTTCTAAAAACTGTAAGTCAAGCTCTGAGTCAGCTCAGTCATAGGCTGATAGAAAGTTCTGCCAGCCTTCCATTCACCTCATAGATGAGGGTGAACTTCATTCAGAGTCTCCACAATTTATTTTTTTCAATTAATAACATTCAATCCATCAAAATGTAATAGAATGTCAAAAAGAGGGTCCAGTTTAAAAAAAAAAAAACACAATATACACAGACCCATTGATGACCCAGGTTTTGGAGTTATAAAAGATGGTTTTATAAAATAGCTGTGCTTAATATATTCAAGAAAATTTGTGACAGATGGAAAATTTCACTAGACACCTTGAATCTAAAATCTATGAGAACATAATCTAATGCAATTCTGAAATTTATAAAAGAATTAAATTCAGAAAAATTAAGAACTATATGATGCCTATGACAGAAGATTGAAGACAGCAAAAGAAGAAGCTACTTTATCCACTGAAGAAAGATAAAACTATTAAAAGCACTGGGCCTGAGAATGCAGACGGTAGACACAAGGGTAAATACAAAGAGAATAAAGAATATAAGCAGCATATGGGACATAAAAGATAAATTTAATGTATGTGTAATTTAAATCCCAGAGGAGGAGACAGAAAATGGAACAGAAACATCATTTGAAGAGAAAATGACTACAATTTTGCAAAAGTAATAAAAGATATTGAGTCACAGATCAAGGACTATGAGCCCAAAGCTCCACGAAGAAAAAACCAACAACAAAGTCCACAACTAGTTATATCTTCGTAAAACTTCTGAAAACTTACAAAAAAAGAAAAACAGAAATCAATCAAGATTAACTTCAAAGAAGAAACAGTAGAAGACATAGCTGACTTCACACACACACACAAATGGAATTCAGAAAAGAATAGGATGATATTTTTAAAGTGCTGAAAGACAGTAACTCTTATTTTATAGTTCCAGATAAATTATTTTCCAAATGTAAATGGGAAATAACATCATTTAAAAACTAACATAAAACTAAATTTGAACATATTCTTTCTCCAAGAATATCTGTTCTAAAGAGATGGAAACAAGGAAAATGATCTCAGCTGGAAAAAAGATACTTAGGATAAAAAGCAGAGTGATAAAAGTCACTATGTGATAAATATGCCTGAATATTGGCTATCTAAAATAATATATTCTCCACTAGAATTTTAAATATATGTAAAAATAACACTAATGATCATAACACAAGAAGCAGGGATGACCAGCACTTTGGGAGGCTGAGGCGAGCAGATCACCTGAGGTCGGGAGTTCAAGACCAGCCTTAGCAACGTGGTGAAACTCTGTCTCTACTAAAAACACAAAATTAGCTGGGCGTGCTGGGGCATGCCTGTAATCCCAGCTACTTGGGAGGCTGAGGCAGGAGAATTGCTTAAACCGGGGGAGGCAGAGGTTGTGGGGAGCCAAGATCGCTCCATTGCCACCCCTGCCTGAGCAGCAAGAGTGAAACTCTGTCTCAAAAAAAAAAAAAAGTTTTCTAGTGCTGTCTTGGAAGTTGAAAAATAGTAATTTTTATTACTGAAATATATAAATTAATAATTATTAGTAGTGATTTATTTATTGATAATACCAATGACTAATAAAGCATTGATGCATAATGTATTGCTTAAAATAAGCACTAAAATACTATTAAAATAAGTAAAACATTATGAGAGAAAAGTAGAATAACTGAATATTGTGAATAAATCAAAATACGACCATAAAAGAACAAAAGGAGAACAAAAATTAGAAGAGATAATGAAAAATAAATAGCAACAAGGTAGTTAGTTATAAATGAATTATCCCTAATTGGATTAAGTTTATATGGAATAAAATGCTTAAATTATTAAGACTGTCTGATTGTTTTTTAAATGTACTTCTTACAAGATACCCATGATAAATACAGGGATATAACAATTCTGAAAATAAAAGAATAAAAAATATAAACAAAGAAAACACTAACAGAAATCTAGTGTAACTATACTGATATCAGACAAAATGGAGTACAGAAGAAGAAGCATTTATTTATCTGTCTTTAATGGGAACCTGCTCATTGAACATTTGATCTTAGGAAAACAGTAATGGAGTTCATGATGAATAACATAATATTGATAACATAGTGCTTATCTTTCCCTCAACCCCAGTAATCTTTCATTACAAATTATTTCTTCTGCCTTGTGTATAAAATGTCTTCTTTTAAAGTATGATCCTACTACTCATTGAAAAAAAAGCCTTATATCGTCACATTACAAAATAATAAGTACATTAATATAAAATGACCTCACTTCCTATTTCCCTTCATCAAAAATTTAATTTTTCTTAGCCGCCAAACTTCTGAAGCCATATTTTGTAGCAATTATTTTCATATCCTCACCTTCTATGCACTTTCAACCCATTCCAAAATGGGATCAAGCCATTGGAAAGTGCTTACTCATGTCACAGTGCCCCTGAGCCACTAAATCCAATGGACAGTTTTTAGTCATCTTGTTTTCCACCTACATAGCATTCAAGATTGTAATGGATTATTTCTGAAACTCTTCAAATCCTTTTCATGACACTAGTGTCCCTTCCCCCATTTCTCACTAATTTTCTCCAGGCTGCTTTGTTAGTTCTTCTTTTTTTTACACAACTAATAAACCAATCTTGGGTCAAATTACTGGGTGAGAAATTGGCATAAATTTCACATTACAACATATATAGACAGTCCTCAAGACCCTTTAATATTCAAATTTTTTAAATAAGTAAACTTTAGCCTCCACAACTTATTACACTGAAAGTTGCATGCCAAAATATTAGTCTACATTTTTAATAAAGAAGCTCATACAAAATAAGCCAAGCCTACATCTGAAAAATAAGACTTTTAAAAACATATTTCTTCATTTTATAAACAAAATATAATAGTTTCATTCAAATTTGAGAATGAAATCTGTGTAACCCAAAACAATATCAATCCTAAATAACTGACATTTCGAAACAGTGATTAAGATCAGGAAATATTGGAAGATAAAATGCAGTTTTATTTCTCAAAGCTAAGTTTGTTTATCTAAATTAGAACATGACCTGTATAAATACATATTTACACATTTAAAGCACAGGAATTTTTCTATATTAGCTCACCAGTTCTGTTTTAGTACGGAAACCAAAGCATTTATAAGTTAGGAATGGGATGCTTAGGTCTGCCTAGAAGAGACTGCACAAAAGAAAAACCCTGGATTCTTCTTAAAAACTCCCAACCTTTGATGCATTTACAAATCTAGCACATTTGGATTTGCCATTTGACTATAAGTAATGGAAGGAACATTAAAGCTATTTCTGTACAGTAAAAAATGTCAGCTAAGAATGATTTCAATGACTTAAATTTCACATGTTCTAGGAAATTGCTTATATAACAATCAGCCATTTGAAGTGGGAAAAATTCTCTGAAATCACCAGAAAATTGTTGTGTCTTAGATGGCATTCATGTATTCCAGATTCGTTGTTAACATTTGAAGGGTAGTTTCCCATTTTACTCATTAGTGTTGTTTTTTGAACGTCTAACTTATTTTTCAAAATTGTTGATTTATTCTAACTACTTCTCTGTTTTTAGTTTGTATTATGATAATAAAATGTTATTTTATTTCTTTTTCTGCCCCAATTACTATTTTATATCATAATACTCTAGATATATTGTATAATACTCCCAATACTAGCAAACACTTAAACATTTTAATTTCAACATAGTTTTGTAAGAAAATGAATTATCACTATTATGTGTTTCTCAGTTCCTAGAACTTAATAGGAACTCTTCTACAAATAATAACTCAATAGGTATATGTTGTATACCTGAAGAAACACACGCAGTAATTTGATTGACCAACCTGAGAGACTATTGAGACATGTAAAATGCAACTTGTGGTCCTCGAGTGAACATATTTTCTCTACGGGCCAGTCAACCACACTTGAAGCTTGGGTATTTGATAGTAGTAATTTATTAATTTTTAAAATTATTTTGACTGGCCATTATTTGAGCAACACATTATCAAATAGTTCAGAAAAATAAGAAACTATATTGATAGTTCTTGTAACTATTCAGTATGCTTAAAATTAATTTAAACTAAAAAATATGCAATCACATTAACCTGAGTCTATGGAGTTAAATTAAAAACCTAAAAGTGTATCACATATATAACATATCACAAAAGTCTCTAGTAAACACAATTCGTGTTATGCTTAAATACCATTATTTACATGGTTAAATATTAAATTCTGTTAATGATACATTTTAAATGTTCATAATGAATGTTTTCATTCTATGAGGAAAACATTTTTAATTGTTTTGATAAATATTTATCAGAAATAATTATTTTATATAATCATATATAAAAATGTAGAAAATCAGTTTAAATGGGTATATTACATTGAATAATAAAATGACATAATAAATCTAGTAAATATACCTCTTACTATGTAACATTAACTATTCGGAATACCTTATATACATCAAATGATTTTATTCCCATTGATACTTTAGAAGAGTTATTAATGCCTATTTTGCAGAAGAGAAAACTGTAAGGCCGAGTACTATACAGGTAGTTGCCAATTCCTGTAACTGGCCAATGTACCTTAAGTTGGGCAAAATACGGTAATAGCAACAGAAGAGGGTGGAAATAGATCCTTGAGACTTTTCATTTCCTAGTTCCTTTCAGTTCATATTTGAATCAGTTGAGAGAAATATTTGTGCTCAGATATTTGTGTTCCATCAATATCTGCTCAGCTTTATTGAATGAAATATCAAACTTTAGGTTACTGAGAAGTCTGAATCCTTTAATAAGCAAGCATTCTATATTATCCTTAGAATGATAAAAGAAAAAAATTACTGTAAACTTGTATTTGTTTTAAATTACCTCATTTATTAAATTATTTGTATAATAATGGCAGTTATATTAATAAAAATAATAAATCTATTTTTATAGATAAGAAAATATTTTCCTAATCTAAAATGTATTTTGTTATTTAGCAGGTCAAATCATTTAGTAACAAGAAAAAAGAAATACTAACATTGATAGCTTATTTTACTGTGATTTGTGTCTGTCAAATAGAAAACTTTCTTTCCCAACAAAATATTATGTGAAACACCCCAGTCTTAGCCCCATTTAGGGGATATGGCTCCTGGCAGTCAATCTTTATAAGTTTATATAAATATGAGTATTATATATTTTCACAATACCCATCTAAATTGGATATAATACATTTTCATTAAACAATATTTTAGTGAATGTGGCAACCACGGCAAAATCATCATCATCATCACACACACACACACACACACACACACACAAACACACACAGTCTCTCTCTCTGGAGAAATTGGCATTCCTTCACCTTGCAATAGAAGATTATCCCAGAGGCTTTCACTGAGCAATCAAAAAGGAAGATACTTGTACCCCTCAGACAAAGCACTACTCTGGAAAGAACTGGAACGCCTGACAGGGCAACAGTGCTTAGGAGAAATAACAGTAATACCCATACATGCATGTGTGAGAGTGGCAGGAGAAGAATAAGGCAACATTGCCTGCACTATGATGGCTGAAGGGAATTCTTTCTGAGAACGTGTGAGACAACTGCTAGTGACTGCCAGGAATTCTTGGGGCATTTTCAGGTTTGAACATTTCTCCTGTACTCCTGTATTTGTCTGCCTCCTCGCAATTTCCACCTGGATATTGAAGTTATCTAAACCTAACGGGTTCAAAATAAAGCATCTGATGCTCTTCAAGCCACCCTATCCAACCTTGACTTCTCTATTTCTATCACACTGTATATCCAATCCACAGGCACCTCTGATAGATCTAATTTCAACATCTATTCAGAATATGTCCATTTCTCACCACCATGTCGAGCTCTCATCTTCTTTCACTGGAGTCCTACACTAAATTGTCCCTTAACAGGTCTTCATGCTTATACTGTCTCCTCAGTCTACTCTCAACACAGATCCTTTCCAAATCATCTTTGGGTTGTATCACTTCTCTGCTGACACCATCCAGTGACTCTTCATTTCATTTAGATATAATCACAGTCTTTACAATGGTCTACAAAGCACGAAGTCATCTGCCCCCACAGGACCTCTGACTCTCCTGCCCTGTCCTCCCTCCCTCACTTCGTTCCAGCCACACAGGCTTCCACACTGGCCTCCAAGTGTTCTCTGGCTTCTGTCTGCCTGGGATGTTCTTTCTCACAACATCTGCTCATGGCTGAATCCCACAATACTGTTGTCAAAGTTTTGCTCAGATGAAACCTCTCTTAATCATTAACACCAAAATCGTTTTTAAAAATGTTTTGTACCTTTCCCCCGACTCTCAATTTTCCTTACTCCATCCTAATGTAGCATTTATGCCTCCATAACAGACTATAAAATTTAATCATTTATTGTCTTACTCTCTCCCCCGTTAGAATTTATGTTTCACAAGGAAACAAAACATTACCTTAGTTTTTAAAAATTGGTTTATATCCAGTTCTTTCTACTGAATGGATAAAGAATCTCAGTTGTAACAGGAAGGCAATGATAGGGAATGTATTAAGAAGTTAAAAAAAAAAAAAGAAAAAGAAAAAGAAAAAAATGAGAACCACTGAAGTCTCAGACTTGATACTATAAAAATAAGATGAGTTTGTCTCCTGCTGAATGAATGAATGGATAACTAGATTAAGGAGAGCTGGACATAAAGAGTGAATGGCGTCATTGATAAGGTGCTCCTGAATATGGTGAGGAAACAATCAACTGATTGTTTTGTTTGTTTGTTTGTTTCACTTTGCCTTATGTAACCACAAAGATCAAACAGTACCTTTGGGTTAAGGTATTTTCTATAAATATTTTTTAAATGTAAGTGAAGACATTAAAACCAGCAGAGACATATGCTCCTTCTAAATGACAAATTAGGCCCTTCTGCGCAACCATGACATTTTTCATATTGTATTTTCAATGTATGTTATACATTATATAGTTTTCTCCAAAAAATTATCTGAACTACATCATTGTTAACATAGTTGTATGAGGTTTAGTTTATATTCTGTTGAAAACTAAAGAAATATGTATGTGCATTAGATGAAAATAATTATATATAAAATTCTGAATTAATTTTTGCAACAATATGTAAATAAGCATGCATGACTATGCCTTCTAAGGCACGATAACAGAACCACAAAAAACCCTCTATAAAATATAAGACCATTAAATAGAAGGAGCATATTATCTTTATTTTTCTACACCAACATACAGCATGATGTTAGTACATAATTTTGAGGAATATAGGAGGAAATATATTGAATCAGTATGGCTTTTTTTGAGATAAGGTAAAACTAACTAGTCTATATGAGTTGGTGTATAGAGGAAAGAAAACAAGACAGTGTAAAAAATAAACCTGTCCAATAGGTTTTATTAATTGTTGCTTTTGGAATGGTACAATAGCTCAGCTGTTACCTATCAATGGATATACTAACTTGACAATACATGCTATATAAATGCACTGAATTAAAAAATAAAAATAATAATGTTCCTTATGAAAACACACCAGACAGACTTATCTTGACCTTAAGAGAGCAAGAGCTCTATTTTGATATTTTGAAATATTTTTTTTTGAATTTTCTGCTTTTATAATTGATTTAATCTTGATTTTATTTGGGGGGAAACTGCAGTAAGGTGTACAGATATGCAAAGTTGTACCTACATAGATAAATAAGAGATATTTGGGTAAACTTTATAGAGTAGTTTAACAATCACAGACAACATTCATAGTAGTTTTTATATAAAATGCAACCCCTAGTCCATTAAAGCAACTTACTAGTAGAGTTTCAGAAGAAAGTGTTCTAAGTTGGAAACAGGATTGGAATAATTATTTTGCTTCAGGACAATATCTTAGGCATCGTTTACTTTAATTTTTAAAAATCCAGCATTCACCATGCCCTGGCTGCCCAAAGATGTAAAAATCAAAAATGAAAATAAAATCCTGGGACACAATTTTCAATGTGAGCTCAGAGCTTTTGTTTTTTTCACATTACAGAAAATAGCATGAGCTATAGTATTATGTGATATTTGGAAGGGTGGAAGAAAAATCTTGGAAATACCGATTTGCCTCAAATTTGGCAAATGTTTAAAACTGATATCATACACTAAAAATCAGAGTAATTAGATCACCTCATGTAGCTACTTAGTATAGTTTAAAGTATCACTGATTAGATGGTAGATTTATTTATTGAATTTTTGTTAATCTTAGGAAACAAACTCATCTAATGTCTTCTGCATCTTATTTTTGTAGTATCAAATCTGAGACTTCAGTGGTTCTCATTTTTTTCCTTTTCTTTTTTTTTTTCTTTTACTTCCTGATACATTCCCTATCATTGCCTTCCTGCTACTACTGAGATTCTTTATCACTATTTGGAGCTCTCCCTAGGATACTTCCTTTCAGAGCAGTACAGATTCTGCCGGTCAGTGTTCTCTTTAATTTGCAACCTCTGAGATAGTCACAAAAACTGCTAATTAAAAGCTACTGAAAATAGTCTGAGTCACAGATGCAGCTGGGTTGAGCTGAGTGGGAGGGTAGCTTAGATAATCGTTTGCTAACATCTTAATTTACTTTTAATGAAGAAAGTAAAATCTTATGTTTAATTTACATTTGTTTTTCCCTTTAATTATTTGTTATACCAAATTTTCACTTTTTTAGAGCTAAACCTTGTAGAGTTATATAAAAAGTTACACGTTGTTTAATGTTACTGCGTTCTCCATTCCTACAATAATGAATTACTTTAATAAATACAGCTTCAGAATATTCAAGGATCCAAATTATTGTCTATTATAAAAGCAGTAATAATTGTAAGTGCTGTAAAAATGTTAAAGAAAAATAAGTTCAAAAAGTATGGTTATTAATTTATTACATAATTGTCCCTCAAATAGAATATGACAATGTTATAATTGAAACAAAAAAGTTTTTATCCTCTATGCCTTCCTTTCCATGGTAATTTTACATGTGTAAGATTTTAACTCTACCAATCAGGCAATTTTAAGTAACTGTTAAATTTGTACTGTGGACTAAAATATATATAACAAAATTATAAGAAGACTATCACACTGGCTAGATATACATTTTAAAAATATGAACAATTTTAGGTTACATATGATACTTTCATCTTGAATATTACATGAATTCTTATGGTACTTTTATAAGACATATTTGTGGAATTGATCTCATCTTATAATACTTATTTACATATTATTTTAGCTTCAAACTTGTACAAATAGCTATTTCAAATATCTATGGCTTATTTTATAAAGAGAGCATAATAAATTGGATTGAAAAAAAAATCTTTTAAGTTTATTCAGTTTCACCTTGGAAGTCCATACTGGATGTTTCTGGTGAAAATGATATTGAGAATGCTCAGTGGTTACCCAAATGGATCCAACTATGAGGTCATATTTACCTTCATGAATTCACCATTATCATGAGTTTGGTCCTGATGGCTTAGGATCTTGATCTCTTCAGTATCGCAGAGTGGATTGAAAATAAAGAAGCTAATTCATATTGACAAAAGGCATAATGCATCAACGTAAAACCCAGAATATCAACATATTAACTTAGAATCAATTTATTTTAAAAGTAAATAAAGAGCTGAATTGTCTATGAAACTGTCAGACACATTTTTCCCCTGAATACGTGGCATGCTAAAACACAATTACCAAAATGCTTTTTATTAAGTAAATTATTAGCAAAGGGAGTAATAGATATTGTTAAAGGGGTGACCTCTGTGATACTTATATGTCATGATTTAGATAGTTCAACTTTGTATCAGTGTCACATTGGAGAAGTATATTTCAATGAAAAACGAACATCAAAAACTTTTTTTTCTACTCAGGTCAGACTGGTAATGTGCTGACATCGTAACAAGGTTTGAGAGTAGCACATCTCACGCATGTGCATGAACACCCAATCATCATGCTCATGAACTACAAAACGATCAATCAAAAACATTTTTAAAAATTAAAATGGTTTCTTGCTTTAAGATTGTTATGCTAGGGGAAAATATAGCTTATAGCAATATTTCTGAAAACCTTTAAAAAGGCTCTGCTCATGCCTTCAGGCTTTTAGAGTCTAAAAAATTAGAAGATCAAGAGGTTTATGTCCTCCCCAGGGCAAAGAGTTCTGGGGTATAGAGTTCCCTGAGAAATAGTTTTAGTTCTTCTGCTACCACTGCATTTTATTATTAATGTGATGGTATTGATGTTGCCACTACTGCTGCTGCTGACGATGATGATGATGATGAAAATGATGCTGATGATGTTGATAATAATGCTGAAAAACATCCACCTTGGCTCTTGTTATCTGTCTGCCTCCTTTCCTATTTTTTTATGTATGTGTGTTGTTTTCACTCTATATATTTTCTTCCTATTCTTAAAATATATTTGTGTTGTTATCTCTCTACCAACTTTCCCTGTAATCATATATGTGAATACACACACAAACACACACACAAACATACAACACATACACACGCCTATGACTGAAGAGACTTAAGATTTTCTTTTTTCCATTTTCAGAAAACTCAGGGCCTGAAGATTTAAAATATTGCCATATTTCCACCATTGAGCAGAAGCACTTCCAGAATTCAAATCTTGACTATCTTTCTGTAAATGCGTGATTCTTAACTACTATAATATCGTGCCTCTTCAAAGTCCAAGAATAGCTTTATTTCATTAATATTTATCTATTGTTTTTACCAACTCAACTTTCTGACTTGCAGGCCATTAGCTTGAATAGATTAGGTTATCCAAACCCTCACTCTGATATACTATTTTTGAACTCTGAGTATTTCTGAGTGTAAGTAGGCAAGCATCCTGCTGATTTAGCATCAACACTTCATTATTGATATCCCTACTCTGAATTTATATTTTACCTATATGTTGTTGTCTTCTCTGTACCAGTTTTTTCAGACAAGTCGAGGACACTCGTTCCAAAACCGTATTTAAAGTGGCCATGTCCCAGCTACTTATGTCTGGATCTTCCTCAAAACTTGTACTTATATGCCTTCATCAGTAAGGATTGTCAGGAAAGAGAAACCACAGAGTGCATGGAATGATTTGGACAGAATCTATATGATTATAATCATATAATATGTATATTTCTCTGTATATGAGTATATACACATGCACACATATCTGTGTGCATATAATATGTCATATATTTTATATATATATATAAATGAACTATAATGGGGAATAAAAGTAACATGGTAATGAGGGAATGGGAGTAAGAAGTAAAGAGAACTTTTCAAAATAAAAGAATAGAGGGTATAAGGAACAGCCATGCTTCTAGGGGTAACGTAGGGTACTTATGAAACAACTTCTCTCCCTACCCTTGAGGGCTGAGTTTCAGACCTTGTTGGAGAGAGAATCATTGCTGCTTACTGGATGGTGGAGGATTTGATGAGGTTCCAAGTCCGGGAACTTTTTGTCTTGTTAAAAATTTACTGCCCAGAACTTCCTAGAAATCTGCTTAGAGTGATGGGGAATCAAATGACTTGCATTTTATTATTATTGTTTGTTTACTTCTTTATTACCACCCATACAACTTGACACAAATTAATCTTGAGTTCTATTCCTAGCTGTAATGAGTAACTCATGTCATATATCATCACTCGTTGACAACTATACAAATTTAACAAATTATAAAAACAACGATTGAATTAAAAAGAACTGATTGGAAGCATTAGAAAGCACTGAAGTACCAGAACTTGAGGAAAAAGACTATAAACACATGTATCAAATTTGCCTTCAAAGCAGCCTTTCCCCGGAGACTATATGCTGATTTTATCTTCAGGTTGTAGAGGGCTGAGGAGTGAGTGTAGCCTGGAGTTTGTGTTGTTTTCACTGAGCTGGGGAAATAGACATTAGAGTTCATGGATAGCACAGCATCCAGGAATGAAGAGGCCGGAATGGCAGAGAAATGGAATCCTGGAAGTTGAACTAGGCCTTTTGTATATGGCTCTCCTATGAGAAATTTATCAGTTCCTAAATTCTACCTTTCCAGAGCAAAATGTTAAAACAACAAACCAAAAATCTGCTCAACGGATGAAAACTCCACTGAAGTTTTGGCAGTCTCAGAGTGCTAGGATGGAAATCAATATAAGTGAAAGCCTAAGAAGGAGCTCAGACCCCCCGAGCCACCCAAGTTTATAGTAGATAGTCCTAAAGGGGTATGCCCTAACAGAAAGGACAAATAAGAAATAGAAGAACCTTCACAAAACTTAAAGTTTCAAGTATTTGTAGTCTCTGTTGGAGTACGGTGTTTTGTGTATATGCTATCTGTGTGAAGGAACCAAAGTCTTCTCTGAAGGACGATAATATGATCCAGAGACCATACAACTTTTCACATAAAGTATTCAACATTTTACCAAGCACACCAGCAAACAGGACTAAATGAAGAAGAATTTTAAAAGACACAGAAATACTCAAATATAAATCAGATATAAATAACTATGATTAAATTATAAGAAAATAGTCTCAAGCCTCTACAACCTGAAATATATATATATATAAAATATAATACTAAATAATAGAAGTTCTAGAACTGTAAAATTAGCAAGTCACTTGAATTACATTAATAATTCACTACAATGCAAGGGAAAATGATGGCCTTTCCAAGAACTATATTGGAATAATATACCATATGGAAAAAAATATTACTTCTGATTCACAACACGTACAAAATCAATTCTAGATGGATCATAAACCGAAACAAAAATATAAAAGGTGAAACAATAAATTTTCTGCAGTTTTGCATAGAGATGACATTTGGATAGGTTAATATTTCCTCAACAGAACATAATTATTTGCCATGAGGAAAAGGACTTATAAATTAGACTTTATTAAAATTTTAAAAAATCTGTTCATCAAAAGACAATTTCCAAAGAATAAGTGGAAATCCAAAGACTAGGACAAGATATTTGCAGTACAAATAACCAAAAGAAGACATATAAACATAAAGAATAACTATAAATCAATAATGAAAATATAGACTATCAAAGATCAAAAGGAATAAATGAATTGCACAGTCATTTTTTAGATGTTATCTAAAATTAACCTTCAGAAAATATGCTCAACGTATTTACTCAACACAAAGTCACAATGAAATATTATTGTAACAATATTTGAATGGCTAAAATTAAATAAAAATGAAATACCAAGTGTTAGTAGGAATATACAGTAACAGAAACTCTCATATACTTCTGGTGAAAGCATACATTTTTACAACCACTTTGAAATTCTTTAGTAGTATCCACCAACATATGTATACTTATGACTCATCAATTGAATTCCTAGATATATACCCAGAAAAATCTTGATATATGTCACCAAAGATAAGAATATTTAAAGAAGCAATATTCATGGCACCTAAAGTATAAATGATCAAAATTACCACAACACTAAAATGACAAAGTGGGATGGATACATAAATTCTAATTATTCTCACAATTGAATACTATACAGCAATAAGAAATAACAACCTGCGACTACGTACAACACAGATAAACCTCATAGATCTTGATTCGTTAAAAAATTTACAAATAGAATATTGCGCACTGATGACATTCAAAAACAAGCAGAGTCTATTATGGTGTTAGATGCCAGAATACTGATTACATTTCTGAGAGGCCCAGTGACTGAGTAGAGGCATAAGGGAAGATTCTGGAGGCGTAATATTTTACATCTTGATATAGTTGATACTTCCACAATATTCTTTTTAAAAGTACAAGTAGTATTTGATGCTTACTATTTATTCATTTTAATATATAGATGTTATATTTCAATTGAAAAGATAAGTATAAAATTCCTTTATGCATATATGTGCATTTATATGTATAAAATTCCTTTACATATACATATATATACATACATACATATATATACATATATACATACATACATATATATATATATGGAGAGAGACAGGATCTTGTTCTGTCACCCAGGCTGGCGTGCACTGGCACAATCACTGTTGACTGCAGACTTGACTTCCTTGGCTCAAGCAATCCTCCCAGCTCAGTCTCCCTGTAGCTGAAATTATAAGTGTTCATTACCACACCCAGATTATTTTTTTTGTATTTTTTGCAGAGATGGGTTTTTGCCTTATCTCATTTCTTAAGATTGGTATTAAATATTAGAATGAGTATACAGATTTCTGTGTTTTGCAATGTATTTGAAAGTTAAACTCTTTGAGTATTTGGGAGTATATTTATGGTAGAATGCAAATCACTGTATTCCCAAGGTGACTTCTTTTTTCTTAGCATATTTACGATGTTATCTTATTTCATTTATCAAATTTTATGTGTCTGAAACAAAATCATGTCTATGGAAAAATTTTAAGAATATCAATATGGATGTTTAATTCCCCTTTGAAAATCCATCATTAAAAGTTAAATTGAAATAAAACAGAAATGAATAATGTAGAGAAATTTTTCTTAGTGCTTTCACATTCAGTATTTTATGTTGATAGGAATTGTTTTTTAATAATTAAGATTTTTCTATTAATCTCTGATTGAAAATTTATATGCTATGCTAAAGTAATGATGGAATTTGAAAATCACTGATTTCAAAGGACAAGGTACAGCTGAACTTTGAGAGGAACTGGAAGATAAAGTGTCACATTGAAAACAAAATAAAATTTATTTATTTATTTTGAGACGAAGTCTCACTCTGTTGGCCAGGCTGGAGTGGTGCAATCAGAGCTTAGTGTAACCTTCTCCTCTCCAGGTCAAGTAATCCTCCCACCTCAGCCTCCAGTGTAGCTGGGACTACAGGCATGCACCAACATGCCTGGCTAATTTGTCTATGTGTATATATATATTTGTATTTTTTGTAGAGATACGTTTTCACCATGTGGCCCAGGCTAATCTCGAACTACTGGGCTCAAGCGGTCTGCTCGCACCGGCCTCCCAACGCATTGGGATTACAGGAATGAGCCACTGTGCCCAGTGAAAATATATTAACATTTTCTATTTTCTCCTCTTGACCTTGCCTTAAAAAGTAAATAAAGAGCTAATAGTCTGTATTGATAGTTACGTACAGACCCATGTGCTTTATTATCTGGGCTTGGACTTTATTTATTTATTTCTTTTTTGTTGTTATTTAGCAAATGGTAAATAAAAGGTATACACAATGTACCTGCCCCTTAGACTGATAGAAAAGTTTGAGACAGCTCCTTAGTTAGAAGATCACATTATTTACTTAATGGTTGCTTGACAGGTACAATTAGCAGGGACAGGCTTTCCCAAAAATTGTTTGGACTATAATTTAACATACAGTAGTAGAGTCAGTTGAGGTTTCAAATTGATGTGTTATAATACATAAGCATATTTTTCACTGGTGTTAGCATTTATTATCAATCAACTAAATTTGTAAAATGTTAATTTTTTATCAAAATATAAAGATCAAGCATTCAAAAAGAAATGAAAATAATTTGGGTTGTTCTGTTGATGTTGACTGGTGGTTTATTATTTTATAACTATACTTTAAACTGTTTGCTTCTTTTTATCAAGAATAAAATCGCATTCAATCTTCTAGTTACCTCCAGGTTGGGCCCATGCTTTTCAGGGATTGCTAATGTTTGCAACTAATGCCGGCTCTTTTTTTTTTTTTTTTTTTTTTTTTGAGATGGAGTTTCGCTCTTGTCGCCCAGCCTGGAGTGCAGTGGTGTGATCTTGGCCCACTGCAACCTCCGCCCCCTGGGTTCAAGCGATTCTCCTGCCTCAGCCTCCCGAGTAGCTGGGATTACAGGCACCTGCCACCTCACCCGGTTAATTTTTGTAGTTTTTAGTAGAGATGGGCTTTCACCATCTTGGCCTGCCTCATCTTGAACTTCTGACCTCAGGTTATCCACCCGCCTCGGCCTCCCAACATCCTGGGATTACAGGCGTGACTCACCAAACCTGGCCAGCTAATTCTTACTGAGTGCTTACTATATGCTGGGGATTTTGCATGTATTAACTTCTATGTGGTGCTCTTCATGGTCCAGTCATTGTTTGTATTACTGAAAGTCAAGCTATCAGCTGTACCATTATCCTTTCAATTGCCTGAAATTGTTCACAAGAAGCCTGTCAGCTTGCCAAAGTTCACAGCACCACTTGTTAGTACTAGTATCAGACATAGGTGTATGTGTAACTTACAGCTTATTCTTTGTTAAACTGTATGAGTGCTAATAGTGTTTATTTCACACTGAACAATCTTCCTTGCTTTGTTGTGATGAATACAAATGGGAAGATAAAGACATATTAAAAGAGCAATTTTCTTAAATAGGAGACTAAAACTTATCTTAATCAATTGGAAAATTTTCTAACCAAGGGAATGCTAAATTTAAAGGATTTCAAATTGAAGATTTTGTTTTTGCTTAAACTCTAGCCAAATAACAGGCACATTATATAATCACAATAATTAAAATTCTAGTGGAAATCCTGTATAATATTTTATGTTTTCCATTATTTTTATTTGTTGTTCTAAAATCAACATATTGAAGTTTAGTCATTCTAAAATTTAATTAATGAAAACAATTGTTGTAATGGTGTTTTTCTTTTTCTAATTAGAGATAAACATACCATAGGTTTCTAACACTAGTTTCCCAATTGCCTTATAATTGTAATTCAAGATGAAGATGTTGATTTTAAAACATATATATCACATGGATTTCTTAGTAACTAAAAGAAATGACTACAATATCATTATGAATTATTTGCTAGTTCTAGTTTGAAGGCATTTGAAAATGTCAATTATTAGCTCATCAACAATTACTTTTGCTTACTTTTTTTATCCTTTAAGTATCTCTCAATATGTCTATTGTGTAAAAATTAAAATCAATGTAAAACCATTACTATTAAAATGACTATACTCCTCAAATTAATCTGATAATTAAATGAAATTTTAAAACCTTCACATGGCATATCTGATAGAATTTGGCGAGCTGATTACACACATTGAAGAATGTCATCATAGAAATATATAAAAATATGCAAAAATGTCAAATACATAGGAAATACTTTTATATGGTGCAACATAGCAAACTTTAAAGCTATAAAAATTCATAAATTATGCTACTGAGGCAGGTAAGAGAATATGATTATGAGTAGAATAAAGACAGTGATTTCATATTTTATATGTTTATGTGTCAATTTTCCTTTCTTATAACAGGAGAATGTATTTGCATGTTGTTTGTACAGTTTGAAATTTAAAAGAAATAAGGCTATTTGCTAACATTTCTGAGAGCCTGCTGTATGGCAGGAATTATTCTTGGTGTTTGCAAAGGTCTTGACTCATTGAATTCTCACAACAATCTTATTGCCTCTATGCTTCAGAAGGGAAAATCAATGCTAGAAAAATGAACTGCCCAAAGTTGCACAGCATGGAGGTGTCAGAGCTGAGACTTGAATCAGGCTGTCTGGCTACGTTTGCTACACTGTTAACCATTACACAACACTGTTTCTCTACATAGAGTTTACGTGAGCTGAGAAGGCATAATACACAGCATATATTATGAACATAATTAAATCAAGTTACAGAAAAAGATTTATGAATATATTAAGGTTTCCAAAAATAGGGTACACACACCCACACACACACTACATATATGGAGACAATTCCCAAAGAATCTAGAATAATTTAAAATAATCAAATATATAATAAACTGCTACTAGAAACCCAGGCTGATGTGACTAGGTTCTCTCCTCATGTTACTACAAAGCAGACTATGTTGCCATCTTGAGGTATCAGCTAGACTGAGTTCTCATCTGGAGGGTTGGGGGAAGAATCTCATTGGAAACTCCTTCAGATTGTTGGGAGAGTTCATTTCTTTATAGTTGCAGGATAAAGGACTTCATTTTCTTGTTGACAGCTGCAGCCCTCGGCTCCTAGATGCCACTTGTCCTCATTTCCATGTGATCCATCCTGCCAGCAATGGAGAATTTCTCATGGTTCAAATCTCACTCATGATTTGAATATATCTTACTTCACTTTCTCTGTTTGCTAAATTTATATTTAGAGGGCTCATGTGACTGCAACTGGATCACCCCAATATTCTCCCTGTGCTAAGGTCAGCTGATATGGGATCTTAATTTATCTTTGAAATCTGTTCCCAGCAGGAAAGTTAGCACACAAAGGTTGCCAGAGCTTCAGCTGATCTTAGAGGGAACATCAACACTAGTCATTCCACTAACAATAGCATCAGTGACTGCTTTCCTAACATAAATCACTTTTTTTGCCCAAACTTTTCATTTGCTTTTGAGTGGTTAACTACCACTAGTGCAAAATTTGGTGGCTCCCTTATAAGTTAGCATATATCACCTAACTAAATCAGACAGTGGAAACTTGATCTTGGCATTCAAAGCATAGTATGGCCTCCCTAGCTATATTGCCAGAATATATTCATTTCGAATACATGTACAAATTACATATCCCAGTCAGTTAACTTGGACCTATGGCTATTTGCTGCCTCCAAGTATTAGTCAAGCAATGTCATCTTCCTTGAATGCACTTTCTCCCACATGGAAATATTTATTTTCTACAGTCCAGTTGTAAGTGCCATCTCTCTTCAGTGACATCATCTTTTTTGCCTTCATTGGATAGTAATAATTTTATCATTGCTTTGTTTTGTCTTTTGTGATAACACTGATATTTCATAGATTAGGTTTTGTTTGTTTCTCTTTCTCCCACCTTGATCTCACTTTTTCATGGCATTTGGACGTTTCTCTAGTAACTCCCAGAAAAGTATCTGGGAGAATGCAATAGAAGTATAATAAATGAATGTTTAATGAATATACAAATGATTTAATTGAATTCTGAAATATAATAAAGTTTTTGCTTTACAGGTGGAAAGATTAGATTTAAAATAAAGGTTATTTTAATAAATCATTATTTCACTCATATTTATTATTAAAGAATAGTTTAATATGTATCAGACATGTTATTAAAGAATAGTTAAATGTATTTCAGACATACTACTATGGGAAAATTTAACATGCATCAGGTATAACATCCCTAAATTATTTTAAGAAAACCAATTCTTACCAAGTGAAACTTACTAGTTTCAATACATTCTAGTTTAATCTACTTTTAGTCATTTATTTTTAATAGCAGAATCCAGTATAAAATTAACACATTTAAATGGGTTTTCATCTTACATTAGAGTTGCCATACTTAGCAAATAAAAATATAGGACAACCAGTTAAATTTGAAATTTAGATACACAGTGAATAATGTTTTACTATGGGTATCTCCGTTATACATACTTATAGGTAAAAACTTCATTGTTTATTTTAAATTCCAATTTAGCTAATGTTCTGTATTTTATCTGGCAATCCAATACTTAGAGCACACTTTTATCTTGAGATTTTAAGAAATCTGCCTTTTTTTTTTGTTTTTGTGTTCTTTTTAAAGATTTGCAAAAACAAAAGTTTAAGTATTTAAGGTAATAATGTATTTTTAATAGTTATGGCATTTTGCGTATAATTAAGCCAGTTGCTTTTTAAATTGTAAATATTCCCAGAGGCAACAATATAGAACTTCACATAGTTTTGCAGTCATTTTAAAATACTGATGATACATATTTATGTGCATGGAATCTGCAGAAAGTTGAAAGATACTATGAGGTATTTGGAAACTTTAAAAACAAATAGTACATACCGCTAAGCACACGTTGTCTAGCAAACACTAAAATTCACTTGTGCACTATGCTGTGCGAGCAATAGTATCATATACGCCTAGCATTTCCCAAACAGATTGAAGACACTGTAGCTCCACGCTTGCCTTTCCTGTGAATGGAAATGGAGACTGAGGAGGGCAAGTTCACATCAGCCATCTGAACTTAATCGAACTCAGGAAATGCAGAACTTAATCGTGCTGTGGCAGATATTAGCATTCTGACATTCAGATATAACCTTTCAGGGCTTAAAGTGACTCATTTTTCAAAAACATAAAATAGGAACTTCAAATTGATTATTTTAAGGCTTGCATGAGAATATATATGTGAAAATTTCATTAAAATGCACCTTATTATGAATGTTATTTTAACGCACTAGTGGTTCATTTGCTATTTAGTTGAAATATAACCTCTAATAATTGATTTTAAAATGTTTTTCATGCAAATTAGTACTGGGTATTTAATTTTAACTGTTGTCAAGTAATATTTTGGAAAAATACAGTATTTATTACTAATTCAGATGTAAACATCCTGTAGAAATTATTACTCTGCTACTGACCAAGAGTTTATTAATAGAAATACACTAGCTTAAGGTAAATGAATAAGCAGAAAATTTGTATTGTATCATAACCAATTGCATATCCACTGTGTATACTGGTTTTTAAATCAATAGACTCTTTTTTCAGTGATGTAATATTTACAGACAAATCGAACAGAAAATACAAAGAGTTCCAATATACTCCGGACCCCTGCTCATTTAAACTCCTTTTACAGTAACACCTTCCATTAGTGTGATATATTAGTTATAATTGATGAACCAATATTAATACATTATTATTAATGAAAGTCCGCAGTTTATATTAGGGTTTACTTTTTGTGTTATACTGTTGTATGAGTTTTGTCAATTGTAGTGTCATATATCCACCATTACTGGATAATGCAGAATAGTTTTGCTGCCCAAAACAACTTTTGGGCTCTTCCTATTCACTTTTCTCTCTCTGCCCTTTATTTTTACATTTCTATAGTTTGCCCTTTTCCAGAATGAAATATTGTTGGAATCCTGCAGTTTGCAGCCCTTTCAAACTGGTGTCTTTCACTGAGAAATATGCATTTAAGCTCCTTCATGTATTTTCATGGTTTGATAGCTCATTCCTTTTATTGCTGAAAATATTGCATTGTATCGATGTTCCACAGTTTGTTTATCTATTCACCCATTCAAGGACATCTTGGTTGATTCCAAGTTGTGTCGTATATGAATAAAACTACTATAGACACTTATGTGCAGTTTCTTGTGTTTGAAGGTGAGTTGTACATTCAAATCTTTTGTCCACTTATTAATTGCATTTTCTGTTTCCTTTTTGTTGTTTTTAAAGGTCTTTTGTATTTTTTTGATAAACGTCCTTTATCAAATATGTACTTGTAAATATTTTCTCTCACTTCGTGGCTTGTCATTTCATTCTCTGATCAGTGTCTTGCAGGGCACACATTTTTATTCTAATTTAATGTGTCAATTATATTGGGTCTTTGCATTTCCATATAAACTTTAGAATCAGTTTTTCAAAATTCACCAAGTAACTTGTGTTTGCATTGAATCTATGGATCAAATGGTGAAGAACTGAGATGGTAACACTACTGAATTTTTCTATTCCTGAATATTTGGTATCTTTCTATTATTTAGAAAAGATTTCTTTGATTTATTTCATTAGAGCTTTACAGTTTTCATCAAAAAGAACTTGAACATATTTTTTTTAGATTTAAATTTAAGTTGTTTATTTTTCATGCTAATATAAATGGTGTTCTGTTTAAATAATATTTCAATTGTTCATTGATGATATATAGTAAATCAACTGACTTTTGTATGCCAAAATTGCATTCTGCAACTTTGCTATAACTGCATATTAGTACTAGGAGGTTTTTTTCCAATTGTTTCAGACTTTATAAATAGATAATCATGTCATCTGTCAGCAGTTTTATTTCTTGCTTCCCAATCTTTACCTTTTATTTTCATGACTTGTCTTTTTGCATTAGCTAGAAATGATGAGTGGGCATCCTTGCCTCATTTTCTATCTTAAAGGGAAAACATCCAGTTTCTCACCATTAGGTATGATGTTACTATAGGTTTCTTGTGGATATTCTTTATCAAGTTGAGTAAGTTTCTCTCTATTCCAAGTTTGCTGAGAGGTTTTGTTTTTAATCATATATGGGTATTGGATTTTCTCAAATGTCTTCTCTGCATCTATTTGATATACTCATATAATTTTTCCTCTTTAACCTGTTGATGTTATGGATTAAATTGGTGTTCAAATGCTGAAACAGCCTTGCATACCTGGAATTATGTATATTTGTTTTTAAATTTTTCTTAGTTGAATTTTGTGAACTACTTTAATAACTGATGTATAAAAACTTAAATGTTTATATGGATTGTTCATTATACAATCTGGATTCCCTGCCTCAGATGGTTCCAGTTGAATTTAATAACACCTTTGTTTAGCAAAAAAAAAAAAAATTCATTGAGTATTTAAAATATGAAGCATGGTAGTAGTTACTAGTAATGCATTGGTAAGTAAGAAATAGTACTGAAAACTTTCCTGGAGTTTTTATGATGTGTAGGAGACAGAAGATGAACTAAAATTTCTACAATGCTGTGAAAGTATTTTGAATAGTACATAGGTATCTTCAGAGACAAATGAGGCTCCCAGAGGTTGAGCTTAAATTGAGCCTTGAGGCACGTTTCTTAGGTAAATGATACGCTATAAGGAAGAAATAAGATACAAAGATTTAAATGTGATAGCACATCCCCATTTAGTAAGAACACACCTTAAAGTGTGAAAGGAGTTAAAAAACATAAAATGAAAAGAGATGAGAATATACGGATGGTGGAGTCATAGAACAGGTCTTAAAGATAGATTTGTCTCTCTAGTTTATGAATTAGAAAATTTTTTGAAAACTAAAAAAAAAAGCCACTAAGGGTTAAGGTGGCAAACACCGTGTTCATACACGTAATTAAGAAATATTAACTTAGAAATATCCTCCAATCCAATGATCCCATTACTGGCTATACACCCCAAATAAAACAAATTGTTCTACTAAAAAGACACATGCATGCCTATATCCATCACAGCACCACTCACAATAGCAAAGACATGGAACCAACCTAGGTGGCCATTAATGGTGGATTAAAGAAAGAAAATATGGTTACATACATACCATAGAATACTACACAACCATATAAAAGAGTAAAGTCATGTCCTTTGCAGCAAAACGGATGCAGCTAAAGGCCGTTATCCTAAACAAATTAACGCAGGAATAGAAAACCAAATACCACACATTCTCACTTATATAAATGTTGGGTACTCATGGACATAAAGATGGCGACAATAGCAGTTAGGGGCTACTAGAAGTGGGAGAGAGGGAGGAAGGGGAGAAGGGTGAAAAAATTAACTATTGGGTACTCTGCTCAGTATTTGGATGATGGTATCATCTGTACCCCAAACTTTAGCATCATGCAATATACCCAAGGAAAAAAACTGTATGTGTACCTACTGGATCTAAAATAAAAGTTGAAAAAATTATATACATTACCTTAGAGAAAATTTACAAGATGGATTTTGATTCTTCACCCTAGATGAATAGACACTGCTCCAAGGCACATATATGGCTTCATTAAAATCAATGGTAGATTAAATTTGGCCTCTACCTCAATACTAGGCACTGGAAAAAATTCAAAGTACTAACATAAATGACAATTATCTTTGAAAAGTTCATAATCCTCTTAAAATTAATGAATAAATATAAACAAGGACTTTATAAATACAGAACCTGAATATGTAGAAAATAAGATAATCCAAGGTTGGTCAAAAACACTACAGTGTGTTGGAAGACAGCAGGAGACAAAGAATAGAATACAAGAAATAAGAAAAAGGAGGAAAACCCAGAGAGAAATATTGTCCAAACCTGAAAAACTAAATGTTTAAGATGGCAGCCTGAGGAATTCTATGTTCATTTATTTACCTATCTGTTCAATCAATCTCTAATTCAGTTAACATTTATTTCACAAGTATAATGAAGACAGCTACTTAGCTAGGTGTTAGAAATTTAAAGATTCATAAGTACATACTTCTAAAATAAAGGTTCAGAGACAAAGTCGCCAATCATTAATCAGAAAAAAATATTAACACACAATTATACTCATATAACAGGATAAATAAAGCACCAAACAGCTCCAAAGAAGAACTTGGGAAAGTTGATATGCTTTGTTAAGAGTATCAATGGCAACTGGGCACGGTGACTCACACCTGTAATTCCAGCACTTTGAGAGGCCATGGTGGATGAATCATGAGGTCAGGAGTTCGAGACCAGCTTGGCCTACATGGTGAAACCCCATTTCTACTAAAAACACAAAAAATTAGCGTGGCAGGCACCTGTAGTCCCAGCTACGTGGGAGGCTGGAGCGAGAGGATGACTTGAACCCAGGAGGCGGAGCTCGCGGTGAGCTGAGATCACACCACTGCACTCCAGTGCAGGTGACAGTGCGAGACTCCATCTCAAAAAGAAAAAAAAAATACTGTCAGCCAGTATTGTATAATAAATCTCTTTCTACATATCTACATACCTATTTATCTATGTCTATCTATATCTTATTAAATTATCTACAAACCCTAACACAATCGGGATGCAGATTTCCCAATATCCCTTTCCTATCTTCCTTCATTTCCACCAGATCTATAAACGATGACATATTCAGGATGTTCCAGGAGAGAAATCAGAAGGCCCAATTTATAAAGAATGGTTTATATACCAACATAAGTACAAGACATAATCTCTCTCCAAATTTATTAGGATCAGGAATCTAGGAATTGTGTGTGGATATTTTGAAGTGGCTAGATGGAGAATGAAATAATCGTATATTAGAATAAATATATTGGGCTTGCAGAAATTTATGAATATATGTGTTAGCTTGAGAAATTAAGAGTGATTTTAACTGCTGTTTCATTTCATGGGCTTTATCTGGAAATCATTAGTGGCACATTAAATATGAAGTTGAAATTCAAGAAATATCATGATAAGATATAAAGAAGTATATAAGGAATCAAAATGCTGGAGTTGATGGATTATATGTGATACAACATTTACATCCTAACTATGTCCCTGAGAGAATCCAGAGAATACTATTTTCTATAACATTGAAAAACATATTCATGAATAGAACTCCAATCTTGAAATTCCTTGAAACTGCCCAATTTGTGGCATAGGAAATGTTACCAGTGAAATTAATTCACTATTTTGATTTGATTGATTATTTTATCCCTAGAATAATAAACAAAATAGTTTTATGTACCTTGATGGCATAATTGTACGTGGTGAATGTCTTAGAACTACACACTCATATTGTGTCAATGTCAAATGGCTGCTTCTGATATTGTACTATACGTAAGATGTAACTAGTGGGGGAAACTATCTGAAGAGTACACTGGACTTCACTATATTGTTTCTAAATCCCCCCAAAATTACAAATTTTGAAAACTGAGGGAATTACCATAGAATAATTTCTCAGGCCTACTGAGACCTTTATAAATCATTTATCAACTGAACCTTTGAAGCTTCTCCTACTTGCTGGTGAATTACAGTAGAATTTTGTGTTCTCAGGAATTGGTGTTAACTCAGAGAGTGTTGCCAACATCCCCCAAAATGTACTTTTCCCACTGAACATTCTGAAAAGTGGTTGTAAGTGCCATTAAGGAAAACCATAAGGAAGTTGTGCTTATGAAGTTATCTCAGGGTGCTTCCAAAATAGATCCAAGCCTCAGCAACTTTCAAGGAACTCTGTATCTATGAACTGACTCAGGAGTGGGAATTTTATCAAGGGCCATTTAAGGGAATTTAAGTTAGTCTCTAGACTTAGAAGGTTCCCACTTATCCCCTATACCCCAGTTGAGTGGATCAAAGAAGATGTTAGTGGCAGTTAGTGAGTCCATAGCATAACACTATCAGTGGGCGAGCACCAAAGATTGCCAAAGTTGACATTTCCTTTGTATAGCTGTGGTGACTGTTAGGGTAATCAAGACAACATCATTTTAGCAATATTTAAATCAACAAACTTTGAATAAAACAGATTAGTCCACATTATGTGGTTGGGCCTTATCCAATAAGTTGAAAACCTTAAGAATATAAAACTGATCTCCCTGAAAGGAGATATTCTGCTATCAGACTGCCTTAGGACTTGAGGTTCTGCATTAGCTCCTGCTAGAGTTCCAGCCTACCAGCCTACTGCTCAGATTTTGGACTTTGTATAATATAAGCCAATACCTTAATATAAATCTCTTTAGATAGATAGATAGATGATAGATAGATAGATAGATAGATAGATAGATAGATAGATAGAAAGATACATAGATAGATACATAGATAGATACATAAATACCTAGATAGATACATAGATAAGCTACAGGTCACATTTGACAGGCTTCCAAATTAACTGCTCGGGAAAGGTCCTAGGATTCATGGCTTACCTCCTGTCCCTGAGTAAAGAATTTTATCATGAATTCCTCTAATCTTATCGTGAGTTCCTCACAATAGTGTTCACACTCATTAATATGTAACCTATTGACATTTTTAAAAGCAATAATTTGTTACTGAATCATATATTTTTGTTCATTTGTTTTTGAATTATGAAATTTTACTGATTGTTTTGCATGTAGAACATTTTATTTTAGCCCGCACGTTGTACTCCGTAGCCAATAATTGTAACCTCTGTATCATACCCTCCAATAAAAAAGGACAACTCCAATATAAGGAATCCCCTTCCCTTTTTCTAAACTTTTTTAATAAAAGCATTCCAACTTGTAACAGACTTTGAAACATGCTAAACTTTGTTGGTGTGTTTTCTTGGGTCAATCCCCCCACGGCTTCCAATAAACCTTTATCAACATGTGAATATGTGTGATACGTGTGTGTCTTTATGTATTCCCCTATTGGTTTTCTTTTATTCTGGAAGATCCTGATCAGTCCAGTCTAATCACACAAGCTCTTAGTAACAGAGGTCTTTCTCTGGCAGCTGACAAAGGAGAAGAGCAAAAGTGGAGGTCAAAGAGATTTAAAGTGTGAGAAGGACTTCATCCACTCCTGCTGGCTTTAAAGAAATATGAGGGAACTACGAGCAATGAAATATGGCAAGTCTCTAGAAATTGCCAACAATACGTGCTGACAGCCGGGATATCAATATTACATGTACATGGAGCTAAAATCGACCGACAACTGAATTGAGTCTAGAAATGGGCTCTCCCAGTTAATTTCTAAGAGCTTAGACTTGCATACAACTTGATTTTGACTTTGTAAAACCCTATATAGAGTACTTACTCAAGACCATCAAACTTCTCACCTACAGAACTAGGAAATAATAAATCTCTGCTTGGTTAAGTAGCTACAGTTTTGGCAATTTATGTCTCATAAATTAAAAAAAAAAGTAATACAAGAGGTAATCCAGATATCACAAGATATCACAGTAAAATGTTTACAGTTCCAATTGTCTGAGATGTATTGAGGTACAAAACATACTCCAGTAAGGAGAGCTAAATTGATTCCCTCATAGCCTTACTTACACGACGTTGAATTTGGCTCATTGAAGGCAAAGTTATAGCTTTGTGAGAACCCTGTCTCTGGGGGGATGCTGTCATATGGGGTGAAATATATATTTTGAATGAGTCACCTTTATATTGTTCCAGATTTCCCAAAAGTAGGATATTAAGGTATTAATATCAAAATATACGCAGGAGTAGAACAATTCACTAATATATACTAAAGGTCTACTTGTGAATATTTGATTGCTATACCTGCAATTTTTCAGTTCCCTTCACTGAAAAATTGTACTACTGTTCCATTTAGAAAGATATGGAATAGCCCACCACACCAATTTTAGTTCTCATTCAAATAAGGAAAACAGAAAATGTATTATCATTTTAGCTGGGTACATGGATTCTTATTATTAAGAGGAAATAGCATTATAACCACCTAGTATATTCACTGAAGGTGATACCTGAAATTCAAGTGATCCTCTGGGCTATATCATCACACTGTGTATCTATTAGTAAAACTAATAGAAAATTACACTTTAAACATATTGGTATGACTACAAAAATTCATGAGTTTTAGTCCAACAAGTAGAGCACGCTGACCCTTGGGGTTGCTGAATAAAGACAAGGATAAATGGAGGGGGTAGTGTAAGGAGGAAATTATTAACATAAATTATTGCTTTGAGGCTTATTTAAGAAACAAAAAATGTAGGTGCTAGTTCATAATGTTATTTTATTTATTATGTACATATTTATATTTATCAATTTTCTTGTTTCCCGCTCTTTTTCCTCTATAATTTTATTCAAGTTTTGCAGGTTGTTATTAAAATAATTCTTTCTGCTTTACAGTGTTGCAGAATTGTGACTGAACATGGGGAGGAATGAACATTAGCTAGAGACAAAGATAGTGACCACTGGAATATTATCTCTTTAATTTAGGAAGAAGTGCAAGTACATCTCATTTTTATGAAGGAAAATTTTATTATGTTAGGCAAGAACATAGATTTGTTGCTATTATTTTTTTTTGTATGATTGATTATATCCATGGATGTTGAGTATTCAAAGAGGCAGAGTTGAGTTTTCACAAAAATAAAGTGTGTTCTAAGGATTGTTTACTCAATATCTATTCCATTGCCCTTCGACCTTCTCTTCCAGGGAAGTTGTATTTCTCAGGGTCTCTTGTGACTAAGGATGTAGATGTGGTCTAGGTTAAACCAAGCAGTAGCCCCAACATAAAATGTGAAATGAAGAAATTAGCAACTTGGAACTGGATGTGAATTTGGAGATGTATATTTCTTTTAAGCATATTGTTAGAGCTATTTGTTTCCTCTTAGTCAATTCTGGTGAAGGGTGAATGTTTGGTCTATAGCATCTTATGTTCCAAAAGGAATAGTGTGGCAATAGTGAGTTTTCTTACAGTAGAGTCTTGTGGGATGGAAAGTATTTTCCTTAGCTGTACTTGTATTGACACTGTAGCATTGATATCTGATTTTCTATTCATAGGCTACTTAAACTAATTACATGCTTTCTGCAAAATCTATTAAGAATAGATATAGTTATCTGGAACCCAGAATCTAAACATCATATGGTGAAAAGATTTTCTATATAATAATAATAGAAAAAATTCTCATTCCAGAAACATTAAAGGGTAAAGAGACTTTCAAAATAATTGTGGTTCATGCATACTTTCCTCTTTTTGTTGACTTTTAAATTTATTTATCTTCATGCAACCTTTTAGTCTTTCCCATGAATTAAATTCACCTGGTAGCCAATTTTCAAAAAGCAATCACATAGCAGCAATTCATTTTTACCACTGGATTCAGGCCGCAGATTAATCACAGGAATAATTTCTTTCATTTTTCTAAACGATTATAGCTGTTCTTGCTAGAACCGTTACAGTTAAAGGTCACTCATTATTTGTTATGCCTCTCTTTCAGAGGTATATTTCTCAGCCATTTTAATTTCCTTGAAATTTACAACTGATAGATATGTCTGGGTATGTAGTTTTATTGGAAAATTACACAAATATATTTATTTTCATAGGATGTAAAAAAAATCTGTTCTGAAGAATAGCATTTAGTAAGTATCGCTTCATGAGAATATGTGCTTTTTGTATTTGAAAACTATATATTGTAATGAAAAGTAAGTAAAAATGCAGTTCTACTGATTTTAATTAAATTCTTAGAATAGAATCTACACATTTTTATAAGAAAATTCTTACTTAAAGTGGATATTAGGTCCATATAATTATGGTTGTTGGGAAATAGAAGAATTTTTATAGGATATGAGGATAGTGATCCTTCATATTTCATGTATCTACCACACCTTACTAACTCAGGAGCAAGATAGAATCTGGGTTTGCACCATTGGGTTAAATTTTCCTAATTGGTTGGGCACTGGAGACTGACTATATTTCTCTGTGCAGCAAACATATAGAAGAGTAATTATCTCAGCTATCATATGTCCATACAATAATCTAGGCATTTTCAGCAGAAAATGAGTTACTTTTGAGTATCATAGAAAAAGAGTGGTGGTTTAAAACATGTTATTGATGCTATGATGAATAGTGTATGTTTAAATTTGTGTCCAATTTCTTTATTATTGGATATACAGAGGCATGCATACATTCATAAGTACACACATATATCATGTATACATACTGTATATGCATGCATTAAATTTATTGTATTTTTCTGGCCGGGCGCCGTGGCTCATGCCTGTAATCCCAGCACTTAGGGAGGCCCAGGCAGGCGGATCATGGGCCAAGAGACTGAGACCATCCTGGCCAACATGGTGAAACCCCGGTCATACTAAAAATACAAAAATTAGCTGGGCGTGGTGGCACCTGCCAGTAGTCCCAGCTACTTGGGAGGCTGAGGCAGGAGAATCGGTTGAACCCGGGACGCGGAGGTTGCAGTGAGCCAAGATCCCACCACTGCACTCCCACCTCGCGACAGAGTGAGACTCCACCTTAAAAAAATATATATATATTTATATAAATATATAAATATATTTTATATAATATTTAAATATAAATATATTTTATATAAATATATATGTTTTTATACAAATATATATTTTATATTAAATACTTTTTATATAAATATATATTTTATATTAAATACATTTTATATAAATATATACTTTATATAAA
The DNA here is from genome assembly GCF_000001405.40 of Homo sapiens. Classification (NCBI taxonomy): domain Eukaryota; kingdom Metazoa; phylum Chordata; class Mammalia; order Primates; family Hominidae; genus Homo; species Homo sapiens. Next base: position 34,986,788 of record NC_000004.12, read on the forward strand.
AATATATATTATTTTTCTATGTATCCCGGGACCTTGCTGTGTAGAATTATTAATTCTAGTCAGTTCTCTATTGATTTTGTTGGGTTTACTATGCTGTCATCAATTCTGCTAATAGTGATTTTTTTTCCCCAAGCCTTTCTAGGCTTTTCTGTACTGTTCTAGAACCACAAATAAAATAGTGAATATATGTGTTGATTACAAACCTCGGTGAAAGCTTTAAATATTTTACTCTTTTTGCAGCTGGTTTACTGTTTATATTTCTAGCAGATTGAGAAATCTGTCTTTATAGTCCTAATTTAATAAGAATTTTAAGTATGATGGGTGTTTAAAGTTGTCGACTGCTTTTTTGAATGTTATAGGGTCATGTGATTGTTTTTTACTATTAATGTGACATATTGAAGAGATTGATGGTATTAATTGTAAATTGTTAAATGTTAGTTAATACTTCCATTTCTGGAATAAACTCAACTTTTTCCTGTTAATGAATTTTATTTGATAACATTTTGTTCTATTTCAAGGAAGTATTATTTGTATATTTTTACTTTCTTAAATGCTCTTATCAGTTTTAGGTTACAGAGTTTTAAGACTTTGAAACACGGGCTTGGCTGGGCGAAGTGGCTCACGCCTGTAATCCCAGCACTTTGGGAAGCCGAAGTGGGAAGATCACAAGGTCAGGAGCTCGAGACCAGCCTTACCAACATGGTGAAACCCCATCTCAAATAAAAATACAAAAATTAGCCAGGCATGGTGGCGCATGCCTGTAATCCCAGGTACTCAGGAGGCTGAGGCAGAAGAATTGCTTGAATCTGGGAGGCGGAGGTTGCAGTGAGCCAAGATCGGGCCATTGCAGTCCAGCCTGAGTGACAGAGCGAGACTCCGTCTCAGACAAACAAACAAACAAACAAACAAAATGGGCTTGAAGTCCCTTTCAGTTTTTTCTCTAAAGAGCATGTAGAATACCTATGTTATAATTTTTATATATTTTTAGAAGAATTAACCAGTCTGTAGGAGCCTTGAAATTTATTTTTAAAATGCATTTTAGTAACAGATAAACTTATTTTAATATATATTAGTCATTTTCAATTATCTATGTCTTTCATTTAAAGTTGAAATTTTAGAAAAACATTAATTTTATCAAAATACTCAAAAGTATTAGTATAAAATTATATTTAATATCCTTTCATTGTATTTAATGTCTTCTCCATCAAGAGTGATGTTCCTGAATTAATCATCTATGTTCGTATTTTGTTCTCTTTCTCTCACATCACTGCAGTAGCTAGAAGTTTAAAAAGTTGTTTTACATTTTCAAAAAAATCCACTTTTTGTCCTTTGGTTTTCTCAATTCTAAATTTTCTTTCTTTATATTTGTTTATTTTTATTTTAGTAAGTTTCTTCTTTTTATTTTTTACTTTGCTATTCATTTTTAAATATTTAAAATGGTAGCAAGATTTTAGACTTATTTTTTTAATACAGGCATTTTTGGCAACAACTTTTCTTCTAAGCACAATTAACTGTAATGCACATGATTTTGGACTTTTTCATTTGTTGTTTGTTTTGATGACTGCATTATAATTATTAGGTTCAAATATTTTCTTATATGAGGTTCTATTGATTGTTGAGTCCCATAGATTGTTAAGAAGTATATTCATTAATTTATTGCCATTTTGAATAAAATGTTATGGAACTTTTCACATTATATTCTGGTTAGTATTTTACAACTTAATTCCACTGTGACTAGAAGCATACTTTAAATAATTTTAATCCTTTAATATTGGTTGAAGCTATTTTTAAGAGTCACAATAAGGTCAATTTATGTTATTTTTCTATATTAACAATAGTTTATTTTTTGTTAGATACTATGTTCTGTATATGTTTACTAAGTCATTTGTTAATTTTGTTTTTCAGATCTTCCGTATCAATATCGAGAGTTTTTTCTTATTTAAAAAAGTCATCCATTGAGAGAATTGTTTTCAAATCTTCTGCTATGGGCTGGGCGTGGTGGCTCATGCCTGTAATCCCAGTACTTTGGGAGGCTGATGTGGGAGGATGGCTTGATCACAGGAGGTGGATGTTGGAGTGAGCTGTGATTGCATCACTGCACTCCAGCCTGGGTGACAGAGCCAGACCCTGTCTCAAAAAAAAAAAGTTGTCTATGATGATTATATAACTAATTGTTTCATCCCTTTAGGCTGTTCATTTTTAAACACATATTTTAGAATAATGCTGGTGACAATGAAATTTAGAAATGTGTTATCTTCCTAGGAGTTTGATTCCATCGTCATTATGAAAAGTTTTTCTTTATTCTTAGTAATGTCTCCGTCCTTAAAGTTTACTCTGACCAATATTAAAATAAATGCCTTAAATTTTTATTGGCTATGGATTTCATGGAAAAATTTTTACATTAAAACTTTCTAAATACTAACAGTTTGCTTATGTTGACTGTAAGTCTCTTATAGATGGCTTTCAATTTTTTATTTTATTTTATATTTGTCTTTTCATTAGGGTATCTATTCTTTTTGTATTTAATGTAAATTCTTGGCATATTTGTATTTAAATCCACTTTCTATTTACTTGTTTTCTATTTTGCCCACTTATTAAAGCTTTGTTCTCCCTCCTCATCTTATTTTTGAATATATATATTCAAATAGAAAATATTTTCCAATGAAATCATATGTAATAAAATTATGCAAACACACATGGATATATATGATTTTATATTTTCTCAAAGTTAAACTCAAGGAAAGTCACTGTTTTATCTCTTTTGCAGTCACATTTTCAGCCTCTGTTCCAGTTTGTCCACAAAGGTGCAATGCAGTACAGAAAGAATATTTTAGGATGGATTAATAATATTTATGAGATCTTTTAAATAAATTCCACTTAATTGACATGCACCAGCTCCTCCTTTCCTTCACAACAAAAATTGCTTCTGAAAGAATTAATATATTAAGTTTTTACTCTGAAATAGCTCTTAAAAACCCTTTCTTTTCATTGGTTTCTGTGTTTTCCTTTTTTAAATAAAATGCCCATTTGTATTGCAGAGCTTTTAAGATTTGATTTTCCTGTAGAAATGATTTCTGAAACAGATTAGAATTTTCATAAAAAAGCATTTAAGTTGTCAAATATGTTATTTATGTTTTCCTTATATACACTTTAAATTGCCTTGGAAAGAAATTTTTAAAATATATTTAAAGTGCACCTATTAACATGTTAAATTGGAACTTATTTTTATTTGATAATAATGATGTTCACAAAGGCACAATGCAATAGAGAAAGATCATATTTTAGGATAGATTAATTATATGGACAAGATCTTTTAAATAAACTTCACTTAATTGACATGCACCAGCTTCTCCTCTACTTTACAACAAAAATTAATGAGTTTATTTTCTGCCACAGTCTGAGCTACTCGCACCAATCGAATTGGAGGCTTAAAGAAAACTATTTGTATTTGATCCCAAATATTGCTGGAGTTAAATTTTTATTACATAAATTTTAATAAAATTTTTGATAAATAGTTGGAATTCAAGTGTAAAAATAAAAAGAACGTCACAATTAAAACTAAACTAAATGTTGCAGAGATTCAAGACATTGAACTTGCTAATAATCATGCTATCTATCAAATTAAGTGTGGGCAAAATGATTGAAAAAATAATCAAGAATAAAATGTTTTAAATTATCCTATTTTTAAAAACTATTCTTTGTGTTAATAAATGTTTTTAGGCTCAAAATCTTAAAAGAACTCTAAAAATGGAAATAAGTGATTCATCACAGTTATGTTAATGTAAATATGTTCCACAGAATAATCAGTAAAAAGAAAAGACTCAATGAAAAACAAAAACAACGATAACGAAAAGCCTTTGAATTATATTAATTGTTTGGCAAATTAATACTCTATTAAAATTGAAAGAAAAAAGCGTTTAATTATTAGTTTTAAATATTAGTTTTTTATGTCTCCATGCCCTATTTACCTTTTTTGACTAATCAACCTCCTATAGTTCCTGATCCTGTTGGTTAAAAGTCTTCTATTATAGCAAAGATGGATAATTGTATTCAATGAAAACCAAAAATTATGTTTTTCTTATAATGGTAGCTAGTGGGTTCTAAATTATCTGGGATTTACCCTGGGAATTGTAGCTTTGCTTATTCATTCTTTAATGTGAAAACTAGGATGAAAGTTATGTTAGATCCTAGTTTTTAAGAAGTTTCAATTATTTGACTTTGAAATAAAGAAGATCTTAAAGCCTTTTCTAAGCTACTTGGCATGACCTCCTGTAGCTCCATTGGAAAACTTCAAAACCTTGGTTACTTAATATTGGCACTGGAAAAACTATCTCTCTACAGTTTATCCCAAATACTGAAGGTATAGTCATGTGCCTACCTATTTTTTACTTACTTAATTTTAAAGAATTTGTAAGCATCAGTCAAAAAACAATTTCCGATATTGGTTAAAATATGTCCAGAGGCTGGGCACAGTGGCTCATACCTGTAATCCCAGCATTCTGAGAGGCTGAGGCAGGCAGATTATTTGAGGTCAGGAGTTTGAGACCAGCTTGGCCAACATGGCAAAATCCCCATCTCTACAAAAAATACAAAAAATAGCCAGGTGTGGTGGTGTGCGCCCTTGGTCCTAACTACTTGGGAGACTGTGGTGGGAGGATGGCTTAAGCCTGGGAGGCAGAGGTTGCAGTGAGCTGAGATTGTGCCATTGCACTCAGCTTGGGCTATAGAATAAAACCCTGTTTCAAAAAAAAAGAAGTCACAGAACACTGTTCCCAATAGGGTGTAGGAAAGGGAAAAATGACAACAAAACTCTTCAATACTATCACGTAATACTCATTTTTTCTATTATTTTTATTTTCATGTTTTGTTTTTTATTTTTTTCCTGGTTAAAATATCATTCAGCCAGCTTTACCTCATTGTTTTGATGTAAACTGGATATTCTGTTACTAAGAACTTTGCTTAAAAATTGGGATGTAACGTAATTTTCATTCTAATTTTCACATTGAGGAATGAATAAGCAAAGCTACGATTCCCAGGATAATTTAGTTTATTTTGTTATAAAGTACTAGAATGTCTGGGCAGCATAAAATTACACAAGCAAACTTCAGTGTTGATGCATTGATTTGTGGATGATTTCTCAGAAGCAAGTGCAGCTAAAGCAGGGAAACTAAACCACCACCAGTTAATCCAGAATTGAATTTCTAAGAAATATAGAATCTGGATTTCTAAAAGTTTGAAAATACATTTATATAGGCTATAAGTAGCTTTTCAGTGACAGCTAATATCTCATAAGGAAAGAGCCTAGAGTAGTATCCCCAAAGTCTTCCTCTAATGCTATTGCTAACCTGCATTTCCCAGTGTTTGATGTTAATATACTTTAAATTAATTTTAAACTAGTGAAGTTTCCAGTGTCCTTAGGGTCCTGATACCTTCAATATCTCTCTTGAAGCTGGCAGCTTCAATTCATTTGAAATTACTTGACATCACTTATGAAAAGTCTTTGAAGTAATTCAGCCTTGACTCAGACTGAATCTACTCTGAAGTTAAAAAAAAGAAAACAAAACACAATTTTCTAAATCTCTTTTTTAGTTTGACTTTGTCATCTTCCTTTTTGTTTAGAACTTCTGAATCAGAGTTTCATTTGATCAAATAACTTGTGACCCATTTTTACACTGCAATTAATCTACTTGCTGGAAACGGATGTAATCTGAAAAATCATAGGCATTGTAAGTTTTGGATACTCCTCATATGATATTTGATATTTAAGGTTACTGTTTTATTATAATTAATCATCAAAAATTAAATGTATTCAAGTATTCCCAGATATTATACATATAGGACACTAAATGATTTTGAAGTGACTTTTAAAAAATTCTATATACATCGACAGTATATACTTGGTTAGAACCAAACAACAAGAATGTATTAGAGCATATAGCTTGTTTCCTGGGCTACCATAGAGACTGAACATTACAGATCATCCATGTATCATACAGAATTGTTTCACTGCCATAAAAAACTCCTGTGTTCTGCCTATTCATCTCTCTCTCAATCTAACTCTTGCACCAACCACTAGCACACACAAATGTCCTGAATGTGGGAAGAAACAAGTAAATATGTTCTGAGTAAAATTGATATGACCTATTATTATAAGCATTATAATGCACTTATTTAAAACTGTCCGGTTAACTTAATAAGATGGAACAATCTGCTAATTATTTCTGCTAAGATACACATAAACTGGCCAGGTGCAGTGGCTCATGCCTGTAATCTCAGCACTTTGGAAGTTTCAGGCAGGTGGATCATGAGGTCAGGAGTTCAAGACTCGCCTGGCCAAGATGGTGAAACCCCATCTCTACTAAAAACTACAAAAATTAGCCAGACGCAATGGCAGATGCCTGTAATTTCAACTACCTGTGAGGCTGAGGCAGGAGAATCGCTTGAACCTGGGTAGCAGAGGTTGAAGTGAGCCAAGATTGTGCCACTGCACTCCAGCCTGAGCAACAAACAGAGTGAAACTGTGTGTCAAAAAAAAAAAAAAATACACATAACTAAAACATCACCATTTCTTTCAGTGGTTGTGATAGGTAGTATTATCAATAAAAAATTATCTTAATAGTGCTCTTCTTAAAATAAAATACGCCTCTAAAATATCTGTTGCCAAAGAACAAAAGTCTCACTATATGTAATATTATTACCATATAATAGTGTCTACCTAGCCAATGGTCTGCTTAATTTAAATAATGGTCAATTCACCAATATTTTCCAGGACAAAAACTTCTGACAATTTACTATATCTGTCTAGTTAATATTATTTTCTCCTGCCACAAACCCCTACACTAAAATTGCAAAATCTAAAATAGCAGTAGTATCTTTACATATTTTTGCCACTGTGCTTTTTGGTATTGTTTACTACCCTGTAATTTCTGATGCTATCACTGAGGAATAGGGACAATGTTAGTGAGTCTGATTTGAGTCTTTTTGTCTGGTAGACTAGGGGGCAGGTGGGTGGGGGAGGGCTGATTCTGTAAAAAAAATCCTGAAGCTAAGCAGAAGCCCAAACTGAGAGAGAAGGGACATAGTCTGAGATAGAAGTCATAGGTTAGACACCAGAGGTCCAGGGTTAAAAAAGTGCCCGTATGGAAATAGAATGGAAAGAAACAGAACATTTGGGAATGGAGAGGTTGGCTGTAAAACAGGTAGAGATGAGGCAACAGCATTTCCTAACAGGACAAAACTGGTTGATATCCAAATTCTGGAAGTGGTGTTCAATTGACTAAGCCTAGCGAGATTAAAAGTTGCAGACTATCTAAATACCCCTTTCAGAACCTGAATGAGTAAAAGTAATACCCTGACATATGCTTTCCATGGGACATAGTATGCTTTTTTTTATTTCTTTTTTTGAAATAGTGTTATCTCCTTTGGCAAAAGGAAACATTTCAGATTGAAATCCAACTAGAAAGGTACTTAAAAAAAAAAGGGCAAAAACTTTATTTAATCATAACTACCCCCCTTCAGCGCAGCCTGTGATTATATAATAATAATAAACAGGTTTTGGGCTCATCAGGTAGTACCCAAGACAAAGCACATTCGTTTTTGAAATTGAAGTCTTTCCTCTGATTATAATTTTTCAATATTCCTCAATACTATTAGCATGTTTTCCAAATTCCTAGAAAAATCTCAGCATATCATCATGGTCCGACATAATCTTGCCAATTTCTGTGTCCAGAACCTCATTTTCTACCACTGGCTCCATGACCATGCTCCAGCCACACCATCTTGCCTTTTATTCCTCAGACATGCCAAGTTCATTATTGGCTTGAGCCTTGGCATATGCTGCTTCCTCTCTGTGGAATTAATGCCTTTGGAACTGACTATGTCCATGTATGACATTACACAATTTAGATCTCAATTCAAATAGATAATTTTCAGAGAGGCTTTTCATGACCCTTGTATCTGACCGGTTTCAGTACTTCTCTGTAAACCACGTCTCTGTTTTGTACATTTACTAGCACTTATCATTTTCTTAAATTATCACATTTTTGGTTTACTGATGATTACTACTTAATTACTATTAAATATCAGAGATGCAGTGTGTTTACTTTAGTGCTGTTTCTGAGTGCCTACATTAGCTGGGGAATGCTTAGATCTGTTCCTAGATCATAGGAGAATATGTGTGTTTTTGCATGTGTGCATTTGTGTGTGTGTGTATTTATACATACATGAATAAATATAGATATAATTAATGAATTAAATCTCAGTGGCTTAACTCTTCTCATGTAAAACTGCAGACTCACTGGAGACTTTAACGTTTGTCAAGATTTCCATCAGATTCTGGATGCATTTTAAATGCAACTTCAAGGACAAACCAAGTACCTAGGCTCTTCTTTCCATTTTATTACTCATGTTGACCCTTTTGATATAGAACTCCTTGAGCTCTTACAAGCTGAAGACGCTCAAATTGCTTAGTAAATTTCTCTTTCATGTATTTTCAGGAATCTCTGGTAAATGCATCCATGTTTCCCAAACCTGGCTTGTGGCCCTTTCTTGACTTGGCCAGCTACCTGGCTCACAATCACTGCTACTTGTTCTCTCAGAGGCCACACTACTCCCTTCTCCGAGGCTCATTCTCTGATTTCTATGAGGTTGCTACTCTTCAATTGCTTTTCTTTATTATTATTTTTATACTTTAAGTTTTAGGGTACATGTGCACAATGTGCAGGTTAGTTACATATGTATACATGTGCCATGCTGGTGTGCTGCACCCATTAACTTGTCAGTTAGCATTAGGTATATCTCCTAATGCTATCCCTCCCCCATCCCCCCACCCCACAACAGTCATGTCTTAAATGCAGTCACAGAACAATCTATGAACTACCACAGCTCCAGGTGAGACCCCACCTTTAGTGGTACTTGAATTAAATTCAGGGAAGACCCAGGGAAACAGAGATGGACACACAGAGAGATGAATTGACAAATGCCATCGGATGGAGCTTCTCTAACAGCCCATGGGGACACAGACCAAGAGATCATGGCTGGTATCTGTCAGCTTAGGAAGCATGCCTGCCTGGCCATTCCCAAGATCATCCTATGTGACAACAATCAGCTTATTTTCCCCTTACAGAAGCATCTTTGAAAATGCCTAAGGAATTTTCTGGATCAACCTTTTTATAAAACAGTATTACTGAGATATAATTGACATACAATAAATAATACATATTTAAGTGTATAATTTGATGAGTTTGACTTATTAATTCTCCCACGAAGCCATCAGTATACTCAATATTTATAAGACATTTTAACATTAAAGTTTCAGCTTCAATGTCCCCTTCTCAGAGATGCATTCCCTCATACCCTTATCTCGATTTTAAACTGTGGCAGCTTTTTTCAAGTACTCTTTAAGAGTTAACATCCATTTTATTCAGAACTCTGAACACTATCTTAAAATTATCACATGTGTGTGGTTTTTGCCATTGAAAGTAATTGTATAACACCAAATAATTGGCTCACAGTTCTGCAGACTGTACAGGAAGCAAGGCAGCATCTGCTTCTGGGGTGGTCTCAGGAAACTTACAATCATGGTGGAAGGAAAAGCGTGAGCAGGTGTCTGTCTTCACATGGCTGATGAAAGAGGAAGACAGAAAGGGGAGAGGTGCAATACACCTTTAAACAACCAGATCTTCTAATAATTCACTCACTCACTATCATGAGTACAGCACCAAGAGGATGGTGCTAACCCATTCATGAGAACTCTGGCCCAGTGATCCAATCACCTCCCACCAGGGCCCACCTTCAACACTGGGGATTATATTCAACATGAGATTCGGTGGGGACAGATTCAAACCATGTCAGGAGGTATCTATCACCTCAATAATTTATCCTTTGTGTTATAAACAATCCAATTTTATACTTTTAGTTATTTTAAAATATACAATTAAATTATTATTGACTATAGTCACCCTGTTTTTCTATCAAATGCTAGATTTAATTCATCCTCAGTATTTGTTTGTGCTCATTTGCCATTCCCAGTTCCCTCTCACCCTCCCTCATTACCCTTCCCAGCCTCTGGTAATCATCATTCTACTCTGTATTTCTATGAGTTTACTTATGTTGATTTTTAGCTCCCACAAGTAAGTGAGAACATACAAAATTTGTCTTTCTATGCCTGGCTTATCTCACTTAAAATAATGACCTCTAGTTCCACTCATCCTGTTGCAAATGATAGGATCTCATTCCTTTTAATGGCTGAATAACACTTCAGTGTGTATATGTATCACATTTTCTTTGTAAGGTTGCTTCCAATCTTGGCTATTGTGAATCGTGCTGCAATGAACATATAATAGGAGTGCAGGTATCTCTTCAAAACACTGATTTCCTTTTTGGGGGGTACATACTTAGCAGTGAGATTGCTGGATCATATGGTAACTCTATTTTTAGTTTTTTAGGAACCTCCAAACTGTTGTCCATAGTGGTTGTACTAATTTACATTCCCAACAACAGTGTACAAGGATTCCCTTTTTTCTGCATCCTTGCTAGATGTCTACTGTTTCAGTTTTAGCTTTTGTTTCCATGTTATATTTCAATTTGTAATCCATTTGATTAAATTTTTGTGAATGATGTAGTTTGTGAGTCTGTACCTAGATTTATTTCTTTTATCAAATGGATATCCCATTGTTCTTACACCATATAATGAAAAGACTACCCTTTCTACGTTGAGTTGTCTTTAGTTCTTCTCAACGATCAGTAGACTATATTAGTGTGGATATCTTTTGAGGCTCTGTATTTTGTTCCATTCACCTATGTATCTATATGTTGCCAGTATCATGATATCTTGTAGCTTTATAGTAAATCTTGAAATTGAATAGTATGAGTCTTCCAGCTTGTTCTACTTCATTAGTATTGTTTTGACTATCTTAAGTTGTTTGCCTTTTCATATAAACTCGACAATCAGCATGATGACATATGCAAAATATCTTGCTGAGGTATGACTGGGATTACATTTAATCTGTAGATCAATTTGGGAAGAAATGCCATTTTAACATTATTGACTTGTTCAATCCATCAACATGCAATATACCTCTGTTTAGATTTCCTTTTATTTGTGTCATCAGAATTTTACATTTTTCACATCAAGGTCATGCACATATTTTGTTATATGATTACTTAAGTATTACATTTTTGAGGCTATTAAAATGGCATTATATTTAATCTCAAATTCCAATTCTTTGTTGCTGGTACGTAGAAAAATATTTTTTTTTTGCACTTAAACTTGCTATATCACTTCTTAATTCTGAGAGTATTTTCTTAATGGAATCTTTTGGAATTTTCCACTTAGCCAATCAGGTCATCTGTAGACAAAGTCAGTTTTATTTCTTCTTTTTTAAATGGCATTATTTTCATTTATTTTCTTGTCAAATTGCTCTAGCTAGGACTTCCAGTATGGTATGTGATAGGAGAGTAAGAGAAGACAGCTCGTCTCATTTTCAATCTTTGGAATACCATTAAATATGACATTAACTATAAGATTTTTGGGGGGTGTTCATTATTAAATTGAGGAATTTCACTTCTATTCCTAGTGTGCTGAGATATTTTATTATAAATGAGTGTTGGATGTTGTCAAATGCTTTTGCCATACTTATTACATGATCATATGACTTTTTCTTCACTCTGTTGACAGAGTGGATTATATTAATTTATTTGTGGAAGTTGAACCAGCTTTGCATATCTAGAATAGTTTTTACTTGCTTGTGGTGTACATTTTTTGTAAATTCTTGTATTTAGCTAATTTTTTTTTTAAATTTTGCATCTCGAATTGAAAAGATATTGATTTTTAGCTTTCTTTTCTAAGTGATTTTCTTTTCTGATTTTAGTAGTAGGGCAATGCTGGTATCATTTCTTTCTTAAGTGTTTAAGTTTTTAATTGAATTCACCAGTTAAACCAACTGAGACATTTTTTTTAAATGTCAGTAATTATTGATTTAATTTTTTAGTAGATATACGTCTGTAGAAATTATTCACTTCTACTTGAGTATGTTTTGGAAGGTTTTGTCTTTCAGGGAATTGCTCAATTTTATCTAAGTTACCAAATTTGTAAGCACAGAGTTGTTCATGATATTTTTTATTATCCATTAAATGTCACTAGGATCAGTACTGATGATCCCTTTTTCCTTTTTGACAATGGTAAATTGTGACTTACATCTTTTTTCTTGGTCAGCGTGGCTAGAGGTTTATCAATTTTATAGATGTTTTCAAAGAAGCAGCTTTTGGTTTTATTATTAATTTATATTGCTGTTATATTTTAAATTACATTGATTTCAGCTCTATTTAAATTATTTATATTTTTCCTCTTTTGTCTTAAAGTGCTATTCTTCTCTCTAGTTTTCTAAGGTAGAAATACGTTATAAATTTTAGATTTTTCTTCTCTTCTTGTTTACACATTCAATGCTACATATTTCCTTCTAAGCATTGTTTTTGCTGCATCTCATAAATTTTGATCCTATATTTTCATTTTCCTTTACTTCAAAACATATTTTTAATTAATCTTATCATTTCTTCTTTGCACATGTTTAGAAGTATGATTTTTAATCTTCAAATATTTTGGAATTTTACAGTTATCTTTCTGTTACTAATTTCTAGTTTAATTCCATTGTTATCTAAGAATATACTTTGCATGATATCAATTTTTTTGAATTTGTTAATCTGTGGTTTATGTCCCAGAATATGTTCTACCTTGGTGAATGTTTTACGTTATGTTTCATTTCTATCAGTTTTTTTTTTTTTTTTTTGCCTCACAGATTTTGATGCTTTGTTATTAGGTACACACAAGAGAATACATGCAAGTATTGACCTTTTCGTCACTATGTAGTGTTCCTTATTATCAGTCATAATTTCCGTTTTTAAATGTCTACTTTGTCTGAACTTAATATAATCATTCCAGATTTATTTTGATAAGGGTTAACTAGCATGGCATTCCTTTCTCTATCTATTTTCTTTGTCTGTTGATATTCAAATAGGTTCTTGGAGACAACATAAAGTTGGGTTTTATATTTTCATCTATTCTGAAAATCTGTATTTTTACTGGTATATCATGACCACTTACATTTAAAATGATTATAGGTTTACTATGTTTGTAACTATTTTCTATTTGTTGCATTTGCTGTTTGTTGTTTCTTCTCACTCTTGTATTGCCTTCCCCTCTATTTCTATCTTCTCTGGATTTAATTGAATTTTTGGTATTATTCCATTTTATATGAGTTTTAGCTTATCAATATACAACATTTTGAATTTTTAAATAGCTGTCCTAGAGTTTGCAATGTACATTTACAACTAATAAGTCCACCTTCAATTAACACTATTTATTACTTTATACAGTTATATTTTAGATCACTTTGGGAATATGATACAATAAAAGGTATTTTATCTTTATTCCTCCTCTGATGATTTCCTTTCTTTAGTAAGTCTAAATTTCTATTATATATTACATTTTCTTCTCCAAGAATAAGTTCCTTTAAAAGTTATTGCATGGTAGATCTCCTGGAAATGAATTTTTTTAGTTTCCTTTGGTTGGAGAGAGACTTTATTTCTCCTTTATTTTGAAGAATAATTTCATTAAACATAAAATTCTAGTTTGGTATTTTGTTCTTACTATACTTTAAATATTTAACTCCACTCTCTTGCTGTCATGTTATCTTATGGGGAGTTTACTCTAATTATTATCTTTTTTCTTCTATAGTTAATGTCATCAGTCATCTACAGAGACTTTCTACAAAATATTCTACAAAGATTTTTTTCCTTGCACTTGGTTTTCTACAATTTGAATATAATATGTCTAAATATAGACAGTTTGGTACTTAATCTGCTTGATGTTCTCTGAACATCCCAGATTGGTGTTTCGATACCTATCATCAACTTCGTAAAATTTCCAGCCATTATTATTACATCAAGTATGTTTTCTGCTATGGTCTCATATATCTCTCTGGTATTCCAATTATATTAATGTTACACATTTTGAAATTGTCCTACAGTACTTGGATAGTTTGTTGTTGTTGTTGTTGTTTTCATTTATTTTTCTACTTTCATTTCATTTTGGGATGTTTATTTTAATGTATCTTGAAAATCATTAATTCTTTTCTCAGCCATGCCCAATTTACTAATATGTCATTGAGTGGTACTCTTCAAACGTGTTACATTGTTTATGATTTCTAACATTTTCTTTTGATTTTTTCTTAGAGTTTCCCAGTCTCTGCTTACATTTCACATATGTTTCTGCATATTGTCTAATTTGTCCTTTAGAGCTCATATATTAATTATAGTTATTTAAAATTCCTTGTCTGATAATTCCAAAATCTGTGTCATATCTGAATCTGATCTGATACATGATTTGTCTCTTCGGTGTGTGGTTTCTTTCTTTACTTTTAGCATGACTTGTAATTTTTAGTCAAATGCTACATTTGATGTATTGGGTAAAAGCAACTCAGATAACAGCATTTATTGTAATTTTATGTTAGTCTAATTAAGAGTAGGGCTGTATTTAATGTTTGCTGTAGCCACAGGTTTCAGTAGTTTCCTTTTTGACCTTTATATCTCTCCTGCTGTCTTTGGGCTTCTCTACAAAATGTTCCCTACATGGAGTCTGCACCTTGCAGCTCTTTCAGTAGTAACCCAATGTTATTATGTTGAAGTCCTATTGACATGGTGGTAAGGTGTGGAGGAGAGAAGGTGTTTTATATATTTATGATTATGTCTCTGTCTTTTAGTGGTCTGTGTTCTTGTCTTTTGAGTTTCACAAGTGTTTCTTAATCTCTCACCTTAGGTTAGCCTGGAAGAGTAAAGGGGTCTCAAGTTGCATAAACACCCTATCCCTAAGAGGGATAAGGCTCTAGTAAAGTCTTTTATTCTGAGAATTGGCCTTTTATAAGAGGTACATTCTGGACCCAATTCAAAATGGCTTGTCATGAGGATATCTTTCTAAGTTCTTCACTGTGTAAGTCTGGTCAGTTTGTGAAGGTAAAACACATAAAAGTTTATCTCCTTCCCCCAAGCAGTAGCTCTCAGGGGTTTATCAACTCTCACACTAGTCCATAATCAGCATCTATCAATTCATCAATTTACCATTTAAGTTTTCTTACCAGTTTATGACTTCAAGAGATTTTGTTTCAGCTGCAATTTTCTGTATTTGCCTGTTTCTCCAGATTTCAGAGATGGTCTTCACCCACAATCTCTGTGGATCTTAAAAAGTTCAGATCTTTATGGATACTATAAAACAAGTCATTGACCCTTAATTTGTTCTGCATTTTTCTTGTTGTAAAGATGGGAATGACAATTCCCAAGTTCTTTATATATTTGTGCTAAAACAGTAAGTAAATGAAAACAGCTTTACTAAGATGTAATTTGTACACCATAAAATCTAACATTGTAAATATACAGTTGTATAATTTTGGTAAATTATTACAGTTGTAAAACAATCACCACAATCTAATACTTCAACATTTCCATCATTCAGAAAATTTTTCTTGTTCCCTCTGTCAGTCAACATTTCCCACCCCGAGACACAGACAAGCACTGATCTGCTTTCAGAATCTATAATTTTGCATTTCCTAGAAATTACATGTAAAATGAATCCCAGAATAAGAATTATCTTGTTTTTCTTTCTTTCAACATAATGTTTTTGTGATTCATTAATGTTGCATGTGTCAATAGTTCATTGTTTGTTATTACTGAATATTATTTGATTCTAAAATGTGTATGTGGCATATTTTGTTTATTCACTAGTTGATGGGAATATGGCCTATTTCTTGTATTTTGCTATTTTGAATAATTCTGCTAAGAATATTTATGTGCAAGTCTTTCTGTGAACATATGTTTTCATGTCTCTTGAGTAATTACGTAGGAGTGAAATTCTTGGGTTATATGGTAAATTTAGATAAAGCTTTTAAAGAAACTACCAAAAAGTGTTCCAAAGTGGCTGTAGTTTTATATTCCCACCAGCAATGTATGAGGGTTCCAGTTTCTCCATATTCTCAACATGAGTTAGCACAATTTGTCTTTCAGATTATGCCTTTTCTAGTGGTCACATTTCAACTTACGTTTCCCTAATGAGATATTATTTTGAACATATTTTCATGTGCTTATCAGCCACTCTTATGCTTTCTTTGGTGAAATCCACATTCAAAACTTGTGCTCATTTCAATAATTGAGTTGTCTTTTTGTTACTTCATTGAAGTGTCCTTGATAGACTTTAAATAAAAGTTCTTTTTTGAATATATGATTTGTAAATATTTTCTACCAATCTGTACCTTATCTTTCTGTGGACTTAATGATATGTTCTGAAAGCAAAATATTTTTATCGTGATATCAGTTTTTTAAAAGGGTGGATAAAGTTTTGTGTCACAACTGAGAACACTTTGCCTTATCCAAACCTATGAGGATTTTCTGAAATATTTTGTTAGAAGTTTTGCAATTTTTTTTTTTTTTTTTACCGTTAGGAGTGTTTTTGTAGACAATATGAAGTAAGGTTCTAATTTTACTTTTTTGCATATAAATCTAACAGTTCCAGCATTTTTAAAATGTGTAAAAATTAACTGACCATAGGTCAACATTTGGACTTGTTATATTGTCTATTTGATTTATGTATGTCGATTACTGTAGCTTTTTATTAAATTTGAAATCAGGTAGTATAAGTCCTCCAACTTTATTCATTTTGAAAATTGTTCTACTATTGCAGTTCCTTTGCAGTTTATATTAATTTTAGGTTCAGATTTTTAACTTCTAAAATGATTCTTCTGGAATTTTAATAACATTTGTATTAAATTTATAGGTTGATTTGGAAAATCCTAGGGAGAAAATATTCAGTGTTTAAACAATAAGTGTCTTATTTACTTTTGCTTTTTTGTAGATATTTCTTATCAAGTTGAAAAAAATCCTTTCTGCTTCTAGTTTGTTGAAAAACTGAAGGATAATGTGTAATGAGTTATGTAAGATAGTTTTTCTTCATCTATTTGAGAAATCTGGTAGCTTTTGTTCTTTATTCTGCTGAAGTGGTATACTAGATTATTTTGCTTCCAATCTTAAATCTTCTTTGTATTGTAGGATACATTAATTCCTGGGATACACCCAGTTGGTTATGCTGTAGAATCCTTTAAATATGTTTTCAGAATCAACATGTTAACATTTTGTAATGATATTGCATCTTTTGGTGAGAAATATTAGTATGTAGTTTTCTACACTAATAAAGCCTCCATTTTGCTTTGGTATCACCTCAATTCTGGCTTCATAGGTTAGGTTAGTAATTTTTCCTTCTTCTCTACATTCTGAAAGTTTATGTTGTAGTGGTATTGTTTCTTCTTCAGTGTTTGATAAAATTTACCTGTGATGCAATCTAAGCCTAGAATTATATTTATACAAAGATTTTTATTATGACCTAATTTTTATTACTTCTTGGGTCTATTCAGGTTTTCGATTTTCTTTTCAGTCAGTTCTGGTAAATAATATAGTTCGGGTAATTTTTAAAATTTTATCTATGTTGTCTTATTGGTTGGCAAAAAGCTATTCCTAATATCCTGTTAAGGTAATTTTAACTTCTGAAGGATCATTGATGATAATTTCTCTTATTCCTGATTTTGGTAATTTGTGTCGCCTATATTTTTCCTGATCATTCGAGAGAGAAGTTTAAAAATTATACGGATTTTCAAAAAGAACAAATTTTCTATTTTAGTTACGTTTATTCTACTGATTTTCATTATTTATTTCACTGATTTCCACATTGATATTTATTATTTTCTTCTGCTCACTTCAAGTATCATTTACTGTATTTTTATTGTTCTCAGGTGGGAGCTGAGGTTATTAGTTTGAGATCCCTTTTTTGTTTCCAATATAGGCATTTAGTGTTATAAATTTCACACTGAAGCTTCTTCACTTGCAATGTACAATTTTTGATATTTTATGTTTTCATTGTCATTCAGGTCACAATACTTTCTTAGCTTCCCTTTGATTTCTTCGTTCACTTATGGGTGATTTCTTCGTTCACTTATGGGTTATTTAAAAGTCTATTTACGGCCAGGGAGGTGGCTCACGCCTGTAATCCCAACACTTGAGGAGGCTGAATTGGGCGGATCACGGGGTCAGGAGTTCGCAATCAGCCTGACCAACATGGTGAAACCCTTTCTCTACTAAAAATACAAAAATTAGCTAGGCGTGGTGTGCCCACCTGTAGTCCCAGCTACTCAGGAGGCTGAGGCAGGAGAATCGCTTGAATCCGGGATTCAGAGGTTGCAGTGAGTTGAGTCAAGATAGCACCACTGCACTCCAGCCTGGGTGACACAGCGAGATTCCGTCTCTGAAAAAAAAAAAAGTGTATTTAAGCTTTAGTTACTAGAGGATTTCCCAGTTACTATTCTGTTATTGACTTCCAATTTAATTCTATTTTGGTCAGAGAGCATTCATGCATGAATTAAATCATTTTAAATTTATTGAGATGTATATTATGGTCCATAAAAATATAGTTCACTTTGATAAATTGTTCATGGAATCTTAAGAAAACTATATTCTGTTATTTCTGGATAAATTAGACCACTTTAGATTATCATACTATTTAAGTATTCTATATAGTTGGTAATTTTTGTAAGAGTTAAAATCTTTGACTATAACTGTGAAGTTGTCTATTATTGGTAGAGACAGAAGATCTACCAGATTCTGCTTTATGTCTTTTGATGATCTGCATTAAGGTGTATAAATCTGATTGGTTAATTGGCTCCTTATTTATTATGCAATAGCCCTCCCCTCCCTAACATTATTTGTTTGCTCCTAATCTTATTTTTGTCGTTAATAATGATAGTTTATTTTTTATTAATGTAAGCATGGCCTATAATATTCTATATTTTCCTTTTAACTTACTTTATATTTAAAGTAGTTTCATATAAGAAGCATATCATTGGATTTTGCTTTTCTAAATCCAATATTACCATCTCTTCTATTTAATTTAGCTGTTCTGACCACATACATTTAATGTACATATTAATAGCAATTAAAAATTTAAAAAAATTTATTCTAACTTATTTGATTCACATTTTCTCTTTTTATGCTACCTTTGACTAAATTAGGCAATTTTTTTTGTGTGGTTTCATTGTTTGTATTTTCTTTGGAGACTTGTTGCCTTGAAGAGAGCAATTTATATAGTAAAAGATTCATCATTTTTGTGGAGAACCGAATAAATGTTTCATTTGAAAATCAATATATCAAGCATATTTTAACAAAATTAGAAAAAATAAAATATTAATTTACCAACATAAGTAAATTCACATATAAAACTCTTAACATGTAGCAATTTTTATATTCCATTTTTACCCTTTGTTACATTATTTACTGTAAATCATGTATATATTAGTAGTTTCACTAAAGTTTATAGTTTATATTTTTAACTCATAACATTCTATATTCAGGTAACATTACAAAATTTAACATGTAGTTTAGGAACCCTTAACAACACATTCCATTCCTTCATGTTATGCATTTTTAAGGGAAATGGGCTCTTATCCATAAAATTCAGTGGGCTTACAAAGTAGCTTATGACTCATAAGCAAGTGGCCGTATGTTATGATAAAATGATTCTTTAATGACATTAGGTCATTACAACACCTTGTAGTTTGTACTGTTATACAAAATGTTGTATTTATAATTATTATTACTACTAGTAGTAGTAGTAGTGTTAGCAGTAGAGATCCCCCTGCCTCGGCCTCCCACAGTGCTAGGATTGTAGGTGTGAGCCACCATGCCTGGCCAGTTTTTTCTAATATTAAACAATAGAAATATTCATCTAAATCAATACATATTAATAACAATTAAATGAGCTTCCTAAATATGCTGTAAAATTTATCAAAAATTGGAGGGCTTAAAACAATAGGTAATTTTTTTTCACAGTTCTGGAGGCTAGACATCCAAAATAGCAGAGCCACAGACAGCCTGCATATTCTGGGGAGACTCTTTCCTAGCCTCTCCCAGCTTCCAGTGCCTCCTGGAATTTCCAAGCTTCCTTTCCCGAATCACTCTCATCTCTACTTTCTTGGTCACATTGCCTCTTCTCCTTCAGATATCTCTCCTCTGGGTATCTTTTAAGGTCATTTTTTATTGGATTTAGGGCCTACCTGGATAATCCAGGATGATCTCATCTTGAGAACCTTACATTAATAACATCTGCAAAGACCTTTCTCCAACTGACCCCACATGTATAAGTTCTGTAGCTTAGAATATAGCCATATATCTCAGGGTAGGGGAGTACTATTCAGCCTATGATAAGAATCAAAAAATAAAAGTGACAGTGATAGATAAAATTAAGTCATAAAGATACAATAATCCATGAATATTGTTTCAAAATTCATTAATAAAGTTGTATTAACCTGATATAATACAGCTTAAATTTCATTTAAATGTTTATTCATGGAGATATTTTAAAAGAAACAAGACAGTGAGCATTATTTTTATCAAGAATTCTTTGGAAATAGGCTCCTTATTAAACCTTCATTGGCATCTACTGGCATAGAGATCCCTCAGATTTTGTAGTTTATTTCAGAGACAGCAATAGGTCAGAAAATTATTGGTTTAGGGAATAACATAAAATGATGTGATATTTATTCAGAAGTTAACTGAGTGTTCAAAATAAAGGAATTGTCATGAAATTATTTATTATATTCTATTATTCAGTATATAGTCTATGTGCTTTTAATTTCTATTATGTTTAATTATGAACACTGACATTTATTTTGATTGATGTGCTGCTCTACTTCACATGGCTCTATTTGGTTTTCCCAGACATTCTTCAACACAACATTTGACTTCAAGACTGAATAAAGCTAAAATATTCAACAAAGTGTGGTTTGGCATTATTGAAAAATAGATCAATTGGAAAGAATGGGGAGCCCTGAAATAGCCTCCCACAGGTATATATAGTTGTCCTGTCATATCGGTAGATGATTGGTTTCAGGATCCCCCTCAGACACCAAAATCCACAGATGCCCAAGTCCCTTATATAAAATGGCATAGTACTGCATATAAGCTACATACATCCTCTCATATACTTTAAATCATCTTTAGATTAATTATCCTATATAATGCAGTATAAATTCTATATGAATAGTGGTTCTACTATATTGCTTAGGGAATTATGACAAGGAAGAATATCTGCCTAGTACAGATGCAACTGATGGATTTTATTTTTTAATTTTTTTTTAATCTGTGGTTATGTTGAATTCACAGATGTGAAATCCACAGATATGGAGTGCTAACTCTAATCTAACTTTTGACAAAGTTGTCAAAAGGCAACTGAGTGGAAAAAACATAGGCTTACCAAAAATGGTTCTACAATAACTTAATATCCATATGCAGATAGTCTATACCTTGCACTGTATACAAAACTCAATTCAAAGTGGATAGTAGAACTAAATATAAACCTAAAACTGTGAGAATTCTACAAGAAGATATAGGAAAGAAAATTTATTATCTTATAATAGGCAAATGTTTCTTAGTCACAATAACAAAAGCATGACCCACAAAGAAACAAATTGATACATTTGATTAAAATTCAGAGTCGGTCTTTCAAGACCCTGCTAAATTAATAAAAGGTAAAACACCTTGAATGTATCATTATATTTCCACTCTTAGGTATTAAGAGAAATGAAAGCATTTGTCTTCAGACATTTCAAGCACTTTTTTAATAGCTATTCTATTTTTAATAGCAATAAAATGGAGAAAACACAATAGAATACTATTCAGTTATAAAAAATAAACTATTGGTAAGCATGACATGGATGAATCAGTATAATTGAGTAAAACAGACACCCCTTCTTCCCTACCAAAAGGAGTGTATAATATATGAATTCATCTCAACAAAATTCTGGAAAATATAAACCAATCTTAATGGTTCTACAAAGCAGGTCAGTGGTTGCCCGAAGTATGTCAGAGGGAGAGGTTATCAGGGAGTAGACAGAAATTTTGGAGTTGATGGATAAATTAATTATTTTGATGGCATGTTAGTACCATGGTGTAAACATTTGATAAGTCAAAACTTATCAAATAGTATACTTTAAATACACACATGTTTATAGTTTATTGCATGTAATAAAAATGGTTGTATAACTATATATATCGCTTATTGCATGGAAATTTTAACTCAGTAATTAGTTACAGCATTGTGGATGGCCTGGAGTTGTAGAGTTTTTTCTGGCGGGGGTGGGTAGACAATTATTCTTGTTTGCTTTCTGTCAAAAAGTGGGGGTCACATGCAACAGACTAGACTAACTTAAATAATGTTCAAAAAAGACGTTCAAGATGATGCCCTGGTCAATCCAAGAAATCCTACTCAGGTTTATGTGTGGAGCAGTATAAGACAAATCGATCCATGGAACAGGATAAAAGTGTAGATATAGAGTCTCACATACGGGGACAGTTGAGTTTTGACCAAGGTACCCAGTCAATCCATGGAACTAGAACACTGCCCCTGGTGGAGTTTTCCCACAAAAACTAAGGAGCATGAATATCTATATTAAAAAAAAAAAGTCATAATTTTTACCTGTGTCATTCTCAATACATAAATTCCTGTCAGAGAAGTTATATACGTAAAAAGCTAAAAATATACTTTGTAACAATAACGTAGGTGTAAATGTTCTGGAAAATATCTAGCATGCAGCATAGGAAAAGAAAAAAATGAGTTAGACTCTGTATAATTTAAAATACCTGCCCATCAAATAAAATAATTAAAAAAATTATAAGATAATAAACATATTTGGCTGGCCGTGGTGGCTCGCCCCTGTAATCCCAGCACTTTGGGAGGCCGAGGAGGGTGGATCACAAGGTCAGGAGATCGAGACCAGCCTGGCCAAGATGATGAAACCCTGTCTCTACTAAAAATACAAAACATTAGCTGGGCATGGTGGCAGGTGCCTATAGTCCCAGCTACTCTGGAGGCTGATGCAAGAGAATGGCGTGAATCCAGGAGGCTGAGCTTGCAGTGAGCCAAGATCACACCACTGCAGTCCAGTCTGGGCAACAGAGTGAGACTCCGTATCAAAAAAAAAAAAAAAAAAAAAAATAGATAATAAACATATTTGGAGAATACAGTCCCAATACTTTTTTTCTAACAGTAAAACACATATTTGGAATACATAAAGAATTTCTACATATTGAAAATTAAAAATGGGCAAAATCTTAATCAAATACATCGGAAAAGATGACACACAGATGACCAATAAGCATATGAAAAGGTTTTCAATATCAATAGTTATTAAGGAATCCAAATCAGGACCACTGTTTAGTACACACACACACACACACACACACACACACATACACACACACACACAAATGGTTAAGATTTCAGTAAACAGAAAATGACTAATCATAAAAATGTAAGCAATAATTTGGAGAAACCAGAAATTCCAAATATTTCAAATATTTCCAGTTACCATGAAAAATATTATGATTGTTTTGAACAATTAATAATTTCTTTAAAAATTAAGCATACACTTAGGACTTCTATTTATGCAAAATGTAAGAAAAATCATGCCTATAAAATATTTACACAAGAATATTTATAGTAGTCTTATTCATAAGAGCCAAAAAAATTAGAAACACCCAAGCTTCATCAATAGGACAATGGAAAAATATGTTGTGATATATCACAACAATAGCATACTATCAGATAATAGAAAGGAATAAATTATCGACATATAAAAGAAAATTGATGAATCTCAAAAGCATTAAGTTACTTGAACATAGGTTGCTTCATATGAGCAGAGTGCAATAACAGGCAAAACTAAAGGGTGGTGACAGAAATAAGAAAGTGGTAACCTGGGATAGGAGATAGTTTACCAAAAGAAGGCAGGTGGCAATCTTCACTTTCTGGTCGCTGAAGTAATATAAATCTTGTTTGGGGTTCGTTTATAAGCATCAATTGCCAAAACTCATTGAGACTGGCACTTTTGAACCACATCTTATATGTACTTTTTACAATTAAAAATAATATGTGCTTTTATGGCTAAATGTTATCATGTAGTTTATAGTCCTTTATATTTTTATAGGACTAGTGTCATCTCTCACTGGGCCTCTCAAACAAAATGATTTTAGTATTAGAGTAAAAAAAAATCTTCCTTTCTAATACATTATTTACTGCTTAACATTTTTCTAAATTTGAATGTGCTTCATATTTTGACCATGACATTCTTATATATTTCCTCTCCCCTCAAGTATTTATAATAGACTGTTAACATTTTTCCTTTTTTGTCTGTTATTGACTGAAAGTTTTTGTCCCCTAAATATGTTATGTTGATGCCCTAAACCCATACATGGCTGTCTTAGGAGATGAGAGTTCTGAGGACGTAATTATGGTTAAATAGGTCCTAAGTGGGAGGGTCTTGATCCAATAAGGTTAGTGTCCATATAAGAAGAGACTCCAGAGCATTGTCTTTCTCTCTCTCTTGCGCTCTCTCTTTCATCTATCTCTGGGTCTAGGAAGAGTCATGTGAGGATACAGAAAGGCAGTATTCTACAAATCAGAAAGAAAAGCTTCACCAAAACTCAACTTCCAAAAAGCAGTCTATTGTTTTGGGTCTCTCTTAGCTCTGATGAGGAGTCACCCATATTTCTTTTTGATATTCCCCTCTACATTATGTGTGTATCCCCGCTCTCCCTGCTTTTTAAGCCTTTTCTTTTTTTGGCATCCAACAACTTGACTGAAGTACCTAGACATGTGCACACACATGCACATGGCCACGCTGGAGTTAATTGCACTTCTTAGAACTGTGGGTTATATTTTCTTCTCAATTTCATAATAATTTAGGCCAGTATTGCTTTTTCCCTTTAACTTCTAGCCACATACCCTCTCCTTTCTTCTTCTGTACCTCTCTCTGTTTTCACATGTTTTAGATTGCTTGGTTTTGTCTCATATATTCTGAGTATTATTTCACGTCCCCTGTTTAGATTTTTTTCTTTTGGTATATCTTTTTGTGGATTAGTGCATTCCCCTGCTGTGTCAGATACCAATTAATCCCATCATATTAATTCTTTATTTCTGATGCTTCCTGGGTTTTTCTAATGTTTAAGTTATATTCCTTTTTATGGTTTCCATCTCTTTTCTAGTATTCCTTATCTTATTTTCTGTAGTTATTCTAGACACTGTCCGATAATTTCAATATATGGGCCAGCTGTGGGTTTGCTTCTATTACCTATTATTTCTATTGACCAGAATTCTTATTTCTTTACAGATTTCATTACCATCTGTGTTATTCTTTTTCTCCTGCTGATTTTTCAGGGACAAAGAAGCTACTGGTCTCACCCTGTGTAATTCTATAACTAGAAGGCATAATTTAGGTAGGAGGACTGTTTGAGGCCAGGAGTTCAAGACAAGACTGGGCAGTATAGTGAGGCTCCCGTCTCTATAAAACAAAACAAAAAAACCCTCAGTGTAGTGGCATGCTACTGCAGTCTTAGCTATTGAGGAGGCTGAGGCAGGAAGATCACTTGTACCCAGAAATTCAAGGTTACAGTGCACTATAATCATGCCACTCTACTCCAGCCTGCATGACAGAGTGAGACCCTATCTCTGTCTCTCAAAAAGAAAGACATAATTTGACAAGAAACATGGATAGGTGTTATTACAAGTTAAATACAGGTACAATTAAATGTCATGTTAAAATTGGTTAAGATCAGAAATAAAAGAGAAACCACAGAATTGTGATCAACATGGATTTAGAATAATTGACTATAGGCAGCATAATCAAGGAGAAACAATAACAACTAACAATTATCAATGCCCTCTTTCCTATAGAGACAAGACTAAAAGACATATGTGTGTTTTTATTTTTATTTTTTGGAAATGCACACCATGTTTATTATTATGGAAGGTAGTGTTTGTGTGTGTATGACACACACTTTCCCTACTGGAGAGACATGAACACATGTTATGCACATACCCACATATTTATACACATCATTTCAATATCATATTAACATGCTTTAGATAAAATATATTTTTAATTGTATTCATCCAAAAATATAATGGAATGCATTTAAAGCAATTTATCTGTTTCCTTTTTCCTTCTTTTATGTTCTACTTACATTTCTCCTTTATCTTTTCTTACTCTTTAAAATTAAATAAAATACCAATAGAATGTAGCAATTAAGTGGAATATAAATGATTCACATGGTGAATAAAAGAGAGATCCTTTGTGTGGTGTACTTGCCTAAGTAAAAGTTGTTTTATATGTGCCTTATATATTTCTATTCTGACAGTGTTGGAGAAAACCCATTATCCCTTTCATCAAGAAAGCCCAGTTTGAAGGGTAAAAATAGTAACATTTTTTATTTACAATGGTGTATCTAAAAAATTTTAAGCTTATAGTATTAATTTATTTTAAAATAATTAAAATTAGTAATAATTTATACCTTTAAAAATAATTTCAACTTTTATTTTAGATGCAGGGGGTACACGTGAAGGTTTATCACATGTATATATTTCATGATGCTGAGGTTTGGGATCTAATTGATCCCATCACCCAGGTACTAAGGATAGTACTTGATAGTTAGATTTTTAACACTTACCTTCCTCACTCCCTGCTCTAGCAAGTCCCTAGTTTCTATTGCTGACATCTTTACATCCACGAGTAGCCATTGTGTAGCTCCTACTTATAAGTGATAACATGTAGGATTTGGGTTTTCTGTTCCCATGTTAAATACCTTAGGACAATGGTCTCCGTCTCCATCCATGTTGCTACAAAGGATATAATTTCATTCTGTTTATGGTTCCATAATATTCCATGGAGTACATATACCACATTTTCTTTATTCAACCCAACATTGATGGGCACCTATGTTGATTTCATGTCTTTGCTATTGTGAATATTTCTGTGACAAATATAAGTGCATTATCTTTTTGGTGAAATGGTTTATTTTCATGCATGTATATAAATGAAATATATATATATATACATGAAATATATATATACATGAAATATATATATACATGAAATATATATATATATTAGCATTCAACTCAGCAATCCCATTTTATATATATATATATATATATATATATATATATATATATATATATACACACACACGAAATATATATATATGGGATTGTTGAGTTTAATGGTAATTCTGTTTTAAGTTCACTGAATGCATTAGTCCGTTCTCACACTGCTATAAAGAGCTACCTGAGACTGGGTAATTTATGTAGAAAAGAGGTTTAATTGACTTACAGTTCTGTAGGCTGTACAGGAAGCATGGCTGGGAGACCTCAGGAAACTTACAATCATGATGAAAGGCAAAGAGGAAGCAAGTACATCTTAGCATGGTGGAGCAGGAGAGAGAGAGAGCAAAGGGGGAAGTGTTACACATTTTTAAACAACCATATCTTGTGAGAACTCACTCACTATCATAAGAACAGCAAGGGGGAAATCTGCCCCCATGATCCAGTCATCTCCCACCAGGTCCCTGTCCCAACACTGGAAATTAAAATTTGACGTGAGATTTGTTTAAGGACACAGAGCCAAATCATATCACTGAGAAATCTCCAAACTGCTCTCCATAGTGGCTGAACTAATTTACCTCCCCACCAACAGTGTATCAGCATCCCCTTTTCTTCACTGCCTTGCCAGCACTTGCTGTTTCTTGACTTTTTAGTAACAGCTATTCTGACTGGTGTGAGATGGTATCTCATTGTGGTTTGGATTTGCATTTATCTAATGATTAGTGATACTGAGCATATTTTCATATATTTGTTGGCTGCTTGTAGGTCTTCTTTTGAGAAGTGTCTGTTCATGTCTTTTGCCCAATTTTTAATGGGAGTATTTGTTTTTTGTCTCTTGATTTTTTTAAGTTTCCTATATATTCTGGATATTTGGCATTTGCCAGATACATAATTTGTGAATATTTTCTCCCATTCTGTAGGTTGTTTGTTTACTCTTTTGATGGTTTCTTTTGCTATGCAGAAACTCTAATTTAATTAGATCCCACTTGTCAATTTTTGTTTTTGTTGCAATGGGTTTTGAGGACTAAGTAAAATTCTTTCATAAGGCTGATGTCCAGAATGGTGTTTCCTGGAATTTTTTTTCTAGAGTTATTAAAGTTTGAGGTCTTACATATAAATCTGTTATACATCTCGAATTAAATTTTGTACATGAGGAAATGTAGTGATCCAGCTTCATTCTGCATATGACTAGCCAATTATCCAAGCACCATTTATTGTATAGGGAGTCCTTTCTCCATTGCTTATTTTGGTCAACTTTGTCAAAGATCATATTACTGTAGGTGTGTGGCTTTATTTCTGGTTTCTCCATTCTGTTTCATTGGCCTGTGTGTGTTTCTGTACCAGCACCATGCTGTTTGGGTACAGTGGCCTTATAGTAGAGTTTGAAGTCAGCTAATGTTACACCTCTGGTTTTGCTCTTTTTGATTGCTTTGTCTATATGGGTTCTTCTTTGTTTCCATATGAATTTTAGAATAATTGTTTCTAATTCTATGAAGAATTACATTGGTAGTTTAATAGAAATAGTGTTGAATCTGTGGATTGTTTGGGGCTACATGACCCTTTTAATAATAATGAGTCTTTCAATCCATGTGCATGCAATTTTTTTTCATTTCTTTGTGTAATATATGATATATTTCAGCAGTGTTTTTTAGTTCTTGTAGTAATTTTTCACCTTCTTGGTTAGCTGTATTTCTAGATATTTAAATTTTACAGCTATTGTAGATTGAATTGCATTCTTAATTTGGCTTGTGGCTAGAACATTATTAGTGTATAGAAATGCTACTAATTTTTATACATTGATTTTGTATGCTGAAACTTTATTGAAGTCATTTATCAGTTCCAGGAGCCTTTTGGTGGAGTCTTTAGTGTTTTCTAGGTATAGAATCATATTGTCAGTGAAAAGAGATAATTTGACTTTTTAAAATCTTATATGGATGCTTTTATTTCTTTCTCTTGTCTGATTGTTCTGGAAAGTACTTCCAACACAAGTATTGTATTGAAGAGGTGAAGGAAGACTGTTTCTTTGTCTCGTTTCGAAGACTGTTTCGTTGTCTTGTTTCAGTTTTCAAGGGGAATATTTCTAGTTTTCTGCCCGTTTAATATGTTGGTATCTTCATTTAATGCCTATTTTCTTGAGATCTTTTATAATGAAGAGATGTTGAATTTTGTCAACACCTTTTTCTGTGTCTATTGAGATGATCATATGGTTTTTATTTTAATCTGTTCATGTGGTGAATCACATTTATTGATTTTGCTATGTTGAACCAAGATTTCATCTCAGGAATAAAGCCTACTTGATCATGTTGGACTAACCTTTGATATACTGTTTGATTTTGTTGTGTCTTCTTAAAGACTTTTGCATCTATGTTCATCAGATATGTTGGACTTTATTACCCACGGTGAGCATTAGACAGTACATCAGGGCAGAAAACTAATAAATAAATTCTGGACTTAAATTCAACACTTGACCAATTGTTCCTAAGAGAAATCTACAGGACAGTCTACCCATCAACACATCAACAATAGAATGTATATTCTTCTCCTCTGCACACGACACATACTCCAAGATCAACCACATGGTCAACCATAAAACAAGTCTGAATAAATTTAAAAAATAGAAATCATACCAACCATACTCTTGGACCACAGTGGAACAATACCAAGAATCAATACCAAGAAGATATCTGAAAATCACACAACTACATGGAAATGAAACAACGTGTCCCTGAATGACTTTTGGGTAAACAATAAACTTAAGGCAGAAATAAAAATCTTCTTTCAAATAAATGAAACAGAGGCACAACATACCAATGTCCCTGGGATGCACCATAAACAGTGTTAAGTGGAAAGTTTGCAGTGCTAAACACCTACCTCAAAAAATTAGAAATATCTCAAATTAACAAGCTAACTTTACATCTAGAAAAACAAGAAAAAAGTAACCCCAAAGCTTGCAGATGAAAATAAATAACTAAAATTTGAGCAGAATTGAACAAAAGTGAGAATAAAAAAATCTATACAAAGAACCAAGAAAACCAAAAGTTGTTTTTTTTTGCAAGGTTAAACAAGATCAGTGGACTGCTAGCTGGATTAACAAAGAAAAAGAAAACAGAGAGACAACCAAAATAAACACAATCGTAAATGACAAAGGTGACACTGGAACTGATTCCATAGAAATGCAAAAGGTCTCGTAGACTACTATGACCACCTCCATGCACATCAACTAGAAAATCTAGGGGAAATGTATGCATTCCTGGAAACAAACAATCTCCCAAGATTGAATCAGGAAGCAGGAGTAACTATAAAGAGACTAATATTGAGTTCTGAAATGGAATCTGTAATAAAAAATATACCAACCAGAGAGAGTCCTTGAGCAGAAAAATTCACAGCTGAATTCTACCAGATAAACAAAGAGCTAGTACCAATACTACTGAAACTATTCCAAAAAATTAGGGAGGAAGGCTTCTTTCCTTAATCATTCTACCAAACCAGCATCATCCTGATACCAAAACCTGGCAAAGACACAAGAAAATAAATTAAAAATAATAATTATTTATACTATAAATGAATTTATACACTGTTACAATTTGTTGCAAAACATACATTTTGCTCATTTTTGTTTTATTCAATTAAACATTTATCTTAATGTCTTCATTTATTTTTAAAATGCAATTTCTAAGTTTTTGATGTGGAAAATATAGCAATGTAAACAGAAACATTTGTAATAGTGTGCTTTTAAGATCAAAAGAATCATATTCATTTTCTTCTTTCAAGGAAACATCATCTATAAAGCCATCCAATACCTTTTTGAATCTGGTTTCAGTATCAAAAATTCATAAGAATTAAATTAGAGATTGTATGTAACTTTCATATGCCATACTAAAAACATCACTGTATGAAAGCTGCTCTTACTGTAGTTCGATTACTTGGGGATTAAAGCCTGTTATCACTCGCCTGCTACAGCATGGGCTTCTAAAACCTATAAACTCTCCTTACAATTCTCCCATTTTGTCTGTTCAAAAACCGGACAAGTCTTACAGGTTAGTTCAGGATCTGCGCCTTATCAACAAAATTGTTTTGCCTGTCCACCCTGTGGTGCCCAACCCATACACTCTTTTGTCCTCAATACCTTCCTCCACAACTCACTATTCTGTTCTTGATCTTAAAGATGCTTTTTTCACTATTCCCCTACACCCCTCGTCCCAGCCTCTCTTTGCTTTTACCTGGACTGACCCTGACACCATCAGTCCCAGCAGCTTAATGTCACGTGCGTCCATGAGAAGAGACCACTAAACAGGATTTGTGTGAGCAACAAGGCAGATATCCAGTGGGGTCCCGTACAGATGGGACATGGTTTAGGAAGAATCCTGGGCTTCGGGCATTCCTTGGCCCAGTGGCCAGATTTCCACACTTGAAGCAAGATCCTAGGGGAGGAGATCCTAGAGGAATGCCTGACCACTGTGGCTTTTTACCTAAATCAATCTGGCCTGGTATATGACAACATAAAAAAACTCAAGGATAGAGCCCAAAAATTCGCCAACCAAGCAAATAATTATGCTGAACCCCCTTGGGCACTCCCTAATTGGATGTCCTGGGTCCTCCCAATTCTTAGTCCTTTAATACCTATTTTTCTTCTCTTATTCGGACTTTCCATTTAGTTTCTCAATTCATGCAAAAACGCATCCAGGCCATCACCAAGCATTCTATACAATAAACACTCCTTCTAACAAGCCCACAATATCACCCCTTACACCCAAATCTTTCTTCAATTTTCTCTCTCCCACTCTAGGTTCCTACCCCACCCCTAATCCTGCTTGAAGCAGCCCTGAGAAACATCACCCATTATCTCTCCATACCACCCCCCAAAATTTTCGCCCCCTCAACACTTCACCACTATTTTGTTTTGTTTTTCTTATTAATATAAGAAGACAGGAATGTCAGGCGTCTGAGCCCAAGCTAAGCCATCATATCCCCTGTGACCTGCATGTATACATCCAGATGGCCTGAAACAACTGAATATCCATGAAATAAGTGAAAATAGCCTTAACTGATGACATTCCACCATTGTGATTTGTTTCTGCCCCACCCTAACTGATCAATGTACTTTGTAAAAATCTCGCCCACCCTTAGGAAGGTTCTTCGTAATTCTCCCCACCCTTGAGAATATACTTCGTGAGATCCACCCCCTGCCTGCAAAACATTTCTCCTAACTCCACTGCCTATCCCAAAACCTATAAGAACTAATGATAATCCCACCACCCTTTACTGACTCTCTTTTGGGACTCAGCCTGCCTGCACCCAGGTGAAATAAACAGCCTTGTTGCTCACACAAAGCCTGTTTGGTGGTCTTTTCACATGGACGTGCATGACATTAAGCTGCTGGGACTGATGGGTGTCAGGGTCAGTCCAGGTAAAAGAAACAGAGGCTGGGACGAGGGGTGTAGGGAAATAGTGAAAAAAGCGTCTTTAAGATCAAGAACAGAATAGTGAGTCATAGAGGAAGGTATTGAGGACAAAAGAGTGTACGGGTTGGGCACCACAGGGTGGACAGGCAAAACAATTTTGTTGATAAGGCGCAGATCCTGAACTAACCTGTAAGACTTGTCCCGTTTTTGAACAGGTAAAATGGGAGAATTGTAAGGAGAGTTTATAGGTTTTAGAAGCCGATGGCGTAGCAGGCAAGTGATAACAGGCTTTAATCCCCTTAAAGCCTGTTATGGGATGGGATACTGGCATTGGGTGGGGTGATTAGGTTTTAACGAGATAGTAATGGGCATGTGATCGGTTGCCAGGGAGGGTGTGGAGGTGTCCCATACTTGTGGGTTAAGGTGGGGGGATATGAGAGGAAGATGTGAAGGAGGCTCTGGGTTGGGAAGAAGGGTGGCAATGAGATGTGGCTGTGGTCCAGGAATAATCAGGGAAGCAGATAATTTGGTTAAAATGTCTCGGCCTAATAAGGGAACTGGGCAGGTGGGGATAACTGAAAAAGAGTACATAAAAGAATGTTGTCCAAGTTGGCACCAGAGTGGGGGAGTTTTAAGGGGTTTTGAAGCTTGGCTGTCAATACTCAGAACAGTTATGGGGCCAAGGGAAAACAGGCCCTTCAAAAGAAGGTAATGTGGAGTGGGTAGCCCCCGTTATCGATTAAACAAGGGATGGACTTACCCTCCACTGTAAGAGTTACTTGAAGCTCGGCATCCTTGATGGTCCAGGGGGCTTCTGAGGTGATCAGGCAGCATCAGTCTTCAACTGCTAAGCTGAGGAGATCTGGGAAGGAGTCAGTCAGAGAGCCTTGGGCCAGAGTCACAGGTTCTCTGGGAGTGGCTGCCAGGAGAGTTGGACAGTCCGATTTCCAGTGGGTTCCCTCACAGTTGGGACACAGCTTAGGAGGAATCCCAGGTTGTGGGCATTCCTTGGCCCAGTGGCCAGATTTCCAGCACTTGAAACAAAATCCTGGGGGAGGCGGTCCTGGAGGAACACCTGGCCACTGCGGTTTAGACGTTTTGAAGTTCTTGTGTACTGGAAATGTGGCTGGGATTTCTCTCACAGTGGAGGCAAGTAATTGCAATTCAGAAATATGTTGCTACTTGGCTGCCTCTATTCTATTATTGTACACCTTGAAGGCGAGGTTAGTTAGGTCCTGTTGTGCGGTTTGAGGGCCAGAATCTAATTTTTGGAGCTTTTTCTAAAGTCGGGAGCGGATTGGGTAATAAAATGCATATTGAGAATAAGACAGCCTTCTTCTGGGGTCTAGGACAGTAAAGCGTCTAAGGATTGTTGCCAAATGGGCCATGAACTGGGCTGGGTTTTTATATTTGATGAAAAAGAGCCTAAATGCTAACTGATTTGGGAGAGGTTGGATGAAGAAAAACGAGAATTAACCCTGACTATTCTCCAGCCACCTCTTTAAGAGGAAATTGTTGGGCAGGTGGGGGAGGGCTAGTCGCAGAACGAAACTGTAAGCCAGACCAGGTGTGAGGAGGGGAGGTGATAGAAAGATTTTAGGGTGGGGGAGCAGAGGCTGAGGAAGAATTGGGACGTGGCTAGGCCTGGCGAGGAGCAGCCTGGGGGAGAAGGGGAGAGGTCAGATGAGTCCGTAGAAAAGAAGGATTCAAAGGTCTCAGAGCTTGGAGTGGAGACTGAAGGAACAGACAGGAGAGAAAGAATAAAGATTTGGGATCAGTGGCATTGGGAGCAGAGAGTAGGGAGGGACCAATGCGTAAAAGAAGGCCTGGATGTCAGGCACCTCAGATCATTTGCCCATTTTTCAATAAAAATTATCTAGATCATGTAGGATAGACAAATCGAAAGTGCCATTCTCTGGCCACTTGGAACTACTGTCGAGTTTGTACTGGGGCCAAACAGTATTGCAGAAGAAAATAAGACGCTTAGATTTTGGGTCAGGAGAGAGTTGGAGAGGTTTTAATTTCTTGAGAACACAGGCTAAGGGAGAAGAAGGAGGAATGGAGGGTGGAAGGTTGCCCATAGTGAAGGAGGCAAGTTTAAAGAGAAGGTTAGAGACACGGAGAAGTGGGGTGGGGAGTAGCCCTGGACTGCAATGTGGGTGAGCAGCCAAAGCAGGCGTCCGCGCAATTGACTTACCACCATGGGAATGTGAGTGAATGACCAAGGCAGGCGTCCCCGTGGTGATCAGACACCAATGGAATGTGAGTGAATAATCAGGCAGGCATCCCCACAATGATTAAACACCAAGGGAAGGCTGTCTTTCTGAGTCCGTGACCTGTGCCGGAGTTTTGGGTCCACTGATAAAATGTGTCTCCTTTGTCTCTACTAGAGAGGAAAAAGAACAGGAATTGGAAGGACAGGGAGATTGAAGGGTAGCGAGAGAGCCTGGAGAAGAGAGTGAAAAGACCGCTTACCCAATTTGAAATTGGTGAGATGTTCCTTGGGCTGGTTGGTCTGAGGACCCAAAGTCATAGGTGGATCTCTTCACGGAGTGAGGATGAGGACAGGAGACTGGTCTCCCGAAGGAGTCCCTCTGACCCAGGTCTTCTGCACCAAATGTCTCACGCGTCCTTGTGAAGAAAGTCCACCAACAGGATTTGTGTGAACAGCAAGGCTGTTTATTTCACCTGGGTGCAGGTGGGCTGAGTCCGAAAAAGGAGTCAGCGAAGGGTGGTGGGATTATCATTAGTTCTTACAGGTTTTGGGACAGGCGGTGGAGTTAGGAGCAATGTTTTGCTGGCAGGTGGTGGATCTCACAATATACATTCTCAAGGGTGGGGAGAATTACAAAGAACCTTCTTAAGGGAGGGAAATTACAAAGTACATTGATCAGTTAGGGTGGGGCAGAAACAAATCACAATGGTGGAATGTCATCAGTTAAGGCTATTTTCACTTATTTTGTGGATGTTTAGTTGTTTCAGGCCATCTGGATGTATATATGCAGGTCACAGGGGATATGATGGCTTAGCTTGGGCTCAGAGGCCTGACAATTAGCAGCCAGATGCTAATGGCACTATCTGAGCAAAGTAAATCTGATAAACTGGCAAAGTTTAATTGTTGGCTCAATACAGAACTTATATTCTAAAAAATTGCATTGTCTTTCCGGATGAATTTATGACAAGTTGTGGAATTCCATTTAAACAGAATGTTGAAAAATACTAGCTCCTAAGAAAAAACTAGTTATAATACCTGCTGGAGGGACAAAGGACAATTAGTGATGTCATGTCTCTGACAGTATTTCATCCTCCATGTTTCTCACCTTCAGGAAAGAATAATCCTCATGATAAAAGGTATATTTTTGTATTTCTTTTCCTCATTCATTTGTCTCTATTGTCACGTATTTGAAGTCCCTGTGTAGCATGGAAAAAGTCTTACTTATATTTCATTGCATGGATTCAATAAATATTTGCATATTTTTGACAGTTTTATTTCAAGTGACTGTACTATTCAAAATGTATTTGTCAAAAAAGACTCAAATATAAACATATTTACATTAATATTATTAATTGAATTTACCCATACACATTAAAACTAAAAGGTTAAATATGAAATGATCTTCACTCTATTTATTTAGAATTAATTGCTTCCCTATTATTTAAAATATAATACATGCATGTTTATATTTTTTAGCCAATGTTTCTATAGAGTTCCCTTAATACTAAAATTATTTTAAAATTTAAACATCAGAACATTTTTCCATTTCTGCAAGACTACTCATTGCTTTTACTGGACATATTTACATTTTAATTATATTTTTATAATTTATCTGTTCAACAGCTTATGGTTTATAACATTTTAATACAATTCTAACTTGGCAGAATCAAAATTAAACTAGAGAGTTTTTGAAAACTCATAACCTGTCAACTTTAGAGAACAATTCTAGTGAATAGTCAAATTATATACCAAAACCAAAAATATCCAAGGCTAGAAGAAGATTTAATTGGACATATTGTTAAATATCTAGAAAGTTTACTCGAATAGCAGTTGAGCTCTAATACAAAAACTGTATTTTATTATGTCATCTATTTTGCTTTTATATGTATCTGGATTACACATGTTCTTGACCTGTATTCCTGTCACAAATAAACATTTGGTATCGCTAGTTAGTACAGAAAAACATGAGAAATGGTTGGAAGTTAAATTTATCTTTGTATTTTGAAATACACATGGAAACAAGAATAACTTCTTCAGTATTACTTATTATGCAGATTATAATTTCACAGTTGTTTTCTCACATCTATTTCATCGAGTCTCCTAATAAAAAATAATAATTCTAACACAACTCTAACAGTGACTGAGCTGCCAAAAATATCACTGCCAATGAATTAAATCATGTTGTTTACAATAATTTGCTGACTCTTAATCTGAAGAAAGTACTTTGTGGAACTAATGGTGATGCTAATTGTGCATTTCTATGCTCTGAAATGACAATGATATCATAACAAGTTAATCTCATTTCAATGTGCATTTCGGATGCAAACCACAAAATATATTACAAAAGACATTTTGATTAAAGTTTGCTAAAGGTAAAGTTTTTAAGAAAACAAATGTTTCTCATTTATTTATGCTTGTGAATCTCCTATATACATGGTCTTTTATTTGTGGGGGAGAAGGGAGATTATGATAAGTGATTGATACAAAAAAGGAATAAATATTTATTTTGATAGCTACACGTAAACGTATACTGAGGCCTATGTGCAAATTTTAATTAGAACATTAACAGTAAAATGTGATGACTAATTTTGCAAGGCAAATACTATCCTGCAATTTGTAGTATGTATTGGCAATAATATAATTTTTTCTCTTGATTATTTAGTAGCTAGATTTTAATTTAGTTGATTGTATAACTCACTGACTCTTGTTATCAATTATTTTGGTTACTTTTTAGCGTACATACCACATGAAAAGCAAGAAAAGGTAAAGAGCCAAAAATTTAACTTATTAAAAATTTTCATTTTTATTATTTTATTATCCTTTCAATTTTTAGCAATTCTATCATTATGCTTAGTGACAAAGCAGAGTAACATGAAATTTTTTTTAAAATCTGCAAACTAAAAATTAGCATGTTTACAAATACCAAAATAAATCAAAATCAGAATGAAGAAACAGCTTTTTATAAAGAAATGTAGGAATCAGATTTTAAAAAGAAATCAAAATAGCAACTAAAATTGTTTTCTCAAACTTCTGGTCATACTTCCAACAGGACTGTTAGATATCTCCTAGGTAGGCTGTCACGGGTTTCTCTGTTGATGATTTCCAATTACTTTTCAGAATTGATAAATCGTTGTGTTGAACTTTAAATTGTGTCCAAAACTTAAAATTTCTTAAGAATAAAGTTAAACTCAGATTATTTAACTTATAAAGATTCTTCACATGTATGGTTTCATTAAATCTATATGACTTTATTAGATTTGTCCAACAATCCTAATTGTAAAAATTAATTACATAACTTGATTTCTCAAATATATGTTCTTAGGCTAGCTTTTTTTTCTGAATTTTCTAAGCCCTACATGTAATAATTACATGAGCTAATAAATTACAAATATTTTAAAATTTAGAACACACATGTTTCCCTATAGTGTGTTAAGTTTTTATTAAATACATGCTCTCAATTTAAAGCTACATCACTTAATGAACGTGTTTAGTTTATTCAAAGTGAAACTATGCAATTCCTGTTGACCATAACATTACACAGGTTTTAATAGAAATTTAAACAATAAATCCTTGGATCCCATACTATATAATCATACTTTATATAAATAACTACTTTTATTTCATTCTCTCCTATATGTATGGTTTCTATTTATTTTACTAGCCATTTGCAATGTTTAGGACCTATACATTCTCGCTGTGTTCTGAGCCTTAGGGTGGATTGTATTTCTCCCTCTCTCTGCTAAATATAATTGTATTAGTTTTCTACTTTTGTGCAACAAATTAGTAAAAAATCATCAGGCTAACTTAATACACTGTTATTACCTCATAGTTTCTGTTGATCAGATAAATCTGGGCATGGGTAAATCAGTGTTCTGTACAGGGTCAGGCTGAACTCAAGTTGCCAGGCCCACTGTATTCTCATCTGGAGGCACCATTGAGGAAGAATCTACTTCCAAGTTAATTCAAGTAGTTGGCAGAATTCATTTCCTTGTGAATACGTGAATGAAAGCTTCAAAGTCTTGTTGGCTGTTGGCTGAAGGTCATCTTCATGTCCTAGAGGCAACTGTAGTTTCAAGCCAAGTAGATTTCTTTATTGTCTGCTTATCACATCAAACATGCAAGGACATTCTTTGACTGCTAAATTATAAGATAGGGTACATGATTTAACCTACTAAGAGTGACATTACGTCACCTTTGCCATATTTTATTGGTTATAAGAAAGTCTCATGTCCCACTCATACTCTGTGGGAGAGGATTGTACAACAGCATACACATCAGCGAGTAAGGAGCAATGGGGATCATTGTAAGGTTTGTCTGCCACAATATTGCTAGCATTAGGTTTTATTGTAAATTCATTTTATCTGTTTGAGAAAGTTTCTTTCTATACCTAGTTTATAGAAAGTTTTTAATAATGAATGGATATTGAATATATTAACTGTTTTTCTGCATCTTATTAATGAGCATATAAGTTTTAGCCTTTAATAAGTAAAGGAAGTGGTTTACGTTAATTGATTTTTGGATGTTAAACTCATGTAGTATTTTGGGGATACATTTCATATTATAATTCTATATAGTACCAGATTTTACTTGCTAATATTTTATTGAAGGTTTTGAGGTGAATGTTTATGATTTGTATGTGTCCTTAATTTTATTTCTTGTAATATCATGATAATCTTCTCATATAATTACAATGTTGTTCTCATACAACAATTTTAAAGGTATTCTCTCATGTTATCAAAGAGTTGTGGAAACATTAATATTGCTTATTTCTTAAATGTTGGATAGGATTTATTGGTAAATGCTCATTTTTTTCACGGTAATGTTTATTTTTGCTAAGTATACTTACGTAATATAAATATAATCTTTCAAATTTTCTTTTGATGAGAATTTTTAGGGTATGCAATTTTTTATCCGTTCATTTTTAACTACCCTTTTTCCTTTGATTTAAAATGGGATTCTATTGGCAGTGTAGGGTGTGGCATTGTTTGTTTTTTAATTTTATTATGATAATCTCTTTTTTTAATGGGAGTCATTAGACCACTTACTTTTAATGTAATTTGTTGCTTTGTTTGGACTTAAGCCTGTCTTATTTTTGTTATTTTATTATCTTATATATTCTTGAGTCCTTCTCCTTAATGTTTTGCCTGCCTTCTTTTAGAATAGTTGATTTTTTTATGATTCCATTTTATCTTCAGCCTTGTCTTGGTAGTTTAACTACATTATATATATTTTTATTAATTGTATTAGAATTTACAATATACAAGTTTAATTATAACAATTTGCATTCTAATAATATTATGTCATTTAATTGCAACTCTATGCTCCCATTTTCTCTTCCCAGTTCTGTGTAATGGTAGTTATACAATTTTCATTCTGCATATGCTATAAACCCCAAAATATATTTTTTTAACTTTACATAGACTCATATTTTAAAATAATAAAAAAACAGGGAAAATGCTTATATATACATCCAATATTCTCCATGTCCTTGTGTAAACCCAAATATCTATCTGGCAATATGTTTCATAAACTGGAAAACTGTTATATTAAAGTATTTTTCATAGGGCAGATCTACCGACAATGAATTCTCTCATCATTTCTCTTTGTATTTAAAAAATTATTTTACCTAAATTTAAAAAAATTGATTTTCTAGGCTATAAGATTTTGTGTTGACAGGTTTTCTGTTTTTTTATACTTTATAATTTTTGCTGTACAATCTTCTGTTATTGTTATTACTACAATTTTACTGTGATTTTTTATGTTTTCTTAATTTCAATATATTTTTCTCTTTTCTTCTTGGTTTTTAGCTGTAGGAATTTGATGGGCCTAGATATATTTTTTCTCTGTGTTCATTGTTTTCTATGTTTTCTGAGTTTTACACATCTGTGATTTGGAATCATTCAGTAATTTCGGAAAATAATGAGCCATTCTTTTTTCAAATATTCCTTCTACTCTGTTCTTCCCCCTTTGCCTCCTAGGATTCTAGTTACATGTAGAGGATTTATTACTTCTCAAAGCCTTTGGGTCCTTTATTATGTATCTTTAACTTATTTTCTCTTCTTCATTTTCATTTTGACCATTTCTAGTAATTTATAGTGAAGTTTGCTCATTTTTTCATCTTCTGTATCTGGTCTTGTAATAAACCCATTGAAGAAATTCTTCACTTCTGATAAAAAAATGCGTTATTTTAACATTTGCCTTTCACTGTGTTCTGGTTTCCAGCTCTCTTCTCAGAGTCTTGTGACTATTTGGAATTTAGTTTACCTAGTTGCCTTGCAACCTCAGCATTATGAAGAGGTCAATAATAGTTTTGATTTCACAGATTAACAATTTATTTTGCCATTAGAGATGGAATGATGTTTTCTTGCAACTTTCTACATTTTAATGAGAAAAAAACTCTTCAAAGTTTGGCTTTAATCTGTTAAACCAGATCCAGTGTATCACTAAAGGATTGGTGTTCACCTTTCTGAGGTTTCAGCTGAATATCAGAAAGGTCACTAATGTCACTCCATGCTGGTTCCTGGGAAACCAAACAACTCCCAGCATTTTGCAACTTCTATAATGTCTGTTCACCTCAGAGCTCCCCGATACCATTTCTCACTCAAAACTTGCAGAGTCTTTTCCTGTGCATGCATAGGCTATTATTGAGATAAACAATGAAAGAATTACTTATTTCAATTTCTGGACCTCCTCTTCTCTAGTACTCTGCCTTACAAAGTCTAGCAACTTTAGCCTCCTCAACTCTGATCTCTGTTTCTTCATTTCAGTGGGACCACCAGGATATTCTTGGACTTTTAACTTCCTGCATTGCAACATTGTAAGTGTGTACAGGCCTAAAGCTGAGAAATTTTTGTGTGTTTCATTTTATGTTTTTCCTTCCCATAGGATTCATAGTTCTATGCTATCGATTGTCTAACATAAATGAAGTTGTTTTTCATATGCTTTTTATCAGTTTTCTAATTGTTTATGAGTGGAAGGATAGTCCAAAATGGTTAGTCCATTAGGACTTCAAGCTGACTCTATCATTTATTTATCTTAATAATATTATAAACAACTTTAATAGTGAAACAGAATCTGGCACAGATCTATAAAGCCATTGCATATATCTTTTTTCATTTTTTATTTTATATTACTTGCCTCTACAAACACTATTTTAAATAAAGCAAATGCGTTCAAGTTTGAAAATGAGAACGAAGACTCTGTATCTATCAAATGTTTTCTTCCATTCATTTATTCTGGATAACCTATCAAAACAAAATTAAAAACAAATACAAATGCAAAACCATGGAAGCCAACTATCCACTACAGAATTCAATCAGAGCTCAGAACTTAGTGATAATATCACAAAAATCTTATTTTACAGATATTTAAACCTGACA
This sequence comes from Homo sapiens, assembly GCF_000001405.40. NCBI lineage: Eukaryota > Metazoa > Chordata > Mammalia > Primates > Hominidae > Homo > Homo sapiens. The sequence goes on from NC_000004.12 coordinate 35,028,800, forward strand.
AAATAGGTTTTTAAAAGAAAATTAATAATGGCTTTTGCTGTTAGATATGGGATTTAACTTAATAGAATTTAGTTGTGGATCCTGTTGAGTTTTTTCCCATTCTTTTTCTAAAACAAAAATGTCATTAAACATAAGTCAAAAAGAGAAGAAAAAGTAATTAAGAAGCAAATATCATAAAAATTTATTTTGAACTCAAAATAGCCTTAACTTCGATTTACAGAATAAACTTAAAAATGTTCCATTGAGTAAATACTTCAAAATCATATTTGTATTGTTTTCATAGCCTAATTGAAAGTAACAAGTTTAGTGTAGATCAAATCATAATTATATCCATAAATATTAATTTACTATATCATATCACAGATTTCTTAAGCTTGTGTTTTTGTATTCATGTCAAAATTTCAAGCCATAAACTTATAGCTTACAACCTGTTAACTTGCATAAAGTAGGAGGAGAATAGTAAATTTAAAAAGTGACAGAATGTTTGGTTAAAAGAAGGTAGGACTGAGATCATGCAGGTAATTGTTACAGCCTCTTCAATGAAATTTGCAATTATTGGCTACCTCTTCAACCCTATTCATTTTTCCCACAAATATTTATTGAATCCTTACTGTATGCACGGCTCTGGATCCACAGAAAGAGAGAAACAGACCCCGTGATGCTTATACTTATTTAGAAAACAGAAAATGTGACAATTTCTTACCCCAACTTGTACGGAGTGTTATAAAATACATATTGTTACAAAACTAGCACTGGAGGAATAAAGCTATTCATAGGCCAGGAAATAATTTCTTGTTAAAATGAGGCTTGAGAACTGAAGAGTATGCATGAATGACTTCCAAAAAGAAATTTTATCCTAGACAGGAAAAAGCATTTTCTACAAACATGAGTAGAATGTGTGAAGACCAAGACTTGGAAAGATAAGCCTGATATTATATTCTTTTTGACAAATGGTTATCACGAAAATGCCAGGCGTTATATCAGGTTGTGGGAGTTGGTGAAGATATAGAGAATGCAAAAAGGCGCATTTTGGTTAACATTAATGAAGGCTGAAATAATAAAGAGCTCAACCCCCTCATATATTCCTTATGTGTAGAACAACCATGTGCTTTAAACTTTAACAGGGTGGGGCAGGAAGGAGCTGTAAGTCTCTTCATTCAGATGAGTGATTATGGGAAAATCAGGCCTCCTTTTAGATCTAATGTGCATCAAAACAGGGAGGCTCTGTTTAATTACATTTCTTTTCCATGAGGTGAATGCAAATCTTTCTCTGGAGATAACTTCATGTGTGTACCAGGAAATCAGTATTTGGAACCTGTCAGAATGAGTTTGGAGTTCCTAGACTGTGGCATGTTTACCACGTTGATGGTGTCCTAGGAATCCTTTTGAGAGAACCATCTGGACTCTCTTGAGAATATCCCAATGTTTTGTCCTTTACATGACATTTGCTGCCACAACCTACATAATGTTTTTATTCATGACAAAGCATCCTGTGGAAATATCCAATGAAAGATTGTATTTGACAATTGTAGGCTAATCAATTAAAGATAAGCTGTGTTATTATACATACTGAGAAGTCATAATATTGCCTTAGGAATTTGTCAAAAAAATTCCAAGTGATATTAAATTTTTATCATTATTATTAACATTACACATTTTATTGATAAGTGTGATTTTCATTGAGGGCAATAGGTTATTAATTATTTTTACCACCAATAATGTTTTCCCAGCATTGCATACATTCAATTTAACTACAATAAAATCCAATTTTTACAAGTCCGTTTCATATATTATTTATTCTGTGAATAGCAAAATCATTAATCAAGTGTTCTTACTGCCATAATTTCCTAGTGTTCTCCAAATTATACAGAATTCATGATTATAGGTTTTAAAGGAACTACTGTGCATAGATATGAAATTATATATACAGAATTAAGAAACTCCCCATTTGACATTGAAATTTTTGATCCTTTATTTGAGAAATGAAAACTTGAGAAGTAAAGAGCAGAGAAAGATTTATATTTCTGGCTAGGAAAATTCTTTTCTCCATCAGTCTTCAATTTAAAATGACTAGCTTTTAAAATGACCACATTCACTAATTGCATATTTTCTCATCAATATGGTGCCTGGTTATAACACTCTATTTCCTACCTCCTACAAAACTTTATACTTCAGTTATTAAAAAAGAGAACTGAAAAAATATTACATAACTCTCCCCATATTGTTTCTTCCATTTGTAAATTTGTGAATGCACTATCGTTGGTAAACAAAAAGTAATCTAACATCAAATAGAATGCTTATATATTTGACTATTTGGATGGCAATGAAATTGACACACTCTATAGATCACATCATTTATTACATGCCATGTAAGGAAGGTCATAAATAATGAGTAGGACATTTTAAAAGAGTCAAAGTCTCCAGAGATTCAGTTTACATAAAAAGAATCCATAGGGAGTAAGTTCAATTTTTTGAGACTTTGGATTCTATAAAAATCATTAGATTCTGAATTCTTTGTACAACACCACCTAAGTCTTCTGGACTAAAAAAGTATAAAGCTTATAAAAGCTCATAAAACTAGTTAAACAGTCTAAAATTACCAAGTAAAACTACCTATTCAGCATTAAACAGTTTTAATATAATTTAAAATGAATAAGGAAATTGCATTGATGATCTATTTGGGCAAAAAAAAAAAATAGAATGTACAAATATAGTGTGCTCTAATCAAATACTTTTCAAAATTCTTCTTTGGATTTACTGTTCAAAATTATATTTGATTAAGACTCTACCCTCCTATGATAATTGATTACTGTTCCATTAAGTATACAAATTTCAACAAATATAAAATTATCAATATAGCATTTTTTTTAATTTTATGAGAAATATGTGTAGATTTGGCATAACTTCTATGCCAAATTTGATAGAATTCATCAGTGGTAGAAAAAAATCTATGCCTAAAAGTTTAGTTTATTATTAAATTCATTTCTTTAATAGGTATAATTAAATTTTTATTTTCATTCTTTTAAATACTTTAAACATTTTTTTCTTTTGAATTTATCTGCTTTAGGGGTTATGTAAAAGAGTACTGTCCAGTGGGAGTGGTATTAGCAAGACAACAGAACAGGAAGTCTTGAACCCTCCTTTACTCTGACTAACTCATGTTTTCAACAGTAATTCATGGACATTTTCTCTTTGTGAGAAATTCAGAAACTCATTAAGAAGTTACTGCACTCCTGCAGAAGATGAAATAAGTCACACTGAAGCTAGTAGGACAATGTGAAATACCTTTTCCCAGCTTCTCTCTGGGCATAAAAAGAGGTACACCATGTATCCTACATCCCAACATTTTCAGAGGCTAACAGAGGACTGAATTTTTCCATCCTATTTTGAAGAGAATACAGAATATGGAACATGGTATACTCTAGCCACCTGGAACTGGTGAAAACAGAAGCAATGGTTCAGGCTGAGGGTCAACACCCCCACACCCGCTGGCTCAGCACAGAAATAGCAGTGGTAAAACCCTAACTCCCAGATTTTTCCTGAGAAGGAAAAGTGGTGGCGCACTAAAGGTCCAATGTCCCAACTTTTCAGAGAGCTACCCAAAAGATTAGCATCTGTCTACTCTGTCTCAGAGCTCTGATCAAACTGGGACACAGCATTTTCGCCACCTAAGGCCTCCCTGTGAGATCAGAGATAGACATTTGGCCTGGTGGTCCCCATAGCCACTCCCTGGCTCAGCAACAAGCAAGTGGATGAAAAGCCTCAACTCCCAGGTTCATTTTGAAGCGAAGAAGGGAAAAGAGATGCATTGAGTGTTCAATATCCTAACTTTTCCAAGGGTTACCCAGAAGACTGGTTTCAGTCTAGCCTGTCACCATAGTCAGTGACACTAGCTCAGGATAGCACAGACAGAGGAAAAATCTAAGATCCCAACTTCTATCTAGAAAATGAATGAAGTACATTGTGCACCTTACAACCCAACTTGAAGGAGGGGTTGCCTGATAAATTGGCTCTGTGAGTACTGACAGGTTTCATCATACTCTAGACACCACAGACTACTAAAAATAAAAAAAAAAGTGGATTGGAACAGCATGAATATTTGAGGGGCCTCCAGAATCTCTGGCCCAGGCTGATTTGTGAGGGTCTTGTTCAGTACGGGGCTAGTCTGCAAAGACTAGGAGAAGCGGCTGTTGTCTCTAATATGCAGATATGAACACAGAGAATCAGGAAAAATAGAGAAGGAGAAAAATACCTTTCAAACAAAGCAACAAGATAAATCTCCATAAACTGACTAATAAAATGGAGGTGTGTTATTTACCTGACAGAAAATTCAAATAACTGTCATAAAGATGCTCACCAAGGTCAAAAGAACAATGCGTGAACAAAATGAGAATTTCAACAAAAAGAAGTTTTGTAAAGTACCAGACAGAATTAATGGAGCTGAAGAATACAATAACTGAGATAAAAAATTTATTAGAGGCATTAAACAGTTGACTAGATCCAACAGAGGAAAGGATCAAGAAACTCAAAGACAAGTCATTGAAAATTAATCAGCCAGAGGAACAAAAAGAAAAAAGGAATGTAAAAGAGTAAAGAAAACCTAAGGAACTAATGGAACGCCATCAAGCTTTTAAATATAAACATTACGGAAGTCCCAGAATAAAAACAGATAAACAAAAGACTAAAAGAGTTATTTAAATAAATAATAATAACTGAGAATTTCCCAAATGTGGGAAAGAAAATAGACATCCTGATTCAAGAAGCCCAAAGTTCCTCAAAAATATTTCTTATAATGGAAAGATATAAATTTTCTCAGAGAAATAAAAGCTGAGGGAATACATCTCCACTAGATCACACTGTAAAAATGCTAAAGAGAGTTGTTAAAGGTAAAAAAAGGAAGCTAAGCAGCACTACAATAGCTTAAGAAAGACTAAAATAACATATAGACATATATAGAACCCTGTATCACTGTCAAAGTGGTTAGTAAATCATTCGAATTCTTATATAAAATTTAAAAGACAAATGTATTAAAAATCTATAATAACAATGTTAATGAGTACACAATACAAATAGACATAAATTGTGACATCAATAACATAATATGTGTATGTGGCTGGGAAGAAGCAAAAGCACACTTTTTTAGTATGTTATTGAACTTATCAGCTTAAAATAGATGGTTATATATTACATAAGGCCCATGTTAAACATGAATAAAACTACAAATGTCACACACACACACACAAACACAAAGAGAAAGGTATCAAAGCATAACAATATAAAATATCTATGACACACAAAGGAAAACAAGAGAAAAAAATGACAAAAGCCGCTAAGACAAAGAGAAAAAAACACAATGGCAATAGTGAATCATTCCCTATTAATATTTACTTCAAATGTAAACACATTAAAATTCCTAATCAAAGGACGTGGAGTGGTTAAACAAAAGCAAGATTCAGCTGTTTGCTGTATTAAGATATTCACTTTAGATTTAAAGACACATATAACCTGTAAGTGAAGGGATGGAAAAAGTTATTCCATGCAAAAGTGAGCAAGAGTAGGTATATTTATATTAGACAAAATAAACTTTTAGCAACAACCTGTTACAAAAGATAAAGAAGGACATTAAAATAATCAATAAATAATCAATGGGAACATATAAAAATTATATGCATCCAACATCAGAAAATTTAAGTATATAAAGCAAATATTGACAGAATTGAAGGGAGAGAAAGCAAAACAACAGTAGGTTATTCAACTCTCCGCTTTAACAAATGGACAGGTCAGTCATACAGAAAATCAATAAACAGTGGATTTGAGCAATGCTAAGACTATATGAACCAGAGATATTTAAAGAACATGCAACACAACAGCAGCAGAATATATATTCTTCTCAAGTAGGCTCAGAACATTCTCTGGGATAGACCAGATGTTAGATCAAAACACAAGTTTTAAAAATTTTATGAAGATTGAAGTCATGCCGAGTACCTTATTCAACCACAGTATAATGAAACCAGAAACAAGAGAAGAAAAACTTCTGAAGGATACACAAAAATGTGAAAATTAAACAAAATAGTTTTGAAAAATTACTAAGTCAAAGAAGGAATCACAAAGAAAATAAGAAAATATATTTAAACAAATGAAAATAAAAATATAACATAGCAAAACTTATTGGATACATCAAAAGTAGTACTACAAGAGAAGCTTGTAATAACAGATGCCTATACTAAAAGAAAAAGATCTCAAATAAACAACCTAACATTACACCTCAAGGAACTAGAAAAAGAAGAACAAACCAAGACCAATGTTTGAGGAAGAAAGGAAATAACAAAGATTAGAAGAGAAGTAAATGAAGCAGAGAATAGAAAAACAATAGAAAACAAAACCAAGAGTTGGTAATTTGAGATCAACGAAATTGTCAAACCTTTAGCTAGACTAAGAAAAAATACTAAAATAAATATAATCATAAATGAAAGATGAGACATTACAACTGTTATGAGAAAAATAAAGGTTCATAAAAGCTTACTGTAAACAATTCTATACCAACAAACTGTATAACCTAGAAAAAGTGAAGTGGCAGTATACAAAATCAACATACAATAATTAGTTGCATTTGTATACACAAACAACATACTATCAAAAAAAGAATTTAACAAAATACTTCCATTTACAATACTATCAAAAAGAATAAAGTACTTAGGAATATCTTAAGTAAGGAAGAAAAAGACTTGTACATGAAAACTACCAAATATTGAAGAAAGAAATTTAAAAAGACACAGAAAAATATATAACTGGTATTCATTTATTAGAAGACTTAGCATTGTTGAAATGTTCAAACCATGCAAAGTAATCTACAGATTCAATGTTATTCCTATCAAAATCCAAATTCCCAGTGGCATTTTTTCCATAAGTATAAAAAGACAATTCTAAAATTTATATGTAACACAAAAGAGTCCCCAAAGCCAATACAATTATAATAAACAAAAACAAGAATGGAAGTATTATGGTTCCTAATTTTAAATTATTTTACAAAGCTATAGTAATCAAAATAGTTGAGTATTAGCATAGATACGGACATATGAACCAATGGAACAGAATAGAGAGCCCAGAAGTAAATCCATACACACACGGTTCATTGATCTTCAGTAAGGTTCTACAAACACACAATCAGGAAATGGTAGTCTTTTCAACAAATGGTGTTGAGAACACTAGATATTTACATGCACAATAATGAATTAGGACTCGTATACTATACCATATAAAAAATCAACTCAAAATAGATGAAAAGCTTAAACGTTAAAACCTCAAACTGTCCAACTTATAGAAGAAAATATGGAAAAACATATTTATGATATTTTTCTTAGCATTGAATTCATGAATATGAAACCAAAGCATAGGCTACAAAAATAAAAATAGACAAGTGGGAATAAATAGGACTAAACAGCTTCTGCACAGCCAAGGAAACAATCAACAAACCAAAAAGGCAAGCTACAGAATGGGAGAAAATATTTGCAAACATTATATTAGATAGAGGTTAATTGACAAAGTATTTAAGAAACCCCTATGACTCAATAGCAAGAAAATCCCAAACAAGCAAAACACACACACACACACACACAAAACTCCTAAAACCCAAAGTTAAAAATGGGCCAAAAATTTGAATAAACATTTCTCCAAAGATGGACAAATGGTCAATAAGAATATGAAAATACAGGCCACATAGTTAATCATATCCAAATGCAAACCAAAACTACAATGAGACATCACCTCACAGTGGTTAGTATGAGTATTATAAAAACAAAACAAAACAAAAACAAAGAATACAAAACACAACAAAAACAAGAAGAAACAACATAGTAAAGATGTAAAAAAATTGAAACTCTTGTATGTGGGTGATAGGAATGTAAAAGTGTTCAGCCACTTAAAAAACAGTATGGAGGTTCTTCAAAAAATTAAAAATAGAATGACCATATGATCCAGCAAATACACTTCTCAATATTTATCCTAAAGTATTGAAATAAGTATCTCAAAGAAATATTAGCAACCCAAAATTCATTACAGCAAAGCTCACAATTGCCAAAACGGAGAACAGACCATGTGTCCATTAACTGATGAACAGACAAGAGAAATGGTGTATTCATACAATGGCATATTATTCCACCTTTTAAAAAAGGAAATTTTGTCATTTACTATGACATTGATGAACCTTGAAGATTATTCTAAGCCAAACAAGCCAGTCACTCAGAAGAGCAAATACTGCATGATTCCACTTAGATGAAGTATCTATAATAGTCAAAGTCATAGAATCAGAGATTAAAATTGTTATCAGGAGCTGTGGGAGAAGAGCATGGCAATGGAAAATTACTAATCAAAGGCATAAAGTTTTAATTAGGGAAGATTAGTAAGTTCTAGAGATCTGCTGTGCAATACTTTTCTAAGGTAAACAGTATTTTATTGTACACTTAAAAATTTGCTAATAGGGCTGGGCGCAGGGGTTCACTCCTGTAATCCTAACACTTTGGGAGGCTGAAGTGGGCGGATCACCTGAGGTCACGAGTTTGAGACCAGCCTGGTGAAACCCTGTCTCTACTAAAAATACAAAAATTAGCTGGGTGTGGTGGCACACACCTGTAGTCCCAGCTAGTTAAGAGGCTGAGGCAGGAGAATCACTTGAACCTGGGAGGCAAAGGTTGTAATGAGCTGAGATGGTGCCACTGGCTCCAGCCTGGGCAACAGAGCGAGACTCCATCTCAAAAAAAAAAAGAAAAAAAATGTGCTAATAGGTTAGATTTCATGTTAAGTCTTCTTAGCACAACAAATAAAATAAGGTATACTTTCCAAAGGTCTAAGGAATTTTGTAGAAAACGTATTGTTATTTACAGTTAATTTAATCAATTTTGAGCAGATAACAAACTGTAAGTTGACAATTTCTAAAGTTGGTTGAAACATTTTCAGGAATTCATGAAAAGGATGTGTATTAGCTATTTTTCTCTAAATGTCAACTAGGTCAAGTTGACATCTAATTTGACATCTAATTCTTCTATATTCTGAAAGTATTTTTGTCTATTTCTATAATTTGCTGAGGGAGTTTTTTTTTTATTTCTACCATTAATCTGTCAGATTTTGATGCTCTGATTTTAAGTGCATACATATTTGTGATTCTTATGTCTTCTTGATTAATAAGTACTATTATTGACATGTGATATTGGTGGCAGCAGAGGGCTACCTGGTGCGGCTGCTGTCAACACACCAGCTGCTGAAGGGCGCCAGGAGGAGGCAGACAGCCCATCCCCCGCATCCCGCCACCCTGACGCCAGGGCGATGGTCCGTGGCAGAATCTCCCACCGCTGGGGGAGCGGCTCAGAGGGGCAGCAGCCAGGTTGGTGGGGCAGGGAGTGTCTTCAGTACAGAGCTTAGGCCGCACTGTTGGGGCCTGGGGTAGGAAGTGGGAGTGGTGCCGGCTTCAGGGACCCGGCCGCTGCCCCGCTGCCCCGACCAAGGGTGCCAGATTCCTGGGCTTCAGGAGGAGTCTCTGTGCAGGGCCGCCTGGGGCCGTGTCCCCAGGGTCTGTCTGGCGTCAGGGTGACTGCTGAGCCTTCTACTCCCGATGGCTCGGCCCGGGGAGTGATCCACTCTGCCCCGGGTCACCGCTGAGTGCCAGGGAAACGGGCTGCTCATGGCAATATTGCCCCTGCCCTGGACGCCAGCCGGGGCCCAGCAAGGATCAGGAGCCCCTGCCCCAGGCTGCGAGGGGGCGCAGCTGAGGCTGCATGCTCCAGGGAGCAAACAGGCAGGAGTGCTGCCCTTCTGGGTGCCACTGCAGCCACCGAAACCACGGCTGCAAAACTGTGCCTCCTTCTCTACAGAGCAGTCAGGAACTCCCCCACCCCACCATACAGCTGCAGCTGCCCAAACCTGCAGCTGCAGCCTCAGGCATTCCTGCAGTCTTGGGGGCCCGGGAAGGCCCTCCCTGCCCTTGCAGACTAGGAATTGCCTGCTCCCACTGCCTGGCTTCTCCCTGCTGTTCGCTCCTGCTCTGATATAGGAGCAAAGTTGGGGCCAAGCCTAGGTGCCATGAATGGCAGCAGGAGGCAAAGTTTCCTGGGTGGAAGAGAGCAGGTCCCCAGTAAGGCCCCCGCTTCAGGCCAGGAAGGACCTGAAGGCTTGGGGCCAGGCTGCCAGGCCCGTGGACCAGAGGAGGGACTTGTGGTGCCGTTTTCAGGCCTGCCCATTGCTGCCCATAGACCAACTGGCACGCACTTCCTGCCCTCTGATGTCCATAAAAATCCCCAGGCTCAGCCAGAGCAGGGCAGAGGACAGAGAGACGATGGAATGACCAGCTGCCAAAAGGAGCTACCTTTTCTGCTGAGACTTGGGAAGACAACCGGACGACCAGCTGCAGAAAGGGTCCACCAACCACAGGGCCTCTCTGTTGACAGCTGAACACTCCAGAAGACAACCTGCCTACGGAGGAGGAGCTACCAACTGCAGGTCTCCTCTGAGCTATTGCAAAGCTTAATAAAGCTCCCCTTCGTCTTGCTCACCCTCCACATCTCTGTATACCTCATTCCTGCTGGACGCAGGACAAGAACTTGGGCAAAGGCGCCACCAGCCACAGAGGTTTCCCACCAGAAAAAGCAACACCCCCCAAATCCAGTAACATATATACCTCTTGTAAAACTATAAATCTTTAAGTCTAATTGTCTATTAAGATTATAGCTCTTCTAGCTTTCTTATGCTTATTTTCTGCATGGGTTTGATATATTTTATTACTTCACTTTCTATGCTTACTTTTATCAAATTCATGGAGGCATAATTTACTGAATCAATTTATAGTACAAAATTCCAACAGTTTTGACATATATACTCAGCCACAAGACCACTACTACAATCAAGATATAAAACATTTCCATCATTCCAAAAAGGTTTTACTGGCCACTTTGCAATCCATCCATCTCTCCTGTATTCCCAGCTCCAGGCAACCTCTGATTTGCTGAGGGTCACTGTAAGTTTGTTTGTAGTTTCTAGACTTGTATGTAAATAGAAACATATGACATTTGTTTCCGGCTTCCTTTACTTAGCGTATGGTTTCAAAATGTACCCATGTGTCAATAATGATTTATTTCCATTAATGAGCAAGCTCGGTGAATACATTTTGTCTGTTCACCTAGTGATGGACACTTATATTGCAGCCAGTTTTTGATGGTTGAGAATAAAGCTTCTGTTGAGATTTGTGTATAAATCATAATATTAAATATGTTCATGTCCCTTGAGTAAATACAAATAAATCAAATGTCTGGTTTATAGGAACAATGTTGTTTAAATATGTTTGAAACTACTAAACAGTTTTCCAAAGTAGTTTTATGATTCTACATCCTCAGCAGTAGGATATGTAAATTTATTTTCCTCTACACCTTCATAAATTTTAGAACTAAGTTTTTCTGTAATTTTATGTTACTGTTATTTTATTTCCTATTTGCAGAATGACTAATAATATTGAAATTTTTGTGTATTTATATGCAAAGTGTTGCCTTTTTTGAAGTGTTTTATAAAATTTTGGCAAATGTTTTGGTAATTTTTTTGAGTTGTAATTATTTTGTACACATGTTGGATTTAAACCCTTTGTCAAATATATAAACTGTATTTCACAGCATTCTATATTTTGCCTTTTAATTACCTTTTTGAAGTTTTTTGAAAGCAAAAATATGTTTTTAAAAAAATTTGACCAAAGGTAATTCATCAATATTGCTCTTCATAGTATTTTCTTGTGTCCTAACTAGAGAAATCTTTATTTTTTTCCCCCAAGGCCATTACGTTTTTTTCTCTATTTTTTCTCTAGAAATTTATAGTGATAGCTCTCTTGTTTGTCTGTAATATACCATGTGTTAGTTTTTTTTGTATGATGTGAGATAAAAATTAATGCTGATTTTTTTTCTGTGTAAACATATAGTTTTTCTAGAACCATTAGAAGAAAGGCATATCTTTCCCTATTGTGGTTTTTCTGATTTTCATAAAAAACTGACCACATGCATGTTGGTCTCTTTCTGTACTCCAATCTATACCATTAATCTGTATATTTATGTTTTGCCCAATCCACCCTATCTTAATTATTGAAGCTTTATACTACTATTTGTTAAAATGTAATGCAAGTTCTTCAACTTTCTGTCCTCTTTGTTAAAAGGGTTTCCTATTCTAGGATGTTTGCATTGCCATATAAATTTTAGAATCAAATTGTCAATTTCTAAGTGAGAACACTGAAAGTATAAGTCAAATTGTGGAAAACATCTCAATATTAAGCTTTCCGTCATATAAGTGATATTTTTTACTTAGATCTTTAATTGTTCTCAGTAATGTTGTGTATTTTCATTATAAAGATTTTACACATATTTGCTAAATTTATTTCTAAGTAGTTTAATTTTTATAAAATTATAAATGCTATTTTAAAAATTTTATTTTCTAATTGTTACTCATATGGAAAAATATTATGATTTTTAAATGGCATTTTTTGCTGTCGTACTGCATTATTTATGATTTTGGCCTTTATTTTAGGTTCGGGAGTACATGTGAAAGCTTGTTACATAGGTAAATCTCGTGGGAGTTTGTTGTACATATTATTTCATCCCCTGGGTATTATTCCTAGTACCCATAGTTATCTTTTCTGCTCATACTGCCAAGTTTAAGTTGTCATTACTTTGTAGGTTTTATAGAATCTTCCACATAGTCATGTCTACTGTGATATGAGAGTTTCATTTTTTAGTTCTATTTTTAATACTTTTATTACCTTTCTCCTCTTCTTAACGCAAAAGCTGCAATCTCCATTACAATGTTGAATCGAAGTGGTAAAATCAAGCTTTCTCAATATGGTCCTGATACTAAGTATAATATTAGCTATAGATGCCCTTGAATATATTGTGGAATTTCTCCTATACTTCTAATTTGCTAAGAGCTTTTATTATGAATGATTGTGAACTATTTATAATGCTTTTTCTGTATCACTTGAACATAACATTGTTTTTCTCCCTTTATTCTGTCATAGTAATGTAATGGTAAATTACATTAGGAGAGCTGTTTTAAAATTTCACAATTTTTGGGAGGCCAAAGCGGGCAGATCACAAGGTCAGGAGATTGAGAACATCCTGGCTAACACAGTGAAAACCCGTCTCTACTAAAAATACAAAAAATTAGCCACGGGTGGTGGCATGCACCTGTAGTCCCAGCTACTTGGGAGGCTGAGGCAGGAGAATTGCTTCAACTCGGGAGGCAGAGGTTGCAGTGAGCCAAGATCGCGCTACTGCACCTGGCTTGGGCAACAGAGTGAGACTCTGTCTCAAAAAAAAAAAAAAAAAAAAAAAGAAAAAAGGAAAAAAAAGATATCACAATTTTTACTGAATCTTAGCTTATTTTAACAATGCCTAAATTGGATAAACATCATCTTATGGAAAATATGTTTAATAAGTGAAAGAAAACCAGAAAATTAAATCAATATTTTCTGGAAGCTAAACAATAACAATTTAACAGAACTTTATAAGTAGTGATATACAGTTACTCAGTCTTCGTACAAGTTGTTTCTCGTGAAAGTTTATCTCTTTATATTTAATATAGTTGAACTAGTGATTATAGTTAGCATATACTATTTTATTACAAGTGGCTTGCTGAGAATAACATGTTGACAATTTCACTGAGGTTTCCAATGTAACATAATATAGTCACAGAAAAAGTGAAAAGTGAACATGAAAAGACAAAATATTAAAAGAAAATGAAAAGGAAACAGTGAAAGGATATTCAAATATCATGTGTGTAAAGACTTGAATTCCTCAGAGAAAGCTTTCTTGATTATGATACTCTTTGCTATATTGGATTGTTATATATATTGATCTCTTAATATTTTAAGGATATTACGTTTGTGTTCAGGAAAAATATTAATGTATAATTTTCTTTCTTTTTATGAAGTATCATTTTCAAGTTTTAGAATTAGGGCAATCTTAGTCTCTCAAAATGAGATGGGGAGAGATTCTTTCTCTATTTTCTGAGAGAATTGCTGTTTTATTTATTTTTTTCTTCCTTGACTATTAGGCCTATTCTTTTTCTTATTCTTTTGTTGGTATTGTGTTACAAAGAGTTTAATTCGTAAACAATCTATAATTAAACAAAGAGCTTAATTTATAAACTATCTTAGATTTTTTGCTTCATCTTGTGTCATTTTTAACAATTGTATCTTAAAATAAATTTGTTCAGTATGTCCAATTTATTTGCATGAAGCTTTTCATAATATTTTCAACTGCCCTTTGAATAATTGTAGCCTCTCTGGTGTAAGCCTCTTTTTTATTCCTATTATTTGTGATTAATTTACTCTCTGTCTAGATTATGCTTTTTAAAAATGAATCTATCGATATGCTTAAAATGTTTTTTATGAAGAACCTCCTTTAGACTATGTTGATTTTCTCTATTGTTTGACTATCTTCTGTTTTTCTAAAAAATTTTCTGCTTTTATCTGTATTTGTTCTTTTATTCTACACACTTTGAACTCACTCTCTTTTTTTTCTAGTTTCTTACATTTTATATTTTATCTTTAATCACTGATTTTAGCCCTATTTTCTTTTCCATATAAGCGCTAACACTTAAAAATGTTTCTCAAATCACCGGTTTAGACACATTTTCCATATTGAAGGTAGTTTTCTCAATAGTCTCTCTTTGAGCACTTGAAAACAGAAGATGATAAGGTTCTCAGGGTGCAGGGCTATAAGACAGAAAAAGCCTATTTTCTTGAATCACTGTATGGAAGAGAGACACCCATCAACAAAGAGCATATCAGCCTTAGACTGTTGAGTGAACAAGAAGAAAATATCTATTGTCTTTTAGCTTTATTTATTTTTGGCTTGTTTTTGATAGCAGTTTAGTATATCTTAATTAATGTAAAGTGCAATCAGGCCTTAAAACTAAAAATGTTATAATGTAGCTACATGTTGCAAGACTAGCTAAACATGGGTTGAGAGTGAACCAGATGACTGAAGAGCCTCAAATAGCTCTGGGACAAGATGTTTCAATGAAGCCCTTGAGATTACAAAATAATGATCCAAAAATATTTATGACGCATCTCTTATATAAGTCACCTATGTAAGTACTAGAGATGCAATTAGGATAGATACATACAGAATATAGGTTGTGCACTACTATACAACTCACCGAAGTCTCATTTAGACTATGTGGGACACAGCATAGTTCTCATAGACTACGATGACAATTGTGCACTTAGAATTATAAGCACTTGATGAGCTACCTACAATAGTGAATCAAGCAAACAATCTTATTGCTTTTATAACATTTAAAATCTAAAGAAAAATAGGCAATAATTTAATTTACAAATGCATATAAAGTATAAATATTTGATTGTAGTAAGTTTTAGGAATAAAAATTTAGCATAGGAATGGCATAATCATGGTTGGGCACCGTGGCTCACACCTGTAATCCCAGCACTTTGGGAGGCGGCGGGAAATTTGCTTGAGGCAAGGAGATTAAGACCAGCCTGGGAAACATAGCAAAATATCCCTCCAACAATGCAAACTTACCCTGGCGTGTTGGTGCATGCCTGTAGTTCCAGCTAGTCAGGTGGCTGAGGCAGGTGGATCACTTGAGCCCAGAATATCAAGGCTGCAGTGAGCCAAGATGGAGCCATTATACTTCAGCCTTGGTGACAGAGTGAGACCCTATCTCACAGAAATAGAGTAATCATGATAATGATAAAATATGGTAATTTCTATAGGGTTTCCAGAGAAACCCTCATAATGGGAGTAGTATGTGAGTAAAACTTGAACTGATATGAGATACTATATGACTATTTGAGGGAAATTCATTTTAGGTACGGGAAACACAAGTATAATAGCCTGAATAATGGCATGTGCTTGGTTCATATTCCATAAAGAACAAGAAAAGCAGTGTGGACAGGAGGTGGTGAGGGAGGTTGGCAATATTAGAAAATGAGTTTGAAGTGCTACATATACTAAATAATGGAGGACTCTGTAGGTGTCCAAGGCCTTCAGAATTTAATTTTAATGGAAAATTAACAGTGTGAGAAGGCATTCCATAATCAAATTAACAAAATATTTGTAGAAATAGGAAATACTCAATATTTTCTGATGTTGCTGAAAAGTAATGAAAGATAAACACTGTAAGTTGTGATTTGGCTTAGGATTCTAAAAATTTTAATTAACTCACTAATGTTTCCTTATGAAATAAAATTAGTCTGAGAATTGAAAGGAGTCCATCATTAAGTATCAGCTATTCTGACGCCATCTAAACCAGATTATCTTTAAATTATGTCTATGGCATTTCATGTAACAAACTTTGAATTCTAAAGAAAAAGAATCAAGTTTGTTTTACTGAGAGTAATATTTTCTTGACTGAGAAAGATTATGTTTGGAGGTCTTGAACCATTCCTCCAGCTAAGAAAATGGCCTTCAAAGAAAGGAAGTCTAATCAGTCTAATGAGCTGATTTCTATGTAGTATGCTTGGAAATACAAACTCAGGCATGAAAATATTCAATAATATTCTGAGCATTTAATCTGACTCTAGCAATCTCTTCTAGCAGGCCAGAAAGATATGCTAAAAATCATCCTAGTTAGGGGTAAAAATTTTGAAAACTCCCATAGGCTTTTTAATAGTGAATATAGGTTATTTATATCATTGTATATGGAGGTGCATAATGCTCTAATAAAAAGAAAATTTGCCATTAACTTTAGAAATGGCAAATTGGTCTGTAGCAAATTGTGTTCATGAAGTGAGTCATGTAGTCAATAGGTCTGGGACAATATTTTTATAGGTACCCCTGAGGCTCTTTATGTTTTTCAGAATTGTCTATCTTGTCAATAGCACACAGGAGGCTTTCTTTGTTTGGCAGATGTAAGTTTGACTAGGATACTTAATCAGTGTCAGCTCTTTTCCAAGGGCCATGAGCTTTCTTACCAAAAAGCACAATTGCTGAAACTCAATACAAGCCTGTGAACTGAATTTTACGTGTAGGCATCAGTCAGAGTGAGGACATGCTAAGGGCCCGGATATAGTGGATTACAGCTGGCAGCCACTTGTCAGATATGAATGATCATTTTTGTACTCAAGTGACAGAGACTAGACTCATGTTTCTGTCATGCAAAAAAGTAAAAGGACCAATGTAGAAATTCCTTTCCCTCTCACAATTCATGGGTGTACAGTTTAGGAATCCCAATATCCCTAAAAGTGAAGGCACTATAGTAGATAAAGAAGAATACCAACTTACCTAGCGAAACTCCAAACGTCAGTGAAATTAAAAATAAGCAAAATAAAAAGACATCCAGAATGAGTGATTCCAAGTGAAAAAATTGTCGAGAAAACCTATAACCAATTCATGAATCAGTCTATCAATCAGTTAAGAGAGCACATAAGGAAACAATTATATTGTTTCCTTCACATTCACTTATTTTTTTCAACACTCACTTATTAGTTCAACAAATAGTTCAACAGATATTTGTTAATACTCTACCACAAGTGAAGTTTTTAGGGATTCAAAACAAACCACTTTTTCTAAATAGAAGAATCTAGTGTTGCTAGATTTCACATGGCTGTCACCTCTAGTAAACATAAAAATGGAGAAAACACATCCAATCAAATTAAAATTTTTAAAATTATAATGCATGTGTGTTTGTGTGTGTGTATTTAATCCAGATATACAGATGATACTATAGATGAATTCTTATTTGGCATAGAGAGAAATGAGCTCAGCAGCAACTTACCCTTTCTGAAATTCAATGTTGGATGTGTTGGGAAATGGAACTAAATGTAAGGTAGGTTGCATCTTCATGGCATTTATAATATATTTGGTATAGTGTGGTTACAAATGCATACAATTAGGAAATATAAGATAATTACTAAAATTAGGTGAAGGACAATTAATGCTAAGATCAGATCTCATAAATAATACAGTGCATCCTAGAACAGGCACAAATAAGTCAGGAAAATAAAAGCTAACCTATGATGTAGAGAGAGAAATAAACAGCAAATGTTTTTCCCTGAAAGTGTGTTCAACCATTCTCTAATTTTTGTATTGAGAAAATTTAGCACTAATAAAAATGCTTAAGTATCACCAAAGGTTAATTTTAAGAGAATGTCAAATTTATGAAAATAGTTATAGACTCAGAGAATACTTAAGTATATAGCTTTGTCACCTGACAGGGCCTAAGGGCAGTGACTGCAGTAGTAACAAGCACAGTTAATCTTAGTTTTAATACTAATTTCCAATAAAAAAAATGAGAACTCTTTGGAGAAGCAGCTTATTCTGTGACTGAGTCAGGAAACACAGTAGATGAACTTGGATCATCTTGTAGTGTGAGAAAGTAAAGAAATATTTTTCAAAACTAAAAGAATGATGGGGATATGTCAAAGGGACACAGGAAAGAAGCCAAATTGAAAGAATCCCTAATGGTTAAAGTTGGAATAATGTGAACCATAATAAATAAAATAATAGTATTGGATTATACCCCAAAATATAAAATAAATATCCATGTTCTCATACTGATATAATACAAGATTGAATAAATAAATAATGGGAGAGAATAGATAAATCTCAAGCACAGAAGAATTCCAAATGAATTATGTAACTACTCCATCCTTAGGAAGGATGAAGCATACCTCCCCTCCTCTTACATGTAGAACACATTGATATTTTGTAGATGATTTTTGTTTTCTGTCAGATTATGAAGATTTTCTTCTACTTTTAGTTTGCTCACAGTTTCTATCATTTATGCATTTTAATTTTGTCAAATTTGTTTTCCAAATCTATTTTAATTTCATGATATTTATCTTTTATTGTATCAAAATGTTCAATTACATAGACTGATTTACAGGTGTTAAAGTAACCTTACATTCCAGGGATAAATCTTACTCAGTAAATGTGCTTTTTAAAAATATTTTTATATTGCCTAATTTAATTAGTTATTATTCTGATATGTTTTTAAGTATTTTATATAGATATTTATGATGGATATTGGTGTGTAATTTTCTGTCATTCTTCTTTCTCTCTCCTTTTAATTTTTTTAGTAGAATGTCTTTTTCAGTTGGAAAGGGTTCTCTCATTTTTTCCGACAAAGATTGTATATGACATTCGTTATTTATGCCTTAATATTAATAGGATCACAAGTGAAACCATATGTACTTAGAGTTTTCATTATCAGAATGTCTTAAGCAACAAATTTCATGCCTGTATTGAGATCATGCTATTGAAGAATTTAGGGTTATAACACCCCAAATTGCCTCAATCTGGCACATCGATTATTTGGACCTCAAAGCACTTGAGAAGATAATTCTTATTATCAGTGACTGACAATTGATGCTGCAATGGACCTGTACAATAAATTTCCTAAAATAACTTTTATATTCTGTCAACTTCACATGCTTTTGTATATCTCCTAATGACTCCCCTGGATTTACTGCCCCTAGCTCAGACCGCTATGTCTTGCCATTTTTTTTTCCCACAGAATTTATTATTCTTTGTCTATAAAGTATAAAAGCTTTTTGCTTTGGTCATTTCTCTGGGTCTTCTCTGTCTTGTGAAGATGTATATGTAAAATTAATAAAACTTACTTGGTTTTCTCTTGTTATCCCGTTTTGTATCAATTTGGTTCCCAGACCCAGTCAAAGATCCCATTTAAAAACTCATATAGGTACAGGGGGTATTTAGGCTCCTCTCCACTGTAAATATATTTCATATTTTATTCTGTGCCAGGTTTGGCTAAATTGTAGTTTTTTTTACAATGTGTTTATCACCTATGTTGGTGAATTTGTTGTCATAAAGTAGCTATCAAAGACCTCTACTATTTTAATACCTGTCAAATCCATGAAGATATATCTCTACATTCTCGTATCTTTCCTTCCTGACATTGGTAAACTTCATACTGTTTTTTTTTTCTTGGTTCATCTACTTACATATTTTTTTTTTAATTATCTTTATTGATCTTTTCAAAGAGTTAACTTTTGGCTTAATTAATTGTCTCTATTATTTGTCTCTTTCCTCTTTCTTCCAAGTTTTGGCTCACCTCCAGAATCTGCCGGCTTTTGTTTACTCTCAAATGCCATAAGTAAATTTGATTTTTGAATTTAGTCAAGAATTTATAATTGTTAAATATGGGAGAGTTGGGTCCAGTAGGATCTTAGCCATATCGGAGTTGGAAGCCAAACAGTGGCATTTTGAAATTTTTTAAAAAATACATCTCATATTGAAAAGTATGAATTAAATCTACATATCATGACAGATTGTTTCTAATATCAGCCATGAAAGAGTATTCAAGAAAACGTATTCATGACAGATAAACTTTATATTAAGCATCCAGATATGCTTAGCAATAGCTCTTTGCAGTTCAAATTTTCTGTGACACACAAAAACAAATGTTTAAAATATTGTATTATTCAAGCATAATTCTATTCAAGCACTTGTATTAATGCACAATTGATAAACTAAGGACAATAAATAAGTTTTAACATATGATTATTAAATAAAAATATTCTGAAATGCATTAAATATTTAGAAAAAGAGAGTAATGTATTACTCTTCTCTGTGTAGCTCATATATATGAATTAATGACATTGATAGAATGAGTAAAAGTTAATCATTAGTTTATTCATTATTTTGGCATATGTGGACGCAAAAGAAATAAGCCATGTTCATATAATTAAGTAGATTAGAATTAAAAGCATCAGATTATAATGTTTTCATTTACTTCTTTTAAATTTTTTGTGTTATATGCCAAAAATCATGTAAAAATAATATAAAATATTTTAATGGTCATATTCTAATTTTGGTAAACTCTAAAACTTTGAATTCTCCAAGTTTCAAAAGATTTATTACCAATTCATTGTTACAAAGTCATTGGCTGTTATCAGGAAAGTTACTCTTTAAATTAAAGGCATCTTTTTTAACCTGAAAAAATTCTCTAAAATATTGTTATTTTAAGTACTTCATGGTAAATAATTTTGATAACATAGCTTTTAAAAATGCTTTCAATATAATTTCATAGAATTATTGTGGTTATAACTTAGCTCATTCAATTCATTGAAAATTATAGCACAAAATTCAGTTGTGAAAGGCATATTTTCTTGCCAAACAAAAATCTGCCTTACTTTTCATTAGAAAACATATAATTTTATTATTAGCTTCAACAACTTTTAATACTCATTTTTATGACAGCCATTTTACTTGTCAATTCTAAGAATATATGATCATGAATTTGATATGCAGATAAATATTTATCATGGGCCAATATACTTTAATTTTAATATGAGGTTTAGTCTTTAGAAATTGAAAGATAAAAAGCTCTCCAGATTATTTAATATGTTCCTTGATTAAAGAAGTCTTTGCTCACATAAATATTGACTTTTAACTTGCTCCTTGGTTTCAGACCTTGGGACCACAGTGAAACACATGATAATAAAACTCATTTAATTGAGAGCTACAGATCTTTCTTCTACACAGTGGGGTAGCATAGTTGTGAAAGGTGAGGCGAGGAGAAAGACTGTGCCTAGTCTCTCAACTGAATACACATTCTCAGGCCTGTGCATTTTAGGTAGAATATAGCTTGGAATCAATCATCTAGAAACTCATTGCTTTAACAATCTATGCCTATAGACTTCTTGAAAAGTTTTGTATTCACGGCCACGTACCCTACCTAACAAACATTGCTGGTCTTGATGAAAATAGCATAGCTGAAGCACATGAACTTATATAAATTTGAAGGTACTAGAAAGACAAAAAATAATGAGATAAGGACATGACTAGATAAAAATTAAGACTTTTTGATACAAATCAGAAAAGTGTGTGTGTGTGTGTGTTATTCTACATATGTATATATAGTTATTAAATATAGTTATACATATAGTAATTATATATATAATAACTAGCAATGCTTTAACACTTAAGTTTATCAGCCTATCAGATATTTAAAATGAGTGATGTTTAACATTTTTATATGTTTATCAGCCTATCAGCCATTTAAAAATCTTCCTTTACAAAGCTACTGTATGTTTTTATTCATTTTTGAACAGTTGCCTGTATCTTATTGATTTATAGGAACATTTTATATATTCCCATCCACATTAAACCAGGGCAATAGTCTACTTTTTTTTTTATTCCTATTAAGTTAAGCTTTTGGCAAAAAGGACACAAATAAGAAAAGTGCCTTTTTAATGTATTGTTTTTATATCATAACCTTTAACTCTGGTATTTAATCTCCATTCCTCTTAGGCAGAATTTTACTTTTTCTACAGCTAAAATTTGCAAGACACTTGTCAACCACTTTAGTACTCAGGAGAGGGCCATGAGGTATATTCTAAGAGCTTGCCTCTATATTAATGAAGATATTACTAAATATAAGACAAACTTACAATTCATTTTGTTCTTACTGAAGTAGTGTTCTTTTTCCATGACAGATAAACTTCATATTAAGGGCACAGATATGGTTTGTTATAGCTCTTTGCAGTTCAAATTTTCTGTGACACACTAAAAGAAACGCTTAAAATTGAGTTGAATTTATTTGAAAGAGGTCAATGAGTCACAGCAAATGTATACATTTTTCACTTAAATACTGTCTGCATGGCTGCTTAAACAATTCTCTTTTTCTCCAAGTAGATTCATAATAATGACTGAAATTTAATTCCAATAAATGAAATTGGTTTGTTGTTGTCAAGTAAATGTACACTATAACTGTGGAACCAAACATATATTTAGTTAATCACAGGACTCACCAGTGTCAATGAGATTAAAATATTACATTATTGTTTTCATAAGTTGGAGAATTATCTTTAAGAAAATGAATATCCCCAAAATAAATGAGGGAAATTACATATCTGGCGTTAGCCTAAATTGAATGGAATCTTGATGTGACAATGGAAATATTCTTTTCCATCTAAAATTTCAATTTAAATTTTCTTCAATTAATATCTGTCTTCCTAAAAATGTTACATTGTTATCACTCTCTAGCAAGAAGTATACTATAATTCTTTTTTCATATGAACTAACATGATTGGTAGAACTCTCTAGAAGTAGTATGCTAAAACATTTTCTTGATATAATACAGTACCAAAGAAGAAATGTACTCTTGGGAATATATTAATTTTATGGTATAGAATTTATGAAGAAATTTCTCTGCAGGTAAGAACTTATAGTCAAAGAGTTAAAACATTTGCCTTTATTCAAAATAACTAAAAATTTTAAAAGTGTGTGCGTGCGCACATGCTACTAAAAGAATTAAGACAAATAAACTTTAATTAAATAAAATCTGTATCTGTAGTCAACAGCTAAAATCAATCCTAATTAAAAAGAATTTTAAATGCCTTTGCATTATTTGTTCTTCTAAATGCACAGTGAAGTCACAAGGATGATGTTTGACATATTGTTATTGTGAGCACCTGTTAAAATGCAAGGCTGATATATATGTTAAACATAGGACTAAATGAGGAAAGTTCCACTTGTTATCCAGCTACTTCTGGAGGGATCCTGATATTCAGTTCAGTTGTATTAAATGGTTTGGGGACTGACAGCATGTATCCTTGTAGATTTCAATTCACAACTAGGTTTACTATCCACCCCTTAGGCCAAAAGTTCCATTTTATGCAGTACATCTAGCTTTCCTTAAGACTTGACTATCAAGATTGTTAATTCTTTTTCTGAAATCAAAATTTTCCTTTGCTTTATTCTTTTTATTTATTTATTTATTTTTTTGACGGAGTCTTGCTATGTCGCCCAGCTGGAGTGTAGTGGTGCGATCTCGGCTCATTGCAACGTCTGCCTCCCAGGTTCAAGCGATTCCTCTGCCTCAGCCTCCCAAATAGAATGATGTAAAACATGGTGTATTAGCCTGTTTTCACACTGCTATAAAGAATACCTGATGCTGGTTAATTTGTTACATAAAGCAAAGAGGTTTAAATGACTCACAGTTCCACATGGCTGGGAAGGCCTTGGGAAACTTACAATCATGGCAGAAGGTGAAGGGGAAAGCAAGAACCTTCTTCACATGATGGCAGGAGAGAGCGTGCAGGGGAATCTGCCACTTTTAAAGCCATCAGATCTCAGGAGAACTCACTCATTATCATGAGAACAGTATGGGGGAAAGCGCCGCCATGATCCAATCGCCTTCCACCACGACCCTCCCTTGACATGTGGGGATTACAATTGGAGATGAGATTTGGGTGGGGACAGAGCCAAACCATATCAAATGGAAATAACCAACATTAATATTTCAGCTAAATAAATATTGAAAATAACAAAATAAAAATTTAAGAAGCCATCTTCATTCAAATGTAGGATTATAGACTATTAGAATAAGAGGAACTTTGAAGTCAGATTCAGTCTTTTACTTTTAACTCTTCATTTGCAAGTAATAAAAAGTAAACAATGAATGCTACAAGTATGTAATTCTTTTCACTTTTATTATTTCTCTCTTTGTTGACAGAATTATTTTTTAGACTGTCTTGACTCCAATACATTATTTCAAAGCATAATAACATATTTGGATTTTGATAAATGGCACACTAGGTATGAATTTTAACACAAATATATTTTTAATTACTTAATACTGTAGTGTTATTTCTTTCAAAACAAAGTAGCAGTTTATTACATGGGATTTTCCACTTTGAGCATATACTAGTCATAATTAATGAGTTTGTTTTCACTACTTTTAGAAACAAACCTATATTTGTCAGTTGACTTGTTAAGGAGAGGAACTGAGCTATTACCCCAACTGTCACAAATTAAATGGATTTATTTTGTGCTAACATCAGTCCTGTACTCCACCTGAGATTCTAGCAAAGTTTGAACATCTCATACTGGTGCAGCAGTCACAAGTCTTCAAGAATTGTATTGGATTAATGATGCCAATACACCTTCAAAATTTACTTCCTAAACAAATGAAAAACATTTTCTAACTGGACACCATAGCTCTCAAATTCAGATTCTTTCCACACTATAACAATCCATACTCATAGGTAAAATCTGTACCAGGATATCATTATCAGAAGAAAAGTGCTTGCCACTGGGACCCGGTCCTTATTTCAGAGATGTTTTCCAGAAAGGGGTCCTTTTATTTTTTTCTGTCCCAGTTCTTGACATTTTGTGGTATGCTTTGAAAAAACACTGCTTTCTTAGAGCATATAACTATCTGTCCAACAACAGACTGAGGATGAATCTAATATATCAGCAGAGAAGAAAGTTCCAATATTTAAGATTTTTGCTATCCAATGATTGCAGGTTTTCGCAGCCAAAGTAGGGGCAAGAGCACTCCTCAATTCCAATTTCAGCCACCTTAGCAAGTGTAGATGCATCATATCATGAACTAAATAATTCCAAACCACCTCCCCCTTTAGTGCCCCTTTAGTGCCCGTCTGTCTTTCAATATACTTCTTATACAGTCAGTCCTTGAACAATGCAGGGGTTAGGAATGCCAAGCCTCAACATAGTCAAAAATTTGTCCATAACTTTTGACTCCAAAACATAACTGTGAATAGCATACTGTTGACTGAAAGCTTGACCAATAACATGAACATATTTTTACAATAATGTAAACTAGACAAACGAAAATTTTGTTGTTGTTGTTGTTGTTTGTTTGTTTGTTTATTTTGAGAGGGAGTCACGCTCTGTAGCCCAGACTGGAGTGCAGTGGCACTATCTCGGCTCACTGCAAGCTCCGCCTCCCGAGTTCACGCCATTCTCCTGCCTCAGCCTCCAGAGTAGCTGGGACTATAGGCACCCACCACCATGCACGGCTAATTTTTTGTATTTTCAGTAGACACGGGGTTGCACCTTGTTAATCAGGATGGTCTCTATCTCCTGTCCTTGTGATCCGCCCTCCTCAGCCTCCCAAAGTGTTGGGATTACAGGCGTGAGCCACCGTGCCCGGCCAAGAAAATGTTTTTAAGAAAATTATGAGGAAGAGAAAATATGTTACTATTCATTAAGTGGAGGTGGATGCTTGTAAGTCTTCATCCTTGTCATCTTTTTATTATTATTATTATTATTATACTTTAAGTTCTAGGGTACATGTGCACAACATGCAGGTTTGTTACATATGTATACATGTGCCATGTTGGTGTTCTGCACCCATTAACTCGTTATTTACATGAGGTATATCTCCTAATGCTATCCCTCCCCCTTCCCCCACCCCACAACAGGCCCTGGTGTGTGATGTTCCCCTTCCTGTGTCCATGTGTTCTCATTGTTCAATTCCCACTTATGAGTGAGAACATGCAGTGTTTGATTTCTTGTCCTTGCCATAGTTTGCTGAGAATGATGGTTTCCAGCTTCATCCATGACCCTACAAAGGACATGAACTCATCATTTTTTATGGCTGCATAGTATTCCATGGTGTATATGTGCCACATTTTCCTAATCCAGTCTATTGTTGATGGACATTTGGGTTGGTTCCAAGTCTTTGTTATTGTGAATAGTGCCTCAGTAAACATATGTGTGCATGTGTCTTTATAGCAGCATGATTTATAATCCTTTGGGTGTATACCCAGTAATGAGATGGCTGGGTCAAATGGCATTTCTAGTTCTAGATTCCTGAGGAATTGCCACACTGACTTCCACAATGGTTGAACTAGTTTACAGTCTCACCAACAGTGTAAAAGTGTTCCTATTTCTCCACATCCTCTCCAGCGCCTGTTGTTTCCTGACTTTTTAATGATCGCCATTCTAACTGGTGTGAGATGGTATCTCATTATGGTTTTGATTTGCATTTCCCTGATGGCCAGTGATGATGAGCATTTTTTCATGTGTCTGTTGGCTGCATAAATGTCTTCTTTTGAGAAATGTCTGTTCATATCCTTCCCCCACTTGTTGATGGGGTTGTTTTTTTTCTTGTAAATTTGTTTGAGTTCATTGTAGATTCTGGATATTAGCCCTTTGTCAGATGAGTAGATTGCAAAAATTTTCTCCCATTCTGTAGGTTGCCTGTTCACTCTGATGGTAGTTTCTTTTGCTGTGCAAAAGCTCTTTAGTTTAATTAGATCCCATTTGTCAATTTTGGCTTTTGTTGCCATTGCTTTTGGTGTTTTGGACATGAAGTCCTTGCCCATGCCTATGTCCTGAATGGTATTGCCTCGGTTTTCTTCTAGGGTTTTTATGGTTTTAGGTATACCTTGTCATATTAAGAGTCCTCATTGTCTAGACCTTGTTATACAACCATAAAATTGATGGCTGATACTAATCTTTTTCCTTTAAGGCTCAGGGTTTTCAGCTTTATAGACAAAGGTAGTCCTGATCATAAAACCAACTGCATTTGAAGTATTATGATTTAATATTGCATCTTTACATTTGTTAACATTTTTCTTAATTTTGAATGGCAGCATGTATAGTCTGTAAGTGTTCGTGGGCATAAGTTTTAATAAATTTTTACTTTATAGTAGATTCACGTATATTTTATAGTAGCAAATGATACAACATATTATTAGCATCCACATCTACCGTATGCTTTCATGACATATCTAACTTTTACTGCCTCTGCATGCAGCATTCCTTCCAGTTATGGGGCAGGACCCATTCTGGAATGGAGATCTTATGGCCTACAATCAAACAAGGTAGTTCAGATAATTTCTTTATGGCCAGCTCTTACACAGAAAGGTGGAGTTGGGGGGTGAATTCTTGTAATTTTTTAGGTTTGTATAGCTGGCTTTGAGGTAAAGGGGTTCTGGTTACTATAACCTGCCTAGGAGAAGAGGAATTCTAGTTTCTACAGCTAGCCTCAGGGGACAACAATGGAAGGAAGGCAGGGGGACAGTAGGAAGTCAGAGAGAAACTTTGCTTTTGAGACTACTTCTGAGGTTTTCACTTAGGGATATCATATTCTGAGCATCAATACAACCATGCTGACTAGTTTGGGAGGTTATCATTACCAAAAAAAAAATCAACTTACTTTAATTTCTTGATTTCTAAAATATAAAATAAAATAAAATAAAATCTGTAAGCATGATGTAACAAAAAAATCATGTAAGTCCCCTACAATTATACAAACCCACCCACATGAGTATCTTAGGAAGCCCATGTTATGGA
Organism: Homo sapiens; assembly: GCF_000001405.40. NCBI lineage: Eukaryota > Metazoa > Chordata > Mammalia > Primates > Hominidae > Homo > Homo sapiens. Next base: position 35,056,858 of record NC_000004.12, read on the forward strand.
AAATATATTTTTCTCTGTAATGATATTAAGTATCTCTTAAAAAATATTATAAAAATAAAACTGAGTGGTAATAAATAATTTGAGAAGAGCTTCCTATGTGTAACATTGTGATGGTTAATATTGACTGTCAACCTGATTGGATTAAAGGATGCAAAGTATTGTTCCTGTGTGTCTATGAGGGTGTTGCCAAAGCAGATTAACATTTGAGTCAGTGGACTAGGAGAAGCAGACCCATCCTCAGTCTGGGTGGGCACCAGCTAATCAGCTGCCAGCACAGCTAGAATAAAGCAGGCGGAGGAACGTGGAAGGAGGAGACTGGCTAAGTCTTCTCGCTTTCCTATTTCTTCCATGCTGGATGCTTCCTGCCCTCTAACATTGAACTCTTAAGTTTTTCAGCTTTTGAGCTCTTTGACCTACACCAGTGATTTGCCAGAGGCTCTCAGGCCTTTGGCCACAGACTGAAGGCGGCACTGTCGGCTTCCCTACTTTTGAGGTTTGGGGACTCAGACCGGCTTCCTTGCTCTTCAGCTTGCAGACAGCTTTTTGTGGGACTTCACCTGTGATCGTGAGTCAATGCTCCTTATTAAACTCCCTTTTATAAGTACGTCTATCCTATTAGTCCTGTCCCGCTAGAGACCCTAACTAATACAAGCATAAACTTAATGGGTTTTGGAAATTGGAGTCCTCATGTTTTTAATTCACATTTTTTTTTTTAGATAGGCTGGGAAGACATGGTTCACTCATCCATTTTTTTTTTTTATTTTATAAGATGCATCTGTAAAAATTAGATTTTTTATGACTACATAGTATTCAGTGGTATATATGTACCACATTTAGTTTATCCAGTCTATCATTGATGTGGATTTAGGCTGATTCCATATCTTTGCTATTGTGAATAGTGCTGCAATGAACATACATGTACATGTGTCTTTTTAATAGAACAATTTATGTTCCAGCATGGACCTGGAGGCCATTATCCTTAGCAAAGTAACACAGAAACAAAAAACAAAATACTGCATATTCTCACTTATAAGTGGAAGCTACATGATGAGAACACATGGATGCATAGAGGGAACAAAACACACTAGGGCCTGTTGGAGGTGGAGGGTGGGAGGAGGGAGAGGATCGGGAAAAATAACTAATGGGCACTAGGCTTAATGTCTTGGCGATGAAATAATCTGTACAACAAACGCCTATGACACATGTTTACCTATGTAACAAACCTACACATGTACCCTTGAAGTTAAAAGTATAAAAAAAGGTGAAAAATTAGATCAAATTGTCTTCTCCTAGAAATCTCAGCCTTGCTGACAGTTTTCTAGCACATTTCATGTTTCTAGGAAGAAGGCCATACATATTGATTGCACACAGTTATTATTTCTTTCTTTTCTTATGTCTCTGTACATCTCCTACAAACTCACACAACCAGGAATTTTAGGATTGGCAATTATTGTTTCTGTTTTAACTATGTCCTCATTCCTTGGGTTTAGCTTCATCATAGGATTTACTAAGTATATAAGAGTGGAATGTAATCTATAAGGTGCTACAGAAATCTGTATTGGTAGAGAAATATGTTGTTGTAGATTTGCCACTGAATTCAAAAGTGTCTATTGTGAACGTAGACATACTACCATGTTTTTAAATTGCGTTCTCTGTAATATTTTAAGAGGGTGAGACAATATATGCTGTATATTAAAAATATCCCTGGTTATATAATATCAATCAATTTGGAACATTGAGTTTAATATAGCTAAACAGATTTTTCAAATTGGAGAACTTCTCAGAAAAGCCATACAATAAAGCATACTGCTAAGCTTTGTACATTGGTGCAGGTTTTATTTCTCTGAAGAAAATCTCTGTAAGCTGGTATTTAACGTGGGAACACAACTTACAAAGTACACAGTTATGCTACACACAAAATGTCTACAGGCTACTTGACTTGGCTTTCTCACCGCTACATAAAACTCAGACAATAATTCAATAGTGTAACACAAAGATTTACAAATCCTATTCAACTATTTATCAATTATATTTTAGAGATTCCTTACAATATTTCTGAGTATTTTTCTATCTCATTACTATTTAAACTATAGAAATTACAAAGAAACATAAAATAAATACAGTTTGAAATCCCTTTTTAAATAAAATGTAAGCAAAATTATAAACTTTTTTGAAATGTGTATCCATTTTGTATTTTATGACATTTTATAGTTTACCAACACTGATACAGATATTTTATTTACACCTCAAATGACTTCTGTATCATTATATTTATTTTAGAGATGAAAAAGCTAAGGCTCAGAAAATAAAATCATTTACTTCAAAATTATACAGCCATTGGTTAGCATCCATCAGTTAAGTATTTTTCTTTTTTTATTCACTCTATTTCTTTCAAAATATAGCAAATGTGTTGAGATTCCTTCACCTGTATGTCAGAGAATATCAAGCTAAATTATTTTTAACAAAAAGGAGATGAATGGCCTCAAGTAACTGAAAAGATCAGAAGTAGATATAGCTCCAGGCAAGGATGAGTTCAAAAACAATGAAAATAATAGGATGATAAATTAGGTTCTCCAGAGAAATATAATACATATATATATATATGATTCATATATATATGGATTCTATATATATGGATTCTATTTATATATATGGATTCTATATATATGGATTCTATTTATATGTATGTGAATTCTATTTCTAGAATAGAAATATATAGATCACATTTATATGACCTATATCTATATCTAGATATACAGATGATATATAAAGATACAGAAATATAGACACATATAAAAATATATATATAATGTTGTGTCTGAATGTAGATATGTAAAACCTCCGTAATTATAAGATCACATGAGCTCATTATTTTAAGGAATTATCTCATGTAATCATGTGATTATGGGGCTGCAAACACCTAATACGCAGGGTAGGCCAGCAGACTGAAGAAGACCTAAAGAATAGTTGCGGTTTGAATCTAAGTGCATTCTCCTGGCAGAGTTACTTTTTTTCTTGAAGATCAGTCTTTGTTTTTTGTTGTTGTTTTTGTTGTTGTTGTTGTTTGAGATGGCACTGCAAGCTCCTCCTCCCGGGTTCACGCCATTCTCCTGCCTCAGCCTCCTGAGTAGCTGGGACTACAGGCGCCCACCACCACGCCTGGCTAATGTTTTTTTTTTTTTTGTATTTTTTTAATAGAGACAGGGTTTCACCATGTTAGCCAGGATGGTCTCGATCTCCTGACCTCTTGATCCTCCTGCCTCAGCCTCCCAAAGTGCTGGAATTACAGGCGTGAGCCACCAAGCCCAGCCCAGTCTTTGTTGTTTTAAGACCGTCAACTGATGGGATGAAATGAGGTCCACCCACTATGGAGGATATCTGCTTTACTCAAACTTTATCAATTTAATGTTTATCTCATCCCAAAAAAACATGTTCGCAGAGACATCCAGAGTAATTTTTGACCAAATATCAGGGCACCGTGGCCCACTGAAGTTGACACCAAGTTAAACAAAGCAAGTAATCTTTTCTTGACCTTTCTGCTTTACTCGCTCATGCATATGCTCTTTTTCTCTCCCCCTCTGTCTCTCCATGGATACAGAAATTACAGTCACTCTTCATAATTTATAAAAATTAAAAGAAAATGTCTGTTTTTCTGGTTGCTATAGCAAATGTCTTCAGAGTCTTCAGACTGAATTATTTCAACCTCTGTAATGAATAACTGGCTATAAAAATCTAAAGCCCGATGATCCTGGGTCTGGAGCAGATCTCTAAATATAAACATTGGAAACTTAGGCTGGAACAAGGGAAGACACACAACAAAAAGCCTAAGGTATGTTTCATCTATTTTATCAATCATGTAACCTTTAATTTAAAATAAGCCCTTTTATGTAAAGTGTTAAGAATAGGTACCTCTCTGTTTTAAGTTCTTAAAGAAATTTCCAAACTGCTTTCTATAGTAGCTAAACTAATTTATATTCCCACCAACAATGTATAAGTGTTCTCTTTTCTGTGCAGACTTGTCCACATCTGAGACTCTTTGACTTCTTAACAACAACTATTCTTACTAGTGTGAGATGGTATCTCATTGTGGTTTTTATTTACATTGTTCTGCTGATGAGTTATGTGAAACTTTTTTTATGTATTTGTTGGTCTCTTGCATGTCTACTTTTGAGAAGTATCTGTTCATGTCCTTTGGTCATTTTTAATGAAGTTATTTGTTTTTTGCCTGTTGCTTTATTTCAGTTCCTTATAGTTTCTGGATATTAGACCTTTGTCAGATATGCACTTTGCAAATATTTTCTCCCATTCTGTAGGTTGTTTGTTTATTCCGTTGATAGTTTATTTTTCTATGTGGAAGCTCTGTAGTTTAATTAGGTCCCACTTATCACAGAGCTACCGTTCAACCCAGCAATCCTGTTACTGGGCATATACCCAAAGGAAAATAAATTATTCTACCAAAAAGACATATGCACTTGTATGTTCATCACAATGCTATTCACAATAGCAAAGACTGGGAATCAAGCTGGAAGCCCACCAATGGTGGGTTAGATAAAGAAAATGCAGTACATACAGATCGTAGAATACTATGCAGCCATAAAAAGTAATAAAATCACATTCTTTGCAGCAACATGAATGCAGCTGGGGGCCATTAATCCTAAGTAAACTAATGCAGGAACAGAAAATGAAATACAACATGTTGTCACTTATAAGTGGAAGCTAAATATTGAGCACACATGGACATAAACCTGGAAATAATAGACACTGGAAACTACTAGAGGGGGGAGAGAGGGAGGGGGGAATAGTTTAAAAAAACTGCTTATTGGGTACTGTGCTCACTATTTGGATGATGGGATCCATATCCTAAACCTAAGCATCATGCAATGTCTCCATGCAGCCAGCGTGTACAGCCACACTGTACTCCCTGAATCAAAAGTGAAAGTTGAAATTTTTTAAAAAGATGCCCATCTTTTTAGTTAAACCAAAGTTATAAGCTTTAAATCATGAGAAGATTAATGATCTTACTGAGATAATCACGTTCATATGTAGTAGATTCAAAAGTGAGTTAAAATAATAGGTTGGAGGCTAAGCTTCCCCAGCTATCCCTTTTTGCCACAATGATAGATACCTTCTTTCAAAATAGGAGTATAAATATAAAAGTCTTACAATTAATAGAGGAGAAAATATTGTCTGCATAAAGACAAAATGTAAATGGAGAGCATGTATGTTAACTTCTAAAGGATAGTTCACATAAAGCTTGTGAACCCTTCGATATTAATAGATTTTGTTGATTGTCTAGTCTGCTTTAAGCTTTTCTTTTTTTGTTTAAAATACTCAATATGATATTATTTTTGACATGCTATGCATGTCCATAAGTTAATCGGGAATAAAGATACATGGATTTGGAAAAAGAGAAAACTGATTTCTAATTTGTGCTGCTAAGAGTAAATGTTTTCTTTAGAAAATGATCCAATCTCCTTACGTTGAACATAGCATTTATTTCCTGATGCATGCAGACCTAAACATTCAAAGATATGTGTAGCTCCTAAACTTCTTAGACATTCTTTGAAGTGTTTAACGTTAGTTATTAATTCTGCTTGGCACCCTCTCCCCTACATCTTTTAGTCACAAGGTTTCAAAATAGCTTTTAAAAATTGAATGCCAAACTCTTTTATTTGTCCTTTTTCTTCTTTTCTAATGCCTTTAGTCTAATGCAGAGCATGATCTGAAGGCTTATGTACTATTTTGATGCTTAACTATTCTATAAAACAATGTATGTTGCCAAGTAGACAGGCTCATACTTCCTATATCAAACACAAGTCTTACTTCAGTAGTAGAATTATACGTGATAGTGAATTATCTCTATGCAGGTAAAATTTATATATTCCTCTTATTAGATCTTAATATTTCTAACCAAATTTATAACATTCTTCACATTTCAGAGTTAATATGGCGAGACCAGCATCACTAAATCTAAGAAGAGAGAGAAACTGTTGGAGTGCCACATCATAATTCCTGGATAAAGATTTGAAAGACCATTAATATAAATAACACACATTTATCTCTGCATTAGCTTGAGCTGTTCATTTATGCAGCAGTATGTATGGAGTATCATGTAATTTGACCGTGTTGTATGATAAACCTTTAGGATGAATTATAGATTTAAAACGACTATCCATTCTATAATGGGTGAACCAAGTAATGTAAGAATGAATCCATAGTGACAATTTAAATTGGAATTCAAGAAAAAGAACACTTTATTTGCTTCATAAAAACCTGTGAGGCATTGCTATTGAATAACGTAAGCAGAATGCAGTCATATAAATCTTCTTAATTTACATCTAGGGCTTTATTATGCATATTTGATAGCACTCTGAAGAACTTCAATTTACAGACTTTTGGAACTTTACCAATCCCAAAAGAAGTGCTAAACATGCCTGTTGGAACATTTAACTGAAGTAAGTCACTGGAGATTTTCTTAATGAGTGCAGAATTATCAGTTATTTGCATTCCTTGTAGATTTAAAGCTGTAGGGCCTATTAACAAGATAATGGCAAATGCATTTTGAATGCAGGTTTTTCTAAAACCATTCACTATCATGCACAATTCAGTATTATAAATTTTCAGGTATGCATTGAATTTGAGTTACCATTTGTTTACCTCATCTAAATAGATTATATGATACAAATGGTCACATTTTGAATAGTATGCCAATAAATCAACTTAAAGAAACACCAGAGATTGACTAGTGACTAAATCTTGAGTGTGAGCTGATCTTATCACATAGCACGTTAATAACTGATTAGAGTTTACAAAGTAAAATGGTAAAATGGTAATTATTCCTATAAACGTGTGTTCAGAAAATCAAACTACTCCAATCTTCTCTTCAATGACCAGTTATAACCATTTTTCATCTTTTTAGGAAGCGTTCCTTTCAGAAAGTTTGGCATTAAATGTATGCACTGCACTTTTTAAAAACATAAGTGTTGTGCTTTATTCTTTTATCAACACTAAATTATGATTCATAATTGGGAGAGAAGCTGATCATGTAAAATTATAAAACTGACATTTGGTGAAAGAGAAACATTTATCTGTGATTATTTTGTATTAGCTTTAGCTTCCGTCTAACAGCTTAAATAATCTGCCTACCCATGTGTATAGTGGAATGATGAGTTTAATCTTAGACCACACACAATTGGGTAATTGATTTCCATTATGAAGCATATAATACATTTGCCACAGTAAAATAGTGGCAACTAAGTAAACCACTAAAATTAGGATGCATTAGATGCAGCCATACACCATGCCAAATATATAGTAGTTTCAATTTTGTCAGGCAGATATGCTTTTATTTAATGTTATAGATGGCATGTGAGTCTCTTGAGTCTGAGGCATGGCCATGCCCTTTCTATAGAGTATTATCTTCATAAAAAGCACAATGATCAACATTATGTCTGCCCTTATCTCCCAGTGGAGGTTATTGTAACATGTTAAAAGGCTCTCCTTTCACCCCTGTTTTCAGTATGATGAAAAAAAAATCTCTGGAAGGTTTTCTTTCTTTCAGTTTTTGAAAATGCCAAAATGAAAACCTGTAGGCAAAGAAGAGAAATAGTTAATCCATGATTATTGATGCACAGGTCCATTTTAGTTGTGTGGATGTTGATCTCATCTCTAATTCAGGTTTTCATGATTCATAAATGGGGTAAATATATTGCTACATAAATTTAAGCATAAGTGTAAGGAGCGAGCTAACAAGATCAATTGTCCATATTCACTTGTGTCACTATAATATTCTAGAAGAATTAATTACTCCAGTCTCAGGGTGACTCAAGTAAACACTAAAGTGTTATCTTCCCTGTGTCTGATGTGTTGAATGGCTTGCAGACTTTTGAACTATCAGACTTGGGTTCGGTTTTAGCTCAATAGTATAAAGCTCCGCAATTTCATTTTCCTAGTATGCAAAAAGACAAACCTGTTTCCTCCTCTGTTACCATCCTGTAAGATTATTTTAAGTATTAAGAAGCTATGTATTATATATATATAAAGTATATTTGAGGTGGAAGCTCTGAGAGCTATGATCATTTTTATTGAATTATGTTTATTATAATTGATATTATTTTCATTTTTTCTTGGGCTCCATTTTTAAATTCCCAGATTCCTGCTTGACTCCTCCAGAGGCATAACCCCTCAGTACTTCAGTATCAACATCTCTGAAGTGGATATTATGAAGCTGGTAAGAGATTTCTTCTACCAGCAAAAGATGCCTTCACCAAGTAAGCATTGGAAATGAGGGAAGTAAGACGAGAGCTTGACTCTACAGTTTAAATTAACACATAATGAACAAAATGAGTAGAGACCCATTTTTAATACAAATAACTGTGTCGGTATACATTGTAGTGCATATATGTAATATATGTACTTTATAGAGTGATATGTATGCAATCAGACAATGGTACAAATGTTGAGTCACTGTTACTGGTATCGCTCACCAAATGAAGCATGGATGAGTTATCTGTACACATGTTGGCATCACTCATTTAAAGACTCTCAATGAGAGAGGTTTCCTGTCAGATTAAATGCACACATATTAGCTTCCTGGTAGGCAAATCTTTAGTGTGGAGAGGGACTTGTTAGGCTAGCAGAGCCTGGTGGATTTTTAGCTCTTGTGTCACATAATTAAATCAATTTACACCATTTTCATGCTCATTAAGAAAACTTCCAATTGTAATTTGGCTTCCTGTGAAACCTGTTTTTGTGAGAGTGATGCTGAAGCTGATCAGATTCTAAGAAATATATTTATCATTATTAGAAAATAAATAGACATTGCAGCCTATGTATCCTTTTCTTATAAGCTTTTTTATTATGAATTATAATTCTTAAATTTGATCACTGTGGGGAGAGAGATAATATCAAATTTCTGTGCCTTAAAGATTGAGGGTTAAAATTGCGATTGGCCAATTCACACAGAATAAAGCCCCCTAATGAGGGCCTCTCTGGGCAACCTGCTGGTTTCCCTGAGGTAATGTTTCTCTCATAATTATGTTGCAGAATGTTCCATTTGGAATTGTATTCTCTAAGGCATAGTAACATATTCCTTGTCCTGTTTTGCAAATATCAGTTGAATGGATTGCCATCTCTCTAATAAACTTGTCTAATAAAGCATACAGGCTGAGTTCAAATCTTGTTCTACCTCTTACTATCTGGAAGACTTAAGGCAAAGTATTTGACTGTTCTTTGCCTCAGTTTCTTTACAAGTATAATAAATAATAATGGTACATTCCTATTAGAGTTTTATGAGAATTAATTGGATGAATGTTTGTAAGATGAAAGAACAATGCCTGCCATTTAATAAACTTTTACACAAACTTTTGTTAGTGAAATAAACTACCCTTTGACTAGTTTCTATACATAAAATAGATTCCCAAATTGTATTCATTCTGTCATTATAATGTCTCTTAAATTAGTGCCTGTTTCTTGAAATTTATCTCTACTGCTGATTCAATTTTTAAACTCGCATGTAAACTATTTTAATATGTTCCACAGTTGTCAGCCTGCATAAAATATTTTCCCATTCTGATTTCATACTGCCTCAGAGCTATCTTAAGACATGCATCTGATCACTACACTTCCTCTCCTCATATTTAACACTCACTGAGTATTGCTTATACTCAGTGTTAGAATGAATTCTAAACTCTGCAGTAAGACATCCCAGGCCATCCACAATCTGTTCCTAATCTCACTCGTCAGCCTCATTTCACATTATGCCCTTCAAAATCATTGCAATCTAATTACACTCTTCTGCTGGTCCCCAAACGCATCAACCAAGTTTTCAAGTGGGAATCATAGCCACGTTGTTGTTAAAAGCCTGAGAGCTGAAGTCAAGTTTCCTCAGATTCCATCCCCCATGTAATAATTATTTGTTGGTGACCTTCGGCAAATCATTCAATCTCTTTATATTTTAATTTGCTAAGTTTTAATTTCCTAGGAAAACAATACCAGCCTGACAGAACTAATAGAGAGAATATGTGGCTTTTAGCACTCCACTTGCCACTCATTATGTGATTGGTAAAATGTACTTGTCTCTTTTTAGGTTGCCTCGGTTGTTCCTTTAGACTGAAAGACCTATTTTCCATAAGAATTTTTCCATTATGGAAGAGCTATGTCAAGTGCAAGTAATATGTCAAATATTTCCTGTCCCCCTAAAAGCAGCATAAGGTATTCCTGCTACAAACCCCATACATCATATTAATTTTACTTATATTTAGAATTCAGACTTCTTTTTTTTTTTTTTTCTTCTACTAGACAGTGAACTCTAGTAGAGTTCTGTGTGTTTAATCTTTCTATTCCCTACAGAAAGAGACCGTGTCTTTAATCTTTCTGTTCCCTACAGCCTATTGCCATCAGGAATGCTGCCTTAAAACGTAAGGTCCTCTAAGAATACGTTTTCTTTGCTTAAATCAAATTGAGAGAGAAAGACAAGTTAGGACTCCATGTCTTATATCCCGATGTATTTTTCACTTCCAGTTACCCATTGCTCTTTGTACATGGGTAGCGAGCTATGCGACTTTGGGAAAACAGCTCATCTCATCTAAGACTCAGTTTCTTCATCTATACTATGCTCATATGGAATGTATCTATTTTAAAAGGCTGTCATGAGACTTAAATAAGTTGATTCACATAGCACAGTGATTGTTCCTGTAGTAAATGCTCAGCCATGCTTATAAACTATTATCATTATTAATTTTAGCTGAATTATTATTTGGGGTGAGAGTGAAATGAGGGTAGACAACATAATAATTCTGCATTTTCATGTCAAGTTTATAAAAAAATAGTGCTTTATGGTTTTCTCACTAAAATCTGAGAGACTAGGGTAATTGAGAAGTTGTCTGAGATTTGGCAATATTCAATATGAGTGCCCAGAATATCAAATGCAAATGTGTTTGCCCCCAAACAACCAAGGCAACTTAGAAAAAAATATATTACTTGTTATTTATGCTTGGTTCTGGAAATTTGTCAGCAAAAAGTAAAACTAGTCCAAAACAATTCCTCTAACAATATAACATACGTCTGATGTTTCAATATATAGGTAAGATGGTATATCATTTCCTTTGTTATTGCTAGTACATCATCTTGTGATTTGTATCATTATATAGTGAGATTCAGATTTATAGTTATCTCTTGAATGTTTTTATAATGATTTATGAAGGCAATGGACATAGGACTGAAGGACCAAAATTAAGATCTTCATTAATTTTCTTCATTCCATTTCCATGATGAATTTATTTCACCCTCTAACGTAAGCCCAATAACAATTCATGCTCATGCACGTAAGGAAAAACAATTAACTTACTATTTAAAATTTTTAAATTTTGCTTTCTTTTTTCCTGACACATTGTAATGATTAGTAAAGATTCTGAAAGTGAAATCTAAGATTTACATGGTGTGCTCAGAAAAAAACACAGAGATTTGGTTCCATTGAGGCCTGATAGTCAACATCTCTAGGAGGGAGAGGCTTGAAATTCAAATTGTAGCAGTCTCCCCAGCTGGTTTTTATGTACATTCACAAGTGAGAATCAGTGAATTAGATTAATTGCAATTCAAAAAAATATGTATTTAGAATACCCTTGAATTTCAAACAGATTTATATGTGAGAAAAATTAAAACACTGTGAGAGTTATTTCCCTTATGGCTTGCTATGGTCATCACAGTTCTCAGAATTTTAGTATTGTTTCCAAGGCCAGTTTGCGTTAACAATCAATCCGGTACTATTTCATTCCATAAAGTGTTGTTCCGTTTTATACTGAATTTGCAAAGCTGTCTCAGCGGTTTTAACCACTCTAGAAAGCAATTATAGATTTCTCTGTTTGCAGAGTGCCCTTTAAAAACTAAAGCATTTCACTGTAATCAGAGGTTTCTGTTACAAGTACCTTTCTAAATACACTCAATTCCCTTGTAAGTCTGGCCTTTAGGTTTTTCTGATGTTGTCAGCATGTGTAACAGGCACTATGTTTTACTCATCCTAAACAAGAGCAATAAATATTTCATTCATTTAATTTTCTCTTGCTTTATTCTTTTCTTTCGTTGTTTTTTTCTTCTTTTTTATTATTGAAGGCTGGGATTTGACTTTTTAAGACATGATTCTATTCTACATTCAAATCTCCAGATAAGCTCATCAGGCCAGAGACTCACCTGATACCTGAAGAAATATCATTTGTTTGTCTAACTATGTTTCAATAGGTTGAAAATTTAATTATTATTCAGTTAATCAGGTCAATGGAAACAGTCAATTTCTTCAAATTGCTTGTAACACACATACAAAACACCACACCTATAACCAACAGCTCAGCAGTGTTTGTACTTCCAGAAATTTAAATTAAAAATAGCATATTTTTAAATTTAATCTAATTATTGGTTAAGTATTCTTAGAAATGCAAACAAACTAAAGAAAAATTTGAATTTAAATAATTTTCATATTTTATATCCTATTATTCCAATAAATTTACTGTGATCCATGTATTTTAGGTCATTTTTTTCAGCCTTCTATTTTTGAATTTTTTACTTTCTTTGTCTACAACTGTATATTTGGCAAGTTAACTTCATGATTAGCTGGCTTTAGTAGCTTTATCTGTTGTTATGATAAAAACTGAAAACACAAGAAGATTGAATAATGTGACCTAAATTTGGAAAACTATGGTTGACACTGGCATATAAATTCATGATTTATCATATCTGTGAGAGAAATAAGGAAATTAATACATTGATAATCTGGGCTTGTTCTTTACTCATTTTAAACTCAAGTATCAAGACCAATGACCATTATATGATAAAAATAAGGAAGAACAACACTCTATGAGAGAAAAGAAAGGTGAAGATGACAAAAATACTCAGTAAACAAATAGGTGTGTGTGGGTACAGTTATTTCTTTGGCCACATACTAGCAGTGGGTTAGCACATGCGCTTTGGACAGATCCTTCAGAGAACGTGGTGCTCATGGTCTACACTTATCAAGATCCAGAAATGGAATAGTAACTACTGTTAGGGCCAACTCTGGAAATTTTAGTAAGTGTGAAAATCGGTGCAACAAGGACATCTAATAAAGAGATACTCCTTACTCTACTATCTCCTCTAAAATTATTCTAATTATAATATTAATCCATAAGACCAGATGAGTGCACATCACTAGGGAATCTAACCAAGGTGGAAGCATTGACCAGTAACACAAGGTAAACCTACAGAGTTGACAGTTACCCAACTCATCCATCTTGCAATATTTTTGCAAGCCTGTATTGGCAGGGAGTCGGGGAGGGTAGAGAAGTCAAGGCATAGTGTCTAATTTTAACTAGTGGATGCTTGTCATAGTCTTCTGTTCAGTTCTCTGGCAAGACTTGTGTTACTTATGATTCAGTCTTTGAAAATACCTGTAATCCAACTTCAATCTTGCACTTAGAGAAACCTGAAAAAATAATACAATTCAGACAAAACTGAAATATTACTATACCTATTAGAATAGGCAAAGTCCAGAACAGTGTAGCACCAAGTGCTGCTGAGAATGTGGAGCAACAGGAACTCTCACTCGTTGGTGGAAATGCAAAAAGTTATAGTCACTTTGGAAGACAGTTTGGGAATTTCTTACAAAACTAAACATATTCTTACCATAAGATCCAGCAATCATGCTCCGTGTTGTTTACCCAAAGGAGTTGAAAATGTATGTCTACATGAAACCCTGCATACATATGTTGATAATTCATGTGAATTTATTCATAATCACCAAAATTTGGAAGCAACCAAGATGTCCTTCAGTAGGTGAGTGGATAAACAAACTGTGGTACAGTGGAACATATATGCAATGGAATATTATTCAGTGCTAAAAAGACATGAAAAGACACAAAAGAAACTTCAATGCATATTACTAAAAGAAGGAAGCTAAGCTGGAAAGGCTATATACTATACAATTCTCAGTATATAGTATACTGGAAAAGGCAAACCTATAGAGAAAATAAAACAGGTTAGCCAGGAGTTAATGGGGAAAGAGTGACAGGTGGATGGAGTGCAGAGGATTTTTAGGGCATTAAATCTACTCTGTATGATGCTATAATGGTTTATACATGACATTATACATTTGTCTAATGATGTAGAGTATACAGTTCCAAGAGCGAACGCTAATGCAGACTGTGGACTTTGGGTATTAATGGTGTGTCAAGGTGGATTCAATGTGGAGCAACAGGAACTCACACTTGTTGGTGGAAATGCAAAAATTTATAGTCATTTGTAATGACTATTTGTAATAAATGTAGCACTCTCATGGGAATGTTGAAAATGGAGAGGTTATGCATGAGTGGAGGAGGAGTTTATATGGAAATATCTGTACCTTCTACTCAATATTTGCTGTTAAGGTAAAACTGCTCTAAAACATAGTCTATTAAAGAAAATATAGATTTTCTGTTTTGTTTTCTTTTATTTCTGTGGTTTATTTACAAGATCTTTTAGTAAATAATAATACTTTTTAGCAATACAGAGGTGAAGATTACTTGCTTATTTTATTAAAAGCAATCTTAGAGACTTTCAAACTTTAACAATTTAAAAATATAACCTTTATACAAAGATGTTTTTCACTATATTCTAAAATATTGATAATACTAATCACTATAGAAATTTGCCATAATTCTATAGATCTTTTATCTGGTAGTCAAGTGTACACAAAAAATAATAGTTTATTGTTTAAAATATTTTATGTATTATTTTGATTTAGAAGTTTCTATCTGGCTTGCAGATATACTAAAAGCTTGACTTTTCCAATGGCTAATAATTTCTTTCTGCTCTTAAACACTCTCCTCATCTGTTACAATTATCTAAAGATTTTCAAAGTAATTTCTCAATCAGTTTTATAAATATTACTACAAAAAGGTATTAAATTAAGACAACGTTCCCCAAGCCTGTATCCAAGTTTTTGATACATGATGTTTATATTTTGCTTTTTTCCTTAAAGTCTTAGATGGTTTATAAAATCTAAATATTTTAATAAACATGAATGCACATAAATAATGCTTGTACACATGTATATGCATGTCGAAATTAGCAATAAATTAAGGATATAAATAATTAGAATGAAATTTAGGACGAGGTTAAAATCTCATACATTGGAATTATATGCTTAGAGGACCAGTATAATTGTCGCCCAGGAATGTGAACAATAATATTCAGCAATGCAGCACTGTCCAAAAAGAAACGTGAGAAAAAATAAATCCAGGCCTTGTGTTAGCATATCAGCCCCTGTATGAGAATGAGGTCTCAGAAACCCTTTAGATATCTATGTTCACTGGATAAAAATATGTCAGTGTGACCCAATGTATTAGGAAGTTGTTTGAAAATGATCCACCAAATGCATATATAAATTTGATAAAGACCATTTATATCTGCTTCCAGTTTCAAAACTCACTCATTTGGCACTATGTGAACATAAAACAGTCTAGGAGACTTGACTAAAAAGCAAGACTTTTGTCATAATTTGATAGATACATGAATCGTTTTTTAAAAGAACTCAAATTAGGGAAAAAGAATCTAAGCTTTTTTTTGTGGGCCAGTTGGGTTAAGGTACATTGTGGGACAGGAATAAATAGTGCCAACTTTCAATCAGTGGCTTCACTCACATGCACTACCATATACATATATGCTTGTGAGTGTCTGCATGTGTACACTCAGTTAATGGTCACCACTGCAGCAGTTCTAGATACCTTTCAGAGTAATTGTTCTTTCTTATATGGCTCAGTAACCCAGGCTGCTTTCCTCTAATGTTTTATTCATCTCAGCATGAGGGCTTCTTCTTCAGCACAGCAGGAAAAGAGATAAAAGACAGTTCTATCAATCTACCTACCTATCATTTTTATTTCTTCCTTTCTTTTTCCTTCTCTTCCCTTCTCTCTCTCTGTCTCTCTTGCTCTCTTTGTCTTCTTTGTCAGAACTTCCAACATAAAGTAGGGAATACTGGAAATGACAATAATTTTCCTATTATATATTACTGAACATAGTTTTCTTTACTACCTAGAAAATATTAAAGTGGTTCTGTTTATCATAATTGACTAAGAAAACTATAGCTAATTTTTTTTCTATTTTTAGTTTATATATAAAGTCAAGCTCACAAAATGATTAATTGGCTCAAATTTTATCACTAATCATTTACCATGGGAAACCTGTCCATATTTTGCTAAAAGTGTTAGTTTACTATCTCTCAATTGTCTCTTAGTGAAATGCCTGACCTACTGAAGAACTAAAGGCTTTGTTTAGCTCTCGAACACAACATGAACATTGCTCTAAGACATGATGTTTGGATGAGTATTTCTCTCTTAGATGCTATTTTTTTTAATTTCAACTTTTATTTTAGGTTCAGAAAGTACAAGGGCAGGTTTGTTACATGCTTATATTTTGTCATATTGAGGTCTGAAGTGTGATTGATCCACTCACCCAGGTAGTGAGGATCGCTCTCGTGGGTAGTTTTTCAACCCTTGCCCCCTCCCTTTCTTTCCCCTCTAATAGCCACAAGTATCTGTGGTTCCCATTTTGATGTCCATGTGTACTCAATCTTTAGCTCTTATTTATAAGTGAAAACATGACATATTTGGTTTTCTGTTTTCAACAAATATGTATTGACCATTGACTATGTGCATGAACTAAAATAAATAGTTTCATAGGTTAGTAGAGCAACGTTCCATAGCATTAGAATCTGGAGACTCACAATGGATCAGTTGATGACATTGGGATTTTAGAAATGATTATATTATATAGAATATGTTATTTTCTCTTTCACTAATTTTCCAGTGTCTTATACTGTGCCTAAAAATTCATTAATCAGTTGCAGGCTGCCAAACACCATTTAAGACATAGATATACTACCAGACAATTAGGAATATATAACCTTTAAAGAATTTATCAGGACAAAATTGAGTGGAATCCATTTTTGAGACAGTTATGCAGTGATTTTAACCCCTTTATCATGGGTATCTCAACAAAAAAAAGCACTTAATTTTTGTTCCTGGCAATATACACTATTCCTTTTTTCAACTGCAGTTTTTCCCTTCTGTTCTGTAAAGCATTTTAAAAAATAGTTTATGTGATTTGTTTCACCTCTAACGATGTTTCTTATGTATTTACTTTTTTTTACTTTTAGTAAAATATATATCACATAAAATATGTCATTTTAACTATTTTTATGTACAATTCAGCGGCATTAATTATATTCACAGTGTTGTAAAACCGTCACCTCTGTTTCAAAACTTTCCCAGAACCCAAACAGAAACTCTATTCCCATTAGACAATAATTCCCCATTTACCCTTTACTCCAGCCCATTGTCACATTTAATCCACTGTATCTATAATTTTGCCTACTCCAGATATTTCACATAAGTATAATTATATAATGCTTGTCCATTTGTGTATGCTTAGCTCATGTTTTCAAGGACATATTTAATATTCTTTTTTATTTTCTAACAACACTAAAAGAAAATTAAAACAAAATGAGGAAATATTTCTCTTTCTGTTGGCCCAGCGTTTTAATGACTAGGGCATTTAATGACTAGGGCATCCAAAAATGTATCTAACCACCATCAGAAGAAAAAGAAATAATAAAAATGTTAATAAAGAAGAAGTGTTATTCACGGGCAGAGACAATATTAAATGTTATTCTAATGCAACATTATATTTAGTAACCATTTAATCTGGTAATATCTTATCCTTGCAATAACATATGAAATAAGTGATTATTTGACCACAGCGTTGAAATTTCTTAACCGCGAATGTCTTAATAAAGATAAATGCATCTACTGTGATACCTAGGTTTCCCGTAGTGCTTTCTGAGGAGATAAATAGTTTTCCTTTTACTTTTGTAGTGATTAAATTTTTCTATGAAGCATGAAATATAATTACACTGAGATTAGACAGCATTACCTTCATGTGTGATAATTACCAATAAAATTAGCAATTTTCTTCTAAAAATACCTACAGTGTTTAATATTAGCTTTCATTTTTGCAGAATGGAAGAGTTAAGATTTGTCATTCAGATTAAATGATAGAAAACACTTTTAAAATCTCATTTTATTGCTCCTTAGTTTTTTTTTTTTACTAAAAAAAAATTAACTGTTAGATGCTGTGTTTCTTTTAATTTGTAATAATTAAAATCCAGTTTAAAATCCCTAGCTGAAGTTCTGCTAAAATGTTATCTGTCCTAATGAATATGTACAAAATAAATTACAGGATTATTTCGGGATAGTATTTTTTAAAGGACTCTGGGCTTTTTTGAAATTGAATACCCTTTTACAGTTGTCTACATTGTCAAATTCAATGTGCATAGTGTCAAATTGTGTATTTTAATGGGTAAATCCAGAGGGTTAATGGCTGTTGTGGACAGCAAATACACTGGAAAGTTTTAGGAAACATAGAGGAATTTAGTGTTTACCTGTCAATTGTCTTTATATTCTTCACCATGAAATATTTTACTGTATGTATTAGAACTGTAATAACAAACTACTTCTATGTGGATCCTTACTTCACCATCTATGTGAAAAAGAGTGGAAAAAATTATCTTTATTCTCACCTCAATTACAAGCCTTTAACACTTGACAACTAGGTAATTTTTCTCTATGTTATCTCCATTTTATCCATTCTCTGTTTATATCCTTGATCATGTGAAATTATTGATTAAAATGCATCAATTGGAAATGAGTTCCTGAAGTTTTCTTTACCATGCCAGATAATTAGAGAGCAGGCACCTTCCATAAGCAAGTGAAGATTGCTGACTATAATCATATAGCTGAGTAGAGGGCTGGACTGCTGTAATCAGAATAAAGAATTTAAGAAATACTTATATGGTGAACATTCACCCTTCTTTCTTCATTTAAGTCTGAGGTTGGGCTGATGGTGGTGGCTCACACCTTTAATCCCAGCACTTTGGGAGGCCAAGGTGAGAGGAGTGCTTGAGCCCTGCAGTTTGAGGCCAGCCTGGACAACAGGGAGAAACCCCATTTCTACCAAAAAAAAAAAAAAAAAAAAAACCAGGTGTGGTGGTGTCCATCTGTAGACCCAGCTGCTCAGGAGGCTGAGGCAGGAGGATTCCTTGAAGTCAGGGAGGTCAAGGCTGCAGTGAGGCATGATCATTCCACTGCACTTCAGCCTGGATGGCAGATCAGAACTCTGTCTCATTTTAAAAAATGCAAATACTAAACAAACAAATAAATAAAATCTGAGGCCAAGCACAGTGGTTCAGGCTGTAATCCTCGCACTTTGAGACACCAAGGCAGACAGATCGCTTGAGCTCAGGAGTTAAAGACAAGCCTGGACAACAAAGCAAGACCCTATCTAAAAAATAAAATTAAATAAAATAAAATCTGAGGGTGACGTTTATGTCTGCTGGTCTATAAATCACATTATTCCTTTTAGAGAAGTTAAGGAGCACAAAAAAAGAGCAAAAATCTTATATTTCTGATAGTTGTAGCTTCCCTCCAAAGCTCACACAGGAAATAATCATATATTGCAGTTCAAGAGTTCAAAAGTTTTTTTCCCCAATAGAGTTATAGATTCTAATTAGCTTTTCTTTGCGTGTCCTACACTTAAATATGAATGAGCAACATAGTTTAGTTTAACTCAATAGCTGAGAACATGAAAAACTGAGACTGAAACAGTAAAAATAAAATGGAAGTTGGATACAATGATAGTTCATGAAAAAAAGATTTTAAAAACATATTATTCATATCCTCAGAGTCTTCACAGTTAAATGAATCTATTGTATCATCATAATGCATAATGCTATGAAACAAGACATCTTGAGAACAATATTATACTCTTTAGTAGAAACTGTTGTTTACACGTTTTCCTGGGCACAGAACTCAATTTACACTGCAACTAGAATTAAAAAGAACATTTTCCAGTGCTCTCATGTAGACAAGTGTGCCCATGTGAATAAACTTTGACCAAAAAGATGTAGGCAGAGTATGACTTTTGGGATCTGAGCAAAGCTACTTTAATGATAGAAAATGCTTTTTTTTTCTTTTTTTTTTTCTTCTTGGGCCTTGTGATGGAGACAGATTCATTGGAGTTCCAACAATCCTCTTGGACTATACATTCTTTTAAGAGATAGAAGCCATTCACTAAGACAATAAAATAGAAATGTGAAATATGGGACTGCAGGTCCTTGATGTCATAATGAAACTTCCATATCGGTCCTGGGCTCCCTAACTTCTTAGCTAAATTTTGTTAGAATTGCATAAATTCTATATTGCTTAAGCCACATGTATTCTGGAATATTAGATTATATACAGCAACATCTATCTTTAACCAATATATAGAATAAATAGAAGATAAAGTTTGAGAAACTTCATGAATAGAAAAGTGAAAAAAAACAGTTGAACAATACAAGAGGAAAAAGATATAGAGCTAAGATCAGAAAAAAATATATTGATTAAATAATTACACAAAAGTAAAGAAACAAAAAAGAATATTATCAAAGGTTAATTTTTAAAAATTCCCAGAAATAAAAGAGATGGGTTAGACTGAAATGCACTACTAAATGCCAAGTGAATCCATAATATATGACCACAGCAAAGAGGATAATCATGAAATTTCAGAATATGGGAATAAAAAAGAAGATTCTAAAATCTTTCTGAGAATGGGAGTTGGAGGAGTAGAGACAGTACTGAGAGAAACATGTGTAAAGAAATTCACCCTGAAATAATTGAAAATCACTATAGCATCTAATGCTTCAGCGTCAGTTCCAGAAACTAGGAGACAGTCTGATCGTATCTGCAAAAAAGAATGATTTCCAACAAAATTTTCATATACAAAATATAAATGCCCATATGCCATACATGATCTCTGTTCTTTTGGCTCTCATTCTATGTTTCTTATAATTTTCATAGAGGTTTTACTTCCCTAAACAAGAGAATAAAACAAAAATGGTAAAACATGGGATGTGTAACTGGGTGAGCAGTATGTGTGGGCCTATGGCATGGGAGAAAGAAGCTTTAGAATAAATTATCCTCCAAAGAAAACACATAAGGACAAATAATAAATAACTGATATTTTAAAATTTATTGAGAAGAGACATGAACTTGTGACAGTGACTTTAAGAATGGATTTGTAAGATAGAAAATTTAGGATTTCACAACAACAAAGACAATGTGTTTTTCTAAGAAAAAGTATTAAATATAAGAAAATAAAAGATAGTATGTCTTCTAGTGTATCTGTGAAGAATGATTATATAAGTACAGTATTTGACCAATAAATGGCATTCCAATAAAAACAATAAAATAAAGCTGAGGTGGAAATACCTCTGGAAGCCACGAGTTGAGACCAGCTGGGGCAACACAATAAGACCCTGTATCTACAGAAAAATATAGTGTTGATAGTCCCAGTGACTTGGGAGGCTGAGGTGGGAGGATCACTTGAATCCAGAAGTTAGAGGCTACAGTGAGCTACGATCAAACCACTGCACTCCAACCTGGGTGACAGTGTGAGACTCTAACTCTAAATGTGTATGTGTATATATACAAACACACACACACACACACACATAATTGAAACCTATGACTGAGAAACATTCTTGAGTTTGCAAGATAACAGATAAGTATATAAACAGCTGGATGAAACATTGAAATTTTCTCCTTTGGTGAGACAAAGAAAACTGGCTGAAATGGGTTGGAACTAATAGGGTCAAGTAGAATTTGCACAGAGCAAGCTTGCTGATGCCACAACTCAAATTTTCTCAACATGTTTCATCCTAATTGTCCCTGAATTTTCACATGTGATGGTGATGGTGGCCTGTCTGCTGCAGCTGCTGTGAGGATGCCAGCTGCAGCTGGGAGGCACAGCTGGGACTGCATGCTTCATGGAACCAACAGGAGCCAGGAACAGGTAATCCCAGCAGGAGGCCCATGTCCTACCGAGTTGGGGGGGTGGGAGCCCGTGCTCCTAGGCACAGCTGCAGTCATCCAGCCATGGCTCCAGAACTGGGCATCCCTGTGCTATTGCGGAATGTGCTCCCAGGAACTCCCCTAGCCCTGCAGGCTTGGAAATGCCTGCCCCCTGGCTTCTCCCCACTCCTAGTGTCTACTCCAATGCAGAGCAAAGTTGTGGCTGAATCAGGGAGCTGTTCCAAACTGGCTGGGTGTGCTTGCATTTGGGGGCAGTGCTGACATGCCAGCCCCCTGCTGCCTTGGCCCCCTCCAGACTTTGGGCAGTGACAAGCATGGCAGGGAGGCCAGGGGACTGAGGGTGACTTGATGCAAGACTGCAGGTGCCATTTGGTGTGGATAGCCTGGGTGCCATAGAAGGGATGTTGATAGTAGTAGGAGTCAGATAGGTTCCTGAGTGGGAAGGAATGGGTCCCCAGTGAAATGCCACCTGCAAGCCAGGGAGAGCCTAAGCCTGGGGGCTGGGTTCTCATTTCCAGGTAGAGTTTGCAACCCACAGTCAGAACTTCCTTAATGCCTTTTGGCCAACTGGATGGTGATTTTTCCAGGCCCTTCCATAGCTTCCCACGAACCAATCAGCATGTACTTTCTCCCTTCTGAGCCCATACAAATCCCAGACTCAGCCAGACTCAGAGACTCCTTGGGATGACCTGCCTGCAGATAGGAGGTCCCCACTTTGAGTCTCCTCTCCACTGAGAACTGTTGTGTCACTCTATAAAGCTCCTCTCCACCTTGCTTACCCTCCAGTTGTCCACATAATCTCATTCTTCCTGGACATAGGACGCAAACTTGGGACCCACAAAATGGCAGGAGCAAAAGGAGCTGTAACATATTCCTGACTGGCTCACAGAGTTGCAGGTGGTGATACGCTCCCGGACTGTGGGAGTGAAGAGTCATGACCCTTCCGGGGGTCCAGACCTTGGGATTCTCGAGCCAGAACTGCTATAATGCTATAGCCCTCCTGCCTCTGCTGGCACCAGGCAACTACCACGCACGATGGGAAGCAGTAGTGGGGCCGGGCCAACCCAGGAGTTGTGGGATGGAGAGGGGCAGTGGGACTGAAAGAACTGTAACACAAATGGGCTGAAACATGCCCTCTAAACAAGCCCCTCGGCTCACTGCTCTGTGGGAGACGAGAAGGAGAAAAGAGCTGTGGCCCTTCTGGAAGCCCAGACATTGGGGCTCCCCAGGCCAGGGCTGTGACACCCTTGTTGGGTCTCTGTGGTTTCTGGCATCTCCAAGCTTTCAGGCTCCACCGCACTCCCCCTGTCCAGAAGCTGATGCCTGCAGCAGAAGCCACTTGTGGTATGTGTGGTCTAGCTGCAGCCTTGCATGGAGCCAGCACCTGTGCCGACACCTGGAGCTGCCCACCCCCCCCCCCCATAGCAGCTGGTGTGCCTGGCTGTGCACAGTGGCCGGACACTGCACTTGCTTGCTCACACACCCCTCACTGTTCTGTGCCTGGTTTATCCTTGGCCGGCATGGGATCTGGGCTGGTAGCATGAGCTGAGAGCAGACTGGTGGGCCAAATGGGTAGAACAAGCCCAGAGGGCGTGAGCAAAACTCAGGCAGAGGTGCCTCTGGCCACAGAGGTTTCTGGCTGGTGAAGCGACACCCGAAGGATCCTGACACTTGCAATCCATGAGATAGCATAAAGTGATAACTGCACATGCTGGAGGACTTTGCAGACCACCCATCTTCTTCTACCAATCACCTAGTAATCCCAGAAGTCATCCCCTAAACATATTCTAATGAAATTACTGCCTTAATGCCAGCCCAGGGGACAGATTTAAGCTGCACCCCTGTCACCCTGAGTCTTGCAATAAAAATCTCTTCTTTTCCTGGTGTTACAGTATTTGCCTTTAGTACATCAGCAGGCAAGCCCCTCTTGCTTTGTAACAATAGTATGTCTTCTGGCTTCTCTGTGGAAAATGATTATATAAGTAGAGGACTTGAGCACTAAATGGTGTTCCAACCAAAACAACAACATATATAATTTGGTTGAAGGTTATGGAGTTAAAGGAAGTATGTGTATTTATTTTGCATGGAGATGTAGAAGTCAATGGTAAATACGAGTGACACTATTTTTTAAAGATTTTATTGAATGTATATATATATGTTTTCTAACACATATGAAATTAAAAATTAAAAATTAAATTAAAAAATAATCACATATGAAATTTAAAAAATTGATTAATTAGTTAAATTAATTTCACATGAAATTAAAATTAATTTTTTATTAAAGAATTAAAAAAACATTAAAATATAAGTATTCTAAAATAATAAATCCTAAGTGTTATGGGATAATATAATAGGCCCCATTATTATCTGAACCTTCCAGAAAAAAATTTCCCTAAGCAAAACATATTCATTTGAATATTGAATAGTAAATGGGTATTAGCCATGAAAAGAGAAAATGTCTAAAGATAGAGATATCTGTGAAAAGGCCAAGCAATGAGACTGAAAAGAATATGGTAGAGCATAAAGTTAGGAGAAATTTCACTAGAAAGAGAGAGAGAAATGGATGGATGGAGGGACGGAGGGTGGGTGCAAAGAAAAGATATTTGCTAAGCAGTAATAAGAAAGCCAAAGAGGCATCAACTATAAGAATCAGAAATTAAATGTGAATATATACTTATATCAGTGTAGCGGGCTTATTCTTTTTTATTTCCAAGTTGAGACAAATATTTCCCAGAATTGGCCTTTTAACTGAGTTAGGTAGTGTGGCCCAGTTTGCCTGGGAAAGTTTCAGTTTATGCATGGTATCCCAGCATAATGGTTATTAGTGCTCATTGTCAGTTTCAAAATGCCACAATTTGGATAAATTAGATTCCACCTACTTTGAGTCCTCAGACACTGGGAAGCCATAAAAGGAGCCATAGATCTCATTTTATTCTACTATTTAGTCAGAAGACTCAGTCTTCAGATTTCCCAGGTAAATCTCATTGCCTCCCAAAATATGCTTTTAGTACATTTGAACACATGTAAAATGAATGTGCTGTGTGGATATATATGGTGTAAGTTTTAAGTTACAACAACTACAGTTAGAAGAGTGTACGCAGGAAAAGTAAGTCATTGAGCATAGGAGGGATCAACTGAATACTTGATAGGACCTTGTGTGGACTCTGAGAAGTTTTATATTGTTTAGAGCGCTATTGAGCTGTTTTTGATTATGCAAATACAAAGGTATGTGTCAAATACAAATGAACTGATCTTACTTTGCTATATTTTGATCTTTTCTTTGACAACTCAAGGGAAGTCAAGGAAGTCCCAACTTCCTGACATGGCATTATAAATAGTGAAATATTTTGTATGAAACAGCTAAATACACTCTAATTTTGTTCTACATGACAGTAACATGGGAAAGGTAAAGAATGAAACTGGTTATGACAGATATTACACCAGAATGCTAACAATATTTATAAAAATCCTTCTATCTTACTTTGTTCTATTTATTTTAATAGAACAAAGAAATGCAGTAATATATGAGTTATTTTGGCATACTGATTTCAAGTAACTCTACCAATAGATTTTTCACCCTACAGTAAATAAGTGTTTTGACATATTTTAACACGTCTTGAGCTGTTTAAAATTTTCTATTACCTCTGTTCAGAATAGGAGTGTTAAAGAAATAATAGCAAAATAACTAGTTTTGGAGCCCTTAAGTAGACTTACTAAATATTTAACAAACACGGTAGTTTGCAAAGCAAAGTGCTTCTCAGGCCCAGACACTTAAGCGAATAAAAGTCTTAACTTTGGAATTTTTAAAATGTGCTTTTGCATCTAAAAGATCAAAACTAGAGCACTCACAGCATACACACCTTATCCTATGTCACAGATGGCAAATCAATTTGCAAGAATTTAAGAAATCAAGAATCTGCACTTTTCCTCTATAAGGGAAGAATACAAAATTGGACCAGCTTGGATAAATGAAATTTTCAAACAGATATGTCAAAGTTTTGATACAGGTAAAATTCTGAGAAGGGGCCCAACACAGCATATTTGATCCAAATCTGGGTGAGGGTGGGTTTTCTAATTGCTTTGTCTGCAGTGAATCTTGGACAGCTATGATCTTTGTAGGGAAGCTCTGTATTCCTCCTGGTACCCGCGTAGCTGGTGCAAAAGGAGGTATCATCAGTATTATACCAAAAGGAACCTTCACAGAGGTCTGTTCCCTAATCTGCTACAAGGAAAGTAGCCAGTGGTATTCAAGCCTACTTGAGAGGGTTTCAGAAGGGGCTGAGAGAAGAAAAACTGGAAGAGAACTAGCTTGAGCTTGAAGCAGACTGAACACAGGGTGTACAGATTGATGCCTAAGAGAGGAACAGGGCCACCAGTATAACCAGATAAGAAAGCATCAGAGACCATTGTCCAGCTCTGTGCAGGAGAAGCTGCACCTCAACAGAGGCCAGCAAAAATAGATAGCAGCATGTATAGGAAAGCAAGGGAGAAGGCAAGCCGTCCAGGAAAATAGATTATTCTACAGGAAATTTCTTATCTATACCACCCACAAAGAATGAGTTTTAACTTAAAGTGATTGAATTGCCTTTAAATAGTGACATTGACTTTTCTGCCATCAATGATGTGTTTAGTTATATCAGGAGTGAGGACTGTTAAATGTACGCAAATTTGTTAAACCATATTTTCTCTAGATGCTAAGTTATTCATGTATAATAATGGAGGAAAAATATTTTTTTTGCAATTTTTTCAGATCTCTTGAAGTTGTCAGCAAATGCAATGTATTCATGCCACTGGTACTTATTAACTTATTATATATATTTCTTATCATCTTTTCTGATGTCTAATTCCAATACATACAGAGTATTTTTATTGTTAGATGTCTTTCTGATATCAAGACAATGAATGAATTCCAAGGTTTTCCTTTGCTTTGTAGAAAAAAAAAAGCCCCCTGAAAAATACAAGTTATTTTGTCCTGCTGGGAGACAACAATCACTGTCATTTAAAAATATATTAAAATACAATTGTCTCAAAAATATAAAAGCATATCTTTAAAAACTTTGTTGAGAAAATTGTAAAGTAATAAAAGAGTCAAAACATTACTAGGAGCCATTTCTATGAAATGCTGCACATTGTCAAGTAGGCCCTTAGGGTATGTCTGATGCCGAGGAGCTTGTGTGTTTTATATTGGTTTGCTCTACTTTGGAACTCTGTAGAGATATAACTTAACTTGCAGGGAAAAAAATGGTGAGGCGTTTTGTTATTGTTGTTGAAGTAATACAAATGGTTTCTCCCATACTGAATTATCTTTTAAACTAGTTTTATCATCAGTTAATTAGCTAAATACTGTCTTCAACATATGTTCATTTTATATTTGTCTGAAAATAATGTTTTAACTTGTTTTAAAATTACACTTTAATGCATTGGAATATTATCAGGTAAAAAAAAGATACTATTTTTCTTGGGAACAAGTATGACCCAAAGTAAAATTAATTGGCATTACTAGCTATGCATTTACCATGGGAAAAGCCTAGGTTTGCAATCATCTTAACTTTCAAATCCAAGACATGAACCTAGTTAGGGTTCAGTCAGCACAATTTTTTTTTTTCAGGTAGGAACAAAAGTTTAATAAGCAAAAGAATAAAGCTCTTCACAGTAAAGAGGGGGCCTATGAGGGTTTCCAACTGTAAGACTGGGTCTGGATTTTTTTTTCTTTTTTTTAAATTATACTTTAAGTTCTAGGGTACATGTGCAGAATGTGCAGGTTTGTTACATAGGTATACACATGCCATGGTGGTTTGCTGCATCCGTCAACCTGTCATCTACATTAGGTGTTTCTCCTAATGCTATCCCTCCCCTAGCCCCCCACCCCGACAACAAGCCCCAGTGTGTGATGTTCCTCTCCTTGCATCCATGTGTTCTCATTGTTCAACTCCCACTTATGAGTGGGAACATGCGGTGTTTGGTTTTCTGTTCTTGTGTTAGTTTGCTGACAATGATAGTTCCCAGCTTCATCCATTTTAGTCTAAATGTTGTGTCACTAAGAACTTTTTTTTAGTTCTAGGTTGTTCTTTTTTGGCCTCAATATCACCATTAAAAGAAATGGTTTGACAGTTTACATATTATGCTTGTAACAGTATGAATAGACAAATCCTTCCCTTACTTCCAAAAGAATGAGTTGGAATACGTCCAAAAACATAAAATTGAATTTAACATAAAATTAAATTTAATGAATTTCTATCATTAGAAATATTAAAAATTTCATGAATAGTTCAAAAGTCTTTAAAATTACTTTAATTCAAAATTTAAAACTGTAATCACTATAACTATAAAATATATGTGTATACATACATATATAATGTACATATATTTACATTATATATATATACCTATGTATGTAATATATACATGTATATGGCTTTTAACAAAAGTAGAGAAATGTAGTTAGTTTATAAAATACTCACCAATTCATCAATTGTTACAATTGTATTCATGGGCAATAGGGAGAAGGAAATCACTTCAAAAATTTATTTTTAATTTTGGTCTTGATAAAATATACAGTGGTATAAAAGAAGCTAATTCTTCAGCTTTATATCTGAACTATTCATAATTTTTGAAATCATGCTCTTTCTTTTCTCTGATTTTATTTATGCTGTAATATATTTCCTCATTCTCATTTTTCCAATTAAAATGTATATTTATATTTGAATTAGTTTAGAAGTCACTTTTCATTAGATTCTCCCAAATAACTCTAAAAAAATCTCTTCCTTATTAATGACAATTCAGTCTTATATACATGTTTAATGCTTTGTCTTTTCATACAATACTGCATTCTTGCTTTTACCAACTGAAATATTAATTACTTGAGGGTAGGAATTGTCTTACTTATATTTATTGCTTACACGTTGCCAGGTAAATAGTTGAGAGTAAATTAATGTCTACCATAAATTTCTCCTGAAGATTAATACTAATAATCTTGAGGGATTTGTTTTTTTCTTTCATTTTATTCCATTTTTACTTTCTTCTGTTTTCATGCTTTTTTTTAATATGCTCTTTTTTTACCTAGTAAGTAAATAGGTAATTTTAAATGATAATATTTAGATTTACATAGAAAAAGAATGAGTATTTGGAAATGTTTTGCTCCAGAAATCAAAAAGCAAGCTGTAAAATCAGAGTTCAGTTAGCCTTAGTTTGGTGCATTTATTATGAATGTGGATGGTCAGGAAAGATTTGAGGCATCTGAGGGTATTGACATTGAATGGTGGCGTCTGAAAAGAATTAGGTGATGAGAAGAGAGCTTTAAATAGTCAGACTTCTGGCAACGCTAAAGCTAAGACATTATTAAAATAAGCAGCAGGAATTTCAGAACTATCAGCAGACACGACAGCCTTTTGTATAAATTCAAGCGAAAGGAAACTCACCTTATCAGGTGACTTTAGTCAAGGTTTGAATATCCATCCAAGACTTTGAAGGACGAGAAAGTCTGGAGTCAATAATTTAAGAGCAGTAAGAGAACCCTTAAGTATATAAGTTTTTCAGCAATTATTTAATTGATAATTGTTGCTTTGTTTAGCTTAGTTCCTTACCTGCCCTATTGTTTAAATATGGTTTATTTCATCAAAACTCAAGTGGAGGGCAGGTCCTCATTTTGGCGATGTTGGGAGATTGTGTTTCTGAGGTGATTAGTTTGGTAAGAGAGATTAATGCCTGCTTTTCTTCCGAGAGTAAATTCTCACTCTCGTGGGGTTGATTTAGTTACTAGGAGAGACATTATTTTTAATAAATTATGGCTGCCTCTCTCTTATTTTATTTATTTATTAATTTTTTATTTTCCTGCATTCCTAGGTTCCCTTCTGTTTCTGTACCTTGTTTTAAGGCAGCATGAGGCCTTCACCAGCAGCTATCAGATGCGGACACTCCATCTTGAACTTCCCAGCCTGCAGAACTGTAAGCTCAATAAACTTACTTTCTTTATCAATTACCTGGTCTCAGGTATTCTTTTACAGCAACAAAAAATGGACCCAGATACTTAGTCAGCTTGTCCCTGAGGCAGCTTTGAGAGCTTAAGACAGTTGTTAAGTCATTGAAAACCATACAGGAGCTAAGCACTGTTTGTTGTAGGCATGTAGTTTGTGGGATGGTCTCTTTATAGTGTCAATGAATATTGAATATTCTGTGTAATTGAAAGGGTCTTATTAATATGGTAAGCATGCCACAAAAGAGAAACAAAACAACTTTAGGTACACTGCATACTCTGTCAAGATCCTGGCTCTGCAACTCATCCTCTCTGTAGTAATGTGAAAGATAATCTCAACTTTAGTTTCTTCATTGGTATAGCCAGCAACACAATATATTCTATCTCACAGGAGTTTTGTAATATTAAATAAGCTGATGTATGAAAATTCTATAGACATAGCAGGCATTTCAAAACTGGTAATTATTCTCTAAATTTACTCAGTGTACATATGTGCTTGACATTTTGCTGCCCCCTATTATATTAATTATATTTTTAGTAACAGCAGAGATACCTAACAACATAGGCTGTTGTGGAAGATTTTGCAGCAATGACTTTTAATTAGACATTTATCATGTAGTTTGCTTTGGTCAATGGGCAACAGCAAACATGGAACAAGAATAGACTTGTTAAAGTGCTTGCACATTGGAACTTGGCTTCCCTGGCTGCTCGGTGAACTCTGAAAGTGCCCTGGGAGCTAGCCTAGGCTAGTATGCTGAATGAAAACAAAGAAGTGGACCAGTAATTTTCATCTTCCAGGACGACGGGTGTCCAGCAACCAGACATATGAAGTGACATCACCTGGGACCAGCAAGCCTCCAGCCAAACTGTCAACTGATTGCATAAACATAAATAATCCCAGGTGAGCTTAACCCAGATTAAAAGAATCGGTAAGATGAGTCCAGACCAGTGCCAACCTGCAAAATTATGAGGCAGATGGATGATTGTTCCTTTGAGCCACTAAATTTGATTGACTTGTTACACAGGAACAGATAACCATGTATCTCCCAACATTTTTTAAAAAATGCATTTGTTCATGTCCTTTGTAGGGACATGGATAAAGCTGGAAACCATCATTCTCAGCAAACTATCGCAAGGACAAAAAACCAAACACCGCATGTTCTCACTCATAGGTGGGAATTGAACAGTGAGAACACTTAGACACAGGGTGGGGAACATCACACACCGGGGCCTGTTGTTGGGTGGGGGGAGGGGGGAGGGATAGCATTAGGAGATAAACCTAATGTAAATGACGAGTTAACCAGTGCAGCACACCAACATGGCACATGTATACATATGTAACAAACCTGCACGATGTGCACATGTATCCTAGAACTTAAAGTATAATAATTAAAAAAAATCATTTGTTGACTGGCTGAAGACAAAAATATATAGGAAATAAAGAAAGAATGAGAATAGGGATTAAGGAAAGACTGTGGTTGGGGGAGAAAAGATGAATGAGAAGAAAGATAGATTTCTTTCCCGGTTTCTCAATATTTTCTTAAGAATAATCAGAAGAACACATATTTGCCATCACTTTCAACTTGCTCTGGATAAATTAGCACTCCAATACAGAAATGCCAAATATATTAATTTAGGGGAATAGAGATGATAGCTAGGGGAGAGAAAACTCTCAAAGAACACCTTGGAAAGGATTTGTGTTAAATACATCAGGAATGTGATTTAACATTTAAGAGCATTTTACTATCATTCATTAGTGTAGATAACCTACCTCATTTGTCTAGGAACTCATTGGCAAAATTGAATGTCATGGTAATAATAGAAAGATCAGTATGCCAATTGGTGCAACATTAATCTGGAAGAGAGCAGGGAAATTTAAATAGGAAAGATGATCTGTACTGTCACACTAGCATATACGTATTTCTGGATTAATAGTAGATATATTTCAACCTTCCCTAGGGTAACTTGGCATTATAGAAGGACAAAAAAGGAGATTCATAGGGCTTCATTGTATGTTTTGTGAGCAATTGATTATTCAGTCTCCACACTGACAAAAATATGTTTTCTGGCTTTAAAATATAACCTTGTTCTTGATGCAATGTGCCTTGGAAGACTAAAAGACAGACTGAGAATGAAATTTAGTTTGCAGTAAAATGAAAGATTGTAAACACAGAAATTGTACAATTCAGTGGTGGTTTTCTCTTGGAATAATGAGAGATTATAGATGAAGATCAGTCACAATTGCTTCACTTCGCTGTTGTCTCTCATTGTCCCAGTCTCATTTTGGAAAAATATTAAAAAGTTCAAAATTTTAGAAATGTGAGCATATGTTGAACAAATTATGACAAACTAATACATAACTTTTAAGCAAATATAATAGAATTTATATTACTAAAATTGTATCAATTTTTAAAATGATTACTTCAAAAGACTACATAATTATTTTAATCATGTTGCTGTTACTTATAGAATATATTGTCTAGAATTGCTTTTAGAACCCCAAGTTCAAGTTCTGCATTGTTTGCCAGTTATTTATAAAAATAAAGCTTCTATGCAACATACTGTCATGTAAATGAACATATACCATCTTATTGATTGAACTAGTGGTCAAAACAATTTTGCAAGTACCTCCTACCATGCATTAAAGAAGCTCTTCCGTTAATGACAATGTGTAGTTGACCTCAGAGTTTCCTCTTAGGATTCTTTTTATCTGTAGCAGGAAGTAGTAGTAGCACTGCATATCCATGATTACTATTCATCAATGCCCAATTCCCCCAATAAAAAGCACTGATAGTGATAACCATTCTCCAACAACAAGCTATCACCTAGATTCTCCAGTTTCAACTTGGATCCTTCGTCTTTTGACCACAAATTCTCATAATGGCTTTCCTTCTATTTGACACATTTGCTGCACTTTACCAACTTCGCAAAATATACAAGGGAGGAGGTGAAAATAAATTTCCTGCCACTACTATTGGAGATAAAGTAAAAGGAGCATGATTTTCAAAGTCAAACAAACTTGCATTCAAATCCTGTGTTAGCCACCTGCTTCATCATCTCATACCTGCTTCGAAATGCTGGAGTGAGTTTTATAAATAGTGTCTTTAATTTGCATGAAAATTTGTGACCAAATGACTTCATAACTTTGTAATATCCAACAAAAAGAACCAAAGATGATAAACAAAATAAGCATTAAAATGCATAATATAGAAAAGAACAATCCACAAATCATAATGGAAAAACGAATATTGAGATTTTTAACAATTTTACCTTACTTACTGGCTTCAAGCTAGTGGCTTGTACTCTAGAAGAATGAAGAGTAGAAGTCAGGGAAAAAATGGATTACTTCTACTCCATTCTTTCTGCTTTAAGGTGGCATCGCTGGCAGTGGCTGCATCTCCTCCAGGGTTCCAGCTACATCCAGACCAAATAGCTCCTGCCTTAATACCTACAGGACTCTGAAAACACCAACTCTTCTGTGTCTCTATCTAGTCCTACAGGAGGTACAGTCTTTCTGCTTTTGCTGGTTCTGGGCTGCCTCACCATCCCGCTTGATCTTTCTATTCTGTCTCCTTATAAATAGTTCTCATATTATATTCCCTACATTGAACTCTGGCGTGGGTTCTGCTTTCTTGATCAAACTCTGGATAGCACAACAATTAGAACACAATGTTATTGGCACAGGAATAGACAGTTTGGCAGAAAAAGACCACATATACATAAACATTTGTGACAGAGTCAGCATTGTAAGTCAGTAAGAAAAATCTCAACTGTATAATAAATTCATTTGGGAATAAATAATTTATCACATTCAGAAAGTATGAAATTAGTTTTTTAACTCACAGTATGCATACAGATTTTCTACAATATAAAAGACAGAAAAGTGAAATACAATGTCAATATTTTAAATGAAAAATACAGAAATAGACATGTATAATTTATATATAGAAAGGAATTTATTCAATTAGTGAAAAAAATAGAAGATTGATAAAATTCTAATATTGACATTTTATTGTGTCAGAAAATACACAAAGGAAGTTTTAAAATAAAAAAAAAGAAATGATAGAAATAATTTGGCATCAATAATATATAAAGAATATCCAAAATTTATTCATATAAAATGAATTGAAAATGTAAAAAAAATTATGAACTGTCAGTTCACAAAATGGTCGATTCAAATGCCAGATAAAATGTGAAATGATATTTCACTCTACCCATAATCTAGGGCATATAACTTAAAAGAGAAACAGGCCGGGCGCGGTGGCACAAGCCTGTAGTCCCAGCACTTTGGGAGGCCGAGGCGGGTGGATCACGAGGTCAGGAGATCGAGACCACCCTGGCTAACATGGTGAAATCCTGTCTCTACTAAAAATACATAAAATTAGCCGGGCTTGGTGGTGGGCGCCTGTAGTCCCAGCTACTCAGGAGGCTGAGGCAGGAGAATGGCGTGAACCCGGGAGGCAGAGCTTGCAGTGAGCAAAGATAACGCCCCTTGCACTCCAGTCTGGGAGACAGAGCAAGACTCCATCTCAAAAAAAAAAAAAAAAGAAAGAAAAAAATTTTTTAATCAAGTTTCGGAAAAGTATATATTTTAACACTTGTAGTATATACTGTGAGCAAGAATAGGAGAATATGGGGAACAGGGAACTTGTATTTTTGCTGGTGAAATACAATTTGTTACAATCAGTTTAGAAAGATATTCAGCAATGGTTAACAAAATTAAAGATATATGTATCCTGGGACCTAGTGATTCTACTAGAGGCATACAATTTTAAAAATATTGTATTTGCACAAGGAAGCTCACACAATTTCACTATAGTATGGTTGTAATGGAGAAGAATTGGAAACATCTTGCATTTACACGAAAAGAAAAATGGAAATACATTGCACATGTATGTGTTTTATATAGCAGTAAAAATGAATAATTAAATCTTTATAAACCTAGATTAATATTCTAAAAATATAAATTTAATAAAAAGACTGAAGTATAAAAAGATATATTTAGATGTTAGCATTAGGGTAGATTTTGAAAAGACAGTATATTTTTTAAATATAAATTTGTAATAAATGTATAATAGTAATATTAGTAAAGTGTACACATTAAATTAAAAGTACTATTGACTGTTGGATTGCAAGGAGAGGAAATGAGGCTAGATTAAAGGTCTTTAATTGTGTTGATCCTCTTATATCTGTCTAAAAATACATAGAAAAATATGGAAATTTTAATATTTTAATAATATCTGTATATTTTACATGTAATAAAATTAACTTAAAATTATGAAATATATCTTATATTAGTATAATATAGTTATTAATATAAGCAAGTTTATATTAATATATTAATATAGCCAATATTATAGAAACAGAAAAAGAATTTTAATTTTTTTTCAGGGTTTAACAAATTTTCTGAGTAAAGGTATTATGAGTCCATATTAATTTTCTACTGTGCTTTTCTCTATTTTATAATACGTTAAAAATAATATTATCTTTTTTTGCAATAAGTTACAACTAATTTCACAAAAATGTTAATGATCTCAAAGGGCATTAATAGATATTTAATACGGTTTTACAGTAAATAATACTAACCATTTATTTTCTATGCATTTTAATGTAGCCTTAAAGTATGTCTCTAGCTGAAATTATACATATAATTTACAAGTAGAAATCTGTTGAAATCAGTTGATAGAGCATGTCTGTCTTGATTGTTTCCTATAAATGAATAGATTTGCTTATAGACTTTTTTTGTAACAATGATGGATAGCAAATACGGTCAAATGCAATAGCATACTGCAGTTACATCATTAATTTACCCTCTCCAAATACATTATGACTTCTAATTATACATATGTATTTCATAATGACACTGGTATCAGTTTTAATAATGCTTGGTAGATCTTTAGCTAATTAGATGTTTTTAGCTATTTCCTGATTAGAAAAATCCTTTCCAAATAAAAGTTGCATTAGTAGGAATAATTTAAAAAATGTGTTTTATTGTGCTGGGGATTATGACAAAAAATATGTGCTTGTCTAAATTATTTGGTGTCTCTCTTCCCCTAGGTTTTAAGAAATTCTCTTATTAAAATAGAATTTATTTGCACATCTTATAGCATTTACAAAAATAAATCTACTTTGGAGGTATTTCTGAATTAATTTAAATAGATTTTGTGCTAAAGAAATTTTTCCACACTGAAATGAATTGCATCAAATGAAAATATTTTATAATGCTGCCCTCTCTAATTATAGTATTTTCCTCTAGAATTTTAGCTCAACAAGATCTCATGCTGGGCTTAAATGGATTGCCTAAATTATAGTTATATCATTTTCTCTTAGTAATGTTTAAAAAGTTTCTTTTGTGATTTTCTTTCATTGTTTGTAGCTACATATTTTTTAAGAAATCATCAAAATGTATATATGTTTTTGCATGTTAAAGCCGAAACCTTGATATTCACTCGACCAGTTATACAATTTTGAGCCACTGATTTCCAGTTGTTGTACTTGATGAACAGACAAGAAACACAAAGCAAAATAAAAATTAGACTATATTTCCTAGACAGTAATGTTGAAATGCTTTATCTTATCATCAGAAATTCATTTGGGACTTAGTAATACATTAGATACTATGCTGAATATTGTGGAGTCAAAGAGAACATGCAGATATGGTTCCTGCCCTGTTTCTAGCTGACATTGACTCTTTTGAAATATATTATAAAAATAATTTTTAAAAAAGTTTTATTCCTGTCATATAAATGGGGTTCACAGCTTTAGTTACGAGGTAGTCATTTGAAATAATTGATACAGTTAATTGAAATCGGAGTTGGTATGTTAAAATCAACTCTTCCACTATTTCTCAAAAATTAATTTGCAAATTAGTTTTCCCATACTGACTATGCCAAAATTAGGTTTTGTGCTTACCCTTGAATAGGCACTCACCAAATACAATCTTTCTTATGATTCTTAAACTTATCTAGGTTTATATGATCATCACCACTGGAATTACAAAGTTGGAGATCATGGCTCTTGTTCTTATAAGATTTTATGTATTTTTAATTTTAAATTGATTGTGGGTTATACTTGAGATGAGGCTTCAGGTAAACACAGAATTTTAATTGATGGTGTGCGTGAAGTATAGGTGGAGTGACAATATGAATGAATGTGAGCATAAAACAAATTATGCATGAAAATATTAGAAAATTAGTTTTCTTGCCTTAGGCAATAGCTAGGATAAAATGAAAACTGTGTATAAAATAAGTCTGCACTAAATGTTTTCTAGTGGCAAATTGAGGAGTATGGCATTGGCTTCACATAATCAGTAATGATTCTTGAGCTAGGTAGCAATGTGATAAAGATGTCAGTATAACAAGGACAATCTGGAACAAAAGTACTTAAAATTGGTGCAGGCTTTCAAGCAATTTGATATGTGAAAATTTTGGTATTCGGCATGGCTTTTGCTTCAGTAATTCCACTTCAAACAACTTATTTTTCAGAAACAATCAGCTCAAATTTTAAGCTATTAGATAACAGTCAAAGCATTGCTTCTATTGCTGAATCATTTAAATCACCTAATAATGGCAGATTTACTAAATGTATTATAGTAAGTCATCTAAGTAGTATGATTTGTGATCATTAAATAGCTCTGAGGGAGGGTGCTTAATGATATTGGAAAAAAATTGTGAATGAAAGGAGGGAATTACAAAGTATTGGCTGTAGTGTTTATAGTTTCTATGAAATGTATGTATTCCAATCTGTTCATAGCACAGATGTTCATAGGAGAGTTTGGAAAGTTTCATACACACATGTTGAAAAACTAGTTCTTTGTGTTTATATTTTATAGACTTTTTGGTTGGAATATGCTTTATTTTAATAATAATTAAAAAACAGTCATCATCTTTTTCTTTCTTTCTTTATTTATTTATTTATTTATTTATTTTTTTTTTTTTTGAGATAGAGTCTGGCTGTCGGCCAGGCTGGAGTGCAGTGGCGCGATCTCAGTTCACTGCAAGCTCCGCCTCCTGGGTTCAGGCTATTCTCCTGCCTCAGCCTCCCGAGTAGCTGGGATTACAGGCGCCCGCCACTACGCCCAGCTAATTTTTTTTTGTATTTTTAGTAGAGACAGGGTTTCCCTGTGTTAGCCAGGATGGTCTCGATTTCCTGACCTCGTGATCCGCCTGCCTCAGCCTCCCAAAGTGCTGGGATTACATGCGTGAGCCACCGCGCCCTGCCAAAAAGCAGTCATCTTTAAAGGAAATATCAGGCAGGAGTGTGTGGAATGCAGTCTAGTAAGGTGAAAATTCAGCTACATGCTGGAATAAAGTGAAGAAGAGTACACTAAAAATTGTGGCTATGATAGAAAGTTGTGAGTCCTAGTGATCTGTTAGTGTGTTACTGAATTGAGGCACATGATGAAATCATGGAATATAGGGAATAGCTTTGTTGTTGTTCATGTTGTTCTTCTTGTTGTTTGTGTTGTTTTAGTTAAAATTTCTTGATGTATCCAGTTTAAAGAAAAATATAAATTTCAACTAACAGGTAAATATTGACTTAAGCCCTATATATGGGGCAAAAATATTTCTTACCTGTATAAATTAACACATGGTTACTTGGGTTTTTAGAACACAATAGAAACAATCTACTTTCTTTTTTATCTTATTTGTATATATTGGTGGTTTGGAAATATTTAAGGCTGAGTCGAGACATATGACATATAATAATATAAATTGAAATTAGAAGAGGCAAAGAAAAAGTAGGGTAGGGCCTTATAATACCACTAAAAGTGAGGGTACTGCAAGAAAACAAAAACCCATACAGTTTACCCTTGAATAACATGGTTGTGAGAGGCGCCAAGCTCCTTGCACACTCAAAAATTCTCATATAACTTTTGACTTCCCAAAGCCTTAACTACTAATAACCTCACTGCTCCCTGGAAGCCTTATCTATAACGAAAGCGTCAATTAACAATTATTTTGTATGTCGTACGTATTATATACTGTATTCTTACAATGAAGAAAGCAAAAAAAGGCGTACACACAGCCCACAATCAAGCGAAAAAAACCTCAACATCACTGCTCGTTAGAGAAATGCAAATCAAAACCAAAATAAGATCATATCTCATGCCAGTCAGAATGACTATTATTAAAAAAAAAAAAAGTCAAAAAGTAACAGATGCTGGTGAGGATGTGGAGAAAAAAGAACAGTGCTTATACACTGTTGGTCAGTGTGTAAATTAGTTCAACCATTGTGGAAGACAGTGTGGTGATTCCTCAAAGACCTAAAGACAGAAATGTGATTCAACCCAGCAATTCCATTACTGAGTATATACCCAAAGGAATATAAATCATTCTGTTATAAAGACACATGCACACATATGTTCATTGCTGTGCTATTCACAATAGCAAAGACATGAAATCCAAAATCCACCTAAATGGCCATCAAAGATAGACTGCATAAAGAAAACGTAGTACATATTCACTCTGGAATACTATGCAGCCATAAAGAAGAATGAGATTATGTCCTTTGTAGAGACAGGAATGGTGCTGGAGGCCATTATTCGCAGCAAACTAACGTAGGAACAGAAAACCAAATAATGGCACATTCTCACTTATAAGTGGAAACTAAATGATGAAAAATGGATGGACTCATAGAGGTGAGAAACACAAACTAGGGCTTCTCAGACTGTAGAAGGTGGGAAGAGAGAGAGGATTAGGAAAAATAACTAATGAACACTAGGGCTTAATACTTGGATTATGAGTTTACCTATATAACAGACTTGCCCTCCCTGCACATGTACCCTTGAAGTTAAAATAAAAATTAAAAAAAGAATATCATAAGGAAGAGAGACTATATTTACAATACTTACTTACCAGTATCATAATTTTATGTCATCTGTTTACAAGATAAACCATCTGTCTGAAATGGGGGCAACCATAGCTGCAGACCTGAATCTATGGTACATATTAAGCAATTCGCCTTTTTCTTTGAATGTCAACACTTTCCTCTGAATTTTGGGAACATTTCCAGCATCATTACCTGCATGTTATAGGGCTCTTATGTGTTATTTAAGCTTTACGGTATTGCACTAACAATGGAAAATACTTGAGAACCGCAAGAGATGACATCTTACTGCAATAGCAATTTACTGGAATGGCTGACCGCTCACTTGGATATGATTAGCATCACACAGCATATTAGTGGATACTTCCAATGCCTGAGCTCACTATAATAGCAACAGGTGATGGCTATGAAATTAGTACAGTAGACAGTATGTATTACAGTTCATTTTATTCTGATATGATTTAATACTGTATCTTTTTGTTTACATTCTATTGCAAATGGCACCACGTATGCTCTGTGTTTGTGTAAGTTTTGATAAATGGTAATTTTTTATTATAAATCTGTGTATATTTTATGGTAGTAAATTATAAAATAGACTAGTATACATATACATTTTATGCATACATGATATATCTAACATTTTCTTAATTTTTAAACTATTTCTAGGCCTTACAGTTTGTCTAAGTTTTGTCAAATTGTTGAAAATCTCCAAAAGATTTTCTAATATATTTATTGAAAAAGATCCACATATCAGTAGATCCACACAGTTCAAACCTGTGCTGGTCAAGGGTCAACTGTATACGTGTGATTACTAGAATACAAATTTTGTCTTTACAATCCCATGAATTTTATTAGTAAAGAGGAAATTGATGATGATTGCAAAGTATCTAATACCTATAATATCAAAAGGTTTGTTAGTTTAGAGAGACAATATTAGACTTTATTTTACTTATGAGTAATCACAAAAATCAAATTATATAATACAATTAACATTATCCTCAACAATATTTCATATAATATCACAAGGATTTGCAAGTCTGTTTTCTATAGCACCATTTGCGAGCAACATATACCCCCAAATCAGTTCAATTCCGTAACTGGAGGTCCTTGTATGTGCATTGAAGGAGTTTTGGTGCCAGAAAAAATAAAAGAAAGATTATTAAAAGATCTAGATATAAATGTCCTGCTTTTAAGGATTAAATTGTTAATTTTAGAGAATTTAGTGGAATAGCTTTCCCCATATATTGTTTCTTAAATTATAACTATTTTGCATTGCTCATTAAAAAATGAACCAAAATACTTTTTTGCTACTGAATAAAACATAAAAAAATTAACATGCTGCTTATAATAGAGTGAGAGGAATCTATTACAAAATAACTAATTTATTACTCACCTCCCCCTGTTACTGATAACTTGACCATTTCAATTCCCTACTTCATGATTTTTATCATTCATTGTTGAGTTGGAGATTTCGTGTTCAGGCAATTAATCCTTAATATGGAAGAAAAGTTGTCTAAATATTTCCCAAAAGATTATCTATTTTAGAGATGATAAGATGGAAACAATAAATATAAGAGCTTAAATAATTATTGATATAAAATTCAGTCCTACGTTAAAAAATTTTTATTACTATATGTATTTAAATAATTAGATGTGTATATATTGTTGTTTATTTTAGTTTATATTCTTGCCCAGATGTGAACATAAATATTTGAATGCCTGTCTTCTAGATTACATAGACGATAATCTGAGGCTGATTATTTTAGTTTCAAGAAGCAATGTGTTTAATAAGAAAAGGGTTTTGAGTTTGATTCTCGTATACTTTAGTTTCATTACACATTACACCCTTTGCCATGGCCATACACCTTATGAATGAACTCCTTATTTCTGAGAGACATCAATAGAGAGAGGAGATAAATTAATGTAGACAAACAGCCCAATTATTCAAAGATTATGCCATTTTCTGGAAATTATTAGTAAGTAAATGAGGAAAAAAATCCAAGGATGTCTAAAATAAAGTGTTGCAGAATAAGAAAAATGCAAATACAGAGGGAAGTTGGAATAGCAT
This sequence comes from Homo sapiens, assembly GCF_000001405.40. NCBI lineage: Eukaryota > Metazoa > Chordata > Mammalia > Primates > Hominidae > Homo > Homo sapiens. Next base: position 35,098,637 of record NC_000004.12, read on the forward strand.
AACATTAAAATGTTTACATACTTTCTGGATACTGCATTAGCCCTCCGAAGTGGTTTCTGTTCCTACTAGTTAAGGAAGGGATTGCCAACAGTTTATTAAAAATTTATCCTCCTTTTCTCTGGTATGGATTTGTTCTTAGGAACAAGTTATTCAATTTTGTATTTGTTTCCCAATACTTTTGTTTCTTTCTAGGTTCTCCTGTGGAAAGTGAGCTCTGAGTTGAGCCACAAATGGAAAAAGCTGTGATCCTAAATCACCATATCAAGAAAAAACATCTATTCTTTTCTATTGTTATCCAAACCATTTATTACCTTTATTACTTATTTATTGCCTTTATGCTTTTCAGATGGGATAAACTTTCCCCCCAGGAGACGTTAATAATGCTTTTAGCTTTCATTTTTTGTTTTCTCCCTTCCATAGGGAAGGGCATTCTACTATCTAGAGGGTTAATCCAGAGTTTCTGTTAACATGCTCTAGTACTCAGGACATGCCCCCACCACACCAAATAATTATTTGGCTCCAAATATCAATAATGCTGACACTGAGAGACACTGCTTTATAATTTAATTTTTAATTTTGCATATATTCTGTCTTTTCTTAAGTGTCTAGGATCTATGAAAAAAGGTTTTTCTTGTATCCTTGGTTCCTAGAACAGTGCCTGGCCTACAAAAGAGGGTCATAGCTAGTAGCTATGAGTTTGTAGATAAATGAATAAATGAGAAATGGTAAAAATCCCATATAAATATTCCTGGATAATTTCACTTTTGCTCACAGACTGATAGCTCCAGAGGTATTACAAATAAATCTAGACAAAATGTTATATGTGGAAAATCTCTCAAGAATATCTTAAATACTATTACTTTTATATTTTTTCGAAGGAAATAGCTTTAAAAATTATGATATTTATAACAAAATGCAAATAAGCAAAAAAGCTATGTTTGTGACAAGTAACACACCACAGCAGAAGTTTTGTTTCAGATATTCCTGTGCTTCGCTGAAGTTTTATCCCTTCTCTGAAGGCTTGTCCAAATGACTTTTTCTCTTTCTTCTCTGACCTCCTCTAACACTTTACCACTATGTCCTATGTTATTTGTTAGTAGAATTTAGATATTTCCATTTTTAAAGAACAGCAGCAGTTTTTTTTAAAACACAGATACACATTGTCACACTAGTGATAGGAATTTTCAATTGAATGCACTGAAGAAAAAACATTAGAGCAACAATTTAGTAATAGCAGGTCTCATTTTAATTTTTCATAAAGTACATATACTTTAAATTTAGTCATCCCTTAGAATTACATTTAGGATTGCAAACTTTATGTGAACATTCTATTTCAACTTCATTAAATATTTTTAATTCACAAGTAATTGATTTTTCATATTCATTTGGAATAAAGCATCAATGAAAATAGATGCATTATCCTAAAACCAAATAAGTGTATGAGAACATATTGAAAAGCTTGATTAAAATTAAAATAAAAACTTCGAAACATTAGTAACTGCTTTCAGTATGAAAGATACAATTTAAATTCCATTGTTTGATTTTTACCTACCGGTTCATTTCTAAACTTTGTTTTGTTTTTCTCGTGGTATTTTATGTATTAAACTTTAGCTATTATTTTATATATTTGTTTACTTAACAATGAGTTATTATTTATTTTCATTTTATTTTTTAATTTTTTTCAGAGACAGAGTCCTGCTCTGTTGCCCAGGCTGGAGTGCAGTGGCACAATCTCAGCTCACTCTACCCTCCGCCTCCCGGGTTCAAGCAATTATCCTGCCTCAACCTCCCAAGTAGCCGGGAATACAGGCACACACCACCACATCTGCTGATTTTTGTATTTTTAGTAGAGTGGGGTTTCACCATGTTGCCCTGAGAGAAGAGAGAAAGAGACCCCCCCCCATATTGTTTTATATTGTTTTATACTCAGTATCTGTTTTAAGAAGAAACAAGGAAGCGAAACCAAAGGCAGGCAGCCCAGCGCCAGGCACCAGACCCAAAACCAGACCCAAAACCAGGCCTGGGACTGCCAGACCTAACCTGGTAGTTAAAATTCAACCCATGACCTAGCAACCAATGTTATCCACAGATTCCAGACATTGTATGGAAGGACATCGTGAAACTTCCCGTTCGTTGTTTCACTCTTATTACCGGTGCATGCAGCCCCTGTCACATACCCCCTAGATTGCTCAATCAATCACGGCCCTTTCACGTAAAATCTTTAGCATTGTGAGCCCTTAAAAGGGCCAGAAACTGTGCACTCGAGAAGCTCGGATTTTGAGACGTTAGTCTGCAGATGCTTCCAGCTTATTAAAGCCACTTCCTTCACTACCTCGGTGTCTGTGGGGTTTTGTCTGCGGCTCATCCTGCTACATTTCTTGGTTCCCTGACTGGGAAGCAAGGTGACTGACAGATGGCCAAGGCAGCCCCTTAGGCAGGTTAGGACTGCCCTGTGGAGCATCCCTGCAGGGGACTCTGGCCCGCCTGAGCGGCACGATCCAAAGAGCTCTCCTGGGTAGGCAATTGCCCCGGTGGAACACCTCACCAGAGCAGTGCGTGGCAAGCCCTCATGGAGGATCAACACAGTGTCTGAACACCAGGAAAGAACTGGCACTTGGAGTCCGGACATCTGAAACTTGGTAAGACTAGTCTTTGTAACTTGCCCACTCCATTTGAATGGAAGCATGGCCTGATCACTCATGGAGTGCCTGTATCTGCACTTTTGTTCTGGTTTTGACTTGACTTGAATTGTTTGATACTTTGGTTTTGGTTTCGACTTGGCTTGAATTTATTGATACTCTGATTTTGGTTTGGTATAAATGATGAAAGGGTGTGTGTGCCCTCTTTACCCATTCTTTGTTTTGTGGTGAGTGTGTGGTGTGAGCATGGTATTTTGTCGTTAGAAAACATGGGTAAGGCACAAAGTAAGCCCACCCCATTGGGAACTATGTTAAAGAATTTCAAGAAAGGATTCAAAGGAGACTACGGAGTCACTATGACTCCAGGAAAACTTAGAACTTTGTGTGAAACAGATTGGGCAGAATTAGAGGTAGGTTGGCCATCAGAAGGAAGCCTGGACAGGTCTCCTGTTTCAAACATATGGCACAAAGTAACTGGCAAACCAGGGCACCCAGATTAGTTCCCATATAGAGATTCCTGGTTACAGCTAGTTTTAGATCCCCCGCAGTGGTTAAGGGGACAGGCAGCAGCAGTACTAGTAGCAAAGGGACAGTTAGTTAAGGAAGGTTCTTGCTCCGCCTGCTGAGGGAAGCCAGCCCCTAAAGTTCTGTCTGACCCAGAGCCCGAAGACTTGTGGCAGGAGATGGCACCAACAGTGCCCCCCCTTACCAAGTGGAGAGGCCCCCTACTCCTGAGCCCACAGCCCTTAGACCACCCAAAGTAGACAATAAAGGAAGTAAAGCTGCAGGAGAAACTCCTCCCTCGGCGGGTCACTTACGGCCCAAGGCTGGAATCCAAATGCCCCTGAGAGAGCAGCGATATACTGGGATAGATGAGGACAGACACATGGTGGAAAGGCATGCCTTTGTGTATCACCCTTTCACCTCTGCTGACCTCCTCAATTGGAAAAATAGCACTCCATCTTACACTGAATAGCCTCAAGCTCTAATTGACTTGCTCCAAACAATTATCCAGACTCATAATCCTACTTGGGCTGATTGCCACCAGCTACTTATGTACCTCTTTAACACAGATGAAAGACGAAGGGTGCTCCAGGCGGCAACTAAATGGCTAGAGGAGCACGTCCATGCCGATTACCAAAATCCCCAGGAATACATAAGAATTCAGCTGTCAGGAATGGACCCTCAATGGGATCCGAATGAAGGACCAGATATGGAGAGGCTAAGACGATACCGGGAGGCATTAATTGAAGGTCTGAAAAAAAGGGGCTCAAAAGTCCACCAGTGTAAATAAAGTTTCTGAAGTCATCCAAGAAAAGGAGGAAAGCCCAGCCCAATTCTTTGAAAGACTGTGTGAGGCCTATCGTATGTACACTCCTTTTGATCTGGATAGTGCTGAAAATCAGCGTATGATTAACATGGCCTTAGTTAGTCAAAGTGCGGAAGATATCCAAAGGAAATTATAAAAAAAAAACGGCTGGTTTTGCAGGAATGAATACCTCGCAGTTACTGGAGATAGCTAATCAAGTATTCATAAATAGAGATCAACAAGCTGCCAAGAAAGCCATAAGGAGGGCGAACGCCAGGCCAGGTGGAACATTGATTTGCTGGCTGCAGCAATTAGGGGAATCTCCCCCTAGGGACAGGGAAAGGGGGATTCCGGGATGAATGCCCAGTCCAATCACTCCCATCTGCAGCATAATCAATGTGCCTACTGTAAAGAAATAGGACATTGGAAAGATAAATGTCCCCAACTAAATGAGAAGCAAGGAGATGCAGAGCAAAAGACCACAGATAAAGACGAAGGGACTTTGTTCAATCTGGCCAAAGGGCTACTACAGTGAAGGGGACTGGGCTCAAATGCCCCCAAGGAGCCCATGGTCAGGATGACAATAAGGAGTAAGGACATTGAATTTTTGGTCGATACCAGTGCCGAACACTCAGTAGTAACCACCCCAGCGGCCCCCTTATTTAAGAAAACCATTGATATAATCGGAGCAACAGGGTCTCTGCCAAGCAGGTTTTCTGCCTACTGTGGACCTGCTCATTAGGAGGACTCAAAGTAACCCATCAATTTCTGTATGTGCCTAACTTCCCCTTGCCTTTGTGAGGGAGAGACTTGCCTAGCAAGCTGAGAGCTACTATTTCCTTTACAAAACAGCGCTCTATACAGCTGAAGTTACCGGGAACAGGAGTTATGGCCCTTACGGTCCCCCAAGAAGAAGAATGGAGGCTTTTTCTAATCGAGCCAGGTCAGGAGATAAAACCGGCTCTAGCTAAGCAATGATCCCGTGTATGGGTGGAGGACAATCCTCCAGGGCTGCCAATCAATCAAGCCCCTGTACTCACAGAAGTTAAGCCTGGGGTCCAGCCAATCAGACAAAAGCAGTATCTGGTTCCCAGGGAAGCTCTTGAAGGAATACAGGCTCATCTTAGATGCTTGAAAGCTTTTGGAATTATAGTTCCTTGCCAGTCTGCATGGAACACCCCCTCCTACCTGTCCCCAAGCCAGGGACCAAGGACTATTGACCCATACAGGACTTATGCTTGGTTAACCAAGCTATCGTGACTCTGCACCCAACTGTTCCTAACCATTACACACTGTTGGGATTGCTGCCGGCTGAGGAGGGCTGGTTCACCACTTGCCTGGACTTGAAGGATGCCTTCTTTATCATCAGACTAGCTGCTGAGAGCCAAAAGCTGTTTGTCTTTCAGTGGCAAGACCCGGGGTCAGGTGTCACCACTCAGTACACTTGGACTCAGCTTCCCCAAGGGTTCAAAAATTCCCCCACCATCTTCGGGGAGGCATTGGCTCAAGACCTCCAGAAGTTTCCTGCTAAAGGCCTAGGCTGTGTCTTGCTCCAGTATATGGATGACCTTCTGCTGGGACACTTCGTGGCATCGGGTGTGCAAAAGGGATGGATGCCCTACTTCAGCACCTGAAGGACTGTGGATATAAGGTGTCCAAGAAGAAAGCTCAGATCTGCAGACAGGGGAGCGCAGCCTGGGGTCAGAAAGAAAGCAGGTCATCTGCAGTCTACTGGAACCTAAAACCAGAAGGCAAGTAAGGGAATTTCTAGGAGCTGTGGGGTTTTGCAGATTATGGATTCCAAACTTTGCTGTGCTAGCCAAACCATTGTATGGGGCTACAAAGGGGGGCGAATGGGAGCCCTTTGAATGGAGGCCTCTACAACAGCAAGCCTTTTGTAAGTTAAAAGAAAAACTTATGTCAGCCCCAGCTCTGGGACTACCAGATTTGACCAAGCCCTTCACACTTTATGTGTCAGAAAGAGAAAAAATGGCATTCGGAGTTTTAACTCAAACTGTGGGGCCCTGGCCAAGACCAGTGGCCTACCTCTCAAAACAGCTAGACGGAGTTTCAAAAGGCTGGCCTCCATGTCTGAAAGCCATGGCAGCTACAGCCCTGTTAGCACAAGAAGCAGATAAGCTAACTCTTGGGCAAAACTTAAATATAAAGGCCTCCCATGTGGTGGTAACTTTAATGAATACCAAAGGACACCATTGGATAACGAATGCTAGATTAACCAAGTACCAAAGCTTATTGTGTGAAAACCCCTCCATAACCACTGAACTCTATAATACTTTAAATCCTGCCACCTTGCTCCCAGTATCAGACAGCCCTGTTGAACATAACTGTGTAGAGGTGTTGGACTCAGTCTATTCTAGCAGACCCGATCTTCAAGACCAGTCATGGGCATCAGTAGACTGGGACTTATACACGGATGAGAGCAGCTTCATCAACCCACGAGGAGAAAGATGTGCAGGATATGTGGTGGTAACCTCGGATAATGTTATTGAAGCCAAGTCATTGCCTCAGGGCACTTCGGTCCAGAAAGCAGAACTTATTGCTTTAACTCAGGCTCTAGAACTCAGTGAAGGTAAAACTATAAACATTTATACTTACTCTCGATATGACTTTCTAACCCTTCAAGTACATGGGGCATTATATAAAGAAAAAGCCCTGTTAAATTCTGGGGGAAAGGACATAAAATATCAACAAGAAATTCTACAATTATTTGAGGCAGTGTGGAAACCGCAAAAGGTGGCAGTCATGCATTGCAGGGGACACCAGTGAGTTTCCACCTCAGTGAGCTGAGGAAACTCCCGAGCAGACACAGAGGCATGAAAAGCAGCATCGACTCCCTACCGGGCATCAGTCACAGCCCCTCTACTCCCTCAAACACCTGCTCTGGTCCCTATTTATTCTAAAGAGGAAAAAGACTTTCTTCAGGCAGAGGGAGGACAAACAATAAAAGAAGGATGGATAAAGTTACCAGATGGGAGAATAGCTGCTAGGAGCCCCAGTCGTGCTAGCTGTACATGAAACTACCCATTTAGGCCAAGAGTCACTTGAAAAGCTGTTAAGCCGGTACTTCTACATCTCACACTTGCCAGCTCTTACTAAAACAGTAGTGCAGCGATGCATTACCTGTCAACAGCACAATGCAAAGCAAGGCCCCTCTGTTCCTCCCAGCATACAAGCCTATGGAGCAGCTCCTTTTGAAGATCTTCAAGTGGACTTCTCAGAGATTCCCTAATGCGGAGGTAACAAGTATTTACTGATTCTAGTGTGTACTTACTCTGGGTGGGTAGAGGCTTATCCGACACAAACTGCAAAAGCTGGTGAAGTAACCCGTGTGCTTCTTAGAGATCTCATCCCTAGGTTTGGACTGCCTCTATGGATCGGCTCAGATAATGAGCCGGCATTTGTGGCTGACTTAGTACAGAAGACAGCAAAGGTACTGGGAATCACATGGAAGTTACATGCTGCCTACCGACCTCAGAGTTCCGGAAAGGTGGAGCGAATGAATCGGACTATCAAAAATAGTTTAGGGAAAGTATGTCAAGAGACAGGATTAAAATGGATACAGGCCCTTCCTATGGTATTGTTTAAAATTAGGTGTACCCCTTTAAGAAAACAGGATACTCCCCTTATGAAATATTATATCATAGGCCTCCTCCTATACTGCGAGGACTTCCGGGTACTCCCCAAGAGTTGGGTGAAATTGAATTGCAGTGACAGCTACAGGCCTTGGGGAAAATTACTGAGACAATCGCAACTTGGGTAAATGAGAGGTACCCTGTCAGCTTATTCTCCCCAGTTCACCCTTTTTCTCCAGGTGACCGTATGTGGATCCAGGACTGGAACGTAGCCCCTTTGCGGGCACAGTGGAAAGGACCCCAGACCATTATCCTGACCACTCCCACAGCTGTAAAGGTGGAAGGAATCCCGGCCTGGATTCACCACAGCTGCTTAAAGCCTGCAGCCACTGAAACCTGGGAGGCCAAACCAAGCCTGGACAATCCCCGTAAAGTGACCATGAGGAGGACCACAAGCCCTGCTTCAGTCACACCCAGAAGCTGACTGATCTACACATGGTGGAAGCATGAGGAAAATCGTCGTGGGACTTATTTTCCTCATGACACGGACTTGTGTGGTAAAAGCTTCCACTGCTTCTTCCCACACAGAGGACTGCTTTCAGTGCATGCATCAGATCACTGAGGTAGGACAACAAGTTAAGACAATCTTTTTGTTCTATAGTTTTTATGAGTGCCCAGGAACTCGAAAAGGAACCTGTTTATATAATAACACTCAGTACAAAGTATGTAATCCAAGAAGTGATCAGCCAGATGTGTGCTATGACCCCTCTGAACCTCCCATGATCACGGTTTTTGAAATAAGACTAAGCACTGGTCCTTTTCTAGGTGACACAAGTAAAGTAATAGCTAGAACAGAAGAAAGAGGGGTCCCCAAACATGAAACTCTAAAATTTGACACTTGGGCCACTATTAATAGTAATCAGCAAGGACTAGGATGCTGTTCTAGAGATTGGGAAAAGAGTTACACAGCAGGAAATAAGTATGTCTGCCATGAATCATATTCATGTACAAATGTGTGTCAGTACTGGTCTTGTATCATCTGGGCTACTTGGAAAAAAGATTAAAAAGATATTGTTTGGCTCCAAAAAGGAAAAAGCAGCCCCTCCTGCACAAATGGAAGCTGCTACCCTTTAGAATTAATAATTATAAATCCCTCAGACCCAAAGTGGGAAAAAGGAGAGCACGTATCTCTAGGCATTGATGGAAAAGGACTAGATCCTAGAGTAAATATCTTAATAAAAGGGGAGGTTCAAAAATGCTCTCCAGAGCCAGTATTTCAGACTTTCTATGATGAACTAAATGTGCCAGTACCTGAGATTCCAGGAAAAACTAGAAATTTGTTTTTGCAATTAGCCGAGCATGTAGCACAGTCTTTAAAAGTCACTTCATGTTATGTCTGTGGAGGAACTGTAACAGAAGATCAATGGCCATGGGAAGACTGAGAATTAGTCCCTACGGACCCAGTTCCTGATGAATTCCCAGCCCAAAAGAACCACCCTGACAATTTCTGGGTTCTAAAAGTCTCAGTTACTGGGCAATATTGCATAGCTAGAGAAGGAAAATAATTCACTCATCCTGTAGGATTGCTTAGTTGTCTTGGACAGAAACTGTATAATGGTACCATAAAAACAGTTACATGGTGGAGTTCAAACCACACAGAAAAAAAAATCCATTCAGTAAATATCCAAGATTACAGGCCATTTGGGCCCATCCAGAATTGCACCGGGACTGGACAGCCCCTACTGTGTTATACTGGATATGTGGACTTAGAGCCTATGCTAAGCTACCTGATCAGTGGACAGGTAGTTGTGTAATTGGCAGTATTAAACCATCTTTCTTCCTACTGCCCATAAAAACAGGCAAACTCCTAGGATTCCCTGTCTATGCTTCCTGCGAAAAGCGAAGCCTAGCCATAGGTAACAGGAAAGATGATGAATGGCCCCCTGAAAGAAATATACAATACTAGGGGCCCACCACTTGGGCACAAGATGGCTCATAGGTATATCAGATCCCCATCTACATGCTCAACCAAATCATATGGTTACAAGCTGTTTCAGAAATTATTACTAATAAAACCGGTCCAGCCTTGACTGTTCTTGTCCGGCAAGAGACTCAGATGAGAAATGCTATCTACCAAAATAGACTAGCTCTCAACTACTTGCTAGCAGCTGAAGGAGGGGTTTGTGGAAAATTTAACCTTACTAATTGCTGTCTACACATAGATTATCAGGGGCAATTAGCTGAAGACATAGTTAAAGATATAACAAAACTGGCACATGTACCTGTGCAAGTGTGGCAGGGATTTGATCCTGGGGCCATGTTTGGAACTTGGTTCCCAGCAATAGGAGGATTTGAAACTCTTATAATAGGAGTTATAATAGTAATAGGAACCTGCTTACTACTCCCTTGTTTGCTACCTGTACTTCTTCAAATGATAAAAAGCTTCATTGCTACCCTAGTTCACCAGAATGCTTCAGCACAAGTATATTATATGAATCACTATCAATCTATTGCACAGGAAGACATAAGTAGTGAAAATGAAAGTGAGAACTCCCACTAATAAAATAAGTGAGGGTCTCAAAGGGGGGAAATGAGAGAAGAGAGAAAGAGACACCCCCATGTTGTTTTATGCTCAGTACCTGTTTTAAGAAGAAACAAGGAAGCAAAACCAAAGGCAGGCAGCCCAGCACCAGGCACCAGACCCAAAACCAGACCCAAAACCAGACCTGGGCCTGCCAGACCTAACCTGGTAGTTAAAATTCAACCCATGACCTAGCAACTGATGTTATCCATAGATTCCAGACATTGTATGGAAGGACATTGGGAAACTTCCCGTTCTGTTCTGTTTCACTCTGACTACCAGTGCATGCAGCCCCTGTCACATACCCCCTAGATTGCTCAATCAAGCACTGCCCTTTCATGTAAAATCTTCAGCATTGTGAGCCCTTAAAAGGGAGAGAAATTGTGCACTCGAGAAGCTCAGATTTTGAGACATTAGTCTGCTGTTGCTTCCAGTTGATTAAAGCCACTTCCTTCACTTCCTCGGTGTCTGTGAGGTTTTGTCCTCTGCTCGTCCTGCTACAGCCCAGGCTGTTGAACTCCTGGGCTCCAGCGATCCACCCACCTTGGCCTCCCAAAGTGCTGAGATTACAGGCATGAGCCACCACACCCAGCTGAGTTATTTTAAAATTGTTTTATCAAATCCCTGTGATAAACTATTGGCAAAGGTGACAGGACTCAACAAAAGAAATGACATGAGCTCTCTGTGAACAGGAGCTTTGTTGAAAAGAGAAAAGCAAACACATATGATAATGTAGGACGGAATGTGAAATTTTGGGTAAGTACATATTCACTTTCAAGCCTGATCTTACAAATAAATTCTTATTAATTAGCATTTTCTATTAACAGAAAATCAATTGAATTAACTAGTAGTCTTTCTGAATGGTTTTATCCTAATTCCTATGGTTTATGTGTCTTAGAATTGCTCAACAAATACAGTTTAATTTTAATTTCGGGTCCTGGCTTAAGATCTGAATTCAAGTACACCTCTTTTAAACTTATACCTGTTGTCAATCCCAATTTTATTGAATGATTCCTGTATCTGCTCCTGCATTGGAACTTTCAAGTCTTTTTTAGATTATATAATCTTAATAAAAAAAATTTTTAAGCAGAAAAAAAGTAATATTCTTAGTCAGAAAAAAGTAGTTAAATATGTAACTTAGTCAGAAAAAAATAGTTAAATATGTAAGAATGAATGTATAACTACTTGGGAATATTATATTGTAAAACCAGTCAGTTTTTGAAAAATGTAATTATTATTGTAATTAAAATTTATATGAGAAAAACCAATATCTAACAGCTTAGCTCAACAAGAAGGAAATGTAAAAGAAAATGTGTGAAAGACAATTTATAGTCTTCAAATTCAAATTAAAAATCATTTAATATTTTAAAATACCCCTCTAAAACTGTATGAAAAGCTTAGATGCACTATATATATATAAACACGGTTATATATATATGTATATATATAAAATATAGAGTTTATATGTGTATATATATAAAATATAGAGTTTATATGTGTATATATATAAAATATAGAGTTTATATGTGTATATATATAAAATATAGAGTTTATATGTGTATATATATAAAATATAGAGTTTATATGTGTATATATATAAAATATAGAGTTTATATGTGTATATATATAAAATATAGAGTTTATATGTGTATATATATAAAATATAGAGTTTATATATGTATATATATAAAATATAGAGTTTATATATGTATATATAAAATATAGAGTTTTATATATGTATATATAAAATATAGAGTTTTATATACGTGTATATATAAAATATAGAGGTTTATATACGTGTATATATAAAATATAGAGGTTTATATACGTGTATATATAAAATATAGAGGTTTATTTATGTGTATATATAAAATATAGAGGTTTATATATGTGTATATATAAAATATAGAGGTTTATATATGTGTATATATAAAATATAGAGGTTTATATATGTGTATATATAAAATATAGACGTTTATATATGTGTATATATAGACAATTGACTAAATTTAGAGTAATAGATAAAAGAATGTAAATAGAAATATCAACAAAAGTCAAAATTCGGTTATGTCTCGCAGTCAGATAATTGCTCTATTGTGTATCAGGAGAGAAGTTGTAGCACATAAGAGATAGAAAAAAAATCCAAAAAATCATTTTTTTCATTTATGTAACACCAACACGTCATAGAGGGAAATTTTGTTATCCCAATATTATGAAAGAATATACAGATACCAGAAAACTTAAATATGTTTTATTATTTTCTAGCTTTGCAATCATTTCTATTTCTATTGGATATCCTGTGTGAATACTAACCAGGATGTTAAATTGGAAATAGAAAATTAGAAAGAATAATGCATTAAATTTACTACCAACCCATACCTCAGTTCTGCTCTGTTTTATTTAATTCAGTATTCTTAGTTCTTAAAATTTTGCAAATTACCTTAGGCATCATCATCCAACTGTGACTTTTTTTTTTATAATTTCAACTTTTATTTTACATTCAATGGGTACACGTGGCAGATTTGTTACATGGGTATATTACGTGATGCTAAGGTTTGGTGTATGATTGATCCCATCACCCAGGTAGTGAGCATAGTACCCAACAGTTTTTCAACCCTTGTCCCTCTCCCTTCCCTTCTAGTACTCCCCAGCATCCATTGTTGCTATCTTTATGTCTGTGAATACCCAATACTTATCTCCTACATGTGAGTGATAACATGTGATATTTGGTTTTCTATTCCTGCATTAATTTGCTTAAGATAATGGCCTCCAGCTGCATCCATGTTGCTGCAAAGGACATGATCTTACTGTTTTTTAGGGCTGCACATCTCTGACTTTTCTAATACCACGTGTATTGGACTATTTTAATATTAATTAGGTTATTAAAATCTATGTTCCCAGAATCCCATTCTAGAAGAGAGTTGGTCAAAAGTGAAAGTATGCAAGATTTTGGAGGCAGCAGTAAAGAAGCAATCATTTTTCTCTAAAGGTTTTTGTTGGTTAGAGAAAAATGAAAGGCTGATAGAGATGGCCTAGTTGAAACTACTTTGCTTCTGCTCTTTCCTGCATTTCTACGTGCTCTTTTTTCTAAGTGCTCATCCTGCTGATATAACATTTACCATTAGCTCAAAGACACATCTATTTGCAAATTCAGGAAAGCAGTAGTCACAAAGAACCAACATTCTGCCACATACTTTAATACCATGCTACTGTCAGAATTATTTTCCAGCAGGTAGAGAATACAGCTTCTAGTGTCCCTGAAAACCCCAATTCTATCACCTATACCAGGGCTAGTTACTGAGCTCTGTCTAACTTTTCTAACCCCCTTTCCAGACCTTTACTTTTCTAGATCTTCCATAATTTTGTAATATATAAATCCTTATTCCATAATATCTATGGTGATCCATGCTTTGCTAATTGAACTCTGACTGACCCAGTATTTAAGTATAAAATTCTGTTAAGTTCTATTGTTTATAGCTTCTTATACCATCATAATTACTTTTTTGCCTTCTTCATTGTCTTAATTTAGTTGTACTACTAAAATAGCTTTCTTTATTTAGCCTAAACTGAGTTGGGAAAAGTAAAACCATCAAGCATGTCTCTGATTTCTCAATCAGGCTACTTATTAGAACCATCTGGGGAACTTCCCAAAAAATGTAGATACTTGGAATCCATTGCAGATCCTTAAAATTGGAATCATTTCATGTAGATTATAGTATATATTTTTAAAATTTAGCAGTAAGTCTAAAAGATCAGCCATGTTTACAAACCATGAAGGTATGAAATTACAATTAGATGGATGCTACATGATAGTAATATGGATTTGAATCTTAGTTTGTCTAATATGCAACTTGAGATTGTTTCCTAATCTCTCTAAATTTTAGTTTTCTCAAGTTAAAATATAAATAATAACATTATCTATTACAGTAGTAATGGAGCAGATTACAAAGTAACAGTTGCTTTGCCCACCAGAGTAATTGTTACAGTTAACTAAATTAAAGATTATTAAAAACCCAATAACAAGTATCAGTCATACTGCTATAATAGTGTCAGTCTGAAACAATATGTGAGCAGTGAGCTCTACAACTTGAATATCTCCAATTTATCCCACTGTTGGCACTGACTAAAGAAAAAACAAAACAAAACAAAAAACAAACAAATGTTACATGTTTCATGTATCTTCCCACAAAAGTATTAGTTATTCTAGTAATCCTATGTTACCCATGCTAGAAAATTTGAAACTCTCTTTAAATTCTTTCTCACTATTATTATTATTTGTTTTCCATGCCAGGGTATATCAGTGACAAAATGACAAACATACATGTTCACATGGAACTTACATTTTAGTGGGGAAAGAAGAAAAATAAAATATTTGAGAAAATACAATATGTTAGAAAGTGATCATTGCAAAACGGGAAAATAGAGCAAGAAGTATAGAAGAAATGCTAGCTTTGCAGGAACACAGATAAAAGAAAAAAATGGCTTCATATTGTATCTAGGCAACAGGATCATGAAAAATATTATTAAAAGTTTCTATAATTGACATATGCAGTGGAGTTCATATTACCACTTTATTATAGTGCTAATTTTTTTAGAAAAATGTTATTAAAATACTAACATTGAACTAAGCATAAAGTTTTAAATATAAAATATTATTTTGCAAGAAATTCTGTATATAGTTATACAAATAAAATATAACAGAGGCTAATGGTGACAACTAAACTCATTGCTTCCTTCTTAAATTGTAAAACCAACAACATTTAAATAATGTTCATGCATATTACTTATTATATTGTTGCCAATCTGGTAAATAAAATGAAGCGTGGTAATTTACAGAAGGAAAGAAGAGAAAAAAATGACAATTACATTCATGTAATCTGAAAATTCTGCTCCAGATTATGGATGTATTTATTTTTCAGCATTGAATTAGGATTCAAAAAGTGTATTGTTAAAACAACTACATTTTAACACTCCATATCTGACTAACAACTTTTTGTAAATGAAAAAAACAGAGACAGTAAAACGAATACTATGAAGTAAGAATAAAAATTAACCACTGTTCCTAACATTAAAAAAATGTTTATCAAACTTGGAATAGAAAGGGCTTTGTCTGATTTGATAAAGGATGTCAACAAAAAAAGAAAAAAATACAGAAAATGACATACTTCATGGTGATGTGCCAGACAGAACTTACATTTTATGAAGGGAAATTAGATAAGAAGGCTTATTTATCACCTCTTCTATTCAATGATGTACTTGAAGTTCCATTCATGTAAAGGAAAAAGATATTTTAGGAAATGGAAAGAACAAATAAAACAATATTCTCCAAAGACATAACATTGAAAGCAGAACATCTAGAAATACAAATAAATTATTGGCATTTTTATGTTAGTAAATTTAGTAGGATTGTCAGGTATAAGGTCAACATACAAAAGTGTGCATATTATGCACCTAAAAATAAATAGAAATAAATTAGGGAAATACAACATTTAAAATAACATCTAAAAGCATCATTTACATAGGAAAAACTGTAGTCAGAAAAACATAAAGTACTACTAAGCAATGTTAATGGCCTAAATAAAGGTAAAGATGCACCATGTTTATGGGTTGATCAGCTCAATATGATAAAGATACCATTATTTTCAAAAAAATTAAAAGAGCGTAATCCTAAACAAAACCTCATTGTTTGTGCGTGGATTTTTTATTTGCTTGTTTGTTTGTTTGTTTGGCTAGCTATCAGCAAGCTCTTTCTGAAATTTATTTGGGGACTTAAAGAATAGCTAAAACAATCTTGAAAACAAATAATGGGGCAAGGGGAGTTTACTTTCTTAATTGTAAAGACTTTTTATGAAACCATATTAAATTACTGTGTTACGGGTACCAGGACTGAAGAGTAGATCAGTGGCAAAGAATAAAGAGCTTAAAAACAGGCAGCTATAAAAAAGACAACGGATTTTTGACAAAAGTAGCATAGTAATGAAAAAAGGTTAGTCATCTAATAAATTTCAATAAATGTTATATGAAAAACAAATGGCATTTGACACTTACTCCACACCATACACAAATCAATTCCCAGTCCAATATATATGTAAATTTGAAAGCTAAACCAATAAAGCTTATAGAAGGTGTTAGAGGAAATACGGTCATTTTCCTGGGGTAAGCAAACATTTCTTGAACAGTACACAAACACTTGCATATGTAAACACCTGTAAAGAAATAGGCTGATAAATTAGACTACATTAAAATGAACTTCTTTTTATCAGAGCAGTGAAAAAAGTAACAGAAGGGAGAATAACTACAACTCACAGATAAAAGTTCCCATATCCATAAAATAAGAAGGACTTTTATTAATCCATATTTTTAAATAAGGGAGAATTATCAATCAAAATATATAAGGGACATGTATTGGCATTTTACAAAAGACAATATCCAAATAGCCCATAAGTATGAAAAGGTTCTAACCTTTTTTTTGAGATGGAGTCTCGCTCTGTTGCCCAGGCTGGAGTGCAGTGGTGTGATCTCAGCTCACTGCAAGCTCTGCCTCCTGGGTTCACGCCATTCTCCCGCTTCAGCCTCCTGAGTAGCTGAGACTACAGGCGACCGCCACCACACCCTGCTAATTTTTTTGTATTTTTAGTAGAGACGGAGTTTCCCCATGTTAACCAGGATGGTCTCGATCTCCTGACATCATGATCCGCCCGTCTCGGCCTCCCAAATTGCTGGGATTACAGGTGTGAACCACCGTGCCCTGCCAGTTCTAAGCTTTTTTACCATTAATATTAAAGCTATATTTCATATTAAGAACCTAAAATAGCAATGCAATTAGCTCATCAGAATGGTAACCATTAAAATGATAGGTAATACCTAGTCTTGATGAGTCTGTGAAGTTACTGAAACTTTCTAGTGTATGGGGGAACAAGTACTTTGGAATATAGATTATCATTCTCCTAAATTTGAATACAGTCTGGAAGGCAGTAGGTGTTGAATGAATGGATGAAAGTCACATCACATTTCACAATTTAAGTGCCTAATACAGTGGTCCCCAACCTTATTGACACCAGGTACCAGTTTCATGGAAGAACATTTTTCCATGGATGGGGGGATGAGGTAATCATTTTGAGATGAAACTGTTTCACTTCAGATCATCAGTCATTAGATTCTCATAAGGAGCACACAACCTAGATTTCTGTCCTGTGCAGTTCACAATAGGGTTTGCACTCTTGCACTCCCGTGAGAATCTAACGCGGCTGCTGATCTGACAGGAGGTTGAGTTTGGGCGGTAATGTTGGTCTTGCTGACCACTCAGCACTCATCTCCTACTGTGTGTTCCATTTCCAAGAAGGGTTGGGGACCCCAGCTCTACATCATTAGTCATAAGGAAAATCCAAGTAAATACCAATATAGAAATCAATAAGCAAGTGCTTTTTATTGTTGTTGTTGTTGTTGTTGTTTTGATACAGAGTCTTACTTTGTCATGCAAGCCAGAGTGCAGCGGTATGATCTCTGCTCACAGCAACCTCCACCTCTCGGGTTCAAGTGATTCTCATATCTCAGCCTTCTGAGTAGCTGGAATCACAGGCATGCGCCATCATCCACCAATTTTATTTTTTAAGTTAAACAATTATATTACAAAATAAATTTTTGTATTTTCAGTAGAGATGAGGTTTCACCATGTTGGCCAGGCTGGTCTCGAACTTCTGATATCAAGTGATCCACCCGCCTCAGCTTCCCAAAGTGCTGGGATTACAGGCATGAGACACCAAGCCTGACCAGCAAGTGCTTTTAATTCCTGTAGACATATAATCTAAACAACAACAACAAAACAGAAGTAAAACCAAAGAACCCCTAATGAAAGGGTAGGAGGAGAAGAGGAGTAATACAGATAACTTGTTTTACTTAAGAAGTGTTATCTTGTTGGCCACAATAAATATTGCTTTTTTTCCACCATTTTTTAGTAGTATTAGTTTTGCTAATTTCAAAAAAGAAATTAGCAGAACTGTACATGATGTTGACAGCGGAAAATGAAATAAACTGCTTAGATTTCATATTTTAAAATAATACAGAGGGAAGGAATAATAATTGTGGTAAGAAGCATTATATAGAAAGTGATTTGGAAAATTCTTCCAGATTTATATTAATAATGCTGTCTATGTACTCTCCTAGAGGAAAATGATAATTAACTAAATGCTTTCATGCAGAGAGCAGCAAAAATTTTATTGGCTATCCTATCCTTTAACAATATTCATGGCTTTCTATCCAGACTTCACGAAGCAAGAGCTTCCTCAGTTTTCTATAAAGTCATTGGCAAATCACTCCCAGGAAGAGACAGGGATCATTGTTTTTTAAAAACCAATTGCTTTTTGCAAAGTCCTGCATCTTTATCTTAGTTAATCTTCTCACCAATCTTGCAAGATAGATTTATTACCTCCATTTTGTAAATAGACAGGGTATATTATTTGCCAAAGTTGAAATGGAAAATGAATGGCAGAGCCTGTAAGTTAACCCAAGCTTATATGATTCTATTTCAAAAGTTCTTTCTGCTCTGCCACACAGCCAGTTAAATAATAGGTAGAAATAAATGGTGTCAAGTATAGGAGAGGGAGAGCAGGAGGAACTTATAGATAATCTAACCTCCGTGGAATAATGGGATGGCCTTGAAGGAAAGGTTAATTTTAAACTTGATTTGGAAGGAAAAGATTATTAAAAGTGGGGCATTAAAATATTCTCTACGGCATTCACCCTTCTAGATTATGCACTCAACTTGTAATGTAATTTTTATAGCATAATTAACAGGTATGTTCAAGTTAGGGAAAGTTATCCTTACAGAAAAATATATTGTTTAGCTCCTGATTGGACTTTGAGAACCTCAAGTTCATGGTTAAGATTTTTGTTAAAATTTAACCCCCAAAATGTGGTTTAAAGGCAAATTTGAGGGAAAGTCACGGCAACAGCATCAATTTGTGTTTACACAGCTGTGTCTGTGTCTATTGTTAGACACCAGATAATTACATCCCTTATGTTTATAGATGTAGAGAGACATATTATCTCTCAAGCAAAATGTTTAATATAATTCAGTAATAAAACTTTCAAATAAAATCAAATCTAGACTTAGAGAGAATTTATAAGAAAGGATTATTACAATATTGAGAAAGGGACTCTTCTAATAGGGGAAGGGAGACTGTTGTAACAGGGAGATGGACAAGCATCTCAAAGGCCAGGAACAAAAGGGATTTTCTATTATAGGAAGGGACAAACCAAGCTAGAAAGAAAGGGATTTAGGAAGAGGATGGCATGACTTAAGGACAGTTCATCAGTGAATGTCACAGTTTTTCTCTGTTTCTTTTGTTTCATAAAAAGTTAACAAATGGAATAGATAGGTATACAATTTAAGGCTGATGCTCTTTATAGCTTGCTTAAAAAAGAGGTAGTCATTGTTGAAGTTTTTCAGATGTTAAACTACAAACTTAAATATATTACCTCAAACAATTGTTCACATTCCAAAGAAGCCTATTGCATCCTATAGCTCACAAAATTAATTTAGCCAAAGCCAACTCTTTTGAATCATTTTGTGACATTTATGCTGAGAAGAAATGCTTTTCTCTATTTTTTCTTTTCGAACAATTTTATTACAATTTTTACTGGGAATTGTAGATTCCACATGTAATACAAAACAATATCTAATGAGCTCCTGAAATAATACCTTTGTCATTCAGATCTCTGAAGGAAGTTGCTGTTAGAATATCATGTGATGTGCAATTCTGAGACTGTGAAAAGGAAGCAAGTACAGAAGAATTGTGAATTTATAAGAGAATTTAAGCCGTACATGTTATTACAAATTGAAAAAGAACCTTGCATCTTGAAATGTTAAAGTTCCAGGGTCCAATTCATCTAATTCTTATTTTAATATGCTTGCCAACACATTCTATTCCTGTGTGGAATCAAACTTTAAAGCAAACTGCAACACAACAGTGTGTTAAATGTCAATAGTTGATAGCTATCAAATAATTATATTTATAATAACATTCTAACAATTTAATACAAGATAGATTGTTATTGCTTCTTGCCCTCCAAAGCAGTTAACACTTACTCTAAAAAATGATCTAGAGAAATAGGCAAAGAAAATGGAGTAAAGAGAAGATACAATAGAAACACATCTAAGAATGTATATATCTTCTCTCTATATATATATGTATCTTATCTCTCTATATATACATATGTGAGTGTGTGTATATACACATATGTGTGTATATACATATATATATCACTTATATATACATATATATTATATATATCACTCTTTATTTCACATTTGGATATTAAGTTTTGGTCCAAGTGTTGAGTTATACAAAATAAATGTCATAATTATTTATGGAAGAAAAAATAATGCAACTGACCTTAAGGATTTGATTGTTGCATTAATGGAGACTCCGGAACAAAATAAATTTTCTACGATGTGTCAAAGTGTAAGTAATGTTACTGTAAAAATAAGCTTCATTTTCTTGTTTATTTTTATACAGAGGACTAATCAAGTAATAACACATGATTATTTTATATGAAATCAAAAGAGGTGTCAAGAAATACTCTTTCCTCCCAGAAGAAAATAATTAAAATGGAGCTGGATTGTTGGGGAGATTGGCTGAGGCAAAAATGCAGAGGCTATGTGAGTAAAATAAGAAACCATCTATAGGAATTGGAGGACTAAGAATAAATGAACTTGAATGAATAGACTGGCCCAGTTCATTCCCTAAATATGTCTTACCTTCTGGTTTTTACTTTCTGCCAATCATTTAATGAGCTACTTATTTCAATATTGCAACAATATTTGCTACAAGTACTCCCCGAATTTTTCTCTTTAAACAACAAATTATATAAAAAAATTTATCTATTTGCAATTCATATCTATCATGCAATTCATTATTACATCATATAACTTTAGTGTGCATGTTGACTTTTGATTTGCTATCTTAATGTTATATACACTAGGGATCATCACAACAGTTTCCTCTAAGACTGAAACACAAAGTGTGGGAAAATTTATCTGAAGAATAAAATGATAATATTTTGGCATTCAGTTTGTGAAAATCATCTAAAAAATTTTAAATTTAAAATGCATTTGTACTTAAACCAACTATATTTTACAACAATAACTTATAATCTCACACCAGATTTTAAAATCTAGGCAACCGATAAAAATCAGTAATTACATTGTTGACATTATACCATTTCAGGGGCAGTTACCATTGCTTTTTCTCACTTTTAAGTTTACAATAATTTTATTTAACAGATTAAAAAAACAAAGTTCTAGAGAGGTCATGAAGCCAATAAAAATCATATAACAAAAGGAGAAGTTAAGATTTAAATCAAGAAAGGTCTGACCATGAAACTTAGGCTTTTATTAATTAAACTTAAATTCTGTCTGTTAACACTAACTAATTTTCTCCTATTCTAGAAGATCAACAAAAATAGATTTTTAGTAACAAAATTCTATCAAAACAGGTTTTATTTTCCCAATTTTTATTTATGATCCAGTGGGTAGACGTGTATGTTTGTAACCTAGGTATATTGCCTGATGCTGATGTATGGGATATGAATGATCCCATCACCCAGGTACTAAGCATAGTACCCAACAGTTAGTTTCTCAGCCCTTGCAACATTCCCTCTCTCCCCGCTCTAGGAGTACCTAGTACAGCAACGTGGATGCAGCTGGAGACCATTATCCTAGCCAAATTAATGCAAGGACAGAAAACCAAATACAGCATGTTCTCATGTATAAGTGGGAGCTAAATATTGAGTACTCATGGACATAAAAATGGCAACATAGTAGGTTTTAATTTATCCTCATAATCACCAAAATATTACTTTCTCATTGTACGGATAAGTTTACAAGATTGAAATAACATGAGGACTTATTCAGCTTTCCAATTTGTAAAGCATTAAGTGACAACCCTAGATAGAAGCTCATGACATCTAATTTAGCCCTAATACCACAGTGTTAATTTAAAATTGGACTTGCCTTAGGCATGGCTCACCTGGATTCTCAAAGATTATTTTACAAAAAAAATTTTATAGCTACATTATTTCTCATTCTCCAGCAAACATTTAATATACAGAAATTTTTAAAAATTAATTAACTTTGCAGATAATAATCAATAACCGATTATATGTAAAATACTTCATATTATTTTTACTGTGTAACCAAAATTAGTTCTAAAAGCAAGTAATAGTTTATCCAATATAACACAGAGCGCTGAGGATCAGAAACACTAAGCACTATTTTAATTTGTTAAATAAAATTATTGTAAACTTAAAAGTGAGAAAAAGCAATGGTAACTGCCCCTGAAATGGTATAATGTCAACAATGTAATTACTGATTTTTATTGGTTGCCTAGATTTTAAAATCTGGTGTGAGATTATAAGTTATTGTTGTAAAATATAGTTGGTTTAAGTACAAATGCATTTTAAATTTAAAATTTTTAGATGATTTTCACAAACTGAATGCCAAAATATTATCATTTTATTCTTCAGATAAATTTTCCCACACTTTGTGTTTCAGTCTTAGAGCAAACTGTTGTGATGATCCCTAGTGTGTATAACATTAAGATAGCAAATCGAAAGTCAACATGCACACTAAATTTATATGATGTAATAATGAATTGCATGATAGATATGAATTGCAAATAGATAAATTTTTTATATAATTTGTTGTTTAAAGAGAAAAATTCGGGGAGTACTTGTAGCAAATATTGTTGCAATATTGAAATAAGTAGCTCATTAAATGATTGGCAGAAAGTAAAAACCAGAAGGTAAGACATATTTAGGGAATGAACTGGGCCAGTCTATTCATTCAAGTTCATTTATTCTTAGTCCTCCAGTTCCTATAGATGGTTTATTTTACTCACATAGCCTCTGCATTTTTGCCTCAGCCAATCTCCCCAACAATCCAGCTCCATTTTAATTATTTTCTTCTGGGAGGAAAGAGTATTTCTTGACACCTCTTTTGATTTCATACAAAATAATCATGTGTTATTACTTGATTAGTCCTCTGTATAAAAATAAACAAGAAAATGAAGCTTATTTTTACAGTAACATTACTTACACTTTGACACACCGTAGAAAATTTATTTTGTTCCGGAGTCTCCATTAATGCAACAATCAAATCCTTAAGGTCAGTTGCATTATTACCCTGAGTTAAAAGTTATTAAATAGATATATATTTTTAATTAATTTTTTTTTTTTTTTTTTTTTTTTGTAGAGGTAGAGTCTAGCTACGTTGACCAGGCTGGTCTTGAACTCCTGGGCTCAAGTAACTCTCCCATTTTGGCCTTCCAAAGTGCTGGGATTATAGGGGTGAGCTGCCACACTTGGCGTTTTGAATACATATTTAACCCATTTCTTCTACGTGTTAAAGCAAAATCTCTTATATCAGACTGTATTCCAGAAAAGTTTGCAGGCAGGAAGACCAGTCAGGAGGTTGTTTGGTAGTCTAGGTGAGAGGGAATAGTATTCCGATCATGCACATTCATCATGGGTAATAAAGAGAATGAGTAATATTTAGGACATAAAAGCACAAAAATTTGTAAAACAGATGTAATGATTAAGAGACAGACAGCAGTAAAGGATTTGCTAGAGGTGAAATTGAGTGGATAGTGGTGCTGACAAATTAGAAAAAGCATGAAACAAGAAAGAAAACGTATAAGGGAAACATCAAACATCAGTTCAGGTTGTAGTGATGGAAGAAAAATCTTGACTGAAGTGGATTTAAAAGAAAATGGAATAAAATGAATTGGAGACAGTGAGTTCAGAAAAATGTTTCAAGATTATCAAATAACAGGACAATAACCATCAGAGGAAGTTAAGTCATCAATATTTATGTTTATTTCTAAAGATGGTAGAAATGATAGTGCTATGTTGATACCAATGATCCAACAGGTATTAGAAAACTGATGTTGCATAAACAGAAAAGGAGAATTATTAGATGCATTTATATGATAAAGGCAGAGGAAGGAATCTAGTGATCAAGTGGAGGGTCTGGCTTTTAAAAAGACCATATACACTTTATTTAGTTGATGTAATTGAAATAGTTTAAATGGTGTGAAAGCTGAGTAAAGTATGAAGATGTATTTGCTGGTAGGAAGAAGTAAAGTCAGTGAGTATGTAGAACAAAGATCAACAATCTACTGCCCATATGCCAAAACCATCCTACCAATGACTTTTGTAAATAAACTATTGTTGGAACAAAGCCAAGCCTGTTCATTTCCACAATGTCTATGGCTGCTGTTTTCATATTACAACAGAAGACTTGAGTAGTTGGAATGGAGACTGTATGGACTTCAAAGCCAAAATTAGTTGCTATCTGGCCCTTTACTAAAAAAGTGTGATGACATCTGAAATAGATTTTTCTTTTCAGAAGTTGGACTTCTAGTGGGTAAAGAAACTTGATAATTAGTAGGAATGATATGAGGTCAAGAGACCCTTTTTTCTTTTGTTTGATTGCATTTAAAGAAAAATATATCAACTTATGGCTTGAAAAGAAAAGGAAGTGAATAAAGAAATCTAGATGATACCAATAATATATAATAGATGGAAAAGAAAATTCTGTAAGAATATAGAGATTGGGTTTTTAAGGGGAGATTGCAGCAGCACACAGACTATCAAAATGACAAATGAAAGGAAATCTATGCATCCCTCAGTTGGGATACAGACATTCCCTCATGTCAAATAGGATCATTTCCATTTTAAATACCCAGCAGATTTTTGTTATTGATTTATTTGTTGTTTTAAAGCTGAACATTTTGGTTTATTAGGAAAGTTTAAAAAGTTATTTTTATGTAATCCCTTTGTGTACATACTTAAAATTATCTTCAGCTTCCAGCCTCATTTTTAAAGGAAATTATTTTAATATGTTATCATCTTTAAACAGCTTCCTTTAAATTTTTATTTTAGGTTCATGGGTACATGTGCATGTTTGTTACATAGGTAAACTGTGTGTTATGGGGACTTGGTGTACAAATTATTTCATCATCCAGATAATAAGCATAGTACCTGATAATAAGCATAGTTTTTTGACCCTCTCTTTCCCCAACTCTTACCCTCAGGTAGGCTCCAGTGTCTGCTTTTCCTCTTTTTGTGTTCATATGTACTCAATGTTTAGCTCCCACTTATAAGTGAAAACATATGGTATTTGGTTTTCTGTTCCTATGTTAGATGGCTTAGGATAACTCCATCCATGTTTCTGGAAAGGACATGATCTTGTTAATTTTTACAGCTGTGTAGTATTCCAGGGTATATGTTTACCACATTTTCTTTGTCCTGTCTACTATTAATGGACATTTAGGTTGATGTGTTTGCTATTATGGATAGTGCTGTGATGAATCACACTTGCATGTGTCTTTATGGTAGAATAATTTACATTCCTTTGGGCATATACCCAAGAAGAAGATTGCTGGGTCAAATGGTAATTCTGTTTTAAGTTCTTTGAGGAATCACCACACTGCTTTCCATGATGGCTGAAATAATTTACATTCCCACCAGCAGTGTATAAGCATTCCCTTTTCTCCACAATCTTGCCAGCATCTGTTATTTTTTGACTTCTTAGGAAGAGCCAATATGACTGGTGTGAAATGGTATCTCAATGTGGTTTTGATTTGCATTCCTGTAATGATTGGTGATGCTGAGCATTTTTTTTCATATGCTTGTTAGCCTTATGAATGTCTTCTTTTAAAAAATGTCTGTTTATGTCATATGCCAACTTTTTAATGGCGTTAGTTGTTTTTTGCTTGTGAATTTGTTTCACTTCCGTATATATTCTGGATATTGGACCTTTGTTGGATGCATAGTTTGAAAATACTTTCTCCCATTCTGTATGTTGTTTGTTTACTCTGTTGATAGTTTTATTTTGTTGTGCAGAAACCATTTAGTTTAATTATGTACCATTTGTCAATTTTTGTTTTCACTGCAATTGCTTTTGTCATCTTCATCATAAAATCTTTGCAGGGTTCCTGTGTTCACAATGGTATTTCACAGTTATCTTCCAGGGTTTTTGATCATTTTAAGGTTAACATTTAAGTCTTTAATCCATCTTGAGTAGATTTTTGTATATGGTGTAATAAAGTGGTCCAGTTTCAATCTTCTGCAGATAGCTCACCAATTGTCCCAACGACATTTATTGAATAGGAAATCCTTTCCTCATTGCTTGTTTTTTTTGCCAATTTTCTTGAAGATCAGATCATTGTAGGTGTATGGCATTATTTCTGATCTCTCTATTGTGTTTCATTGGTTTATTTGTCTGTTTTTTGCACCACTGCCATGCTGTATTGTTTTCTGTAGCCTTTTAGTATAGTTTGAAGTCAGGTAACATGATGCCTTCTGCTTTGTTCTTTTTGCTTAGGATTGCCTTGGTTATCTTGATTCTATTTTGGTTCCATGTGAATTTTGAAAATTTTTTTTTCTAATTCTGTGAAGAATCTCATTGGAGGTTTCATACAAATAGCATTGAATCTGTAAATTGCTTTGGGCAGTGTGGCCATTTTAACAATATTGACTATTCCTATCTGTAAGGATGGAATGTTTCTCCATTTGTTTGTGTCATCTCTGATATCCTTGAGCAGTATTTGTAGTTCTTGTTGTAGAGATCTTTCACCTCCCTGGTTAGCTATATTTCTAGGTATTTTATCCTTTTTGTGGCTATTGTGAATGGAATTACATTCTTAATTTTGATCTCAGCATGGATGTTGAAGGTGTATAGAAATGCTACTGATTTTTGTACATTGATTTTGTATCCTAAAACTGCTAAAGCTGTTTATCATATCAGGGAGTTTTGAGACAGAGACTACGAGGTTTTCTAGTCATAGAATCATATTGTCTGCAAAAAGGTGATAGTTTGACTTCCTCTTTTCCTCTCTCTTTTTTTTTTATATCTCTTGTACTGGCTATGATATGGGTCTCTTGAAGACATTATAAGTATAGGATCTTGCTTCTTTATCCAACTTGCCTCTCAGTGCCTTTTAATTGAGGCACTTAACACGTTTACAAATGAGGCATAACTAAAGAATAGAATTTTCAACCAATACTTTTATATCTAGCCAAGCTAAAATTCATAAGTGAAGGAGAAGGAAGATCCTTTTCAGGCAAGCAAATGTGAAATAACTTTTTATAGGCTCAAAATACAACTGATTTTTCAAAAATGCTCTTTTGTCAAGAGGAAGTGTCTAGAGAACAGGAAAAGAACAAATCTCCAAAGAGTTATTTATTCCCAGATAGAAAAACAGAATTTCTCTGGGTCATTCAGATTGAATGGCACAGCTTCCCTTCTGAGCAGGCAACACCTGTCCTTTCATTTCTATTGGATACCTCATGGTTGACAAGGGATTGACCTTCTTGGATGTCTGCCAACCAACTGGCAGACTTCTGACCCTCATGTAACTCTGGCAGCTACAGCTTACACATTCTTACCTGAGAATAGATCGCTGGCTTTCCGTCAACTATGTGGACTCTCCTCTGTCCTCTTATCTGTGTAGTGTTAGTAGTTTGGCATTACTCTTCACCTTGCAGTTTATCACTTCCTTTATCTTAGACCCTGGCTGGCATGATATTTGTACATGTACTGGCAGAGGTTGAAGGTCACAGTATACAATCTATCAACTAAGGACATCTGATTAAATAATAATAATAATAATACCTGTGCAATAATCTGAGCAAAATGGAAAAATATTTAACTGAGGATGTGACCCTGTTATACTAAGAAAACACAGAGTGTGGAGTATCAATAACATGAGAGCAACCGGCAATGAGAGAAAAAGAATGGAGTGATTTATGCAAACAGAAGTTGCAAAAGCTTATTTGTCATCTTCTTTTTTCTTCTTGATAGTCATTTGCCTACATTACGTAATCCCTTTCTAGCAAGTCTTCTTTTGTGACATTTCATTCTAATCCATGCTTTCCCAATCTCCATCTGCTTTATTATGGAGTTCCCTAAGACCGAATGTTCTAAGCTTAATCTACCTTTTTTTCATTCCATTTCTAATCACAGCCAATATATAAAATTCCAATAAATGTCCCCAATTATGTTACTTGAATGTTTCTTTACCAAAAGCTGAAAGATACTCAAAGTTCCTTTGAATACTATCTGGAAATTGTACTTTATTTTGATTATAGGTTTCATATTTAGGTTTGAACGCTGTTACTGATCACCTTAGAAAATTTTGACTGTTTAATTATTTCATTGTCTAGGTTGTATATTTTCAGAGAAAATTTTAGTGCTATCTTACAAGTTTACATTAATTTTGGTATAAGAACATTTTTGCTATATGCATTTTCTTTGACTCCTAGTGGGTTTTGGTTTGTGGTTCTTATTATAAATATTTTTAATTATTAGCTTACTTTTCTATCATAATGCTGCAGATTTCTGATTCCACTTAAAAAAAGTGTTCATTCATTATTACATGGCTCACATTTCTTCATGGAAACAATAAGCTAAGGCAAGAGTGACTGCCCACTTTAGACTCCTTGTATTCTATAGAATTCCCAGCACTATTATTCTTCTAGTCAAAATCTAATTTATATTATCTCTCTGGAGCCCATATACTCTTGACAAAAAAAAGCATCTTAACTGAAAAGTTCCTAGAGCACAAAATGATGTTGGAGTAACAATAGCAAGATATATAAAGACATTTGAAAAATTTTATTATATTTAATAAATAAATATTTTACCTGGACCCCTATAAATTGTTAATTAAATTTCATTTCAAAATCCCAGCATTTTTATTGAATTGAATGTCTTCTTAATTACATGGTCTCTATTATCTAACACATGAGAATCTAAAATTATCTTATGTAAATAAGAACTTAACAAAACCCATGTAATTATCATTTTTTAAATTATCATTTTTATGTTATTACCTCCTGTGTGCATTATTATTATTTTTTTGGGGGGGCGGGAAGGGTCTCTCTCTCTCTGTCACCAGGCTAGAGTGCAGTGGCCTGATCTCGGCTCATGGCAACTTCTGCCTCCTGAGTTCCAGCAATTCTCTTGCCTCAGCCTCCTGAGTAGTTGGGATTACAGGTGTGTGCCACCACACTCGGCTAATATTTGTATTTTTAGTAGAGATGGGGTTTCACAATATTGGTGAGGCTGGTCTTGAAATCCTGACCTAAAGTGATCCTCCTGCCTTGGCCTCCCACAGTGCTGGAATTACAAGCATGAGCCACCGCCCTTGGCCGTGTATTATTATCATAAGAGATAACAAATAGGTTTTTGAAGTTTACTGATATTTGAGTGTAAAATTAAGACTGACAGTAGAATGTCTTCATTTTTATTTGTTATATTTTTAAATGAATAAGAGCATCAGTTCTCTATGACCCAATGAAATAAAATTGGTAAAAAGATATAAATCAGCACATGTTCAAATTCAAAATTATTGCATCTCCTAAACCTTTGAATGTGAACTCACAAATATCTTATGGACAGGCTTACAGTAATTTATACGTGGAATTTGCAGCTTCTCCATTTCAACATTTTTCTTTATCAAATGAGTACTTAAATTCAGAAATATTATGTAATTTTCTAAGGTCACATGGCTGAAAGAGTCAGATTTGCTGATTCTTAGTCCATCAGAAGACATTATTTTTTATCCTTAAAAGTATGAGTGAGGCTGGGAGTGGTGGTTTATGCCTATAATCCTGGCACTTTTGGAGGATGAGGTGGTTGGACAGCTTGAGCCCAGGAGTTGAAGACCAGCCTGGGCAATATGACAAAACTCCATCTCTACAAAAACAAACAAACAAACAAAACAAAACAAAAAGAACACTACAAAAATTAGCCAGCCATGGTGGCATGTGGCATGTGCCTGAGGTCCCAGCTACTTGGGAGGCATAGGTTGGAGGATTGCTTGAGCCCAAGAGATTGAGGCTGCAGTGGGTCATGATTGTGTCACTACACCCCAGCCTGGGCAACAGAGCGAGACCCTATCTCAAAAAAAAGCATGAATGAATTAATGTTTCCTAATTGATTTCAAATATAATAACCAATACATAAATGGACTAATAACCCAAATACTTTTTTATTTTTCAAACAGCTTTAAAGATGTTACAAATGAATTTGGAAAACCAATAAAAATATCCTGATATTGTAGATAGCATCATTTCTTATTAAATTATCCATCGTTGATGTGATATTGACCATGAATCAACAACAATTGTTGTTATGGGTCATTGAATAATAATAGCCAGTTGTATTTATTAATTCAGGTTATAACTTTAAGGATAGACAATTTCATAGAAAAAAGTTTTAATTAAGCCGATGTTTTCTAAGGTTTTTTGCTATGCATGAAGAACAAAATGTTTTGATGATTTGTGAGAATTCTTAGGATAAAGATTGTGAGGAACACATCCATATGGGTGCATAAGTACTGCAATTAGTCAACACAACTCTTTATTCTGTTTCATAATACAAGTTATTTGTTAGTTGTAATTGGAATTAGTTAACAAAAATGTAAATCATCAGAAATTGAATGGGTATGCTGATTGTTGTGTCTTCTTTTATACTTGCCATGTAAGTGTAATCTTCCTTTCATCAGTGTTATAAAGCTGTTGTTTATTTTATTTTTATTTTATTATTTTTTTCCTTAACACAAGCCACACCAATTTAAACCTGTTTCAAACTAGAAAGAAATTTATTTAAAAATTACATCTATCAAGTAGAGTTATGATTTAACTTCTAGTTTTCTCTACACATCTTAAGAGTCATTATGTCTTACTATGTGTACTGCCTGGGAAGATTAAGACAGTGACTTGCACATGTTGGGTACTCAATAAATATCCATTGAATTGCTCAGATAGCAAGAGGAACATGAGCTGCACTTCAGCAGTAACATACTAACTATCCTAGTTGATCATTCCTGAGGTATGAATACAGAAGTTGTGCTCCTTCATAGAGGCTATAAATTTAATTCTGCAGTTCAGGAGAGTTTATTTCAACAGCTTCTTCATTATTTTAAATTATGCTAACACAAATAGCCCAACTTCTCAGGCTTAGCAAAAACCACTAAAATGTATTATGAAATTGTTTCTAGAATAATCTAAGGCTATATCCAATTATAAATATATCTGGAGATTTATGGGGAAGAGTTTAAATCTATACACTAGAACATATTTAAATAAGAGTAAATCATTGAGCACTGGTTTAATTTTTCTTTATAAACATTTTAGAATTAAAATGTAATACAGAAAAATTCATAATCACAAATGAATATATTGATGAATTACTACAAAATGAACACAATAATCATGAATCATCACCCACACCTGGAAATCAGCATTTCCAATATCCTATAAGCTGCTCTGTTGCCTTTTCCCAATCACTGTCTTCTCCTCAGAATCTTTATCCTGATTTAAAAATGTCTACATTAGTTGTATCTCTTTTTGAACTCTGCATAAATTCAATCTTTTCTGTCTAGCTTCTTTCTTTCAATATTATGTTGGTGAGATTGATTATGCCATTACATTATAGCTGTATTTCATTCATTTTCATGCTGTACATTATTTCATTGTGCAAATGTACCAGAAGTTAATTTTAATCATGCTGTTGTCAAATATTTGGATTGTTTCTGTGTTTGAGGACATTGGCAATACAGGTGCCCCTCTATGTGTGATGGAGTTATATCTCAATAAACCTATCATAACAATGGATTTATATAGATGTCTGAGGAGGTACCAAATGCCTATCTCTTTTGCACTATTATAAAGTCAAACAATTGTAAGTCAATGACTGTGTTGTAATGCTGCTATAAGCATTCTTGAAAGTGTTATTTGGCAGATATCTACACATTCTTATTGGGTTTATACCTAGGAGTATAATTTCTGGAACATACACTATGCATAGGATCAACTTTAATATCCACTGCCCGTGAATTCTCCCAAGCATTGGTTTCAACTATCACTCCCACCAGAATTGTATAAAACTTCTAATTGCTCCACATCCTCAGCAGCACATGGTATTATCAGTTTTTAAAGTGGCGTCATTTGTGTGGTCAGCATAAGGGTATGTTATTATACAAGCACTGTTTTTTTTTGTTTTGTTTTGTTTCGTTTTTGACAGAGTCTCGCTCTGTCGCCCAGGCTGGAGTGCAGTGGCGCGATCTCGGCTCACTGCAAGCTCCGCCTCTGGGGTTCACGCCATTCTCCTGCCTCAGCCTCCCGAGTAGCTGGGACTACAGGCGCCCGCCACCACGCCCGGCTAATTTTTTGTATTTTGATCACGAGGATCACCTCGTGATCCGCCTGCCTCGGCCTCCCAAAGTGCTGGGATTACAGGCGT
The DNA here is from genome assembly GCF_000001405.40 of Homo sapiens. Taxonomy (NCBI): domain Eukaryota; kingdom Metazoa; phylum Chordata; class Mammalia; order Primates; family Hominidae; genus Homo; species Homo sapiens. Next base: position 35,131,071 of record NC_000004.12, read on the forward strand.
GAGCCATAGCTCCCAGCCTCACTGGTGTTTTTATCAGAATAGTTAGCACATTTCTGCCTCTCTTCAGGTGCAAGAGATGCTCTGTTCATGTAGCTTAATCCATTCTTGTAGTGTATGGATTAGAGACCATTTCTTATTTTTAAGAGCATACTAAAACATTTTCTAAGAAAATTTGGAAAGTGTGTAGAACAATATTTCAAAAGCATTCCCCACTTAAAAGAAATAAAGAATACCTATCAGTATCACTGAGTTTGCTTTGTTTTTGTTGTTGTTTGTTTGTTTGTTTACACGGATTCTCACTCACTCTGTCGCCCAGGCTGGAGTGCTGTGGCGCGATCTCGGCTCACTTCAGCCTCCACCTCTTGAGCTCAAGAGATTCTCCTGCCTCAGGCTCCTGAGTAGCTGGGACTACAAAGTACGTGCCACCACACCCGGCTAAGTTTTTGTATTTTTAGTAGAGACGGGGTTTCGCCATGTTGGCCAGGCTGGCCTCGAACTCCTGATCTTGGGTGATCCACCCACCTAGGCCTCCCAAAGTGCTGGGATTACAGGCGTGAGCCACCGTGCCTGGCCATATCCTTGAGTCCACTTCAAAGACTTGAATGGTAATGGTCCAGTAAGGGAACACTAACACCAGGGATTGACTGGAAAGAAAGAATCAAGCTTACTGGAATTCATGCAAATTAGAGACCAAAAAAAAGAAAAGAGAGAATCCATCTAAGGATTAAAGATACTATCAGGAAAAACATGTGTAAGTAAATAAGGGCTTATCTGAGAAATAAGGCAGTAAAGACTAAGAAAGAATACTGAGAAACTAAATACTTAGAACCCAAGACAGGACTGTGGTATCCAAGAGTGGGAGTAATAAAATATTTTTTTAAATTTGACCCTGAACTAACTACCATTAAAACAGTTTCATCTTTAAGTATGAGAGTGAAAATTTTGACAAGTATCTTCATCTTACTAAAGTTGAGGGAGCTAAGCAATGAGTTTGGCAAACTTTGACAATAGGTATTTTCAGTCACTAATCAAAATGGAAAGAATAGCCATGTTGTGGATACACACTTATTTAGAAATAAGCAATGATTTCATCATCAAGGCTAGAATTCCATTGCGTTTGCAGTTTTATAGAATCCTAATTTTCCAGCCAAGCTCATTACTATTCTCTATCAAATGAATGAGACAATTAGAAGGTTTAACTTTGCAGAAAGCCAAACTCTCAGCAAAGCTCCATTTTAAATATATTGACTTGCCCTTGAAAGTTTTCTAGTAACATAGAGAATGCTGTCTCATTCACAGGAATTATAGCAGTGAATGATTTTTAATAGGCAATAACAAAGTAAATAGTAGAAGGTAAGAAAGTGCTTTATTCCACATTCACTAACATGTCCGCTGGGGTAAATTAGAAATTCTTTTATAGCAAGATTTCTGCTTCAGAACATAGAACAAAACTGAATGCTTATGTTTCAAAAGATTTCTACAGCATCTCCCCTGTCAGTTCTTAAAAGCCCCCTTCAGAAACTGAAGGAGAATTTTAAAATCTGGTAGATTTACATCTATATTTTTATTTTAATCTTTTGAATATTATCTCTGCATAAAGAAAATGAAAAAAACTAGAGCATTTTTATGCTCTGGATAAAAAAGCCTATCCTTATGTCTAAAGAAAACAATTTCATTTATGGCCAGCAGTCACATTTATGCAATAGTTTAAAATATTAAAATGATAACATAGATTAAAAATATATTTCCTTAAAGTTTTATGGCGTCCTGTAGTCATATTATACCAAACTTTATATTACATCATTATATCTTATATTTAGAACATCAATGATTTGAAAATTTCACGGTTATTTATCTATATAATTTCTATTTTAAGTAATAACATTATATATAAACACACATATGTATTTATGTATATATTTCACATATATCTCTTAAAAATGATAAAAAGTGATGGCTAATTTAGGCATTACAAATAGTTGTTTTGTATTTCCCCTATACATAGGTAGATTTTGTTTACACTGTGACAGAAAACCCAATATAGATGTTTACTTTTCTTCTATGTAAAAGCCTGAGTGAATAGTTCAGAGCCCATATGTTGCTCTACATTGTCAGGGACTTAGGTATTTTCGGTGTCATTTCTCCCTTGTGTGCCCTCTCCATCCCCAGGTGGCCTGAAATGGCTTCTCTAGCTCCATTTACTAAAATTCCTATTGATGTTGACAGGAACACAAAACAGAAGAAAAGTACGCTCTTGCCTTTAAAGACGCTTCCTAGAGTTTACACTCACAGCTTCCATGGACATTTCTTTTGTCACATTTTAAACTTGTGATCATGTCCTGAAAAAGAAGCTAGAAAATACAATCTTTATTCAGAGCGACTGTATGTTCAGGTCAGTGTGCTATTATTATGAAGGAGACGATTTATGAGGATTGTGGTTATTGAGGAATGTTTTGCAGTCTATGTCACAACCTACTTTAAATGGTAGAAATGGTAGTGAATCTCTCTCTCTCTGTCCCCCTCCACACACACACACACACACACAAACACACAATATTGTACTAGGAGCATGTAAGTAAGTAAGTAAATAAATAAATAAATAAATAAATAAATAAATGAGGCTGGGAGAATTAGCTCACACCTGTAATAATCCCAACACTTCGGGAGGCTGAGGTGAGAAGACCACCTGAGATTTGAGACTAGCCCAGTCAACATAGCAAAGCCCTGCCTCTACAAAAATTTGAAAATTATCCAGGTGTGCTGGCACGTGTGTGTAGTCCCAGCAACTCCGGAGGATGAGGCAGGAGGATCCCTTTAGCCCAGGAGTGCGAGGTTGCAGTGATCTCTGATCATGGCACTATATTTCAGCCTGGGTGACTAAGTGAGACTCATTCTCTAAAAAATAAATACATACATACATACATAAATAACTTAAAAACAATAATTAGATAGAAAGTGTTTTTGATATAAATAATTTGCAATCACAATTTTGAGGCACTAAAAGTATTCTTATTTTATACATTAAATATTGTCAAGTAATAAGATAGCATAAAATCTTAGGCTAAAGAGAAAAATAAATATTGTTCTATTGTTAAGTTACTGAAGTTACTAAATTAGAAGAATGATGCTTAAATTGATTTTGTTATAAAATTTACTTTTGTACATGCACTTGGTGAAAAAAGCAACACTAGATTTTTTTTTTAAAAAAGCACTATTAATCCTTTTAAGTCAATGTTTAGAAAATACAAACCTAGTGACATTTAAATGGCACTCTGGAGTCTAAAACTGTTTCAATGTCATTTTCAATGTTGAAATCAGCTTCAGATGAAGATGTAACTTTTAAGAGTCATTTGGGTATTATAATGAGAAAAAAACAATTAAGAAAAGCTGTATAAAATCCTCTAAACCAAACACATAAGAGGAATGGAAGAAGAGGAGAGACTATTATTGTTTTTCAACATAAAATTTGATATCAAAGCCAAACATAATTTTCTTGCAAAATTTGATCCGGAATTTACAGTTATGTGAATTTAAGCACAGACATAGTTACCAGGATGCTCTTTATAGCACTGTTTCAATATATTAAAACATTTACAGCAATAGAAAAGATTACTAACAGGAAATTGGTTGAATAAATTATAGCACTCTTGAAAATGAATTCTTAATCATAAAAATAAAGCTGTTAATATACATTTGTTGGTATAAAAATATATTTAGGCTATAATACTATGTGAGTTAAAAAATATAAAATACTATATGCAATATAACCTAAATTTTGCTATACATTTGCAATACATTTCATATATATCCTTATGGATATGTTAACGTTTATACAATAAAGTATTAACATATCCATAAGGATATATATCAAATGTTAACAGTGATTATCTCTTATGATAGAATTTTGACAATCAAGATATTCCATTCTTTCAACATTGAATGTGTATTTCCACATGAATGTATATTATCCAAAAATTATTACAAAAATCACAAGTTATAAAATAATACAATAAGGTAGCTCGATGAAGTAGGCACTACTTAATATATGTAACTAAGTAAAAGGAAAAGTTTATACCAATATACATGTATGAAGTTTTGTAGGTAAAAATAATGAAATGTGCATTATGATACAATCTAAAGTATATACATCAAACATTATCAGTGGTTAATTTTGGGATTAAGGGCTTTGGATGATGTTTCTAATAAACTAAAAGCTGTGTTTTTGAAAACTATAGTCAAATTATTAAGCATTACTTTATGAACTTCAAGTTCTATGACCTCTACAGAGTTTCTACTAAAATAAAAAGTAGACACTTTGCATGCTCTTTCTTGTTCTTAACATTTGCTCTCATATTAGATTACAGGAGCCTAAAAAGCTATTTATACCCACAAAATTCTCTAACGGATGACAGAAAAAAAATCTATGTAACTTACATTCTATATACTTGAATTTAATAATTTTATTAGACCATTCTTGCATTGCTATAAAAAATACCTCAGACTGGGTAATATATAAGAAAAGAGGTTTAATTGGCTCTCAGTTCTGCAGGCTGCAGAGAAAGCCTGGCAGCAGTGTCTGTTTCTGGGGAGGACTTAGGAAGCTTATAATTACAGCAGAAGTTGAATCTCCTCACATAACAGGAGTGGGAAAAAGAGAGAGAGAGATTGGGTGGGGAAGTTCCACACACTTTTAAATGACCAGATCTCATGACAACTCACTCACTATCGTCAATACAGCACTAAACCATGTGGAACCCATCACAGTGATCTCTACCCTCTCCACCAGGCCCCATCACCAGCATTGGGTATTACATTTCAATACGAGAGTTGGGCATTTAGGCAGGGACAAATATCCAAATTATATCATTTTGCCCTGGGACCTCCTAATACCCTTCTCACATTGCAAAATATAGTTATGCCTTCTCAATAATTCCCCAAAGTTTTAACTTGTTTCAGCAACGACTCAAAAGTCCAAAGTCCAAAGTCTTACCTGAGACAAGGCACGCCCCTTCCACCTGTGAGCCTGTAAGGTCAAAAACAAGTTATTTACTTCCAAGATACAATGAGGTGTAGGTATTGGGTAAACATTGCCACTCCAAAAGGGAGAAACCAGCCAAAATAAAGGGGCTACAGACCCCATGCAAATTCAAAAACTAGCAGGGCAGCCATTAAATCTTAAAGCTCCAAAATAATCTCCTTTAACTCTAAGCCCTACATCCCAAGACACTGCTGCAAGGGGTGAATTGTCAAGGCAATGGTAAGCTCCGCCTCTGTTGGTTTACAGGGTTCATCCCCCAGGGCTGTTCTCACAGGTTGGAGTTGAATGCCTGCAGCTCTTTCAGGCACAGGGTGGAAGCTGCTGGTGGGTCTACCATTCTGGGGTCTGGAGGATGGTGGCTCTTTTCTCACAGCTCCACTAGACAATTCCCCATTGTGGACTCTGTGGGATCTCCAACCCCACATTTCCCCATGGTGCTGCCCTAGTAGAGATTCTTTGTGAGGGATCTGTCCCTGCAGCACATTTCTGCCTTGCCACCCAGTCTTCCTCATACATCTTTTGAAATCTAGGTAGACTCTTTCAAGTATTCCTCATTCTTGCATTCTGTCTACAAGCTTAACACCACATGGAAGCCTCCAAGACATACGGCAGGCTTCCTCATGGAGGAATGTGGCAGCATGAGTTGTACCTGGGCCTCTTTGATCCACAGTTGGAGCTGGATTGGCTAGGATGTGGAGACCATTGTCTTGATGCTGCACAGGACAGCAGGGCCCTGGTCCTGGCCCATGAAACCAATCAGTCCTCCTAAGCCTCAAGATCTGTGATGGGAGGGGCTGCCAAGAAGGTCTCTGAAATGCCTTTGAGGCCATTTCCCTATTTTCTTGGCTATTAGCACTTGGTTCCTTTTTAGTTATGCAAATATTTCTAGCCCATTTTTTGCTGCACAGCCTCCTTGAATTCCTGACCAGAAGAAGCTTTCTCCTTCTCTGCCACAAGACCAGACTGCAAATTTCCCAAATTTTTATGCTCTGCTTACTGTTTAAATATAAATTTCAACTCTAAGTTATTCATTTGCTTCCACATCTGAGTTAGGCTATTAGAAGCAGCCAGGCCACATATTGAACACTTTGCCGCTTAGAAATTTCTTTTGCCAGGTATCCTAATTCATCACTATAATGTTCAAATTTCCAGAGATCCCTATGGCAGGAATACAGTGCAGCCAAGTTCTTTGCTAAGCTCTCAGAAGAAGAGCTCCAGTTCCCAATATGTTTCTCATTTTCATCTGAGACCTCATCAGCCTGGTCTTTACTGTTCATATTTCTATCAGCACTTTGGTCACAACCAATTAACAAATCTCTAAGAAGTTTCAAATTTTCTCTCATCTTCCTCTCTTCTTCTGAGCCCTCCAAACTCTTCTGACCTCTGCTCATTATCCACTTCCAAAGTTGTTTCCACATTTTCAGACAGCTTTATAACAATACCAAACTCCTGGTAAAAATTTTTTATATCAGGCCATTCTTGCACTGTTATAAAGGAATACTTGAGACTAACTAATTTATAAGAAAACAGGTTTAATTGGATCATGATTATGTAGGCTATACAGGAAGCATAGCTCCAGCATCTGCTTCTGCAAAGGCCTCAGGAAGCCTAAAATCATGGTAGAAGGTGAAAGAGGAGAAGACATCTCACAAAATAGAAGCAGGAGCATGAGAGAGAAAAACAGTGTGTCAGGAGGTGCCACACACTTTTAAACAACTGGATCTCATAAGAACTCACTCACTCTTGTGAAGAAAGCACTAAGCCATGAGGGATCTGCTGCCATGACCCAGTTACATCCCACTAGGCCCCACCACCAGCATTAAGGATTACAATTCAACATAAGATTTAACTCAATGGAAGTTTGGATATTTGTCTATAATAATGAAGACAGTAATTGTTTATAATAAGGAAGATAACACCAAAAACACTTGAATTCAAAAACTTGTAGTGGAATTGCATCAATTCCTATGAATCAATGGAAACTGAGAAAAGTGTCTAGTGGCAGGACTCAGCAGGGTGGATCTCAAGCACTTCAGTACTTGTACAGGCGGGGCAGCTTCTTCAGAGAGTTAGTATTAACTGCCCATTAATTGCCACATGTGAAACTCCTAAGTGTGTGGGAGGGAGGTGGCTGGTGGTTAAATCATCTCTTTATAATCTTTAGGAAGCTAGGCATAGATCTTAGTAGACAATAGGAGATGATGCCTATCTGTTTAACGTTTACATTTGAAACTTGTGTTTCAAGTCTATACTGCATTTGTGTTTGTCAAGAGCTACTCCTAGAAGACTAATTAAAAAATAAAAATAAGGGGAACATTTTGAACTCATCTAACCAAAACATGAAAAGTGCCAAGGTTGAAATTGACCCAGAGACCTCTGGATTCAGGGTTCTAAACAACCTATCTCTGTTTCTTTGTCGAATTCCCCTCCCATCTCCCCCCTCCTCTTGTCCTCTTGTTTCTGCATTGCTATTAAGTTCTTTCCAACTGCTAGCAATCTTTCTCCACGCCCACAGGATTCTTTCAGAACCTTCTCAGTTTTGACACATATCCTGTAACATTTCTGGAAATAATGTAATAAAACATTCCTCACCCACATGCCCTGTCAATTTCATTTTCCAAATATCTCTCAGATATATCAACCTCCAGGTAGTTTCAACATTTCCATTTAGGTCAATTTCTTCCATCTCTTGCTTGCATTTTTACAATAGTTCCTAAATGTTCAATATGAAGCAGTCCTCCACTCACATCCATATCTAAATCATTCTCCAGACTTTAAGTAATTCCATAAATCTCCCCACACCCAACAGAAACACTAATCATTCTCTAGAGTGAAGTTAGAGAAATAGGTTCAAAAGTTCATGTCTGTCATGTCCCACTCACACAGTCTTCTAATAAAAATGTATCCATGGTTTCCTAGAATCCTGAACGTGGCCTGCAGAGCCCTTTGCTTCATGCCCACTCTCTCCCTTTCCATTTTCTTTTGGAATGTTTCTCTTCTCTTCCCCTTTGTCCACAAAAGAACTGTGTTTCTTTTTTCTCCCATTGCTTCTTAAGTGGGTACTGCCTCTTACCAAAGGATTTTTTTTTTACTCTGCATAGGATCCTCTTTGCTCTTCTCTTTGCCAAGTGAATTCTGACCCATTTTTAAGATCTTGTTAAATGTTGATGCTGCAATAAAATGACACACTTTTATTATCTGTTCTGGAAGACAGAAGTCAAAATTAGTTTCAAGATATTGGCAAGGCTGGTTTCTTCTAGAGGCTGTCAGTAGGAATCCATTTTGTTAGCTTTTCTACCTTCTAGAGGCTGCCTGGATTCCTTGGCTGATGGCCCTTCTCCATCTCCAAAGCTAGCATCTTCAAATCTCTCTCTTTCTCTCTCTTTGCTTCTATCATCATCTTGCCTTTTCTGAATCAGATTTTCCTGGCTCCTCTTATGAAGATTCTTGTCATTATATTGGACACACTGGGGTGATCCAGGATAATCCCCTCATCTCAAAGTCCTTACCTTAACCACATCTGTAATGTCCCTTTTGCCATGTAAGATACCATATTCACAGGTGATGGGGATTAAGGCATGAGCATTTTGGAGGAGCATTATTCTGTTTATCTTACTGATAATATTTTTTGTCGGGAAGAGGCCTCCCCAAATCTGGCCATAAACTGGCCCCTAAACTGGCCATAAACAAAATCTCTGCAGCAATGTGACATGTTCATGATGGCCATAACACCCACCCTGGAAGGCTGTGGATTTACCGGAAAGAGGGCAAGGAACACCTGGCGCACCCAGGGTGGAAAACCACTTAAAGATCTTCTTAAACCACAAACAATAGCATGAGTGATTTGTGCCTTAGGAACATGCTCCTGCTGCAGATAACTAGCCCAACCCATCCCTTTATTTCAGCCAATCCCTTTGTTTCCCATAAGGGATACTTTTAGTTAATCTAACATCTATAAAAACAATGCTAATGACTGGTTTGCTGTTAATAAATACATGGGTAAATCTCTGTTCAAGGCTCTCAGCTCTGAAGGCTGTGAGACGACACCCCTGATTTCCCACTTCACACCTCTATATTTCTGTGTGTGTGTCTTTAATTCCTCTAACGCTGCTGGGTTAGGATCTCGCTGACCAAGCTGGTCTCGGCAAGTGGTGTCCATAATGGGGGCTCAAATCCAGGTCAAAGAGTCACCGGAGTGATGGTTGGAGAATGTGGAACTAAGCTGGAGGACACCTGAGTACTCAAGCAATCCCCATGGTGAGTAAGAAGGGGAGCTCAGAAGCATCAGGGTAACAATGGGACAAACATGGGGTCTGGTTCGTTCCACCTTGGAACTTTCTCACACTGATAATGAGGAGGAAGGAGAGTATAATGAAGTAACAGAAGAGGTTACAGAGCAGGTTTATTTGCCAGCCAAAGCTAAAGCGGCAAAGGAGGGAGAGGTTCATCCCTACCCTTCTAGACGCCCTCATTATTATTTTGAAGAAAAAGACCCTCCAGATCTTTCTTTTCTGGAGGACACTGGGCGAAAACTAGTTACCCCGGTGACTGTTCAAGCAGTGCCTTGAGCGACCACTCTTAGGTTTATTCAGGCAGGAATTCAGCAAGCTAGATGAGAGGGTGATTTAGAGGCTCAGCAGTTCCCTATTAGAATACACCCCCCAGATCAACAGGGAAATATTATAGCTACATTTCAGTCTTTTATTTTAAATTACTCAAAAAATTTAAATAAGCTATAAATCAGTATGGACCAGGTTCTCCTTTTCTAATGGGACTGTTAAAGAATGTTGCCATTTCCAGTCGGATGATTCCTACTGACTGGGATGCTCTTACTCAAGCTTGTCTAACTCCTGCTCAGTTCTTACAATTTAAAACTTGATGGGCAGATGAAGCTTCCATTCAAGCTGCTCTCAATGCCCAGGCCCAACCTCAAATTAATATAACTGCAGACTAACTTTTAGGGGGTTGGCAGCTCGGCTGGTTTAGATGCACAACTGGTCATGCAGGATGATGCCATAGAACAGCTTAGAGGAGTGTGCATTAGAGCTTGGGAAAAAAATCACTTCATGTGGAGAACCATACTCTTCCTTTAGTGCTATAAAACAGGGACCAAAGGAACCATACGTGGATTTTATAGCTTGCTTACAGGAGTCTCTTAAAAAGATGATTGTATTTTCGGCTGCTCAGGATATAGTGTTGCAGTTTTTAGCTTTGGACAATGCTAATCCTTATTGCCAGGCTGCTGTGTGACCTATCAGAGGGAAAGCACATTTAGTTTATTATATCAAGGCCTGTGATGGTATCAGAGGTAATCTCTATAAGGCTAATCTGCTAGCACAGGCAATGGCAGGACTGAGAGTGGATAAAAGAAATACTCCATTTCCTGGAGCTTGTTTTAACTGTGGGAAGCATGGTCACACTAAAAAATAATGTAGGAAAAAATCAGCAAGTCAGGCTGCCAGATACGGGAAAAAAGAAAACAGCTGAGCCTGAAAAATGTCCAAAATGTAGAAAAGGAAAACATTGGGCTAATCAGTGTCACTCTAAGTTTGATAAAGATAGGAACCCAATTTTGGGAAACGTCATGAGGGGCCCATCCTGGGCCCCGTTCCAAACCTGGGCATTTCCAGCTCAGGCCATTCCCTCACCGCTGTACAATGTCTGTCCCCCGCCACAGTCGGTAGTGCCGCAGTAGATTTATGCTGCACAAAACTGTGAGCCTTCTGCCTGGGGAACCCCCACAAAAGGTCCCAGCAGGAATCTGTGGACCCTTGCCAGCAGGAAGATAAGATTACTTCTAGGAAGGTCTAGTTTAAATTTAAAAGGGGTACAAATATATATAGGAGTCATTGATTCAGATTACAATGAAGAAATTCAAATTGTTATGTCTACTTCTGTTCCCTGGAAAGTAGAGCCAGGAGAGTGCATAGCACAGCTCCCGTTTGTGCCATATGTGGGAATGGGAAAAAGTGAAATTAAAAGAACAGGAGGATTTGGAAGCACGAATAAACAAGGCAAAGCAGCTTATTGGGTAAATCAAATTACTGATAAACATCCTACCTGTGAAATAACTCTTCAGGGAAAGAAATTTAAAGTTTTGGTAGATACAGGAGTGGACATGTCAATCATTTCTCTACAGCACTGGCTGTCCAAGTGGCCAATTCAACCTGCTCAATTTAACATAGTTGGAGTTGGTAAAGCCCCTGAAGTATATCAAAGTAGTTATATTTCGCATTGTGAAGGGCCCGATGGACAACATGGGACTATTCAACCAATTATAACTTCTGTACCTATAAATTTATGGGGGAGAGATTTATTACAACAATGGGGAGCACAAGTTCTAATTCCAGAACAATTATATAACCCTCAAAGTCAACATACAATGCACAAAATGGAGTATGTCCCTGGCATGGGACTAGAAAAAAATTTGCAAGGTTTGAAAAAACCGCTTTAAGCAGAAAGACAAAGTTCCCACCAAAGATTAGGATATAATTTTTGATGGCGGCCACTGTTAAGCCTCCAGAACCTACACCTTTAAAATGGTTAACAGATAAGCCAATTTGGATAGAACAATGACCACTAAGTAAAGAGAAACTGGAGGCTTTAGAGAAATTAGTTACTGAACAATTAGAAAATGGGCACATAGCTCCAACATTTTACCCATGGAATTCTCCAGTTTTTGTAATTAAGAAAAAATCAAGTAAATGGAGAATGTTAACTGACTTAAGAGCCATCAATTCAGTTATACAACCTATGGGAGCGTTATAGCCAGGATTTCTTTCTCCTGCTATAATTCCAAAAAATTGGCCTTTAATAGTCATAGATTTAAAAGACTGTTTCTTTTAGCTGAGCAAGACTGTGAACGGTTTGCATTTATAATTTCTGCAGTAAACAACCTGCAGCCTGCTAAGCGTTTTCATTGTTTTACAGATGGATCTGGTAATGGTAAAGCTTCTTATTCTGGATCAAAAGGTAAAGTTTTTCAGATACCCTATACTTCAGTTCAAAAAGCGGAGCTTGTAGCTGTAATTGAGGTATTAATTATTTTTAATATGCTTATTAATGTGATTTCCGATTCTTCATACGTGATTCATTCCACACAGTTAATTAAAAATGCTCAGTTACTATTTCATACATATAAACAACTGATGACAAAAACAAAAAAGGGGGACAAATGGGGATTACAGGACAGCTCATACACAATTGAATCTAGTGTTATCAATTTTAAATTCTTTGAGCCTGCCCAAAGCCCAGATGTTATCAGCAGCTGAACAGCATCTACAGAAACCAGCTGCAAAGACAGAAGCAGAACAACTGGTTTGTGGAGAGATCCTATAACAAAAAGTTGGGGAATCGATAAAATAATAACTTGGGGTAGAGGTTATGCTTATGTTTCTCCAGGTCAAAATCAACAGCTGATTTGGATACCATCAAGATACCTGAAACCTTATCATGAGCCAGATGCCAAGGAAGAGATTCCGGAAGGATCCCGAGGACCCCCTGGTTGCAGCCATGTCAAGTCTGACAGTGAGGAGGACCCCAACTGTCACGAGAAACACCTGTCGAACACAGCCACCCACCTGGGGACAGATCAAGAAGCTGTCATAGATGGTGGAAGAAAACCTGAGGACAGTGGGACAACCAGTCACAATGAGTAATTTAATGGTAGCTGTGATAGCGGTAATCACCACTGCTGTGAGTGATTCCTTCAACAAGGGCTGACACAGAGAACAATTATACTTATTGGGCATATTTATCAAATTTGGCTGGCAATAATGCCTGGATGTAATCACTCTATGATGCAGTTACGCATGCTTTCTGATCTCAGTATTTACCATAATAAATCTACTCCTATAATTGAGGCATACTGCTCTCAAGAATCTATTTGTAAACAAAATTGAACCTGGCCAGAAAAAATCAACATACTTGTTTAGGAAGATTGCATTGCAGAACAGATAGAGGTGCTGCATAGCAACTCCTATGGAATCATTATTGATTGGTTCCCTAAGGGGATGTTTAGCTTGAATTGCACCTCTCAGTCTGCATGCTACAGCCACACTATGTTCAGCTGATCTGAACAAAACAGTCGGATGGTAGACATGATAAGAAGTAAGGCAAGAGTTCCTATTATCTGGAACCATGATGGTATAGTGGCATCTCAACCTCAAATGATATGGGTTGTTGTAGGAGCTAAAAATAAGGATTTGTGGAAACTATTAATAGCTCTTAATAAGATCAAAATTTGGGAAAGAATAAAAAAGCATTTAGAAGGACACTCTCTAAACTTGTTTTTGGACATTGCAAGATTAAAAGAACAAATATTTAAAGCATCCCAGGCACACTTGACCTTAATGCCAGGAACTGGAGTGCTTGAAGGAGCTGCAGGCAGATTAACAGCTAGTAATCCTTTGAAATGGATAAAAACACTTGGAAGCTCTATGATTTCAATGATGATTGTGCTTTTAATCTGTGTTGTTTTTCTTTAGTATAGTCTGCAGATGCAGATCCTGACTCCTGCGAGAAGTAGCTCACCGTGACAAAGCTGCCCTTGCTTTTATCGCTTTGCAAATCAAAGAAGGGGGACATGTTGGGAACAGCCCCCCCCCCCCAAAATCTGGCCATAAACTGGCCCCAAAACTGGCCATAAACAAAATCTCTGCAGCAATGTGACATGTTCATGATGGCCATAATGCCCATGCTGGAAGGTTGTGGGTTTACCAGAATGAGGGCAAGGAACACTTGGCCTGCCCAGGGTGGAAAACCACTTAAAGGTGTTCTTAAACCACAAACAATAGCATGAGCAATCTGTGCCTTAAGGACATACTCCTCCTGCAGATAACTAGCCCAACACATTCCTTTATTTCAGCCCATCCCTTCGTTTCCCATAAGGGATAATTTTGGTTAATCTAATATCTAAAGAAACAATGCTAATGACTGGATTGCTGTTAATAAACACGTGGGTAAATCTCTGTTCGAGGCTGTCAGCTCTGAAAGCTGTGAGACCCCTGATTTCCCATGTCACACCTCTATATTTCTGTGTGTGTGTCTTTAATTCCTCTAGTGCCACTGGGTTAGAATCTCTCCAGCCGAGCTGGTCTTGGCATTTTTAATGGTGTTAAACTATGTCCCTGGCTGACAGAAAAAATGGCCTTCCTTTGGCTGAGTTGCTCAAAGTTAAAATAATCAGGTGGCCATGACTAGGTGAGGGAGCAGTCATGTACTCTGCATTCTCAGAAAGATGTTGTAAAAGTGTCACATTATTGCCCCTTCTCCAATCAAGCCAAACCAGTTCCTGTTGTTGATGCCAAGATAGACTGCAGCTGGAAATATCCCAAACTGACCACCAACAAACAACCTGGTGTCAACCAACTGACAACCTGGAACCAGACAATTTAGAGAGGCTGGTAATTTGGGGATTAAAGGCTATCTAATCAAAACTGCTCCTTACTCCCCTGACTACTCATCTTGCCCTGAGCTTTTGCCTTTAAAATTTCTAACTCTCCAACTTCCCCTTCAAAGTGCAGCTCTGGTTTGCACTGAAGGCTGTCTCTCCCAATCTGCAGATTGCTTTTAGAAAATAAAGTTCTCCTTTTGACTCATTGATTAATAAAGGAAACCTTCTCAGACTTCTTTTATTTGATGAAACCTTCCTCACATGTGCTCTCGATCTTCATTCACTTGTATCTTCCCTGACACTAGACTCTCAGCCCCATGAGAGCAAACCCTGTGTTTATTTTTACTAGCCATTATAATCAGTCTAGTGCAGTATCTGCTGTATCATAATAGAAGCTCACCAAATATTTTTGATTAACAAATGACTTTGTCTAGTTGATATCATCTTCTCAGATTTAATCCTAACTCTGTAGTTACAGAAAAGTAACACTATGATTAGTTTATCTTAAATCACATGCCTGCTTATTTGGTCAAGTCCATTTGATCTGTTACCAAAAGAAGAGTAAAGACATTTACCAATGAAAACTACTACACTACCATTTTGTATCCTGTCTTCTAACTTGCCAACATTAAGACAACTCTCTTAAAGTAATATAAGGCCAACAGAACTAACAAAGTAAAAGCTAAAGTTGGCTCACCAGTAATTATAGGCTAGAAATTACAGCAGCTTTATTTGAGTTTTTGGAAAATGATTAGAGATTCTTCCAGGAGGGAAATACAGGTAGGAATCTTTGGTAGTTTTTATATACTATTCATTTGAATATTCAAAACTATACTGTCTATGGAGACTGAGCTTCAGAGTTTCAATGTTGACTAGCCCAGGCAGAACATGAAATTATAGGCAGAATGGAAGATATGTGTTCTATTCTTAGGAGAGTATAATTCATTTTAAATCAAAGCGCTAGTGTCCTAAAAACTATTAATAATACAGAGAAAGGACCACACTCCTGTGAGAGTACTGAGAAAATAGACAAATCATTCAGTAAAGTTCCTAATTAAAAGCTGTAGCATTTCAAGTAGGCTATAAATCAAACACACACACACACACACGCACATACATACCTACATACACACATTTTTTCAAATTTCTAAATAAATTTGTGATGGTTACTTTTGTGTGTCATCTTGCCTGGGCCATGGGGCACCCCTATGTTTGGTTAGACAATATTCTGGGTGTGTCTGTGAAGGTGTTCTTGGAGATTAACATTTGAATTTGTAGACTGAGGGTGCAGGTTGCCTTCCCCAATGTGTGTGGGTCTCATTCAATCTGTTGAAGACCTGAATAAAATAAAAAGGCTTAACAAGAGAGAATAGGCTGTCTCTGCTTGATGCTCTTTAAGCTGGGACATGATCTTCTCCTCCTTTTGGACTCAAACTGGAACTTAAGCTATAAGCACTTTAGGTTCTCAGACCTTTGAACTGCAGATCTTGGGAGTTTGCATCCATAATTGCATAAGCCATTTTCTTATAGTAAATCTGTTTGTGCTGTTTCTTAGAAAAACTCTGACTAATAAAAAATTAGTTTAAAAAATATATTGAAAGCAAGATCAAAAAGATGTTCTGCTATATCTGAGAAAAACAGCAAATTCTTAGTACACTACAGGCCTTTTTTACTAAGAGCCAGACATAGATTCACTATTAAACTAAAGAAGCTAATTGTCAGTATCAGGACCCACCATTTTGTGGACATTTTCACATCACCGTGGAATAACCCTAGCAATGTGCTTATACAGACATACTTCTGAGTAAAATGGAAAAATCAAGATTGCTTTTAGGGCAATTAATTAGAACAACAATGTTTATACCACTATTAGTTACACTACTTAGAGCACACACTAACTGACTTTCATAAAACAATAAAACTTTGGGAGGCCGAGGTGGGTGGATCATGAGGTCAGGAGTTCAAGAGCAGCCTGGCTCACATAGTGAAACCCTGTCTTTCCTAAAAATACAAAAATTAGCCAAGCATGGTGGCATGCTCCTGTAGTCCCAGCTATTTGGGAGGCTGAGGTGGGAGAATCGCTTGAACCCGGGAGGTGGAGGTTGTCGTGAGCAGAGATCATGCTACTGCACTCTAGCCTGGACAACAGAGCAAGACTCTGTTCCAAAAAAGAAAAAAAAAAGAAGAAGAAAACTATAATTATCTAATTAAGGGCAAATTGAATTGCATATCATTGTGCATGCATATGCATTAAACATATTTGCAACTGGATAATCTTAGACATTAGAGAAGCACTGGTTTAAGGTAAATAATAATTCATTTTTAATAGGAAAGAACATTGGAGAATGTTAAGACAGCCTTAGCCACCAATGTGCCAGAAAAAAAAAAAAAGGAACATACTCTGTTGGTTGAATGCATTAAATTTACTCAACTGTGAGGAGCTAATAGAGGAGCAAGGATAAACAAGGTATGGGATTCCAGAAGGTTGTCAAACTGGTACGAAAATTCAAGTTTCTTAATTTCTGGTCTAATACACACAGATGGGATAGAGATAGGAATAGGAAGGGGTTTATGGAGGGAAATAGGAGAATATGGAGGGGATAGGGAGAGGAATATGGAGGGGGACAGAAAAAGGGAGAGAGAGAGACATACAGATTGCTTTTAGAAAATAAAGTTCTCCTTTTGACTCATTGGTCTTTGGTTAATAATGGAAACCTTCTCAGACTATATAATATAGAAAGGCCTATATTATATTATATCTCATATATAATATGTCTCTCTACTGAGATATCTCTGAGATTTGCTTCCTGAAAAAGCATAAATAGGGAGGAAAAATCAGCTCAAAATACCCTAAAGAAGGTGAATTTAAGCTAGGACTTTAGATTTATCTTGTAAAGACTAAATATAAAATTCCAGGCATATAAAGAACCAAAAGTTCAGAAATATTTTAGAGTACACTGATGTAATTAAAATAAAAGTTTTAGAGAATTTATTTGAAAACAAGTTGCATAGGTAAGTTCAGGTTTTGAAAAGCAGGGCGAAGTGTTAGCATGTCCACTCTTAAAATCCAAAGCTTAGTTTTCACCAAAACTTGTATTAGTATTTCAAAAGTTCTAAGCTTAATTGTGAAAGAAGCTGTTTGTAGTCACCTTTTAAATGCATGACTTCTAGAGTAGTAGTTTACTTAGTTACTTTCTCATTCTGTGTGTATTTGCATTAACAGTTTTCCGAATAGCATGGCCTGTATTTAGAAATGTTCTTAGATGTTACATCTTGCTATGTAGCTTCTTATGTATAAGCAGACAGAAGGTCCAAACAGAGAGGTTGGAGTGAAAAGTACAGGTGAGATAAATATTTAAGGGAACTGATGTTTTCTTATTCTGAAGTTCAAGAACATTAAGATCATCTGAAAATGATGCATTTTTATTGAATGCTTAATTTAATTTTATGTCATTCTGTGTTCATAAATATGTGAATGATGATTAGAGATTTAGGGTTCTTTTATGCCTACATAGAAATAGCTCAATGTTTCTCAAAGTATAATTCTTAGATCAGTGACACTAAAATGTTCATATTCAAACTCCCTGGATTTACTTTAAGAGTATAGATGAGACATTCTTGAGGTGAGACTCAGAAATCAACTCTAACAGTTATAATCCTTCAGAATAAGGTCATAATACTAAACATAAATTGCTATATTGAGCAATGGCTAAACTTATCAAAGTCATGCTAGTATAATATGAAATATAATGTTAAAAAGACAAAATTCCAAATTGGAATTCAGTTTTTATACGTGACAGCATTCTTTATATAAATCACTATTTCACATGATATTTTTAGTGCAAGTTTTCATTATGTAAAAAATTAAAAAAAGAAGCAATGACAATAAAATTAAAGATTAGTATAGTCCCAATTAAAGAATTTGCTTATATTAATTTACATTTTGACCAAGTTTTTAAAAAGATTTTTAAAGCAACTATTTTAAATGAGAAATGTTTGGCTATGTTATCTTTACAAAAATAAGACAAAAATATAGAAATGTTTCATACTAAGAAGAAAAAGAAGTAAAATTTATGAGGGAAAGACAGAGACTAAGATGTACCAAAATATGATGGCAAAAACTGACATTAGGCCTCTTATGAATCTATACAGCAAGCATGATTGATTGTCTCAATGAAATATAGATTATAATTCTTAGGGCCATGTGATAAGTTAGTGTACTAGTCAGTTTTCACACTGCTGATAATGACATAGCCGAGACTGAGCAATTTACAAAAGAAAGAGGTTTAACTGGACTCACAGTTCCACGTGGCCAGGGAGGCCTCACAATCATGGTGGAAGGCAAGGAAGAGAAAGTCACATCTTATGTGGATGGTGGCAGGCAAAGAGAGAGCTTGTGCAGGGAGACTCCCATTTTTCAAACCATCAGATCTCCTGAAACTTACTATCATGAGAACGGCACAGGAAAGACCTACCCCCATGATTGGATTACCTCCCACTGGGTCCCTCCCATAACACATGGGAATTTAAGATGAGATTTGGGTGAGGACACAGCCAAATCATATCAGTTAATAATGGTCTACCTTTACATTACATTTGTAATATTTTTTACTTTATGAATTTGTAAATTTGATATTTTGTACTGGTTTAAATAAATATTTCAATGCACTCATCTTAAGATTAAAAAAAAACTTGGGCAATCTTATCTGAAACACAATAGCTCTAATATCCCATAAAAATTATTGTCACAGTTAATCATAAACTGCTATACATAGGGTAGATAAATAGACAGATGATGGATAGATAGATGGATAAGCAGAATCACCACTGGTTTGGGCAGTTTTAAGAATGTGAAGACAACATCTGGCTTTGCTTCTCAGGCACCTTGAGAAGTTAGTACAATGTTCTAATATGTTAAATTAAAATGTGATGATTGAACATTATTCCAACACCCTAACTCCATTATATTTGCTCGAAGAAAACAAAAGGACATGGAGTATAAAGGTGAACAAAGCACAGTGAATGATGATATATGTTTTAGTTTAAGTGCAATTTATGCATTTCAGCACAAATCCCCTTGGTGAAAGCCATTTTCAGAAACAAACTTTAGGATATGCTGCTTCAAAACTGCTGTGTTTAGCTGATAGTCCATAAATCCTCTGTTGGAGATATTATGGTCTACAGTGGATTCTAGTTAATTGGCACATCTCAGTGGAAATTGAAATATGCCATTTAGACAATGATTGTCTCATTTAAATACATAATTGCTCTTATGAACTATCAGATACATTTGAAATTAGAAAGGATTTTTGAAATGCAAAACATTGACCAAATTGTATATGTACATAATTAAGACAAATTAGAAATGCAGATGTTAAGCGTGATACAAAACATTATCATCAAGACATATTCCCATTTTTTCTGTTCAGCAGTTTAATGAGTATTACAATCCATCTGGTCAACACAAACCCAAAATATACCTAATAACCAGAGTTAAAAATAAATTTTAAGTCTTTATCATTAATACCACTCTGTACTAGTAGTATTTTAGAAATCCACCAAGGCCAAAATGGCACAAATTTGCTGCTTTTTATAGCTAAATGTTATAAATGAAAGCATCAATTTAGAGTAAATTAATTTCTCATGGAAAAACAAAATAATTTTTTAAATTTCCAAAAATTTTATACTTGAATACTAGTCAATAGGGTGTTTCTCGAGTATGTACTAAGATGATTATTATGACAAATCTATATCATGCAAAAGTCTATTTGCTATAAGAAATATTTATAATGGAGGACATCAAGGAATTCACAACAGATGAAATACTAAGAGTTTTCTCTGTTTCTGAGGTATTAATAATGCTTTACCAAGAATTTTGCCCTTAATTCACCCCAAAACTTAAAATTTATATTTTTGGCAATTTATGTAATCATAGAATATCTGAAGTGTTACAAATGTGAAAGGTCAATGTCTTGGTGTTTTTCAATGAAAATAATTTCTAAGTATTAATAAATTATATATTTTTTGCAATTGCTTAGAAATATAATGAGTGCATGGATACATGTATGAAATGGAAAAATAAATTTTATTTTGTGCAGTTACAGCTAAGCTATCTTATTAATACAGCATAAATCAGTAACAGTTATAACATTACAAATGTTTAAGTCTAGAAATAATCAAAAAGATTTAAATAATCATTACAGCCAAATAGAGGATCCATTCACTGGCATTTTCCTTTGCATAATTAATGGCCCCGTTGTTTAAACGCTTTCTTTTTTAGTTAACATTATCCAATACTTAAAGTATTTAAAATATTTCAATTGCTGTATTGTATCAAAAATCTATATAATCAATCACATATCCTTGAACACTTTTTAAAAAATCTTATTTAGCATTTCACAAAGCACTTTGTTGAGCCCCCTAGCAGATTATTTCTTCGGAAAAAAGTCAAAGTCTTAAAATATAAAATTAATTTATCAAATTATATTTAAATTTAATAATTTATATATATATATTTACAGAAACATTTTAAAATATCGATTTATAATCTCAGAAAACATGAATGAATATTCCTGTTTTTCTATTCCCTGGTAATTGTAGTCGGCAAATTCTGGAGTGACCAGAGTAATCCTGCCCCCTGGAGTATAACTCTTGTATAGCCCCTGCACCTGAGCACCAATATAACCTATGGATATGACGGGGTAGTGGCTCCCTTAATCAGGTTATGCTATGTGACAAATGGTGATGGAATAGTCCGTCCTGTGATTGCATTATGTTATAGAAGTCTCTGTTATAGTTGACTGGAGGGAAAGAAGAAATCAGAGGGAAGAGGTCCTGATGGCACGGAAAAAAGCAAATAGCCATGTTGTAAACTGCCCACAGGAGGCACATGACAAGGAACTGAGGGCAGCCGCTGGGAGATGAAAGTGGTCTCCAACGGACAGCTAACTTGAACACAGAAACCTTAGTCCTACAGCTGCAAGAAAATAAACTCTTACAAAAATCGCATGAGGAATACAGGCAGGCCAGCCAGCTCCTTCAGTTCATTTTTTTGAGACCGCAAGCAGAAACCTCCAAGCAGAGAACACAGTGAGTCCTGACTCACAGAAACTTTGAAATAATAAATTCTGTTGTTTTATGCTGCTATGTTTGTGGCAATGTTTTATGCAACAATAGATAACGAATATAATTGTTATATATTGTCATTTAAAAATTACTATCAAATAAATAAAAATAGTTTAATTTTTAATTATTTGAATTCTTATGACTTTAATACTTCGTATTTTGGGGAATAAAATTTTGTTTTTTTAGTTTTTTTTTGTGACGGAGTCTCCCTCTGTCACCCAGGCTGGAGTGCAGTGGCACGATCTCTGCTCACTGCAAGCTCTGCCTCCCAGGTTCACGCCATTCTCCTGTGTCAGCCTCCCCAGTAGCTGGGACTCCAGGTGCCCACCACCACGCCTGGCTATTTTTTTTTTTTTTTTTTTTTTCTATTTTTAGTAGATACGGGATTTCACTGTGTTAGCCAGGATGGTCTTGATCTCCTGACCTCATGATCCTCCCGCCTCGGCCTCCCAAAGTGCTGAGATTACAGGCGTGAGCCACCACGCCCGGCCTAGACATTTTTTTAGTCTACTCTCAGCTTACTTTTACCATTCAGTGATTTTTTTCTTTTGGAATATATTAAAATGCTCTTTATGCTTCTCATATAAATAGTAAATCTTTTTCCCAAGTCCTTTTAAAAATTTTCTTTTTAAATGTGTTTGTGGAGAGTTTTATATAAAGTTTTTATTTTGAACTTTACAGTTCCACATTCTGATTTATTTTCTTTTGCTTTGATGCTTAGAAAGCCCTCTCAATTTGGAGCTATATTTGCATTGGTTTGCTAGTAGATCACTGATATTTTATTATTGAAGGTCACATTACTCAGTTGAATCTGAACAACTGAAGTGCATATTTTTCAACCACAACATTTTCAGATTTAAATTCATCATGCCTCATATTCCTACTTTCTTCTTTTTAGTGTCCAAATGAATATTATTTTATTACACGTCCTGGAAGGACCATCCTATTGTCTTCTACCTTCCCTTCTAAACTCAGTCACGGTGTTTTATCAAACTCTTGTTTCATGATATAGAAATTCCCTGCATGCTCCACCTTTTGGTCATTTTGCTTTTTTAGAAATCTGGCTGGATTTGATGACGCAAATCTAAAACTACCTCCATGAAATAAACGTTCATTATTTTCTCACTTCCCGAGGAACTCAGGGTTTCTTTCTCTACAAGAAATCTTCCAGAGAAGTACTTGATCACATTCTCAGAAAAACTGCTGCTCCTTTCAGCCTAATGTCAATCTTCCTTATTGTCATCACTGTTATTCATCTACCTCCTAGTCTCTTGTGCGTAGTTGAGTTTTAACACCAGGCTCCATTTCTTGCTTCCCATAATGCCTTGTTACTATTGGGTCCTTTGGACATAGATGTGGATGGCTGATCCAATAACCTAGGCCATTTTTTTTTTCAGTTCTTTATATGTAATGAACTTCTCTTTCAATCTCTTCTAATTACTGGTGTCAGGTTGACTGCAGAAATTTATTGCATTAAAATATCACCATTTCGACTACATTGTCCTCATTATGTGTATTCAAGTATCTGTTCTTCAACTTTATGTTGATGAAAAGTACATCAATCCCTCTAACTAAATATTGTGAGCAATTTTACTTTCATTTTTCTTTTTATTCCACTAAAATTACAAGTTTAGTCATTTAATAACACTTATAAATGTTACTTTTACTTTCTATGGCTATATAACAACCATACACTTATGGGCCTGAAAAGGAAATTGTTAAATCCTTATGTTAACAAGTCAGGAAACCAGGAATAGTTTACCTAGCTCCTCTGCTTATCTCTCACAAAGCGGCAGTTGAAATATTCATCACTTCTCTGATCTCATTTGAAGCTCAGGGTCCTCTCCCAAGCTCATGTTATTACTAGCAGAATTCACTCCTTGTACCTATGGCGCTCATAATAGTGTGCTTTTTCAAGAAGAACAGGAAAGCATCCCTGAATTTGGAAAGGTGTAAGCCCTTTTATAGGCCCTTTTATAGGGACCAACAGAGTAGGCAAGACTTATTCAGGTTAATCTACTGTTAACTCTGTCGAACTGATTAAAGACTTAATCACAACTGAACATCACCTTAAAAGTTGTCATAGAATGGAACTTAATCGCAGATATATCAACAGTGGGAGTCTTAGGGGTCATCTTGGAATATTACCCAACACAAATGCCATATATTTTGTTGACCCTCTATCCTTTCAATGTCACCTCCTTAGCAAAAACAAAAAACAAAAAACAAACAAAAAAAACCCACTAAACTGAAACATCTGCCTTCTTCAGCTAGAAGCACACTACTAGGTTAAGTACATGGCCAAATAATTTTAGGCATCTTGAACCCAGACATCTCTTTTGCGTCATTTATGCAACTGCCTTTACATACAATTCTTAAACATGTCAGTGACCCTTTAAATTCAATATGCATACACTTTATTCATGTTCACTCCTCTAAAAGCTGATCCAACTCTTGCGCTTTCTCACTTAGTAAAGGGCATTGCTAGAAATCCAGGTGGTAAGCCAGAAATCTGGCAGTCAATTCTGAAATCTCATAGTCTCTAAGCTTCATATCGCAATCATTAATGTCTAACAATATATGTTAAACCCATCTGTCCTGTGTTGGAACTCTTATACTGGGCTACTGTGTGAGCAAGAGATAAACTTTTGATGTGTCAAGCATGGAAATCTGGGGCTGTTTCTACAGCAGTTAGCATACTATGGGGAATGCCGGTACAGGTCCTTTGAAGTAGGATTCTACAATAATAAAAAAAATTAAGTTGTATGACATTGGCTTACTGAGCAAGTGGTAGTTTGGCAAAACTAACATAGGAAGTAATGAATTGGTTGCTTATTAAATAACTTCAAAAGCAGAAAGCATCCTTATGGACCCTTGGGCTCCAAAAGAAGAGATTCAAAAAGAAAATCATGGAAGTATGTCTTTGGTCATTACTGGTTATATTTAATAAGGTATCAGAAAAAAAATATGAGTTCAAGAAAGGAGTGTATCATTTGGAAACAGAAAGAAAAGAGTAGAGGTATATCAATACAGAAGTTTGGAGATTTGAAAAAAAAAACTTATGCTTCTAAGTTCCAAATAATAAAAAAAGAATTAAAAATCTTTTGAGAACAAAGACTCATTTTGCTGGCAGAGATGAAATTAAGCTTGTAGCTTCTCTACCCAAGCAATGTCATTAAACTGAGAGAGGGAGATATTGGAGTAGGAAAGAATAATAATCGGTATTGAGAATTATATTTAGCTATGAGTTTGGTATGATAATTCATATATTAGACTCAAATGGATCAGAAACACTCATATGTAGATTCCCTGACCTCAAGAAAGTGGAGCATAACTCTCCACTCTCTCACTGCTATGAGATGCTCAGTGATTTTCTTCCAAAGCATACAATATATATGAAAGAGGAGTGAGAGAAAGGTAAGTTTACAGTAATGAGACCTGACAAACACTACCTCAGCAGTCATTTGATCAAGGCCAACATCAACATCAAGTCATGTTGATTGCATGTTTCTGCTCTTGATACATTGTGATGAAAATGACATTTAACCTTTGTGATCTTTCTCCTAAAGATCCATAAACTCAGTTCAATTATGAGAAAACACATCAGTCAAACCCCATTTGGGAAGTATACTACAAAACACCTGACCAGAATTCCTCAAAACAGTCAAGATCATCAAAAGCAAAGAAAGTCTGAAAGACTGCCAGAACTAAGGGAAGACGAATGCCACATAAAAACTAAATGTAATGTGTTATCCTAGACAGAATCCTGGAACAAAAAAAGAACAGATTAAAACTAAGGTAATGTGTGTGAAGTATGGGCTTTAGTTAGTAATAATTTATCAATATGGCTCATTAACTGCAAAAAATATACTATACGGATGTAAGATGTTAATAATTGAGGAAACTGAGTGAGAAGTATATAGAAATTATCTCTTCTATATTCACAGATTTCCTTTACATATAAAATTGATGTAAAATAATAACATTTTCTTATAAGGAAATCCTTGGGGTTATGACACTTTTCTGTATCTTGCTGCAGTAATGATTATACCAATTTATGTATGTGACAAAATCTCATAGCACTAAATACAAACATACCCTGCACACACACACACACACACACACACACACACACACACACACCAAAACGTGTATCAGTTCACGTAACTAAGTCAAAAATTAGCATAAGATTGGTGATTTTCATCAATGTCAATATATTATTTATGAGATTTACTAGAATTATGTAAGATGTTAACATTGGTGGAGGTTGGGAAAAGAGTATATGGGATATATCTATGTTATTTCTTACAACTTTATGTAAATTTACAAGTATCTCAAAATGAGATAGTTTAATTAAATAAATTATTTGGAAGCACAGAGCTCATGAGATAGCCAAAACAATTTTGAAAGAGAAGAATAAAGTAATATGACTTCTCCTCTCTGATATCAATGCTTACTATAAATCGAGACACTTGAATAATTGCATAAGAAGAAATACATATTAATTAGAATAGAGTGTCCCAAAATAGATCCACATGTACATGTTAATTTGATTTTGGTTAAAGTTATTTAGGTAGTTCAATGGTAGATATAGTCTTTCCAGAAAAAAGTTGGAAAAATTTGATATTCTTATGAAAAGAGATAGTAAAAGACGGAGATAGAGAGAAAGAGAATGAAAGGCAAGAAAGTGCATCAACCCTTACCTTATATAAAGCTAAACTTGAGATAGATCATAGACCTAAAAGTAAGACCAAAAATAATAAAACCTCTAGACAACAATATAGTTTAAAATTAAATATAGATTCATTTCATAGGACACATTAAGCCCAAAACATCAATGAGTAAGTTAATAAATTAAACTTCATCAAAATTTTTAAAATTCTTCTTTTCAAATGTTCCATTCAGAAAATAAAAACACAAGCCATAGACTGCGTTTGCAAGCTTCATTCCTGATAAAGGACTGCTAATCAGAATTCAGTCAAAAAAACAAATAACCCAATAATAAAATTGACAAAAGATTTAAACAGACATTTCACTAACTAACATGCCCATAATGAATACAAGAAAGATGAAAATCTCTTTCACTAACCTTGAGTCACTAATGAGGAACCCTCATTAGTCATGGGTGAAATGTAAATTAAAATCATAATGTAGTACCACTGCACACATATTACAATGGCTAAAATCATCAACACTGACAATACCAAGTGTAGATGAGCATCTAGAACACTCATGTTGTCACAGGGAATGCAAAATACAGCAGCTAGTTTAGAAAACAGTTTTGAAGTTCCTATAAAGTTAAGCAACATTTACATATCCTAACAATACCACTGCTTGGTATTTACCTGAAAGAAATAAAAGCATGTGTGCATTCATTACCTTTCATTAAAGGTGTGTTCATAATTACCAGAAACCACAAATATTCCTTATGTCCATCAACTGGTAAATTGACAAACTGTTGCACCAGTACAATAGAATGATACTCAAAAGAAGAAACAAACTACTGATAGATGCAAGAACAGGGTGAATCTCAAAAGTAGTGTAAAAACTGAAAGAAGAGAAATACAAAACAATAATTACTCATTTGTTCTATTCATCGGACATTTTGGAAAAAAATATCACACAGGCAGAATGTATACCAATGGCTGTCATGGTCTGGGGGTGAGGGGAATGGGTTTACTGCAAAGAAACACAAGCAAAAAAGACAGTCGTGGTCTATCAATAAGTCACCAAATGATAATGCCTTAAGCCCTTTTCTCTAAGTTTCAAAATCCCTATGAAACATAACTCTATTTTTTTCCTTTCAAATACTGATATCTGTAGATGTGAGATGATTTTTGCAGATACGATAATACTGGGGAAAAAACTGCCATGTTTTTCCATTATGTAGAACTTATCACTAACTTTGGTAAGCTGTGGGGTTTCTTTTTTTTTTTTTTTTTTCCTAATATCTGCTGTGTCTTTAATTCAGGTAGTTCTTCTATAAAATAAAGTTTCTTACAAACATAAGTGGTATGGTACGGTTCTGTGTCCCCATCTAAATCTCATCTTGAATTGTAATCCAAATTGTCATCCCCATATGTTAGGAGAGGGACCTTGTAGGAGATGATTAAATCATGCAGGTGGTTCGCCTATGCTGTTGTCGTGACAGTGAGTGAGTTCTCACGAGATATGATGGTTTTAAAAGGGGCATTTCTCCCTTTTGCTCTACACTTCTTTCAGCATATGAAGGATGTGTTTGCTTCCCTTTCCGCCACAGTTATAAGTTTCCTGAGGCCTCCCCAGGCCTGCAGAACTGTGAGTCAATTAAATCTCTTTCCTTTATAAACTACCCAGTCATGGGTATGTCTTTATTGCAGCATGAAAACAGAATAATACAATAAGCATGTTAAAATATTTGTTTCTTTGGTCCCTGAGTTTTCTTTATAAATGGAGTTCCAACAAGATGTCTCAGGTAGATTCATTCCCATGATCTGACTAAATTGTATTTTCCAGAAAGTCACTGACATATCTGATGAATCCAGGCCTTCCAAGTTATATGAGCCAATAATGTACCATTGTTGTATAGACTCAAATGACTTATGTTTTCAGTCACTTTCCACTGAAATAGTCCTAACTGACATACCAATGTATTAGAACAGGTTCTCCACAGAAACAGAATGAATAGGATGTATACAGATAAATAGAAATATTTATTATGAGGAATTGATTCAAATTATTATGAATTCTGAAAAGTTCCATAATCTGGTATCTGAGAGTTGAAGGCCCAGGAAAGCCTGTGGTGTAGTTCCAGTTCCATATATACTTGGTAGGCTACTTGGTAGACTGAGGCAGGAGGATCATTTGAGCCCAGGGCTTGAAATCTAGCTTGGACAACATAGTGAGACCCTGTCTCCAAACAAACAAACAAACACAAACTGTAGGTACTAAAGGGAGACAATGATGTAAGTCCCAGTCTGAGTCCAAAAACCACATAACCAGGGGCTCTGATATCTGAGAGCAGGAAATGAGTGTTCCAGTTCAAGTAGAGAATAAATTGAAGATTTCTCCACCTTTTTGTTTTATTCAGGCCTTAACTATCTGTCTAAGAAAAATATATAAATATAATTATAAAATTATAAAAATGTGTATGTAGGTATATATGTATGTATGTATAAATTAATCAGAATAAAATGTCCAGAAATAGATCCACATATACATGGTAATTTGGTTTTGGCTAAAGTTTGTCTAGGGAGTTCAATGAGAGATGGTCTTTTCAAGTAAAGGTCAGAAAAATTGGATACTATTATGTAAAGTAATAGAAAAAGAGGGAGACACAGAAAGAACAAATAGGATGGTATTCACCTACATTGATGAGGGTCATCTTTACTTAGTGTACCAATTCAAATGCTCATCTCTTCCTCAATCACTCACAGGAGCACCCAGAAATAATGTTTGACCAGCTATCTGGACATACCTTAGCCCAGGCATGTTGGCACATAAAATTAAGCATCATGTATTTTGCATCTTCAATGAGGTTTTTCTGGGTATGTAAAAAAATGTTGTTAAAGTTATTTGAAAGAATAGGTGTAGTTTCCTAAAATTTAAATTTATAAAGTCATTTATAACCATAAAATATGTTGGTGCTTTTCACTCCAATTACTGTTTTAGAATGAGGAATTTAAAACAAGCTCTCTGGAATAAATTACTATCCTAAAAATGGTAGCTTTTCCCCATTAATCTAATCATTGATTGTTAGAATGAAGCAAGGAGAAAAGTGCTTCAGCTCATAGATTTGAAGTTGTGTCACTTCAAGCGTTGTCCAATTATAAAACACTACGAAATTTCTTTGTCTTTTCCCCATTGGAAAATTGTGGATTTATTTCACTTTTCTCTTCTTATAAACTACATTCAGATCTCTGAGGTTATTTCTAAATTAGCAAAAGTTTATATAAATAGTTTGGTCACATTTGCAGAATAGATGAAACCTTGCTTAAACAATCCTTTACGCCCTTAAATTAGATTTTTTAAATGAATCTGGTAGGTGGAAGAATTGGTGCCTTTGTTTTAGCTCCAGAAGTGAAAGCTGATTTCCTGCAATCCAACTAAGTATGTAATAGAAGTAAAAAATTTTAAATAGCTTATGAGGTCAAAATAGTCTATTAATGAGATCTGTCATGTTAAGGTTTACCAAAATTACTAAGTCAAGGATTTATTTAAGACAGTCAAGAATAAATATCAGAAGAATTATAGTCTATTCTACTCTTTGACTCTTAGAAAATTTCTAATTTTATCATAATATAAGGAATAGCTTATCATTATTTGTCTTTGTCACTACATTTTTATTAGATTTAGCCATAAGTTAAATTTTAAACTATATTTTAATACAATCAGAACATTTCATTAGTAACTGACAATTGTATTTTCTAATCTAGTTGTTCAAGATAGAAAACCTGTAATCACCTTTGATACCTCTGTTTTTCTCAGTCTCCATGTTCAATGCCTAGTTCCTATTGGCTCTTTTCAAAATTTATTCAGAATACAGTTATTTCTCTCTGCTTCTAACACTACCACCATGTCACCAACCACTATCATATAGACTTCAAGATGATATTTCTGCTTCCAAATTTTTCTGTCACAGACTATTCCCCACAGGAGAGGTGGAGTAATCCTTTTAAAATACAAGGAAGGTCATAATGGATTTTCTGTTCAATGGCTTTGTATCTCATAA
Source organism: Homo sapiens (assembly GCF_000001405.40). Lineage (NCBI taxonomy): Eukaryota > Metazoa > Chordata > Mammalia > Primates > Hominidae > Homo > Homo sapiens. The sequence goes on from NC_000004.12 coordinate 35,161,338, forward strand.
TCAAAGCCAAAAGTCCTACAGTGTCTAAAATTTCCTATGTGATTGGCACTCTTATTATATCTTGGTCTTCGTCTCTGTTAATCTCACCCTCCCTCATTCTTTTCCAGACATTCAATCTTTTCCTGTATCTGAAACATTCCAGGAGTTTTGATTATCTCAAGTTTTTTTAATCTAACCTGTTTGTTTTTTTTCAAACAGATATACACACAGTTTGCTCCCTGACAACATCCAAGTCATTGCCTTTATGTCATCTTCTCCACAAAGCATAATACTCTAGTTAAGATTTAAGCCCCTCTCTGCTAAGAAGCCAGTAAACCAGTAAACCCTATACCTTTGTAACTTATTTGCTTGCCATAGTACTTGTTATCTAAAATACTACATGTCTTACTTATTTATTTATTAACTCTCTTCTCAACTTGTATCTCTTCTTCAAGATGTCAGTATTTCATGTGTGTTTTGTTTACTGTATCCCAGCATGTGGAACAGTGCCTGCTACATAATAGATGTCTATTTGATATTTTTGAATTTCTTAATAAGCCTAAATACAACAAATGTGATTACAGTTTTTAGTTATAAGTCAACTATAAGATTAAAACAATTTAACATACAATAAATGGTTCTTGGGCTATACCTTTTGTGTATTACCTACAATGCCTAACTAATCCCCCTGCCAAATAATGTAAACTAGAATTTTACAGTTGCTAAGATTCAGAGAATCTTAGCAATAACTGTGCTTTTAAAAGCCATGTAAAATAAGGGAATAAAGTTAAAAGAAAAAATTCAGAGCCAAGTAATTATTCCAGTCAATTAATTTGTATATATCAAATGCATGAATTATCTGCTAATGAAATTCTCTTCATTACACCCACCATTAGAATTTTCTTTAATCCTAAAGGGCACTAGTCCAATACTCTTTTCTATCTGCATTCTTTTACACAATCTCCCCATGTCATGCCTAGAAGGTCACTAAGTTAATTGGCTGTTGAGTACTTAAAGTAGTTAATTCCATCTTATAAGTTATCTGATTTTCAATTTAAAAGTTCTTTAGTCAAGGTTACAAGATTAGCATAACCTCAAATCAAGAACATGTTTCTGGGCACGGCACTGCTTCACTAGTCAGTAGCTCAACGAACCTATCAATATTGGTGTAATTGCATGAGGCACCAGCTTCATTTACCCAAACTGAAGAGTACATCATATGCTTTTCCTCATGAATTTTATGTTGTTTGTAAAAATTTCCAAGGGACTATGTCTAGGGAGTGAATAATAAAAAGTGGTGAATAAGTATATAATTATAACAGGTTTGATTTGCTTTTTAATGCTTAATTTACATTAGTAAATATTCATGTTAAGTAAGTAATATCTGCTTTGTTAATGAAGTGAGCATCTCCATTTTTACCTGATAAATATGATTTGTTAACACGTTTAATTCTCACTCAAATGTGTGAAACTTGTTTTGTTTTACCCTCATTGTACAGATTAGGGGTCCAACATTATTAACTTGCCCAAGATTCTGTGTATTATAACAGGAATCAAATATTTCTGACTTAGGTATCCTTAATCTTTCTTTCACACTGGTTGCAAACTCATACAAGCAGTCAGATAAGGGTAAATCAGTGAATCATAAAGTGTGTATAAAAATAGAAGACAAAAATTTGGCAAATCAAGAGTGTGTGCCCAGTTCATAAGCACAGATAAGCTTAAATTCAGTTAATTATTGCATTGCAGTATTGTGGGTTCAGAATTGCAGGATTTTCCATTTTGAGCCAGATCATGGATTTGTAAATACACAACAGCTTTTGTAAATATTGTAGCATATATCTAAAAATGTGTAGGCTGATTATGAACTGCAGTTTTTAAATGTTGCACTATACCATGTTCTCCCCATTGATTTAAATGAGTAGCTGATAATATTGCTCTTCAAGCTGCCAGTTTCAAATGACCATTATCATAATTCATTAAATTGTGTCCTCTAGAGATTTTTCAGATGAGTGGTTTCCAAACTGAGCCCCACTCAGCTCTGGGCTCCATAGAAGTCGCTAATGAGTCTCTGCTGTAGGGAATGAAAGGAATGCTGAGTAGTCAGGGTTGTTGACTTCCCAGTTTTAATTCAACTAGTGTAGCTTTTCTTTGTTTTGGGAAATATTGACTCAAAAATATTCTGCTGATAAAATATTTGAAAGTTACTCCTCAACCATGTGATTACCAAAACTGTACAGTTACCAAGAAAGGTTTAACTGAAAGTGAAATAAAAATCAGTAAAGGCATTGGTGACTTTCAAAGTATTATTGTCTACTCTAAAAATTGTCATATGGCCCCAAAAATTTTAATAAGAAGCCTGTAGACATATTTTTACCTACTTTTCCTACAACACAATCCAGTGGGGTCAGAATGTTTCACATGTCGGGGCTGCTTGATCCTACTTTATTTGTTTGAATTACCCTCCCTGTGAGGCAAGAGTGGAAATTTCCCAGGAAGAATATCCTGTTCATTGGTGTATGGCTTCTAGTCAGGGTTGCTCCAGAGTAGAATGTCTGGTCATGTGATAAGGCTTATTACTGTCATAATGTTTATATGCTTTCCCTAAACAATTTGTGTATTTCTGGTACCCCACCTCATGCCTTACTTTTTAGATTCTCAGAAAAATTGTTTTCTACAAAATGATATGAAGATCTCTTCCATGTAGTATTTTCCATGGCTACAGAATGCATATTTTTTCTTAGCATAACAGATTGTAGTTTTCCATTTTGCTTCATTTATACACTTAATAGTTACCAATAATTTATTTGTAATTTTCTAATTACACAAGAAAATCATTATTCATTTCAATATCTAAATAAATATTGAAGAGTCACATTTTCCATAATTAAGCTATTCTGTAATTTTGGGGTTGATGTTTAACTAGATGTCACAGTAATGTAATATACAGTCATACAGTCGGGTGAGTAAAACTGAAAGACACTTATTAAGGGGAACTTAACATTTTGGTCAGAAATGGCCAAAAAAAGAGATTTAAAATGTGGCATCACAAAAAATATTCAAGAATATTTTCAAAAATGGAAACAACAATGGAAGAGTCTTTCTTTTACTTTCTATTAAAACCATTAGGTAGAATTAGCTGATTTTGCCCATGTTTTCTCTATTCTTTAAAACAAACTAATATTCCTACTTCATAGCCACATTGGCCATAAAATAAATCTAACACTATACTTAGGAACTTCTTCCTATCCTGCAAATTCTTTACCTGTTCTGTATTTAACTTAATTGTTTCTAGCAAGTAGATTTCTTGCTCTTTGGATTTCTGGTTTATACTAACCTTCTTAATTGTTAAACCTCATCTTCTCTTAACGGATTTATCTTATCCAAAAAAGAGACTAGTCTATTAATACATTTTTGGTAGCACCGCACATTTGCATGTACACCTTCCATTATTAAGAGAAAACTTCGCCTTCATCTAAGCCTTATGGAACTTAAACCTTCACCCTTTACATTTAATCCATATCCCTTTTGAGTCAGCTTCAATTCTTCAGGTGAAGGTTGAATTTGAATAACTTGCTGAAAATCCACTGTTTTGCCCCACCTGACAATAGAAAAGTCACAACTTTTTATCTCTTGGACTTGGAAATATGATACATGAAATGAAAATTTGGCTTTCTAAGGATTGTACACTTTTGAAAGCCAATGATCCAAGTTGAGGTTTAAGTTGGACTTTTTCTTTGTCATCTCCAGACACAGCCTTTATCTAGTCTCTAAAAATAATTAAAAATTACATTCTAAAATAGGTGGTCTTTTCCAGCTACTACAAACTATTTTGTTTGGGCTGGTAGCAAGACGAAAAGCCCTACTCAGATAATAGCAGGTCTGTTCAGAGAGGTTAACATGGACTACCTGACACCCTTTTCTCTCTTCCCTGCTTTATTTTTCCCCATTCCACATACGATCATTTGATATTCTAGGTGATATTTATATACATTTAACTCCTCCCCCCAACATGACCACACTTGAATAAAATTCGATGGGAGTAAGGACATTTAGGACATGCCTTTTTTGGACTTGCTAGTTTTGACAATCATTTGAGCCAATTCCATAAAAGCTCAATAGATAGATAGGAAGAGAGAGAAAGAAAGAGAGATACCTAGATAAATAAGCAGATAGAGATGGAGATGCAGATATATAGACATAGATATACACACACATCCTATTTATTCTGTTCAAAAACCCTGACTAATACAGATTTTGGTATTCAGATGCTCTGACTAAATTTTTCTTATCAACCTACAACGTAGTGACTAACTGTTCCTTATTGTCTTTGGATAAATGCAATTTCAATTATGAGAATTCAGTTTGAACACCATCAGAGCCATTACTAAGAACTCCGAAGGCTTCCAATAATGGAAAAACTAATTTGGTCTTATTTTGAACCTAGCTTTGTCCCTTACACCCACCAAAACAAACAAACCACTCATGAAAACCCATCTACAAAATTAAAAGCAAGAAAGGCTAGATTCTCTGGAATATACACTGCATCCTCATTGAGATAAAAGTAAGCAATGCCTATCTCAATGTTTGTGCCATGAATAATTTGATTAAATTACTACCTGCATGTGTTAACTTGGTAAGAGGTACAGGCATTTAGTGACAAGACAAATATCAGTCAAAACACTTCCCCCTAGTGAAACCATAAATCAAGAATGACTTGAGTCTCTGGTGCTTTCCAACAGCTTCAGGCACAGCATTGAAGTAATTCATGACCTGTTTATCTATGCCTTGATGCTGGTGTACTATAATCCATATACCCCAGCCCCCTACTGCCACCCTGTTAACACAAAGACCAAAAATGTTCTCAGGATGACTCTGGGAGATATGAAAATCAATGATCCTATAACTAACTAAGCTTGCTATACACAGTAGAGGTCAGTTACATGGTGGAAACCGGAACCCATGAAGCATTGATCGATAATGTGTTGACTAGACTTATGAAGCTTAGTGCCTCATTTCCTTAACATCTGAACCCAGAAACTGGTAACAGCATAAGCAAAAAAGAAATGCCACATTTATGAAGTGAATATATATTTTTCCCCAGAGTTTTGCTCTGTCTCCAGTAGTACCAAAAGAGGACCTTTGAACATGTGTCTTTTCATTAAAGTAGAACGTCAAAAAATATTGAGTTCATCACGCCTAGACATTTGTAGTTTTTCAGCCATAGCAGACGATAAATCATGTACCTAAAATAAAACAATGCTCGTACCAGCCCCTGGCTAAGATCCAGAATGAGTCATTTAAATTATGCAATTATGATTTAATGATTACATGTAGCCATGTAAATGTACTTCAACAATTTACTCACAAGAGATATGCATCCTCTGAGCTAAATGTAATATATTAAAAATGTTAAGTATGCTTCACTAGATCTTTTGACGGCTCTGCATATGGAATAGTATGTCAATGTCCTGCTATACATGTGTGCCAGACATAGATAGGCTCAGAAGTTACTATATCCATTCACATGCTGAGTGACTTATGATATTGTCACAATGGCATTTATAAACAATCTAACACCACTAATGATTTCTGTTGGCATGTGGTCTCTTTAGAAATCTACGTATCCTCTCTTTGGTTTACCTCAGCAAATTTATCTAGTTTTATTAAAGAATTTTTCTACCCCCCGGAACTATTTTATTATAACTAGTCATTCTAGGTTGTATCAAAGTACTGATAAATAGTGTTCAAAACTCTATTGGTAGTTGCCTGTCCATTAGCCATTACTCTAAGTCCATTTGCTATCTAGAAATGTCAAGTGGACCGTGGGAAAATGTCTACACCATTACAATTGCATTAAAATGAAATTGAAAACTACCAACCGTACATCTTCTCTGGCAGTCATAATGCTTTACCACAGCAAATCACTGCATTTACTTCTATCCTTTAGAAACCATTGAAAGTAATGGCAAAAATGGCAATTACTTTTGTACCAACTTAATAAATTTACCTTCCACCCTGCTACTTTCCTGCAACAAGTTTGCCATAAAATGGCAATGTTCAATCAGTACCAGGACAGTATTGAGGGAGAGTAGAACATACAAAAAGCTCAATAGGACACTTGACAATATGTCAAGAGAGTTACCTATTATATGCTAATAGAAATTGAGTTCTCAGAGATAAAATGTGATTTCTAAATGCCACCTGGCTTTCCATCTGACACATTCATGCCATCTGCTTCTGATGAAAATTGAAAGATTGCTTGCTAGTGCTGGTCAAATATTATCATGTCAATCAAATTCGCTTTCTCCTATCTTCAATTGCCTTGGAAATACAAATTCTTCCCATCTTCCTTGCCTCCATGCTACTCCTAACTCCCCTAGGCCCTATGCTGCATTCTATTTTCATGTGTCGAGCTATCATATGGACACAGCAATTTAACCCAGAAGTTTAGTCATAAAAACCTACTGAGGTTGAAACCATTTTTTAAGGATGCCCACACCTGCCCTCATAACAACTTGTTGGCCATTTTCTATGTAGTTGAGCTAGTTTTAAAATGTTTGGCTCTATCACTCTGTTATTAATTCCACACTTAGTCATTTGAATTTCTTTGCACCAGTCCTCACTGGTATCCAAGTTTTAATTTGGAATAATTGTTTCTGACTTTGCTTATCTGTATCTTCTAGTTTTAGAAGAGTAGGACAGGTCCTTAAATATATATTTTTTCTGTACCTTATTTTGGGGCAACAAGAGAGGGAACATTAAGACTAAGGCATCCATGGACTACAAAAAAATAAATATATGACACTTAACACTAAGGCCCTGGGAAGCACCCTAGAAGTGGTGCTCTACCTTAGCCATGTGTATAAGTTATAGACAAAGAAAAGATTCTGTCTTTTGAATCTCTAAGAATGCGATATTTAATGTCCTTATTCTGAATTTTTTTATTAAGTTGTATTTTTAACTTGGATAACTGCCTGTTTTTTTCCAGCTGGTTACGGAAGTGCTTGAGGGGGAATGGGATTTGGGAAATATGCTAGCAATGCAATTGTCCATGATTGCTTGGGGACTTTTGAAAAAGAGCTTTGATAAAAGTTTTGATATTGAATGTAATCAATTAGTCTTCTGAGGCAGGTAATGGAAGGGGAATTAGATCCATATATACAGCCCACTTGTACTCTCACATATAGTGGCTCGACTTCATATTGAAGAGATCAAATTAATTGTAATGTAGACTCAGTAAAGAGCGTTTACATGCTTTGCAGACCCGAGCATTCATGTTTGTACAGAAACCATGTGACAATTACAGTCTATCTATAGAATAATTAACATATTTAATGTTATAAGAGAAAGACTTTATTAATCTTTTACTCTCTGTATCTATCTGCCTATATTTTCTAGGAATTTCTGAAACAATTGACTGTATATACAAATTTGCAAAATCAGATGAAACTATTTTGCTAATTGCTTAAACCTCCCAGGAATTGAAAGCAGCCTTATCCTCTCGCATAAGTTTAGGAACAGATTGAATTGAATAGTTCTGAAAGAGTAGCTTTACCTAAATAATTAATGCAGTGTTTTTCAAAGTGTTTACCTCCAGGTTAGTACCTGCCCTATAAGGGTAGGAATACCTATGTCTTATTCTGTAGATAAATGTTTAGAGCAGAAATCCATTAAGACTAATGAAACCTGAGGCATTGTTGCAGCATGTTAATTTGCCTGAGCCTATTAATTCTTGTCTGTTTTCAGACCATATTTTACTTAAACAATGGTCTGGGAATTGAGATAAAACCATTGCAAAATGCATATAAAATGGAAAATATCATATGTATTTGTATATACATATGTATATGTGTGTACATATATATCTGAGTGTTAATATGTATAAAATACAAATCTTATAAAACCAATTCAAATATGATGTAGACTTATCTGCACACAATTATTTCAAGTTTTTTTATGATTTCAGGAATGAATAGTCTTTCTTCCAATCTGTTCAATGTACATTTGTTCTAAATGTAAAATAATGATTTAGCCAATTTCTTCATATGGTAGCAATGCCAATGCCATCTAAAGACAAAGTGTTCTACATAAGATCTGAAAATTATCTCTAGCATCCATTTGCATAATAAATATTCAATAGAGAAGTCAACATTTGTCAGATATATTAAGAGCAAGGACTGGCTTGCACATGATGCACTTATTTTAAATTATTTTTCAATGCAGAAAATATTAATCATTTAAGTACTGACAAAGTTTGTTGGATCCAATTTTAGTTACTAAATTTATTTGAGCATGTATAACTATTTATGAAGATTGATCTTTTATGGCTTGTATTCTTTCTTAGGAATTTTTTTTAAATACAGATAACAAATATTTAAATAAAATGTAAAATTTATTCTACATTGCAATTACCTTATTGGCTTATTGGATGATTTTATAAATCTGAAATAAAATGTAAAATTGTAGACATATTATTTTCCTCTGTATTGAAACATTTGATATTTAATCACCCTAGGAATTATTTATTTTTTACTTGACAATTATTTCAACTATGCCAAACAATACTAAAATGCTAAAATAGATAAATGATAATATTGTCTAGAAGATGACATAATGTTAAAATAAATCATCAATTTTCATTAACCTTAACAATTTAAATTACGTTTTCTTATATTTTACATCAACTTTCAAGAAGGCATATAAAATTCTGGAGATATTATTTGTAGTGCTAATTTTTTTCAGGTATTGTTATGTACAGGTAAATATCTAAAATTTTTATTTTCTTCCATAACAGCAAAGAGAAGAAATTTGAAATAGGAAGACATATTATTGTTATTGGACGAATTAGAAGATAGGATATATAGAGTAGGCTAATCTCTACTGACAATGCTGTAATTCATCATATAAGCACAATCTCAAGGTATGAGTATATGATACTATCTCAGTTGAACTTTTTAAAATGAACACTACTTAATATTTCTAACAAAAGAAAACCCACATTCACTTAGTTATTCAATAGGAAAAACTTCACATTACTTTCAAAATGAATCTGAGTCCATTGTGCTAAAAGGAGGTATGAGGGAATTTATCTTTTAGGATAATTAAAATTTATTTGATGATATTTGTAAGTTGACTAAGGCTGAAGGTAGGTTTGTGTACAAAAGTGATTGAAAGTTAAAAAGAAAAAATGCCTTTGGATTGGTAATTTAGCTTCTTCAGAGAAACAGAATCAATCAAATATGTACACAGTCATGTGCTGTACAACGTTTCATTTAATGATGGAAAACATATTAGATAATGGTCCTGTAATATTATAATGGAGCTGGAAAATTCCTATCACCTAGTAACTTAATAGCCTTCTGGTATAGTTTGGATATATGTCCCCACCAAATCTCATGTTGAATTGTAATCCCCAATATTGGAGGTGAGGCCTTGTGGGAGATGAATGGATTCTGGAGACAGATTTCTCATGAATGGTTAGCACCATCCTCTTGGTGCTTTCTTCGTGATTGTGAGTGAGTTCTTATGATATCTGGTTGTTTAAAAGGGTTTAGCACCTCTCACCTTTCTGTCTCTTGCTCCTGCTCCCACCATGTGAGATGCCTACTACCCCTTTGCCTTCCACCTTCCAACCTTCCAACCTTCCAACCTGAAGGTTGCCTTCCAACCTTCAGGAAGCTTGATGGAAAGCTTACTGAAGCCCTCACCAGAAGCCAAGCAGACTCCAACGTCATGATTCCTCTACAGCCTACAGAATCATGAGCCAATTAAATCTCTTTTCTTATAAATTACCCAGTCTCAGGTATTTCTTTATAGCAATGCAAGTTGACAAACAAAATTAGCCATTAGGCAGGGTTTTGTCTTTCTTCCTTTATTCTATAGGTATTTCTCCAGGTTACACATTTCCTTGTGTAGTATGAGTAGTTATTCTTAATAATCATTTTGCTCTTCTTTTACAACTATATAAATGGATGAAGGATTCACATATATATGAGTAAAATCCATTGTTCATACGGATAGAAAACAATCTTTATGGGGTAGGCAGATTGGTGTCTCCCCAAATATGACAATCTTAGAGCATGTTGATATGTGGCTTTAAATGGCAGAAGGGACTTGGCATCCAGTGTGGTTTGAATGTGTCCCTCAAAGTTCATGTGGAAGAAACTTAATCCCCAGTGCAACAGTGTTGAGAGGGGGGATCCTTTAAGAGATGATTAGGTCAGGAAGGCCTCACCTTCATGAATGGATTTATGCTATTATCACAGTAGAGAGTTAGTTATAGCAGGAGTAGGTCCCTGGTAAAAGGATGAGTTTGGCTCCATTTCTCTCCCTTGGCTCCGGCTCCCTTGCCCTTCTGCTTTCCAGCATGAGATAACACAGCACAAAGGCCCCTCAGTCTTGGACTTGCTTGCCTACAAAACTATAAGAAATAAATCTCTGTTCTTTAAAATTACCCAGTCTCAGGTGTCCTATTACAGCTGCACAAAACAGACTAAAATAATCAGCACTGAGTTGAGGCGCTGTTGCTATAATAAGTATCTAAAGCTGTAGAAGTGGCTTGGAAACTGGGTAATGGGTAAAGGCTGAAAAATTTTGGAAGAATTGGTTACAAAATGTTTAGATTGCTGTGAATGCAGAGTTAAGGGCAATTTTAGTGAGTACTCACAAGAAGTCAAGAAATGTGGGGAAAGTCTGGAACTCCCTAGAAATTACTTACGTGGTTGTGATCAGAAAGTTGGTAGAAATATAAATAATAAAGGCCATTCTGTGAGGCCTGATATGGTTTGGATCTCTGTCCCTGCCCAAATCTCATGTCAAATTGTAATTCCCAATGTTGGAGGTGGGGCCTGGTGGGAGGTGATTGGATCATAGAAGCAGATTTCTCATGAATGGTTTAGTATCATCATCTTGGTGCTGTTATCCTGATAGTGAGTGAGTTCTCATAAGACCTGGTTGTTTAAAAGTGTGTAGCACCTCCCCACTCTCTCCCTCTCTTGCTCCTACTGTAGCCTCATGATATGTCTGACCCCCTTTTGCCTTCCACCATGATTTTAAGTTTCCTGAGGCCTCCCCAGAAGCTGAACAGATACCAGCATCATGCTTTCTGTACATCCTGCAGAACTATAAGCCAATTAAAGCTCTTCTCTTTATAAATTGCCCGGTCTCAGGTATTTCTTTATGTGAGAAAGAACCAATACAAGGTTTCAGATAGTAATGAGGAATGAGGTATTGAAAACGAAAGTAAAGACCATCATTGTTATACACTTGCAAATAACATGGTGAAATTACCTGTGTCCTAGGACTTTGTGGAAGGCAGAATTTAAAACTGATAAATTAGAATATCTGGTGTGAGAAATTTTTGAGTATAATATTGAAGGAACTGTATAACTACTTTTAACTGCATGTGTAACATGCAAGAGGTGAGAAATTGTTTAAAGACAGAATTTATAATTAAAAGGGAAGCAGAGTGGAAAAACTGGAAAAATTCATAGTCTGGCCAAGTGAAGATTAAAAAGGTATCTTTAGGAGAGCACAGTAAGGATGTAGCCAATAGACTATTTACAAAAGAGACTAATATAGATAGAAGGGAAACAGGTACTATTCATCAGGACAATGGAAGGATGATTCCAAAGGCATTTTCAGAGATCTCCCAGGTAAGGTAAAACACTGAGGGCAAGATTTCCAGAGAAATCTCATGGAACCTCAGCATTCACTGCCCTGCGCTGCCTCAGGTCTCTGCTCCCTGCATTCCAGAGCAGAGCACTTCAACCACCCCAGCCTTGCCTCAAGCTGGTCCAGGTATGGCTCTTGTGTTGCTCTGGAGGGTGCAATCCATAAACCTTGGTGGTATTCCACCCTTCAGAATGCATGAGCTTTGGAGCCACGGAAGCCGCCACCTAGATTTCAAAGGATATCGTGGACAGTCTGGGGATCCAGGTAGATACTGTTTGCAGGGATGGAACCATTACATAGAGCCCCAACTAGGACACTTTCTCCTGAGTTCCTGGGAGAGAGGCCACTTCAGATCGCTCAGAAACATAGGGCCACTAACATGAAATTCCAGCCTGAGAAAGCTGCAGGCATTGGACTCCAACTTGTGAGAGCTACTTGGTGGACTAAGCCTGACAAAGCCATAGTGGTAGAGCTTCCAGAGGTTTTGGGGGCCTAATACCACCTCAGTGTGCTGAGAATGGGTGACATAAAATAAGAGGAAATTACTCTCCAGCATGAAGATTTAATGTTGTTTCCCCTGTTGCGTTTTAAACTTAGTTGGAGCCTACACTCTTTTTTTTTTTGGCCTATTTTCCGCCTTTAGAATGGCAATGTTTATGCTATGCCTGTCTCGTTGTGGCATTTTGGGAACAGATAATTTGTTTAATTTTACAGGTTCACAGCTGGAGAGGTATTTGCCTCAGGATGAATCACATCTTGAGTTTCACCCATATCTGATTCAGATAAGACTTTAGACTTTTGGGTTAGTGTTGGGATGAGTGAAGACTTTGTGGCTCTTGGGATGGAATGAATGTATTTTGCATGTGAGAAGGGCGTGAATTTTGGGGGTCCTAGGCAAAATGTTATAATTTAATTGTGTCCCCCAAAGTTCATGTGTTGAGAATTTATCTCCAATGATAACAGTATCAAGAGATGGAACTTTAAGAGGTGATTATGAGAGCTCTGGACTACGCTGTTATCACAAGTGCAAGTTAGTTATTGCAGTAGTGGGTTCCCGATAAAAAGACAAGTTCAGCCCCCTTTCACTCCCTCACACTTCTGCTTTCTGCCATTGGATGATGCTATACAAAGACCTTCACCAGATGTGAAGCTCTTGGCTTTGGACTTCTTAGCCTTCAAATCTGTAAGAAATACATTTCTGTTCTTCATAAAGTACCCAGTTTTAGATATTTTGTTATAGCAACAAACAATGGATAAAGACAGCCAATGTGATTAAGGTTAAGGATCTTAAGATGAAGATTATCCTTAATCATCTGTGTGGGCTTAATGCAATCATAAAATTGTATTCAAATGTAGATGTGACTACAAAAGAGAAGCACAAAGAAATGGAACTTTTGGCTTTCAAAGTGGAGAAAGGGAATCATGAGACAAGGACTGTGGTTGGGCTCTAGAAAATGGAAAAGACAAGGAAACAGGTTTGCCCCACAGCCAGCAGAAAGAAGGAAAGCACTGCCAACACACTGATTTTAGCCAAGTGAGTGAGTTGGTGTAAGCCGTTATATTTATGGTCATTTGTTATGCAGCAATAAAAAACAAATCTAGTATATGAAGGTAATTTCCACAAATCATATAACTTCATGTTCTGTAGTAAATGAGACTTTACTGGCATGAGAAGGGAAGGCATATCCAGGGTAAAACAAGTGGAAGAAAATAATAACACAATTCTTGTTCCTTAACAATAACCCACCACAGTTTAATGTCTGATTTAATGATTCCTTAAACAATACTTCTAATGTGCATTACATATGGTCCATTCATTGTCTTACACAATTCTGCATGCTTCTCAGATAGTTTTCCCAAACGCAGCTGTTGTCCTTTAAATTCTTCTAAGCACAGTCTTTTAGTGAAGTCCTCGTAAATTCTACCAGGAAACAAATTGGTAACATTTTATGTTTATATACATTTTGTAAATGTATGTTGTTTAAATAATGTGGGCATAATTCATCATTAATTAATGTTAGAACGTGAAATTTCTTTGGTACTCATATCCAAGCTGTTCCTCCAAAGATACATCTACCTGATTATTTCAAGTATTTAAAGCTTGAGGAGAATCAATAATGAGTTGTGCAATGAAAAGTACACAACAAATTCTTCAATAAGAATCTGCAATCACTTTGAAGATAAATAACTGAGGAAAGTGTCTTGATAAACAGATTGCATGTAAATGTAGTTCTTTATGGAAAAAAGTGAGAAAAATAATTATATTTGTCAAGATCTTCACTTGTGTGTTTTAAGAAGAAGATTCTTTGTTCATTTGTTCATTGAACAAACGTATTTTAAATACCTAAGTGTTTAATGCACACTCATCTGCTCAGGGATGCAGGAGGATGTAGACAAACCTAGTTCTGACCTAGTGGAGCTTCATTAGCAGACATTTAATTATGCTTTCTACTTGTATTAACCTTCTGTATACGGTAAACGTAGTTTCAAAATTTTAAGATTTGAAACTTGATTCCATAGATCCAAAGCTACGCTTTTTTACTTGCAACCTTGGACAATTATTTTCCCTATGTAAACATTAGTTCTTTCACTTAAAAGAATAGTAATTCTAACAGTAGTTATGTGAGAAGGACAAAAGAGATTCAGAGGTCACAGAGCTTGTAAAGTGCGTAGCACAGACCTGGCAAAAACATGCAGAAACATGAAGTGAATGTATCATGGCATATTTTTAAAATTACAGCCTTTGGTTTGGCTGCAACACAGGGGGAAGGGTCGAAATCGCTTATGATGCATTTAAAGATTTAGATAGAAGCTAAATGATGAAAGGCTTCCTTCTTCCTTATCATAATGGAATAAAGTGGCATGTGCTGTGTGGCAGAAATACACCCTTCAAAGAGATATGAATAAAAAATGTAACTTTAAAATTTTTATGTAATTGATTAAGTAATCTGCACAAGTAACTCTCCATCTCTGTGTGCTGGAAAAACTCAAAATTGCCAATTAACGTTGCAACCCCCCCTCACGCATATGTTCAGCCAAGGAATCCCTTTGGCTGGCTGCTCCTGTTTCCTCTTGTCCTGCTGAGGAGGCTTGTGGTAGATGAAAAACAATTATAAGCAGGTGGTTTTCCTGCCTACTCTGCACAGCCCAGTTCTCACTGGCTCTCTGTTTTTTCAGAGGCTGGGCTGCACCTCTCATTCAATCCCTTGACCATGTCACCTCCTTGATCATCTCAACTAAGTACTCACTTTGCCCATGTCATGGCAATCTCTCTGTAAGCTGTTATTGATTTATGTCTCTCTAGATAAAACTTTTATGAATAATGACACTGGAAAAACATAGACACTTTTTCTTAACAGTTTATCTTTAAAACCAAATATTTAAACAAATCTATACAGAATAAAGAATTTTAATGATTTTTTAAATTCCACATAACACTTTAACACTAGGAGTATGAATTTTCTAATATGCAAATCTGATTTTGATGTTTCTTTACAAATCTTCACTGACTTTTCTTGTTCACAGAGCACTGTCAATATTTTATTTCAATAGGGTAGAGAGGGAGGAAGATTTCCATCACTTAGCTTCTACCTAAATCTTTAAATTCATTGTAAGCAGTTTTTGACCCTTCCTACTGTGCTTCAGTCAAATTAAAGCCTATAATTTTCAGAATATGACATAATGCACGAACGTTGTTTTTGCATAGACAAAACATACGGTCTTGAATGCTCTTGCTTACTTTGTGAGTGTTGAATATCTACCTAAATGTAAAGCTCCTATTGAGGACTTCTGACCTATAAAGCTTTTGCTAAAATTTCAGAAAGAGAAAGTTCAGAGTTTCTGTGCCACTAGATAAAATTTATGTGACTGTAGTGTAGCACTCATAACAACCATTGTAACTGAGGTGTCATCTGTTTGTCTACACTCCATGACTGAATTCCTAGAGGGCAGATATGACTATATTTTATTCATTTTTGTATATCTCAGTATTAACGCTAACATACCTTTGGCTTCAGGGAAAAATGATTAATGACTCAATAAGTTAATTAATTAATTAAAAATTTTGACCTTTATTTTAGTAATTCATTTTGTAATATAATCTATTTTTCATCAGAAAGTAACCATATTAAATAAGAATTGGTAAGAAAATCTAAATATAGACTAGAAATTATTTTGAAGAGAATTTTATTTGATTGAATGTACTTAATTTGCAACATTTTTTATCTCTTTTCATGTGTGTAGGGGTTTTCCCCCTTAGCAGACACTTAAATATTACATAAATCATATTGTATTTGACTCATTTTTTTGGCAAATTGCTTCTTTTAAGCTTTTGTTTCTGAGTTAGAATTTAGTTTTATATATGAAAAGTGAGAGATTTTCATTGCCTGACTGACCTATAGGTTGACAGTGAATAAAAAATGAAAGACGGCAAGGCTTTATTTTTACCCTTTATCTTCTTTGCCTTTGCTTTTGTACGCTTTTGTGGATTAATCATCAAGGTCAATTGTGCAGTCATTACTCCTCCTTGCAAAACTTCTAACTGAGGTCAATTAATGAATCAGCTGAGAAAGCAGTAGCTTTACTAATTCTTACAGCGTTTCATCAAAAGAAAAATCTGCTTTAATTGTATTTCACTTGGCACCAGAATCCAAGCAAATGTACTAATGTCTGGCCAGTTTTTCAGTCAAATAACTATCGACATGATTTATTAAAATAATTAAATCAGGAAAGAATATGAACAAAAATATAAACAAAATTGCTTTAGCATTAATTTCCATAATTGAGAGAAAGTATGCTTCCTAAATCTGGTTGAAGGCAAGAACTGCTCCTTAGGTCTATTATATTACAGTCCTTGGGCTAACTACTTTATATTCTTCCACTTTAAATTTCCCAACTCTCCCTTAAGGGGAAAACTGAAAATTGTAATGAGAGTTTAAGTAGAGTAGAAACAAAATCATATGATTAGTATACAAAACACATGTTAATGAATTCTTACATTATCAACTAGTAATTATGTAATATATTGTGTATTCTAGGAATCTCATATTCAAATAATGCTAATTAAATGACAAGTTAAATGTGACCTCCTCTAATAAATCAGTTATTTAATGATTTACATTACCTAGAGGCAGAAATACCATTTAACCCAGCAATGCCATTACTAGGTATATACCTAAAGAAATGTAAGTTATTCTGTTACAAAGACACATGCATGCATATGTTCATTACAGCACTATTCACAATAGAAAAGACATGGAATCAACCCAAATGCCTATCAATGACAGACTGGATGAAGAATATGTGGTATATATACACGATGGAGGATTACGCTCAATAGAAAGGAATGAGATCATGTCCTTTTCAGGGACATGGGTGCAGTTGGAAGCCATTATCCTCAGCAAACTAATGTAGGAAGAGAAAACCTAACCCTGCATGGTCTCATTTATAAGTGGGAGCTGAACAATGAGAACACATGCGAGGAGCAGCACACACTGGGCACCTGTGGGAGGTTAGGGGAAGGAAGAACATCAGGAAGAATAGCTAATGAATACTGGGCTTAATACCTGGATGATGGGATGATCTGTGTGGTTAAACACCATGGTACACATCTACCTATCTAACAAACCAGCACATCTTGCACCTGTACCTGAACTTATAATAAAAGTTAAAAAAAATAAAAAAACAGAAGGACGACGGGCACTGCATATTGATTTAGTTTCATTTTAGGAATAAGACTAAAGCAACCTTTGAACCTCTGGTGACTGAACAATATGTAAATGATATAAACTGGAGAAGATCACAACTGATGAAGCAATTTTGAAAGAGAAAGGGGAGAGATAAAAAGGAATGTAAAAACATGAACTCTTACTTTTTGTGTTAGATATTAATATATAACATTTAAATTCAAAACAATTTTAAAAATTGTAAATACACATATGTATTTAAATACAAGCATATATTTAAATATATTGATAATTTAATTTGTGGTAAATCATTAAAATTAGGAAACAATTAACTATTGAAAATAATATAATTAGTAATTGGTTTATTTAAATTATTAACTTATATGCTTATATGCCTACAGGTATATAATGTTTAAGGCAAATATTACAAATTAATGCAACAAAATATGGCTGAGAAATGAAGAGAAAGAAATTATAAGAAGTAATAGTTATAGTAAACATTAATGAGAGCATAGTCCAGTAGTATTTAAGGCCTACACATCAAGATAGTCTCAAAGGAACTTTCTCAAATGAATATACATGTTTATTGTTTTGTTTTATTTGTTGTTTAATTTTAATTGATGAGTAAAAATTATATATATTTGTGTTGAATGATATGATGTTTTGATATATGTATGCATTATAGAACAGTTAAATGAAGATATCTGGCATACGTGTTACCTCACTTCCTTATCATTTTTTTGTATTAAGAAGATTTAAAATTTACTCTAGTAGTCATTTTCAAGTATATAATATACTGTCATTAACTGTAATCACCAATTATTGTAGAGAAATATTGATGTGCATATTAATGTATCTCTTATTTTCCTAACTAAAATTTTGTGTCCTTGAACAACTGTTCAATTCCTCCATCCCCCAGGCTCTAGAGACTACCAATATACTCCCTGTTTCTATGTTCTCAAGATTTTCAGACTCCACATATAAGTAAGGTCATGTGGTATTTGTCTTTCTGTGCCCAGCTTACTTTACTCTTCAGGTTCATTCGTGTTGTTACAAATGAAAGAATTTCTTCTTTTTTAAGGTTAAGCAGTATTGAATTGTGTGAATATACCAGATATTCTTTATCCATTCATTTGTTAATGGATATTTAGGTTGTTTCCTTATCTTGGCTATGGTGAATAATGCTGCAGTGAACATAAAAAGGCAGATTTCTCTTTGACATACAGATTTTATTACCTTTGAATATACACCTAGTACTGGGAATGTTGGGTCATATGGATAATTCTATTTTTAATTATTTTAGGAATCTCAATATTACTTGCCATAATGACTTTCCTACTTGCATATGGTGTAAAATAAAGTTATTTTTGCATACAGTATGAAATAAAGTTCAAATTTCATTCTTCAGCATATGGATATCCAGTTTGTCCAGCATCATTTATTGTTGATTTTGTGTCTTACAACTTTACTGAATTCATTTATTAGTTCTAACAGTTTTTTGGTGGACTCTTGGGTTTTCTATATATAAGATCATATTGTCTGCAAACAGGAAAAATTTAACTTCTTCCTTTCTAACATACTTGTTTCAATAATTGGAATAAATGATAATAAATTTATACAGTTACAAGTCATACATAAGTGAAAGAACAGTAAGACAATTCTAATGACAACAAAGTTATAGTGGGATGAAATATATTCAGGCACCCCAAAATAGAAAAAAAATGATGTGAACTAACTCTTTAATTTAATTTTAAAAAGGTAAAGACACATGTGAACTAATTCTTTAATTTAATTTTAAAAAGGTAAAGTTAAATAGATAAACAATTCAATCAATTGAAATGAGAGCATCTACAAATACACAAAGAAGAAAAGAGAATGAAGATCATCATTGATAAAAGAATAAGAGACTAATTTCTTCAGTAAAATTCAGGTCATTTTGATAACCTAGACAATCAATTATTTTCTCTGAAACTGACTCCCTAAAATATGTAAAACCCTAAAGAAGCCAATTTCACATGTATTCAAATGTGTAAATTATTCCCCATGCCCCATTACAAAGCATCATGTCCATGGAAAGTCATAAACACAGAGCAAATTCTAATGCTATTAAAGAGAGTCCGGAATACAGAAAAGTGGGAAAAAATTCAAAATGCTTTCATGGGGTTGTTATACAAACCTGACCTGACTTAGATAATATGAAAAATAACGCTCTGGTCAAATTTCATGTGTAACAATTGTTTAAAAATCTCAGTAAATAATTAACAATCTGAATGCAACAGTTCATTTAAAGGAATATCCACTTGGATTCATACCAGGAGCAAAACAACTATGAATTATAATAGGAGAAAATACGTAATTGTAGTTGTAGATATTGGAAATTTTATATTTTTTAAAGATAAAAAATAAGAGAGAAAATTACTATTATAAGCAGGAAAATAAGGAGATCAAATAACTTACTTGGGTGTAATATCAAAATGGGATATGAATGACATGCAAGAAATATACAAATTATATTTAAAATGCTGCTAACGGACATATTTTTATTTGAATCAATGTCAAGATTTCCTCTATTTCCAAATATACATTGCTATCAAAAAGATGTCAACTTTCCATAAATAATTTCTATCATACTTAAACAAAATAATAGCGGGATTAGTTTATTCAGTGTTTGTTTTCTTTAAGAACTAGACATTGATTATACAGTTGCTATTAAAAAAAGTGTGGATTCCTGCTTCAAGATGCTGATTAGGTGAAGCCAGGAAGAATGTCTCCCACTGGGGGACCAGGACATCAGAAAGACTGGTGCACTTCTAGCAGAACTTCAGAAGGAAGGCATTGACAGTGAATGGAGGGAAGACACAGATGCTAGGCTGAACTGGCAGAAAGCTGGGGACCATGCACTGGGCTACAGGGCACCAGAACTTATTCTTGGCCCCTAACGACTCCTGTGGAAGGGGTGAGTTGAACTGGCAAGGAGCAATCCACTCACGCTGTGGGCCTCTGGTTTCCCAGTAGAAGGAGACCCCTTGAGCATCACGGACACTTGAGTTGCCAGGGAGATCCGCTTAAGGAAGTGGTGGGGCAGAACTTGAGCCAGTGTGGCACCCAGAGGGTTTGGTTCAGGAGTGTCTGTAGTGGAGCTGCAGAAGTGTCTGTAGTGGAGCATAGCCAGAGATGCCCATCCCCTTTGGCTTGACTTGCTCCTATAGCAGACTTTAGTCCTAGGGGAATTGTTGGACATGAACTCTGCAGGGAGGTCTTGCGCATGAGATGGAGCCGGTCTGACTTGAGTACCCCTGGGTCTGCTGGCCTCTCCGGTGTCCCAAGCTTGGCCATTTTTGCTTTAAGTGGAACACCCAAGTGCCTCCCAGGGGCTTGCATCATAGCTGTTGTGCTGGCAGACTGCACCTGTCCAGCAGTGTGCTCCAACAGAACAATCCCCATGGACACACACCAGCCCTCCTGTGTACTCCTCCCACTGCAGCCTACCCTATGTGGCTTTTCCTGCATGTGCTCTCCCATGGCCTCACCTCACATCGCTCTGCCTAGTATGTACGTGCAGGCAGACATTGCCCTTTTTTCCTTTCCAGAATGTGTGTGTCCCTGGACCCTGCCATACCACTGCTGTTGGCATAGCTGCACACCAACCTCACCCCATCGCCTCAGCTACACTGCCATTGTCATCAGAGTATTACTGGCACAAAGCTGCCAGCCCCATCTCCCCAGCACCCCAAGTCTGTACTTACACTGCCACTTGTGCAAAACTATTCACAGAAAACAGCAGACCCACCTCCACCCTGAGCATTGCTGCTGTCCACATGTACACACACAGAGGGGGCACAAAATCCTGCACCCACCAGTGCTCCACCCCTAGCTAACATCACAACCAGTGCAAACATGCTACAGTTGCTAGCAGGGGGCCCCCACCTTCCCAATCCCTGTTGCCATTGCCATTGCTGTGAACATCTTCACAGAGGCCAGCACCCTGGCACCCAATAGCACACTGCCACAGCCAATGAGCATGCACCCCACCACACTGCTACTGCTGCTGCTGCTGGCATATGCAAATGAGAATGGATCCTGCTGCTACTGCCCTAAAAAGGGCTTTGGCTGGCAACACTCATCAGAGAGTTGTGACTAGCAATCCAGGAGCACCTCAGTGCCTCCAGTGCAGTAGGTTCCTAAACTGGAAGAGCCAAAAATCAAAGCTGGGGCCTAATACCAGTCTCAGAGGTAGAGCATACAGTCCCAAAGCACTGAGCTGAGCCTTGGCCCCTAAAATCTTCCAGATACAAATCCAGTCAACTAAACCCTCCTTCTCCCACAATCAAAACCCCCAAGTTCATCAAATAAAGAAAAGAAAAAAAAATCCGACGGGCACCAACCTCAAAAACTGAATGCACATCACCCCACAAAGATTAGAAAGAACGAGTGCAAGATCTCTGACAACTCAAAAAGCCAAAATGTTTTCTTTCCTCCAAACGACTGCACTTGTTCCCCAGCAAGCCTTCTTAACTGAAATGAAATGGCTGAAATGACAGAAATAGAATTCTGAATATGGATTGAAACAAAGATCATTGAGATTCAAGAGAATGTTTAAACCCAATCTTAGGAAGCTGAGAATCACAATAAAATGATACAGGAGCTGCAGACAAAATAGTCAGTGTAGAAAAGAATGTGTCCATACTGCCCAAAGTAATTTATAGATTCAATGCTATTCCCATCAAGCTATCCATTGACTTTTGTTACAGAACTAGAAAAAAACTACTTTAAATTTCATATGGAACAAAAGAAAAAAAAAAAGAGCCCATATAGCCAAAACAATCCTAAGCGAAAATAACAAAGCTGGAGGCATCACACTACTTGACTTCAAACCATGCTACAAAGGTACAGTAACCAAAACAGCATGGTACTGGTAACCAAAACAGATGTATAGACCAATGGAACAGAACAGAGGCCTCAGAAATAACACCACACATCTACAACCATTTGACCTTTGACAAACCTGACGTTAACAAGCAATGGGGAAAAGATTCCCTATTTAATAAATGGTGCTGTGAAAACTGGCTAGCCATATGGAGAAAACTGAAAGTGGACCCATTCCTTACACCTTACACAAAAATTGACTCAAGCTGGATGGAAGACTTAAATGCAAAGCCTAAAACCATAAAAACCCTAGAAGAAAACCTAGGCAATACCATTCAGGACATAGGCATGGGCAAAGACTTCATGACTAAAACACCAAAAGCAATTGCAACAAAAGCCAAAATTGACAAATGGGATGTAATTAAACTAAAGAGCTTCTGCACAGCAAAATAAACCATCATCAGAGTAAACGGGCAACGTACAGAATGGGAGAAAATTTTTGCAATTTATCCATCTGACAAAGGTCTAATACCCAGAATCTACAAGGGACTTAAACAAATGTACAAGAAATAAACAAACAACTCCATCAAAAAGTGGACAAAAGATATGAACACACATTTATCAAAAGAAGACATTTGTGTGGCTAACAAATATATGAAAAAAATCTCATCATCACTGGTCATTAGGGAAATGCAAATCAAAACCACAATGAGATACCATCTCATGCCAGTTAGAATGGTGATCATTAAAAAGTCTGGAAATAACAGATGCTGGTGAGGATGGGGAGAAATAGGAACACTTTTATATTGTTGGTGGGAGTGTAAATTCGTTCAACCATTGTGGAAGACAGTGTGGCAATTCCTCTAGGATCTAGAACCAGAAATACCATTTGATCCAGCAACCCCATTACTAGGTATATACTCAAAAGAATATAAATCATTCTATTATAAAGATACATGCACACATATGTTTATTGCAGCACTATTTATAATAGCAAAGAATTGGAACCAACCCAAATGCCCATCAATGATAGACTGGATAAAGAAAATGTGGAACCTATACACCTTGGAATATGCATACACCTTGGAATATGCATTCATAAAGAAGAATGAGTCAATGTCCTTTGCAGGAACATGGATGAAGCTAGAAATTATCATTCTCAGCAAGCTAATACAGGAACAGAAAACCAAACATCGCATGTTCTCACTCATAAGTGGGAGTTGAACAATGAGAACACATGGACACAGGGAGGGGAATATCACACACCTGGGCCTGTTGAGGGGTGGAGGGAAAGGGGAGGGAGAGCATTAGAACAAATACCTAATGCATACGGGAATTAAATCCTAGATGATGGGTTCATAGGTGCAGCAAACCACTGTGGCACATGTATACCTATGTAACAAACCTGCACATTCAGCACATGTATCCTAGAACTTAAAGTGGAAAAAAATGTAACTGACCAGATAGAGCTGAAAAACACAATACAAGAAATATATAATGCAATTGCAAGTGTTAACAGCTGAACAGACAAAGCTGAAGAAAGACTCAAGAGCCTCAAGGCTGGTTTTCTGAAATAAGACAGACAGAATAGAGAAAAACAACAATGGAAAGGAATGAACAAAGCCTCTAAGAAATATGGGATTATGTAAAGATAATGAATCTATTACTTATTGGCATCCCTGGAAAAAATGGGCAGAATGGAAGAAATTTGGAAAACAGATTTCACAATGTCATCAGGAATAACTTCCCCAACCTAGCTACAGAGGACAACACTTAAATTCAGGAAACACAGAGAACTCCTCCAAAATAATTCACAAAAAGATCATCTCCAAGACACAAAATCTTCAGATTCTCTAAGGTCAAAATGAAAGAAAACATGGTAAAGGCAGCTAGAGAGAAAGAACAGGTTACCTAAAAGTGAAGCTCATCAGAATAGTAGCTGACCTGAGCAGAAACCCTATGAGACAGGAGAGATTGAGTGACTATATTCAACATTCTTAAATAAAGGAAATTCCAACCAAGAATTTCATATCCGACTAAACTAAGTTTCATAAGTGAAGGAGAAATAAGATCCTTTTCACACATGCAAATGCTGGGGGAATTTTTTCTTTTCAGACCTTCATTACAAGAATTCTTAAAAGAATCTCTAAATATAGAAAGGAAAATTCATAACCAGCCACTACAAAAGCACACTAAACTACACAGATCAGTGACATGATAAAGAAGCCACACAAGCAAGTTGGCATAATAAGCAGCTAACAACATAATGATAATATCAAATCCACACATATCAATGTAATCTTGATGCAAACGGGCTAAATGTGCAAGACCCAGTGGAATGTTGTCTTCAAGATACCCATCTCATATGCAATATCACCCATAGGCTCAACATAAAGGGATGAAGAAAAATCTACCAAACAAATGGAAAACAGAAAATAACAAGGGTTGTGATCCTAATTTTAGAAAAAACAGAATGTAAACCAACAAAGATTAAAAAAGACAATGAAGGGCATTACATAATGGTAAAGGGTTCAATTTAACAGGAAGACCTAATTATCTTAAATACATATTCACCGAACAGGAGCACCCAGATTCATAAAGCAAATTCTTAGAGACCTTCAAAAAGATTTTGATTTCCACACTATAACACTGAGAAACTTCAACACCTCACTGACATTATTAGACAGATCATTAGGGCAGAAAATTTGTAAAGATATTCAAGATCTTAACTCAATACTAGACCACATGGACCTGATAGACCTCTACAGAAATCTCCACTCAAAAACAACAAAATATACATTCTTCTCTTTGCCACATGGCACATATGCTAAAATTGACCACATAATCAGACATAAAACAATCCTCAGCAAATATAAAGAACTGAAACCTACCAACCACTTTCTTGGACCACAGTGCAATAAAAATAACATTCAAGATTTAGAAAATCACTCAAAACTATGTAATTACATGGTGCATATGCTAAAATTGATCACATAATCAGACATAAAACAATCCTCAGCAAATACAAAGAACTGAAATTACACCAACCACTTTCTTGGACCACAGTGCAATAAAAATAAAATTCAAGATTTAGAAAATCACTCAAAACTATACAATTATATGGTAATTAAACAACATCATTTGGGTAAATGACAAAACCAACCTAAGTAATTCCATTCTGGACATAGGAATTGACAAAGATTTCATGGTAAAGACAACAAAAGCAATTGGAACAAAAGCAAAAATGGACAAATAGAATCTAATTAAACTAAAGAGCTTCTGCACAGCAAAAGAAATTTCAACAGCATAAACAGGCAACCTACAGAATGGAAGAAAATGTTTTTAAACTATGCATCTGAGAAAGGTCTAATATCTAGAATCTATAAGGAACTTAAATTTACAAAATAAAGACAAATCACCCCATTAAGAAGTGGGCAAAGGACATTTACAGACACTTTTCAAAGAAGACACACATATGACCCCAAAGCATGTGAAAAAAAGCTCAATATCACTGATTATTAGAGAAATGCAAGTCAAAACCACAATATGATGCAATCTCATACCAGTCAGAATGGCTATTACTAAAAAATCAAAAGATAACAGGTGCTGGCAAGGTTGTGGAGAAAGGAACACTTATACACTGTCAGTGGTAGTGTAAATTAGCTCAAGCATTGTGGAAAACAGTGTGGCAATTCCTTAAAGAGCTAAAACCAGAACTACCATTCAACCCAGCAATCCCATTACTGGGTATGCACCCAAAGAAATATAAATCCTTCTGTCATAAAGATATATGCATGCATATGTTCATTGCAGCACTATTCTCAATAGCAAAGATATGGAATCAACCTAAATGCACATCAGTGGTAGACTGGATAAATAAACTGTAGTACATATACAAGATGGAATACTATGTAGCCATAAAAAAGAATAAGATCATGTCCTTTGCAGGAACAAAGATGGAGCTGGAGGCCAGTATCCTTAGCAAATTAATGCAGGAACAGAAAAGCGCATACCACATGTTCTCAGTTATAAGTGGGAACTATATGATGAGAACTCATGAACACAAAGAAAAGAACAAGGAACGCCGGGTTCTACCTCAGAATGGAGGGTAGAATGAGGGAGAGGAGAAGAAAAATAACTATTGAGTATTAGGCTTAGTACCTGGGTGACAAAATAATACTTACATTACACATATAAATACTTACATATTTGTGCATGTAAATTAATTAATTATATACATATGTATATATGTACGTGTATATAAATACACACAATTTCTAGAAAAATACTAGAAACAATGTTTAAAAAGATTTTACAGCAAAAACAAAGACAAAATAGAAGCAAATTATTTTAGCAGGCAGGCTAATTTTCTTAAACCATAAAAACATACATTTGACGAGCATGGTGCCTGTAATCCAAGCAGTTTAGAAGGCTGAGGCAGGAGGATTGCTTGAGGCCAGGAGTCTGAGAACAGCCTGGGTAACATAGTGAGACCCCTGTCTCTACTAAAAATAAAAGAAAAAATAGCCAGTCTTCCTGGTGTGCACCTATAGTCCCAGCTACTCTGGAGGCTAAGGTGACAGGAATGCTTGAGCCCAGGAGGTAAAGGATACAGTGAGCCATGATAGTGCCACTACGCTCCAGCCTAGGCAACAGACTGAGACCGTGTCTTAAAAAACAAACAAACAAATCAAACCAACCAATCAAAAAGCAAAACCTACACATTTATATTCTTGCAAAAGTTTGCAAGCAATACATGTATCTAAATTCTACTGTATGCACATAATATAAAATGATATATAATGCCATCATATATTAATAAATGCTTACACTCCATTTTGTATTAAGGGAATCTATACTTTTTTTATAAAATACATTTTAAACTTAAATAATACATGTCTTAATATTTTATATCTATGAAATGTTATTTTGTAACCTATTGCCTATTTTAATTTACCAAAGAAATAACTTTAATAACTAGGAAAACAGACAACAATTCACTGGTTTTTAAAAAGTGTTTTTCCAATTTCATATTTTCACATAGGAAACAATTTATAAAATGTAAGTCCTTAGGTATTTTTAAATTCCCTTATCATCATATGCATTTATAAAATTATTAAAGCAAATTAATTTGTTTTGATGAGTAAAGTAACATTCTTTGTTTTATCAGACACGGTAGTATTTTATCATCTTTGTACCAGCTTGATAATTTGGCAATGATACAATATTATGAACTATGAATTGAATTTTCTGATTAACATGCTATCCTGTGAATCTTATTTTGTTGTAATAAACTGAAAATGCTCATAGCTCTTTAGGTATTCTAATTAAAGTTTTAAATGATTGATGTACCGAAAAAACAAATTAGGTCAGGTATCTTTCTAGCAAGAAAGAACCACTTAGAATAATTCTTAAATTGTTATTTTTTTCCTTTGTTGCTTTTACTCCTAATACAAAGATTTTCTTTCAATAGCAAATTCCTTGATCATTAGCCACAACTTCTTTTGTTTATTCACCAGCAAAAAACAATGAATAAACAAATTTAATAAATATACCTTTGCCTAATTCATTTTCAAATCAATTTTGTTATGTGTTAATTGGCAATGTAAATGTAAAATAGCCTCCAAAACCAAAAGATAAACTCACCTGATTGTTATCACTGTAAGGAGTAATCTGCAGAGTAAAATGTACTGTGGCAAAGTCTTGTAAAATAAGTATCTTTGCAAAAGAAAAATCAATATAATAAGAAGATATTTAAATTGGATGGAGCTACTCTTCCTAAGATGACACTGTAAAATATAACATGCTTTATTCATAAAAAAATATTATTTTTATGTTGTTAGCATTTGACCTCAAACTTACGTTTTTCTATTAGGATAATCAGCTTTTTATACTAAAGACACAATGGTTTTGTGAAACTTTTGTGGAATCACAGTTAACTGTTGCAAAGCCTGTTTTCCCACTGATGAGTTTTGTGACCTTGATTACACGGTCTTCTAAAGAGTCACATATGAGATTTTTGTATAACATTTCCTACATAAATATATTTATAGAGCATGTTTTGACATTTCATTTTGCCTTAGTTTTATTTAAGCTATTTTGTTTTATGGTAGTTTTGTTTGTCACCAAAAAAATACTTTCAGAAACAAAAAGGGAACTAACAAGAAGCATAGGAAAAAAGAAATAAGGAAAGCAGAATGAGAATAAAGAAAAAAAGACCTAAGAGAGAAGGAAAGTAATCTGTACATATTTATTTCTGTTCAGTTTCTAGATTTTCATGCTCGTTTGTTATATCCATACACCTTACTATTCACAATGATAAATACAAATATCAAAATGTAAGAGGTGAAGCAATATCATTTCTTATAGAAAGCTTGTTTTGCATTTCTTATATTTTTAAATGAGAGAGTAGTTTCTTAATGATAATTTAAAATCTTGACACAATAAAAAGACTATTAAATTTGAGTGCATTAATAAGTTCATTGGAAGGTTTTCTATGTTGTATATGTATGTGTCTCTTTGTAGACTACATCAAAGGCAAAAGTGTAATAGTCCTAATGTACAAAGTGCTCTAAAGTCAATTAGTCATTTAAAAACTATATGGTATAGGGGGCTTCCCAGTGTGGCTGAGTTTAAATAATCCTTTGTCTCTAAATAACAACTATAGAACTTGATTAAAATGTCACAAATAACAATTTCTGAACTCTCAGAGTTGACCAACCATAAAGAACTGTTGGGATTCACTCAGGATGGTGGCAGAAATATTAAAGGGAAATATTAGGGAAAGTTATAGGGAATAGACACAAACCTTTTTGGAAGGCAGAAAAGTTACATAGCTTGTAATAATTGAACAGGCTGAAGGCAGCCGGTTCTTACCTTAAAGCATTAGGTCATAGGGTAAATACTAGGGACAATAGGGATTTCCCCAGTTAAGTCTGTTTACCCTACCTCCACTGACTAACCTTTGAGCCAGATGGCCCTCTCTGGGGGAGGTCGACCAAGGATGTTGCCCCCTAAAGATATTTACGTTAAACTGGGGTACCTGAGCTTTAATCACTGGTAGAACTCCTCTCTTACCCATGTTAATTATCCTCAAGCATGTCTACTCAAAGCTTCTGTTGTTTATTGTATACTAAATAAATGCCTGGAATGCAAGCTGCTCAGGGCAGGCCTCAGTGACAAACCTGTCTTGGTGTGCAGGCGGTCGGACACTCAGCAGGACTGGCAAAACAGAATATCTGTGTGGCAGTGTACGTTTTATTCATCCGTCATTTGGGTCAGGGTCTGCGGGCAGACCCCCACAGCTAATGCCCTCTTGTGAGGAGCAATACCTCAAAGAACAAATTGATTTATTCATGAAAATGACTGAACTTCAAATAAGATCAGTGTAGCTCACTTTAGTTGGAAACGAAGGTAAAAAACCTGCATCAGCAGCACCCAGTAAGAGTAGTGAAATCAGTGGCAAATGAACATAACAGGACAGCAACTCTGCTAACTTGAAGTGGTCCTGACTGAAAAAAAAAAATCAATGGATTAACAGGCTAGATAGAAATGTCATAAGGAGATTCTGGAAATAAGATTGACATACAAAAGTTTGATAGCTCTTCAGGTGCTTTTTGTGCACACGTGCACTGGAAACTGAAAGGGTTCCAGGCCATCCGCACATCTCTGGCTGCCTGAAACACTACACAAACAAGCAGAAAATATGCAATAAATTCTGGTGAAAAGTAAGAGTCAGGAAACATCTGAAAACTGACGAATATTAAATGCATTTTCTAACCTACACACAGAATTGAAGTCTTACTGACTCAATGTATTTAACCACAAAGTCCGTCCAATTTAAGCTGACCATTGAGATGTATCACACAAAGGTGTCCCCTAGCAAATCAGGCTCAAATATAAAAATAAGTAAATAAACAAAAAATAAATACAAAACAAACAGAAAAGGGACTTGAAATAATACCTACAGTGACAGAGGCATATTCTACGGGCTTATTTCAGGGAAGTTATTAAGCAAATAATAATAACTCTGAGGGGAAAAGAATCAGAATCAATAGTTACTACATAATACTCCCTCATTATATATTTTTCAACAAATATTATAAGGTGGACTAAGAAACATAAAAGTGTGACTTTATGCAAAATAGAAGCAGTTAATAGTAATTTTCACTGGGTTGGCCTAGATGATGAATTTATCAGAAATAAGTACTTCAAAGTAGTTTTATAAATATATTCAAAGAACTAAAGTAATGTTAATGAAATAAAGATAACATGGGAAGTGTAGTGTCAACAGAATCAACAATTAGAGAATATCAAAAAAGGGATATAAATTATTAAAAAGGACCAAATGAAAATTCTGGAATGAAAAACAAATTTGAGGGTAAAAGTAAAATTTCTCGAGGGGCTACATGGTTCATTTGGGATGCCAGGAAAAAAAAATCCAGTGAACCTGAAGACAGAGCAGTAGGACTTATCTAATCTGAAGAAACTAGAAATAAAGATGAGGACAAATTAACAGAGCTTCAGAGACCTGTGTAAACACACAAAATGTGCCTATGCATGGGATGGAAATAGGAGAAGGATGGGAGAGAGAAGAGAGCAGAAAAATAATTCGAAAACTAACGCCTGAAATATTCTCAAAACTGATAAGAATACATTAATTTACACATTCAAGAAGTTCAATGAACTTCTGTTAGGATAAAAACAGAGAATAACAGCTAGGCAAAATCAGAATTTAACTAGTCAAAGTCAAATTATAAAAGAAAATCTTGAAAAGAAGAGAAAAACAAGTAATCATGAATAGGAACCTGACAATATGATTAATGGTTAAGTTCTTGTCAAGAAAAATGGAGTCCAGAAGACAGTGGAATGACATATTCGGAATGCTGAAAGAAAAGTAGTTTGCTTCTACATTTCAAAAGTAGTTTATTTTAACTAGTATTAGCAATGGTTCTATGTGTTTAGCCCCATGAAGACAAATGTGTGTGTGTGTGTGTGTGTGTGTGTGTGTGTGTATGATTTCTGTTTTAGTCCATTCTCATGCTGCTGATAAAAAGACATACCCAAGACTGGGTCATTTACAAAGAAAAGAGGTTTAATGGACTCACGGTTCTACGTGGCTGGGGAGGCCTCACAATCACGGCAGAAGACGAAAGAAGAGCAAAGGGACTTCTACATGGTGACAGGCAAGAGAGCATATGCAGGAGAACTCCGCTTTATAAAACCATCAGATCTCCTGAGACTTACTCACTATAAGGAGAACAGCACACGAAAAATCCACTCCCATTATTCAGTTACCTCCCACAGAGTCCAT
This sequence comes from Homo sapiens, assembly GCF_000001405.40. Lineage (NCBI taxonomy): Eukaryota > Metazoa > Chordata > Mammalia > Primates > Hominidae > Homo > Homo sapiens. Next base: position 35,192,856 of record NC_000004.12, read on the forward strand.
CCCTGGACACGTGGGGATTATTACAATTCAAAATGATATTTGGGTGGGGACACAGGCAAACCATATCAATTTCATTATTTGAAATGAATGGACAACTACTGGCATTTACCTAAATGACATATCTCTTTAATCTCACAAAAATGACAGGGAAAATAATCTGGTTACCTCCTGTTATAGCATTCAGAGTTTAAGCAAGAGAGATGACAGGCTGTGAGAGCTTGGAATTATCAGTGAGTCTCAACACATAAGTGTTTCTGTATCAAAAAGTTATTTTCACTTATTCTCTTACAAATGATGTTCCTCTAAAACCTATTTTTTTAAGTGTTTCAGACTTTCAATTGTAAAAATAAACACCTGCAATATATAGTAAATTTATTTACATAAAGGTAATAATATTTCAACATATGCAATGGAAATCCAACTAGCCAAACCTTGTAGTAATAAAGTGAACTACTCTGTCTTTGTCTTTTCAGCTGTTAAATGTCTTTGAGAATATTTTGAAATTAATGCATGAGAAAATGTTCTTTGTCGCATCTCCTTTGTGAGACTTGGGCAAGGTCCAATAAATGTCAACCATCAATTTGGCATGTAGGTAAGTGGATGCTAGATGACTTAAGTGGTCTATTCAATTGTTCTTCATTCTTCTAATATTAATTGACTGCCTACTAGAAGCCAGGTCCTTCGCTGGATTATGCAGATACAATGATAAGTCGAAGGGAGAAAGGAAAGCTCAGGAAATTTTAAAAGGACAGTAGTTTGCTCTATTTTCCCCCATACATTTATTGAATTATTCATATCCATTTGGACTCATGGATATTTATTCGTTATACTTTGGGAAATAATACAAGACTTCTTTATTTACTTTGTTTTTTAAAATTGTTCCAGCTTTAGCCATTGGGATCTTTTCCAGTTTCCTCCTGTATTTCTTTGGGATACCTTGTTATTGTGGAAGATTGTGTGTGTATGTTTAACTTCTCTTACTTTCTGTAACTACAAGATGCTCCAGGCTTATCTTGTATATTTTTTGCCCCAGTCCTAAAATCAGCCATTTATCCAGGAAGCCATTATTCCCCTTACTAGAGAATGACATTAGAAACCACCATCAGGCACCAAGTGTGCTCATTGGCTCATTGTTACTTGGTATTGTAGTTTCCAGGCCCTCTAGTCTAATCAAGCAGGGTGATACACGTATGTAAGCTAACCTGTATCGTATGCTCATATCTACAAATATTCCTATATGTAATTGTATGTGTCTATTTTAAGCAAAACCTAGATTCATATTGATGTTACCAGCTCTCTGACATGAATCATCTTAGCCACATTCTATGACTTATCTGTAAACTCTCACTTTAAAAGTAAAATCCCTGGTTTCTACCATCTGCCATCCATTTGTGTATTTTTTCATTCACAGGATATTAGTGCCTTCAAAATTATCAACCTGTACCTCCATGGGGAGCTAATATATCGACTAGAGTACAGTGCTTAAGTACAGTTCTTTTTCCTTCAGTTTTAGGGATATGATTCATTTCCAAAATTACTTAGGTCAGTACCTTATTCTCCCACCTGCTTCAGGGAGGTTGTTTCATACATTTGTAATACATGTAGCTTCTTTCCTCACATCTTGCATTAATGATCTTGGAATTAACAGATATCCTGATTTACATTTTTTAAAACCTTTCATACATTAACATTAATTGTTTTAAATTTCTATGGGTTTTAATAAATGCTAAATGTCATGTATTCACCAATTCAGTATAATAGAAAATAGTTTTATAACCCTCAATTCTTTACTGTGAGACCCTAATGATATTCGTCGGATGTAAAGCTCAAGGATTGGAGCCGAGGGGTTTCTTACCATCAGGTAGACCACACTTAGTCTCAAGTAATTAGTCAAAATTAACATTTAACTGTTCTTATAAATCTATGGCTCCAGTGGTTTCTGATCCATGTTAAGCAGATCTGGACTGTGTCTCTCTGGATTTGCTTGTCGCTGCAGATTTCAGGATGGCAGTTTTCCACTTGCTCAGTCAGTTCTCAGACAGGGCCAAGAGCAATTGTTGATTGTCAGTTTGTCCAGTTTTTTTCTCCCAAGAATTAGAACAATGACTTCCAAGCTTTTTAAATATTGAAGTTAACACAGAAACTTCTATCCTAATGTATTTTAATAGTCAGTTTCCTGGATTAAAAATAAAATATTCCATGGATTTAATCTAAAAAAAGTACATATCTAAAATTAAAAAATTATAAGCTCATGATTATATTTTTTAAAAAGTTCTGACAAAGATTATTCTTATATATACTCGAAACATATACCTGATGTACGTGTATAAATATACATAAAACATATCCTTGAAAGATATCCAAAACAGATGATGAAAATGTCTACTTAGAGTTGAGAGATTTAAGCATTATTATTAAGTTTATCTTTCTTTAGGGGAAAAGAAAAAGTGATTAAGAAAGATGAGAAACTTACTTTGACTCTATTTAGGCTTCATGGTTAGATATGCTTTTGTTTAAATATACCATTAATTTAGAAATTCATTTAATAATATTTGACTAATATGTTCCAAATTCCTTTCTTAGGTTCTGGGGATACAAGATAAATTTTTCTTATGTACTTATAGCTTATAATGAATCAATAAAAACTTTGTACCATTGAAAACTGCTAGAGATAGTTTTGATTTCCATAGTATTACAAATCGTGTTCCTATAATTAAAATGAAGCATTGAGTTAATAGAATTTTAACTATCAATCTGCTTTTCTATCAGATATTAGGGGTAACTAATCTCCTGCTTCTGATGTAAGATTTTGGAGAAAAATGACTCCTGAGAAGCTGACTTGCCCTATTGAAAATGTGTAGTAGTGAAAAGAAAGTACTATAAAGATCTCAGCTGTGAAATGTTACTAAACTATTCAAGTTGTTGGCATAAAGTAGGTTCAGCACTCCATGGCCAGGCTTTGCATAGGTTGAAAGACAATTACACTGCAGTTTTAAAGGGGAATTTATGTAACATATCCTGCCAGCATATTTAGTCCATGTGAAAGAATGTCAGGATCCTGAAAGTATTCTGTCTGAAGAGCAGGAATTAGAAAATTGGAGTTAATGGTGCTAGTTGTAACCAATTGCCAATTATTTCTTCATTCACTATAAGTATCCAGTATATGTTAGTGTGTAGTATGAAAAATGTTCATTAATTTGAAATATAATTTTAAGGCTAATGAAAATTTTAATAAGCTAGCCCAAAGTTACTTGGACATTTATATCAAGGGACAGGAAGGTAAAATGACATTGAACAAAATAAATTCTGCCTTGTAACTGATATTTAGAGAATTAAGTAAGAGGCAACAGGGATAATGAGCGAAGGAAAGCAGATTTTCTCTCCAGGACCTATTAGCAGAAGTAGAAATTCACGTGTGTGATTGAAAATCAGGCAGTACCCCCGTAACTTATGGAACATTCAATGTGAAAGAGGAAAAGACGAATAGTATGAGGCAGGGTGTTTTTGGTTTCTCAACTAGAACATTCACATTAAATGAGATGCTCTTTGTAAGACTTAAAAACAGGCTTTTTTTTTTTCATTTTTCATTTCTCAAAATTAGCAGTTGGTTCACATATTCAATTTAAGAAATTACTATATTGGTGATGAAATTACTCCAAATGTAACAGTTTTAAATGAAGAAACTAATCACTGAACATATTGTGTTATAAAACTCATGGTCAGAAAGCGACACTACAATTTTCTTATTAAAGAAGAAATTAACTTATAGTTGACAAAATGACTTTTAGAGATTTTAATATATGCTAGATAGTTAAGTTACAAAACTTCAGCTTCAACTCATTATGAATTTATTTCTTGATCAAATATATGGCTTGTTCAAATATAGCTACTGCCAAAATGAATTGTTTTTAACTTATGAGATGTTTGAAGTAATTGAAAATTGAAAAGTTTATGGCTAACACTAAAAGCAAAACTAATTAACAGCTATTTTTTTGGTTTAGAACTTTATGAAAGCATATATATGTGAAAATGGCGTTGTTATATACCAAAACTTTAAAATTAATTCTATCTGTAATGTTAAGAAGGAAAAAAGACACAGATTAAGGACTCATTCTGCAATAATCTTTTGCCTTCTTAAATAAGTTCAAATATACAAATTTTATAATTCTAATTTTATAAATCTAATTCAGTTATTCATTTTTAGATACGAATTCAATGACTGCTTTTTAAAAAATAATTTGTTCAGCAACAGCTTATTTATAAATTAAAAATACCTACTTGGTTTTAATAGATACTATTTTAAAAGTAATGACAATTTGAATAAGTGATTATATTGAATCTCTCAACTGATGAATTTTTTAAAAATATCCTGCCCTTCTTTGCTGATTTTTCCTTACACATAGGGAAATTTCTCATTAAGAATGTGAAATTATGTGATAAGCACTTTACATATTTATATTTGATAATAGTGATTTGGGGTTTTATTACATCTTAAATAAATGAACAGGCATATAATTCCTTATTCTAAACAATAAATCCATCTTTAAGGAAAGGTATCATAGTTTTGTTGAGTTACAATGAATTTCAAGCATTGATTTGTTCTGATACACTGGGGAAGTTATTCATTTGTTTGTTTGTTGTTGTTTTCTCAAATATCTCAAATTGCCTCAGTTTTCTTTTGGAAGGAAACTATGTATGTCACCCACCAGCTGCCGTTGAGGAAATTGCCTAACAGTGTTTTTTGTTTGTTTGTTTTGTTTTTTTCTTTTATGGATAAATGACTATGTTGCCTGACATGTAAATCATCTCCCTAGTCACAGCTGAGTGGAATACAGAATAAATATCAACCAATAAGGGATTAAGAGGAAAGAAATATCTCCCCAAATAACAGCAGTAATGATTTGGGCCAGTCATGCTTTTATTGTTCATAAATAAGTCGACACTAAAAGATAAAACACACAGAAAAGCAATTCACAAACATCATCGGCAATGCAAGCCACATATCATCAAAAGCCATGAATAATCAGCAAACATGAGAAAGTGAAATATAAAGAATGAGATTATGTGTAGCCAGAATTAGAGGAACAAAGATGGAGATAACTGAAGGTATCAAGATGTAAATCTTAGAGCTCCAGCTGCTCAGGTACCAGTAAGATGAACTGCTTGTATATAGCATGTTGGAAATATATAAATGTTAGGAGGGAAGATTTTATCAGAACCTTAGAGTTGTTTTATAAATGTGCCTTAAAGATTCAAATCTTATGTATTATGTCAGTGAGTCTCCATGGAGCCTGTAGGATCATGATTAGATTAGGAAGCTAGGCAATGTTTCTAATTAATTAAAGACCCAATTAAATAATTACTAAGTATCTTCTGTAGCCCTGACATTTTACATTTAGGTGAATTTTTCTGAATAGCCATATTGAACATTAAAGAAGAAAATGTTTTTACATTATTGCTATTTATTTGGATTAAATTAACAAAAACAAATCTCAAAGTTTGGTGTATATCAGAAGACCTGAGGAATTTGTATTTAAAGATGACTAGTCTGTACTCTAGAATCCACTGAACAAGAGTCTAAAGATTTAGACACTGGTAACCAAAACTAAAAGTCATTTCATTAATCTTTCTTTATGATTTAATCAAAGTGCTAAAATATATTTGCTGATGTATATTCATGGAAATAAAAATTTAGTTAATAAATATGACATAACGTACATTTTATAGAATATATTTTCTTAATATTAGTATGGCACTTTGAGATATTAATTCCTCTGAAGCAGTATTTAAATCAGAATTCTTACAGCTCTTCTGTTAATAAGTTATTCAATACCAAATTAGTAGTTTGTATGTTATAAATTTGTAGGAAAATAATTATATATGCTTACTTTGTACATAAAAATAAAAACATGACTTCTTTTAGACACTCCTTCATTAGAAATAAAATAAAATAAACTATTAGCAGTTTGACTTCATGTTCTGTCTGTAGGTCATGGAATCCTGTCCTTACAATATTTATTGATTGTGAAAATATCAGTAAATAAGCAATTGAATATGTTTACCTTTTCTTCTAGTCACTATGTTCTTAGAGTTATGAGAATCTTCCATGTTTCTAATTACTGTATATGCTTCTTTTTTAGCCAGTTAAGTTTTCAACAGCATTTAATACAGGTTATAACACTCTTAATTACAAAGACTTTTTCTTTTCTTAATACTCTGTTGATTTTCCTCTTATGTAACTGAATATTTGTATTCAAAATTTTGTTTTGTTTGTACTTCCTCTGCTACCATGTTAGACTCTTACCTCTTCTCTATCCATTCCCTCTTCCAGGATGATTTCAATCTCTTTGATTTAAATGTTGTGTATTACATAAAACGTAATGTGTGTATACATATACTTATATGTATACACATACATATGTGTTGTGTGTGTGTATATACATATATATATATATATATATATATATATATATATATATATATATATCCTGTTACCATCTCAAACCAAAACCATAGGAATCACATCCCTAATTCTTATTCATCCTTCATATTCAGTCTATTTTCAAACTGCTATATATAATTCCAGGATGTGTCTTAAATTTGCCTATTATTTATTTTTCTTCCCATGATTCTGGGCAGAATTTCTCAAACCATGTAAAATGGAATACTCAGTATCCTGTGCTCTGTAGGAAAAAAAAATGTTGTGATAAATAATTTTGAGAAAGGCTGTTCTCACTTGGAGTTACACTAAAATTTTATCACTTTAATGACCAAACATTTTTTTACTAACTGTATCTTTACACATTTATTTCTTCATATGATTTTATCACTGTCGTGACCCTTTGGCTACAAATAGGGAGCTTATGGAAGATAGTAGTTAATGACAAGGATTCGAGAGCTTAGAAAGTTTGCTCTTATTTTCTAGGAATTCAGGTGTCTTGGTCTATTCAGGCTGTTATAAAAATACCATAAACAAAGGGGCTTATAAACAACAGAAATTTACTTCTCACAGTTTTGGAAGCTGCGATGTTCAAGATCAAAGTGTCAGCAGATTGGGTGTCCAGTGCGGGTCCATTTCCTGCTTGATAGATGATGCCTTCTCTCTGTCCTCACATTGTGGAAGGGACAGCTCTCTGGGTTCTCTTTAATAGGGACACTAATCTCACTTATGAGCGCTCTGCTCTCGGGATATAATCAATTCCCAACAGCTCTATCTACTACCATCACATTGGTAATTAGGTTTTCAACATACAAAGTTTGGGAGAACACATTTAGACCATACCATTCAACTTCTGATCTCTTCAAAATTCATGCCCTTCTCACATGCAAAACACACTCATTTTATCCCAATAGCTCCTCAAATCTTAACTCATATCTCAAAAGTCTAAGTCAAAGTCTCATCTAATATCATTTAAAGCATTTAAATAATATATGGATGAGACTCAAGGTACAATTCATTCTGAGGCAAAATTCCCTTTATCTGTGAAACTATGAAATCAACCATGTTATGTGATTCCAAAATACAATACGGAGACAAGCATAGGATAGACATTCCCATTCCAAAAGCGAGAATCAGGATAGAAAGAAGGATTAGAGATTCTGGGCAGGTCCAAAACATTAAGGCTTGACTTGAAACTTTGATACTTTGCCTTCTGGACATCCTGGGGAAGCTGTTGGCACCCCAAGACTCTGGAAAACCTTACACCCATAGCTTCACTGGGCACAGCTCACACCCAAGCTTTCACAGGGAGTAATCAGGTGCCTGTGGCTCCCCCAGGCTAGAATTGCACATCTGTGTCTCCACCAGTCTGGGGTTTCTGGAGTGGCCCTGCCTCCTTGGCTCTACTAGACATTTCCCTATTGGAGACCTATTATCTTTCTTTCTTTTTTTTTTTCTTTTTTTTTTTTGTGTGTGTGTGTGTGTTGGTTTTTTTGTAGACACGTTTTCTTTTTTTTATTATTATACTTTAAGTTCTAGGGTACATGTGCACAACATGCAGGTTTGTTACATATGTATACATGTGCCATGTTGGTGTGCTGCACCCATTAACTCGTCATTTACATTAGGTATATCTCCTAATGCTATCCCTCCCTCCCCCATACATCAACAGGCCCCGGTGTGTGATGTTCCCCTTCCTGTGTCCAAGTGTTCTCATTGTTCAATTCCCACCTATGAGTGAGAACATGCGGTGTTTGGTTTTTTGTCCTTGCCATAGTTTGCTGAGAATGATGGTTTCCAGCTTCATCCATGTCCCTATGAAGGACATGAACTCATCCTTTTTTATGGCTGCAAAGTATTCCATAGTGTGTATGTGCCACGTTTTCTTAATCCAGTCTATCATTAATGGACATTTGGGTTGGTTCCAAGTCGTTTTGCTATTGTGAATAGTGCTGCAATAAACATACTTGTGCATGCGTCTTTATAGCAGCATGATTTATAGTCCTTTGGACATATACCCAGTAATGGGATGGCTCGTTCAAGTGGTATTTCTAGTTCTAGATCCTTGAGACCTATTATCTTTCTAATTGGAGATCCTCTACAGCAGCACCACCGTACTGTAATCCTCTGACAGAGTCTTCTGCCTGTGTCCCTTCATGGTTTCATAATTCAAAATGCAGGTGGAGGTAGCAGAACCACCATGAGTCTCAACACTTTGTGAGCCAACAGAGATGGTATTGTTTGAACACTGCCAAGGTTTACCACTTGTAGCCCCTATGTGACATTTAGGCCTGCTGGAACTGAACCTGACACAGCTGGAGAGTGCTGCTCTGTAAGGCTTGGAGCAGAGCAATGAGGTGATACCAGGCAGTGAATGTCAAGTTCTTGTGGGTGTCCTCTCCGGCCCCTCCTTTGAAATTGTTCAGCCCCCAATGCCCTTGCTTTCTGGGTGTGATGTTTAATACTGAGTGTCAACTTGATTGGATTGAAAAATACAAAATATTGATCCACAGTGTATTTGTGAGTGGGTTGCCAAAGGATATTAACATTTGAGTCCATGGGCTGGGGAAGGCAGACCCACCCTTAAGCTGGGTGGACAAAATCTAATCAGCTGGCTGTGAGACTACAATATAAGCAGGCAGAAAAATATGAAAAGAGAAGCTGGCCTAGCCTCTTAGTGTACATCTTTTTCTTGTGCTGGATGCTCCTTGCCTTCGAACGAACATTGGACACCAAGTTCTTCAGTTTTGGAACTCAGATTGGTTCTCCTTGTTCCTCAGCCTGCAGACAGTCTATGCGAGGACCTTGTGATAATGTAAATTAATACTTAATAAACTCCCCATTATATATGTATAAAATATATATAAATATATAAAAATATAAATATATATAAATATACATAAATATATAAATATACATATAAATATATATATAAATATATAAATATCTATAAATATACAAATATATAAAAATATATAAAAATATATAAAATATATATAACTATATAAATATATATAAAAATATATATAAATATATGTAAACATATATGAAAATATATGAATATATAAATATATAAATATATATGAATATATATATGAATATATATGAATCTATATAAATATATGAATATATATAAATATATATGAAAATATATAAATATATAAATAATATATATGAATATATATAAATGTATAAATATATAAATATAAATATAAATATATAAATATATATATAAATATAAATATATAAATATATATATAAATATAAATATATAAATATATAAATATATATATAAATATAAATATATAAATATATATATAAATATAAATATATAAATATCTATAAATATAAGTATATATAAATATATAAAAAATAAATATATATGAATATATATAAATATATGAATATATAAATATATAGGAATATATAAATATATAAATATATGAATATATAAGTATATATAAATATATGAATATATAAATATATATAAATATATGAATATAAAAATATATGAGTATATAAATATATATATAAATATATAAATATATAAATATATATAAATATATATACATATAAATATATATAAATATATATAAATATATATAAATATATACAAATATATATAAATATATAAATCTATATACATAAATATATATAAATCTATATACATAAATATATATAAATATATGTATAAATATATTTACATATATAAATATATAAATATATGTATGAATATATGTAAATATATATAAATATATATAAATATATATGTAAATATATGTATATATAAATATAGAAATATATATAAATATATATAAATATACATATATATAAATATATATAAGAATATATAAATATATAAATAAATATATAAATATATATAAATATATATAAATAGGTATAAATATATATAAATCTATATAAATATGTATAAATATATATAAATATATATAAATAAATATATATAAATATAAATATATAAATATATATCAATATATATGAATATATATAAATATATATCAATATATATGAATATATATTAATATATATGAATATATATAAATATATATATAAATATATATATAATATATAAATAAATATATATAAATATATATATAATATATAAATACCTATAAATACATATAAATATATATAAATATATAAATACATATGAATATATGTAAATATATAAATACATATAAATATATGTATAAATACATATAAATATATATAAATACATATAAAAACTTATAAATATATATAAACGTATATAAATACATATAAATATATATAAATACATATAAATATATATAAATACATATAAATATATATACAAATATATATAAATATATATACACACACATATATGTATATATATGTGTAAAGAGGAGTTTAAGTATTAACTGATATATATGTAGTAGACAAACCATTAGTTCTGTCCTCTCGATAACCCTGAATATTACAGATTTTGAACAAAGGAGTGGTTCTACAGGAACAAAATATTAAAGATGGAGTTCTTTTGTTGGTATTGGGGTTCCTGCAGTTGGATGCTTAATATAATTAAACACCAAACTGTTAAAGACTCTACTTCTAATAGTATGGAGAACACTGATAGTCCTTGGCATAAACTGTTTAGAGAGTTATGCAAAATAAATGCATTTGACATTCCTGATTCATCACTTGTGAGAGGCAAGGAATTTAGGGACTCTGTACATAATACCTTCGACCATATGTGGAGAACCAAGGAACGTATTAAATCTGGTTGGTTGCTCCTAAGTTCAGTTGACAAAGTGTTGAAAGGTAATCATGAACTCAGGGATTCTATCTCCCAGTTTCAGAAGCAGATACTGAGCCTCAAATCTGCTAAGACTGCCCTGAGTGAGAGTCTTATCTCCTGTAGGGAAAAAACAGAAATTGTGGAAAAACAGACACAAGCTCTTATCATGGGAGTGGCAGATCTGCAATGAAAGATGCATGCAGTGCCTCGCCAGGTGTCTACTGTTAAAGCGAGTGCATGGATTGGAAAAGAATGGGACTTTGGAATTTGGAATGAGGATGTGTAGGAGGACCCTTATGAAGGTGGGGACAGTGAGTTGGTAAACTCTGATGAACCTTTTTTTGCCAGAAGAAACAGCTTCCCCATCCCCAGTAGTGGCAACAACCACTCCCCAACCCATGCTGCCATCAGCCTTTCCACATTTGTCTGAGGCGATAAGCCCTGCACTGCCTGAGGCAACAGTGATGGCCTCTCCTAAGGCAGTTGCCAGGCAAGATAATGTTGATTCTCCTCAGGAGCCATTCCCAACACCCCTGTTTGCTTCCAGACCTATAAATGAAGTCCTGGTGGGTCCCTAGAGGTAAGGTTGAGAGTGTGACCCAGGAGAAGGTGTGCTACACTCGAAAAGAACTGCTTAAGTTTTCCAATTTATATAAACAGAAATTTGGAGTACAGGGATAGGAATGGATATTAAGGGTGTGGGATAATGGTGGAAGGAACATAGAGTTGGATCATGCTGAATTTGTTGATTTGAGCCCACTAAGTAGGGACTCTGCTTTTAATGTTGCAGCTCAGGGAATTAAAAGAGGTTCTAATAGTTTATTTGCTTGGTTTGCTGAAATATGGATTAAAAGATAGCCCACTGTGAGTAAGCTGGAAATGCCTGATCTCCCTTGGTTTAATGTAGAGGAAGGGACCTAAAGTCTTAGGGAGATTTGGATGGTGGAGTGGATTAGTGACTTTAGGCATATTCATCCCAGCTGGGAGGGTTCAGAAGATAACCCCCTGACCAATGCTTTGAGAAATAGATTTGTTAGGGCAGCACCTGCATCTTTGAAGAGGCCTGTAATTGCTCTTCTCTGTATGTCAGATCTAACGGTGGGAACTGCAGTCACTCAACTACAAAATTTAAATACAATGGGAATAATTGGATCCCAAGGTGGCAGGGGTCAACCGGTGGCACAACTATCAAAGGCAAGGTGGGAGTAGCTGCTGTAATGGATAGTAATGGAAAGTGGGAATAAGAATAGTTTGACTCATATACAGCTCTGGCATTGGCTAATTAATCACGGTTTCCTAGAAGTGAAATTGATAGGATGCCTACTGCATTTCTACTTAATTTACATAAGCAGAAGACTTCTAGGTTGAATGGACAAAAGGCTAATTATAAAAACTGAGTATTATAAACTAATTATATATTATATTTAAAAACTAATTATATATAACTAATTATAAAAACTGAATTTTTCTAATTATAAAAATGGAGAATCATGGCCCCTCAATCAATTTCCAGACTTGAGCTAGTTTACAGACCCAGAACCCCTTTTATGACTCCATTACATTACTGACAATTTATGCAATGAGACTTTCTCCCATCCTTCCCCAAGCAGACCTCTGGCCTTTTACCAGGGTAACTGTGCGCTGGGGAAAGGGAAATGATCAGACATTTCAAGGACTGCTGGACACTGGCTCTAAGATGACATTGATTCCAGGGAGCCCAAAACATCATTCCAGTTGACGTTTCTGGAAGACGTCATCTTCCAGTTGAAGTAGGGGCTTATGGGGTCAGGTAATTAATGGAGTTTTAGCTCAGGTTTGATTTAGAGTGCGTCCAGTGGGTACCTGAACTCATCCTGTGGTTATTTCCCCAGTGCTAGAATGCATTATTGGCATAGACATACTTAGCAGCTGGCAGAACCCCCAGATTGGCTCCTGACTGGTAAGATGAGGGTTGTTATGGTGGGAAAGGCCAAATGGAAGCCATTAGAGCTGCCTCTACCTAAAAAACTAGTAAATCCAAAACAATATTACATCCCTGGAGAGACTGCAGAGATTAGTGCAACCATCAAGGACTTGAAAGATGCAGAGGTGGTGATTCCTATCACATCCCTGTTTAACTCTCCCATTTGGCCTGTACAGAAGAAAGAGGGATTTTGGAGAATGATGGTGGACTATTGTAAGCTTAACCAAGTGTTGACTCCAATTGTACCTGCTATACCAGATGTGGTTTCGTTGCTTGAACAAATTAATACATTTCCTGGTACCTGGTATGCAGCCATTGACTTGGGAAATACCTTTTTCTCCATTCCTGTCCATAAGACCCACCAGAAGCAATATGCCTTCTGCTGGCAAGGTCAATAATATACCTTTACTGTCCTATCTCAGGGGTATATCAACTCTCCAGCTTTGTGTCATAATCTTATTCAGAGAGATCTTGATCGCTTTTCATTTCTGCAAGAATATCACACTGGTTTATTACATTGATGACATTATGCTGATTGGATCCAGTGAGCAAGAAGTAGCAATCATACTAGGCTTATTGATAAGACATTTGTTTGCCAGAGGATGGAAAATAAATCTGACTAAAATTCAGGTAACTTCAACTTCAGTAAAATTTCTAAGGGTTTAGTGGTGTGGGTCCTGTCGAGATATTCTTTCTAAGATGCAGGATAAATTGCTGCATTTGGCCCGTCCTTCAACCAAGAAAGAGGCACAACACCAAGGGAGCCTATTTGGATTTTGGAGGCAACACATTTCTCATTTGGGTGTGTTACTCCAGCCCATTTATCGAGTCACCTGAAAGGCTGCCAGTTTTGAGTGGGGTCCGGAACAGGAGAAGGCTCTGCAACAGTCCCAGGTTGCTGTTCAAGGTGCTCTGCCACTTGGGCCATATGACCCAGAAGATCCAATGGTGCTTGAGATGTCAGTCACAGATAGGGATACTGTTTAGAGGCTTTTCCAGGCCCCCATAGGTGAATCACAGTGGAAGCCTCTAAAATTTTGGAGCAAGGCTCTGCCGACTTCTGCAGATAACTACTCTCCTTTGAGAGACAGCTCCTGGGCTTTGGTAGAAACTGACGGTTTGACTATGGGTCATTAAGTCACCATGCAACCTGAACTGCCTATCACAAACAGGTTGCTTCCTGACACACCAAGCCATAAAGTGGGTAGTGCAAAGCAGCATTCCATTATCAAATGGAAGTGATATATACGTGAGTGGGCTCAAGCAGGTCCAGAAGGCACAAGTGAGTTACATGAGAAAATGGCTCCAATGCCCATGGTCTCCATTCTTATCACCCTGCCTTCTCTCCCCCAGCCTGCATGGATGATATCATGGGGAGTTCTGTCAGTTGACAGAGGAAGAGAAGGCTAGGGCCTGGTTCACAGAGGCTTCTGCAGGATATACAGGCATCACCTGAAAATGAACAGCTGCAGCACTACAGCCCTTTTCTAGGATATCCCTGAAGTGCAGCCACGAAGAGAAATCTTCCCAGTGGGCAGAACTTCGAGGAGTGCACCTGGTGTGCACTTTGGATGGAGGGAGAAATGGCCAGATGTAAAATTATATACTGATTCATGGGCTGTAGCCAACGGTTTGACTGGATGGTCAGGGACTTGAAAGAAGCATGATTGGAAAATTGGTGACAAAGACATTTAGGGAAGAAGTATGTGGATGGACCTTTCTAAGTGGTAAAAAACTGTGAAGATATTTGTATCCCATGTGAGTGCTCACCAGTGGGTGATCCCAGCAGAGGAGGATTTTAACAATCAAGTGGATAGGATGTCCCATCTATGGACACCACTCAGCAACTTTCCACAGCCATGCCAAGGGACTCATAAACAAAGTGGCCATGGTGGCATGGATGGAGGTTACACATGGGCTCAGCAACATGGACTTCCACTCACCAAGGCTGACCTGCCTATATCCACTGCTGAGTGCCCAATTTGCCAGCAGCAGAGACCAACACTGAGCCTTCAATATGGCACCATTCCTCAGGGTGATCAACCAGCTCCCTGGTGGCACGTTAATTATATTGGACCTCTTCCATCATGGAAAGGGCAGAAGTTTATCCTCACCGGAGGAGACACTTACTCCTGATATGATTTTGCCTATCCTGCTTACAATGCTTCTGCCAAGGCTACCATCCATGGACTCACGGAATGCCTTACCCACCGTCATGGTATACCACACAGCATTGCATCTGACTAAGGCACTCACTCACTTTACTGCTAAAGAAGTGTGGCAGTAAGTACATGCTCATGAAATTCACTGGTCTTACCATGTTCCCTATTATACTGAAGCAACTGGATTCATAGAATGGTGGAATGGCCTTTTAAAGTCACAATTACAACGCCAACTAGGTGACAATTCTTTTCAGGGCTGGGGCAAAGTTCTCCAGAAAGCTGTGTATGCTATGAATGAACATCCAACATATGGTACTGTTTCTCCCATAGCCAGGATTCACAGGTCCAGGAATCAAAAGGTGGAAGTGGAAGCAGCAGCATTCGCTACACTTCCAGTGATTCAAACTTTTTGCTTCCTATTCCTGCAACATTAAGTTCTGCTGTCCTAGAGGTATTCATTCCAGAGGGAAGAACACTGCCACCAGGAGACACAACAATGATTCCATTAAACTGGTAGTTAAGATTGCCACCTGGACACTTTGGGCTTTTCCTACCTTTAAGTCAACAGTCTAAGAAGGGAGTTACCGTGTTGTCTGGGGTAATTGACCTGAATTATCAAGATGAAATCAATCTACTACTCCACATTGGAGGTAAGGAAGAGTATGAATGGAATACAGGGGATCCATTAGGGGTTCTCTTAGTATTGCCATGCCCTGTGATTAAAGTCAATGGGAAACTACAACAGCCCAATCCAGGCAGGGCTACAAATGACCCAGACCCTTCAGGAATGAAGGTTTGGGTCACTCCACAAGGAAAACAAAACAAAACAAAAAACATGACCTGCTGAGGTGCTTGCTGAAGCCAAATGGAATACAGTAGAAGGTACGTAAGTAAGTAGAAGGTATGGGTAGTAGAAGGTAGTCATCAATACCAGCTATGACCACAGGACCAGCTGCAGAAATGAGGAATGTAATTGTCATGAGTATTTTCTCCTTCTTTTATTAAAAACATATTTGTGCATGTATACACTTGCACTAGAAAGAAACTTCATTTTCTTTTCTTTTTCTTTTATCATGTGACATAAGATTTATTGACTTCATATCAACATTTAAGTATCGTTAACGTTATGTAGTAGTATTTGGGTTGAGGACTGGTTCTCTTCCGGCTGTATGAAGGATAGTTGTGCTATGTTAGATGTAATTATGACCTTGTTATTGTCTTTATTCGATGATTATATCTGATCTCAGGAGATGTGTATGGGTTCAAGTTGACAAGGGGTGGACTTCTGATGGTTAATACTGAATGTTAACTTAGTTGGATTGAAGGATACAAAGTATTGATCCTGGGTGTGTCTGTGAGGGTTTTGCCAAAGGAGATTAACATTTGAGTTAGTGGACTAGGAAAGGAAACTCACCCTTAAATTAGGTGGGCACAATCTAATCAGCTGCCAGTGAGGCTACAATATAAGAAGGCAGAAAACTGTGGAAAAAGAGACTGGCCTAGCCTCCCAGCTTATATCTTTCTCCCATGCTGGATGCTTTCTTCCCTCACATATCAGACTCCAAGTCCTTCAGTTTTGGAATTTGGACTGGCTCTCCTTTCTTCTCAGCCCAACAGACAACCTATTATGGGACCTTGTGGTTGTGTGAGTTTATACTTAATAAACTCCCATATATATAATATATATTATATATAATAAATATAATTTATAGTATATGTAATACTATATAGTATATATAATATATATAAAGTATACTATAAGTAGCGAACACACTGGGCTTACTGGTGAGACATTTGTGTGCCAGAGGATGGGAAATAAATCTCACTAAAATTCAAGGAACTTCATCCTCAGTAAAATTGTCCAAATATAGTCCATTACTTCTCTCCCTCTAGAGAGTCCTGGCTAATACAATGGGACTCTGATGGAAGAGGAAGCAAAGAAGGTCTCTGAAATGCCTTTGGGGTCATTTTTTCATCATCTTGATAAATAGTACCTCGCAGATCTGTACTTAAATGGTTGCAATGCCATACTCTTGGTGTTCATTATAAAGCACTCTTTCTCATTTTTTACAATATGAACAGGCAGAATATTTTTTAAATTTTTAAGTTCTGTTTCCAATTTCTTTCTTTCTCTCTTTTTGAGAAAGAATCTCACTCTGTCACCCAGGCTGGAGAGCATTGGTGCAATCTTGGCTCACTGCAAATTTTACCTCCCAGGTTTAAGTGATTCTTGTGCTTCAGCCTCCCAAGTAGCTGGGATTACAGGCAAGCACCACCACACCTGGCTAATTTTTGTATTTTAATAAGAGACAGGGTTTCACCATGTTGCCCAGGCTAATCTCAAACTCCTGGCCTCAAGTCACCCACCTGCCTTGGCCTCCCAGAGTGCTGGAATTACAGGCATGAGCCATCATGCCCATCCCTGTTTCCCTTTTGATTAAAAATTTCATCTTTAAATTAATTCTATCTTCTCTCTCTCACTTTACTGTAAACATTTAAAAGAAGCCAAAGCACCCCTTTAACACTTTAGTAGAAATTTCTTCTGCCAAATATCCTATTTCATTGCTCACATGTTCTACCTTTCACAAAACATAAAGGACACCAAGTCAATTTATTTGCAACTTTATAAGAAAGATCACCCTTCCTCCATTTTTTAATAATATGTTCTCCATTTCCATTTAAGACCTCATTAGAATAGTCTTTATTGTCCATATTTCTATCAACACTCTGTTCATGGCCCCTTGGATATTCTTTAAAAGCATTGCAGCTTTCTCTACAACTCTCCTCTTTCTGATCCCTCACCAGAATAGCCCTTAACAGTCTGTTCAAAGCAACATAAGACTTTCTAGCACTCATTTCAAAATCATTTTGGATTTCTCAGCCTCCAGAACTGTGAAACTGACATTGATTTGCTCCTAATTTCAAGAATGTTAAAAGCACAACACAACATCCAGTATAATAAGAGGAAGTAGCCAAGACTTTGTGAAATAAAATTCTCCTGTTATAAGCCACACAGGTTATGTCATTTGTCATGGTCACTCGCCCTTTTCCCAGTTTCAAAATTGTCTCCACATTTTTAGGTCTTTGTTACATCAACACTCCCTCTTCTTAGTACTGATTTTGTCTTAGTTCATTCAAGTTACTATGTCCAAAAGATAGATTTGGTGTCTGGTGATGTCTAGTTTCCGGGTATACAGAAGGATCTCTCTGTGTCTTCAATTGGTAGAAGTGGAAAGGCAGATCTTTGGGGCCGCTTTTATGAGGTCTCTATTCCTATCCATGAAGGCTCCAGACTCATAATTTAGTCACCTCACAAAAGTTCTACATAACACATCACATTGGTGACTAGGTTTCCAACAGATGAATTTGGAGGGAAGAAAAACATTCGGATCTGGCATCAGGTAAGTAACAACTTCTCTGTGACTCAATTGTCTTATTGGTCAAATGGGCATTAAAATACTACACTTCCCAGAATTGTGAAAATTAAGTGAGATAATTCGTGAAATATTCTATGAATAGTGTCTGGCATATATTAAACATTCAATAAATATTGCAGTATGATAATAATTTAATTTGATAAGGTATATTTCACTAGAAATTTCTTGAAGTAAACATTTCCTTAAAATAAAATTGATAATTATAATTGTACTCTTATTTTAAAATTTTCACAGTGAACAACATTATTTGCCTTGAATAAACTGACAAATGTATTCCAAATAAAGTTCTTAATTACAATTGACGCTTTGGGGCTCACAGTGAGAGCAACAGCCATCTGCTTTAAAATGACACTAGCCATAAAAGAGCTCAGTGAAAGAAACTATAAGTTGGTTGCCAATCTGCTTTAATTCCATTTTAGGTTTAAGAAAATGAGAACTTAAGGCTATACTAGGCCATCTTTCAGTGGAAATACTATAGTACTGATGTATGTCTTTTAATATGTCATAATGCCTCAATTGTTAAAAAAATTATATGTGGATATCATCTACTATATAAAAATAAAATATTCCTTCTTTCAAAAACCTTTCTATTGCTTTTCATATTTGGAATATTGAAATTTGGAAAGTAAATGAAATTTGAGTATGTTATCTGGGACTTTGAAGTTTAACAAAAAGAAGTGTTTAAATTATGACAATTCTGCTTGGAGGCTTCTATTGTTATCTTTTTCTGGCTTGATAATCAGAGTACGGAACTCATCATCTTTAGCGGATTTCTTTGAGAGAAATACTGTATAATATTTTGAAGCTAATCTATAGATCCTGAGGGTTTTCTTTAAATAACATGATAGCAAAATCCAAATGCTACTATAGTTACACTATGTATAACAACCAGGCTTATCACAAGGGTACTCTGGAGAGCATTACCTTGGGACTGGGTAGAGAAATCACTTTTACCACTTGACAATGAGTAAAATAGCTGTGGCTATTAGGCAGGTGTGGAAGACTTTATTACTTGTTCACTCAAGTATGTTGTTAAGAGCTTCTAAAGCATAAGAATGCAATTAGTTATAAACAAAATATAATGACTATGTTGTAGAGTAAGTTGGATGACTATAACATAAGAAAGATTTTTGTTTGTGTTAAGAGATTGTTTTCAATTTGGAAAACAACCTTGTTATTGGATAAAACAAATGAAAATAAATAGGAATAAATAGAGGTTCATAGATCAGAAGGCGTATTTGTTTATTTTCCTCCAAACACACAAATACCAATTATTCTAGCTCATATAAGAGGTGGCTCTTTTAATATCTTGGATCTCAAATATTGTTAAACATTGTAAAAACTTTTGGAATTTTTTATAGATACAGATTTCAGAACCCCACTGTCAGAGATCCCTATTCAGTAGGTCTTAACTAGAGTAATCTGACTCCTGTAAGAGCAGCATAGCAATTTGATAATTAACCTGCCAGAGATTTAAATGCAGGTTATTTCAAAAGTAAACAAAGGATACAGAAAACAAGTCTGATTAATTCCAAAAATATCTCAAGAAAAGAAGCCAATACAAGTGTTAGTAAATGTTTCTTATTGAGAACATGTGTAGTATGGAATCTTGCTACTCAAAGTGGCATTGGGTCAGAAAACCAGTAACATCTGCTGACCAGAAAGAATGTTGGAAATGCAAAGTTTTAAGCCCCACAGAATCAAAATCTGCATTTTAATCAGACCCCCAGGGTACACATTACATTTTTTAAAGAAACACTGAAATAAAAGCAACAGAAGAGTTACATTTGCTCTATTCATTTTGCTTTTGATCTGGAAAATATGTTGTCCTATAAGGTTATTTCTACAGAGAAATAATCTCTATCATTATATATGTGTCAGCTGGGTTTTTGTTTGCTCGTTCGTTTGACAGAAACATATTTGAGTACTGAAACTTTATTTAGTGTGTGCTAATGTGAGTAGATCAGAAAATATTTAATTGTATCACATTTATCTTCAAGTAAAGAAATAAAATATGCCTTTCAATAATAGAACAGTCTATCAAAATACATAAGACCTGGGGAAAAACAACTAAACTACTGCTGTCTTCATATTATCTTTTCATTTCACAACTCACTGAACTATAGGGTGAAAATCCACTGATTTTAAATTTATCAGATTTCAATTAGAGCTCATGTAGCATTTATGTTTAGATCAGAAAGGTGCTAGACTAACTCCTTTTAGGAAGCAAAGGCCTAGAAATAGTAATTGGTTACTCTTGGATTTTTTAGGCTATTAGCCATATATTCCACTCACGTAAAGATTAACTTCCTAGAAAATTCTATCTATGACAAAATGCCATTAACTCCTGATCGTCATAAACACATTAAATAACAACCATTGATGCTGCCTTGACAGCTCTGAAGAATTTGTATGCAGTTTTAATGATGGAGAACCTCACTCATCATAATTTTTGAGTGTCGAATTGATTCTTGGAAGAGAAGCTGATAATTTGATTGTTCTGTAATGTGCTAGCACATAATTTCAGAAAGAGAAATCACTTTATGAAAAAACTAATTACATGCAAATGAGTCTCTTCACAAGCTGTTAATAAAATTAGAAATACTTTTTAAAAATGAAGAAAAATTGCTATAAAGTAAAATGCCTTGAAGAGGTAGATGATTAAAGAATGCTATAGGGATACTGCCCCGGAAAGTGCATGAAGGCATCCATGTCAACGAGAAGAAACATGTTGTTTCATTCTTCACTATATCCTCTTGTCCTTTATTTAACCTTGTAAAACCTAAATGATAATATGAATTATGAAATTCCCAATTATTATTGGAATTAAAGTATTATTTATGGGAAACATATCACATAAGTTTCTTCAAATAGATAAATACTTCATGTCTTACAAGAAATCAGTGATAGGTGCATATCCGTTTTACAATTCATGTTTTTATCTTTTAAAAAAGAATGATTATAAAAATAACCCAATATATTCTAGTAATTCCTTTAGAGAAGTAAATAAGTTTTACCATGACATGATTTAACTCTAGTAAAACAATTAACTTAATTATCATTGCTCCTCTTTCTTTTTCACTGTCCAACTTACTATATACTTATTTTGACCAAAGGAATTGAACTGGACTGGATGTACCACAGCTTGTTTACCCATTCACTTACTGAATGGTTGCTCCCAAGTTTTGGCAATTATGAGTAAAGCTATATACATCTGTATGCATGTTTTTATGTGTACATAATTTTCAACTTCCTTGGATAAACACCAAGGAGCATGATTGATGAATTATACAGTAAAGTTAGATTCTATGTCCTTCACAGAAACTAACTCAAAATATATCATGTATCTACATGTAAAATGCAAAACTATAAAACTGCTAGAAGATGACATAAGAAAAAACCTAGATGACCTTGGGCATGGCTATGACATTTTGGCTACAACTCCACAGACATTGTTCATGAAGAAATTAATTGATAAGCTGGCCTTCACTAAAATTAAAATGTTTTTCTCTGAGAAAGACAAAGTTAAGGGAATGAGAAGACAAGGCACAGGTTGGGAGAAAATATTTGGAAAAGACACACCTGATGGAAGACTGTTCTCCAAAATGTGCAAAGTCTCTTAAAATTCAGCAGTAAGAAAATGAACAACCTAATTAAAAAGTAGGCAAAGTTCTTAACAGACATTTCACCAAAGAAGATATGCATATATCAAATAAGCATATGAAACGATGTTCAACATCACATGTCATTAGGGATTTGCAAATGAGAACAACCATGATATACCACTGCACACATATTAGAATGGCTAAAACCCGAAACACTGATACCACCTAATGCTGGCAAGGATATGAGGAACAGAAACTTTTATCTAGTGCTGATAGGAATGCAAAATGGTAAAGCCACTTTGGAAGACAGTTTGGCAGTCTCTACAAAATTAAATATGCTTTTACATATGTTTTACCAGGGGATAAACTAAAAACAACTTGCTCAGCCAACTTGAACCAGTGCAAATCCAGGTTATGAAGTTTAGATTATATCCAGTATGATAAATTTCACAATTACTAGATATGAATAGGAAAAAAATTGTATCTGACATGAAGAAGACACTGTTTCTAATGTAAAACATCCTACGAAAGAAATATCTCCAATAAAAATATTTAAAATTGAAGTATGTTCTAGGCAAACCAATTGAGAATGCAGTGATTCAGTGTGTCTGAGTTTAAACATAATTATTTTCATACTTTTTGTTTACTTTTTTTTTGAGACAGGGTCTCGTTCTGTCACCCAGGCTGGAGTGCAGTGCAGGATCTCAGCTCACTGCAACCTCCTCCTCCTGGGTTCAAGCAATTCTCCTGCCTCGGCCTCCCGAGTAGCTGGGACTACAGGCGCCTGCCACCATGCCCAGCTAATTTTTTTTTTGTATTTTTAGTAGAGACAGGGTTTCGCCGTGTTAGCCAGGATGGTCTGGATCTCCTGATCTCGTGATCCACCTGCCTCAGTCTCCCCAAGTCCTGGGATCACCGGCATGGGCCACTGCGCCGAGCCTGAAGTTTAGATTGTATCCAGCAATGATAAATTTCACAATTACTAGATATGAGTAGGAAATAAATGGTATCTGACATGAAAAAGACACTGTTTCTAATGTAAAATATCATATTAAGGAAATATCTCCAATAAAAAAATTAAAATTGAAGTATCTTCTAAGCAAACCAGTTGAGAGTGCAGTGATTCAGTATGTCTGAACTTAAATAGAATTACTTTCATACTTTTTATTTGCTTTTTTTTAAATCGAATGTCCTGGCTAAGCATCCTATTTAGATTTGCTTATACAGCTAACTACCACTGTGCATAACTTCCAGAATGGGAAATTAGCCTGGCTAATTTAACCACCAGGATTCTAGTCTAATCCTGTTGATGTATTCCTGATAATTAACAATCTGTGAGCAGCTGCATTGTCCAATATCCAATATACAGCACAAGGAAAATGATCATTTGTACATTGTGGGTTTAGTGGACTAAATGAAAGAGGGTTTTCTTATTAATAGCTGCACTTTTCATAAATTTTATGAGTTAATAGGGTTCAATTAATGTTGCCAAGTGGTGTGCTTCATACATATGTCTCTGGGGCTTTGCGAAGTTGAGAAGAATGTGTAATGAATGGTTGAGCAGTTATATTGGTACCCTAGTAATTAGACAACGGGTAATTAATGTGCATCTGTGTTAGGCTCCTGGGTACTGTCAACGACCCTGTAGCGTGCAAAAAATAGAAATTATGAGTTTGGCAAGGGAATACAGCTTTTCTCTTTTTCTTAAATTTTAGATCTACATCTGTGTTTAATTAGAAGAAGAAATGAATTCCCATTAACACCATTAGGAAACATGCTATGATTGGTTAAAGCCTACATGGACTGTGAAACTGATCAAGAAAGCCCAGGAGATCATAATGGATTTTTTTCATCTTAGAAGGCCTTTTATTAAAAAATAAGATATATATCCTGAATAGTCCCTAACTGGTAGTCTGCAGAATAGTTTCTTTCTCTCTCTCTCTCTCTCTCTCTCTCTCTCTCTCTCTCCCTGTCCCTTTTTAAAATTTGGCCACATTCTAAAACTATGTGTGATTTAAACAAAAATCTACTGAACAAATGCTACTCACCACACCCACAACTGAATTTTCTCTCTCAGTGAGTTGCAATAATATCACCTTTGTAATAGGCTTAATATGCAAAAATGTCACATATATTAATGACAGTGTAAAATCGTTTACTAAAAGATAATAGTCATGAATGTTATAGATAACTAGCTGTGCTGATGCTCTAGTTTCCAGAGAGAATCAAATTAAATTGCTTTTATCTCCTGAAGCAGAATAACATTTCATATTCCACATGACAATAAAATGTATCCTTAGGGCAAGTAGTATGTCTGTACTTTTAAAATGAAATAGGCATGATTTAATTAGTATGCAAGAACATAGGCCTCAATTTTGAAAGAAAGATGACTCTCCTGAGTGTTCTTGTTCACTGGCCCACTAAAATTCTGCTTTTGAAGGAGAGCTACTAAGTGGTTGTATTTGTAATTAAACATTGTCTTTACTTAAAGTTTTGGTAATATTCTGCCAATTATTCCACTGAGATAGTAACTTGAAATGAAAATATTCACATTCATATAAAATTACAGTAGTTTTCCCCTTAACCACAAGTTTGCTTTCCATGGTTTTATACATTCATGGTCAACTGTGGTCCAAGAATATTCAATGGAAGATTCTAGAACTAAATAGCTTATAAGTTTTAAATTGTGCACTGTTCTGAGTGGCATAGTAAAATCCCATGCTATCTGCTCTCTCCTACCTGGGACATGAATCATCCTTTGTCAATTGTGTCCCTGCTGTATATGCTATTCATCATTGGTCACTTAGTAGCTGTCTTACTTTTCTGATTAAAAAAAACAGTATATATATATGTGTGTGTGTGTGTGTATCACACATATATATATTATATATGTGTAATATATATGATATATATTACACATATATATTATATATGTGTAATATATATGATATATATTACACATATATATTATATATGTGTAATATATATGATATATATATTAGTTTTCTGATAAAAACAGTATATATATGTGTGTGTATATATATCACATATATATGATATGTATATGTGTGTGATATATATATGTGAGATATATATATATATATATATATATATATATATATATATATATATCTGTGATTCAGTACTATCCATATCCAATTTCAGATATCAACTAAGGTTTTGGAACATTTCCTCCTTGAATAAAGTGGAATGACTGTATGCTACATATTTGCTATGCACTATTCGCTATAAAGTTGAAAATTTGGGGAAAACATTTAGTATTGTTCACCAGTAAGCAAATTATATAAGCAAATGAATGGTAATTTCATCCATAGGAAAGTTCAATACTTGGATTTAGATGTCAGTTTTTTGAAAAAGCACACACAAAAATTCATTTGCTATTTATTTGTGTGTACAATATAACCTCATTTTAATTAACATCTATTGCAAATTTGAACAATTTCTTCAAATATATTATAAAAGTAAAACAATACATAATCAATTTTAGTACAAATTATTAACATAATTTAAAATTCAGTGGACCCTTGAACAATATGAGTATGAACTATACAGTTCCACTTAGATAGGGATTTTCTTCTTCCTCTGCCACTCCTGAGAGAGCAAGATCAAGCCCTCTTTCTTCTCCTCAGCCTACTCAAAGTGAAGACAACAAGGATGAAGACATTTACAATGATCCACTTTCACTTAATAAACAATAAATATACTTTCTCTTCCTTAGATTTTTTAAATTCACAGTTTCCTTTCTTAGCTTACATTATTTTAGGAATACAGTATACAATACATATAACATACCAAGTATGTGTTAATTGGCAATGCATATTATTACTTAAGTTTCTGGTCAACAGTAGGCTATTAGCAGTTAAATTTTGGAGGTTAAATTTGAAATTTTTACTGCATGGCGGGTTGACACCCCAACCTCGGCATTGTTCAATGGTCAACATTATATGATCTCTAAATTCTGGGGGAGTCAAAAGTGATACTCAAACTTTTGACTGCATAGGGAGTTGGCATTGCTAACCCCTGCATTGTGCAAGGACCAACTACATGCGCTCTCCTCGATTTTCTTCTTCCTCTAAGATTAGATGATTCACTTAAGATTGGAAAGGGACTTCTTGAAAAACTGAAATAATGAAATGGCATTTGTATTTTATTTTTATTAATTCCCTAAGTATTGTATTTATGGAACTCTAAAGCCAATAGTTCCAAGATGAAACCTTACCTTCTTGGTTTACTAGCAAATTTATCAAGCCATTTAGCTTCCATTATTATTATTTTCCTTCCTTAACCATAAAAAGTGAAAATAATATTTATATTACTAGCATTCTTAGAATATAAAATGAAAATAAATATGCATGATGATGATGATGATAATGATTAAAGTGAAAGTAACTAATGTTTGTATAGGTAATTACTTGGTAGGTTTATCACAAGTGAAATAGATTAAAAATGGCCTTAAATTCTTGGCTACTTTTTCTGCTGAGGGGTGAAGTCTAATTCACTTCTGCATGCTTGGGGACTAGACTTTGCAACCTGTCTGACCAATGAAATACAGCAAAAATGAGGCTACAGGTCTTTGGAAACTGGCTCATCAGAGCACTCGCAGCTTCTATCAGGCCTCTTGGAAGGACATTCACCCTCAAGATGCTCCCTCATGAAGTCCATCCTCCATGTCCACATTATGTAAAGAAATCATACAGTCACTTCATTCAAAAGCCCCAACAGAACTACAAACAATAGTAAGCATCAACTGTCAGCCCTCTGTGTGGTCAATTTGGAAGACTAGCCCTAACAAGCCTTCAGATGGCTGCAGCCCTAGTTGACACAGGACTATATTCGCATGAGTGACCACCCAGTCATGCTTATTCAATATATAGGAGAGCAAGATACAGTACTGACTTGTTGTTGTAAGATTTATACAGCAATGGCTGTTTGGAACAACAAAAATACCATTAGGTAAGCATTTTAGTATGCCATTTCATTTATTATGAAATAATGTAAACTTGACCCAAGTTAAAAAGTAAAAAGAATATAGCAATGAAAATACTTTTTATGTATCAGGCACTGTCCCATGAACTATACATATCTTAATGACTTTAATCACTATGTGGTTAGTTTCTTTCTTAATATCATTGTTTACCTTATTTTCTAGCTAAGGAAATTAAGATTCAGAAAAGTTGGCCAAGAAATGATAGAATTGGAATGGTGATATGGGCAAATTGGTATAAAATGCTCCCTACACCACTGTATTACCTTCTAAATGGTTGCACTCATATTTGAATCTATGCGTACTTGATTTCAAAGCCCAACAAATGCTGGTTTATATCTTGGTTTTCTTATGCCTTATACACTTTCTAGGATTGTACTTCAAGTTAACTAACCTGGCTGAACCCTGTACAGGGATGACTTAATGGCACTGTATCCAGATCCCTATAACCAAAGCCCCATCTGGGTTATGTTTGTTTATCTCCATGTTTCCTGCATTAGGCTGTGAGATCCACAAGCAAAGGGATCATCTCTCATTTGTTCACCTTTGAGTTTCCAAAGCCTAACAAACTGCCTGGTACAAACAAAGCAGTCAATAAATTTTTTTAAATGATGGACTACAGGGGGTTCTTGGATATCTTAAAATATGCTGAACATATTAATATTGAGCTACCCTTGAAAGGCCAATTCTGCAACTAGATCAGCTTTCTTGACACTGCCCCAGCTTCCTCATAAGCCTTAATATGTAATCCCTCTACCAGTCTTTATGATCAAGGATCCATTGTACATGGAGCTAAATAATCAAATTTGGCTTCAGAAAGAAAGCCTCAAGAAAGCATAACTGTAATATTATCCTAATAAAGCAATCAATTTTCTTAATAGTTATATATAAATATTTTTTCCTTAAGATAATAATGTTTATGGGCATTAGGAGCAGTTTGAATCCCTTTCTGTCTTTGTACTGATAAAATAAATAACAAACCTCAATTGCCCCACAGACAGTTTGATGAGACTTGGCTTCATCAATTTACTTACAAGCACTATTGGCACTATGTCTTTCTAAAAATAAATTTGCTTATATGAATTTTGTATTAAAAACAGGAAAAGGGGTTGCTTCACCTATACAGCAATTATCCTTTAACTTTACTCATTCCTTTCCATCTAAAATATCTAAAACTAAGTACATTGAAAGAGGTTAAATTATTAAACTACCCTCTCCAAACAAAACAGAGGTAAACGTTCTAAGCAAAGGAGAAGTTGTAGTATGGGTTTGAATTATTGAAGTTAGATCCCCAGCAGGTACTGACTGCCAGTGCATTTTTATTCTCTCTTGTTCCCATGGAAATCATAGTTTCCTTCTTGTCTCATTACACAAACCTAAAAAATGCCCAGGAAAATTGTAATGAAATAATTTGATGCTTTATATCATGGAATATATAAGATAATAATGAAATTACTATTTCTACTTGGCACCAAAATAATCAACTCTAAACTTTGAGGTAATGAGGGCCAGCATTATTATGAAATTTATATTTTTTCAGCTATACTTTTGGATGAGAAAAAACATTAAAGCCCTTAATCTGCTTTGTTATTGCTAGGGCTAAATAAGTGAATTCAAGGGAAGCAAATTCCTTTGTGCAATGAATCAAGAAAATAAAATAGAGTGAAAATTTCTAAAAAAAACTTTTAATTTTTTATGAAGATCCTTATTAACTTTTATTTCTATGTGGTTTTAAATACCTTGCTCAGAATGAATAAGAGCAAAAGTAATTCATGAAGTACATCTTTACAGAAAAGTGTATCATAACTGGAAGTATATATAATTTTGTTAATATACTTGCATTTTCATTTTAGAATAACTTAATTATATTTCAAATGTTTGTCTGAAAATAGTTGCATGTCTCAGTAATATGTTTTAATACATTTTTAGTCATAAGAGTTTTGTTTTAAAAATTTATAATAATATTAAAGTATGTTATTAGATTTTATGTTCATTAAAGAGAGCACAGGTTTTAAACTATTGAGATAAACCAGCATGAAAAAATTAACCACAACAGAAATCCTATGCTGGCTTTTGCATTTTCATTTAGTACTTGGATATTTGGCCAGATATAATACAGTCAAGAGGAAGTGACACAAATATATCTGATAAAACGGTAGGTCAAGTAAGACTATCTATTGGATTTTCCCAGATTTTTCAAGCAGGTCAAGTGTCTCTGAGGTACTTAGTTAGGAAAAAGAAATTCCAAATACACTAGGAGGCTCAAGACATTGATTTTCACATGTCGTATTAGTCAGATCTCATGCTGCTAATAAAGACATACCTGAGACTGGGTAATTTATAAAGAAAAAGAGGTTTAATGGACTCACAGTTCCAAATGGCTAGGGGGGCCTCACAATCATGGCAGAAGGCAAAAGGCATGTCTTATATGGCGGCAGGCAAGAGAGAATGGGAGCCAAGCAGAAAGGGAAACCCTTATAAAACCATCAGATCTTGTGAGACTTATTCACTACCACGACAACAGTATGGGGGAATCCACCCCCATGATTCAATTATCTCCTACTGTGTCTCTCCCACAACATGAGGGAATTATGGGGGCTATAATTCAAGAAGAGATTTGGGTGGGGACACAGGAAAACCATATCATATGTCCTACTAAAATGCCGTGGTATCTGAAATTCTTTGTTATATATTCTGCTTCAGACAACTTTGGATATATTCCTTTTTTTTAACCACATTCTACTCTATTCACTTTCAACATAGAGATTACTTGTAGCACTGTTATTCTCAAAATAAGAGAGGAATCTTTTATATTATTTTTGCACTATTTACATATCTTCATATTGTTCTGTTGAAGCTTTGAGCTATCTAGTCAGTGTCAGAGCATTATAAACCCAATTTAAAGAAATATCCTGTTACTAGAGAAATTCTCAAAATAATGTAAGCTCATTTATGTGGCGAAAGCAAAATGTAGCCATACCAGCCATGTTAAAAATCTAGTTCCTCTCCCATCTACTTCTGCTGACCACACAGATGTTCCAATGCCCTTCCTCCCAACTTCCTAAAATCCTACACCATGTACATACATCCTTTTAAGTCTTTTCCTCTTTCATCTTTACTGCCTGGTTTTATATCCCTCTCCCTCATGACCAGGTTCATCAGGGTAAAAAGAAGCAATCTGACAGGGTGAGAAGGAGATGAAGAAACTGAACAAGCAAATTCAGAGTCCTAGTTACTGGAAAAGAAAAGGGGCAAGGCTGCATGCCCTCTCAAAAATCTTAGTGGCCCATGTATTTATCTCTTAGACGAGCAAGGAGTCTCCTTAAATTACTAGGGAGGTCTAATTAGGTAACTCAGATCTATTTTGGTTTATTTAGGTAACTTAGAATCTGAAAAACACCCTAAGACTCAGAGGACTTGAATTATTTTGAAGAACAAAGGAACTTCTAAGGTGTTGTGAAGTTACTGGTCTTCTTTCCCCAAATAATCTTCTGCCTATTAAAAATGGAAAACAGGCCAGGTGTGGTGGCTCGTGCCTATAATTCCAGATTTGGGGAGCCTGAGGTGTGAGGCTTGCTTGATCTCAGGAGTGTGAGTCAGCCTGGGCAACGTAATGAGATCCTGTTGCTACAAATAATAATAATAATAGTAGTAGTAATAATAATAATAATAATAATAAGCTAGGGGTAGTGGCCTGCCCTTGTCCCAACTATTGGGAGGCTGAGGTGGAAGATCACTTGAGCCCAAGGGGTCAAGGCTGCATCTGGACACAGTCAAGCTACTGCACTCCAGGCTGGGTGACAGAGTTAGACCCTGTCTCAAGGAAGAAAAAAAAAAAAAAAAAAAAACCAGCAATGAGTGTTTATAGACAAGTTTCTCTAATGTAACCTGATTAACTCCTGCCAGTTGATCTATTACACATATTTTTTAAATCATTAAAAAAATTCATCCAGGAATTTACCCAGATGTGAGATCTTTACAAATGTTGCACTGGCTTGTCAATCATTTAAATGTTTTCCCCCAAGGAAATGAGCATATTTTTCATTTTTGCAATTATCAGTAACTAAAGATAACAATCACTGAATCAAGATAACACGTTATTTTTGTTATGTAAGTGGTAAAAACATAGCTAGGTACAGTTCTACTTGCTATTAGAAATACACACACACACACACACACATACACAGTTAGAACTGAACATTTCTCTTTTTCTTATCACTTCCCGAATGTTAGAGAGTAAAAATAAAACCTAACTTTTCAGTATGTTAAAATTCATAAATACATTAAGCTAAAACTATATTTGATGTTAAATAACGGTAAATGTTATTTGTGTAACACCTGCCTGTCTCAAACATTTTATTAGGAGTTGTATGGATATTCACACTTTGAGTTAGGAACATCATCTTTATTTCAGAGAAAAAAATTAGTGAGCTTCAGAAAGGTTAAATTTCTATGACTATACAAATCTTAAGAGTAGAATGAGATAAACATTTAAACCTCTACTTTTCTTTAAATCACACATTTTGCAAAATACATAAGCAAAAGATTAAAAGATTTGTTTGAAGATCTAAAGCTTTTATAGAAATAACCGAATGCAGGCATAAAATATTAAAATTATTTGAGGCAATCTGTTGGTAACATCATTTACATGTCATCCATTCAGTTGAATCATTAATTCACTAATGCAGCAAGTGTTTACCAAAATCTCTTTAATTATTTTGTTTGTTTGTTTTTGAGATAAGGTCTGGCTCTGTTGTCCAGGCTAGAGTTGAGTGGTGAGATCTTGCCTCACTGCAACCTCTGCATCTGGGCCCAGGCAATCCTCCCACCTTCCGAGTAGCTGGGGCTACAGGCAAATACCACCACATCTGGCTAATTTTTTTGTAGAGATGGGGTTTGACCATGTTTCCCAGGCCGATCTCAAACTCCTGAACTCAAGCTATCTGTCTCAGGCCTCTCACAGTGCTGGGATTACAGGCCTGAGCCATGGTGTGCCCAGCTTTTCTTTTCCATTATTTGAAGACAAACTAGTGACGAAAGAGACATAGTCTCTTCTTTCATGGAACTCATTCTACTCAAGTGAATGAGATGATTAATCAGGTTATAAACAAATAGCTCTTTTAGGTATTCATGAGTGTTATGAGAGAAATAGCAGAGATACGACTGTTTAGGTTGAATTATTTAATTGTAGCTATTTGACAGTTGATGACCCTCAAAAATAGCACTTTCTTATGTTTCAAATTAATGTCTAAATTGAACATAAAGACAGTATTTTCTGATGAGGTGACATTTGAGCAAGGGCCTATAAAAAGGAAAGTAATCAGCCAAGAAGATATCTACAAGAAGACTGGACCAGGCAGATGGAAAGACAAATGCCAAGACCCTGAGGGAAGAGCATGCCTTACTTTTTTGAGGTCATAAAGTATGCAATTTTGGTTTGAGATGAGTGATCAAGAGAATGAGATAGCAGCTGAAGTTAGTGATAGCTTGGAGATAGCCGAGTAGGACCTTTTCAAATATGGAAAGAAATTTATATTCTATTCTAAGTCAAATGAGTTATTAGTGGGATTTAATCTAACATATAATATGTTCAAGAGCTACACTTTTATGAAATTCCTCAGGCTGCTCTGTTGAAAAAGAACTCAGATGTATAAGGAGGGAAAAATGTAGACCAGGCAGAAGCATAATACCCCAATTCAGGCATAAAATCGTTGTAGCAAAGACACTGGGATATTAGTATTATTGATGACAAAAAGCCTAGAATCTGAATTCTAAAAGTAGAGATGAAAGGATTTATTGAGTCATTAAACATGGAGTATGTGAGAAATAGAGAAGTCAAAGACTGAGCAAATAAGAGAATGCAGATGCCATTATTGAGATGGGGCGAGATTATAAGAGGAGACTCAAGAATTTGGTTTTAGACATGTCAAATTTGAGGAGTTTAGTAGATCTTCAAGTGGAAGTAGCAAATATTTTGCTCGACATGATTCTGCACATGTTGGAAGATGTTGGACTAGGAGCTGAACATTCTTGTCATCTTGATAGTACTATTTAAAACCATAGGGATAAGTGAAATCATCAAAGAACTGGGTAAGAAAAGACATCCAAATCCTGATAACTGGGATCAGATAAAGAGGAAAAAGATGAGAACATCACATAGACCAGAGTGAGAGTCAGAGGCAGCAAGGGAAGTGAAGACCTAATTTAGAGAGAAATTTGGAGGCTCTGCTTAAAGGAGAAGGAGGAGCATGTGGGGGAGGAAGAGGAAGCAAGAGAGTAAGAGAGTAACAGGAGGACAAAGAGGAAAGCATATCAAGAACGCATCAAATATTTCTAACAGGTTAAATCAGATAAAGGCTGATAAATGAATATTGAATTAGTAAAGTGCAAAGTGGAAGTTATCTGTAAGAAGTTTCTGTAAATGAGAAGGTATGAACACCTTTTAGGAGTGAGTTGCTATGAGAAAGGAAAAAAATTACTTATAAACAATTACATAGAGAGTGATCTAAAATGGTCTAGGAAAATAATGCTGAGAATGAACTAGTAAGGATCAATAGTTGATATCTATTAGAGAGGCATAACTGTAGGAGAATTTCTTGAATAAGAAAAAGGCAATGGAATTGAAGGTGGAAGTGTGTGTGTGTGTGTGTGCAGGAGGGTAGAGGGTTAGCCTAAGTTAGAAACAGAGTAAAAGGTGAGCAAACAGTGTGAGTATGCATATGATGGTTGGAAGATTTGTTTGGAGATAAAAGTCTATGAATGTTAGCTTTTTTTTTTTTTGACTAGTCTCTCAGCGTAAGGAGGAGTTAAACCCTGGGCTGAAAATGTAGAAAGAGAAAGTGGTGTTTACATTTTGAGGAAAGACGATAAAGAGTGAGATACTCCTTTAGTTATTAGGAGTGTGAACTGAGCAAGGCGAAGTAGTAAAATTGAAGGACAGTTTTCGTCAGTGCTCTCTGTAGGACAGAACACTTTCTTCTAAGGAACGTTCATTCCATCATGAACATACTTAGCACTTTTATAAAGGTTATTTACTACCCTGTCTCTTCTTTTTGACTATAAACTCTTCAAAAAAGTCACTATTTTATATATTCCTAATATGCACTTTTTTTTTTCATAGAAACTACAGTAAAGAACATTAAACAAGTAAAAAAAGAGATCTGTAGTTAAGTGGCAGGAGCAGAGACAAGCAAAGACCAGGCCAGAACCATGAATTTTAGTATCGTGAAAATCATAAATACACTGGGAGATAACATCAAATATTGGAGACCGCATGTATCGATATTAGGCAGCACAGAGCCAGAGATCCTAGTGCAACTACAATAACCAAAAATGAAAACTCATAAGAATGTACATAGAGAACAACAGGTTTAAAGGGTTCTAAATCTGGCTTAGGCTATAAGCAACATAAAAGGACATTATATTGAGTTCATTGTCTTTTAAAGGATTTTCATCTCATTTTTATTTAATGTGAGAATTATTTCGGAAGTGTGAGTTATCTTAAGGTGGAGGTAAATAAGGTCAACTGCATAAAGACGAGACTTTTGTTTGGTGTTGCCATGTGAAATTGACCACTCGAATAATGTTTTCATTGCTATCTAAAGCAAAATGACAGAGCACCCCAAGAAATACTGAAACACTTGCATAATTAATACAAATATCTAAATATAAATGTGATCAGAATAAATAAACATACTGCAACCAGCGCAGGCTTAAGGATAGGAAATTAAAAGGATGATAGTGGGAAAATTTGTTGATGAGGATGTGCTGGATCCTGTCTAGGTGCCTCCTTGGGTTTATTTGGCAATGCTTTTCTGCTAGATGCTATTGATTATCATCTTGGCTACTGATGAAACTTCTTATGTGCTACCTATGGAGCTGTATGAACTTCATCAGCAGTACATGGTAGTGGCCTTATAGTTACAGTACTTTCTGGTGGTCCCTTGAAGCACTTGACCCTTTTCCTTCATATCACTGATGGATACAACTGGACATCCCTTGGAATGTTCATCCTACCCCTCTTGTCTCTGAAGCTGGAGGCCCTAACTTACCCATTCACTGTGTGTATGTTTAAGCAAACTTATTGTACACCTGCCCCCCAAGTGGGTGTACAAGACTGAAAGATGAAGAAAGTTGTGAATGTTGCTAACATAAGCCTCAGACACAGCCACTGCTATCTTGGATCTGGTTTCCCTGGCAACTGCACAAAATAAGTCAAATGCCTGGAAGTGCCTGGAATGAAACCCTGTGGAGTAAAATGACCAATAGGAGATGGAAGCAAACAGATAATTATTCTTTCTACTCTGAAAATGCTATTTCATGAAACAGTGTGTTAAACTAGAAGACATCCTGGAAAACACAATAATGAGCTGCATTTAAGATCTCAGATCAGCATGCATTCTGATCTTTGCTTCGCTCCTTTCTTTGTCTCACCAAGACTGCACCCCACAATAAAGTGTTACTCTATAAATTCTACTTAGACACCATTTTCTCTGGAACACAGTCGAAGAAAATGAGATTTCTTTGTACATGCATTTAAATAATTCTTAGGATAAGATATATTTGTTAAAGCCTACCCTGGCTGTCTGAGAAATAAAAGCAAATCTTGTTGAAGTTTTTCTTTGTTAGACCAAAATAAATCTCTTTTAGTAGTGAGGACTGTTATTAAAGTGTAGAAAGCACTTCATGGGATAAGTGCATTGACCTAAAAAAGTGGTATTATTCTAATGAGATACATGATTCCTCAAGCAGTCAGAAAAAAAAAAAAAAAAAAGAACTTGGTCTCCTGATAATTTCTTGGCTATTTCCACGAAATCAGCCTACCAGAGTAAATACCTCAATTTAATTCAGGCAGCATAATCTCATTGCTCCCAGATGATTCTCATGCTCATTCATTTATCTATTTACATATACAGCATATATTTTTGAATGACTATTATGTGTAAGGGATTGAACAATTTGCTTGCACAACACCGGTGACCAAAAGGGATGGCACTCTTGGAGTCAACATTCTTCTGAGTAGTGTTATGCAATAAACACAATTAATAAGCAAATTATATAGTCTTTCACAAGGTAACAAATGCTTTTGGGAGAAGAGTGAAGGAAAGGGGGTAGATCATGAGTACAAGCAATATTGGAAGCAGGTGGCACTGTTAAGTAGAGTGCTCAGGCTAGACCTTGTGGAGAGATTATAATTTGGAGAAAGATTTGAAGAAGGTAAGAGAAATAAACATTGGAAGAAAAATTTCTTCAGCTCAAGAAATCAAATCCTGCCAACAACCATGTGAGTTTGGAAGTGAATCTCTACCCAGTAAAGCCTCAGATGACATACAGGTGTCCTGGCTGACTGACACTGTGATTGTAGCTCAGTGAAACACCAGAAAGCAGAGGACCCAGTTGGACCACATCAAGATATCTGACTCACAGAAATTGTGAGATAACGTATGTTGATTGCTGTAAGGCACTACATTTGTAGTGATTTGTTACATACCACTAGAAAACTAATACATGGTTTTATGAGAATCTCCTCTGCTTCCTTCAATTGTTTTAGTAAACATAGAGGAGGACATTAGCTGGAAGTAAGTATAGGGAGGAAGTATTTGGTGTTTGATGAGAAGAGGAGCTACAAAATAATCATCTAGGTTGTCGGAGAGAGAATGGATGAAGAACATACACTATGGCTGGGTACAGTAACTGGCACTTGTAATCCCAGCTACTCAGGAGGCTGAGGCAGGAGGATCCCTTTAGGCCAGGAGCTTGAGACCACCCTGGGCAACATAGTAAGATCCCTGTCTCTAAATAAAATAAAATAAAATAAAATGAAAACAAAAACTGCACACTATGAGTGCCTTGTAGCGTGAAGAGTCCACTGGAGGCTTTTGGCCACTGCATTTAATATGAGACCATTCACTTTGGTGACCTATTTCTCTCCAGCCACATTCTCCTGCCACACTCTGGTTTAAGTTTGGAGTGGTGCTGTACTAAAGACAGTACTCTGGAAAGATAGGAGGTGGTAGCAATGACAAGGTCTAGAATATGATCGTGAGTGTGAGTAGCTGATCTATATGCAAAGCAAAATGAATGGAAAAGAGTACTTCAAGAGACTGAAACTACGGTTTTGAGGAAAATTGTCTATGTGAATATTGAAGTAGCTCAAAATAAATACAGAAACAATATTGGAAATAGTGATGATGACTCAGAAAATAAAGAAGTGTATAATGTGAATGGATTTATGGATTTGACGTAGGGGTTGGCAGATGATGGTAATGATGAGATATGGTGAATGGGATAATCATATGGTAAGCGATTGAAAGCTAAAGGGGAGTAATGGAGGTGGGAGGAAGAATTATCTGAAAAAGACAATATGGAGCAAATGGGACATATTTCAACTCTAGGCTCAATGATAGAAAAATTGGGGAAGAAAAGTCAGCCAGCATTTGAGGGCGTTGCAGAGGAAGCATTGCTCTTAAGGAAAATGAAAATGTTCAATTGAGCTGAAACACAATGGGATGATCCAGAGAAGGTATTGTGGATATAGTGGATGCTGCTTCCAATGGACATTGATGTTCAGATATCTCTGTCAATATCCCTCAGCCAAAGATCACTAATACAATTATTTGATACAGTTCCTTAATAATTTCCAACTAGAATATCAGAATAGAGCAAGGTTAAATCTGATTGTTGAAATAATCAGTCACTCATGTTAGTATAAAACAATATTTAGTCATTTTGATATCTCGAACAATGTTTTTTTTTTTCTGTGTTCAAATATGACATAAAGTGATGTTTAGCCTTTGTCTTTATCCTTCTGGTGACAGAGTATCCTTGTTTGGTGGTGGTTTTCTGTGAAATTTTTATGTTCAACAAGAGAAAGTAATGGCTTAATTGTGAGTTCTGTGCAGTTTCTTGTTTATCAGGGCTGCATTTCTCTTTCCCAGCAAGGTGAATGGTTTTAGAAGTTGACAAGAAGTATGATAAGCGAGAGATTATGATTGGCAAGAAGTGTGATAAGGGAGAGAGTTATATATGTATCATTTTTACCGCGATTAGAGTGTAAGGTAAGAGGGCTAACACAAGAATCTAAGGCTTCTTGTGGCAACTAATGTGAATAGGAATGGTGAAGGGGCATGATTACACGTGGTATGGTACATTAATTCATTCAATAGAATGTTATGAAATTGTTGATTATGATAATAATAAACATAATAATCATGATTTTAGAAGCTGTTATTTATTTAGTGCTTGTTGTCAGATAGTTTACCAACTATATTATATATAATTTAATATTTACTTAATGATCACAAATGAGTATGAAGTAAATATTGTTATTTTAATTTTTTTAGGAGAAAGTTAAGGCTTGAAAGTTATGAGACAAAGAGCAATATCCTTAATACGGAATTCAAAACTTTCAGTCACTGTTATACTGCCAGCTCTACTGATGATATGTTCAATAAAAAAGTAGAATAGAAAACTGCAGTTATGCTGCTGAGGTTGTGACAAAACAAAACTCTTACTTACATCTGTAAATAAACTGAAAGAAAACAGACAAAAATAGCAAAATGTTTGATAGGGCAGAATAACAAGGGAAGATTTCTTTTAATTTTGCTTCTAATGTTAATTTAATAATTGTACAATTAATAATAACAGGTTTACCTGCTATTGTTTACCAGAATGAAGGTTATTTTAAATAAAAATCTTCAACTGAATTTGCTAAGATTCTGATTGATCATAATATTTTGGGCTAAATATACTTTTTATAATTACATTCAAAGCTTCAAAGACCCTTCTCTAAATTCTCTTGGCTACTGTGAATCTTTTCAGGTTAAATGAGGGAAGTAATTTTTCAAATGATTTATTTAAATTCTTAACTATTTATATTAAAAAATTAAATGATGTAATTTATTTCCTTGCTTATCAAAGAACTTAATTTGAAGATTATGCATAGCATATATATTTTAAATTATTGCAATTTATTACTTATTAAAGATTTGAAAGCTAGTTGTGTTTTTAATCATCCTTTTTTTCTCAAGTATATTTTTTTGGTCTTAGATAACTGACAGTCACACATCTACACACCAAAATTCAAGTGCAAAGGACAATTATTTTAATTGAGAATCATTATTGAACATTATATCACAATTAAAATATATTTTAAGAAAAACACATAAAAAATCTCTGCTCATTCCTATGTCAAGGACGGTATTGCCTAGGTTGTCTTCCAGGGTTTATATAGTGTTGAGTTTTACATTTAAGTTGTTAATCTATATTGATTTGATTTTTGTATATGGTGTAAGGAAGGGGTCCAGCTTCCGTCTTCTACATATGGCTAGCCAATTATCCCGCCACCATTTATTGAATAGGGGTTGTTTTCTCCATTGCTTGTTTTTGTCAGCTTTGTCAAAGATCAGCTAGTTGTAGGTGCATGCCCTTATTTATAGGCTATCTATTCTGTTCCGCTGGTGTATGTGCCTATTTTTGTACCACTATCATGCTCTTTTGGTTACTGTATCCCCTGTAGTATAGTTGAAAGTTGGGTAATGTGATGTCTCCAGCTTTGTTATTTTCACTGAGGGTTGCCTTGTCTATTATGGCAATTTTTGGGTTTCGTATGAATTTTAAAATAGTTTTGCCCAGTTCTGTGAATAATGTCATTGGTAGCTTGATAGGAATAGTATTGAATCTGTAAATTGCTTTGGGTAGTATCACCATTTTAATGCTATTGATTCTTCCTATCCATGAGCATGGGATTTTTTTCCATTTGTTTGTGTCTTCTCTGATTTCTTTGAGCAGTGTTTCTTAATACGATCATAGAGATTTTTCACCTTCCTGATTAGCTGTATTCCTAGATATTTTATTCTTTTTGTGGCAATTGTGAATGGGTTTGCCTTCCTGATTTGTCTCTCTTAGCTTAGCTATTGGTGTGTAGGAAATGCTAGTGATTTTCATACTTTGATTTTGTATCCTGAAACTTTGCCACAGTTACCAGCTGAAGGAGCTTCTGGGCCTAGAGAATAGGATTTTCTAGATCTAGAATCATGTTGTTTGCTAACAGCGATAATTTGACTTCCTCTCTTCCTGTTTGAATGTCCTTTATTTCTTTCTCTTGCCTGATTTCTCTGGCGAGAACTTCCAATACTATATTGAATAAGAATGGTGAGAGATGGCATCCTTGTCTTGTACCAATTGTCAAAGTGAGTGCATCCAGTGATTGCCCATTCAGCATGATGTTGGCTGTGGATTTATCATAGATGGCTCTTATTATTATCAAGCATGTTCCTTCAATACCTAGTTTATTTAGACTTTTTAACATGAAGGGATATTGAATTTTTTGGAAAGCCTGCATCTATCTATTGACATAATCATATGGTTTGTGTCTTTAGGTCTGTTTTTTGTGATTTCATGACAAAGACACCAAAACCAATCACAACAAAAGAAAAAATTGACCAATAGGATCTAATGAAAGTTAAGAGCTTCTGCACAGAAAAAGAAACTATCAATAAACAGAGACTACAAAATAGGAGAAAATCTTTGCACACTGTGCATCTGACAAAGGTGTAATATTTAGCATCTATAAGGAACTTAAACAAATTTACAGGAGAAAAACTACTCCATTAAAAACTGCGTAAGGAAATGAACAGACAGTTTCCAAAAGAATACGTATATGCAGCCAACAAGCATATATATATACACATATATACATATATATACATATATACATATATATATGTATATATATATGTGTGTGTGTGTTTGTGTATCCATGATCATTAGAGAAATGCAAATCAAAATCCCAGTTGAGATACTATCTCACACTGGTAAGAATGGCTATTTTTAAAAAGTCAATAACAGGTGCTGGCCAGGTTGCAGAAAAGTGGAAACACACACTGTTGGCAGTGTAAATTAGTTTAACCACTGTGGAAAGCAATATGGCAATTCCTGGAACAGCTAAAAATGGAACTACCACTCAACCTCATTGTAATGAGGTAATGAGGTAATGATTAATTGCTGTCTCATTACTGGGAATATCCTCAGAGGAATATAAATAATTTTACCATAAAGACACATGCACATGAATGTTCATTGTAGCACTATAAAACTGTATCTGTTTTACAATAGTAAAAACAGAGATTCAACCTAAAAGCCCATTGGTGACAGATTGAATAAAGAAAATATGGTACCTATACACCGTGGAATATTACGCAGCCATAAAAAATGAGATCATGTCTTTTGCAGGAGCATGAATGGAGCTGGTGTCTATTATGCTTAGCAAACTAACACAGGAACATAAAACCAAATACTACATGTTCTCAGTTGTAAGTGGGAGCTAAATGATGAGAACTCAGAAACACAAAGAAGGGAACAGCAGACACTGAGTTCTACTTGAGAGTGGAGGTTGAGAGGATAGGAGCGGAAAAAAATAACTACTGGGTACTGAGCTTAATACCTGGGAGATGAAATAATCTGTACAACAAAACCCTGTGGCATGAGTTTGTCTATATAACAAACCTTCCCATGTCCCCTGAACCTTTTTTTTTTAATAAAAGTTAAAAAAAGATAACACACATACCAAGTAGGCATATTTATTTTTTTTTTAATTTTTAACTATTACGCATACATAATAGTTGTGGTATTTGTAGGGTGTGTGATATTTTGATACAAACAAGAAATGTTTAATGATTAAATCAGGGTAATTGGGATACTCATCACTTCAAGCATTTTTCCTTATGTTTTGTGTTAGGAACATTCAATTTCCCACTTTCAGTTTTTTGAAATATACAATAAATTCTTAATTATAATCACCCTATTGTTCTACTGAGAACTAGATCTAGATCTTATTTCCTTTATCTAACTATATTTTTGTACTCTTTGGCCATTATCTCCGTATCCCACCTTCCCCACATAGACATATTTATATACAATTTATTTATGGATACCATAATAATCGAGCCTTTATAACAATATGCCTTAAAATATCAAAATCATATATTATGTATTAATTACATTTTATTGGAAATGTAGAAGATAGAGGAGCAAGTTATTGTGGTAATCCTATGTGATAAATAACCTGGTTTTCTTTACCAAACAACTTAGAAGAACAAAAGAAAAACATGAGGAATACAGGGGAAAACTGTACATTAAAACTGCCTATAGAAACTTATCAACAAAGAGCAATGTATAAATATTATTTTAACCCTAATTAAAGTAAAATAAAATCATAAACACTGAAGCAAGATAATATTTAAAATTTATAAGACAAATGCATACTTGAGCACAATAATTTTTTTTTTTTTTTTTTTTCGAGACGGAGTCTCACTCTATCAGCCAGGCTGGAGTGCGGTGGGGCAATCTTGGCTAACTGCAACCTCTGCCTTCCAGGTTCAAGCAATTCTCCTGCCTCAGCCTCCCAAGTAGCTGGGACTACAGGTGGGCGCCACCACGCCTGGCTAATTTTTGTATTTTTAGTAGAGATGGGGTTTCACCATGTTGGTCAGGTTGGTCTTGAACTCCTGACATTGTGATCTGCCTGCCTTGGCCTCCCAAAGTGCCGGGATTAGAGGTGTGAGCCACTGCACCTGGCCAATAAATTTTATAATGTTCAGTAATTATTTTTAATTGTGACCCTAATGTTTATTGTGGTATTTTAAGTTCTTAACTTATAGAGATTCTCACTGAGATATTACAAATAAAATGAAATGATTGAAGGATGTAGTGGTTGTGGATATAAATGAAACTACATTGATTGCAACTTAATAATTATTAGAGGTGGATAATAAGTACCTGGGAGCTTATTATACTATTCTATCTACTTTTATGTATGCTTGAAATTTACTATCCTCAAAAATAAGAAAAACACTAGACTAAGTAATTATATATAAACAACCAATAACAGAAACATGGATGCCCATGAATCAGAAGAATCCTTTCCAAAACAATAGTTTACAAGTATTTGATTTTTTAAATCAACTATATGGCTTATAATGGGTTGAGAAAATTTATTAATTTATTGTATTTGTTTACATTTCAGTATCCGGTCCAAAATCTCTTCATTTATAATTAGTTCATAAATGCATATGAACCATAATTACATAATTACTCTGCAGTAGAAGATGACAAACATTTTAATATCAGAATATTCCAAAGAAAGCGATATGGGATTAGAAATCTCTTACTAAGCAGCTACTTTAAGAAAAATTGTTGCGGATTATGTATCTTTTACCCCCATTAACTAGCATACTCAGTCACTTAACCTGGATATTTGTGGAAGCTCAGTCCATGTGTGTAAATAGATTGGTGCTTTGGATAACTACATAGTAGGATAGATGGGTAGATTATGTAATGGACAGAAAAATGAAATAATAAACCAAGAGAATGTAGGCAAAGGAATTCAAAGTTGATAGATATATAAAAATCACCTCATGTGAGTACTATATTTAATTGGCATGTGTATTCTGGAAAATCAAAAACTAAAAAGATATATTTTAATTTTCTTTATATGTTTGAAGCTTTCTGTTTCAGATTTGTGAGCAGACACTTTTTTCTTCAGATAGCATCTGGAAGCTTCTTGTATGAGATTTATAGAAGCATAGTTTATTTAACATAAGGAGAAATTCATATTTAGAGATGTCTACTAATGAATGTGCTGCTTCTGAACTAGTATGTTATGATACAGATACACTCAATTATTAAAAATAAATTAATGCTGCTAAAAAGTGCTAGAGAGATAAGTTATGTAGTTCCATTATTAATGCTAATAATGATAGTCTAGACTGTGTTCAACTCTATGATCCTCTATTTTAAATTATTACACAGAAAATTTTGAAGCATAAGTATGTATTTCTTTATTCAATAAATGATTTAATGTTTCTTAATCTTGGATTTGAGTACTGCTAATTATAAAGCTTGTCCTGGAAAATCAATGACCAAAAAATATAGTAGGAATGGTAGGACATTTAAAAGTTAATTGCCTTTCAAATGTCAATAAGAAATAGAAATGTTTGGAACTTGAAATATAAGTTTCCATTGCATGAAGTCCAGGTTGCTAAATTCATACCAGACTTATCAGACTGAATAATTTGGATCACACATATATGCACACACACACACACACACACACACACACACACACTTGTGCTTTTAATTATTTGCTTTAATTGTATTTTTTATTTGAACAGATATTAGTATATAATTCTTGTATCATAAAATTTCCCCATTTAGAGTATAATTAAATGGTTTTTAATCTAGTTACAGAGTTATACTTTATCACTACTGTCAATTTTGGAAGAGTTTAATCACCTCAGAAAGAAACTCCACACCCAACAGCAGTCACTCCACCTAACTTCCAATGCCCCAAAGCCCTAGGCACCACTAATTTACTCCCTGTTGAGACAGCCAAGTGGGAAGGGGTCTGTGTACATTTTCTTCACTTGGGCATTTTGTATAAGTGGAATTATACAATATGTAGTCTTTTGATAATGATTTATTTCACTTAGTATAAGGTTTTCAAGGTT
Source organism: Homo sapiens (assembly GCF_000001405.40). NCBI lineage: Eukaryota > Metazoa > Chordata > Mammalia > Primates > Hominidae > Homo > Homo sapiens. The sequence continues at coordinate 35,237,751 of NC_000004.12, forward strand.
CATGCATGTTGCAGCATTTATTGAATAGAAGTGACATATTACATTTACTCATTTATCAACTGATGAAGATTTTGGCTGTTTTCATTTTTGCTATGAATAATGATACTATGAACCTTAATATACCAGTAATAACATCATCATCTTTAAAATCTGAATTTCAAACATTGCACTCTCTGGTCACCCTCTTCTAACTCACTTGATCTATTATCGTCTCCCATGTCAAAATTTGTCAACACATCAAGAAATCTAGTTCATTTCCTCTTCACTTTTTCCCCATTGCTCCCCTGGTAATTTATCTCCCACGGAGCTGAGATTACATTGTTCATCATTACAATAACACTCTCAAATACAATGCAACACATCAACCTCTGTCCCTGCTCTACCTCCACACTACTCACATAAACTCCCTGTGTATCACTTCACGTGTTTGGAGAAAAATATGCTACTAGCTTACAGGGTGGGAGCCATCGTCAAGAATCTCACTATTATTTCCCAGTTAAATTTGTTAAACCTCACTCTCTGAAGTGAGAATTTTACATCTCACCTGAAAAATCTCTTTCTTCTTGTTAATCTTGCTTATTGTTTAATTCAGAAGTAAAGCATTTGAACAAGAACTACATAATCTATCCATCACCTAACATATCATCTCTTCTTCTTCACAAGTACTCATATACTCTGGCGTCTTTTCTTTGCTAAGAGTGAACTATCCCTCTTGCTGAGACAATCTCCACACTTCTGTAATATTTCTGTAATATATCCTGTCAGTTTTCTATGATGCAAATAATGCAAATAATGCTGCTGCTGTTTATAAAGTAGCATGTTCACTCAAAAATAAACATGCTACAGTATCCTCAGTGAAATAAACAAATGCATGCATACCTACATAAAATGTCACTGGAACAATCTTATTTCCCACCAGCTAACACACTAATTTTTTGTTCTTCACAGAAATGTCATAAAGTCAAATGAGTTTGTCATTATTAGCTTTCTCATCTTTTTCCACTAAATCATCTCTATAATCCATTGCAATTAGAGTAGGTCCCCTTCTTTCAAGTTATAAAAACACTTCTTTTGGGGTTACTTCATCCAATAATGGTAAAATGTTCATTTCACTCAGTCTTTCAGAAGCATTATTGGAATTCTGTCTTCCCTTGGTTTCTGGATTATCATATTTTCTTGGCTTTCCTCCCACTGCTGCTTTCTCTTTCAGATGCTATTCTTTATTGCTTTCTCTTTCCCCAGAGACCTATAAATTATTGGTGTGCCCTAGGACATAAACCTCAGATTTTTTTTTTCTTTTTATATCCTCTATCTAAATCAGTAGTTTTCCAACCAGGGTTACATAATTGTACAACTCAAAGAGCTTTAAAAATAGAAATAACTGACCCAATCCCCATGTATTCTAATTTAGTTGTTCTGGTAGAACTTGGATATAAATATCCTTTAAAATTATTCAAGTGAATCTAATGGAGAGTCAGTGCCAAAAACTTAACTTAGTAACACCTAGTTCCTTTGTTTTAATTTAGTCTGATGACTCAAATTGATCTTTGATTCAGCAAAAATATGTATTTTGATCTCCAGATTCATATGCAAAATTACCTATGAGGCTTCTCTAAGTGAATTCCAGATATGCAGATCAAAATTATGTCCATCTCTATTCTCCACTTACTCCACTCTAAATATTTCCTATCTGAGTTAAGACACCATTGTTCAGATGCATCCTCAATACCTCTAGATCTTTCATCCATACATGTTTAATTATCCAATAAGAACAGAGTACACTGCTTTTAAAACATACTCTGAATACCAGTCATTCTTATTTTTGACACTTCTATTGACCTGCCACTGTCAACTTTCACCTGCATCATTACAGAAGCTTCTCAACTGGTGTCCTCATTGCCACTCTTGCTCTTTAGCCTATTTTAATTATTTTTCTTAAGATTTGTTAATTTTAATATCTTTAAGCATATATTTTGTATGACTTTTTAAATAAATTAATAAAATTTTCATGTAAAACAAATTGCACCCATTTTATTTTCAAATTTTAAAACCTACAAAAGGTTTATAATTTAAGGCATTTCCTCTGACTGTTTTTTGTCTTTCATGTGACTGACATTTTGAAGAGTTCCATACACTACTGATAGTGAACAAGGCACTCATTTAACATCTCAGAATTTATGAAAGTAAAAAAGGAAAAGAAAAACAGTAAATGCCATAAGCCCTTTAACTAGATCATCAATTTGCTCATTTCCATCATCTCCTTCTTTCTGTGTATGTGTATTCATATACGTATATGGGGTATTTTTAAAATTTTATGTAAAAATATGGCAGACATCAATACATTTTACCCTTAAACATTTCAGTGAGTGTGTGTTTCCTAAGAAGGATGCATCCCTACTGCTCCACACCACCAATATTATATTTAAGAAGTTCAACATGGATAAAATATTAGGAAGCATGAGACCCACATTTGCCCAATCTCTCCATTAAATTCATCAATCTGTCTATCTGACAATCCATAAATAGTTGAAACCCTGGACCTAAATAAGAACAATGAATTGAGATATATCTCTAGCCTCTTATTATTTAGGGCATTCCCTCTGACTGTTTGTCTTTCACATCACCGACATTTTGAAGGATTTCATATACCACTGATAGTGACCAAGGCACTCATTTCACTTATCATAATTTACAGTTCTGGGCGCATAGATTACCATGGATAATATTATAGATACAATAGATTAGCATAGATACCATAGATTACCATAGTGGTTGATACAGCTTGACTGAGTTACCCCCCAAATCTCATATTGAATCTTAACTCCCATAATTCCCATGTGTTGTGGGAGGAACCCAGTGGGAGATAATTGAATCATGGGGGTAGTTTCCCCCATGCTGTTTTCATGGTGGTAAATAAGTATCACGAGATCTCATGGTTTTATAAGTGGTTTCCCCCTTCACTTGGCTTTCACTCTCTCTTGCTTGCTGCCGTGTAGGATGTGCCTTTCAGCTTCTGCCATGATTGTGAGGCCTCCCCAGCCATGTGGAACTGTAAGTCCAAGAAATCTCTTTTTCTTTATAAATTACTCAGTCTCAGGTATGTCTTTATCAGCAGCATGAAAATGTACTAATACAGTAAATTGATACTGGTAGTGTGGGTGCTACTGTAAAGATACCTGAAAATGTGGAAGAGACTTTGGAACTGGGTAACAGGCAGAGATTGGAACAGTTTGGAGGGCTCAGAAGAAGACAGGAAGATGTGGGAAAGTTTGGAACTTCCTAGAGACTTGTTGAATGGCTTTGACCAAAATGTTGATAGTGTTATGGACAATAAAGTCCAGATTGAGGTGGTCTCAGATAGAGATGAGGAACTTGTTCGGAACTGAAGCAAGGTGACTCTTGTTAAGTTTTAGCAAAGAGACTGGCAGCATTTTGCCTTTGCCCTAGAGATTTGTGGAATTTTGAACTTGAGAGAGATTAATTAGGGCATCTGGCAGAAGAAACTTCTAAGCTCAAATCATTCAAGAATTGACTTGGGTGCTGTTAAAAGCATTCAGTCTTATTCCTTCACAAATATAAGGTTTGGAATTGGAAATTATGTTTAAAAGGGGAAACAGAGCATAAGAGTTTGGAAATTTGCAGCCTGATGATGAAATAGAAAAGAAAAACCCATTTTCTGAGGAGAAATTCAAGTGGCTTCAGAAATTTGCATTAGTAATGAGGAGCAAAATATTAACCTCCAAAACAATGGGGAAAATATCTCCAGGGCATGTCAGAGAACTTTGAGGCTGCCCCTCTCATCACTGATGCACAGGCATAGGAGAAAACAGTGGTTTCATGGGCATGGCCCAGGGGCTCCCTGCTGTATGCAGCCTAGGAACTTGGTGCCCTGTGTCCTAGCTGCTCCAGCTGTGACTAAAAGGGACCAAGATATAGCTCAGCTGTTTCACGGGCATGGCCCAGCGCCCCCCTGCTGTATGCAGCCTAGGAACTTGGTGCCCTGTGTCCTAGCCACTCCAGCTGTGACTAAAAGGGACCAAGATACAGTTCAGGCTGTGGCTTCAGTGGGTGCAAGCCCAAAGCCTTTGAGGCCTCCATGTGGTGTTGGGCCTGTGGGTGCACGGAAGTCAATAATTGAGGTTTGGGAACCTCTGCTTAGATTTCAGAGGATGTATGGAAACGCCTGGATGTCAAGGTGGAAGTCTGCTGCTGGGGCAGAGCCCTCATAGCGAGCCTGTACAAGGTATGTGCAGAAGGGAAATGTGGGATCACATCCCCCACATGGAGTCTCCACTGGGACAATCCTAATGGAGCTGTGAGAAGAGGGCCACCACCCTCCAGACCCCAGAATAGTAGATCCACTGACAGCTTGCACCATGTACCTGGAAAAGCCACAGACACTCAATGCCAGCCCATGAAAGCAGTCATGAGGGGGACTGTAACCTGAAAAGCCACAAGGATGAAGCTACCCAAGACCATGGGAACCCTCCTTTTGCATCAGCATGACCTGGATGCGAGACATGCAGCCAAAGGAAATCATTTTAGAGCCTTAAGATTTGACCACCCCTCTGGATTTCAGACTTGCATGGGGCCTTTAGCCCCTTATTTCAGTCAATTTCTCCCATTTGGAATGGGTGTATTTATCTAATGCCTGTAATCCCATTATATTTAGGAAGTAACTAACTTGCTTTTGATTTAAAGCCTCATGGGTGGGAGGGATTTGTCTTGTCTCAGATGAGAGTTTGGACTGTGGACTTTTCAGTTCAATGCTGAAATGAGTTAAGACTCTGGGAGACTGATGGGAAGGCGTGATTGGTTTTGAAATGTGAGGACACAAAGTTTGGGAGAGCCAGGGCAGAATTATATGGTTTGGCTGTGTCCCCACCCAAATCTCATTTTGAATTGTAGCTCCCATAATTCTCATGTGTTGTGAGAGGGAACAAGTGAGGGATAACTGAATCATAGGGGTGGTTTCCTCCATACTGTTCTCGTGGTAGTGAATAAATTTCATGATATCTCAGGGCTTTATAAAGGGTTTCTCTTTTCTTGACTCTCACTCTCTCTTGCCTGCCATCATGTAAGACATGAGTTTCACCTTTTGCCATGATTGTGAGGCCTCCCCTGCCATGTGGAACTGTGAGTCCATTAAATCTTTTTTTTTCAATGTAACTTACCCAGTCTCAAGCATGTCTTTATCAGCAGTGTGAAAACAGACTAACACAATGGTATATTTAAACAAATACATATTTAATTAAATGAAAATGGCACATTTCCATCATCAGACAAACACCAGGTTTCAGTTGTGAGAGTCTAACTCTATTTTGTAATGTTTGACTGCTGATATCTTTTAAGCCTTACCCCCTCTTCTGCTGAACACTTAGGTGAGTTGAAAAGGAAGTCTGGGCTTTCTCTCCTTTGGTGTTGGTGGGAGATTCCAACTACACAAACACCTTTTCACATTCATGAACATTCATCCTAATTCCTTGCCCCCAACTGAATTCAAAACTCCAAACTAGTTCCTTTACATGCTCTCTTTCAAGCCATTTTTGGACCAGGTTTCTCATCTTACCATGATATCACAGCAAGCCTCAAAACATGAGTGAAAAACCTTTTTATATCCTCTAATATGTATGACATTTTAAGTCTTGACCCTCAGGCCTAATTTTGGGTAAGAGTCCATGCTGCTTCGGTGAGGTGGCTAAAACACCCTGAAGATGGAGTTCTGATTCTTCTGTCTTAGAAATGGTATTTATAAGCCAGCCAACCTCTGTGTACTCACACTATGTTGTAGGTCTCTTTAGGTAGCACAATCGAATCACGCTTTTTTATTTGCTCTGTTAATCGCTGACACTTACTGGAGTGTTTAAAATATTAACATCAATGTAATTATGGATATGATTAGATTCAGGTCTACCATTTTATTACTACTTTTGGCCTGTTTTTCTGTTTCTTGGTTTCTCACTTCTCTTTTTTTATTATTTGAACACGTTGGTATTTTATCTATTAATTTTTACTGTTATTTCTTTGTATTATTTTTAGTGATTGCTTTAAGAATTACAAAATACATATCCAAATTTTCACAGTCCACTTAGAATTAGTTATTTTACCCCTTAAGGTAAGGTATAGAAATACTGTAACCAAATCGTCTCTTTCTTTTGCTTTCACTAAAGTTCTGTGAGTTTCTATATCAGTAATGTTTACATATATTGAAAACAGCGGATAATGTTAAACGTTTAACTTTAGTCATATATGTTTTAAATTACTTAAGAGAAGAAAAATTTTAGAATTCATTATTTACCATGTCCACCATTTATGTTGTTGTTCTTTCATTTTTAAGGATCCAAGTTTCTCTTTTTACCAATTGTTATTAAAGTATAATTTTAAAATTAAAAATGTATGTATTTCAGGTGTACAACGTGCTATTTTGATATATGTATTCTTTGTGAAATAATTACCATAATCAATTAGTTAATGTATCCATCACCTCACATACCTATCTTTTGTCTGTGCAATGAGACTATTTAAGATCAACTCTCCTAACAATTATTAAATGTACAATATAGTATTAACTATATTCAACATGCTGTAGGTCTCCAGAACTTATTAATACTGCTTAACTGAAACTTTGTACCTTTTGGCCAACATCTTCCCATTTCCCATTCTCTGCCTCTGGCAATCAACATTCACTCTCTCCTTCTATGAATTTGATTCTTTTAGGTTCATATTACGATATCTGAACCAGAATGATGTTGTTTTTTGCCTATGCATGTATTATTCATTGAGGTATCAATTTTTGTTTTTTGTTTTTTGTTAACAGAATGTACTTGGGGGAGTATCAGGGGGTGACCTTTAGGATCCTTCTTTCTTCTTCTCCTCTTAGTCTTCTCCCTCCTGAAAGCTTTTTTTTTCCTTTTTGTTAGTGATGTAATACTAAGATGTTGAGGAGAAGAGAATGAAAGGAACTCTTTCAAATCTACCAATCTGCCTTTCCTTGTGATTATTGACTTCATGTCTCAGTCACCATTTTGGGTCACTCAGATGTAATCTGTACTGTGGCTGTGGTAACATTATTTTTTTCTGTCCTGAAGGGGCTAATGGGAAACAGCTTGATTAGCAAATATGTCTGTCACTAAGATTTTTAAAAAGTTAAAAATATCCACTTTTATTTATTCCTCAGATCTGGAGACTAACCCTTCTCATCTCTGGATGTCATTTTCTTTCCTACTGGAGTCAAAACATCTTCTCCTTTCTCAGGTGCTTCTCCGTGTTTTGTTTTTGTTTTTTTCTTCTTACTATAAGTCTTCGTAGTCGTACATTTTCTTTTGACCTCTAGAGTATCTCCCATAATTGGAATAGGACCTGTGCTGGGTTTTCAACTTGTCAGTAATAAGCATCTGAAAGCTTACTTTTCTTTATGTAACAAAAATATTGAATAAATTTGGTAAAGTTATCGCTGTAAATTAAAATTAGTCTGTTGGAAAAATATTCAGGTGATCATTGTATTTTAGCTTTAATGAGGTACTTGTACTTTTTTTAAGGCTTCATTGTTTCTGCAGTTAGAAAATGCCACAGCACATTACTTTCAGTTAATTACAAAGAATTTAATTTTAGAGATGAATATACAAAAGACACAGTTCATGATTATCATAATAAAATCTCCAGAGAATTTAAGTGGAATATATTTTCTAGACAAACTATTTCTCTTTAAATTAAGGTTTAAAACTCAAACTTTAATTCTGAGAGAAATGTCTGACTAGACTTTTATATAAATACTTTAAACATGTTCTTGATGGAACAAAGATAACTATGGGCTGTTAGATCTCTATGCCATTAGCAACAGAATGGAGCGTTAAATTCTGGCAACTCCTGAAATAACTAACCATAATTATAAAGGCTAAGAAAAAAAAAGAAAAGAAAAAGTGCAAAAGAGGCTGGGCGCAGTGACTCATGCCTGTATGCCAGTACCTTATGAGGCTGAGGCGGGTGGATCACTTGAGGTCAGGAGTTAGAAACCAGCCTGGCCAACATGGTGAAACCTCGTTTCTACTAAAAATACAAAAATTAGCTGGGCATGGTGGCATACACCTGTAATCTCAGCTACTTTCGAGGCTAAGGCAGAAGAATCCCTTGAACCTGTCGGGGGACGGAGGTTGCAGCGAGCCCAGATCATGCCACAGCACTCTAGCCTGGGCGATAGAGTGAGACTCTGTCTCAAAAAAAAAGTAACAAAAAAAAAATATATTTATTTTATCATATAACACATTTTGAGGTAAACACTGATAAGTATAATTACATAAAGAGAAGAAATCTAATTGAAACTATGTCTTGTGAAAAAACCTAATATCTTCAAAATCTTTATCAAAGTTCACATTTTCCATTTTCATTCAAAGAACAATGGCATTTATTAAAATTCTATAAAATAAGATTATCTGAGAATCCATCAGAGTAAAACTTTACAGCACATACATGTATATATGATCCCATGTGATTAGATCACATTGACTGTAGGAAATAACTGAATTGTTGAAGAATACTTTTCATCAATATTATATATAAATCAACTTTAAGTCTTTAAAAACAGAATATTTCAAAAGGATATCTCACATTTACAACATCTTTTCTTGATAATCTAATTATTTTCTTGCTTTTTAAATGTATACATTTGACATTTTATTAAGCTATATACAAATGCAAAACTCCCATATATATGTATAGTGTGTATGTATGTCATATGCGAGTAAACCGTAAAAAACTTTTCTTGACTTCTCTTTAAGCTTCCCCAATATTCCTCTTTTTTTTTTCCATTTATCTTCATCTGTACAGTAGACTTCCAGAATGCCCAACTTGCTTACTGGATTATTTTCAATGCCTAAAAAACTTATTAACATAACATAGGCATTTAAGCACATTCAGTACTTCCCAGGAAGCCTTGATTCAGAGCTTTTTTATTCAGCACTGTCTAAGCAAGCTCTCTAGACAGTTCAACCACAATAAATATGCTTGCACTAAAACATATTTAACTGCAAATGGAATGTGTAATTTATCTCAACTCCATCACAGATATATTCATTTTTATCTAGTAGAGTTGCAAAGAATTTCTCTCCTGTAAAAAAAAAAAAGTCAAAGGATATAAAGGATATAAATATTCTTGGTGTTGTTATGCTCTTATTTTTTTGTTTTTGTTTAACTGCTCTATGTAACTTCAACTATTACAAAGATTTGGATAATTGCAAGGGCTCTCAAGATGCTACAGAACATATTCAGGAAAGGCTTTTAATAGAGGCAAAAAAATACAGGACAACAAAAGAAAGAGAATTTAGGTAGTTTTTGGAGCTCCAAAAGGCATCCAGGTTTATACTCCCCAAGGTCATTCTTATTTGCACAAAGACGTGAATCATCTTCTGATTAACATTTTAAGGTTTGTGTACTGAATTTTGGCTTCAGGGAGCTCCTGACAGACATTCCTGGCAACGTGTTTTATGCCTCTCTGGTTACTTAGCCAAGCCAGGATATCTAACCTGTTACACCAGGTGAAAGGCATCCATAAACAAACCCTGGGTGCTGCCAACGGAGCTTCAGACTTTAAATAGTGCATCACAAACCATTTGTTAGTTAAGATAGGCTTTATTTTGGCCAAAAAGGAAACTGGCATCCCAATATCCCCAGAGATAAGCATAGAGCTGTAAAATAATTCTTTCCTGAATAACAACAGTTTTATATCAACCCTAGCAACCTTATTTCAATATTATTTATTAATATGTCTATAAATACAGTACATTCCTTGGAACAGCTTTTAAAAAACATTATAGGTTCCACTTTAATATGTTGATAAGCATAGACATGCATTTATTTAATATCTGTATGTCATATATTTAAATTTTCAAATATTATAATTTGCTTTATTCCAGATCCTTCCTTTTCCTTTGACTGTCACTTCTTTTCCTTCTAGGAGTGTTTAATGGTTTTTCCCTTCATTGCTGCTTTGTAACCTTCGGTTAAGAGAATAAAGTTCCCAGACGTCATGAACTGATCCAGGTTTTCAGATTCTCTATGAATAGATTTCCTAATTATTTTTTTTGCATAATGTAATTTCAAAAGACAACTGTGGTTATTGTAGATATTTGCTGGTCCTTGTGCAATTATGTTTCCAAGATATTGAGAATGTTTTTCTCCATATTCTAGAAGCAAAATTTCACAGGAATTAAATAAAACAGTAAGAGTCTCTCTTCGTATTTCTAATTATAGACTTTGCATTCATTTTGTCTCATCTGCTGGGTTAATCCATATGCTATTCCAAATGAACAACTTAAGAACTGAGGCAACCAGTACCCTTTCTTTCTACTTTAGTTCACTGGCAAACATTGAGATGCATGCAGGACCTCTTAAATTTTTTTTTCAAACGAAATTCTCTCAATGAAGCAGAAATATTTATTTATTGTTATTTTCCCATTATTAAGTAGACAGAATACCAAAGTTAGACTAAATGCTTTAAAACGGTGTCAAATGTAATACTTATTTGTCAAAACAGATGGATTTGATTAGACAATTACACATATAATCTAATTTTTATTCTGTCTGTTAAAATATACTGAAAAATATAAAGTACATAAACAGACGACAACCTAAAGATAATATATTTTTAATTAAATGTTGTAAGTGGATCCCTTAAAAAAGTCCCTTTTTTGAAGGCTCAGGATGTAATATTAATCAAAACACATAAAGACTCTGATCTCAAAGAGTTTACTGTCACTTAAGTAAATAGAAAATAAATAGAGAAGTAAATATTTATTATGTGAAATGCTGGTAAGAAGTATGGAAAAAATATTCCAGAGTGCGAAGGATAGAATGTGTAAGTAGGAAGGCAAAGTGCTACTCTGTATAAGCTAATTAATGAAGATCTGTCTCAGTAATAAGACATTTGAGCAGAGACATGAAGGGATGAATGGAAGTAGCCTTGGAGTAATCTCAGAGAAGATCTTTTCAAGCAGAGGGAATTACATACACCCTGAATGCCAGAGCATGCTAGGCATAAGCAAAGAACAGTATGGTGTCAGGGATGGCTGAGATAGATTAAGCAAGCAAAAGACTTGGAGGGGATCAGATCAGAGAGGCAACAAGAAAACAAAACATGTAGCATCTTAAAGGCCACTTTGAAAGATGGAAAGCCATTGAGGGCTTTGGAGCAGGTGTAACCTGATCTTCCTCTAATTTTAAAGTGATTATTTGGGCGAATATGGAGAATGAGACCAAAAAATTAGTTTGCATGTTATTGAAATCAACTAGGGGAGTAGTACCTGGAAAAAGAACAGTGTTGATGTACTTGGTTGGAAGTGGTTGGAAGAAGAATAAATATTTTTACAATAAAGCCAAGAAGATGTACTGATAATTTAGGTATAGAATATGAGATGGGTGATCAGACTAGCAAGGTTATTTCAGAATTTTGGTTTTAAGTAATTCGAAGAATTAAGCTGCCATTTACTGAGATTGATGGGGAAAATTTGGAGTGTGAGGGAATCAAAAGTATGGTTTTAAATAAGTATGAATCCGATAATCCTCTCATTTGTATATATTGTAATTTTTAATTTTAATACTTTTTTCTTTCAGGGGCAGTGAAAGAAAAAGGAAAAAGAGAAGGAGGGACAGAAAGTGAAACAGAGTGAAGAGGTCAGAGGGACTGATAAAGTAAGAGAAAGACATTGCTTAAAAGAAAACCAGGAATCTCACAATTAAAAATTAAAATTCCAAATGAAAGCAGGAGATACATAATTACTGTTAGAAGGATGCTGATTCAGGTCCACGTTGTTTTTTGAAGTCAATATTTTGACTTGAATTCTATATTCATGGAAAATCACTTGACTTATTTTATTGATCTATTTTATTTATAGGTTTTTTTTTGTAGAACTGAATATATTTTGACCATCTTTGGAGAGCGGTTTAGTCAATTTGGGCTGCAATTACAAAGTTCCATAGACTCTGTGGTTTATACAAAATTTATTTCTCAGTTATAGTTCTGGAGACTGGAAGTCTAGGGTTAGAGTACCAGCATTATTGGATTTTTGGTGAAAGTTCTTCCTTGCAACTGGATGCCTTCTTGCTGTATTCTCACATAGCAGAGAGAAAGCTCTGGTGTCTCTTCTTCTTCTCATAAGGGCACTAATCCCATTATGGGCCTCCTCCTTCGTGACCTCATGTAAACCTGATCATCCCCAAAGCCTCCACCTCCTAAGACCATCACATTGGGAGTTAGGGTTTTGATATATGAATTTTGAACGACACGAACATTCATGTCTTAGCCAGGTAACAGCTCTAGGATCCTTTCTACAGCTCTAATTTACTAAAACATCACATGGATTAAAAACACTGAAAAAGTCCATTTGATATTCACAATGGTAATCTGGTTTAATCTCATTTTATTTTGTTAACTCACCTTTGTGTTGAGTATAACTTATTTTCAGAAAAGAAGTGGTGAGTGAGCAAAAATAATACATAAACACTTTCCATTCTTCAAATGTCTTCTTTGCTATTGATGAAAACAGAGCTTGGATATTTATGGTTGAGTTTTCTGAATTTATTCACCAAGAAACCAATCTTCAAGAAATTACATTTTTACTAACATCTCTGAAAAATCACATGCATACACACACACACACACACACACACACACACACATTCAATTAAAAGATCCCAGCTGCTTTGCTGAAATTTCACACATCAGCTAAGTCAAGCACCCCACTAGTCACAGGTGACAAATAATGCCTGAACATCTGCTTGCTAACAGTATAATCTGGCTCATTTACTATCACCAGTTTCCTGGTATTGTGCCCACAGGAGATGTTCAATAAATACTGAATGAAATTCTTCTACCTGTTGAGAAGACTAAATAAACCTCTGAGGTGGGGGAGTACAGATATCACAGCAGCCCTTCTTTCTCTTTTTAAATAAACAGTTGTAGGGCATATGAAGCTTGTGAAATACACTGGACATCATTGCATTTTGATAGAAGGGTCTGAGTTTTTGATGAAGTCTAGTGTACTTTACCCAGGAAATCTAAAATAGGTTAATTCCCCCTAGGAATATTTCTTAGGTTTAGGGGAATGATAATTTCAATTTCTGCTCAGTTTGCTTTCAGAGCAAGCAGTGATCCAAATGATTAAACTTCTACCACTGGGGATAGTTAGAATTCGATGTTTCAGCTAGCCATGAATGAGTCAACAAATTGCAAGCTGTTTGGCATTTTGCCCATAAGACCAGTTACTTTTAAATGTTCTTAGATAAGGCACTGAAAATTCAATAAAAATTTTTTCAAAGATATAGCAAAATACATTTCATATTAAAATATGTGACCTTAAAATATTATCAGTTTATATTTCAAAGCCTTATTTTACATTATCTAATATGTCTATTTTAAATCCACCAAGATAAAATATTTTAATTATCTTTTACTGTAAAATTATAGATCTTTATGATGGCAACATACAATGCACTTTCTTTTCCAAATGTTTTTTAGTATGTACCTTGCATATATTAACCTCTCCTAGGTTGTTATTAAATAACTTTCCTTTCTCCAACATGCCACATACATACATTCTTTCTCTAACATGATTGTCTTCTTTCTTATATCACTGAAATTACAGAAGTGAATAGAAAAGAACTTTCATATTACTTCCTTGGGGCTATCTGGCAACCTACCTTCTTATGGATCTACAAATCTTTGCCTTTCCTCATCTCAAATTCTTATTGCTCCTTAGTGCAATAGCTAACACCTGTCTTTACCTCGTCATTGACTTTGGTATAGCAATGATCCACTCACTTTCATGCATCATCAAATGATCTCAGTAAGAGTAAAGGAAGGTTATTAATACCTTCTGTTTTTAAACAATCCTTCCTAGGTCCCTCCCACTACCAACTCTGACTGTGACCTCATTGTCTGTTCTTCTTTGGAGAAAAACTCCACTAAAGATCTGTCTATATGGGCTCCTCCATGAAGTTTTTGCTGTAATATTTTGCACTCACAATTATTTTGAAATTTGTCTTATCAGGATTACTAATGACCTACATTAGAACACCCAATTGTCAGTTTTTAGGCCTTGTTTTATGCAGCTTCTCAAAAGAATTTGATATATACTTTTCTTTCCATTTTTAAATATGTTACATACTTTGGTTTTGGAAAACAGAAATATCTTAGTTTTCTCCTTCCTCATTTTTTGTTTTGATCTTCATGTAGATATCAGAATATAATTTGAAGAAACCCCCATATAGAGGAAATCTTAAGCTTTAGAGAAGATGGGATTGTTAATGATTCCGTGTGCATTAAAAGAGGGCTCAGGAAATAAATTTGGTAATAAAATATAATTTACACAATGTAAGGTATGGACTGGAAACTTGCATTGTGTTTTAAATTAGAAGCTTAATTGAGAACTTGGAAAACCTTGGTAAAGAAGATTGGTGGTTATTGAATTTAGGTACTGAGGAAGAGAGTTCCGTCACTAGTCTGACTGGTACTTCCAAACTTTAACAAGCTTATGAATCACCACAGGATGTTGTTAAATATTTTGTCAAATATTTATTTATCAAAATAAATATTTTTGATTCTATAGGTCTGGGTGGAACTTAATAATGCACATTTCTAAGATGTTCCCAGTTGGGATAGTAATATTGGGTCTATGGATCACACTACATACAGCAAGAATCCAGATTTGTTTTAAGAGGTTTTACCTTTAAAACAAGAGTGGAAACCAGGAGATTCTTAGAGTTATGAAGTCGTGTAAAATTATATTTAGAGAGACATAGGTGGAACATATTTAACAGGCAACTTAAGATGACTTTTATGAAAATGGGGGACGTAAATATACAGGACAGAAGAAGGGTGAGTGTATTAATCAGGTTACCACCAGAAAATCAGAAGGAAAACATATGTAAATATTTTGTAATATATATATATATATATATACACACAGACACACACAAACACAGAGGTAGAGATGACATAGATATATAGATATACACACATATAATTATAACAGAATAATAAATTATTATAACTATCACAGTCCTTATAGCTGGTATTTAAAACTGTTTTATTCTACTCCCTATTCCAGATTCGTTTTGCCTTCAACAAGCATTTCAGCTATTCATGGTACTTTGCTTGTGGGAGCGACCCAAACTTTCATTTTTGAAGTGTCTGGACCATTAGTAATTCTACCTATATTGGGTTGTTGTAGTTTTCCTTCAACTTCAGTCATAAGGTGTGATATTACTAAGAGACTCTTAAAGAGATCTCCTACATTCCAGACATACACTTCCTTACCTCCATTGTGGAATGGTAGTGGAAATTCTTCTTTGTAGTCAGGATTAGTCACCCCAGCCAGCATAACTCCCTTCTTTGTTCATTTATTTGGAGGCATGAGGATCCCAAAGTAGATGGGTGGCCGTCTTAATTTCTAGTGCAATGGAATGATTGTTGCATGTACTAGTGTTCCTTCCTTTGGAATAACACCTACCGACAAGCAGAGCATCCAGTCACAGCAACAGGAAGCAAAATATTTGCTAATGGATCATTAAGAGTAATAGAGTGTGGTGTTACTCACATTTCTACCCTTGGATTTCTGGACCTGTGGATTGTGACCACGCTAATTTAAAGCATATACAGCTTCCAGGAGGACATTGCCTCAAACCTGCAATGCATTGCTACCTAGATGTTCCTGTAACTGAGTCTTCAAAATGCCATTCCATCATTCTCTCAAGGCAACTGCTTCAGGATAGAGTAAAATTGATAAGATCAGTAAATTCCATGAGCATGGGCCATTGTGACATTTTATTTACTCTGAAGTAAGTTTCTTCATCAAAGCAGTGTTGTGTTGAATACTATGATGTGGAAAAGGCAGACAGTAGTTTTACATGCAGGGAAAGTTAAGTTCACATCCGGAACAAGTGTCCATTCCAGTAAGAACAAAGTGCTGCCCCTTCAATGATAGAAGTGCTTCAGTGTAATCAACCTGACATCTTGTAGCTGACTGATCACCCTGGGGAATTGTGCCATATGCGGAAATAAATCAGTGCAGGTGTCTGCTGCTGGCATATTGGGTCCTTAGCAGTGACTATAGCCAGGTTGCTTTTGGTGAGTAGAAGATCATGTTGTTGACTCATGTGTAATCCTCAACCCTGAGGGATGCATGCTTTACCAGGAGCCCACTGGGCAAAGAAGTTTACTGGTATCCACAGAATGGGATTTTCATATTATTTTTAAAATCTTCCTCTAATGAAGTCATTCTTTGGTGAGCATTTTCATGGCACACAAATATCTTCACGTATTTTTGTCCATGAATAGAGGTCTACACACACACCTTTTACATAGACCTCCTTGTCACCATCACCAATTTTTTAACCACATTCCTTCAAAGTTCTTTCACATCCAGTCACACCATTGACCAGAGCTTTGAACTCAATGTACACTCATAACTCTGGTCATTTCTCAAATCCATGACTATTGATTTCTGTGTTCCTTGTGATATAAATAAAGGTTACCTGGTGAGCATAAAGTAAGTGAAAATGAAGAAGGAACTTAAAGATAGTGATGGCATGCTTTACATGTAGAATCTAAATTTTAAAATGAAAATATCTAGGCCAGGCTGGTGGCTCACACCTGTAATCCCAGCACTTTGGGAGGTCGAGGTGGGCGGATCATGAGGTCAGGAGATCGAGACCATCCTGGCTAACATGGTGAAACCCCTCTCTACTAAAAATACAAAAAATTAGCCAGGCGTGGTGGCGGGCACCTATAGTCCCAGCTACTCGGGAGGCTGAGGCAGGAGAATGGCATGAACCCAGGAGGCGGAGCTTGTAGTGAGCCGAGATGGTGCCACTGCACTCCAGCCTGGGCAACAGAGCGAGAGTCCGTCTCAAAAAAAAAAAAAAAAAAATTAAAATATCTAGCTGGTAAACTCACACAGAGCAATAGAAGCACAGCATGCACTGATTAGAATGTTGCTGGCAGAGTACTCTCCTCTTTTTAAATTTCCCAATCTTCCCTTCGTCACGCTTTAAAAAAAGCACTTGGGGAATGGTATCAATATTTTGCTCAATATCCTGCAATGATGCTTTAATTGTTTTAACAGTTTTATCAAAATAAGATTTAGATATTTGGAAGAGATATTTGAATATTACACATTTTTCTAGACCCTTTATTATTGTTTTACCTTTCAGAGGTGCTCAGAAATATAGTAGTGTATAATGTCTGACTTAGAAGGCTATTACTATCCTAAAGGAACTATTTCTATTCTGAGGTAAAACTTTTCAAATGTTTAAAGATTGATTTATATTTTCTGTATATAACAATATTTATAATTTATTTGAATGCATTTCTGATATGTCATAACCTGCAAAACAAAACATTTTCACTGGAAAAAATATTCAGCATGTATTTAAAATTCTTAGGCCAATTAGTCGAGCTAGAATTTAGATCAATTTGTTGCTTGGCTTGCTAACTAGCATAGCAATTAAAGTATTTTCCTAGTATTTTCTACATATAAAATTGTTGCTTGATTACCCTAGTTTGAGAATCTTTAAATAATATGTCCTTTTCATAGTCAACACCAAATTATTAAAGAATGCACTGAAAAATATTGTGTCAATGTATATAAAGAATATAATTAGATATATTTTTAAAATAATCATATTACAGATTATAAAATCATTTTTATTATTACATTATATAAGAGAAAGCTAAATGTTATGATCTGAAAGTACGTGTCTCCCTAAAACTCATAGGCTGAATCTTAACCCCCAATATGATAGTATTCAGAGATGTGGCCTTTAGGAAGTGATTAGGTTATGAGGGCTTTGTGCTCCTGAATAGAATTAATGCCCTTATAAAAGAGGACTAAGGGACCTTGTTAGCCTCTTGCCCCTTCTACCAGGTAAGGACACATAGAGGATACCACATATAAAGCAGAGAGCCCTCAGGAGACCAGATTAGCTGGTACCTTGATCTTAGTCTTCCCAGCCTCCAGAACTTAAGCAATAAATTTCTATTCTTTTAAAATTACCCAATCTAAGTTATTTAGTGTAGCAGGCTGAATAAACAAAGACATCAAGTATGAAGTATATTTTCTCATATATTCTTGAAATATATATATATATATACTTATATATAATGACTATGATTCTTTTATTTTTAAAATGTATGTATCTATTTTACATTTGTTTTTATATATTCCTTGGAGTACATGTGTAGGTTTGTAACACTGTCCCACTGGATTTCGGACTTGCATAGGCCCTGTAACCCCTTTGTTTTGGCCAATTTCTCCCATTTTGATCAACAGTATTTACCTATTACCTGTACTCCCATAATATCTAGGAAGTAACTAGTTTGTTTTTGATTTTACAGGCTCATAAGTAGAAGGGACTTGTCTTGTCTCAGTTGAGACTTTGGACAGTGGACTTTTTAATTAAAGCTAAAATGAGTTAAGAATTTGGGGGACTGTTGGGAAGGCATGATTGGTTTGGAAATGTGAGGGCATGAGATTTAGAGGGGCCAGGGGCAGAATGATATGGTTTGGCTGTGCCCCAAACCAAATCTTGACTTGAATTGTATCTCCCAGAATTTCCACGTGTTGTGGTGGGACCCAGGGGGAGGTACACGAATCATGGGGGCAGGTCTTTCCCCTGCTATTCTCACAACAGTGAATAAGTCTCACAAGAGCTGATGGATTTATGAGGGGTTTCTGCTTTTGCTTCTACCTTATTTTTCTCTTGCTGCCACCATGTAAGATGTGCCTTTAGCCTCCTGCCATGATTCTGAGGCCTCCTCAGCCATGTGGAACTGTAAGTGCAATGAAACCTTTTTTTCTTCCCAGTCTCAATGGGGTATGTCTTTATCAGCAGCGTGAAAACAGACTAATACACTGGATTAATTTAAAAAACCTGTCTTCCAGCTCTGAAATTCTTTCTTCTGCTTAGTCTATCCTATTGTTAAAATTTTCAGTTGAATTTTGTAATTCCTTCCATATATATATTTTATTATATATTATTTATATATTATTTTATAATATTATATATTATATAAGATATAAATAATATATATATTATTTTCCTGCCATGTTAGAATTTTCATTTTTATAATAACCCATTGCATTAGAGTTGATGTAATCCTTTGGTGGGTCTCATAATGCCGTTTGTTACCAGTTTCAGAAATGTTATACTGTTTTTTTCTCATCTGGAGAAGATTTCACTTCTACTATTTTTGAATTTACTTTTGCTTGGACAGAACATTTTACCCTCCCTTGAGGGTGTTGCTGAAATATATGTTCGGTATGGTTGTTTGGCTTTGGCTGTAGGTACTTTCAAGGTGCCAAGGCTCTGTATGAGTTCTTTGATTATAGATAGCCTTTGTTTGGTGGCTTTCTAAAATGCTGAATATAGTAGCAATGTACTGAGCACATGAGCAGGCTCACATCCTTCTGCGGGACTGGGATTCTGGAGGTCTTAGGAAGCGTATATTTTTCCCCAACATTGTGCACTTTGGTTAGAAGCTTTGTATTGGGTTGTGCAGTTCAAACTCCAGGCCACTAAGTTGTACTTTGGGTAAGGACTGGCTGCAGTAGAAACAGTTGGAAATGTACTTGATCTTTGTATACTGGGAGGTGCTGTCTATTGTTTCAGTGATGGGCTGATCTGTGGAATGCTTGGTGCACTGAGTCCCTGGTTCAGCCCAAATGTTGGAGGGAATGATGCAGAGCAGAGCTGGACTGCCAAGTATACCCTTGAATATTCCAGTGATGAGTGTCTTCATGGAGGTGGTAGAAAGAGCTCCTCATTAATTGTGCTGAGGTGTTCTAAGTGGGGGAGGGAGCTGCACCAGCTTGACATCCTAGGAAGTCAGGAATACCATTCATTTCCTTATCATACCCCTGTCTTGGGGCTCGTGACTCCCAATTCATTAAGATGCTGTTGTCTATTTGCAGGTCACAATGTAACTGAGAGCCATAGATAACGCTTCTCCCTTGGTTCTTTGTGGAAATGGTTATGGCGAAGGGCCTCTTTCTTCAGTTTAAAACAGGCAGGTTTATGGCTTGCCTGTTCTCTGGTGCAGGAATGCTGCTGCTTCGCACAGAGAGTTGTGGAGCTCTGTCTTTCAGTGAGTGTGGGTGAGTGCCATCTGTGGTGGTTTTGGTCGGTTGGATCAACCTGACCTTAGACTCTTGGAGGAGTGATCAGGTTCCAGTAGTGGAGGACAAGGCTTGGCAATTCCCTGTTCCCCATCTATGGCCTCGATGACCACCTGGTTGGCATGTAGTAGTCCTGGAGGGACTGGACTGGGACAAGATCAGAAGACTTGTCATCAGTACCTCAAGGTTGAGGTGCTGGCTATGATAGGGAGGAGCAGGCTGGTCCCCAGGCCACCAGCGGAATGCTCAGTTGGGGGCAGAACAACTGAACTGTGGGCCTGCAATGAGGGAGTGTGGGTAATTCTCAGCAGGAGCAAAAGAGAGAGGCACCTGAGTGGTTCGTGGTCTTCCTGTGCCTCCATCCCACAGCAGCAGCAGCTTGGCCTGAAAAGGTGCCTGGTCTCTCTCCCTGTCTCTCCCTGGCCCGGTGGTGGCAGTGGCAGTGGCAGCATCTGCAGCTCCAGGACAGAAAGCAGGCCTCCAGGATCAGGGCTTTTAGAATAATGCCAGGCTGCAGATGAAATGCTCAGGTTGTGGCAGAACAGTTGTACTGTGGCCCTGACAATGGGGATATGGGACCCCTCAGAAGGAGCAGCGGAGGCAAGCAATCATGGGGCCATGGGGCGTTTTACCTATTTTTAATAAAACCATATTTAAAAAAAAGAATTTCCCATAGTACAAAAATAATTTCAACAAAAAGCTAAAGCTAGATTTTCTGAACTTTTATTCATAAAAATTTAGGGGTTCAATAAAAGTAAGGTAATAATACAGATAAAATATATGAAGATTTTAACGTTTGTATAGAAAGGTCATAATCAAATTTTGATGTAATTACCTTCCAAAATGTATTTCTAACTTCAAATTCCATTGTATCTTTTGGTCAAGTTTTACTTCACCCTTAGACTGAATTATGTTTTCCCGCCTCCTTTCTTGTATCTATGTCTTTGTGCAGTCCCCTTCCAATCAATTCCCCCATTACAGTATATCTTAGCTATAAACAGTCAGTAACAGTATCTGAAGAAAATAGTTTAATCAGCAGGGTCAAGAACAAATAGCAAAATATTAAGTATAAAACATTTAGCGAAGCTACAAGTCATTTTAGGTTTATTTATTAATCACTGTATAAAACATGAAATTATAACCCTACTTTTATTTTAAGGGAGAACTAAAGTCACATAGAGAATCAGTATAACAAATACAACTAAAAATAATAATTGGATTTTATGCTTAATGCTTATGATAGTCTAGAATAATTTCAGGTTTTTAAAAATATATTAACTCATATCATCTTTGCAATAACTAATTCAGTAAGCAGTAGGTCCATCCTAAGTATATGGATGAGAACACAGAGACACAACAGGTTAAAAAAAGAATAACTAAATTTCATCCAAGTGTATGTGGTCCCTGCAGTTTGGCTGTAGAGTACTCTTCTGTTGGAATACTAGTAAGTACATTAGTTAAATAAAGCCACTATATTTTATTGCTACTGCTAAGATAAATTAGCAGTATTAACCATGCTGAAGTTTCAGTCATGAGACAGAAAATAAAGACAGCATATATGCAGTGAAATTGTTGAAAACAATGTAAATTATAACATAAAATGATAAAAGCTGAACACAAAATGGTGCTTTTAGAAGCTCATATTATGATGAACTGAAAAGGAAAAATATGAAAGAAAGTAATTATTGGGCATTATTCTAAAAGCCCCAGTTCCTGGAGGCCTGCTTTCTGCCCTGGAGCTGCAGATGCTGCCACTGCGACTGCCACCACTGGGCCAGAGAGAGACAGGGAGAGAGAGACCAGGCACCTTTTCATGCCAAGCTGCTGCTGCTGTGGTCAAAATTACAGAGTTTGCTGTCTTAAGGGAATTCAATGCTACTGTATTAGGTTAGAATTATCTGTAGGGATACATTATAATTAGATATGTTGGTAGAATGATTAAAGCAGCATGCATTCTTTTCCAAATCTATATGGCATACGAAAAAAGTGAAGCAATATTTGTTGAGCAACTACAATCTGTCAAAAAAACAAAATGTGCTAAGATAGCGATTCAAATAAGTGAAAGAGAGAGAATATGTGTGGATACCCATGCACGTATATATGACTGTCTATGAAGAGATAAAATATTAAGGGTGAAATCTTTCTTTTCCTGTCCTGATCATTTATTACCCTATCTTATACTTTACAGATGTCCTCATTTTTAGTCAAAAAATAATTTTCAAATACATTATTATAACTCTAGTAATAATTTTAATTAATATCTTCAAATAAATTCAGATTTAACTTGAATGTATATTGACATCTCACAATTATTACATTTATGAATAATTTCTGTGAGTTCAACAGCATTTCAAAGAATAATCAGCAATAAATGGGTACATTTTAGATATTTTCTAACAGATCTTAAAGAATTTCCATACCTCTCTGAGGTAAAAGAGTAAGTAGTAGAGGATTAAAATGTAGAACTGTTCAATGAATTACATTTTGGGTATACTTACCTCCTGAAAACAATTTTTAAAATGGCTTTGGAATTTTAACCAAAATGAACCTCCATACCTCTCCTTTCATTTCACCCTTATTCCTGCTGCCCATATACTATATCTACTGATGCATAACAAATTACCCCAAATTTATCAGTTTGAAAAAAACACCTATCATCTCATGATTTCTGTGGGTCAGAGGTCCAAGCCACACTGAAATGGGTTCTTTACATACAGAGTTATTTTGAAATTCTGAATCAGGATTTTAAATCCTGAAATCAAAGTGTCATTGGGCCTACCTTTCTTTCTGGAGCTAAGAGCCTATCTTCCAGTGTATGTGGCTGGACGTAGAATTCAGCTTTTTGCTGTTGCAGAACTGAGGCCCTGTCCTCTAGTTGCCTGTCATACAGGGGCTACTCTCAGCCCTAATGGGCTCACCACACACAACTCCTTCTCAAGTCACTCCTTCCACAGTCCCTTTCACACTACTAAAGTCTGACTTCTTTTATAAACTTTCTTTACAAAGGCATATCTGACTAGGTCAGATCTGCTAAAACCATCCTCCTTTTGATTAATTCAAATTTGGCTGAAGTGCAGTCCAATCAAATAAATGATAGTCTATCACATCCACTACACCAGGAGGTGGAAACCTTGGGAGCAACTTTAGACTTTTGCCTAATACACAGTTCAAGCATCTTTGCTACTTTTTGTTTTGACTTCATGACTTACCTATTTGTGCCATTATATCCTATAGATTTTAGATAATGTTAACTTTAGCAAGAATTAGAGATGGTAAAAAGAATGATTTAATAATATCTTGAATATCATATGCTTTACCAGCAAATAAATTGATCACATTAAAGCATTAATTTATTTTGAAGTGTTTTTTTCATATAAATTCTCTTTAAAAGCATCATAGGGTAGATGTCTTTAGAGCAGAGACCAAACATCCTTTTCTTTATGATTACACTAAGAATCAAGTCAATAACAAAAAGTTTTTAAATTTTACAACAATGTTTATTTTTTTAGTTTATATTATTTATTTCTTAAAGGGATATTAAAATCTTAAATTAAGCTGAATATAATTCTTTTGTAAGTCCATAAATAGTAAAAAACAATCATTCTCTTTTTATGGATCTTCATTTTTCTTATAAAGCCAGATGAACAAAATATCTTAAAAGGTTATGACAAAAAAGAGGTTGGATTTCCTAATTAAATGCTGCTCCATATTCCTAGTGTTTTATATGTCAAAGCAGATGGCATTTGGCATGCAATTGCCTAAAACTTACATGTGTTCACCAGAGGTTCTACCAGAAATATTTCTGTGAGTGCAGAGGGAGAGTCACTTGTTCACGACAGCTATTCCACTATAAGATCATGTTAGTCAGCAAATCGTACATGAAAGGGTACTAATGAGGTTAATAAGCAGAATGTCTGTGAGCTCCCCCTGAGGAATATATCTATAAGAATATGGACAAGAATAAGAAAGTCACAGTGTACCTAGACTTTCAAAAGACTGCCAAAGGAGAGTTAGTTAATATATCCTGAATTATACACAATTATTTTAACACATTTCTACTTTTACTTTTTTTCCTCTGAAACCATATGCCTTTTGCTTGTACTTTCTAGAATTGTCATTTACCTTCTAGCATTTTGAAAAATCTGTGTTGGTATTTTATAAAAACGCTCATACCTTTTTCTTTTTGCTTATGTCTAGGTCAGTCAATAAATTTCTATTCTTAAAATACAAAATATGCTTATGAGATAAACAGTTCCAAATGCCATCCTCTTTGGAGATTATGTTGATTCTAACTGTTGGTACTAGCACAAAAATGTTATAACACAAACTAGAGAGCAATAATAATTGTAATATGTTTACAATGCTTAATCTACATAGAATACTTCGAAGTATCATTGAAATAATCTCATACAATCCTCTGGGTCTCCTTCAAATACAGAGGTTCAAACAATAGAAATTATAATACAAGTCATAATTTAAATTATTCATGATATTTAGACACATTTTTGATCTCCAAATATGAACCTGTAGTACAAAAAATATTCATCAGACCAAATGAATACTACCAGTGATGTTGCAAATATAAGTGAAATTGAAAAAAATAATTAATCTTAATACTTGAATTATAATAAATTAAAAAATTAAGCTTAACAATGCTTGTTTAGCCATAAGAGTATATTTTTCATGTCTTTAAGAGAGATTCTAAAAGTACATAAAATAAAAGGCTTATGTTCCAAGAATAGCAACATATTATCTATATTTATATCTTTGCTTATGTCTGTTTATATATAATTCCTATGTATATTTAATTATATGTCAATTATTTTTATATAAAATACTTTTATACTTAGATGGTAATTCAAAGGAAAAAATGTAAGGATCATATCACTCTTTTACAAAAATTATCTATAATGTCACATGACATAAATACATACTTTGCAAAATTTTAGCAGCGGAGACCAGCTGTTAGTCAAGCTCATATAATTTACTGTTATTTTCTGAAAGGATGTTTTTGCTCATCTTCTTAACACATAATATCTATTTGATATTATGAGGTTTCTACATAGCAGGCCAAAAGAGATTGTTAAACAAGCACTGGCTTTATCATGCTCTGAACACACAGCATCTGACTTAGACTTCTGTGGACTGAATATATATGTTGAATGTAAATTCCTTCAAAATATAGAAAAGTTCTATTTTTTTTCCCTAGATGAACAACTTTCCCTTTGCTACTTTGCGCTAACTGGGATTCTGTTATCACATACTTTTGCAGATGCAGTATAAAATCACAATTTAAATTCCTTAACAAAACCCTGGAGATTGGACAATCTAAAGTTAAAGACATAATTATTGATTTATACACAGTCCATTTTATTGGAAATATGGGTAAATATTAGAAAAATAAATTCGTTGTAAGTAGAAATATTTTGAAAATGCCCCGTCATTAATAGCAGGTACCATTTATCTAGTGTTTTATCTATTCTGCCAGTCTCCAATCCAAGTAACCACTGCTCATATATTCTTCACAAGTCTACCAAATAAGTACTATGATAAGCTCATTTTACAAGTCGGGGTATTGAAACACAGAGATGAAGTAATTCAGATAGTTAATAGCATTGCTAGGTTTTCACTGACATTGACTCCACAGGCCCCTTGCTGAGTTTGTCTAGCTAACTCTTAGATAATATCATAAGAATCATCATCATCATTGTTATTATTTTGCCCTAAGATAGCCAAAGAAAAAGACCTAAATTTTCTAAGAGGAGTACAAGTTGATTCCAGGCAAACAGATTGAAGGTCAAGGGAAGGTTTGTAGATCCTTGGCTTTACCTGTAGCTATAAACTAGAGCAGAATCCAGTTTCAGCAATGTTATATATGTAGCATATTTTAAAAGTCCAGCAGTGAAATTCCTTTTGGGAATTGTATAGCTGTTTGCATAGCAGTTTCTTGAGGAACATATAGACCTTTAAACTTCTGAGAATGGTTACCAGACACTTCATAAATTTGCTCTAGCTGTATCTCATAGTGTTCCCCGTGAACTGATCAAGCCTACTAACTACTCGATAACTTTCAAATGTGGAAACATACTCTTTTTCTCCTTCTTACGCTTATATAAGACAGTGACTGTACTTGGGAAGGCTCTTACACCATTTCTATATTGGAAAACTCTTCTATGACTTTATAAGATCATAGAGGTGTCCTGTCTCTAACTTCGTGGTGGCATTTACCTTATTGTATTATGATTAACTTAACTGATATCCAACGTGTCATTTCTCTAGTCTGGATGCTGGAGGTAAAGACGAAAAGAAGTAGCTCCTTTTTCTTAAAGGAGCTTAAAATCTCATAGGGTGAATAGGGAACTAAGTAGAGCATTGCAGGTTAAACAAGTTCTCCAGTTAACTTGATATTTTTATGATTCATGTGGAAATTGATCCATTAAGCTGTCAAAGATTGATTAGTAATGCAGTGAGATCATCCAACTGACTCCTTTTACTCTACTATTTTGATGTTCTAATTTGTTTTTTTTTCTGATACACATCAATCAATTTTCTAATTAAAACTGGCTGCTTCAGGCGTGGTGGCGGGAGCCTGTAGTCCCAGCTACTCGGGAGGCTGAGGCAGGAGAATGGCGTGAACCCGGGAGGGGGAGCTTGCAGTGAGCCGAGATCCCGCCGCTGCACTCCAGCCTGGGCGACAGAGCAAGACTCTGTCTCAAAAAAAGAAAAAAAAAAACAAAAACAAAAACAAACAAACAAACAAAAAACTGGCTGTTTATTTAGTCTTTATTATAGGAATCAAATGTACTGACTTAATAACTACAATTAGGCTAACTTACCCAGCAGGCATGGGTCAAGTACAGAGGTAAAATCAAGTCATTTAACTTGGTTATTGTCAAAAATAATATTTGTTCCTGAGATGCCATTTCCTTGTGCTTTTCCTCAATTTGTTAAGAACCTGGATATAGAAGAAAATTAATATTTATTGGGGCATCTCAAAGACCTCAATACTTAAATAAGAGAGATAAAAATGAGGTGATTGAAGTGATTGTATTTGTTGGTGTTCATGAAAATAAATTTGTGGAAGAAAAAAATTACGAGTGATAGTATTTTGGTGAGGTTGAGTATATGACCCCAAAACTCTAATTTTTGTGGGTAAGTGGGACATTTTCACCTTGGCACAATATAGAGACCAGGTTATTTGGATTTTGAGGCTGAGGAAATGGGACTTTAAATCCCAGGGCACCTAGTATTTTGACCTTGGCTTTATCCACAGTTGAGTGGCTGTTTGTACAGAGTAGAGGTTCTTTAGACAGGCGACATCAGCATCAACCGGAAATTCTCAATTTTATGGTTACCTGAAGGTATCCCAGACTGTCTACATAAGAACTTTTGAGGGTAGGGAAAAGGCATCAGAAAGTTTCTAAAATTTACCAGGTGATTGCAATGTGCAGACAAGGATTCCAGCCAATGCTGTAGACGAATAAGTTGGGCTTCAAGCAAAGATGAAGACCACAGGCAACTTACAGGTGTTGCCAGGCTTAGAAAAGGTAAAGATGCTTCTTTTTGTGGAGATCAAAAGCGAGAAGCAAAAATGAAGGCCAAAAGAGTGTGTCAGTTACAGGTTGCAGAGTCCTTAGTAATCAGGACTGGGGCATATATTTAATACAGAGAGCATGGCTGGAAGCACTTCAGCTATCTCAGCCTTCACAGTGTAGGGTACTGTAGTTCAATATACAACCACAGTGTTTCTTTCTTCCTTTTTTTTTTTTTTTTTTTGAGACAGAGTCTCGCTCTGTCACCCAGGCTGGAGTGCAGTGGTACGATCTTGGCTCACTGCAACCTCTGACCCCCGAGTTCAAGCAATTCTTCTGCCTCAGCCTTCCAAGTAGCTGGGACTACAGGTGCACACTACCATGCCTGGTTAATTTTTGTATTTTCAGTAGAGACGAGGTTTCACCATGTTGGCCAGGCTGGTCTTGAACTCCTGACCTAGTGATCCACCCGCCTCAGCGTCCCAAAGTGCTGGAACTACAGGCGTGAGCCACCATGCCTGGCCAGTGTTTCTTAAATAATAGATGAGCTTAGGCAATAATTCAATTATAAATTAAAGAGGTCTTCTCTCTCTGGACTTTTAACTGCTCAATTTTGAACTGCAAGGCAGCTCAATTCAACATGTATTTCTCTCTTTCTACGTAGCATTGCCAGACTTAGCAAGTAAGAATAGAATATTCATTTAAATTAAAATTTTAGGTAAAATCAAATATTATTTTAGTAAAAGTATGTCCCAAACATTACATGGGACACACTTACACTAAAACAAGTCATCAGTATTTATCTGAATGTCAAATTTAATTGGGCCTCCTGTATTTTATCTAGCAACCTTATATTAGTGTGATTCAAGCCTTAAATTTTTAGGCCTATGTTGGCAGAATTAGATCAGCTGTTCTGAACTCTCTTCTGCATTAAGAGCCAAGTAAAAAATTAAAGGACATTTTTGAGTATCTATAGGTTCAAAAATCTGGAGTTGAAAATAAACAATTACTGAGTAAATTCAAGGCAGGCAGGTATGTAGATGCCGCTTGTTCCCTAAGTAAATATATCTAAGAATTTTGCAAATTCAAAAACAGACAAGAAAGGTATTTTGCCTAGCACATGACTTAAGTATAATTCCTCACTAGACCTTTAGCTACAGATGCATCATCAGAGATTTTAAATCAGTAACCTACTTAAAGAGATTGTCCAGCTGATGTTTAAATGGGATGGATAACCTATGTTTTTAAAAATAATAACACTCATACAAGTATAACGTAAATAAACGTCAAGGATTTAAGTTAACTCAATGAGGGAACAAGTAAGATACTAAAACTGATTCAAAGGGGTTGCAAAGAACACACTTATACACATGTAAGGAGAATGAGATGAATTTGCTAATGGATGCAAAACCAGTTAATAACAAATGGGCATTTAAATGTAATATTTAGATTCATATTTTCTAAAGGGCAAAATTCAGTTTTATTTCCTTCAATAAGATTTACTTGCATTTGTATTTATATGACTATACGTTTTCCACAACTTCTATACCTAAAGGTTGTAAATAATCAGTAGACAATCATAAGTACCCAAACGTGTAAAACCATATAATCCTCAGAGTGTGCACCTCAGAGGGTGTCACTGAAAAGACACCCAGTAATATCTTTAGTCAAGTTTTAAGTCTTTGAAATTTTTTTCCTAATGATGAAATAATAAGGCAAAAATATTCCTCAGGCCAGGACTTTCTATAGAAGGAATGAAGGGAAAGGGCCCTGGGACTTTGAAAACACCTTCTCATACAGGTGAGGATGTTTCGTTACTAGGTAGAGTCCATAGTCAATCCACATTTCTCTAATTTTGTGGTGAAATGATTGAACCTCCTAGTGTTATTGTAATTGTTGCTGATTTTTCAGTGCTTCCATTTCTCTGCTTTCTTCTTGCACTATGGATATTTGCTTTTATTTGTTTTATTTATTTTTATCTAAATAAGTTATAATATTTTCAAGCTACTTTCTGAAGTTTACAATAGATGTAGGTGCCTTTATTTTTTCAACCAGATATCAACCTCACCCCTATATTGATCTATCATGTTGTAAGATAGTGGAAATGATCTAGAAGATATTAGGAAATGATAGCCAGTTCAGAGATTTTAAGTCACATTTATACTCTATTTTTTTCATCACTTATTACTTCATCTGTCCACTTTCCAGCTCCTACATCTAAATTCTATTTAAGTGCTGGACAATGTATGTGTTAGTATGGCTTTGTGGAAAGACATTTGAGCTTGATCAGTATCTCCATGGAGATGTACTTTATTTTCCCATTGGACATAGTCATACCTTCACACTGGCATTTATGAGGCCTCTATTTTTCCCAGATGGTTCCCAATCAAACGATCTATGCCTTATTTATTGATAGTATCACTTTGCCAATGCTTCAAGCCCTCTCTCTGTTATCCTGATTTTAGTGTCATATTCATGTGAGATTTAGCCACATAAGTTAATTTCAGTGTCTCCATTACCCTTTTGGGAGTGCTAAGTATAGAACAGTTTTCTGGGTGGCTTTGGACTGACTCAGTTCTTTTCCTTTTTTTTTTTATTTGCAGTTCTCAAAAACAATTAATAGAATGTGCTGAGAATGCAACATCTTGAGATAATAAAGAAACTGACTTGAACAGCCCAGGCTCTGTTCCTGTCCCTCTTAGAACAGGATGCTCTAAAATGCTTTATTGTAGTGATTAATGTATCCCTCATAGCTGCAGTGAAAGTGGGGCATGCACAGATGAGATTCCATCTTTCCTGAGCCTTGGGGAAATGTTGCCTAATTTTTTAGGAGGAGTTTGATTAATATAATAAAGAAATGTGAAGAAACTGAGAGAATATTGAAAGTCACATTATCAAGACGCTCATATCTTACCACAGTCTTTCTGGCTTCCATATTTAAACTCTGTGCTAGACAGGCACCGTTGTTTGCTCTTTGTCTTCATTTTCTGTTGTGATGACAGACTACCACAGAATGGGTAATTTATAAAGAATACATGTTTATTTGTTTTATGGTTCTGGAGACTGGGAACTCCAAGAGCATGGCTCTGCATCTGCTGAAGGTCATGCCATGGCAGAAGACATCATATGGTGAAGGAGCATGTGAAACAGACAGTAAAAAGGGGTCAAAGGTATCCTTTTACCAGGAGCCAACTGGAGAACTAATCCATTTCTAGGATAACAACATTAATCATAACAACACTAACCACCTCTTAATGGTTCCACTTCTTAGTAGACTGTTAAAATGGCGATTAAATTTCTAACACATGAACTTTCGGAGGAACACATTTAAACCATAGCACTACTTAGCAGGCCTATTCAAAGTCTTTCTTGCCAATAAAAATCCAGTTTATTTCCTACCATATAGGTGAAATTGTCCTTCGGGAGAGGTTGAACTCCTGCCTGGTCCCAGGGAGTGAATTTTGACGGGTGTGAACTGAACCTGGTAATCTCATTCTCATTGTCAGTAATTGATTTAGGCACAGCCTAATTGAAAGATAATGTGACTTTCAATAAAATGCTGACCAAATAAAAGTGATAAATTATTCTGAAAGGATTATGAACTATTTCTCCTCAAATTAAAAGACACACATGTACACAGATGCTTAGAAATACACAAGCCTGGAAGCCACCCTCTAGACTTGTTGGAGGAGGACAAGATTCTTGGAACTACCATGTCAATTTTGCAACCATGAGGGTAAAAGCCAATGAAATTTTACATAAGCTGAGGAGGTCTCTGATAGCAATGAGCCACTAAAACCACCAACACTGGAAATACTATACCCTGGGAAATGTTTAGAAATAAACGTGGTTTTCATTATTTAAGCCCACCTTAGTTTGTTATTCTGTAACTACAATCAAGAGCATCCTAACTGATATACTATAAAAACATTAATGGCAATTTGAATCTCTCCTTTCTAAGACCCCTGGTTCCCTCCTATAATCTGAAACACATCTTAGTATATCCAGTAAATTTATTTACTTCTGGGACATTATTATTATTCTATGTTTAGCAACATTTATTGAACACGCATTAAATACATGTTACACTATTCAATACTGTGGCGAATATAATTGTAAGGTTCTGAAGCATTCCAAAAAAGGAGGTATATTAGTTGTCTAGGGCTGCTGTAACATATTTCTACAAACTGGCTGGCTTACAATTACATACATTTGTTTCTTACAGTTCTGGAGGCTAGATATCTGCAGTTAAATTATTGGCTGAGCTATATACCTATAAATCCTCTGAAGACTCTAGGAAAGGATAGTTAGTTTCCTTCCTTCCTTCCTTTTCTCTTTCTTTTTCTTTCTTTCTTTCTTTTTCTTTCTTTCTTTCTTTTTTTCTCTTTCTTTCTCTTTCTTTCTCTCTCTTTTCTTTCTCTCTTTCTTTTCTTTCTTTCTTTCTTTCTCTTTTTTTCTCTCTTTCTTTCTTTCTTCCCCTTCCTTCCCCTCCCTCCCTCCGTCTCTCCCTTCCTTCCTTCCTTCCTTCCTTCCTTCCTTCCTTCCTTCCTTCTGCCCCCCACCCCACACCAGACAAGGTCTCACTCTATTGCCTAGGCTGGAGTGTAGTGATGCAATCATGGCAAACTGCAACCTTGAATTCCTGGGATCCAACCATCCTCCTGCCTCAGCCTCCTAAGTAGCTAGGACTACAGGTACATGCTACCAAATTTGGCTTTTTTTTTTTTTTTTACATTTTCTGTAGAGAGAAGGTTGGCTTTGTTGCACAGGCTACTGTCAAACTCCTGGCTTCAAGTGATCCTCCCACCTAGGTCTCCCAAAATCTTGGAATTACAGGCATGAGCCACTATGCTCAGCCATTTTTTGCATCTTCCTAGCTTCTGGTGATAGCTTGCAATCCTTGTTCTTCGTTGGCTTATAGCTGTACCACTCCAGTTTTCACCTCTGCATTCACTTGGCTCTCTTCTCTCTGTGTATGTTCATGTCTCTAAATTTTAGTCTCCTTGTAACAATACCAGTGATTGAATTTGTCATACACCCTAATTCAGCTTGCCCCCATGTTAACTTGATTACATCTGCAAATGTTTTATTTCCAAATAAAGTTACATTCACAGGTCGAGGAAAGCAAAAAGTTTCTGGGGACCCTATTCAACACAGTATAAGGAGTAATGTAATTTGATAATATTTGAATCTTAAAATGATTGCTCTGGCTGCAAAGGGTTACTAACACCTTTCTGTTTCTCTAATATTCCACTTTTCTAATTTGATATAGGTCTGGGAATCAGATTGCCAAATAAATTATATTAACATGTAATGAATAGTAAATTAATTTTATGAGAAATGAAGAGATCAATTCCAATACTCCTGCAGCATTTACACTATTGAACAAATCTTTGCTTTTTCTATTTTAGGCTGCTTTTTGACTATTGCATCCTTACTTTTAGATTTTACCTACTTTCTGGTTAGGTGAAGTTGTTCATGTGTTCTACAGACGAACTGTTACTGATTATATGCAATTCACACATTAAGTATACTAGCTTTCATTCATTATTTCAAAAGTTACTTATTTTCCAAGTACTATTGTAGGTTCTGGATATACATAAGTGAATGACAATAACAACCAAAATAAGAAAATGAAGTTTTCGGCCGGGCACGGTGGCTCACGCCTGTAATCCCAGCACTTTGGGAGGCTGAGGCAGGTGGATCACCTGAGGTCAGGAGTTCAAGACCAGTCTGACCAACATGGTGAAACCCTGTGCCTACAGAAAGTACAAAAATCAGCTGGGTGTGGTGGCAGACACCTGTAATCCCAGCTACTAGGAGGCTGAGGCAAGAGAATTGCTTGAGCCTGGGAGGCGGAGGTTGCAGTGAGCAGAGCAGAGATCGGGCCACTGCACTCCAGCCTGGATGACAGAGAGAGATTCTGTCTCCAAAAAAAACAAACAAACAAAAAAATAAAGTTTATGTAGCTCATATTTTAATTAAAATTGGAAAATGTAGACATTAAGAGAATACATAAAAATATAGATAAATAAAACAATAGTTGGTAATACCAATGTTGATAAGAAAAATACAGACAAAATGATACAGAATCGTAAGGTCTTTCATTTTAAATCAGGTGGTCAGGGAAGGCCTCTCTGAGGAAGTAAAATGTGACAGAGACATGAATAACGTGAGAGTTAAAAGCCATTAATGACCCCGTATTTCCCGCAGGATAAAATAAAAATTTGTATAATTGGAAAGGCCCTTTAAGGTCTGTTCATAGATTAATTCCCATCTTCATGTCTTCCACTGGTTAACATAGTTAAGGGAAATACAAAAAGCATTTTTTTACAGGATGAATATGTTTTCTATTTGCAATCCCAGAAACGACTTATGTTTACAGAGTTAAAGCATTTTAAAACATAGACACGCACACATGATTTTGTTTGTTCGATTTTGCTTTTATGTTTTCCTATGGTCACAACTGCTCAAACATTTCAAATAGTCTATCCAAGAGCAATTTCTAAGCCTTATATTTAAAACCTATCTATCTTTTATGCAAATATATAATCCTATTTGGTCCCTTTACATATATAATTAATAAATGTATGTGCTTAATTATTATCAGTAATCAAATTCATGTCAACTATTAAATTAGAATTAATATTTTAAAATTCAGTGCCTTTTAATTTCTTTCTCACATCTTATAACACAATTATAAACCATGGTTAGTATTTTAACTTTTATCAATTCCAGAACAGTTCTAGTCCTTTATCTTTCAATAATAGATAATGATGTAGATAACAATTATTAAAAAAAAAACCCTCATGTAGAGGAGCTATGAAAAACCTGTCAGTACATTCCAAAAGGAAACTGAATCTCTATAACAGCAATTAGATAAAATAATTTAATGTTCCCTCCTAGACAAGGGTCTTCAAAACCAATTAAACTAAACAAAATTATTCTGGATAATAAAGTTAACTCTCGTCACCTCTTAAACACACGTGTTCTCAATTATTTGGGATTTAACAAGGATAAAATTATTGTACTTAGGTCAAATGTGTACTCTGCTGACAAAGCAAGTGCAAGGCAGGGAATACCAAACATCTTCAATAGCAACATTTTAAATATAAAAGTGTATAACAATAATGGAGCAAATAAGGGGGATAACTTTTAACTTCAAGGTAGTATTCATCTAAGATGGAAACAAAAATAAGGAGCCCCAAACACAGGCCAAAGAAAATGTAGTTAATATGAGGCCTACATGATACTTAACAGTCACAGGTACGAGTGAGTATTAAAAGACTGAACTATAGTACTTGCATAATGATTGATAAATAGCATAATAATAATGAAGTAAATGGTAAAAGTTATTTAATAAAATGCTTTCTAACAAATGTGATTTATCTAGAAACAAGAATAGACTCTGCAATTATGATTTGGAAATTATGGCACAGATTTTGAAGTGTACGTGTGTTGGGGGTGGGGAGTTATGGCTGCAGATATTTCAATTGATTCTGATATGAAGAGTTGCCTCTAGGAGTAAAAATTCTTGGATGGGAGAGGAAGGCTGTCTCTGGAAGCTGAGAAAGACTTGCTGCATATCCCAGTCTCTCCCTCCCCTCACACATACACACACAAACACACACACAAAGAAATGCCTAGCCTTGTATGGATTCAGCCCTCACTGGGAGGTTAGTGGAAGCCCAGGACATCCGAAAGTAGTGTGGAGTGTGTATCTATTCAGTCTTCAGATGAGTCTGTGGAATATTTACTTATTTGAAAATTATCCCTTCATAGTATTTGCCATGGGCAACCAGGGTGATGGAGGGGAATGACCAATTTGGCTCTTTGTGATAAGGTTGCAGAGGAGAAAAACCACCCATTTAATCCCAGTTATCAGAACCACACCTCAACATGTCTTGATGGTGTGACACTGTGACATCCCCTTTCTCCGGCTCTCTGCAAGGGCAACAAGTCTTTCCTTTGGCTCACTCCCTCGTGTACCCTGTAACAATTAGTTTCAATAGGATCCCTGGTTCATGGTTGTTACTACATTGGTTCCTTACTTGCATTTATCTATTTTTTCATTTCTGTCCTGTTCTCAAAATTTCATTCTGGTGTAAGCTCAAGGGAGAGGTCAAGTCTTGATTGAATACCTTTCTGAAATGGGTTAGTCTAGGGTCATCCATTGTTCAAGGACTCCCAGAAAGTTTATTTTTGTCTGATATAAAGTCTTGCCCTATTTTTTATAATCATAGTAATCACCATTTAAACTTTCCTTGGTGTCGACCTCTTCTTTTTCCCCTTTGTTTTACTCCTAATTGTTAAGTAAGCCTCGGTCTGTAGCAGCCTCCCTGTGTGTAGCCTCCTATTTACACATTGGTGTGTACAAGGTGTTGCTGCCATATCACACTCTCTTGATGGAGTGAGGCTGTAAAGAGAGTCAAGCTCCTGGGTCAGACAACTAGCTCCATATATCCCCACACACCTCACTCCAGTTCTCCTTTCCGATTTTGTCCGTTTGGTCTCAGTGCACTTCACCCTCAATTCAGGCATGTGACTTGTGTTCAGATTATAAAATGCTGACTGACAGTGAAGGAAAAACCAGTGGTGAGAGAGAAGGGAAAACCTGGAAAGGCTATGGTGAGAAGCAATGAAGTCTATGCCCTGAGGCATTGGCCAAATACAATGTCACTAATGATTGTCATTTCATGAGGAAGTCTTTGAAGGGTTTAATATGGATTCTTATTATATGGAGGTTCCATATCACACCATGGCATAAGGATAGCTGAGTCACACCAAGGGTTCACATCAACAACTTCTATAAATCGATAGAATATTGAAAATATTAGAATAAGTCAATGAATAATTTGCTATAACTTGTCACTTTTTAAGCATGTTTTAAAAATAAATATATATAGTGTTTCAGTAATGAGGAGATATATTGTTATTTTATTTATATGTTGGTTTATTTATATTAAAATACTGACTGAATTATTTTTATTTTAAAATGTACAATATAGTATTGTAGACTATAGTCACCCTGTTGTACTGTCAAATACTAGGACTTATTCATACTATCCAGCTATATTTTTGTAAATATTTTGAATATTTTATAAATATTTAAACATTTTTGTAAATATTTTGAATATTTGTGAGTTTAAAAATTGAGTTTATAACTTGACCCTATGTCTGCTAACAATTTATAAAGTCATGGAGAAAAATGAAATCTTGGAAATATATTGCAACTCCTGTGTGTAAACTTGACAATTCTTCCAATGATCTTGAAATAACTAGGTTATGAGTGAATTGTTTTTTTATACAATTTTAACATACGTTGTGTATTTATATAACTAGCTTCTAATTATCTTCTTAATATAATCATGAAATTAATATCTTTATGAAGTCATAAGTATAAATATTGATGTATTTACTAATATCAACAGAACTCAAAAAATACTTTTCTGAGGACAGATCACAAATCAACAAATCTTAATTTCTTTGGATGATGAGAAAGATATACAAATATAAAAAATGAAAACTATTTGTCCTCACTTTAGCTTGGTTCACTCATTTTGCTTTTATGTCTTTTTGTTCCCTCTTATTTTTGGTTTCAAAACTATTGAAAATCCATTGCATAAACCAAAAGTAAGAGACAACAAAAAGACACAGTATAAAAGCAAAGAGACAGGAAAATAAATTGATGTAACTGTAACCAGGTCTGTTATCTAGAGAGTTTCAGAATGGTTTATTACTTGCATTTATCTACCTTTTCATTTTGGTCTTAACCTCAAAGTTTCATCCTTGTGTAGGCTCAAGGAAGAGGTCAAGTCTTGATTGAATACCTTTCTGAAATGGGTTGGTCTAGGGTCATCCATTGTTCAAGGATTCCCAGAGAATTTATTCTTGTCTGATACAAAGTCTTGTTCTATTTTTTACGGTCATAGTCAGGCTATCACGTTTTGTCCCACAGCAGGTATAAGTTGGCATTCCTGGACTAATTTCTTACCTACCGGAGGTCGTTTCCTACCACCCTTATTCTAAGACTAGAATAGGTTATTTGATCAACGTGTACATAAGAATACTTTGATCCTTTTTTTCTAGAGCACTTAAATTGTTTAACATGATTAGTTTTTAGTATTTGACCCGGACACCAAGGTGGAATCAGTTTTTACTATATAAAATTCTCTGTACTAAGGGTTTTTAACTGATATAATGCCATTGTATTAGTCTGTTCTCACACTGCTATGAAGAAATATCCAAAACTGAGTAATTTATAAAGGAAATAGGTTTAATTGACTCATAGTCTGCAGGACTGGAGAGGCCTCAGGAAACCTACAGTTATGGCAGAAGGTGAAGCAAACATGTCCTTCTTCACATGGTGGCAGCAAGGAGAAGTGCTGAGCAAAAGGGGGAAAAGCCCCTTATAAAACCATCAGATCTTGTGAGAAGTCACTCACTATCACGTAAATGGCATGGGGGTAACTGCCCCCATGATTAAATTACCTCTCACCAGGTCCCTCTTATGACACGTGGAGATTATGGGAACTACAATTAAAGATGAGATTTGGGTGAGGACACAGGCAAACCCTATCACTCATCAAGTGGTAATTTTAACAGATGAGAAAACTGAGGAAAGAAAACGTTATGTTACTAGCCCAACGTCTTGGAACTAAATGGTGCACTTGGCTGGCTTTCTCTGAGCCAACAATGTTGATCTTCATCCTACAATGGCTCTTATCCTGAGCACTCAATTTCAATGGGCACTAATCTTGTATTTTTGTTTGCATTATATCCTGGTGTATATCATGGTGTGTACATTTAACAAGCAGTAAATAAACATTTTTGTTGGAGAAACTAATGAATGGTATTGTCACAATTTTCTACGGTAAATACAAATATCATTACTTACTACACATTTTGAGTTCCTAGGAAAAACCATGAGGGACAGCCTAGAAAAGCAGTTAACCTGAACGTTGTGCACATGTACCCTAGAACTTAAAGTATAATAAAAATATATATATAAATAAAAAAAGAATAAAAGATTCAGAGATAGACTACCAATGATTGTATGTCTCTTCTACTATTTGCTAGTCGTGTGATCTTATGCAG
The DNA here is from genome assembly GCF_000001405.40 of Homo sapiens. NCBI lineage: Eukaryota > Metazoa > Chordata > Mammalia > Primates > Hominidae > Homo > Homo sapiens. Next base: position 35,276,545 of record NC_000004.12, read on the forward strand.
TTTGCCTGTCTTATGTCTGTCTAAATGTCTCATATGTAACTTGGATATGAGGACATAAATATAACTTATTTATAGCATTGTAGAGGAAATAAATGTTCACAGTGTCTGACATAGAGTTTGTTCTCAATTGATGTTGAATACTATTTTTGTTATTAATGACAAAATTGTTTATTTTAAGACCCCCAGAGGATGCCTAAAACCATGGATACTACCAAAACCTATATGTGCCGTGTTTTTTCCTATATATGAAGACCTATGATAAAGTTTAATTAATTAATCAGGCATGGTGAGAGATTAACAACAAATAATAATGAATACAATAATTATAACAATTTACTTTAATAAAAGTTATGTGAATGTTCTCTCTCTCTCAAAATATCTTATTGTACCATATTCAACTATTTCCAGGTAACTAATCCTCGAGAAAGCAAAACCACATGTAAAGGGGGATGACTGTATTTAGACTGTTCTTTGGTACAAAATTCAAGCAAAGTTGAATTCCCACCAAATAATTTATTTGTATATATTTAATGTAATCCTTTATTCATTTAATCTACAAATATTTATAATTACTAATCATATTTATAGGCATTTTGTTTGTTACTGAGATATCAAAGGGAGAAAAATAGCCATTCTGGGCCATAGAGTCTAGTGGAATAGCAATGTGAATATTCGTTACAAAATCAATGAGACATAGGACAGCAATTGTGGGGACAGGTACATTATTTATATTGCTAAAATATATTAAAAGTTATAAGAATAATAGAATACCTGTATTTGTTTCCAGAAAAAAACATAAGGAAAGGAGGAATATCAATTTAAAATAAAACTCTATAAGAAGACGGGGCCAGATCACTAGGGTCTTGTGATTTATGTAAGCATTCTTGACATTTATTTCAAATGCTCTGAGACATTACCAAAGTCAAGGAGGAAACTGAGACCTTGACAACTTCAAGTTTGCCCTGGCTCTCGTGTTAATCTTAGATTATTCTCATTAACAGAGCCAGAAACAAGCCCTTTTTATAAATTAAAAATGAAACATATCTATATTCTCCAACTTGTGATTTTCTTTTCTTGAAAAGAATAATTTGAATAAAACTATATGAAAATTGTTTGTATGCCTGATGTTCCCTTTTCTTTACATTCTAAATCTATTATGGTATCATCAATAAATGGACCTCAGCCTCTTCACATTTTCAAGTGCTCAGCATTTCAATCCCCACTTCCCCAGGAAACATTGCTGACACACGTTTTCTTGACTACATTGCAGATTCAGGTTTCCTCTGTTTTCTGATCTCTCCTCAATTCAGTGTCCAGTGTTTCATTAACTATATTCCTTCTCTTAGATTCTCCCACTGTAAACTCTTTTGTTTCCAGAACTAATCATACAGAGCAATTCTACTCTGCTCCAAAATCTCCTTAAAGATGTGCATATTCATAGTTATCACTGCATGTAGCAAAAAGCCCCCTAGTTCCCCGTAATAATCTCTTAGAAACTAGTGAAAATTATAAATCACTATTTATTATTACACCCATAGATACATACACAGACACACACAATGCAGATTTGATTCTATTGATCAGACAAAATGGCTGTATGAAGTATAAAATACAAGATTATCTATTTCCTTGTTACTAGAATGGCCTCTATTTTTTCATAGTAATTATTTGGGATATTAAATTAATATTTGCTTTGCATTTTAGCTAGAAAATAGTCAAAGGATATTAATATTTTAAACTCTCAGACCACCTTAATGTTCATAAATATTTGTGAAAAAGGGTTTGTTTAAGCTACTATATTAGAAGTGCTAAAAAGTAGCTGCAGGCATTGAACATTGATAGCTAGACAGATGATTGCTCTGAAATAGCCCTTGGTTACAATTGACAAATTAGCCTGTGACTGATTACACTCCTCCAAATAGTTTATGTAGACCTATCTTATGGATTAGATTCTGTTAAAACATTTCAAATAAAACTTGTTTTCCCTAAGTTTCAATAAGTTTTTTTATTAATAACAACCTTAGAGTAAAAAAAAGGGCAGATTTTATCTAAGGAGTAATAAAGGGAATACATAGAATTAACTATAAAGCTGATGCCCCATTAATCCAAACAACTATCATTCTAGATACCCAGAGACACAAAGACAATTATTTTAGGAGCATCAAATTTTAATATTTCCTCAATCTACAGTAATGGTACAAATGAGATAGCAATTTCCCAGAAGAAACCTGAAGCACAGGTAGAGTGTGATCATGAACGTTTTTATGCTTACCATTAACTGTAATATAGAGAGCATCTAAAACGTAGTAAATGATTCTGAAAGATCTTTCCCTTTGGAAAGTAAACGTGCTCATATTTCACCAATCATTGAACAAGCAAACAAAAACAAACCTTTATTAAGCCCTTTGACCTTACCTAACATCACATCTCTTTCGTTTCCTTGACCTTTAAGCTTTGTGCTAGTGTTCCACATTAAAATTCTGTTTTATTTCTCTTTTATTTCTCTGTCTTTCAATTCACCTCTCAGGTCATCACTACTGAAATCTTCTTTCTAAGAAATTCAAGGATGAACATATTACCAAATTCATTAGATAATTTTGGGTTTTTATCCCTTTGATCTTTCTGTCAATTTTAGCAATAATTCAAACCATCCTCCTTGAAACTCTCTTTTCCCTTACAGGACCACTTTCTTCTGTTCTTCTGATTGTCTTCTATCTCTAGCTTCTCTTTTTTCTTATAGTATTTTGACTTCTTTTTCTTTTTTTTGCATATTGTTTAAATGATTTTCTAAAAACTATTTAATAGTCCTTGGCAAACTGCTCTTATTTTTACACTCTCTCAAATTAAACACCTCTACTGCTTCTCATTTTATCCCCAGATCCACTTTGGATGCTGAGATGTAGGACTTTATTCTCAGTGCAACAGCTTCCATATTCCTTAGAGACTGCCAGCCATTTCACAAAGTTAATTACCGCTATTGTATTCACTCCAATCCACCTTCCATCGAGCTGTAAAAGTAAAAGAATTATTTTGTAATGTGAAAATCACCTAGTCAAAATTCAAGAGTTTCATGTTTTTCAGGAGAGATTTCAAACTCCTTACCTTTGTGCATATGAAATCCAGCCCCCTTCCACCAGTTTTACATATTTTTTCTCTCCGTAAAAAGCTCTTTAATAAAATCACATGATTTTTCTTGTTTGTATAACATTATTATATTCAGTCTTAAATTGAGTACCACATGTTTGTCAAGCACCTTTTTCAAGCTCTGGGCCAACAAAGAAGAATACAACCTTAAATCTTTTTTTTATTTTATTTAATTATTTTTTACAACAGAGCTCTCAATCTACTAGAGTGAAGATGCCAAATAAAAAGATAATAGCAATACAGGGTATTTAGCGTTATAATGATAGAGAGAGGTGCATGTAATATATAGAAGAGGATAGCTTAATTTAAACTGGCTTGGGCCATGGAAAACTCCTAAGAGAAGAGAATGCATGTATTAAATCTTAAAGAATTCAAAACTTTAGGTGAAAAACAAGGTAAAAAATGAGGTATTGAATGTCAAGAGCCATTTTAAAACATGTTTTCCAACTATCTAGCAATATATGTTGCTAAATGCTATCTCTAGCCTTAAACTTTCCCTGATCCATGATTTTTGTTTTTAACAACTTTCTCAGTATCTACACTTGACTGTCTAATACTCATCTAATTGTTTACTATACATCTTCTCCCACTAAAATGTGCTTAGGAAGTGACACATATTAGTTACTTAATAAATATTTGGTAGTCAGCATCGTAAATATAGGATTTCATTTTCAAACCACATAAGTCTTTTGTAAATGCCAGTACTATTGAGAATTTGAAAAGTCAGATGCGCTATAAAAGAAGTAAAAAATGCACTGTGAATTTTTTTCTACTATTCTAAAATAAATAGATGCTAATACAGTTCTCCTATTGATAGGAGACTTTTTGGATCTTGCACTATTTTTTTTATTGGAATAAAGAATAAATACTCTTTATCTTCATATATTGGTTCTCTTCAAAAACTTTTAACCCAGCACTATGTTAAAATGTTTACATATCATTACATGTAATGCTTGCAACTAACATCTAAGATAAGTTCAATCATTTGACTCAAGGTTTAACAAGATTAAAAAGCATGGCTAAATTGGAAGACAGCGTGAAGATTTGACTCTGAGAAGCCTAACCCCACATCATATGTTTTAAGCTATTCTCCTCTCCATAGTTTGATGGATGTAAAACAATATTTGTAATAAAGAGATTTTTATTCTTTCTTCTAAAATTAAACTAATTTGGATTCTTTCAAAACCTCAATTATATGAAAGATATCCAAATAGCAGACTTGTTTTTTAACATAAGTATATTTGATGTGGTATCAGAGAAAATGCAGACCAGTTCTATGTAACAAAATTACATATATGTGTGTATGTGTTACAAATATATATCCACACACATACATATAAACATTATATCTATAAATGTATGTATTTGTAAGCTTTTGATGATAAATATTTATTTATAAAGTCACAGTTATTCCTTTTGCTCTCTTTGATAATGTGCAAGTATTTATTAACTTTTAAAAGACACACAATATATATTTCAGTGCAGGTAGACTAGCCTCCTTCTTTTAGTTTTCCTCAGCAATTTATACCAGCTCTTTGCTACCACACTTGTTATTAATTAAAAATGCCCCTAGTCATGTTTGACCTCTAGTTTTAAGTTAAATAAAGACATTTTAATGGATTGGACTTAAAATTTACTCTATAAAAATATCCAACCTCTCTTTTTTCCTTTGTCTTTGTAATTTGTCTTCTAAAACCCCTTTGATAATCTCTGATGGTAGAGCGCTATGTAGGTTTATTATTTCTAAATTTGTTTCAAAGACCTGAACTCGTCACCTCTGGCCCAGAGTTAATTAAATACAGGTATAATTTCTAATTTCCCATTAAACTTGTTTAGCAATGTTATATTCCTTAGGAGTAGTTTGGTTTATTTCCTTTTTTTTTTTTTTTTTGGACAGCTTGTGTCAAAAATTAATTCTGATTTCAAACAGATGAAATTTCCTCCTATCCAGTGTCTTGAACTATCCCAAGACCTGCAATAGGCAAGATTCAACTAACTCTTCCTTCTGATGATTCTTGTCTTAAACATTTCAAACAACAAAGTTCCCTCCTGAGAAAATTATGTTCAGTCACTATCACCTTTAAGTGAAAAGATTTGGCTTCAAATGTTCTAGGATTTTTTTTCTTCTTTGTGAACAGTAGATTATTATTCTTTGTACTAAATTAATGTCTGAGCAAAGTGAATGTCAGAAATTTGGCCCATGCAAAATTCCATTTTCTTGTCAGTATATACCAGGTCTTTTTGGCAGAAACTGAAAGGAATAGCAAGCCACTTTGAATAAAATGTGCTGTAACAACCAAAGGGAAACACCAACACATTAATTTTGCTGCTCAATTGTTAAGTTATAGCCATAGCAAAATATGGACTTAAAACCCTGCTTTATAACAACGTCTTAATAGAATCAGTGCTTTACCAAAATGTTACACCTCTCATGTTTGTAATTAAGCAGCATACTTGTATTGAGTTACTCTAAATTATTTTTAATTTATAAGCAGTGAAGACTTTTAAGTACTTCTATTGAGTTTCCCCATAGAAAATAACTAAAACATATACAGGCAGATGGTAAAGCATATTTTGAACCCAGAATGAGACAGTATTGAATCTCCCACATTTTCTGATAATTTCAACATTGTAAATGTGTATACAATACATACTAGGGTGCACTGACTTATCATCGCACTGTGGGCCAGCTCCATTTTTCCCACCTACAGAAAAGTGTTAGGAGTTTATTTGTTAGGTTAATTTTGTATCTTGGCTATTTTGAATAGTGCTGCAACAAACATTTCTTTTCACTTCAATTTATCTTATGGTTAGTTCAGTTTACATAATCTTTTGAGAGTTCTAATGCATTGAAAAAAGTTATCTCTTTACAGTAGTTCAGATGAATTGAGCAAACCTTGAGGCAACCAGGGTAGGTAGTAATCAACGAAAGGCCCTCAACTCATGGATTTACCATAAACCCCAAACATAAGTAATGAGTGATTGCTCACCTGCATGGAGATGAACACACTGCCTAACTTGATTTATCTTCTATCAAGTCTTTATTGGTTAGCTTTTGACACACACACAGACAGACAAACACACAAACACACACACACACACATACACACACTCCAAAATTTAGTAGCTTGAAATACAACCCATTTACTTGTTTTACTTTTTTAGTAATACATGATAATTGTACATATGTAGGGGTAAACTTTGATATTTCAGAACATGTATAGAATGTGTAATGATCAAATCAGGACCACTAACTTACACATTACCTCATTTATTATGTATTTGTGTTGGAAACCTTCATAATCCTCTCTTTCAGTAATTAAAAAATATACGATGAATTATTGTTAACTATAGTCGCCCTACAATCTTATAGAAAACCAGGAGTTAATGCTCCTATCTAGATGTAGTTTTTTATCTGTTGATTAACCGCTCCCTATCATCCTCTCCCTCCTACCATTTCCATCACCTAATAACCACAATTCTACTCTCTTATTCTATAGCTCAACTTTTTCAATTCCACATTGATACGGTTTAGCTCTGTGTCTCCACCCAAATCTCATGTTGAATTGTAACCCCCAGTGTTGTAAGTGAGGCCTGATGGAAGGGGATGGGATCATGGCGGTGGTTTCTCAGGGTTTATCATCATCCCCCTAGTGCTATTTCATGACAGAGTTCTCACAAGACCCGGTTATTTAAAACTATGTGGCACCATCCTCTTTGCTCTCTCTCTCCTGTTCTGACATGTGAAGATGTCCGTGCTTCCCCTACACCTTCTGCCATGATTGTAAGTTTTCTGGGGCCTCCCAAGCCATGCTTTCGGTACCGCCTTTGGAATTGTGAACCAATTAAACCTCTTTTCTTCATAAATTACCCAGTCTCAGGTAATTCTTTATAGCAATGTGAGAACAGACTAATACACACATATGGGTGAGAATACACGATATGTTTTCTTGTAACTGGCTTATTTCACTTAAGAAAATGAGCTCCAGTTTCATTCATGTTTTCATAAATAAAAGGATTTTATTCTGTTTTATGGCTGAATAATATTACATTGTGTATATATACTATATTTTCTTTACCTATTTATCTGTTGATGGACACTTAGGTTAATTTCATACCTTGGCTATTGTAAATAGTCTGCAATAAACATGGAAATGCATGCATCTCTTCATTATACTGATTTTTTTCCTGTGGTAAAGAATTCAGTAGTGGATTGTTGGATAATATGGTATTTTTATTTTAATTTTTTGAGGAACCTGCATACTATTTTCCATAATGTGTATACTACTTTACATTCCCAACAACAGCATATAAGAATTCCCTTTATCTTTTTATCCTCACTAGCATCTGTTACTTGTGTCCTTTTGATAATAGTCATCTAATTGGTTGAGATGATACCTCATTGTGGTTTGGAGTTGTATTTCCGTGATTAGTGATGTTGAACATTTTTCATATATTTCTTGGCCAATTATATGTCTTCTATGGAGAAATGTCTATTCATGTCTTTTGCCCATTTTTTTTCAATGTGATTATTTGGGAGTTTTTGGTGTTTAATTGATATCTTTTTTTATTCTGGATATTAATCGCTTATCAGATGGATAATTTGCAAACATTTTCTCCCATTCTACAGTTGTCTCTTCACTTGGTTGATTGCCTTCTTTTCTGTGCAGAAGCTTTTATGTTTGAGGTAATACCATTTGTCTATTTTTCCTTTCGCTGCCTGTGCTTTTGAGGTTTCATCAATAGAATCTTTGGCCAGACCAATGTCCTGAAGCACTTACTCTGTGTTTCCTTCTAGTAGTTTTATAGTTTCAGGTCTTACATGTAAGTCTTTAATCTATTTTGTTTCATTTTATAAATGGTGAGAAATAGGGGTCTAGTTTCATTCTTCTGCATATGGTTATTCAGTTTTCCCAGCACCATTTATTGAAGTGATTGTCCTTTCCCCAATGTATATTCTTTACACCTTTGTCAAAATAAATTGACTTTAAGTGCATGGATTTATTTTTGGATTTTCCATTCTGTTCTGTTGGTCTGTGTGTCTATTTTATGCTAATATCAATCTGTTTTGGTTAATATATCTTTCTATACAATTTGGAATCAGGTAGCATGATGCTTCCAGCTTTGTTCATTTTGTGTAGCATTGCCTTAGCTATTTGGAAATTTTTTTTGGTTCCATAAGAATTTTAAGTTTTCTTTGCTATTTCTGTGAAAAATGCCATTGGTATTTTGATAGGGATTACACTTAATCTAAGATTGCTTTAAGTAATATAGATATTTAAACAATATTATTTTTTCTAATTCATGAGCTTGGGATAACTTTTAATTTTTTGTGTCTTCTTCAATTTTTTTCATCAGTGTTTTATAGTTTTCTTTGTAGAGGTCTGTCACTTCTTTGGTTAAATTTATTTCTAAGTATTTCATTACTTTTACATAACTATGGTAAATGGGATTGATTTCTTGATTTCTTTTACAGCTATTTTGTTGGTGGTGTGTAGAAACACTAACATTTTTTTCATGTTGATTTTGTATCCTGAGAAATATCCTGAATTTGTTTGTCATTTCCAAGAGGTTGTTTAGGGAAACTTCAGGTTTTATAAAACATGAGATCATGTACTTTGCAAACAGAAATAATTTGACTTCAAGGTGCATATTACCCATTTGATTCTTATCCTATGATACTTTGCATAGTTTTAGGTGTGTTCCTCCTAAAACACTATCTTTTATTGAGAAAGGGTTCATGCTTTACAGCACTTGTTTATCCAATGTCGGCCACAAGGCCCTAAACCTGCAGATACTCAACATGTTTGATGACTATTGATGATTATAAGAGCCCATAATCTCAATATTATAACGTGTAGAAAGGTATTTACAGTACAGTGTAAGTGAGGAAACAGTGATGAAGGGTGGGAAGATAAAGTTGGTAATTTTAATACTTGTTTTAGTGTTAGCATCTTCGGATTTTTTTTTATTTTTTCTAGAGGAAGGCAAATAGGCAAATGTTATATTATAGTTTGTTCCTTCCATTCCTCCATCTTCCCCTAAATAACTGAGCTATTTGTGGCCTAGCAATATAACACCCCATCAAAGATCTTACAGGAGAAAAATCAAAGGTATAAAGAAGGAAAGAATACATCATTTGCAAAAGCACTCATTTTTCTTGAGTTTCCCAATTACTTCCAAGAAGCCAAGGATTGCTTACTCTTCCTAATAATTGTTTTGAGCTCTATTTTGTTTTAATAGTCAAAACTCATATGATTTGGATAGAAATAGTACTCTTCAATGGAAGAATCAAGTTATGGCAGAAAATTAATCGAGTCATGTTCTAAATTAAAGATTTAGGTGCCCTTGATTCTGTCCTCCTTAAGACCTTGCGAAGGTTCAGCTGACAGTCTGGTTTCTATTTCAAAGCATTAAAAATGAAATCCTAGGGAAGAAATTCTGTGACTTGATTTGTTCTTGAAATTAAAATAAGCATGAAAGGAAACAGATCAGTATATGCAAATAAGAGTTTAAATTAATAAATAATTGCAATAATAATAATACAGTATAAAGTAAACACAAAAGTATTACCTGATAATTGTTCTTGATGAAAAATACAGGTTTCACATCATCAAAACACTTTATATTCTGATGCTGTTTGGAATTAATTGTATATTCTAATCAGAAAAGAATTGCAAAGTAAATACATATTAATTTAATTGGTTAAATGTTAAAAAATATATGTTTTAATAAGTACTAGTGTTATGGGTGCATTAAAAAAATACAGCTCATTCAGCACAAAGTGAATCTATGCATAAATGCCAGAATAGCTAGTGGGTAAATCTGACCTGTTACTAGAAATAGCTGGTTTGAAAGCTAATACTAGGGATTGGTAATGCTCTTTCCTCAAAGCACAATACAGATTTATCATGCTTTTCCTTTGGGGTAGATGAAGTGCTGACATAACAATTCATTGCAGAAATCAGCCTGTTCAAATCCAGAAGGACAAACTACTTCAGAAACACTTTGCCTCTTTAAAGGCAATTTTTAGAGCTGTTGAACTCTGGAACTTTGTTCGAAGTATTTCCTCGTTTAAGAAACCACCTTAAATAAATCTATCTTGTGACCTTCAATTCTCATCCCCTCTAGTATGTATAGCATGTTATTGAAAGAGAAAAAATTTCTCCTCTTTTACTTAAATTTGCATGTATGTAGACTTATATCTACTTTATTATAATTTCTAATTAACTGTCTAAATGTTTTTCGCATATGACCTCTTTTGGGAAAACAGAAAAAACAGAAAACTGAAAAACACCAGATCTATCTTTATATATCTTGGAGAAAATATTGTTTCAAAAGCGTACACCCACGCACCCACGCACACACGGGCGCGCGTGCACACACACACACACACACACACACACACACACACACACCTTTAAAGTTATTCTCTTAGATATCCTTCCAGGCTACGACAGCATTCTATTTTCTTAAACTAAAGCAATTGACTTATACTGCTCCTTCTGTCTTCAGCAGTTTAAATACTATTTTGAATTCTCTAAACCCACTGTTACATATTTTCACCAAAATCTTGCACAAAAGTGTTATTTTTGCACAAATATATAATGAAGTGATATTTCTATTTAGAAATGTTTACTCACGTTGTTACAGTTTCTTACTGTTTAACGTAGAATTCAAAAGCCTCCAGTTTTCCTGCATGCATCTTCTGAAAGGCGGTAAAACTTCCTTTTTGGGGAGCTCAGGATCTGGAGCCTCACTGGCTGGAACCAAGGCACAATTCTGATGCTTACTTATGAAAAGTTAGTCAAATCATTGTATAGTGATGGGCCTCATTTTCCTTATCTCTAAAATAGAGGTAATAATTACATTTTCCCTGTATACTTGTTTTAAGAATTAAATGTGTTAATACGGGTAAAACACCTAAATGGTACCTGGAATATAGACAATGCTATTTATTATTTGCTATAATTAAACACTATATAAATTCAAATAACACTCGTTTATTTGCTCTAATTTTATTTTACTCCAGTTTCTCCAAAATTTGAAATTTTTATAAACCACGCATTGCAACCTCCCACACATTTGTTTGACATCTATAAAATGTTGTGCATGTTTCTAAGTATGTTCTGTACCACATACAGCTGTAAGTGCTCCAACTAACAAAACCAGACAGGTGTGCAGGAAATATTGTGAAAACCAACCTATTGATGACAATGGTGACAATGACAGTTGACAAGAGGAGAGCGATTATTATTATTTTTTTATTATTATTATACTTTAAGTTTTAGGGTACATGTGCACAACGTGCAGGTTTGTTACATACATATACATGTGCCATGTTGGTGTGCTGCACCCATTAACTCGTCATTTAGCATTAGGTATATCTCCTAATGCAATCCCTCCCCCCTCCCCCCACCCCACAACAGTCCCCGGTGTGTGATGTTCCCCTTCCTGTGTCCATGTGTCCTCATTGTTCAATTCCCACCTATGAGTGAGAACATGCGATGTTTGGTTTTTTGTCCTTGCAATAGTTTGCTGAGAATGAAGGTTTCCAGCTTCATCCATGTCCCTACAAAGGACATGAACTCATCATTTTTTATGGCTGCATAGTATTCTGTGGTGTATATGTGCAACATTTTCTTAATCCAGTCTATCATTGTTGAGAGCGATTATTTTTAATGATGCATCTGGAGCTTCTTTGAAAATTCTAAATGTTAATGAAAATGACATGTTAAAAGTTTTGGAAAATGTGTAAATTCCAAAAATTTATAAAACAACAATAATTTAAAAAGCAACAAAACGCTTGAGAAACTGCAGAAGAGATATCAAGGAAGAAAGATCAAATCAAAGAATAAAACTAAAAGCCAAATCTATTAAAACATTAAAACATGACAAAGGGCCAGGTGCAGTGGCTCGCGCTTGTAATTCCAGCACTTTGGGAGGCTGAGGCAGGCGGATCACTTGAGGTCAGGAGTTCGAGATTAGCCTGGCCAACATGGTGAAACCCCGTCTCTACTAAAAAATGCAAAAATTAGCTGGGCATGGTGGTGGTCATCTGTAATCCCACGTACTCGGGAGGCTGAGGTAGGAGAATTGCTTGAACCCTGGAGATGGAGGTTGCAGTGAGCCGAGATCACGCCACTGCACTCCAGCCTGGGCAACAGAGTGAGGCTCCATCTCAAAAAAAAAAAAAAAAAGTGACAAAGAACAAAAAGAGAATATACAGCAAGTGGGAAGGGAGCCATTCGTAGTCATGTAAAATGTACATTATTATCAAGATGTAATCAACTTGGAAAAGCACAACTTCAGAAATAGGTATTACACTTTTGGCTATTGTAAAGCTATATATTGTCAGTAAGAGTAAAAAGATAGAGGTAAGTTCTATTGCACCTCATTGATAAATATTGGTATTTACTAGAATAGTGTGTATATCTAGGAATTTATCATTATTGCGTGTAGATTTTTATAGAATGCTTTGTAAATATATAATAATTGAAAATATATTTTTCCACTCTCATTATGCTGTAAGTTTTTAAATGTTTGCCTTAGCAATTGTTCATGATATGAGGGACTTAAAGATTCGTTGAATTGAACTGAATTCTAGCCTTTTAGTTACAATTTACAAATTACCACTAAAAGGAGCTGGTAGCACAATCTTCAGAGAGATTTCTGCTCATGAAAATACCTCTGATTAACTGATATACCCTCATACTCTGATAACTCATATACCCTTGACAGCAAAATGGTGGGACAAAATCTGGAAGGGCATAAAGGAGTGATGAGTGAAACTGCCCTTTACTAATGATATTACATGTTTTCTAATACCATAATTTAAAGAGGGAGTCAATTATTTTTAAGATTTCTATTAATTTTAATTACTTTGGGATGTCCTAGGAGGAATTTTCTGATTCTTGAATTGTTATGCTGAGTTTTTCATTCATTTCTTTAATTTAGAGCTAGAACATTAAAAAAATAAATATTTGAAAGAAAAGCAAATCTCTTTCAACAGGAGAAATCTTTGTACTCAAAACAAGCAGTTATTTAGAAATTTAAGAGTCTCTAATATTTCATTGTTTAAAGGACATTTTATATATTAAATATCTGAGCACTTCGGATCCTTGGTATTAATGTAAATCTGAATAGACAAATTATTTTTGAAACTAGATTAAATTTTCCCAGCAATGAGACAAAATTCACTGTTCTTAAAACTTTTCAAGATGGCATGAATATTAACAAACTTAATAGAACTTGATTGTAGTAGGACAACCCTTTTAATCTTGTTTGAAGCCACAAAAGAATCAAATCTCTCCGGATTAAGATCGTATCATTTCATGTGTTGGAGAAAAATACACTTTTTAATGAAATGTTTGACTAGACAATTTTCATTCCTCTTTGAAAGTAATTTTTGAACATGAACTCAAATTCTTGTTCTATGCCCACAGTACTACACATTTTGTAATTATTAGATCAAATTCTCTTTTGTAATTTCTACCTTAATGAATGGCCTTCCTTTTATCCGAGTGGAAAGTTTTGAAGCCTGAGGAATATTACATTAACTTATAGATATTGTTATATAATCTATTATATCATATTATATCCTATAATAATACAATATTTATATTATTATGTGATATATTATTTTAATATCATATATATTATATTACATATTATATAATGTTATATTTGTATATTATAAATGTTACATAACCTTATATATAACTTTGTTACATGTTACATAACCTTACATAACCATATATGTTACATAACCTTATAACCTACATGTACTTCTATATATATAAATTTAGAATTCCCACCATTATACATTTGGAAGCAAATTTTCATATGCATGATATGTGTCATTTGCAGTTATCCAGGCTCTTTTTAATTGTGTTTAAATAAAATGCATAAACATTATGTAACATTAATTTCTTGAGATTATTAGTAAAAATATTTGTGACATTATTTCTTTGAGTCACAATTTTGTTGTCTTATTTCCAGAGTTCATAGAAGCTAAATTCTCCTAGGAAGTGAATCTTTTTTTCACCTTGTCTGCTTCTCCCTTCTTTAAAAGACAGTACTCCACAGTCAAACCCCAATGGATGTATTATGAAACTGTAATTTTTGATGGATGTTCCAATGTGGGAGCAAAACTTGTCATTGTGTTATATAATGTATGCACATTTTCTTTTCCATCATTTCTTCTTTGAAATTCAAAAAGTACTTCAGATATTATGATGTTTCCAAACTGTCCTCAGAGATCGCCATGCTTATTGTCAATTGTTTCTGAAAAGGGAAAAGGAAACTCAAAGTGGAAAAGCTTTGCCAGCTTAGTGCTTTTATATTGTCTTCTATGTAGCAGAACATTAAATCTATCATTTCTAAGACTGTTCTGAGAATCTCATAATTGCAGCACTTAGATTTAAGAGACATAATTTATCATCATTCTGTTTGCAATTGCTGTAGTATTTCAGTCAAATTCAAAAGTACTTTTCTAATTTTATTTCTGAAGGTTATATTGACCTTTCCTTTAAGTTATATAAATAACCTAAGTCTGTCTTTCATTAGTAAATCTAGTCTGTGTGGCAAAGTTAAATGTTAGCAATTTTTGCATTTCTATATACTAGTATAATTACTTGTTTTTGTTGTTGATAAAATATTTTCTATTTATTACTCCTTCCAGCATAAATCACAACTATGGAAAGACTAACTTCTTCTGGCCTTTTATTTCAAAGTATATCATGATAAACCTTCTCTTAAAATGTTTTCAAGTATAATCAACCTAGATTTTTATAAAACTTGTGTTAGTTATACCTATCTAAGTAGATGTTTAGTTACACGTGTGGAATCAGCCTCATATGGCTTTACACAAGCTAACTTGTAATGCACAGGTTGACAAAAATATTTATGTTTCCACATGTAGTTAACGTTGTATTTTCATTGCTGTATTTCCTTATAAACTCAGATTTCCTTGAAATTGTTGATGGATTAGTTCCCTTTCAAGCAGAAAAACTAAATTGTGTAACATCTATTATGCATTATTGTTGTGTATATATATATATATATTTGTATGTTATAGCTGTTTTTGATAACAACATGCTTTATTAGCACATTTGAATAAAATTTACCCCAATGAATAAATTAAAATAGCATCAATGTGAATTAATTTCTTCAAACACTTGATATCTACTTGTATTGTTTATCAAATCCCTCCTTTCATTTTCACTCCAACTTTCGTCGACCTCTCTTTCCCACCTACCTTTCTTTTAATTTCCAGCAGGTATTGGTATTTTCCATCTCTGCCACTCCTCCTATAAGATCTGCTATATATGAGCCATTCAAATTCACTTGAATTATATGGTTGTACTGTTTATAGCAATGTGAATAGCATTTATTAAGGCCTGCCTAACTTTTGAGCTAGCCATTTAAACCCAGGGTACCATTTAATGTTACAAATTTATAATTCATCTGTTTTCTATATTTTCTCTACACCAGTTCTAGTTGTGTCGATATGAAAGTGTTATCTGTGATTGGTGAGACAAAGAGCTTGAATCAAAATGTAAATCAAACACTTTATAACGCACTCTCTTTAGTTAAGCTCCCATTGTATTTTCAAAGCAAGGCTTTCTTGATAAATGAAGCAGTGCATTAACTTAATTCAAGGAATTTTTTTTCTTTTTTTTTTTTGAGACAGAGTCTCGCTCTGTCACCAGGCTGGAATGTAACGGTGCGATCTCAGCTCACTGCAACCTCTGCCTCCTAGGTTCAAGCGATTCTCCTGCCTCAGCCTCCTGAGTAGCTGGGACTACAGGTGTGCACCACCACGCCCAGCTAATTTTTTGCATTTTAAGTAGAGACGGAGTCTCACCATGTTGGCCAGGATAGTCTCCATCTCTTGACCTCGTGTTCCACCCGCCTCGGCTGCCCAAAGTGCTAGGATTACAGGCGTGAGCCACCGCACACGGCCGGAAGAAACTTTTTATCTCTTCATAACATTCAAACAATTCTTGGATCTGTGTTACTCTATGGATGACTCTTTTTGTTGCTCTGCTGGTACCCTAGCATCATATGTGGATACTTGTAGCTTTTCTAATCTCCCTGGAAAACTCTACCTATGTAATTTAGCTTATGCTACTTTCTTGCATAATAAGGACCTACATTTTTGGTCAAATTTTATGGCTGATCTAAAATGCCATTAAGAATTATCTCATCATCTCATTGAGTAGTTTATTCATTCTATGATTCCATGTTCTTACTAATGTTTTCCAGGAAGCCAGCTGAAATCAGGTGATATAGAAATAATTACTACATTTCTCTGTTTAAAAATGTCATTTGTTTATATCTCTGTGAATAAAATGAGTCTTAAGTTGATGGAAACTTAAAATTACTATTAGCAAAAAGAGAAATGGTTTTCATTACCTGGCTGTGCAAAATATGTAATTATTTTTCTTGGGAGAATTACTGGACAATTACAATATTTTAACAAAATTAATGTTCGACATAAGGATCTCTTGAGGAAGTAATATGAGTATTTCCTTTAAAACCTTATCTTGACAATTTATGATAATATCAAGAAGTTCCAGAATGAATGTGGGAGAGCTGGAGAAAATCCCAGGACAAGAGCAAAACACTGCTTTAAGAATATAGTAAGAACCAAAATCTTCATTTCCAGAGGATGAATATTCGTGGTAGAACATGGGTATAACTGATGTTGATTTAAAAAAAATTTAAGACTAGACCTTTGAATGTATACAAATTTTAGGAAATCCACAACAATTTATTTTATGTGCACTTTTCTATTAGGTTGGTGCCAAAGTAATGGCAGTTTTTGCCATTGAATGTAACAGCAACTAACTTAACAGGTATTGTACCTTAACCATAACTCCAAAAGTTTTACAAATATAAATGATGTGAAAAATGCATGGGTTAATACATATGAGGTGCCTAAAACCATGCCTGACCCATATTAAGTATAAGATTCTATTATTGAATTATTTTAAATTTAGAGATGAGGAATCTAAAACAATGAGGTACTTAAGTAACTCCTTAAACTACAGCTGGCACATAGAAAAGCTATAATTAGAGACCAAGATTTTCAGCTCAAGGTCCTGTATTATTAAAGACTACCCTTTACTGCCTTTACAACTAAGCCTTCTCTTAAAACACCTCCAATTTATTTCTAGATGGCTTCAATAGATGCATTTCTAATCTAAAGATGGACTACATAACTTCCATAATTAAAATCCTTTATTTGAGTAACTAAATCACAAATAATATATGGAAGTTGGTCTTTCCATAGTTGTGATTTGTGCTGGAAGGAGTAATAATTAGAAAATATTTTATCAACAACAAAAACATGTAAATATACTAGTATACAGAAGTGCAAAAATGCTAACACTTAACTTTGCAACACAGACTAGATTTACTAATGAAAGACAGACTTAAGTTATTTATGTAACATAAAGGAAAGGTCAATACAACCTTCAGAAACAAAATTAGAAAAGTACTTTTGAATTTGACTGAAATACTACACAATTGCAAACAGATTTACATAAATAGTCAATGTTTCCTGTGTAGAGGATGGATAATGCAACAAACATGTAAAATGAAACATGTAAATTTCAGTGTGCTTTAAGTGTTGTGATATAGAATCTACTGTTACAATGCCAAGAAATATCACCTGTACCAAACTTTAGTAAATAGCCAGTAAGTCTTCCAGTTGGAAGAATTGCCTAACGTGAATTTTAAAACACAAATAAAGGTTAGATAATGTCTTGGTTGTAGCAGTATTGGAAGAGGTTTCCCAGCACTGTCATCTCGTATCATTCTCCTTCACGCTTGATGTTCTCTCTGCCTAGAATACTCTTCCTCAAGAGAATTATAAAAATTAATGCCTGACCTCCTTCATATTTTTATTTAAATTGTTCATCTGTGAGGTCTTCTCTGGCCAATGTATAAAAAATTACAACCCACAACAATACTTTTTATCTTGTCCCTCTTTATTTTTCTCCTTTTTACATAATATCATATGATACAGTTTGGGTATTTGTCCCCACACAAAGCTCCTGCTTTTTCCATGTGATGGGCCTCCCCTCCCGCTCTTCACTTTCTGCCATGATTGTAAGCTTCCTGAGGCCTCCCTAGAAGCCAAGCAGATGTCAGCACCATGCTCCCTGTAAAGCCTGCAGAACTGTGAGCCAATTAAACCTCTTTTCTTTGTAAATTACCCAGTTCCAGGTATTTCTTTATAATAATGCAAGTATGGCCTAACATCTATTATACCATACACCTTATAAATATTATACAATATATTTTACTTACTCATCTTGATTTTTGTTATCCTCCTCCACTAAAATGTAAAAGAGTAAGCACAGAAATTTTTGTCCTTTTTGCTACAGTATTCCCAGTGCAGGATGGAACTCACATGGTTCCATATTGTTTGATAATACAATGCTTATTGGGGACTGACTGTAAGGGTGTGTGTGTGTGTGTGTGTGTGTGTGTGTGTGTGTGTGTCTGCTGGGGGTGGGTGGGGATTGTTTTAGGTAGATAAGTAGAGGCTGTGGTATGGTATGTTGTACCAAAGTGTTTGTATATTAACATTTTGGCGATGAGAAAAAAATAAAGGATTTTAATTATTTAAGTGACGTAGTCCATCTTTAGATTAGAAATGTATCTATTGAAGCCATTTAGAAATAAATTGGAGGTGTTTTAAGAGAAGGCTTAGACACCAGTTGTTGCTGTTATCAGGGTTATTAAGATAAAAAAGTTAATGAGAACTATTGAATTGAGTGCTCATTAAATACTATTTACCATACCAGTTAAAGCTGGCTTCTGATGCTGCCCAAGAAAGAGCTACATTAGAGAAGATATAAACCTATACCTTTTTGCCTAATATCCTACTATGCCCAGATTACCCTTCTTATGTTTAAGTGACTTGGTTGAAGAATTCTGAGTAACTAAATCATGAATAATAATTTCAAAATTATACAATATATACCATAATATTCAACCTTTGACTATTAAGAATATAGTCAAAATTTTTACCTATATGGTAGTCACATGCTTAATTTTCCATCAATCTCTCTCACTCAAGCGTTTCCTCACATTGTACATTTCTTTTACTAAGTTTTAGCCATTTGTAGAACAAGTTTTATCAAATAGAATAAAGTGGCTTTTACCTAAAAATTAAATTTTTCCTGTTTTATCCTCTTTGTACCTCTGAACTTTCCATTTTTTTTTTTTGCTTAATGTAATTCACATATAAATGCATTTTCCCCAAAGCATCTTTTGATACTTTCTTAACGCAGAACATTAATGACCCATGAGATTATTGTGGGCAATAAATTACAACCTAAAATGTAGTTGGGGAAAGAAAAGATACTATTTTTTTAGAAAATAGTGTATATAATATTTGAAATCAAATATAAATGCTTTGTGTTTTTTGCTATTGTCATCATGTTTTCCTTAGTAAATTTGAAATTTGAATTTTTATCCTAATGTTTTGCTATTGTACTGCATGTATGCATAATTCATATCATTTTAAAAGCTTTTGAAGAACATTATTGTTTAATTTTGTCCATGTAATAGGAGTAATTAAATGATCTACAATGATGGCTTGTGGCATTGACACAGGGTTAGGCAAATGGATCAATGGAAGAAGATACACACCTTTACATATACATGGAAACTTGGTATTTGACAGGAAGATATTATAAAACAAATAGATTATTTTTATGAATAAACTATTTGACAAGTGGTTACGGGAGGATTGCCAATTGAGATAAAATAATTTTACTCCATATATGCAACATATATCATATGTGGTATTTTATAATTTACAAATGTGGCATAGTAAGAAAATATTTCTTCAAGACCAAACCTTTGCTAATTGGACTCCCAGGAATGAAATTTGTCTCCTGCATACGTGCATGGAAACAAGCTTTAGTACAGCATTGGGCATTGATCCCTGTTTTACTACAAAGTTTGGACCACACGCTTCCCTAGCCCTGTCTCCATCATGAGGAAAAGGGTAAGGGACAGAACTTTTCCCAACCACAAGCAGAGATTTGACAAATAATGCCATACCATTCAGCTGCAAACAAAATGCTCAGACCCCAGCCCCTGCATTATGCCACTGAAAGGATTGATGCTGGTGTGGCAGAATAAGGCTAGAGCCAAAGTTCTTCATGTTATGTTATCATATGTGCACTGGCTCCTGATGACACGAGGCAGGGCTGGTTCATCCCTGATTATGCAGTTTCAAAGCTCCACAGCCAAAAGTTGGGGTTTCTTTTAAAATTTCCCAAGTGTCATGTCTGGTCCTGTTAATAGCTGTGCACTGTCTCAGAGGATGATGAGCAATAGGTGACTTGTCCACCTGCTGCTGATACAGACTCTGAGATTTCCAAAGTCCATCTACTCCAGGCCTAGGACCAGCACTGCTTAGCCATTTGCCCTTGCTGGAACGATATATACTACACATAGGTAATTAAAGGATTCATCATTTATCTTTTAGACATCACACTGGAAAGATATTTGCAAGGATATTTTTGGAAAAGTCACAATATAGAAGAATACGTGGTGATATCCAAGGAGATGTGGGCAAATAGAGTTTAATACAATGGAGAGTTAAGCGTCTAGCCTTTTCTAAGTAAAAATAAATGTTCAGGTAATAATTCTTCAGCCATAGTAGAAATATATCTTAATATAACATGATGTAAGTAAAATTATGCATATAATTGGTTGAATTGTTAAAAGAGAAAGCATAAATTTTGGGAAACTGATTTAGCCTTGTATTCATGATTCTAAACATTAATCAGGAATCCTGATGTTTAACCTCCAAAATATACAAGGAAAAATAGATGAGTGAAATAAGAGTGATGGCATCATACAGATGAATCAACCAAGTTTTCCTTATGCTACTGTACAATAAATAGCAAGCTGGAAAATACACCATTTTGAACCTATAAATTTAGCTTAGCACTGGAACCTATTACTTGGGGAATTTCACAAGTGTTCATATATTTATTTAGTATGGCAACTATTTGGAAACAGAATGCAATTTAAAAATATGTTCCTCTCCAATCCCATCATATATGTTATTTTCCACCCCAAACCCACCATATCTGTTTGCCAGACAGATACTTTCAAAGCCCAGTTGTGCACCTGCAGTCATTAGCATTTGGCAAATGGTACAAAGCTAGTGTGAAATGGAAAATGTCACCTTTATCAATTTATTCTTACTTGCGATTTTTTTTTTTGAGACAGAGTCTTGCTCTGTTGTCCAGGCTGCAGCTCAGTGGCACGATCTCAGTTCACTGCAGTCTCCGCCTTCCGAGTTCAAGCAATTATCCTGCCTCAGCCTCCTGAGTAGCGGGGATTACTGGCATGTGCCACCACACCTGGCTAATTTTTGTATTTTTAGTAGAGACAGGGTTTCACCATATTGGTCAGGCTAGTCTCGAAATTCTGACCTTGTGATCCACCCGCCGGTGGCTTCCCAAAGTGCTGGGATTACAGTCATGAGCCACTGTGTCCGGGCCTCACTTGGAAAATGTATGCACTTTTGTGTCCTATCCCAGCAGTGCTCATATTAATCCTATAATGCAAAATGTCTAATTAGAACAAATTTGATAAGCAGCCAGTTATCTGTATTAAACATATGTGTTACTATTCATTGTACAAGTAAACCTATTATTTCCGAGAAAAATCGGAGTCATTAGATCAGAAAGGCTTACTGAAATAGAACTCTGCTAAGCAAAACTAAGAATTTCTATTTTAGAAGAAAACATACATATTATTTCAAAGTAAATGACACATTAATAGACATAATTAGCACTATAAAGTGTTCAAGAGTCTTGAGAAAATTAATATGAGTATTGAGTTTGAATGTGGTAGATTGCTTCAGAGGCCATCTACATATTCTATTATAAACAGGTTTTAGGCATATTAATGCTTTAAACAGGCTTATGAGGAAATAGATATTCTCTGAAGCAAGAAACTGGAAAATGAATATAAAGTGAGAATTGAACTCCTCAAATTAACAGAGATTCTTTTACTAAATAAGCTTCCTCCTTTTGGATCTTTATGACAAATTAGTGACTTACGTTAAGAAAAAATCCTCATCCAAATTTGAGTTCTATAGTAATACCTGGCTGCTTCTCAATTCCCTGTGTGCTCTCTGCTTTTAGTATTGTGCAGGAATTTACAGACTTACAGACCTGATTAATAAGATTTCAATAGAATGGTAAAGTTACAAAAGTGACCAGAATTCTTGTAAGATTATTCATAATTCTATTGATAGATAATGAATACTATTTTAGCATCTGCACTGCTTTACGACATAATTACTTAAAATATATAGCTGTTTATCATTCTCATCAATCATATAATAATATTCCATTTTGAAACAATGCAATTGCTGTCCATAGGATGCTCAGGATAATGTTCAAACTCATTAGATAAGCTAGCACTTAAGATATTCTACCATCTATCTTTCTTCCTTTTCTATCTTCTGTTGTAACTTGTTCTATTTCTTAAGCATTCAAGCCCCACTCAATTAAATTTTCCTGAAATGTTTGTAGAACAAGTCATAGGGTTTGCTATCCGTCTCGTCCTTTCATCTTTACTTACTTCCTCTCACTCATCCTAAATGATTCAACTCAGCCATATTTCCCAGTATTTTTCATGAAAATCCTCTGATGTTCATCAGATCATTAGATACTGTTGTTGTTCCCATTTTACTCTCTGCTTGCTATGTTACGACACCAATGATACCATTGTTAATTTTTGATTTACACATTTCCCTCCACCTGTAGATTTGAAAATATTCAAAGAACAAATCGGAGTTTATTTAACTTTTCACTCCCAATATGTAACATTGTTTTTGGTTTGATGTGTGAATGCTGAATTGTTTTTGATTAAAATGACTCAGTATTATGAAATCAATTATACAAAAATGCAAATGATATCAGCAAAGAAGATCAAGCCAATAGAATACTCATTTTAATTCTCTTCTTCTAATTTAAAGTAACAAAGTAGTTCAGTTTATACCAATGCTAGGCTTATTGATTGATTTATTTGTTATTCATTTGTTCAATAAATACTTACTGATGGCCAGTATACCAATGGTATATCAGTAGTATAAGATTCCCTAGGGAAGAGTGATGGGACTGGTCTCACATTTCTCTACCAGAAGTTCCAATTGAATCAGTTACACTGTGTATTATTTTACCATTTTCCTGTAAGCCTCACTTTCCTCTGTTGGAGAGTTGACCTTTCTCAAAACCGGATCATTCTTATTAGCAAAGTATCTCTGGACTTCGAACCAAATAGTTTGGTTAATTTCTTTTATTGTTTCTCAAGAACCAATTTCTGATCCAGCCAGGCAGCAGGTCTATATATTTTTCTTAAATAATCTGATACACCCCCACAAGCACTCAGATAAATGCTTTCAATTATGAGTGCTAAAAAATCAGCAGCTGACTAAAATGGAGTAAACACTTGTAGGTGATGGTGAATGGACAGATAATATTGAGTAATACTGGGCAAGTCAAATAATGTTTGCAAGCCTGACTTCATTCATCTGTAAAATAGGGAGAAATACTTCCTAGGATATTGATAGAATTAAATATGTTAATACATATGAAGCTCTTACAATCATTCCTGGCACATAGAAAATGTTTCATAAAGAGTAACTAATATCACACACATGTATTTATATATAAGAATGGGTAAAGAACAAAGGAAAGAAATAGAGAAAGCAAACCTAAGAATATATCTATTTTTTAGTATTTTGGTAAAATATTTTGGGCTTAGCTATACGTGGACTCTTCTGGTCGCTTCAAAATTATCATGATACAAAGGTAGAATCTTTAATAAACAACTTTATAAATTTAGTGCTAATTGTACTTTCTTGGGTATTCAGGTTTTGAGCAACTAGAGAAGTGAATGAATGATTACTGAAATTTCAAATAAGATTTCCAACAAGTGTACTGAAATCTTATACTGATAAAAATAAAAGAAATAAGAAAAACATATTTTAGTAAATGCTTGTAATTTTATGTTGCCTTGGCATCATTTTTTAAAAATAACTTTGACTTTTATTTTTAGATTCTAGGGGTACGCATGCAGGTTTGTTACTGGGTATATTATGTGATGCTGAGCTTTGGGGTAGGGCTGATCCTCTTACCCAGGTAGTGAGCATAGCACCCAGTGGTTCGTTTGTCAATCCTTGCCCCCTCCCTACTTCTCCTATCTAGCAGTCCTCAGTGTCTATTGTTGCCATCTTCATGTCCATGACTACCCAATGTTTAGCTTCCAGTTTCCGTGAGTACCCAATGTTATATTGAGTATTCCAGTTATAAGTGAGAATATCCACATTCATTTTGAATGGAAGCTTTGCTTTCTTGTGCTAGAGTCAGGGCTCAGTCACCTTTGACCCAGTTTCCGGTTCCACACCACCCTACCTGGCTCAAGCTTGTGGCCAGAGATAAGAACTTAGAGACATCTCTCCCACCCAGCACGCCGGGCTCCCAGCTTTTCTGCTGCTTCCTTTGGAAGGACCATTCAGGCATTTGGTTCATTTAGAGGGACCATTCAGGCATTTGGTTACTTTAGAGAGACCATTCAGGCGTGTTGACTCTTCTGATCACTTCAAAATTATCATGATACAGAGGCAGAGTCTTTAATAAACAATCTTCTGAATTTAGTGCTAATTGTACTTCTCTTAGGGATTCTGGGAACTTAAAGTGACCCAAGCTCTAGTCCCTCATCTATACCGCTAGTTGCCGCACTCTCTTCTCTCTCCGTCAGCACTCTCTGACCTCCGTGTGTAGCATGCTGTGTACCCCCCAGGGTCTGGAAGAACTAACAGCTCTTCAACTTTCACACTGTGGTGTGTCATTGAAGCTGTTCCTGCAATCTGACCCCTGACAGCAGGCCCCTGAAGGGACCCACAATGTGGATCCCCTGCTGCTGCTCTTTTGTCTGGCCCTCTGTCAGCAGCGGGCGGGGGTTAGTAGCTACCAGCTAGTTGATAGAAAAACTCAAAGAGTTTCATTCAAAACACATATATAGAGCTCATATCCTAAAAAATTGCACCATTTTTGTCCTGTTTTATTTTCCAGAGAGTCTGGCTATTACATTATCAAAACTTTTAAAGAAAAATAAAAAGGAATATTCCTATTTAAAAAGTCAAAATGCTTCACTTATTTGGTGAAAAAGGGATGAAACGATTTTTATCATGGTGGTTAATAAATTCAGATTCTTAACATGGTATTGTTAATCATTCCCTGCTTACATTCTTCCTAGGCTTGGTAAACTTATTTAGTTTGTTTAAACATGCTACTAAATTGTGTGCTTAGTTGGCCCTTATGTGCCTTCAAAGGCTGCTAGAACTCATTTATGTACCTGCTACATGTCACAAATTAACAGTAGGACTAGTGAACCACATTTTCAGTGTGAAATATGCCATTCCAAAAATCAGTTATAACAGCCAATAATTGGAATTTTTTTTGGCATTTTAGATTTATTACAATGCCTAAATATCAGTAAACATTTTATCTATCAAAGTTTAATTTTTTTAAAAAGAAACAAATTGCACATTTCTTAGATTACTAAAACAAATAATTTCTGTTTTGGGACATGCATTGTTATGTTCTTCAATAAAATTGACTCTTATTTTCTATTATTTGGAAAATCTATTATTTTCTCATATATCTCTAAAAAACATTCTCGGCCGGGGCAGTGGCTCACGCCTGTAATCCCAGCACTTTGGGAGGCCGAGGCGGGCGGATCACGAGGTCAGGAGATGGAGACCATCCTGGCTAACACGGTGAAACCCCGTCTGTAGTGAAAATACAAAAAATTAGCCGGGCGTGGTGGCGGGCGCGTGTAGTCCCAGTTAGTCGAGAGGCTGAGGCCGGAGAATGGTGTGAACCTGGGAGGCAGAGCTTGCACTCCAGCCTGGGCAACAGAGCGAGACTCCATCGAAAGAAAGAGAGAGAGAGAGAGAGAGAGAGAGAGAGAGAGAGAGAGAGAGAGAGAGAGACTACATATTTTGCATATATGGTCCATTTTAAAAGCAACTATTTTTTCCAGTTGAATATTAAGAAAAAGAGGTATAAGCTTTTGTTGCCTCCAGTTCACAGGAGAAGTACCAAATGACAGTTAAAATTTGTAAGTTATTCATCAATATTTAACAATTTAATATAGGGCATGAAATCCAAGGAACTTTTTTATTGTTATTAAAATGCTTATGTGGGTATCAGGAAAATCTTTTAGCAAATGCCACTCTCTATTTCAAGTGACATTTACAATCAAAATTACCTGATTTTTTTCTACCTACAATATTTATTTAAAACATTGGAAATTATAACCTTGCTATTCAGTCCTCATCTTTCTGTTTCATAAGCTTAGTAATTTATCATACTTCAGAAAATTGGAATTTTACTTGTGACATATGAAGATTGATTTCTGAAGAGCAATCATTAAAATATTTCCCAAAGACATCTTATATATAATCATTAGATTTGCTGGACTTATTTTGTAGTAGCAAAGATATCATATATATTAAAAGGAGTGAAATAATGCCATATTTATTCTGCAAAAACATTTTCTTTAATAACACCAACAGGTAATGCTTATCCAAGAAATTGATAGGATTTCTAGTATGGACAAGTTAGCTTTTATGATAGTTGCTGCTTCATGAGATTGTAAAAGGAAAAATATATATGAGGAAGTAGCAGCATTACATTATAAGCATCAGGAAATATTTTTGGAAGAAGTAGAGTTAAAAATAAATAGTATTCTCACAATTTAAATTAGTAGAGAGACCTTATAAGATAGGACAAAATGCAATAACACATTCATGTAAATGTAGAATTGTGAGAATATTTAAGAAACAAAAATATCTTACTGGCTGAAATACAGTTAATCATTTACATTTGTTTTTCTCTGTTCTATCTGTTCTATCTTTCCCAGAGCAACCAATGTAAGCACTCTGTTGTATCAATATTATTGCCTGTTTTTGACTCAATTTTTCCCAATTTTGGGAAAGGAGGGCTGAGAAATGAGAGGCTGGGGAGGTAAGTATGTTTATTTTTTGCTGATGGGCAATAGCTGATGAAATAATTCCTGAAATTGGCAGGAAATTCAGAACTGATAATTCTCAGGCCCTAGTCACCCGCCTTGTGATGATTCCTTTGTTGCATTGATAAGAGAAATAAATGACAAACAAGACTTAAACTTCGTGACTTGCGATTTTGAAAAATGACGTATGAGTTGAGTCACATTATTGTATCAGCATTTATTATCTTTCAAGGTCCAAATAGTGACCAATGGCAATGATAGCTGGAGATGGCTGAGGTCTCTGAGGAAACCCACGAAATAGCAACCCTCTTTCCCACCTGGGTTCTATACAAAGTAAGAAATAAGGGCCGGGCATGGTGGCTCAGGCCTGTAATCCCAGCAATTTGGGAGGCCGAAGCAGGCAGATCACCTGAGGTCAGGGGTTCGAGACCAGCCTGACCAACATGGAGAAACCCCATCTCAACTAAAAATACAAAATTAGCTGGGCGTGGTGGTGCATGCCTGTAATCCCAGCTACTCAGGAGGCTGAGGCAGGAGACTTGCTTGAACCTGGGAGGCGGAGGTTGTGGTGAGCTGAGATTGCACCATTGCACTCCAGCCTGGGCAACAAGAGCAAAACTTCATCTAAAAAAATAAAAATAAAAATAAAATAAATAAGGAAAAGCATTAAAGTAAATAGAAAATAAAATACATGTATATTTTTATTGTGGAAAAGCCTAGGTTAGAGGAGATGGAGTTTATGTTCAGGTAGTAGGTTTTCTAATACTGAATCCCAGACTTATACAGAAGGGCACATACAAAGTCATGCTGGCCTGGCACAACCTCTCCACCTGGAAGGGCTGCAGCAGAGGGATAGAGTAAATCTCAACCTGCCTTTAGGTAAATTATTCCAGACAGAGAGGAGGAGCTGGACAGAGCATGCTCTATCCTTTCTTCTCAAATGTACCAATGACTTAAGGAATACCAAGTCCTCTGGGCAGAAAGGCCAAGAGAGTTAAACAAACGGAACTCTCTTCACATGAAATAAAATGCAAATGGGGAAAACACATTCCATCCCACAGATGCATTAAATATTTAAGCACAATTAGTGGAGAAGGAAATTAGAGAACTTGCTGATCATCTTATTTCCCAGGCTCTGTAGTGAGTGTATTAAGTATAATTATTTAATTCCATTAAAACATACAGGGTAATTAAAAAATCATTGTCTAATTATAGATGAAGAAGCTGAGAATGAGTGAAACTAAATTAATCCTCCAAAATCACATAGTGAATAAATTACTCTCCAGGTAAGATGGACGAGTTTTGTATAGCATGATTCCACCAAATGAATTCACATTTTAGCCTTTATTAAACAAATTCAAAATCTAGAATAGGAGTTCACTCTTATTTTAGGCTTTCTTAGTGACATCATTTTAATATTCAGTGATAATCTATCAGTTTTAAAGCAAATTTGAACATTCAGTAATCAACATGGACAAATTCAATAAATAATAGATACCTTTTCACATTTTCTTGAGAAATATATACTTGGCCATTAAACAAAAGGATGATTAATGCCCAGAGTCATGTTCTAGAAAAATCTTGGTGATTTTTCATCAGAAATCAAGATGCTATAGAGAAATTAAGGACAAAGCATATTTCATGCTAGCAATAATTTTCAAAGTTAGTGATATGACCTTCTTTTTAATACCAAGTTTTAAATATATACTTTGATAAAGTCTAAAATTGTCTTATTCTAGTATTGATGCAGTTCAGGGACTTATTAGCAAAATTTCAAATTTGTGGTTGTATTAGCACCTTATTTGAAAGTTTTTTTCATCTACTCACATTCTGCTACTCTAATTACAGCTTTTATGCAGAGTATTGTGCTTTCTGCCATTGTCACTTGCATTTGCATCTAATTACAAGTATACATTTTAAAACATATTTATATTTCTTAAAATTAGATAGTAATTATCAAATAAGTGTTCTCCCTAGAGTTATTTTATAAACAATGTCTGACTTGGTATCAATGCAGTAAAATTAATATAAAATATTTTCTGAAATTTTATTTGATTAAATTTAATAAATAATGGTGTTAACTGGAGTAATCATCAAATAAAAAACATGATATATTTACTTTTATGGTAAATGCATTTTGAAAACAGATAAATTTGAGGAAGGTTGGTAAAGTTGGATATGTGAAATGTGATTGAAAATATGTTTTTTACTAGATTATAGTATGTAAAATATGTGCTTCTGAGAAGTTGGGCTTAATCTAACTTCAACATAGTATACAGACACATCAGTAATATTTGATAAAGAAAGTTTATTTTTGATCAATTTATTTCTATAATATAACTTAAAAGATAAAATGGAGAAGACTTCCACTTCATCAAATTGAATTGAATTCTCAGTTTTAATTTTACTGGACGTTTGAAGGTTGGACGTAGCTGATCATTTTAAAAATTATCTGGGAGTTGTGGTGTACTCCAGTAGTCCCAGCTATTTGTGAGGCTGAAGCAAGGGGATCACTTGAGTCCAGGAGTTCAAGGCTGGAGTGAGCTGTGATTGTGCCACTGCACTCCAGCCTGGGTGACAGAGCCAGACCCATCTCTAAAAAGTAAAAATAAATAGTAAAATTAAATTAAAATAGTTCTACTTTTTCTTTTCGGGTGTGCCTTTTTTAATTTTTATTTTATTTTATTATTATTACAGTTTAAGTTTTAGGGTACATGTGCACAATGTGCAGGTTAGTTACATATGTATACATGTGCCATGCTGGTGTGCTGCACCCATTAACTCATCATTTAGCATTAGGTATATCTCCTAATGCTATCCCATTGTATTTGTTTTGGTGATTTTTTGTTTTGTTTATTCACTCCTGTGTTTATTCTACAAAAGACTATATTTATAAAATTAGGTTTTCTTAATTTTAATTTTTTTCTGATTTTTGTGACTTCACTTGTTATTTTTTGTCCAATTCAGATTTATCAGTGTTATAGACTAGATGTTGTCGGCCCTTCCAAATACATAGGCTTAAGCCCTAATTCCCAATGTGATGGAATTCAGAGGTGCAGCCTTGGGGGGCTAGTTAGGTTTAGATGAGATCATGAAGGTGGGAGCCCCATAGTGGGATTAGTTTTTCTATAAGAAGACGGAAAGAGACTAGATCGATCGATCTCTCTCTCTCTCTCTCTCTCTCTCTCTCTGCCATGTGAGGACACAGTGAGAAGACAGACATCTACAAGCTGGGAAATGGGACCTTACCAGAGCCTGATTATACGGGCACCCTGTTCTCAGACATCCAGCTTCTAACCTGTTAAATATATATATATATATATATATATATTCTCCAGCACTTTGGGAGGCTGATGCGAGTGGATTGCCTGAGCTCAGGAGTTCGCGACCAACCTGGGCAACATGGTGAAACCCTGTCTCTACTAAAACACACACAAAATATTTGGCCGGGCGTGGTGGCGGGCGTCTGTAGTCCCAGCTACTCAGGAGGCTGTGGCAGGAGAATCGCTTGAACCCGGGAGGCGGAGGTTGCAGTGAGCCCAGATCGCGCCACTGCACTCCAGCCTGGGCGACAGAGTGAATCTCCTTCTCAAAAAAAAAAAAAAAAAAAAAAAAAAAAAAAAAAAAAAATCTGTTGTTTAAGCTACCCAGTCTATGATATTTTGTTATGGCAGCCCATGCTAATATGATAATGTTATTTTATGTTCTTTATTATATTTTCAATGTCTTTCAGCTTACTTGAATTAGTACATTACAGTTGTAACCTGAATAATGGGAAAGTCTTTCTTATATTCTTTCACCTTTGGTAAGAATATTATTATGATTCTTAAGATTGAATCTTAATACTTTTATATTGCTTTTTTATGAGAGTAGTCCAAAAATCTTTAAAAGGTTTGGTTTAGATGGCTTTTCTAGCTTCACAAATGTCTTCTTCTGTTGTTTTCATTTGACTTCCATGGTGCTTTGTTTTCTGAGATTTTCATACCTTATTCTCCTCCCCATTTTCATTTAGACCCTCTCTTTCCTTTACCTCTACTGTAACTATCTTACTTTACTGTGATTACTCCACAGGAAGTCTCTCCCTAGTGTGAAAAACTGTCTTGGAAGATATATCTAGAAACTAAGTTTATAGGCACTTCCGTAATGCTCAGGAATTTACTGCAATAATGAGAATAATAATGATGATAATAATAATAACTTGTACTTACCCACTAATGCAGTCTACAGAATTCCTGCCAATTTCACTCATTGCTCTTGAATTTGCTTGCCATGATTACTAGTGCCGCTTACTTGGCTATTTTGAGGTTCTCCTCTCTCTCTCTCTCTCTCTCTCTCTCTCTCTCTCTCTCTCTCTCTCTTTTATCTTAGAGTTAGACTTTATTTTGTAGATCTGGTTTCAATTTGCTTTCTTTTTATTTTTTTCTCTTGACTTTTATTTTAGGTTCAGGGGGTATATTTTCAGGTTTCTTGCATGGGTAAGTTGCGTGTCACTGAGGGTTACTGTATGAATGACTACATCACCCAGGTAGTAAGCATAGTACCCACAGCATATGTAATGTAATGATACATATATTCATGCATACATATATAAATATATGTTACATATAATATATACTTCATTTTTATATGTAATTTTGATAGAAACCATATACATTTGGGGAATTGAATCATTGTAACATCTAGTTTTGTGAATTTGCTTTGTTTAGAAAATACCCTAGAACTTAAAGTATAATAATACAAAAAAAGAAAAATCTTGTCTTCTATTAGTACAGATACCAAAATGCAGTATACATTCCTCTATAGGTTACCACAATGTCAGAGAATTGGAGATCAACAAATAACTCTGTCCATAATATTATCCTTTTTGAATCCTAAAAGTGTTTAATCTTAATAAAATAGGTAGATCAAAGTGAAGGAAGAATTCAAAGACATCATACTTATCATGTTTAAAAATCATTTATATGTAACAAATGAAATTTTGATGGCTGAAAGCTACCTCCTTTTATAACCTGCCTCTCAAAACTATTTTTTTAAGTTAACAGGTATCAGTATTTAAAAAGAAAAAGATATTCCTATATTTGTGGCTTTGATATGATGAGACATTAACTTCATTCAGAAGTAGATTAATTCATCCAAAGAGAATTAGTCATTTCCATGAATAATTTGCTCAGGCTTCTTTTAAAGTCATTCAAGACATAAGTTTCCCTCTCTTATAATCTACCAAAATGAATATGTCTTAGGATTTAAAGCAAATATATCTTACTTTCATTAGTCAGAGATGACACAAAGACATGCCATCTACTTACTTCTGTGTAGACTAATGAGTTTTATTTATTAAATAAGTAATCAATACTGCATATTAAATTCTGTTCAGCCTTTCTGGTGAAAATCAAGTAGTGCTGTTCAAATTATTTGGTCCTCTTTCTCTCAAAAAGTCATTTTCTCTAATAGAAAAGACTTGTATGAACACATATTTCTAGTGCTGACTATGAGATTATCATCATGAATAATATGGTATAGGATTTAGATACAGCCATAACTCAGAGATAATGTTTTTCTTCTATTTTGCAATTGATGAATTGTAGCCTGAATTTTTTAGGTTAATGGCCAGTACATTAGTACCATAAACATTTCAATGTTATCCCGTTCATATTTTTAATCTACAAAATTGCCTATTAATAATCATTTGTATCTTTCAGCAAAGTAATCAATGCTGGTTAATGTAATGTTAAAGTTGACATTAATCACTTTTTCGGAGACAGCATCTTTCTATCCCAGCTTAGAATTATAATTGTAATGTAATTCTTATTTAGTCAGCATATTAATATCAGCTTCTGTATCTATGGCATATTTAATTTTACTTTTCTTCCAAATAAGCTGAGAAAGCAATGTCTATAAATCCAATGCCTAAAAGCCACATCTGTTGAAATTACAAGTTGTTAAAGAAAAGCTTGGCTGGTCATGCAAATTAATCATGTATAGAGAAGGTAAAGCGCACTGCATATGCACCTGCCAATAATTGCATAGCACTTGCTCATGGTCCACTTGTTATTTATGCACGGTTTCCTGTGCAATTTCAAATAACTTTCCAGCTCACACTACCTTTGTACATGAAAATTTATTGTAGGTGCAGCATTGTAGCCCATTGCAAAAGTTAGAAATAGAGAAAAAAAGAAATAGTTAGAATGCTGGAGACAGATTTTCTTTTCCTGACACTGTCAGAATAGCCTATTTTGTGCTTTTCATTAACTTCCAAGAGAGATTTTTCTCATGAAGTATAGAACTAATGATGCAGAGAAGCTTAAGTCTTTATTTAAAGGCCCATAGAGGCAATGAATCAAGATCTTTTAAATGACTGGTCTGATTTGTATAATAAAAAGTAGTACATATTCCTGACATTCAGCAGAATCATTGTCTCAGAAGAAAACACTAAAAATATTTGTTACATGTAATTCAGTTAAAAAATAGCCAACACATAAGAGAAACACAATACACATATTTTCATAAATTTTTTTGATTTTAGGAGGACAGGTTTTCAAATGTTTAAAGAATTGATAGAATCGAAGTTAGAGTATACTTTTATAGATATAGAAGGCCTAATAGGGATTAATAAAAGAACGCTGCAGAGAGACAGATTGAGCCCAGTGTGAACAAGAATTCTTTACTTCTATTGCTGTAAGCCAGATTAGCTGCTGTCTTCCTTCATAAAAACAGGCCGGGCGCGGTGGGTCACACCTGTAATCCCAGTACTTTGGGAGGCCAAGGTGGGCAGATCACGAGGTCAGGAGATCGAGACCATCCTGGCTAATACAGTGAAACCCCGTCTCTATTAAAAAATAGAAAAAAATTAGCGGGGTGTGGTGGCGGGTGCCTGTAGTCCCAGCTACTTGGGAGGCTGAGGCAGGAGAATGGTATGAACCTGGGAGGCAGAGTTTGCAATGAGCCAAGATTGCGCCACTGCACTCCAGCCTGGGCGACAGAGCAAGACTCTGTCTCAAAAAAAAAAAAAAAAAAAAAGAAATGTAAAAACATAAGTGGCAAGGTAGCCATCAATTATAAATAATATGTACATGATTCCTGAGTTGGTGGAGGTAGATGGGATTATTGATCAGATCCAATTTGCTTTCCAGACTCTATGAGTTTTACATTGTCCATAAGGCAGAATCATTATATTCTCATCTCTAAAGTAAGATGCCATCAAAACATTTACTATAGTGTGAGGCATAGTAATGTGGAAAAGAAGAGCTCAACTTCTGGGGCCTCACTCTTGGATACCAATGTGAGCTCTACAACTTACTAACTCTGACATTGAACAGATAATTTAATATTTCTAAGTCTCTTAATTTCCCCAACAACAAACTGGATAGGATAGGACCTACTCATTAAATTTGTGAAAACCAGTGAAGTGTTATATGTGAAATATTTAGCACATACTAAATAGAAAACTAATGTTCATAATCATTAACATTCAGTTTTGGAGAACATTAATTTGGCTCACTGCATCCTCCAAAAAAATCAGTTGTGAAGTCACAACTTAATTTTCAATTAAGTCCTGTCTTAAATATTCCACTAAATTTATAATCTTTCTGTTTCTTTATTTTTTATTTTTATTTTTATTTTTTTTGAGGCAGATTCTCACTCTATTGCCCAGGCTGGAGTGCAGTGGCGCAATCTTGGCTCAGCGCAGCCTCTGCCTCCCAGGTTCAAGCGATTCTCCTGCCTCAGCCTCTCAAGTAGCTGGGATCACAGGCATGTGCTATCACACCCGGCTAATTTATTTTTATTTATTTATTTTTTTTTAGTAGAGACTGGGTTTCACCACGTTGACCAGGCTGGTCTCAAACTCCTGACCTCAGGTGATCCACCCACCTCAACCTCCCAAAGTCCTGGGATTAACGGCTTGAGACACTGCACCTGGGGTTCTCTGTTTCTTTAATTGAAAAACATTTTCAAAGACTTATCTATATTCTCTCTTTCCATTTCCTGTTTTTTTTTTTTTTTTTTTTTTTTTTTTGCTTCTATTCCCACCACACTACTAAGGCTGCTTTTGTGAAATAAGAAATCACCTCACACATTGATGAATCCAATGGCCATGTCTTCATTCTTTTCCCACTTGATTTCCCAGGAGCATTTCCCAAAGTTGAATACTTAATCTTTCATGATATATTATTTTTGGGGGGTTTCTATTACATCGTGCTCTTCTGACTTGCTTATGGTTCTCACTTGTAAGTCTTTCCTGGCTCATTCTAATGCACCCTAAATTTTGAAGGGTCTTGGGGCAGGTTCACCCTTGGACTCTAACTGCGTTCTATAAGATATCTTGTGACATGGGCTTTACTATTTACATAATGCCTAGGTCTACATCCCAATTTTTGATTTCTCTCTGAGTTGAAAATTAGTATGTCGTTTTGTCATTACCATTTGGCTACCTATGAAGACATCCTAGACTAACGCAAACAATGAATTCTTGATGTTCACCATCAAGTCAGATTCCCTACTATTCCCTATCATAAATATTCAGTATCTACTCATTTTCTCACCCAAAATTATTAGTCCTATAATTTCTTCTCTTTTACCAGTATCTTGTATCTAAACCACTGTAAAGAATTGTTGGTCTTACTATGAAATTTTAATAATGCATTCACTTTCTTAATTTTTTAGATATCTACATGAATATAGATTATATTTTCTGAAGAGAGCCACAACAATATCTGTCATCTTACATGTTCTGCTTAAAATATGACTCTGACACCTCTTCCATTGAGCAGTAGTGCCTACTTTTTGTTTTGAAATTTTATATAATGTAGTAGCTGTCTCTACCAATAGAGTGTGGCACACGTAAACCTAAGTAACCTTCAAAACTGGTTCATAAAAATGACATGCATTATGTTTTGTTCTTTTAAGATACTTGCTCTTGGAATCCAGTCGCCATGCTCTGAGGAAGTCCAAGCATCCACACAGACAGCCAGTGTTGTTGACTTCCAACCAGAAGTCCCAGCTAAGGTCCCAGTCAGCTGCAATCTACACAAATGCAGGAGCCTTTAGATGATTCCAGTTCTCAGTCAGTGAGTCATCTCAAGCTTTGGAATCATGCTTAACTGAAGTCTCACTGTGGGTCAGAGAAAAGCGAAGACCACTATATGTTTTGAGAATTCTTGACCCACAGAGTAAGTGAGCATATTTATAATCATTTTTGTTTTCAGCCACTGAGCTTATGGTGGATTATTACATAGTAATGGAAAATGAAACACTTAAAGTGAACTCATTTATCACTTGAAATACTGTAATTTGTTTTCATTCTGTCACCCTTCCTTTATTTGACTACATACAGTCTGTTCTGGATGAAACAAAGGCAGTAACTTCTTAAGACCTCAGCATTATAACATGTCAACTATATGAAAATATGCAGAATTATAAAGTGAATAACCCTATGCACATCACCTGGAGTCTATAATTTATTTATACTTGCTTTATCACTTATCTGCCCATAGATCCATCCATCAATCCACCTTTTTGTAAAAAAAAATGTATTTCAAAGGACATTGCATATATCAGTATTTTATTTTCTAAATACTTCAGCATATCTATAATTATAGTTATATGTATACACACACATATCTATAGTAAAATGTACTTATAATGAAGTTCAAGAATCTAATATATACTATGCAGTGAGATTGTATACATACATCTATGTTGCTCAAAATCCTAATAAAATACATAATTTTGCTATCAACTCTGCCTCCCCTTCACAGTACAGATGCTCCTCAACTTAAAATAAGATTACATCCTAAAAAACCCATCATACGTTGAAAATATTGTCAAGTCAAAATTGTACTAAATACATTTGATACATTTAACCTACCAAACATTACAGCTTAGTCTAGTCTAGTCTACTTTAAATGTGCTCAGAACACTTACATTAGCCTGCAGTTAGGTAAAATCATCCAACACAAAGCCCATTTTATACTAAAGTGTTGATTTTCTCATGTAATTTATTGAATACTGCACTGAATGTGTATCACTTTTGTACCAAAGTAAAAAAATAAACAACAAAAAAAGCAAAAACATAAATTCAACCGTCCTAAGTAGGAGAGCATCTATATATGAACACATTCACTACATTCACTGTCTCAGAGGCATCAATGTTCTAGTTCATCCCACCACAAAATCCTTTTGTCTATTTTTGAATATAATTTAAATAAAAGTCTGTAGTGTGTACACTGGAAAGTAGACATCTCTCTGAATGTATTATTGTTATCAATTCCCCATGTTCTTATAGATGTTCATTTTTATTGTTGAGAACATTATATTATATAAATATAGCACAGTTTGTTATTTCCCAATTGATGGACATCCAACATTTCACCATTAAATATATTAGCGCTCATTTTTTATACATGTCCTTTGTTAGATTAAGAAGTGTTCTTCTGCTCACTAAGCACTTTTATCCTAAGTGACTAAAATTTTGTCAAATGTATTTTCTGTATTTGTTGAAATGACTCTTTGTCCTATAAAAATAACAACTTGTTTTAAGAATGTGAAATCCACCTTCTTCTACCTGGGATAAACCCCACTTGATCATGGTAAATTATCTTATAATATTTGGGTGGGTTTGATTTGATGATTTTTTTAATGTTCATAACTTTCTGTGATAAAAATTGGCCTACGATTTTGAGTGTGTATGATGATTCTCTCTCTCTCTTTTTTTTTTTTTTTTTTTTTTTTTGAGATGGAATCTGGCACTGTCGCCCAGGCTGGAGTGCAGTGGCGCGATCTGGGCTCAATGCAAGCTCCGTCTCCCAGGTTCACACCATTCTCCTGCCTCAGCCTCCTGAGTAGCTGGGACTACAGGCGCCCGCCACCACGCCCGGCTAATTTTTTGTATTTTTAGTAGAGATGGGGTTTCACCATGTTAACCAGGATGGTCTCCATCTCTTGACCTCTTGATCCACCCGCCTTGACCTCCAAAAAGTGCTGGGATTACAGGCGTGAGCCACCGCGCCCGGCCCGATGTTTCTCTTTTTTGTAATATGTTGGCATTGAAAGAGGATGGATGTATTTTCTCTTCTGTTATTTTTAAGACTTTATTTAAAATTAGGTTAATTCTTCCCAAAAATCTAGTAGCAAAAGCAACTAGGAATATAATTTTTTAAATAAAAGGAATATATTTTATTTCTTGAATAGATACAGTACTATAAACACGTTCAGTCTTATGTCATATTTTATAAGAAACATCATTCAAGAAATTTCTCCATTTCATTTATAAATACAAAGTTGCTTATTTCAATATTAATATAATTTAATGTCAATATTTACAGAATCCATAGCTATAATAATCTCAACATTTATAGACTCTGAAATAATATAGTTCCCATTCTTCTTTTATTCCCAATATTGGTCCTTTATGTCTTCTTTTCCAATCAGATAGTTAGCTTAATATGTTTTAATCTTTTCAAAGTGTAGTCTAAAATATCATTTTTATGTTCTGTAAATTGTATTTATTTTTTAGTATAACTTTTTCAGCCTTGTCCTTATTATTTATTTATGCCTTATTTGAATTAATTTCTATTTTCTAGACTATAAAGTAGGAGTTTATTTATTTTTAAATTTATTTTTCCCAATATTAGAATTTAAAGCTTTAATTTTTTATTTAAACACAATTTTATACCTAATTTTTGACATGTTGAATTTTTATTACAATTCATTTGAATTTTTATACAATTCAATTCAAATTATTACAATTTATTTCATCCATTTTCTAATTTTGTTTGTGATTTAGCCTTTGACCTAGTAACTATTTAGAAGCATGTAGTTAAGTTCCCAAACATTTGGGTGGTTTCTGCACTTCCTCATTTTATTTTCTTCTACCTTCATTGCATTGTGGTAAAAAAAATCACTCTGTAACACTTTGTATGCATTAACTTATCAAAATTTGTTGACCAAGCATATGATTTAAATCAGTAAAATTATCACATATTCTAAAAAAAAAAGTGTATCTTATAGTGAATAATAATGCTCTGTAAACCATTAATATGATTTAGTCATGGCAGTTGACAGTTGGTTCATATCTCTTAGGACCTACTAATTTTTGAATCTACTTTTCTAATCAATTGTTCTTAATAGTTTACCATATTTTCTAATTATAAGTTGTAGTTATTCCATGAATATTAAGCATTATGCATTTGTGTATGGTATTTGTTCCTGATTGATTATAAATTTATTATCAAAAGTTGGGCATCCACATCAGCACTTCATTGTGAAAGGGAAGTGGTATATATGAGGTGGGCACAAGTAGACCCTGAAGGCACAAATAAGTAATATGAAGAAGTGGTTCAAATGCCCGTGGTCTCTACTTTTGCCACACTGCCTTTTCTCTCCCAGCCTGAAACTATGGCTTCTTGGGGAGCTCTTCTATGATCAATACCTGATAGAGCAAAGAACACTTGGACCTGGTATACAAATGGTTCTACATCAAATCCTGGCACCACCCAGAAATGGACAATTGTGGCAATACACCCCTTTCTGGGAGAGCATTGAAGGACAATGGTGGAGGAAAATTCCCTTAGTGGGCAGAATTTTGAACAGTGCACCTGGTTGTTCATTTTGCTTCAAAAGAGAAATGTCCAAACTTGCAATTATGTACTGATTCATGGGATTAAAAAAAATGTTGGATGGATAACAGGACTTGGAAGGAACACAGGTGAAAAAAAATGGTGATGAGAAAATCTGGGAAGAGGTATGTGGATAGACTTCTTTAAATGGAAAAAAAAAAAAAAGAAGATATCTGTGTCTCATATGAATGCTCAAAAAAGATGACCTCAGCAGAGTGGGTTTCTAATAAAGTGGATAGACTGA
The DNA here is from genome assembly GCF_000001405.40 of Homo sapiens. Taxonomy (NCBI): domain Eukaryota; kingdom Metazoa; phylum Chordata; class Mammalia; order Primates; family Hominidae; genus Homo; species Homo sapiens. The sequence goes on from NC_000004.12 coordinate 35,316,640, forward strand.
CTTGTTCTATGGATACCAGTCAACCTCTTTCCCAGCCACCCTTGTCACCATCCAATGGGCTTATGAACAAAGTGGCCATAGTGGCAGGGGTAGAAGTTATGTATGGGATTAGTACCGAGGATTTCTGCTCAACAAGACCAACCTGGCTATGGTCACTGCTCAGTGGCCTATCTGCCAGCAGCAGAGAACAATGTTGAGTCCCTAATATTGCACCATTCCCTGAGGTAATCTGCCAGTGACATGGTTGCAGGTTGATTATATTGGACTCCTTCCACACTGAAAGAGATGGTGTCTGGTACTTACCATAATAGATACTCTGGATAGGAATTTACCTCTCCTGCACACAATGCTTCTGCCAAAACTATAATTCATACGTGCATTTAAAATATGCCTATGAACTGTCATGGTATTCCACACAGCATTGCTTCGGATTAAGGAAATCAGTTTACAGCAAAAACGGTAGCAATGGGCCTAGGCTCATGAAATTCATGGTCTTACCAACTTTCCTACCATCATTCAGCAGATGGTTTGACAGTGTGGTGGAATCGCCTTTTGAAGACACTGTTATAGTTCCAGATACATATACCTTGTAGAGCTACAGCGAGGTTCTCTAGGGTGCTATATTTGCTGTCAATCAGTGCTCAGTATTTGGTGCTATTTCTCCCATAGCCAAGATTCACAGGGCCAGGAATCAAAGCATTCAAATGGGAGCAGCACCACTCACCATTACCTCTAGTGATCCATTAGCAAAATTGTTGTTTCTGTTCCTATGATCTTGTACTCTGCTGGATTAGAGATTTTAGTTCCAAAGGAAGGAAGGCTTTCATCAGGAGATACAGCAATGATTTTTACTAAGTGGAAAATTATAACTGCCATTAGGCCACTTTGGTCTCCCTCACCTCTGAATCAACAGGTAAAGAAGGGAGTTAATATGCTGGTTGGGGTGACTGATGCTGACCACCAATGGGAAATTTGGACTGCTACCCCACAGTGAAGGTGAAAAAGGCTATGTCTGGAATACAACACATTCTCCATGTTGTCTCTTAAGATTACTGGGACATGTGCTTAAACTAAAAGAAAAAAAAAAAACCTACAACAATCCAATTCAGGCAGAACGGCTAATGGCCAAATCCTTCAGGAATGAAATCTTGAGTCACCCCACCAGATAAAAAATCGTGAGCAGCTGAGATGCTTCCTGAAGGTGAAGGGAATGCTGAAATGGCTACTGGAAGAAAGTAGTTATGAGCACCAGCTATGACCATGTGACCAGTTACAGAAGAAAGGACTGTAATTACCATGAGCATTTCTTCCTTATTTTGTTATGAATGCTTGTGTTTAACATCTATTTGTTTTCTTCTCTCTCTTATCCTCTTATTATGTAGCATAAGAGGTATTGACTTGTATCATAGTATTAACTATTGTTAATTTTCCTAGTATTTAAGTTATAGTATGACTATGGATATATATATATTCATAGTATTTAAGTTTTGGAATATCAAGGAGAAAAGTAAACATCATCCAAGAACTTCATATTTTCTTCTGGGGATGGTTTAGTGCATTTTCACTTGTACACAGGAGAGTTTTATCAGATTAGGGAGAAGTGTGACCTTTTTATTGTCTTTATTTGGAGGTGATGTATGATTTAAGCTGTGTATTGTCTTTATTTGGAGATGATGTATGATTTAAAATGTGTATGGGTGCAAATTTAACAAGAAGTAGACTTGCAGTGGTCTATTTTATGCATAACTTCCTGGGCCATGGGATAACCAGACATTTGGCCAAATATTCTGGGTGTTTCTGTGAGAGATTAACATTTAAATTATTGAAATTTGAGTAAAATAGATTGTCCTCTGTTAATGTGGGTGGGCCTCATCTGGTGAGTTGAAGGCCTGAGTAGACCAAAAACACTGGCCTCTTCTGAGCAAAAGAGAATTATCCAACAGACTACCTATGGTTCTTCCTGGTTGTATAGCAAACTGCCTTTCGATTCAAAATGGAAGACTGGCGCTCCTCATTCCCCTGCTGCTGGCCTTCAGAATGCAGCAGTATTGGCTTTCCTGGGCTGCTGGCTGCTTGGCCTTTTGTTGGAAGGGCAGGATTGGATCCCTTGAGGCTGCCAGCCCAAAATGTAGATTTGAGGCTTGCCATAACTTGAACAAATTTCCTAAACAAATGTTACACACACACACACACACACACACACACACACGCACACAAACCCTATTAGTTTTGTTTCTCTGGAAAATCCTGACAAATACACACTTATTTCCATTGCTAATAGAAGCGTATTATATTTTCCAATTATGCATGTGACTCTGTAATTGATCTATGTATATTCATGTTTGCTACATATTTTTGATGAATTTATTATTAATGTCCCATTTATTATTAATGTCCCTTATTATATCTTGTAATATTCTTTATCTACCTTATCTAACACTGATAAAGCCACTGTAGTCATATTATTTCTATTGATTATGCGTCACAACTTTTTCAACCACTATTTACTTTCAGCCTATCTGAGACTTCTTGAGCAAATAAGACTCTGTAATAGCATGTAATTGTATTTATAATCCATTCAGACATTCACAACCCTCAAATTGGAATATTTAGTCTAATAACATATTGTATCATTATCAATATAGTTATCAATATTGTATCAGTATCAATATCAATATTTGGTATATGTTTTATTCCTGTTGCAACATTCCTGCCTTCTTTAATAATAAAACAATTTTTCAATATAATTTAAATTCATCCACTGGCTTTTAAGATATTTCTGCTTGCATCATTTATCTTTTCCTAAATTTTTAGATAATTGATATAGGGATGACAATACACATTTTCAACTCCATATGATTTATCAAGAGTTAATAATTTAACACTTTGCATAAAATGTAGAACTGTTGGAATAAAACAGCTTTTTAATTACATATTATATATTTTATTTATTATAATAACTTCCAACTTTTATGCTTGAGTTGTCATATGTATCATGCATATCTACATTTTAAACCAGTTAAATAGTAAATTATTTTCAAATAAATAAAGAGAAAAAGTTTTTTAATATTAACCCACATATTTACTATTATTGATGCTCTTCTTTTCTTCCTGTCACAGTATCTCTCTGGTTTCATTTCCCCTTAACCTGAAAAGATTTCTCTTTTATGTGGTACAGTTCTAGAATGTTCTGAAAGTATACTAATTTACCTTTATTCTTGATAGAATTTTTTTATAGATTAATGTGTGTATATATATATATATATATATTTATAATCTGTTCTTTTTGTTGGTTTCTATGTCAAATTATTGTCCCCTCAATGTAAAGTGTCATTTTTTAATGTCTGTTTCTTTTTTTTTTTTTTTTTTACTTTTTCTCTTATCTTTTAATAACTGTGATGTGTTTGGATGTGGTTTTCTTTCTATTCTTTCTATTTTTCATACACGGTATTCACTGAGCTCTTTAAGTTTCTAAATCTATACCTTTCATCAAATTTGGAAAATGTTCAACCATTATTTTTTAAAATATTTTCTGTTCTAACATTTCTTAATTCTAATTAGCTACATACTGGAATATGCACACTTTATGTGTTTGTTTGTATGTGTATAAATATATACGTATGTATATGTGTCATAAGTCATGCTGTAGTACTTATTTCCAACCTTTTTTTCTCTATATTGTACTGATTAATTTCTAATGATTTATCTTCAAGTCCACTGATTATTTTTTCATCTCCTTTCTGTTGTTAATTCCATCTAGCTGAATTTTTCATTTACCATTACATTTTTAGTTCTAGAATTTCCCTTTTTTGGTTTCTGTGTCTCTGCTGATATTTTCAATCTTTTCATTCCTTCATAGTATGTTTTTCTTTACATTCTTGAGCATAGGTATAACGGCTGCTTTAAAAAACTTGTCAGATAATTCCATCATTTGGGGTTTCCTGAGGGTATGTCTCTGTTAATTTCCTCTTCATTATAAAAATGGGTGATATTTTCTCATTTCATTATATTCTAAAAAATTATATTGTATTCTTCATCTTGTAAATTACATAGATACTCTCAATTCTGTTATATAGTAATGAAGGGTATTGATTTTGTTTTTTGTAAGCACTAAAGTTGGCTAAACACAAACTGCAAACTCTGACTACTGCCTGGTCATTAATATCTGAAACTTCACTTCGTATTATTAGCTTTAGCTGGACTCCTTGGAATACTCTTCATAGGCAAGCACGTTTCAGACGTCAGCTATCAGTCAAAGATTTGGTCAGTGTTCACACTGAATTTCAAGTTCCTTACTCTTAATTCATCTTTTCCAATATACCTCCTTTTATTTTCCAGTGGCTTCAGTTACATGAGCTCTGTCCTGTAGTTCAAGTCTGTAGTATTGTGAGTTCTGTACTGGTTTCTATATGACAGTGACCAATAAATGTTATATTACCAGTATCAATTATTTCTTACTGAATTAATATATATATTTTTATTTTTTTATTATTATACTTTAGGTTTTAGGGTACATGAGCACAATGTGCAGGTTAGTTACATATGTATACATGTGCCATGCTGTTGCACTGCACACACTAACTCGTCATCTAGCATTAGGTATATCTCCCAGTGCTATCCCTCCCCCCTCCCCCCACCCCACAACAGTCCCCAGAGTGTGATGTTCCCCTTCCTGTGTCCAAGTGTTCTCATTGTTCAATTCCCACCTATGAGTGAGAACATGCGGTGTTTGGTTTTTTGTTCTTGCGATAGTTTACTGAGAATGATGATTTCCAATTTCATCCATGTCCCTACAAAGGACATGAACTCATCATTTTTTATGGCTGCATAGTATTCCATGGTGTATATGTGCCACATTTTCTTAACCCAGTCTATCATTGTTGGACATTTGGGTTGGTTCCAAGTCTTTGCTATTGTGAATAGTGCCGCAATAAACATACATGTGCATGTGTCTTTATAGCAGCATGATTTATAGTCCTTTGGGTATATACCCAGTAATGGGATGGCTGGGAAGGCTTCAGACAATCAAACTACGAGCTACAGGAGGAAATTCAAGCCAACGGCAAAGAAGTTAAAAACTTTGAAAAAAATTTAGACAAATGTGTAACTAGAATATCCAATACAGAGAAGTGCTTAAAGGAGCTGATGGAGCTGAAAGCCAAGGCTCGAGAACTACGTGAAGAATGCAGAAGCCTCAGGAGCCGATGCGATCAACTGGAAGAAAGGGTATCAGCGATGGAAGATGAAATGAATGAAATGAAGCTAGAAGGGAAGTTTAGAGAAAAAAGAATAAAAAGAAACGAACAAAGCCTCCAAGAAATATGGGACTATGTGAAAAGACCAAATCTACACCTGATCTACTTTCAGGTGTACCTGAAAGTGACAGGGAGAATGGAACCAAGTTGGAAAACACTCTGCAGGATATTATACAGGAGAACTTCCCCAATCTAGCAAGGCAGGCCAACATTCAGATTCAGGAAATACAGAGAACGCCACAAAGATACTCCTCGAGAAGAGCAACTCCAAGACACATAATTGCCAGATTCACCAAAGTTGAAATGAAGGAAAAAATGTTAAGGGCAGCCAGAGAGAAAGGTTGGGTTACCCACAAAGGGAAGCCCATCAGACTAACAGCGGATCTCTCGGCAGAAACTCTACAAGCCAGAAGAGAGTGGGGGCCAATATTCAACATTCTTAAAGAAAAGAATTTTCAACCCAGAATTTCATATCCAGCCAAACTAATCTTCATAAGTGAAGGAGAAATAAAACACTTTACAGACAAGCAAACGCTGAGTGATTTTGTCACCACCAGGCCTGCCCTAAAAAAGCTCCTGAAGGAAGCACTAAACATGGAAAGGAACAACCGGTACCAGCCGCTGCAAAATCATGCCAAAATGTAAAGACCATCGAGACTAGGAAGAAACTGCATCAACTAACGAGCAAAATAACCAGCTAACATCATAATGACAGGATCAAATTAACACATAACAATATTAACTTTAAATGTAAATGGACTAAATGCTCCAATTAAAAGACACAGACTGGCAAATTGGATAAAGAATCAAGACCCATCAGTGTGTTGTATTCAGGAAACCCATCTCACATGCAGAGACACACATAGGCTCAAAATAAAAGGATGGAGGAAGATCTACAAAGCAAATGGAAATGGAAAACAAAAAAAGGCAGGGGTTGCAATCCTAGTCTCTGATAAAACAGACTTTAAACCAACAAAGATCAAAAGAGACACAGAAGGCCATTACATAATGGTAAAGGGATCAATTCAACAAGAAGAGCTAACTATCCTAAATATATATGCACCCAATACAGGAGCACCCAGATTCATAAAGCAAGTCCTGAGTGACCTACAAAGAGACTTAGACTCCCACACATTAATAATGGGAGACTTTAACACCCCACTGTCAACATTAGACAGATCAACGAGACAGAAAGTCAACAAGGATACCCAGGAATTGAACTCAGCTCTGCACCAAGCAGACCTAATAGACATCTACAGAACTCTCCAGCCCAAATCAACAGAATATACATTTTTTTCAGCACCACACCACACCTATTCCAAAATTGACCACATAGTTGGAAGTAAAGCTCTCCTCAGCAAATATAAAAGAACAGAAATTATAACAAACTATCTCTCAGACCACAGTGCAATCAAACTAGAACTCAGGATTAAGAATCTCAATCAAAACCGCTCAACTACGTGGAAACTGAACAACCTACTCCTGAATGACTACTGGATACATAACGAAATGAAGGCAGAAATAAAGATTTTCTTTGAAACCAACGAGAACAAAGACACAACATACCAGAATCTCTGGGACATATTCAAAGCAGTGTGTAGAGCAAAATTTATAGCACTAAATGCCCACAAGAGAAAGCAGGAAAGATCCAAAATTGACACCCTAAAATCACAATTAAAAGAACTAGAAAAGCAAGAGCAAACACATTCAAAAGCTAGCAGAAGGCAAGAAATAACTAAAATCAGAGCAGAACTGAAGGAAATAGAGACACAAAAAACCCTTCAAAAAATTAATGAATCCAGGAGCTGGTTTTTTGAAAGGATCAACAAAATTGATAGACCGCTAGCAAGACTAATAAAGAAAAAAAGAGAGAAGAATCAAATAGACGCAATAAAAAATGATAAAGGGGATATCACCACCGATCCCACAGAAATACAAACTACCATCAGAGAATACTACAAACACCTCTATGCAAATAAACTAGAAAATCTAGAAGAAATGGATATATTCCTCGACCCATACACTGAATTAATATATTTGCTTTAAACATCTTATCTTAGACCAATATTTTTTTTCTTCCTGCAGTGGGTTGTATTTCATACTCAGGAAGCAAATGTAAATACCCTTTGTCAACTGATTATTCACTAAGAAAATTTGCAACCCATTCTCAATAGGAAAAATAAAGGCGAAGTTAATCCTTTTGACAAATAAAATTTCACTACACTTCTTCTATATTAAGCCTCTATTAACTTTACCTTTTCATTTGCCTTTTATAAAATTCTACTGGCATAACTCTTATTATACACAAGACAAATACCTACCTATTAGTAAAGCTTTCCCTTTATTGTCTTTTCATGAGCACTCTTGCTAACTGCTCTTCAAAATATTTTATAGACATAATATTTTGAAATTTTTACAGCTAACCAGTTACATGCTAATAGTATAAATGATAATAAAAGCTTACATTAATCCCTTCATGCAGCAAAATATATGGTTGGAAATCAAGGCTATTTTTGGGTGGATTAATTCATTAGATAGGTCAGCTGATATGTATTAACCTGTGAAACAGCATGGTAACTTCTGGAATCAAATGTTTAAGTGAATTTTAAATTAATGAAAATGAATACCAAGGAAAATGTATGTAGAATATCAACATAAATTAAACTAAAGGGAATACAACATATTTCATGAGAATATACAATTATGAAATATAGAATTTTGCATTACGTGTTAGGCAGCAATGACTTTGCAATTTTTTTCAAGTGTTCAGTTCCTGTCTTTTTCTTAATTTTATTTTATTATTATTATACTTTAAGTTTTAGGGTACATGTGCACAATGTGCAGGTTAGCTACATATGTATACATGTGCCATGCTGGTGTGCTGCACCCATTAACTCGTCATTTAGCATTAGGTATATCTCCTAATACTATCCCTCCCCTTTCCCCCTACCCCACAACAGTCCCCAGAGTGTGATGTTCCCCTTCCTGTGTCCATGTGTTCTCATTGTTCAATTCCCACCTATGAGTGAGAACACGTGGTGTTTGGTTTTTTGTCCTTGCGATAGTTTACTGAGAATGATGATTTCCAATTTCATCCATGTCCCTACAAAGGACATGAACTCATCATTTCTTATGGCTGCATAGTATTCCATGGTGTATATGTGCCACATTTTCTTAATCCAATCTATCATTGTTGGACATTCGGGTTGGTTCCAAGTCTTTGCTATTGTGAATAGTGCCACAATAAACATACGTGTGCATGTGTCTTTATAGCAGCATGATTTATAGTCCTTTGGGTATATACCCAGTAATGGGATGGCTGGGTCAAATGGTATTTCTAGTTCTAGATTCCTGAGGAATCGCCACACTGACTTCCACAATGGTTGAACTAGTTTACAGTCCCACCAACAGTGTAAAAGTGTTCCTATTTCTCCACATCTTCTCCAGCACCTGTTTTTTCCTGACTTTTTAATGATTGCCGTTCTAACTGGTGTGAGATGGTATCTCATTGTGGTTTTGATTTGCATTTCTCTGATGGCCAGTGATGGTGAGCATTTTTTCATGTGTTTTTTGGCTGCATAAATGTCTTCTTTTGAGAAGTGTCTGTTCATGTCCTTCGCCCAGTTTTTGATGGGGTTGTTTGTTTTTTTCTTGTAAATTTGTTTGAGTTCATTGTAGATTCTGGATATTAGCCCTTTGTCAGATTCCTGACAGCCCCTACTTTCTTACCAGTGACTTTTCCTGATTGTTTCTGAGGATAGGATTAATGAATGATAATGTCTCTGTCATTTTTCCCTTCTTTAAATAAGAATTCTGCTTTCTGAGGCTTTAAAGAAAATTAAGTTTATACGAATTTTTGATTTTTCACTACATTGATTACTTTAATATTATAATCCATGGTATATTTCAAGACCATGAGATACATATGGTTTTTTCTGTGTTCATTATGTATAAACAGATAGACTATGGATTTTGTACCACTTGAGCTTTGCATAATGATAGAATGATACCATTCTATCATTATGGTAAAGTTAATTGCAAAGCCACTCCCCCTTAATGGAAGATATGTGTTTAGGCCAAGGTGTTTATAACAATACAATGCCCTTAAAATTTAGTACATTGGTATATGAGTCAACCACTCGGTTCAGTGAGCCTGTAATTACACCTAAAGTGGACTTTTACACACATCAATACTTTCTTTTTGAGACACAACTCTTGGCTTGACACGGGGAGGTGACAGAAACTAAATCACTACCTGTGGAAGACTACATGATCATGAGACTTGAAATGAGTACTATCTATTTGATAAAATACAAAATTAGAGGTGCTAAGTAATTTTCCATTGTTAAGGGGAAGTGGTATATATGACGTCAGGCTTGCTCAGGTTGGGGAAACACGAGTATTTTCATGAGAAGTTGGCTTTCATTCAAGTCATATTGTTTTTATATTATTGCTTCTCTTTTAGTTCATGACTCCACAAATAATCTTTTATCTAGCTACAGTGCTACAAAACGTACTGCTTTGCAGATGTTCTGCTTGATATGCTGCTGCAGGCTAGAAGTGTGTTGCTTCTGCACCATTGCCTCCAACAAAGCTTGCTTAGAAAGACAGGGAATTCTCCCTGTGGGTAAAATTTTGTAGAGCACACCTCAGGCTTCACTTTGAAAGGATGGAGGAGTGAATCAAGGTAAAGATCGAAGTATCTAATGTCTAATGGTTTATCTAATGATTATCACAATCACCAGTAACTTTGACAAAACCTAAGATTGGAAGATTGCAAAGTACAGGCTCTCAGGTACCTCCTCCAGCAGCTGGATTCCCACAGCAGATAACTTTTCCAGGTCAGGGAACACTGGCAGCTGAGTAATGTTTCTGGGTCTCCAATTTAATTGTTGTATTATTTCTTTTGCTTAACCGACTTAGTTTTCTGTTTCTGGATAAATTGTGACTGACATATGTACAAAACTAAGAAATGCCCATCAACAGAATTTTATTACTAGCTCACTTCACAGTTCTTGAAATGAGGAATCTTCCCTTAAACAGATTCTCAGAATTGGTGGTGCTTACTGCTTGGATCTCCTGGTTCTGCTATCTCATGACTTCATCCAACCTGTGAGCATGAAGAAAGCTCACCAGATGTTTGCTCTATTAAGCCCAGATGCAGCAGTATCTTCACATTCTAATATAATTGACATGGGGAGTACAGAGCTGTGCATAGGTATATAATTTATTTTCAAACTTCGTTATCATAAGTATGCAAAGCTCAAGTGGTACAAAATCCATAGTCTATCTGTTTATACATAATAAACACAGAAAAAACCATATGTATCTCATGGTCTTGAAATATACCATGGATTATAATATTAAAATAATCAATGTAGTGAAAAATCAAAAATTCGTATAAACTTAATTTTCTTTAAAGCCTCAGAAAGCAGAATTCTTATTTAAAGAAGGGAAAAATGACAGAGACATTATCATTCATTAATCCTATCCTCAGAAACAATCAGGAAAAATCACTGGTAAGAAAGTAGGGGCTGGGAGCGATGGTTCACACCTGTAATCCCAGCACCTTGGGAGGCCGAGGTGGGCAGATCACTTGAGGTTAGGAGTTCGAGATCAGCCTGGCCAACATGGTGAAACCATGTATCTACTGAAAATACAAAAATTAGCTGGGTGTGGTGGTGCACACCTGTAATCCAAGCTACTCGGGAGGCTGAGGCAGGAGAATCACTAGAACCTGAGAGACAGAGGCTGTACTGAGCCAAGATCATGTCACTGCACTCCAGCCTGGGTGACAGAATGAGACTCCATCTCAAAAAATAAATAAATAAATAAAATAAAGTAGAGCTCCCTTTAATGGACTTTTAGCTGAGACATTGAAAGTATATGTGCCATAGATTGTATATGGTCTATCTATCCAATAAGGTTCCTATAACAATAATATAAAATAATGTGTTTCAAAAGGATTGTATATTTTACTTTAAGAATATTAATTAAAAAGTATCAATTAATATTTCTGGATCTGACATAGAGTCCAGAACCATAATACCTTTAAAATACTAAGATTAATATTGGATTTTGTGTATGCTGCCCCCAACTATCTCTCCCTTGTGTCCCACCTCTCCTCCCTGCCCTCCACCCCTAAACACATACTGACTTCCCCGCCTTAGGATCTCTTAGGTGAACCTTATGGTTTAGGTTCTGATACTAATGTTTTGTTTATTTATTTAGGGATTTTAAAAGAATACTTGATACCAAAGTCTCTGAGTTGATAAAGAAGTGTGCATTTTATAGACCATGCTTAAGACATGCATGCTTGGCCTTTTCGGATATTAGGGTCCCCCATACTACTCCCACACTCCACTGCGAACCCATTCCCAGTCTCCCGTCCTCATCACCTACATGACTTCAAAGATGAATTTAAAAGAAAAGTGCCATCTATGTTCGACCCCACTGTTGATCAAGAATAACTATTACTCACAGTTATTGGATAAAATGGAGGTAAACCTGTGTAGCAACTTTGTATTACAACTGGGTCAGTTGTAAAGCTCCCTTTGTACGCTGAAAAGTGGTTGTGTTTTGAGACAAATGCAAAATATTGTTTTTACCTAATTTTAACCAGAGAAGAAAAGTAGTTTATTTAACAAGATAACTAATTGTCTTTACACTCATACTGCCACCTCCAATGACAGCAGAGAGTTCAAATTCATTATTCATAGATGAAAGAAAAATTTGATGACTTCAGAAAAATAAGGCAAAATTGAAAGGCTATTCAACTAGTGAATCCTAGCAGCTAAAATTGGTAATGATAATTATTGACAAAACTTCATTTCAATAAACATCAAAGTCTTGGCTACTTCCTTTTGTTTTACTGGATGTTATGCTGTGTATTTAACATTCTTGAAATTAGGAGTACATCAGCTTCAGTTTGCAAATTATTTTGTTGCAAAGCAAATTGTATGGTAATAGAATGAAATTATGGCCTATACTATAGAATGAACTATGTCCTTCTCCATAAATTCAGTGTAATTTAGAATTCCATTACACCTACGTATTTCTGTGTGCCAAATCAGACTGTAAATCGGAAGATAATTATTTTAAAAACAGTTCATTAAATAATATTCTAAAATTTGTTGAATTCTGTTAAGATGATTATTGTGTAATTAGGTTAAATTTTTGACTTATTTTGAAAATGCATTTCAGTAATTCTGAATAATTTAACCTCTAAGAGTCTAATAGAGGCCAATGACGCTTTGAAGAAAAAATAATGATGCCAGTTAGCAGAGGCCAGATTTTCAGTACAAGCAAGCCATTCATCAGCAAACAGAAAGGGCAGTGGTTAATTAAACCTTTAACTTAGAAGATAGAAAATAAAAAGTATTAACAATATTAATTTAGTCACCCAGGTAATCTCTTCAGGGTTGGTAGTAAATCCTCAGTCAGTTACTCAAACAATGGGCACATCATTTATTCAATGGTTAATGTATAGATTAAATAAAATAACTTCCCTGCTATAGGATTCTAATTGGTAGCTTAGAATCAAAAAATTTTATGAAGAATAAAATAACTTGTCTGTATTCAACTGTTTTATATCGGAAAGGCAAACGGTGATGATGAAGGAAAAATAGAATAAGAAACTGCTGACTGCTGTCCACATTTACTCAAATGTAAGAAAGTGGGAGCTAGAAATGCAGGTATACTCTTAAAAAATAAATTGAGGTTAATTATGTTTCTTTATAGGTTGAAATGAGTAGATTGAAGCAGAACCCATAAATTAATTAAAAGCTCTGATTTTAGGCTCTTCCTCATTGTTATATGAAACCCATCGAGAAATCATGGGATTATAGAATTAGGATGATGTAACCTAGTGACCAACCTTGTCAAGCTTGTGGTACTTTGAGGTTTCCCAAGTGCCTTACGATAGCATCCATCACTGTTCTTTCGTTGGATTCAATATCTACATTGAAGAACACAGTATATCTATAGTACTTATGTTTAGCAATTTCTACCTACAGGTGGTTTTAAAAAATTATTTGTCTAATTATACTTACCAGTTTTTAGTTATTGTTCTTCCATTGAAAAAAATAGACTATTTTATAACTTGACAACAATGATAAGTTATAACATGAAATGGAAATTGGTGATTTTAGAAACAAATCAAATATCAAATAAAGTATTAGTAAAAAATATTTTTCCAATTACGTATACTCTGTGTAGGTATGAGAATGCATAGGTTAGAGTCTTTCTGGGCTATCATAGCTGATTTGGGGATGATGGAAACATTCTGCAATCTAATGCAAATACAAAGCAATTATTCTGCAATAGAAAACAAAATATTTTATAAAATATGCAGGATTTTATTAAATTAATACAAACAATTCTGGATAACTGAAAAGCCAACCACAATGAAGTGATGACATTTACAAGCGTAGTGACGTGATGGGTATTTCAAAGGAAAATGACTTGAATATAAACAATGAATGAAGCCACTGAGAAAATGAGTAAAGTTTTTAAAAATTTGGCAAAAATAAAAAGTTATAATTATGCTGTAAAATTCTAACATATTAGAGGAATTTAAATTATACTATTATAAAACTTGGTAGAATAAGTTGTTTAAATATTCAACATGATTTATTCTGTATTATTTTTAAGATTCTACTTTATAAAGCACGGTGGCTTATGCCTGTAATATCAGCACTTTGGGAGGTCGAGGTGGGCAGATCATGAGGTCAGCAGAGCAAGACCAGCCTGACCAATGTGGTGAAACCCTGTCTCTACTGAAAATATGAAAATTGGCTGGGTGTGGTGGCAGGCACCTGTAATCCCAGCTACTCAGGAAGCTGAGGCAGGAGAATCATTTGAACCCAGGAGGTGGAGGTTGCAGTGAGCTGAGATCGCACCACTGCACTCCTGCCTGGGCGACAGAAAGAGACTCCATCTCCCAAAAAAAAAGACAAAAAAAAAAAGATTCTACTTTATAATTCAAAGTATAGTTAGTGTTTTGCTAATTTTTTAAGATTCAGTTTGTTTCTAGATAAATTCTGAACTATTTTATAAATCAAGCATTTTAAGATCACTCAGAAATAGTGATTTTTTGTACAGACAGTATATACATTTGTTAAATTAATTTTATACAGATACGTACGCATAAAAAAATGTTTTAATATTTTGTAGCTGAATCTCATTTTTCAGATTGTATTAGTGCTGCTATAAAGAACTTCCTGAGACTGGGTCATTTATAAAGAAAAGAGGTTTAAATAGACTCACATTTCCCATGGCTGGGGGAGCCTCAGAAAACTTACAATCACGGCAGAAGGGGAAGCAAACGCGTCCTTCATCACAGGGCAAGAGGAAACAGAAGTGCTAAGTAAAGTGTGAAAAGCCCCTTATAAAACCATTAGATCTCATGAGAACTCACTTACTATCATGAGAACAGCATGGGGGAGCCACCTCCATGAGCTAATCACCTCGCACAAGGTTTCTCCCCCAACACGTGGCAATTACAGTTTGGATTATAATTCAGGATGAGATTTGGGTGAGGACACAGAGCCAGACCATATCACAGATAAATTTTATATTAAGTAACATAACATTTAAAAGAAACTCTTGTTTCAAACCATGTAAAGCAATCTAAGTCCCATGATCTTAAGCACTGAGAGTTCATGAAATAGAGTTTGAAAATGAATTAACAATATTTAATAATATATATCTAGCATAGTGTATTTAACACAACTTTTAGAGTCTCATATTTTAAAGTATTTGTACCATTTACAAGGATGCAATACACACCTTTACTCATGCAATAATTACACATTTTTCTCATTAGTCTATATATAAATTCTGAAAACAGAAAACAATGATTCTGGCAGTATGATTTTTTAGGACAGTTGATATTTATTACCAAATTACTTTCTAGTATAATGGCAAATAAATACCCAACAAATTGTGTTTTGTTGAGGTGTTGCACTGTCTATATTGTATAAGGATGTCCATTATTTTCACTCTTACATAAATTCTTTTAATTGCAAAATTTATTTTTGGTGGGGAGGAGTAGGAAGATATTATCCTTTTTAAAACTGGTTTAGCTTTTATTTTTACTAAAGTTGTTTTCTTACACTATTTATGGAAAGTATATATTTATAAAGATATCATATATATTTATATTCATGTATACATATACAGATATACGCATGTCCATATATCATATGCAATATATATAAGATGGGTGTGTGTGTGCGTGTGTGTGTGTGTGTGTGTATGTAAAGCTATAATACTGCACCTACATTAGAATGTAAGCTTCATCACAACAGGGCATTACTCACTTCCTCATAGCTAAAATATAATTTCTTACACATAATTGGTGATTAAGAAATGTTTGTTTAAATAATAAGGAAAGAAAAATAAGTTTGAGTAAGTCAGGAAGCTATTTTCTGAAAAAATTAATAAATAAAAGTCAACATGCTTATTAAGGAATCACACTAATAATACCAAAATAAACTGGGTGTGATTAGCAATATCCCTGTGATTAGCAATGTTCCTTAATCAAATGAGCTGATTGTCCATATATGTGATTTGTTAAATCACTGCCATCAAAAAAAAACTTTAAAACCCTGTGTATGCCAAAGGCAGAAATCACAGTACAAACATTGCTATTTCAAATAGCATTTGAAGTTAGCACCACAGAAAAAATAGAGGCAGGATTGCCACTATTGTACACTCTTATACAAGAGACTCACAAAAGTGTCTTGTATGCATAACAAGGGGGGTTAACTTAATTATAAGTACTATGGAATAATATATTGCCAACTGAATAAAAATTATTTGGTGAAAAATATAAAATGCATATTCCAGACCACAAAACATATCTGCAAGATAATATTCTGGATTATGGTGCCCAGGACAATGCCCCCCATCTATGTGACTTATTTACCCCAAATAGAGTTTTATAACCACTAATAAAACTCTGTCATTGTTCATGGAAAATATGCATGAAAATTTAATTGATCAATACCCAAAATGAAGTGCTTTAGGTACAATGCAATGTTGCATGTATTACTCTATTTGTGTGTCTTTTAAAACAAGCCAATTGATTTTTGATATTATTGAAACTCCCTACATTAATTTATTCTATTATTATGATGTAGTTTTTTGAACACAGCTAATTTTTAGATATAAATATACAGGAATAGTTCTTGAACTATTTTTTTCAACTCTAAGCTGCAAGCCCTGCGCTATGCTACTAAGTACCAAGTAACAGTATCACTAAAGTTGTATGTGTTAGTCCACTCTCACACTGCTATAAAGAACTTCCCTGAGACCGGGTAATTTATAAAGGAAGTAGGTTTCATTGACAAGCAGGTCTGCATGGCTGGGGTGGCTTCAGGAAACTTATAATCACAGTGGAAGGGAAAGCAGGCATCTTCTTCATAAGGCAGCAGGAGAGAAAGAAGTGCAAGCAGGGGAAATGCCAGATGCTTATAAAGCCATCATATCTTGTGGGAACTCACTTACTACCACGAGAATAGCATGGGGGAAACCGCATGATTCAATCATCTCCCAGGAGGTCCTTCCCTTGACACATGGAGATTATGAGGATTACATTTTGAGATGAGATTTTGGTGGGGACACAAAGCCAAACCATATCCTTCCCCCTTGAACCATCTCAAATCCATGTCTTTTCACCTTTCAGAACCAATAATGCCTGCCTAACAGTCCTCCAAGATTTTAACTCATTTTCGCATTAACTCAAAAGTCCTCAGTCTAAAGTATCATCTGAAGCAAAACAAATTGCTTCTGCCTAGGAGCCTGTAAAATCAAAAGCAAGTTAGTTCCTTCCAAGAAACAATGTGGGTGTAGGCAGTAAATAAATGTTCCCATTTCAAACGGGAGAAACTGGCCCAAACCAAGGGGCTACAAGCCCCATGCAAGTCTGAAATCCAGTGGGGCAGTCATTAAATATTAAAGCTCTAAAATGATCTCCTTTGACTCCATGTCTCACATCCAGGGCACACCGATGCAAGAGGCTGGTACCTACAGCCTTGGGCAGCTCCTTCCCAGGCTGGTGATGAGTGTCTGTGGCTTTTCCAGGCACGTGGTGCAAGCTGTCAATGGACCTACCATTCTGTGGTGTGGATGACAGTGGTCCTCTTCTGACATGTCCATTAGGAAATACCCCAGTGGGGACTCTGTGGGGGCTCCAACCCCACATTTCCCTTCGGCACTGTCCTAGCAGAGGTTCTCCATGAGGGTTCCGCCCATGCAGCTGACTTCTGCCTTCCTTGTGTCCCTACATCGTCTGAAATCTAGGTGGAGGTTCCCGAACCTCAATTCTTGACTTCTGTGCATCCACACACCCAACACCATGTGGAAGCTGCCAAGGCTTGGGGCTTGCACCCTCTGAATTCATAGTCTGAGCTGTACCTTGACCCCTTTTTGCCATGAATGGAGCTGAAGTGGCTGGGACAGAAGCCCCCATGTCCTGAGGCTCCACAGAGCATCAGGGCCCTAGGCCCAGACCACAAAACTATCCTACTAGGCTTCCAGGCCTGATGAGAGAGGGTGCTACCAAGCGCTGTGAAATTCCCTGGAGACATTTTCCTCACTGCCTTGGTAATACACATGCAGCTCCTTGTTAGTTATGCAAATTTCTGCAACTGGCTTGAATATCTCACCAGAAAATGAGTTTTTCTTTTCTACCACATGGTAGGGCTGCAAATTTTCCAAACTTTTATGCTCTGCTTCCCTTTTAAACATAAGTTCCAATTTCAAACCATCTTTTTGAATGCATAAAACTGAATGCTTTCAGAATTACTGAGGTCACATCTTGAATGCTTTGCTGCTTAGAAATGTCTTCCACCAAATACCGTAAATCATCTCTCTCCAACTCAAAGGTTCACAGAGCTCTAGAGGAGGGGAAAAAATGCCACCAGTTTCTTTGCTAAAGCATGGTATGAGTGACCTTTACTCCGGTTCCCAATAAATTCCTCATCTCCACTTGAGACCACCTCAGTCTGAACATCATTGTTCAAATCACTATCAGCATTTTGGTCAAAACCACTCAACAAGTCTCTAGAAAATTACAAACTTTTCCACATTTTTCTGTCTTCTTCTGAACCCTCCAAACTGTTCCCACCTTTGCCTGTTACCAGTTTCAAAGTTGTTTCCACATTTTCGGGTATCTTTACAGCAGTACCCCAATCTCTGCAGTACCAACTTACTGTATTAGTCTGTTCTCACCCTGCTATAAAGAACTTTCCTGAGACTTGGTAATTCATAAAGGAAAGAGGTGGGGTTTTTTGTTTGTTTGTTTGTTTGTTTGTTTTTGACAGAGTTTCGCTCTGTCGCCCAGGCTGGAGTGCAGTGGCGAGATCTTGGGTCACTGCAAGCTCCACCTCCCAGGTTCAGGCCATTCTCCTGCCTCAGCCTCAGAAGTAACTGGGACTACAGGTGCCCACCACCCCACCACCACGCCCGGCTAATTTTTTGTGTTTTTAGTAGGGACGGGTTTTCACAGTGTTAGCCAGGATGGTCTCGATTTCCTGACCTTGTGATCTGCCCGCCGCGGCCTCCCAAAGTGCTGGGATTACAAGCGTGAGCCACTGCCCCCGGCCAGGAAAGAGGTTTAATGGACTCACACTTCTACATGGCTTGGGAGGCCTCAGGAAACTTACAATCACGGCAGAAGAGGAAACAGGCACCTTATTCACAAGGAGGCAGGAGAGAAAGAACTGCAAGCAGGGGAAATGCCAGACACTTATAAAACCGTTAGATCACATGAGAACTTACTCACTATCACGAGAACCACATGGGGGAACCACCCCTATGATCCAATCACCTCTCTCAAGATCCCTTCCTTGACATGTGGGGATTATGGGGATTACAATTCAAGATCAGATTTGGGTGGGGACACAGAGCCAAACCATATCAATATAATTACACTGTTGTAATTATTGTACTTAACAAAACTTTGGAAGATAAAAGTTTGTAAGAAGTTTCTATAACTTTGCAAAAATCTGTTATAATAATTCAAATTCACAGCTCAAAGTTCTCTGAGGAATTGCTCTAAAATAGATACCAGTTTTAAATATTTTATACATTGTTAACCATAGACATATCTTATTATATTTTCATATTTATATTAAAGAATCAAGTATTTACATAATTGTTTCCTGTGATTTAATATAATTTCTCAAATAATCTAGGTTTGAGCTATAAAAACAACATAATAAAAAATTCAGAAGGAAATGATAAAGAGTTTGTTTTATGTAGTAAGGACATTGACTTAGGAGTCTTGGTGTTTCTGTACTATTTCCAGCTCTGGCACTAGATAGCATCATGTGTTAGCTCATTTTACTTATTTCACTTACACTCCCTGAACCTAAGTATTCTCTCCTCTCTGAATCTGTGTAAGATGTTTTGAATCAGAATTGATGGCTCCTTCTTTTGTAACACCCCTCAAAAATTTATATGCCTTTTCTTGTACTTATCACATTGCCATGAATATATTTGCTTGTGTGTGTTTCCTGTATTAGATTTCTACTTCAAGTTTCATTTATTATAGCTTTCACAGTATGTAGCACATTATCTAGCTCACAGTAGGTCTGTTAGAGATACTTATTTGAATTAAATTTTATTGATAAAATGAATACTTAAGGTTTTTATGTATATGCTTATAAGATTTCTATAACTGTATAATTAAATCAAAATATCAAAAACATTGTGAAACATGATAGTCACCAATATACCTGTCCATCTTTCACTTTTAAAAATTCTGTCCATAACAATGAGAGTTTTCAGAATATTAGCAACTTCACATGAGATTTTGGGCATTGTTTTTGATAGTTACTCTATCTCATCAAGCTCAAATTAAATATCCCTGTTTAACAATACTGGTATCAAATATTGATCCCAAAGTATTTTGAAATATCATATACTTCAATTCCTTATGTGATATGAAGACAGGTCCAGTATATCAAGAAAAATGTCTGGTTTCACATGGCATCTGATAGCCATACCTATTAATTAGTCTTTCCCAAATGCTCATTAAAATTTCCATGAAGTCAAAAAGAAAACTGAACGTTTAAACCTTTAAAGCCAAACTATACATATAATTATTGGAAAATCTCATTAAGATGATGAACAAAACTAATCTGAAAAAAAAATGTGTACCACCTATAATTTGCCTCTTGGAGGAAGGAGTACAGTTTACCTATAGGTAGGTAGGTAAAAAGATATTTAGTCCCACCAGTAGACACTATAAAATTTTCTTTTTTAGAGTACCAGAGATAACAGTAGTCCAGAGAGTCCAATTAATAACAGAACATGAAAGATGGTGGTGTTTCTTTGTTGATGGATGCCCTGTTATTAGTAGACCAAGATAAGTGATCTAGGAAAAGGCAGAGGCAGGAATAACCCTATTATCTTAGAATGCTGTTTCAGCAGAAAGCACCATCGTTCAAATGCCAGAAAACAAGAATGACCTTACGAGTAGATTTTATCCTGGTTCAAAAGAAGTGCACTATTGAAAATCTACCAGTCTGATGGGGGAAAGAAAATAGAATATACAAAGTCACCAAGGTAGCTTTTCAAAATGCACATACTTGAGCTCCACCCATTTATTTCATTTTAAGATACAAAAATTTCCAACTTTTACTGTGCATAAGAATCAATGGGGAGAACTTATGTAAAATGCAGATTTCCTTAATCCATATCCAGAATTTTATTTTCAGTCTGTAGTAGATTTCAGAATTATATTTATTTTAATTAAAAATATTTATTGAGTACATACTTAGTCACAGAAACAAATCTGACCATTTTCTACCCTCATGGAGGCTACATTCTAGTGGAAGGTAAGGCAGAAACTATAAGAAACAAAGAAAACAAATTATAAATTTATAAAAGTTAATAAGAGTTATGAAATAAAAACAAAGATAGGATAAAAGGGTAACGTGGACCTGGGAAAGTCAGGGAGGCAAATGTTGCAGTAAAAAATTTGATGTGTAGGGTAGAACTCATTGGAAAGTTTGCCATTTGAGCAATTTGAACACCCTCAAGTTACACAAATATAAGTAATCATGGAATACACTCTGTGAGGGTGCATTAGGGGCATTTTATTTTAACCAGGAAATTCTCAAAGCCTCTCTTCCCTTTCTTCTTCCAGCTTTTACCTACCTACCCCAGAACTCTGAGCATGTTATAATTACAAGAGAAAGTAGACCATGAACAATTTTACTACAAAGGATAGATTAAAAGCTTTTAATAAAACTGTTTTATGTAGAGATTGAGAAGTTTTCAGAAAAGTTTTCAAATCTGTGGTAAAATATAATGTATAAAAATGTAACATCAATGAAAATGGACATACAAATATAAATAAGTAGAGTTTAACTGAAGTAAAATAATTAGATGACAGGTAACTCAACAGTATAAATAAGCACTAGGGAGAATGTAAAATATTATTGACAAATTTAAAATAAAATATGTGTATAGAAAAATTGAAGATTAATGTAGAAAGCAAAGTTGAGACACTTTCATAGACAACTGAAGAAAGAAAAAATGAAATGCATGTATGAAAAACATATATATTGTGTATATGATATATATTGCATTATATAATACAGTTTTTAAAATCCAGACATTTTATGATCTTTTATTACATTTTTAAAAATTTAATAATGATACGTTTTAAAAATATATATAATCTGGAAAATAATGAACATAAGCAAGGTGATAAATTTTCAAAAGAATTACCTCAAACTTATTTGTATTGATTGGTTAAAATAAATGAATTAGCTAAAGCAACTAGAATAAAATACTAACAAAGCAAACATAAGAAAGAATAAGAGACTTTGAAAATCAAGTGAAAAACATTGCAGCTAATATGAACTATATACACAGTGTTTGTTAAGTAAATAAACAGAGTTTTATTAAGTTCTAGTAATAAGTAGAAAACTTCATGTGATGGTTAATGCTGACTGTCAACCTGATTGGATTGAAGGATGCAAACTATTGATCGTGGGTATGTCTGTGAGGGTGTTGTCAAAGGAGATTATCATTTGAGTCAGTGGGGTGGGGAAGGCAGACCCACCCTTAATCTGGGTGGACATCATCTGATTAGCTCACAGTG